>NC_000005.10:6260000-7510000 GCF_000001405.40 Homo sapiens
GGGACGTCTTTGCCTGCAGCTTCCAAGTGACTTCCCCACAGATGCCAGATCCATGATTCTGAGTCTCCAATGTGCCTCTGGGTTGCTTGGAGACCTTGTTAAAAAATTAGATTCCTGGCTCCCACCCCAAAAAGTCTGATTTATTGGGTCTTGTATGTTGCTCTAAGTCTGTTTTTCTAACCAGCACCCTACTTGACTAGGAAGCTCTTGGCCCAAGGGTGTGAGGCTGAACACTGCTCTCCTCCTCAATGCCCTTCAAGCATCCTCTGAAGGCCAAGATGAAACACCTGGGCCAGGCCCTGGGTTCTCTGGCCCTGCTCCAGTACAGGCCTGATCTCCTCGACAACATACCCTTAGCTGTCTCTGGTCCTAAAGTTTAGCCCATAGCTAAGACACTTCTAACCCCAGGAAAGCAGCTCCACGTCTCACGGCACCAGGCCTTCATCTGTTCAGCAGCTCACCTTACTTCCTGGACCTTCTTCTGCCCAAGTGCCCAACCCCAAACCATGCATGGTCACCCCCAGCGTGGCCCTTTCTAATCACCCCAAACCCCTCTGTGGCATGTCTAGGGCAACCCTGACCCAAGTTGAGCCAACCCAAGTCCCATCCCAGGGAATCCCGAAACTCAAGCTGGGTGAAGGATATGAGTTCCTCTCTAGGTGGCGAAAGCTCCACAACACACACAAAACAACATAACACAATACACACAACACAGCACAACACACACAGCACAACACAACACACACTTTCCATCATGGGAATATCAAAGAGGGGGCAGGGGATGGGGAAAGAAGTAAAGGAGGCAGGTGCAGTGGGCTCTTGTTCCTCCTTGGATCCCTGTTCCTCCTCGGATCCCTGTTCCTCCTCTTCCTGCAAGTCTTTCCTCCATGATGCTTCCTGTATGAGTCAGCTAGGGCTGCTATAACAAAATACAAAGGTGCAGCAGCTTAAACAATAAAAACTTACTGTCTTGCAGCTCTGGGGGCTGGCAGTCCACAATCAAGGTGTTGGCAGGATTGGTTTCCCTCTCCTTGGCTCATAGATGGCATATTTTCCTCGTGTCCTCACATGGTCTTCCCTCTGGGTATGTCTGTGTCCTAACATCCTCCTCTTTTAAGGACACCTGTCAAACTGGATTAGGGCCCACCCAGATGAGCTCATTTTACCTAAATGACCTCTTTCAGGACCCAACCTCCAAATACAGTCATAGTCTGGAGTACTGGAGTTTAGGACTTCAACTTACGAATGTTGGGGGGACACAATTCACCCACAGCACACTCCAGCATTGTTATAATAAATATGTCTTTTGGATTTAAGCCCCTTTGAATCAGAAGGAGTTTGTGCTACAAAACATAGCTTCTCTACATTGCTGGGCAGGTCCAGGCAGGAGAGCTTGGGAGTTGCTGATTTGGATTGACTGCTCCCACTGGACTGAGAGTGCCTTTATGTCACAGACCGTGTTGCACTAGACATGTCTCCGCAGAACAGGCACAGCCCCAGCCCATGCTCCCACCCATCTGTGTAATACAAAAGTGGGCACCACGTGCCCATCCTCCTGTCTCAGGAAATTCAGAGAAGTCAGCCCCTGAAGAAAGCTTTGCAGAGATTTGCAAAGCTTCAATGTTTGTGCCTGGCCTTGTTCCTGACATTCTTCAGCCAAAAAAAAAAAAAAAAAAAAGTATCGTTAAGAATTATTACTTAGAGATTGAATGTTTTTATTGGGGTTCTAGGAAGCCAGGGATTTCTGAGTACTGTATGAATCACAGAAAAGAACCTTGGTTATTTTTTACCCAGAAATTGGCCGCATTTGATCACGGAAAAATGTAATCACTTATGAAATGCAATTTCCTTTGATGCTATTTCAGTGTTGACTCAAGAACACCCTTACCAGAGAAGGAAATGGTTAGGGAGAAGCAGCCCTGTCCTCTCTCCTCCGTCTGGCCTGGAGACCTGATTGGATTGTGTCCAGAAACTCCAAGTCCCTGCCTTACAAAACAGCTTCCTTCCAGGTGAGTGTACACCTAAAGAATTATAAAATTAAAGAAGCCCTCTCCTTATTCTTCTCAAATCAGTAAATCTTAAACTCTGACAATGTCAAGCATTAGTAAGGCGGTAAAGAAGTGAGCATTCACACTTCTGGTGAGATGATAAAGTTGGCACAATTTGGAAAGCGTACTGGTCACGCTTAGCAGAGAAGAAGATGTGCACACACTATAGTTCTGAGAAACTTGTATACATGTCCAAGAAGATATCCAAGAATGGTTATTGCATTACTGTTTGCAATGGTGAAAAATGAAGAACAGCTTAAATGTTTATTGAAAGAATAACATAAAAAATTTGAAAAATCTAAATGTATCAAATACATGAATTTTCAAATCATAATCTTGAGTAAAGAGGGCAAGTTGCCATATGGATTTCGTACAGGAAAGAGTTAACATCACAAGCCTGCGGCCACTATCCCTGGAAAGGCCTGTTTGTATGGTGGGCCCTTGGCTAGTGTCTGAGACCTTGGATGCTAAGATGGTTCCCACTATTCCCAGGCTGATAAGAGTGCCTCACTGCGCCTGAACTGTACAGACTACATGGTTATGCTGGACACCTGCTTTCTTTCTGAGAATCTGGAATGTGTGTCAGGCAAAGGGTGCTGATATGTATGTGTCAGGCAAAGGGTACAGATGTGATCAGTCCCCAATAAAAACATAAAAACCTTGGACACTAAGTCTCCAATGAGCTTCTTTGGTTGATAACCTTTGCACATGTTGTCTTAACTCATTGCTAGAGCAACTGAATGCATCCTGTGTGACACCACTTGCGGAGACTCTCAGAAGCTCACGCCTGGTTTTCCCCCAGACATCTCCCCATGTGCCCTTTCCCTTTGCTGGTTTTGCTCCGTGTCCTCTCCCTGTAAGCAATCATAGCATGAAGTGAACGACTACGTGCCGAGTCCTGTGAGTCCTCCTGGACCAATCACTGAATCTGAGGGCAGTGTCCAGGACCCTACTCATAGATATAAAAAAAGAATAATTTATTTTAAGTTTGAAAACATGCAAAACAAGACGATTCATTGTTTATGGAGACATCTGTATGATGCGAAAATATAAAACATGCCCAGGAGTGATAAGCAAGCAAATGGGTTAGGGAGGTGATACAGTTTGTAATCACCAGTGGCAGAGGTGGGGCCAGGCGGGAGGTATTAGATCATGAGGCAGATTTCTCATGAATAGTTCAGCACCATGCCCTTGGTGCTGTCCTCGCAATAGTGACTGAGTTCTTCCAAGATCTGATCATTTAGAAGTGTGTGGCACGGCCGGGCGCAGTGGCTCACACCTGTAATCCTAGCACTTTGGGAGGCCAAGGCAGGTAGATTGCCTGAGCTCAGGAGTTCAAGACCAGCCTGGGCAACACGGTGAAACCCCATCTCTACTAAAACACAAAAGAAATTAGCCAGGCATGGCAGTGTGCCCCTGTAGTCCCAGCTACTCGGGAGACTGAGGCAGGAGAATTGCTTGAACCCAGGAGGCAGAGGTTGCAGTGAGCTGAGACTGCACCACTGCACTCCAGCCTGGGTCACAGTCTCGACTCTGTCTCAAAAAAAAAAGAAAAAAAAGTGCGGCACCTCACACACCCCTGCTCCTGCTATCTCCGTGTGGTGCATCTGCTTCCCCTTCACCTTCTGCCATGACCAGAAGCTTCCTGAGGCCTCTGCAGAAGCAGATGCCACTATGCTTCCCATACAGTTGATATGGTTTGGCTATGTTCCCACCCAAATCTCATCCTGAATTGTAGTTCCCATAATCCCTGCACATCATGGGAGGGACCAGGTGAAGATGATTGAAACAGGGACAGTTTCCCCCATCCTGTTCTCATCATGGGGAGTTAGTTCTCATGAGATCTGATGGTTTTATAAGAGGCTTTTTCCACTTTGCTCAGCACTTCTCCTTGCTGCCACCATGTGAAGAAGAATGTGCTACTTCCCCTTCCACCATGATTGTAAGTTTCCTGAGGCCTCCCCAACCACGCTGAACTGTGAGTCAATTAAACCTCTTTCCTTTATAAATTACCCAGTTTCGGGTATGTCTTTATTAACAGAGTGAGAATGGACTAATACAACAGCCTACAGAACCGTGAGCCAATTAAACCTCTTTTCTCTTAAGTTACCCAGTCTTGGGTATTTCTTTATAGCAGCGCAAGAAGGACCTAACACAGGAGGTTTGCGAGACTCAGCTGAAATAGTTTATGCCTTTAAGGGAATGAAGAAGATACGGTAAAATACAAAAATTTGATAAAACTGAGTGATAGTTCCTGGTGGTCTCATATTAGTCTCTGTATTATTCTGTCTGTTTTAAGTATTTTCATAATGAAAATACTGAAAGTACAAAGAAGGCACCTCCACAGTGATTCGGATGAGCGCATTTCAACTGTAGTTCGCATTACCCTGACCTTATTCATGAAGCTTTCCTGCAGGACAACAAACAGCCTGGAAGAGGAAGGCGTGAGACTGCAATTTCAGAAAGTAGCACAAACCTGACGTTCAATGTTTCCCTAAGCACGGATTTGACTGTGGGAGAAAGGAGCAGGTGTCAGCACCCTTCCCACCTGAAGAAGGTTTGAGCCAGAGTGGCAGGAACAAAGGAAAAGGCTCATGTCTGCAAGGCAGGAAGTGCAGGGGAGGGAAAAAGATTAGTCTTTCATTTTATTACCTACTGTCTGCTGTCATCTTAAGAATTACCCTGGGCTGTGAGTGGCACTCACATATGAGAGATATACTAGAGGATGATTCTCTTTTCCTTTGAAAGAGTATGCAGGGAGAAATGGTATGGAATGGAAATTGAGTTTGCAATCAACTGTAATGGCAATGATAATACTGATGCATTATAATTTCTCAACACTTTGCTCATCTGCAACAATAATAGCACAAATCAACAAATATCTATTCAGTATCTACGAGGTGCTACCCATGAGGAATGCATAGGAACTGAATTATAGTTTTTTATTTTCTAAGAGCTCACAGTCTAGTGAAGGAGGCAAAAGAGGACAGATTCAAAGGACCTGGAGTTGTGCATGGAAGGCATGGCAATCATGGCCCTGTGTCTGTCTTGTTCACAATTCACTCATCTCCTGTTCTCCCTCAGGACTGGAGCATCAAGTGTCTCAACAAGCATACACTGAATTAAACAGAAGCACTTGATTCTGCAAATAATAATTACATGCCATTGTACCAAGTCAGTCCCAGGATGGGCCCAGTATTAGTTCCAAAAGCTGTGCACATGCATATTACTCATGCACCTACACAGGAGCCCCGGACATGCCCCCATGGAGGATCACCACACTCTGCATCCCAACCATGGTGTGTGTTTCTTGAAATCAGAGACTGAGTCTTGTAGGTTGCTGTGGCCGCCATGAAGATGCACACTCTGCTTTCCTGCTTCAGGGGGCAATGCTGACTGGCAGGGTCAGTGCTGGCCCTCTGGACCCAGCACTGCATTCAGGCCACAGCCATGCTTTCCTTGGGATGCTCCAGCCAGTGCCTGAGCATGGCAGGTGCCGGTATCTGCCCATTCCTACTGGGCCAGGACTCCTCTAACAAGCAGGTTTGGCATGAGGAGACATCATCAGCCTGGCCAAATCCTTCTCAGACCTGCACTGTGACATGAGATGTTCTACTCAGCCCTTCCTTCCTTCTCTTCGTTCACAGATGTCAGACCCACATCTCAGTCTGGAGGCTCTCCCTGCCTCCTCCTGTGGCTGTTCCCTTACCCTTCACAGGCATTTCCCTGACAATCTCTTGCATATCTAAACCTACCTTAGTGTCTGCATCTCAGAAGACCCAAGGCAGCACACTGTATTTCCAGCCCCAGCAAAGGATAAAAAGATCATAGAAGCAAAATGCTTATTTTTAAATGAATAAATTACTTCTTGAGTAAGTAATAATAATTTTCAATGAATATTAATCAGTTCTCTACAATGAAAATGTGAACTATTCTCTGATATCTGTAACTAAAATACCTCTTTAGTCTAAAGTATTTTGTATGGTCAGTATGTTGTTTGCAATTACTTTAATTTTCTGGTCAACATTTCTGTGTTCGTGAATGGTGAGCAATCAATAAAAAAATCACTAGATGGAGCTGCCAAATTAAAGAAATGGTTGATAACTTAATTCCTGCCTCATTGATTAAGCCATGCTGCGGGCACTGGGATCCATCAGGACAGCAGGAGCTGGAGGTATCAGTATTGAGGAGGAGTGAGCCAAATCTCCGTTGACTTGTGCTCACAGTGGCATTATATGGGAGCTAAATTTTGTCATCTTTGCAATAGTTAGCCTCTGTGGGTTCCTAGGATTTAGTGTTAACCCTGAGAGTTCTATGTGGGCACTTTCTATGCCGCAAACAATTGAAAAACATAACACCTGGATCCATCCAGAGTAGATGATGTCTCCTGAGAGTAGGAATTCCACCTCACTGCCTAGGAACTCTGCAGGAAGGAACCAACGGTGGCCACAGCCCCTTGCAGTTCCAGCAATCCTATTGGTGTGGTTCTGACTTCATATTGGCCCAGTTTACCATTGTATACTGTGCAAAGAAGCAACGACTCTAAATAAGTTTGCTCTGCAAGCCTTCACACCATTGTCCTTTGTCAGGTATTCTTTTTTGAATCTAAGATTGTTCTCCTTATCTACCTTACGTAAGAAATAACAATGGCCATCAAAAATATTTATTGAGCACTTGTTATCTGCTAATGTTATCTTGTTTAATTCTCACAACAACCCCACGCAGTGGGAGCTATTACCATTTTCATTTGACTCAGAGATATTAAGTAACTTTTCAAAGGTTACACAGCAAAAATAGCCAAGACAGGTGTGAAACTGAGCACATAAACCACAAGTACCTGCTCTTAACAACTCGTCTGCATTCCAATTCTATATTTAAAGGCCAATAGCTTAAAATAAAGTCTTTTTAAAATTTAATTTCATGAAGGAAATCACAAGACTTTGTGTAAAATTCAAATCTAGATGATGTCATCATGGAAAAACAAGAGCTGCCAACACATGCCCTTTTCAGCAAGTCAGTGCCTTCATAACAATGTTCTCTTCCTCTGATAAAGAGAATTTTTTCTATAAGTAGACAGCATGCTTACAGAAACATGTTTAATATCTGTCCTGTTCAACTCCCTCTTCCAGATCCAAATGGGAAAACATCTTTATTGTCCTGAGTGATGGTAAAATCAATGCCAAACTTGGGATCAGGGAAGAGAAGTCAAGGTTAACTCTCTTAGCAGCAACAGGCGACATTTGCAAAGTTTAACAAAGTGAACACTCTGTGTAATTCAATGAAGGTCATGAAGCTGAAATAGACATGGTCATCAACAAACTCTCCCTATCACAAATTTTAATTAAAGAGTTCAAGTTGTTAAAGAGCTCAAATTTTAATTAAAGAGTTCAAGTTAAACATTTAACATGTTTTTAATTTAAATCAAATTATTTGAAAATCCAGCTATCAGCCGTGACCTGTAGTTCACCGTGCCCAGGGCTCCTGAGTCCTTCCACCGGCTCTTGCCTGCCCTGGCTACAGCACAATTCACAGGCAAGTGATGGTAGGAGAGAGAGGGATGCCTCTCTCAGAAAGCCCCAGCTTTAATGAAGCTTGAATTTCGGTTTTATTCTTGACTTTAGCAATCAGGCTTTTGAGGATGATACACAACAAGCATTACGTGGACAGAAACAACTCCCACAACTGCTGCCCGCATCTTGCGCTTCTGAGCTCAGCACGATCTGCAGTCCTGGTGTGTCTGTAAAACCCTCAGAAAGCCACTTTCCTCTTCTATAAAATGGAACAACCGAATGTGGGGGCTTAACATAAATAACAGCTTTGAAGTGCTTCACATAAATCCTGGAAAAGGGTTCATGTTAGAAGACATGGTTCCGCTCATTAGAAAGCTTATCAGAATGTGATTTGCTAGGAGTGAGTGGCTCGGTTAATGGGGCTGTTTATGTTCATCTCCTATTTCTGAGCTAGTTGGCATTTCACATTTTGCTTAAGTGAAAGAACTAGTGTCCACTGATCATTGTTTTAGTCTCAGTATTTTTGAAGAAGAATATATTGATAAGTAAGTTCACAGGTTTCTAAAAATTTTATCTAAAGGTGAAGGTGAGAACTTGATGAGAGAGAGAAAGCTCCTGCAGAGCCATAGATGTGAATGGTCCCTGGACCAGGCCTGGGAGGCTCCTCTGATGGTCCTTGGGAGACACCACACAGCATTTGCTAAGGAACACAGTCAGGATTCAGAACCTACTGCAGAGATGTGAAAGACAATCACGGAATTTTGTGCTGAGAGAATCATGAGTTAGTAAACACTCTTCTTTACAGATGAAGATGCCAAAATCCAGTGGGTGAGGGAAGGGGAATATTGTTCAAGGTCAGGCAACTGGTCAGAAAGGAAATTCAAATCTCTCACCCTGACCCAAGGCTTCCCTACTAGACACTATTAATGACTTTATTGGGGTTTCCTGTGCAAGTTGGAGTAGAAAATCTTAAACTGGATCTTACAGCCTAGATGTATATTTTATTAATTCTGGATACATCCAATAGATGAAGTAAAAATTATTATTTTAGCCAATAAAATTAATTTGTAAAACAGAATTATTCTGCTGCTAAGCTCACTTAACTACATATGAATTCCGCATAGAAATATGTAAGCGTTTTAACTTTATTGGCAAGCTTTATATGAAATATTAAAGCTCAGTCCAAGGGCAGCATTCAAAACAAGGTGTCAGGAAAAGTACAGAAGACTTGGAAATGAGCAAAAATAATGACTAGGGCACCCTTCTAGGTGGTCTCTGCCTTTGGTTGTCTTCGAGCTATTATAACAGTATGTAAGTTGTAGAATACTAACTAATGCAGTGGTTCTTGCTTATACAAAAGAAAATTGTGTTTTATGGAGATGTCTTTGATTACATCCCTGTGGATAGTGACCAACTTTGCAACTGTTTGTAAATAGGTTTCCATATCCCTGAGGGTCTACACATGTGTGTGTATTTGTTTGTTTGTCTTCATTTCCCTTTGAACCAGTTATACCATCATACTGGCTCATTCATTAATTAAAAAGTTAAATAAATCTTTGATGTATGTTCTGTATATTTATATGAGAGTTACTATTTTACTATTTCTTAAAGTTATCCAGTAGCACATACAAAAGACAATGGACAATTTTCAAGCAAAAAACAAAACAAAACAAAACAAAAACTAAAAAACTAAAATTGAAGCCTTATCTCTAATTAATGAACGAAACACCACATCTGCCTACAGCCATTACAGCTTAAAGCTATTTCAGGTACAGGTGTGCTCACCACCCAAGCAAAAACCGCAATGCAGGGCAGGGACGAGAAGGTGTTTCTGCAAAGGAGTGGAAGGTTAGCACTGGTTTTCAACATTCTGATCAGGGGAATCTGGAGGTGAAATATGCCACAGTGCAAAGAAAACAAAATTTTGTACAGAATGTAGTAGCCAGGTGTATCCTTAGGCCACATTAGCTGATGCCAGGGAAGCCCAAAACCCTAAACTGGTTCATTTCCTGTTACCCCCACCATCTTCTCCTTCATGCACAACACAAAATGGCATCTTAATCCCTGGGAAGGGATCTGTCACTTGTGAAATGCTTTATGAAACTGTTAGAAATATAGCTGTAAGGATGTAGGCAATTGTTTAGCCTCTCAAGTCCTCAAAATAATCTCAAATGAAATAATCTCAAAGGTATTTTGCAACTCTAACTATTCACAATTAATTCTATGGTTATATATAAATGACTATGGTCATGCATGCTTATTTTGTTCAAATCTGTCAAAAAATAACAAATATTTATTTGATTTGAACAAGGATTAATTCAATTTCATTGCAATACATGGAAGAATTCTTTGTGATGAGCAGTTAAAAATTTTACCTCAGCGTGGAAGCTACCTAAAAGTCATCAATCTGATGTCAATCTTAGAGAATAGTTTTTAATGGAAATGGAAGGTTATGCTAGAGTGAGAAAATTCAGAGGATGAGAGCAATAATAATTCTGATTGGCAATTTCATGGTGCCTGGCGTCACCCTGGGAGGCACGTACAGTTCCTCCTTCATCCCGGTGTTTAAAGGTGATAAATGTCACTCATTCAGATGGAAGCAACAGGAACTTGACAGCTGGCGAAGATAATGATTGTCTCAAACTATGTTTATATATAGCGTCGGCTCTGTGTTTCAACAATTTGGGAATCATTTGAATTTGACCTCCCTTGGAATCTTACTGATAAGTTTTATTTGGAATATGAAAAGACTTCCTGGTTTTGCCTCAGTCTTTGTCAACGTAATTTAATGCACTCAGCAGAAGAAATGAAGTCTGACAGTAAATTGCCTGTTTGAATCTAAAGGGGCTGGAGACATCTTCTGTCAGAGAAGTATCTCAAGGACATAGCTTCCAAGACATTTACTTTTGGGTTTCTGACTTGGGATATTTGGGATTATTGAAAAGATTCCAAGACCACCCTACCCCTAAAGATCTCCAATCCTGTTGCAGGTGACTTAGAGTCACCACAAGGGGCTAAGCTGCCAACACCATTCTTCACGGGCAAGGGACAAGCAAAATCCAGCAGGAAGTCCAAGCATTGCACAAAGGAACTACTTCTGCCTAGAGGGGTGCCTTTTACTGTTAGCAGCAGTGAATCTATATGAGTCTGCAGCAACTCAATTCTTGCCTCCTCGGAAGAAAGAATTCCACCCAGGGGCATAAGGCAGAGTGAGAGACCAAGGCAAGTTTTAGAGCAGGAGTTTATTAAAAAGTTTTAGAGCAGGAATGAAAGGAAGTAAAATACAATTGGAAGAGAGCCCAGTGGGTGGCTTGAACCATCCACGTGCTTCATCTAACCCTTGGCTTGGGAGTTTTACACTTTGGCATGGTTCCAAGGTTTGTGGTTCTTCTCCCTTGATTTTTCCTTGGGGTTGGCAGTCAGCACTTGGAAGGTTGGGTGCACTGTGTTTACTGAAGTTGTGCACATGCTCATTAGAGGCATTTTTCCCTTATCAATTGGGTGTTCCTAAAGGAAGGTCATATACTGATTAAACTCTGCCATTTTGCCTCTTAGGGTGCATGCTTGAGTGCACTTGCCTAACTCCTGAGATCTTATTGGGAAGTTGCTGATCACCAGCTTCAGGTATTTTCTATCTATTGGGAGACTGCCTTTCCTTGGTGCTGGCTACAACCAATTATTATTTTAGAATTCATCAAATTATTGGTCACAACTAGCAATTTTGTAGAGGATAGACTGGGACAGGATAGGAAATATTAAAATGCATCTGTAGCAAGAGCAAGTACTGTGATGTAAAGATTTTGTTTGAGTTTTTGAGTGTACCAGATTATAATAGAAAAAGTGTTGTTTTGCTAGAGGCCATGGTCAAAGACCACTGCCTATCACGTGCTTTTTCTGAAAGCTAAGCTTTTACTAAGCTGACTGATACACTTTCTTTCTCAGTCTGGTGGGAAAACACACCACATTGAGTGGATGGTATGGAGAAAAGCTATGATGGAAGTAATGGCACAGCTTAGATGCCCCTCCATGAAAGGACTTGTTGGCCCAGCTGCTGGCAGACAACTTTCATCTGCTCCTTCAGGGATGGATACAGCTATAGCAACTGATACGGTTTGGCTGTGTCCCCACCCAAATCTCAGCTTGAATGTTATCTCCCAGAATTCCCACGTGTTGTAGGGACCCAGGTGGAAGTAATTGAATCATGGGGGCCAGTCTTTCCCTTGCTATTCTTGTGATAGTGAATAAGTCTCACGAGATCTGATGGGCTTATCAGGGCTTTCCACTTTTGCTTCTTCCTCATTTTTCTCTTGCTGCTGCCATGTAAGAAGTGCCTTTCACCTCCCACCATGATTCTGAGGCCACCCCAGCTACGTAGAACTGTAAGTCCAATTAAACCTCTTTCTTCTCCCAGTTTTGGGTATGTCTTTTTCACCAGTGTGAAAGCAAACTAATACAGGAACATTCCTCACCCAAGAGCATGCCTTTTCTAGAAGAGGCTCACACCTAGTGCCTGGTCAAGGCAGGGTTATGAACGACTGGCTAAGTCGGGACAACTCTGATGGGCCAGTTAGCTTCAGAGCCTCTTGGAGGTGACTGAGATCACCATCAGGCCTGTGTCAGAGCCCAACTTCTCCTTCTGCCCAGTGTTGCTTCCTTCCCCCTTCCCCAGCTGGTGATCCTGCAGGCCCTTCCTAGCACACACCATGTGCAAACTGTCTTCCTGAGAACCCAACCAGCATCTGGAGCAGCAGACATGGGAGTGCACTGCTCAGACACCAGCCCTAGAGCCCCAGTGGCTGCCTGAAGAAGATCCAGGTGAGTTTCTTGCAGCCCCAACTTATTTAACCCCAGCAGCAATCTCACAAATGTGGCCTGATGCAGCACTCCACCTAGTGCAAGCCCAGCAAACAAAGGCACTTGTCTAAGATGAAAATAACTTTGCACCACAGCCCAGTTGCTTCTAATAATGGTACCAGGTGGGAGAGATTTCTCTCATCACCTGTAGCCCAGAATATGGGTATGTGCCATGGTGGCTGGAAACGGGCGCTCCTCTGCTCCTGACACACTCCCCACAGATGTCCCATTGTGACAACGTAGGCAGGGTCCTTGGAAATTTGTTTCATTCTTTATTACACAAATGGAGACGTGTAGAAACAATTTAAATCTTTAATTCCCATATTAGCCAGCCACATAAGGGAAGAAACACGTGTGAAAGATTACAACATATAGAGGCCCTGGCTCCCAGGCTGTGCTATTCTTCAAGAATGACATCAGTAAACAGAAGCCAGCAGTTTCTTCCATCTCAATTGCAAAGAGCTGAGGTTAGAGACACGTCCATTTTGGGAATATACCTTGAGTAAAAGTGATGTATCCTTATGTGACACATAGAGATGTTGTATTTGTATAGACTGTTATAGCTTCAGCCACATTTGGAAAGAAACACGTGATAAACACCATGATATTGAATTTTTTGTGCAATTAGTTTTCCATGATGAGAAAAGTCTTGTATGCCAATCAATATTGAGCATGTAGGAAATATAGCACAACAGATACTATTCCTACGTATCATTCATATTATACAACTCCCATAGAGTAGCTATAAAGAGCATCAAACAGACAGCATATGCTGAAGTGCCTCAGGAACTGAAAAACAGACAACAAACGTGAGTTCTGTCAGAGAGTGCTTAGGAGTGGGGAAAATCCCTATGCCTTGAAAGCGCAGCACAGTCGTGATATGGCAAAGCTAGGGTAGCCCTTCCATTTGCATATATTATTCTGTTGATGCCACATATGTCTCACGTCCTATTTTCAAAGTCCCCAGAGAAGGAAATAACCTCCTATATACTTAGCAACACCCAACGCTATGAGCCTTGTGGCAACCACACGAAAAATCCAATCCTGCAAATGCTGATTGAGAAACTGCGCAGAAAAAGCTAGGCGTGCTGCCTAATGGAAGTAAGTACACAGGAAAACCCAAAGTAGGGAAGGGGGCACCTCCCCACCTCAACCGGGGACAAATGACATCTTTTCAGGAAAATGTTTATAGCTTAGTGAATAACAAAGTCTTTAGTAAGGTGCTTATAGAATGAGTTCCATTTCAATGAGCAGAGACAAGAGGCTACATTTTAAGGAAAACACCCAGATTAAGCACAGCAAAGGAGAAAGCAAGCCCAGGAAAGCTGGTCTGAATGGCGGGGTGATGGCCGGGCTTGGCAACAGGACCGAACAGCTGGTCTGGAATCACATGGGAGAGGCCTGGCTCTTGCCTGCTAAGGATTTTGAACCAAGGAGGGCACAGGAGAGGTACTGAAGGGTTGTGATCAATAACCTGATGTGATGACTTAAGACTGTCAGAATGGAGAATTAATTGGAGTGAGCCTAGCCTGGGAGAGAGAAACAAAATGAACCATAAGGACAAGTCATAAGCAGGTGTGATTAGGATGGGGCCTGACAAGCGGTGTGAGGTCATGAAGGAGCTGTGGGTCAAGTAGGTTGTGAGGCAGCTGTGGAAAGAGGGAGACAGGTTTGAGAGAGGCTGAGAAAGCAGAATCTACAAGGTTCATCCATGCACTGGATTTGGGGATCCCCCAAAAAATGAGGGAAGCTATTTTGAATGGGGAGGGGCCAGCCTATCCAAGCACCACATCTGCCTTCCAGGACTCAGCGTTGACAGTGGCGGGTCCAGCTTTCCCCAGCAGCCGTACAAAGACTGTTCTAGCATCATTTTCTCCTTCAGAGCCTGAGCCTCAGCTCTCTGTCACCGACGTCACTTAAGGGCTTTTTTTTAAATCAAGGTTCCCGGAACCCACTCATTATCTAAAAATGGACCCATTGTACAAAGACAGACAAAAGTGTTTGCCAAAAGCATGAGCTGGGGGTATTGTCCTGGAGGCAGCTGGAATGGGATCATAATTCAGTAAGCAAAGCCCTAATTCACCATACAGTGTTCTCTCCTGCAAAACCACATAGGCAGAAGAAGTTGTGGTCAGGACTCTCCCTTGCATAGTGGGAGTGGTCTGCACCCCTGGCCCAAGCCACCAAATCCCAGAAGCTGCCTCAGTAGTGATGAAAACAAAAACCACCTCCTACCTTTCTGGATACCTCCTAGGAGAGCAATACATTTCCAGGGGAATCCTAGACACATACAAAAGCAAGGGCAGTGACCCAGAAGGCAGCCGGCTTTGTCCATTGCTGTCCAAAAGAAAGGCCCAGAATGTAAAGGACACACATTTTTTTGCCACTGTAGAAGAGAACAATTGATGGTCCATCAGGACTCTTTGGAACTGTGTGGGCAGAATTCTAAAATGACCAGCAATGATCCAAATGCCCCCTTGTGGAAACTCCCCACCCCCACAACCTCCTTAGTGTGGGCAGAACCTGCAAACATGCCGGGACATCACTCAAGTGTTGAGGTCATGTTTTGTGGCACAGTTGGCTTTAAGTGAGGGGGATGGTCCTTGCAGGTTTTACCTCATTAGGGGAGCCCCTAAAAGGGTGTGGCTCTCCCTGGAGAAAGATGTTCAGAGTTGAAGGGAATTTGATGCAAGGGAAATTCCCCACTGCTGCCTTTGAAGACAGAGAGGTCATGGAGCAAGAAAAGGGGTGGCTTCTAGCCACTGAGAATGGCCCCCACATGACAGCCTGAGACAGAATGGAGACCTCCATCCTACACCACAAAGAATTGAATTCTGCCATCAACTTCAATGAGCTCAGAAACAGACTGTTACCCAGAACTTCCAGATAACACAGCAGCCAAGCCAACAGCTTGGTTTCACTCTCATGAGATCCCAAGGTGAAAGATCAATTAAGCCATGCTTGGACTTCTGACCTACAGAACTATGTGATAATAGGTGGGTGCTGTTTCAAACTGCCAAGTCTTTGATGATTTGCTGTGCAGCAATAGAAAACTAAAATAAACGTCTTGATGAATGTTCCTTAAGACAATTGAACTCCTTTTGCTGGAATTATTTTTATTATAATAACTTCTTATCAATTATTTTTATTATTATTTGGCTTCTCAAATATCTGAATCTGGATCCTCTTTGTTTAAGTATGAGCAACAAGTCAACTGAGGAAAGGTAGTGCTTACAGAGGTGTGGGCAGAGTTAAGAGAAACTGACAAAGGAGGATGCAGCTCCAGGGAGACCCTGACAACCCTAGACCCAAAAGGGAAAGGGGAGATGTGCTTCCCAGGACCCAGAGAGAGCAGCTGCATGGAAAGAAACTGTGGACTTCAGTGCAGAAATTCACCATGGCACTGGGACCTCATGAGTGGGAACTGACAGACCATCCTTCAGCGCCTCTGGCGAAACCCAATAGGAAGGCAGACGGCCAGAGAACCCAGGAGAACTGGGCCACGTGAGTCAGTCTTCTCCAGCACACAGCAGGTAGAGGAGGGCGGAGAGAGGAGATGGAAAGGCAAATAAAAATCTTCAGCACCAAGGAGATACGGATTCCAAAAATTGCCCTAAATTGGAGCAGTCAGAGCTTGTGAGACTTCTGGCCTCTAGAAGGAGAGATCGTCAATAAGGAAATTGACTGAGCCAGTCACAGTTGTAATTCTTTTTGAGCTTGGACAGCCTTGGGCAAGGGCAGGGTAGAAGCCTGGGCCCCAGCAACATAAATGCCAGGAGAATGCACAGCTGAAAGTCATGCCACTGTCTCTGTGCAGCTGCTGTCAGTGAGTGAGCCACAGGAGAGAAGTGACACTTGAGGTGAGCTTGCAGACACAGGAGGGAGAAAGATATTCAATAGACAGGGGACAGTGTGGACAAAGGCATGAAGTAGGCATGTTCACTCAAAGCCAGTGTGACAAGAAAAAAAAAAACTGCACATG
This sequence comes from Homo sapiens, assembly GCF_000001405.40. Lineage (NCBI taxonomy): Eukaryota > Metazoa > Chordata > Mammalia > Primates > Hominidae > Homo > Homo sapiens. The sequence goes on from NC_000005.10 coordinate 6,276,395, forward strand.
TTCATGTGTGGGCCTGTGTGCACGTGTGTGCCTCAGTGGGAAGTGGACTAAATTTAGATTAGGGTGAGGCCAGATGGTGCTGTAAGCTCACATTATAAAACAGAAGCAATTTAATAAAATGCCTGCAATATAAAGATTCCACAGATTTAAATATAAACCCTCTCACTTTACAGGGCTTGGATCAGCAACATGGCTGGTAGCTTTCTGTGGCTTTTTGGATCTTTGCATAGCTCTTTCATGAAGATCGTCACTCTAATGCCCCCTTTAATGGAATCTCCAGTAACTGCTTGATCAAAATGATCCCTCTCCCATTCTCAGCCCCTTTTCATCATATGACCCCACGTTAGCCCACTCTTTGGAATCAGATGGATTGCTTATTCACTTGTTTATTTTGTGTGCTAGAATCGTCATCTTCCTGAGAGCAGTCACCTTTGCTGCGATATTCATCTCCCAGTTCTTATCACAGAGCTGGCAGGGCAAGAAGAAATGTCAGCCTTGCACCACTCAGACAACACAGGGCTGCCTAGCAAGAGGCCAGGCTGTTCATCTCTGCCCTGATGAGAAAGGAGAGGAGCCAAGAAGCAGAGAGACAATACTGAAAGAAGCCCTGCTTTCTTCCTCAAAAGAGCAACCCCTGGCCCACCCCAACAGAGAAGAAAGAGAGGAGAGCTGAGAATCTGAAGGGGAGAATGGCTGCTGGAAGCTGAAGCACCAACCCCAGCCCCACAGTAATTCCCATCCCGTGATGGCGCGGGATCCATTTGTCCTCAGGATTCCAGCAGACAAAGCACCCTACCCAGCTGTCTCCAGGCGGCAGGGAAATGATGGGTGCTCAGCTCTCACCACCTAGCCACACTTGCCTTTTCCTCCACCCTGCCACCCAGCCTTGGCTCCAGCTTGAGCATGGCAACTCTTGCCCCCTCTACATTCCCATCCATCCTCCACAAAGTGGTCTTTCTGAGTATGTCTCTTATCACGCCACTCTTTGTTTAAGAAAACAAAATTCTAGCTGGGGCAGGGAAAAAAATAAGACAAGGCTGCAGTGTTTTGTGGTGCCGTAAAGTAAGGAAGTGCTCAAAAATAAGTAAGTAAATAGATGGATGGATGGACAGATGGACGGATGGGCGGGGGCATGTCAAAAACACATAGAAGCCAAACAAAAGAGCAGCCAATGTCCAAAGCTGAAACCATTTGAGCTACCAAATCCGTAACAATGAAGATATTGGATTATCACCCAAAGGCTCAAATAAATATCCACGAGTGAACACTGATATAAATAAATGATTGAATAAGTAAATATTTGGCAAATCTTCCCTACAAAAAAATTCCAATTAATAAATGTAGAAGAGATGAATGAACCAGAAAATCACCATAGGAACACCACAGTAAAAATCGCTGGCCTGGTGCAGTGTCTCACGCCTGTAATCCCAGCACTTTGGGAGGCCAAGGCAGGCAGATCACTTGAGGTCAGGAGTTCAAGACCAGCCTGGCCAACATGGTGAAACCCTGTCTCTACTAAAAATACAAAAATTAGCCAGGTGTGGTGGTGTGGGCCTGTAATCCCAGCTACTTGGGAGGCTGAGACAGGAGAATTGTTTGAACCCAGGAGGAGGAAGTTGCAGTGAGCCAAGATCATGCCACTGCACTCCAGCCTGAGTGGCAGAGTACAACTCCGTCTCAGAAAAAAAAAAAAAAAAAGAAAAAGAAAAAAAAAAAATTCACCATTACCCAGTGGGATTTATTTCTGAAATGTAAGGGTGGTTCAACATACAGAAATCAAGGTAATATATGACATTAATAGAATTAAGGGGGAAAACCCCACATAACACCTCAATTAAAGAGAAAAAGCATCAGAAAAATGCACCAGTGTTTCGTGATAAAAACACTCTAAAAACTAGGATTAGAAGATAAACTACATCAGCATAATAAAAAGCATACATGAAAACTCCACAGCAAATCACAGAAAATTAGACAAACCCAGAAGATAACTACATCAGAATGATAAAAATCACACATGAAAACTCCACAGCAAACCATCACCAAGCCTGGGTGACACAGCAAGGCTTCATCTCAAAAAAAAAAATACATATATATATATATATATATATGTATTTATATACATATAAATGTATGTGTATATACATATATATGTATTTATATACATATAAATGTATGTGTATATACATATATATGTATTATTAGTGGCAGGCAAGAGCCACTAATGAATGCTTAAACCAATGGGCAAAAGTTTCAGGAGGAAAATGACTTTACATTACCTCAAAGTATCTCCTCCAAAATTAAAAAGGGAACTGTAGTAACTTTACAGTCAAGAAATCCCACACACACACACACAAACACCTTCAACAGTGATCCAGGTTAAAATCTCCAGTGGTGAGTCCTGTGGGCATCCGGACCCACCCCGCACCCCTGACTGGATGCTGAGGAGGGCACCTCACCTCCATGGAACTCTTCCTGAAAGTGTATAGCCTCTCTCTGATCATGAGAAAACAGCACCCACATGCAGATTGGAGATGTTTCGCAAAGTGCCCGGCCAATAGTCTTCCAACATGTCAGGGTCATGAGAGATTGAGGAAATACTGAGAAACTGTCACAGGTTGGTGGAGACTAAGGAGGCGTGAAGACTAAATGCACGTGAGATCCTGGCTGGGTCATGGCAAGGAAAAGGTCCTTAAAGGAAAGGCTGATGAAACCTCAATAAAGTCTATAGTTTAGTTGATGGTAATGCCAGCGTTAATTTCTTAGCTTTGACAAATATACCAAAGTAATATAAGATTTGGTAGTAGAGGAGTTGGATGAAAGATACATGGGAACTCTGTGCTACCTTTGAAACTGATGGTCAGTAGGATAAAATCTAAGTATTTGCAGTGGCATGAAAACCCTCACCATCGTAGCCCCTGCTGTTGCTATCTGTCTGGTTCTGTCTGTCGTGATCCCAGATGAAAGGTTCTGCCCTCAACATACACTCCCCACACCCAGACACTCACATGCCATCACTATTCAACCCCACCCTATCCACACAGGCCCGTAAAAGCAGGACGCTGCTTCACGCCCAAGGGCCTAGCCTTTCATTGCCCCTTCATCTTGGATTCTGTTCCTCAGCCAATTCCTCTCTCAAAATTCAAACCTGATAAATTCACCTCTGCATGAGGCTCCTGAGCCCCCACTTCCACCGCAGCAGAGCAAACTCCTCCCTCCTCATGTCCCCCACTCCTGTGTGCCCTGTGCTCACATCTACTGTGGTCCCCGTCACATGGTCTTGCTGCTTTGTCTGCAGAAGACACCCCCAACTAGACTCTAGGTGCCTTCAAGCAGGAACAGTGTCCATTTATCTTCACAGTCCTCAGACAATGCTAACTGTGTGTAGGAGTCATTGGGAAGGAGGGGCCTCCTGGAGCCTGACAGCCTGTCACGTGAATCAACATCCACAGACAGAGCCTGCAGAGGAGGCTGGCTGGGTGCATCCTCAGAAGCGGCCCTCATTCACCACTGTCCTCACAGCCACCCAGAGCATGGGGCCTGCCAGCAGCCATCCCATAGGGCCCATGCCAAAGTCACTTCCCTAGGTTCTTCGAAACACCCGTGTCTAACCTAAAATGTGTAACGATAACAAAGACAAGTTTACTCCTCAAGAAACTGAATTGCTTTTAGATATATCTGAAAAACCATTAATATCAACAGGGTTACCGAACATGAGCTAGAATAATCTCATGAAATCAAGACCCCTTCATAGGTAGCACTCACCATGGCTAGCTTGAGTCAACTTGTGTATTTAAAAGTAATATACCTGCATTCTTTTGTAAAAGTCTACACTCCACATTTTTCGACATTTTGCTAGACCTGTTTTTCATGCTCCCATGAACCCAAATGCCTGCAGATGCTGAGTGCTACTGCCCCTGCCATGCTGCACTCCGAGGCTCTGAAAGGAAAATGTTTTTTGTGTGATGTTGGAGAGTTCGTCGCTCCTCTCATTTGATATCGGCAGTTCTCCCAGGCCACAAGCTAACTGATGCAAGCACTCTGGGTCTTGCTTCTAGGTCAGTGGACACTTTTCTTTAAGTTGCTCCTGGTATATGCTTCTTCATATTGATTTCTCAAAATTCCAAAATAGAGTCCAAATAGCAGCACAGCACTAGGTCCAGGATTTCAAAGCCCGCTCTTGATTTCTGGCGTTTAATGTTTCATTCATGCGGCTCTTACATAACTCTGCACCTTCACCCTGCCATCGATTTTCCTACATTCACCTTCAATATTTGATCACAGGGAGAGCAGCCAAAATGATAGCTGGAGCTTTTGGAGATAGACTCAAATGTAATTCTTTTTCCTGTTCATGCAAAAAAAAAAAAAAAAAAAAAAAAAGGCAGAGAAAGGAACAGCATTCATATCTCAGAAGAGAAGCTTTTCGAAAATGGTGGTTTTATTGAATTCCTTGTCACCACAAAGCAGTGAACAGAGAGCTATGAGCAACCTTTGCAGTGTTTGCTTGCATCTCCTCCTCTGACTCAGGAACAGCCTGCAGTGTCAACAACACCCAAGCCATCGCTTCAGGTTCTCCATCAAGAAGGTGGGATGAGAAAAGCCTGACATCTACCTGCCCCCAAAATATCTACAGTGAGCTGCTATGATTGGTCCTTTTCCCACTCTCCTGAGCTCCCCACTGTAAAAGCACAGATGTGATCACAGCAATGCTTCTATTTTAGCTGCAGCTGTCCTCTCGACCTTCCCATCATCACTGAAGTATCTATCCATTTTTCAGATATGTCCAGAGCACACTCCAATCCACCGAGTCAGGTAAACTAAAATGTGAAATCCTTTCTCCTCCTTCTATTTAACCCTCCCAACCTCCTCCCACCCCACAGGTCACCAAGTCCTGCGGTTCCCCCTCTGAAAGATCTCTGTAACAGAGCCCCTATTTTCATCTCCAATATACTTGTGAAAGATCAGCTCTGATGTTTGCACCATGGAGCTACAGTTCAGAATTGCCCTTAGGTCCTTTTCCAGAAGGCTGTAAGGGAGAAAGAAGTAGGGAGAGGAAACAGATGGGCTCCAGCCGCAGAAGCAACAGCAAGCAAGTGGGAAACTCTTGAAAAATGGAAGCAGGAAGACACAGGATGATTTCATTTCCGTCCCACCGAAGACCCACAGCAAAGAGGACCCGAGTTTAGCTGAAACTGTGCAACGTTTCCATTACTGGCTATGGAATTATTCTTTCTGTTTCTTTGTACTGAAAAGTAGTTCGCCCTTAGAACATCTCCAAAGATTTTGTGCCGATGTGCTTATGTTGGAACGGGGCCAGAGAGCACGGAGTAAAGGGAGAAGTGGGGGCGGAGGGGTGGGTGTTCAGAAGGAAACGTTACAACCGGACCTTTCCCCACACTGTACTGGGGAGAAGAAAAACTTACAAATGGGAAGTGGCTTCGGAAGAAGTGAAGAGGAAGAGAATTAAGGAGCATTTTACAGACTCTGGCCTCTGCCATCAGACTTGCCAAATACTGTCACTACTCTAGCATTCCACGTCCCCAAAAACAGGCTCTCTGCCGCTTCCTCTCCAGTCAGGGGCCAAGGTCCCCAACAGGACACGACCAGCTCCAGGGAGTTCTAGGAAGTGATTGATAGCCCTCCTCATCCCTGTCCCTCCCAAGTTCTGCCCAAACAGCTTAAATGCATAGTTGTGCTCATTGTCCAACACCATGAATGAGAAACAAGTGCCTGGGATCTGCAAACACTTAGTGCCCCCATGACAATTGTGACCTGACTTTACTTAGGATTATGACTTAAATTCAACTATCAATTTTAGCTCCTTTGTTTTATTTGGTAGTTAGCTGAGGTTTTGTTTTTTGGGTTTTTTTTTTTTTTAGCGCTATTTAACTCAGGTTGGCACAGAGATATAAAAACACAGCTCACAATTTAAAACATATGGCAGAAAACATTTTTAATTGTATGTTCCAAGGTTCTTATGGTATAGACAATTTGTGCAAGCCTGTTAATATATATACTACTTTAAATTAAAGCATTTTTCATGGACTCCTGGTGTTAATATAATTTTTAGTACAATGATACTTGAAAATTTACAAACATATTAATAAATCAAAGTAGGAAATCATTATGCCTGTAGCTTTTATGCAACTATAAAACTAAAATAAGCTGACAAATCAAATTGTCATTTTAGCCTTAACTTATTAGTTATATTATTTTGTTGAATTTAATACTATGAATTGTGTCATTTTACTAAAACTACATTGGTGTTTCCAACAGGAATATAGTAGAGACTACTATGGTGCAGGTTCTACTTGGCTTGGCAAGTCCCATCGTACAACCCACCCTGTGCCCTGTGATAACCCCATTCTCCAGCCATTACCCTGGATTCCAATAGTTATGAAGCTTTCATTCCTTTAGCACTTTGTGTCATTTTTAACTTTCTCAATGAATTCAAACATATCATTTGCTAATCAAATCCTCCAATATGGATGCGGGTGAGCTAATTTGGATCCTTCTTCCACTACAAAGACAAATGGAAGCTAAATTAGATGCAACAAAATAAATAAATAATAACTAAGGCAGTCAAACTCACAATGAAAGAATGTCTTCAGGTACTAGACACATAAAGAGAACTCAAAGTCAGGGCAATCAAATGTGAGAGCTTGCCGTGCCCCAGAAAAACACCAGGATGTAGCAAGTAGATATGAGACTAAATGGCTAGAAGCTAGATGAGAAATAGAAGAGGTAGCCATATCCTCTTAACCATGAAAGCTGGAATCTAGAATCCTGCAAAAATCCAGCACCATGAAGGGGTTCTTCCTCAGTAGCAGACCTAAAAGAACAATGTTCATAAGCCTGTGATAGCAATGAGGAAGTCTGTATGTCACTAAGACTATACAATGGAAAAATACATCCAGCATGAGAAATTAAGCAGCACCAGTACCAGGCACTGGTTAGGAGTTTAAATTTAATTTTTTCATGTGTAAAGGGAATGCTAAGTCAACATGGTGCTTTTAATTTCCAAATTGGCAAAAGTCCTCGACTTTCAAGCAAAGAAAATGCAAATATGCCATAGTAAATTTTCAGGACCTGGGCAACGTTGACTTCCACAGGGAAAATCAGGAGAAGGGAAGAAAATGAGTTCATAAGCAAACATTAAAACACACACAGACAAGGAAATATTCTATGAGTCGGCAGCAAACATGCTGAACAGGATCCATAATTTACATAATAAAAATATTTATGAAAGACTATAGAAGAAGAATGTTTAAAATTATTAGTGTTAAAAGAAGGACTAAGACTATATTACAAAAGAAAAATTAGGAGATTTCTGCTTCCAGTAAGAGTGGGCTAGATAATTAAGAATACTCTCTAACTGAAAAGCTGTGCAAAATACAAAAACAGAAGAAAGTCAACAAAATAGTAAAGAATTACCAGGCTCAGATGTGGGTAATATGCCAAATGAACCAGACATTCTCAGCTACTTCTTTTCTTTAGGGGCATATGCCAAATTCAGAAGGGAAGTTGAGAGGCCAAGGGGCGTGTTGTCACATTTAAAACGTTCTTAAAGCTAAAGAGATGGAGATCAGCATCAGGGCCTGCCAGGGTCTGTGCAGGAAGATCCTGGTGAAGTCTTTCTCTTGGATTTGAATCCCAAAGGCTGCACCCTAAAAATAAGAGTCAATATAACGTAGAATCTCACAGTATTTCAGTTCAATTTAAAATGATCTGAAGCCTTGAAATTAGACAGAAGTAATCTCACATTGTTTGTGTAGCCAGGCATCTTGCAAAATAGGTGTAAATCTACACTGGAGAAAAGCAATAATATTCTTCCATACAAATTGGCAATACCATATCCGGATACAATTTAAAACAGAAAAACACTTAAATAAAAGCTCACAAAAGAAGACCAACAGAAACATACATAGAAAGAAACTCAAGGAGGCACAGATGTTTGACACAGATTTTAAATAACTATAACTTAATATTAAAACAGAAGACAAGGTTGAAATTATGTATTCAAACGTTTTTAAGGAAACAAACAGAAAACCACTTAACCTTTCTGAAGTTTGGTTGCTAAATTTCTTAAATGGGACTAAGAATAACTGACTAGCTCACATAATAAGGTTGTGAGGATCAAATAAACTTACATGAATGAAAGGTATTAAAGTGTTATATAAGAATTTTTCAACCCCCACTTATGAGTGAGAACATGCAGTGTTTGGTTTTCTGTTCTTGTGATAGTTTGCTGAGAATGGTGGTTTCCAGCTTCATCCATGTCCCTGCAAAGGACATGAACTCATCCTTTTTTATGGCTGCATAGTACTCCATGGTGTATATGTGCCACATTTTCTTTATCCACTCTATTATTGATAGACATTTGGGTTGGTTCCAAGTCTTTGCTCATTCTGCATATGTACCCCTGAACTTAAAGTATAATTTAGAAAAAAGTGTTATATAAGAATTTTTTCATTACCATTATAACCTTTTTCTAAACTTGGAAACATTTTATAGCAAAGATGCTGAATTTGAATTTTGCAAATATTGGGCCAAATATGTATGCTTTGCCCATGAAAAGACAGTAAATCTACCTGTTTGAATAGGTTGATACCTACACACACAAAGACATACACACACACATGCACATACACAACAGACACTTGTGTGTTTGTGTGCATATACATTGAAAAACTAAGTAAAAATTTGATTAAAAACATTTTAGAACTGACAAATAATATAATAACCGAGATAAATTCAATGGATTGTTTTACCAACACATTAGACATTGCTGATGAGAAAATCAGTAAATTGGAAAATAAATTAGAAAGAAAATAAATACCTGCCATAAAGATGGAGAGACAAAGGGGTAGAAAAAAAATAATAGGGGAGGATAAGAGACCCAGAGAACTGAGGGAATAAATTGGTCTAGCACAGATGTTTTTGGACTACCAGGAAAAGAGGAGGAAGAAGATTGAGAAAACAATAACATTTGAAAAGATAATGGCTCAGAACTTTATGACATTGATGAAGGACATATCCTACAGAATCCAAAGCCTAGACCATCTTGTGTATCTATTCTATTAACTGCTTTATTTCCTTCCATTGTGGTTTCCCAGTTTTCCACTTCTTTCCCATTTTTCATTCCCTTGGGCTTTGATATGAAAGTCTCACCAAGTTAGACATGCTGGCTGAATGCTTCAAACTTCCCACTGAAACCCAGAAACAGCCACACAGTGAGAATACACATCACATCCTAGGACTAATAGGTTCATCCTCAGGCTAAGAGCAAAAGCTAAATGATCTGTCCCTAGACAGGACTGAACTGGATGGAAGCATTTATCTAGTAATTACATTGCCTTCCAGAACAAATATGACATCCTATAGAGGAAGAAATCAAAATCCAGGGTTTCTACAATGCAACTAACTCACTATAAAGTTAGAAATTACTAGACATGAAGAGAAGCATAAAAAAATTGGAACCATAAAGAAGAGAAGAAGTGCAATTAATAGACAGACACACACAGATGGTCCAGCCTTTGGAATAAGCAGAAAAGAACGTATAGGATAAACCAATTAAGTCCCTGAAACAAAAAGAAGATGTAATGGGACAGGAAAAGAAAAGCGAAGAAAGAATGGGTCATAATTTTCTAAATTGAGAAAATAAATAAATTAAAGTAAATCATTTCACAGTTACAAATTGCTCTCAGTTAACTATGAGTAGGATGGAGAAGAAGGAGAGAGGGAGGGAGCGAAGGAAACAAAGAAGGAAGGAAATAAAGAAGGAAGAAAGGAAATAAGGAAGGAAGGAAATAGGAAGGAAAGAAACAAGGAAGGAAGGAAGGAAGAAAAGGCAAGCATGCCAGAAAATTTCAAAGTCCAACTGTTGAAAACCAAAGGTGAAAAGAAAATCTCAAACATAACCCATAAGACTTCCTGATTCAGCTCTGACAAATAAAGAACTTGGAAGACAACACTCCCATCCATTCTTAGAAGCTCAACAAACTGAAAATAAATTTTTAAAAATTAGACTCATCAGAAAAATGAGACTGAAGGGCAAACCACCACCCCAAAACCTAGGAAAACAGGCACAACAGGAGCGATGTACCCACCACGGTCTGTGTACCTAGAGCAGGAGCTGCTGGAGCCATGGACTGGAAGAAGCACATACACAGTCGTCTGAGTTGCTGGAGGCTTAGTGTGGACCAGCAAGAGACTGAGAAATTTCTGGAAACCACAGCATGGCAGGAGGCGTGAGGGCGCCCACACGTTCATGGGCGTCACTACCTGGACACACACCAGGTTTCCATGGTAAGGATCTAAGAAAGATCTCTTATGGCTATGGCATGGGGAAGGGAAGAAATATTATCAAAATCTTAAGTGAAATAACTCAGAAACAGAGAGTCAAATGCTGCATGTTCTCATGTATAAGTAGGAGCTGAATCATGTCTACCGGTGGATGTGGAGTGTGGAATAATAGACATTGGAGACTCCAAAGGGTGGGAGGTGAGCAAGGAGTGAGAGATGAGAAATTACTTAGTGGCTGCAAGGTACATTATCTGGGCGATGATTACGCTACACCACTACACAGTATATCCACATAACAAAACTGCACGTGTACCTATTACATTTGTACAAAAAAGAGGGGGGGTGGGGGAGAAGTGCCCAGACCTTCTCTGTAGCAAAGGCTCACTCTCCAGGGAAAAACACGGGTTAAGGGCATTAATACATCTCCAGCCCTTGTTCACTTAAGGGGAAAACTAGTCACCAGGGGCCAGGCTTTAAGGAAATAAATTGGCAATGCTACAGCCAGGGAATCCAAAGGGGAGCAGGTGAAACCTATCCCATGAAGAAAGACTGGTGAAGGTCACAGCCCACAGACACAGGCCCACCAAGCCACCGACATTCAATCAGAACCTTACAGACACGCCTCCTCCCCTTCCCCTTACCACCCACGCCCAGCAGGGCTCCCATGCAGCGGCGGAGCACAGCTAATATTGCTGCAAGTCACAGACTGTCAAAGGAGTGTTCTAAAAGAAGCTCAAAGACAAGAAGGAAGATAAAAAACAAGGACACTAGGGGAATTTGAAGCCCCTAACACTTAGAGCCACAGCAAACATTGAAACAGCAGCCTGGCTCACAGCCAGATTCACATAAATCCTCACATAAAGGCCTATGAACCTTCGTTCTTATTATCCAACTTTCAAAAAAAAATTACAAGGCATGCAAAGAGGCAAGAAAAAAATAGTCTGAAGAGGCAAAGTAAGCATCAGAATCAGACTCAGAGATGACACAGATGTTGGAATTAGCAGACACTGAATTTAAAGTAACCATGATTAGTATGTTAAGAACACTAGTGGAAAAAGTAGAAAACATGCAAAAACAGATGGGTAATGTAAGCAGAGGGATGAAAATTCTAAGAAAGAATTAAAAGGAAATGCTAGAAATCAGGAGCGCTGTAGCCGAAATTTTAAAATGCTTTTGATGGGCTTGTAAGAGACTAGACACAGCCAAGGAAAGAATCAGTGTGCTTGAAGCTATGTCCATAGAAACTTCCAGAAAGAGAAGAGTAAAAACAAAACAAGGAAACAGGCAAACAACAAAAATAACAACAACAAAAACAAACACCCAAAAATTTGGAGACAATTTCAAAAGTTGTAACATAAGTGTAATTGGAATATCAGAAGGAAAAGAAAGAGAGAACTCATCAGAAGAAATATTTAAAGTAATAATGGCCCAGATTATTCCAAAATTAAAGATAATACTAAGCCCCGAATCTAGGAAGCTCAGAGAACACCAAGCAGGATTAATGCCAAAAGACACACACACCCATTCATAGGCGTAGCACATTCAAAGCGCGAGAAATCAGACAAGGAAAAAACCTTGAAAGAAATCGGGGTGGGGGAGCAATCTTATCTATAGAAAATCAAGGATAAATATTACAGTGTTTCTCATCATAAATTATGCACATATGAAGAGAATGGAGTGAAATATCTCAAGTGTTGGAAGGAAATAAAACAACCAATCTAGAATTTTTATATCCCATGAAATTATCCTTCAAAAATGAAGGAAAAATACTTTCTCAGATGAGCAAAAAGTGAGACAATTCATTGCCAGCAAATCAGCTCTGCAAGAATATTCAAAGAAATTCTGTGTCCAGAAAGAAGGAAAACAACAGAGATCAGAAACCAGGTTCTACATTTTTTAAAATTAAGAGTATCAGAGAAGAAATACGTGGAAGTAACATGCTTTTATTGATCTTATGCTTAATTTATCTGAAAGATAATTGGCTGTTTAAAGTAATAACAGTAACAATGCATTGGGAGATTATAGCACACAGTGAAGCTGAATAAATGGCAACAGTGTCACAAGGTATAGGAGAGAGGCATTGGGATTGCTCCAGTAGAAGTTTCCTGCACCACATGTGACGAAGTGTAGCAGCATTAGAAGGTTGCTTTGGATCATGTAAAAATAAATATTGTAAATTCTAAGGCAAACATGAAAAAAAAGCTAAAAGAATTAAAATTGACACGCTCAGAGAAGAGATAAAATAGAATTATATAAAATGCTCAATAAAGCAAAAGACAGCAGAAAAATAGGAAAATTTTTTAAAAAATAAGAATAAATGGAGTAAATAGAGAACTGTTAAAAACAGTAGATATTCATCCAGTTATATCGATAAGCACTTTAAAGTGTACAGCCTAAGAAATTATTTTTAAAAAATTGTCAGATGAGTTTGTTTTTAAATATCCAACTATATGTTGTTTACAAAAAGCACATATTATATAGAAAGACTCAGACAAATTAAAATTGAAGGGATGGAGAAAGTTGTAACATGCTGACACTCTTGAATAAAAAAGCAGGAATAGCTGTAATAATTTCAAACACAGCACTCTTCAGAACAGGGAAGATCAGTGATGAAGAGGGACATTAACAATAAAAGGGTCAATTTTCCAGGAAGACATAATTATAAGCATGAATATATCACACAACAGAGCATCCAAATACATGAGGAAGAAACTGACTGAACCGAAAGGAGAAATAAACAGCTCCACTATTATAGTTAGCCACTGCCAGAATTGACAGTTTAAGCAGGCAGAAAATCAGTAAAGATGCGGACAACCTGAACAGCGCTATCAATCAACTTGATCTAATTGACATTTTTAAAAATATTTCAGCCAGCAGTAACAGAATACACATTCTTCTTAAGCTCACAGGGAACATTTGCCAAGATAGGTTACATTCTGGGCCTTGAAAAACACCTTAAGTTTGAAAAAATAGAAACCCATTTAAAGCATGTTCTCAGACTACAATGGAACTAAATTAGAAATTAATAACAGAAAGATAGCTGAAAAATTCCCAAATATTTGTAAATTAAATAACGTGCTCTTAAATACCCCATAGGTCTAAAATAAATCTCAAAGAAATTTAAAAAGACTTTGAAAACTAAATGAAAATTAAAATACAATGTAGCCAAATTTGTGGAAGTCAGCAAAAGTATCAAAGAACCAAAGAGTTAGTTATTTTAGGGAGGCAAGAAGAAGGATCCTAATGCCCACAAAAGACCACCATCTGGATTCCTCCTGTTCTGTTCAGAATTCTGCCCAAGATCAAATTCACAAAGCCTGACATCTCTATTGGAGATGTGGCAAAAAAGCTGGCTGAGATGTGGAATAACTTAAATGACAGCGAAAGGAGCCTTACCTCACTGCATTAGTCCAGTGTCATGCTGCTACGAAGAAAAACCTGAGACGGGGTAATTTATAAAGGAAGGAGGTTTAATTGACTCACAGTTCCGCATTGCTGGGGAGGCCTCAGGAAACTTACAATCATGGCAGAAGGCAAGGAAAAACAAGCACCTTCTTCACAGGATGGCAAGATGGAGTGAGTGCCAAAAGGGGAAATGCCAGACACCTGTAAAACCATCAGATCTCGTGAGAACTCACTATCACAAGAACAGCAACCGCCCCCATGACCCAATTACCTCCACCTGGTCCCACCCTTGACAGGTGGGGATTATCGGGATTACAATTCCAGGTGAGACTGGGTTGGGGTCACAGAGCCAAACCATATCAATCACCAAGGCAGCAAAGCTGAAGGAGAAGTATGAGAAGGATGTTGCTGACTATAAGTCTAGAAAGTTTGATGGTGCAAAAGGTCCTGCTAAAGTTGCCCAAAAACAAGTGGAAGAGGAAGATGAAGAAGACGAGGAGGAAGTAAAGGAGGAGGATGAATTAAAAAAACTGTTCATCTATTTTAAAAATGCTTTTCTATAATGACTTTGTGTCCTACACCTCTGATAAGTTCAATTAATTTTAGCATTTTTTAATATATTCCTTAGGATTTTCTACTTAATGATCAGGTTGTCTGCAAATAAAAACAACTTTACTTCTTCCCTAAAAAAAAAAAAAAAAAAAAAAAAAAAAAAAAAAAATCACAAAATTGATAAATCTATAGCCAGGATTACCAAAAGTGAGAGAGAGAATATAAATCACAGATATAAAAAATGAGAGAATATTCATTAAATAATGAATCCCTTTGGCATAAGGATAATAAAGGTATACTATGAACAACTCTGTTTCCAAATTTGATAACTTAGATGAAATGAATGAATTTCTTGAGAGACACAAACTACCAAAACTCACACAAGGAGAGAGAGGCAACTTGAATAGGCATGTGTTTATTAAAGAAATTGAATAAATAACTTATAGCCTTCCTAAAAAGAAAGTACTATACCAGATGTTTTCACCAGTAAATTCTAACAAACATTTCAAGAAATAATACTAATTCTTTACAATATCTTCCAAAAAAATAAAAGCAGAGGGAACATTTCCTAACTCAGGTATGAGGCCAGATTACCTTAATACCTAAATCAGATAAAGATGTGAAATGAAAGGAAAACTATAGACTGATATCTCTCATAAATATATATGAAAAACTTCAACAAAATATTAGGAAATCAAATCCATCGAAGTACAAAAAGAATTATACATCCCAACCAAGTGGGATGTATTTAAAACATTCAAGGCTGGTTCAAGACTCAAAAATAAAAAAAAATCAATGTAACCCTCCATATCAACAAGCTAAAGAAAAGAAATAATTTGATCAAATCAATCAACACAGAGAAAGGCATTTAACAAAATCCAACACCCATTTATCATAAAACTCTTAGCAAACTAGAAACAGAGAGGACATCATCAACTTGATAAAAAAGTTATTAAAAGCTGAAAGCTAATATCATATTTAAAGAAAACAGAGTGGAATCTTCCCCCTCAAAATCAGGAACAAGGCAACAATGTCCTCTCTCACCATTCCTATTCAACATTGTGCTAGAAGTTTTACCTGGTGCAATAAAAATAGAAAAAGGAAGAAATGTATATGGATTAGAAAGAAAGAAGTAAAACTGTCTTTAGTCACAGATATAATCTTTTATGTAGAAAAGTCCAATTAAAAACACTTCTGGAACTAATAAATATGTATAACAAGGTCTCAAAAGTCAATTGCTTTCTTTTATACCAGAAATTTAAAAATTAGCATTTGAAATTAGAAAAGAAAATACTGAGATGCTTAATTTTATGTGTCAGCTTGACTGAGCCACAGTGCCCAGATATCTGGTCAAACATTCTAGACTTTCTTGTGAAAGTATTTTTTTGGATTAACATTTAAACGGATAGAATTCGAGTAAAGACAATTACCCTCTATAATGTGGGTGGGCTTCATCCAATCAGATGAAGCATTCAGTAGAACAAAGACTGGCCTTTCTCAAGCAAGAAAAAATTCTGCCAGCAGATGGCCTTTGGAGTCCAACTTCTACTCTTCCCTGGGTCTCCAGCCTGCTGCCTAACCTGCATATTTGCAGTTGCCAAGGCTTCACAATTATATGAGCCAATTTCTTTAAATCTTCCTGTCTCCCCACCCCAAACACACACACACACTCACACACATTGTCTCACACACGCACTCACACACAGAGATGATGATGTTTCTGTTTTTCTGTTTCTCTGGAGAACCCTAATACAAATACCATTTACAATAGCACAAAAAATGAAATGATTAGGTATAACTATAACAAAAATATGTATAGGATATGAATGCAGAAAACTATGAAATGCTGATGAAATCAAAAACTAAATAAATGGACAGATATTCCATGTTCATGGATAGGAAGACAATATTGTCAAGATGTCAGTTCTTTCCAACTTGATCCACAGATTCAAGACAATCCAGACTTTACTGGACTACTTTGTAGGCATCAATAAACTAATTTTAAAGTGTGTATCAAATGGCAAAATAGTTAGATCACACAACACTAAAGAAGGAGTAGGAGAAGAAGAAGGAGGAGGAAGAACAATAAAGCTGAAGGACTCACAGTGCTCTATTTCAAGACTTACTATTAAGCTACAGTAATCAAAACCTAGTGTTGGCAAAAATAAATAAATAGGTCAATGTAACTAAATAGTCCATAAATAGAGCCACACAGATATAGTTAACTGATCTTTGATAAAGGAGCAAAGGCAATTCCATATAGAAAAGACAGTTTTTTTTAACAATTGTGCTAGAAAACTTGGATGTCAATATGAAAATAAAACCCTAGCCCTTACACATGTCACAAAAAATTAACTCAAAATTGACCATATACCTAAATGTAAAACACGAAGCTATAAAACTTCTGGAAGAAATGACGAGAGAAAAAACTATAAGACCTGGCTTTTTTGAGGTGGTTTTATATACAACATGAAATGATAATCCATGAAAGTAAATTGAACTGATAACTTGGAATTTATTAAAATTTAAAACTGCTATGTAAAAGATACTTATGAAAATAAAAATACAAACCACAGAATGGGAGAAACTATTTGCAAAACATATCTGTTAAAAGACTTGTATTCAAAATATACAAAGAAACTTAAAACTCAACAATGAAAAGAGAAATAACCCAACTTTTCTTTTTTAGATTCATGGGGTACACATGCAAGTTTGTTACATAGGTATATTGTATGGTGTTGAGGTTTCGGCTTCTAATGATCCTGTTAGCCAAGTAGCAAACATAATACACAATAGATAGTTTTTCAATCCTGTCCCCCCATTTCCCCTTTTTGGAATCCCCAGTATTTATTGTTCTCATCTTTGTGTCTATGTGTACCCAATGTTTAGCTCCTCTGTAAAAGTGAAAACATGCAATATTTGGTTTTCTGTTTCTGTACTAGTTTGCTTGTGATAATGGCCCCAGCTGCATACATGTTGCTGCAAAAGATATGATTTTATTATTTTCATAGCTATGTAGTATTCCATGGTGTATATGTACCACATTTTCTTTATCCAATCCGCCATTGTTTGGTATCTGTGTTGATTCCATATCTTTGCTATTGTGAATAGTGCTATGATAAACATGCAAGTGCAGGTGTCTTTTTGATGGAACAATTTATTTTTCTTGGGGTATATACTGAGTAATGGAATTGCTGGGTTGAATAATAATTCTAGTTTTACTTCCTTGAGAAATCTCCAAACTGCTTTCCACAGAGGCTGAACGACTTTGTATTCCCACCAACAGTGTGTAAGAGTTCCCGTTTCTCCACAGCCTCATCAACATCTGTTATTTTTTGACTTTTAAGTAATAGCCGTTGTGACTGGTGTGAGATAATATCTCATTGTGCTTTCTATTTGCATCTTCCTGATGATTAGTGATGTTGAACATTTTTTTCATGTTTTTGGCCACTTATATGTCTTTCTCTTTCTCTGAGAAGTGTCTGTTATGTCCTTTGCCCAGTTTTTAAATAGTTTTTTTTTTCTTTTTGATTTGTTCAAGTTTCTTATAAAATCTAGATATTGGTCTTTTGTGAAATGTACATTTTGCAAATATTTTCTCTCATCCCATAGGTCATCTGTTTACTCTGCCGTTAGTTTTTGTTATTGTTGTTTGTTTGTTTTTGCTGTGCAGAAGCTCTTTTGTTTAATTAGGTACCAATTGTCAATTTTGTTTTTGTTGCATTCACTTTTGAGGACTTAGACATAAATTCTTTGCCAAGGCTAATGACCAGAAGGGTATTCCCTAGATTTTCTTCCAGGATTTTTATAGTTTGAGGTTTTGCATTTAAGTCTCTAGTCCATCTTGTGTTAATTTTTGTATATGAAATAACTCAGCTTTTAAAACAGTCAAAAGATTTAGACACTTCACCAATGAAGACTTGCAGATGGAAACTAATCATGTGAATAGGCAACATCATTATTCATTAGGGAAATGCAAATTAAAACAATAATAAGTTATCATTACAGATCTATTGGAATGGCTAAGTTAGCTAGAATTGGCTAAAATCCAAATAACTGACAAGATCAAATCTGGCAATGATACAGAGCAACAGAAACTCTCATTCATTTTTAATAAGAATACAAAATGGCACAGCCAATTTGGAAGAGAGTTTAGCAGTTTCTTTTAAAGCTAAATTTACTCTTCCCATATGATCCAGCAGTCATGTTCTTGGGTAATTACCCCACCAATTTGAAAACGTTTGTACACACAAACATCTTCATGCAGATGTTGGTAGTCATTTTATCATAACCACTGAAAACTAGAAGCAGCCAATAGGTCCTTCAATAGATGAATGGATAAGCAAACTTGGTACATCCATACAGTGGAATACCATTCTCCAATAAAAAGGAGTGAGCTGCTAGTGAGCCACTTAAAGACACAGAAGAAACTTAAATGCATATTGTGGAGTGAAAGATGAAAATCTGAACAGGATATGTACTGATTCCAGTTATGCGATATTCTAGAAAGGGAAAAATTGCATAAAGACAACAAATCAGTAGTTGCCAGAGGTTCATGCTGGGGACAGGGCGTGTATAGGTGAAGCACAAGATTGTTTTCGAGTGGCAAAACTATCCTGTATAATACTGTAATGGTGGGTACATACACTATACAAAACCCATAACATAAATTTGCAGCACAAAGAGGAAACCTTAAGGTATGCAAAATTTTTTTTTTTTTGAAAATTACTCAAGAGGTCAAAGGATTCCAGGATGGCATAAAGATTGTGAAAAAGAATGTGACTATTTTACAAGTGTAAGACATAATCTTCAGAGGCAAGTGGAAAAGGCACTGGCTTAAGTAACTTAGAAAATGCATGGAGCCTGTAAGACTAAACACAACAGAAACAGTATATAAGCACTGTGCTCTAGCTGATAAAGCTGCTTCCCACAGGGGTACAGGTTAATAATTCTGACCACTATGCATGTCTAGTGAAATTGAACGATTAAATAAATGGATGGTGAATGGTAGGAGTTATATTTCTCACGATTGAAATGGAAGGTTCGAGATAACTGGAGGAGCTAGAATACTCCACGTGATGACGGCTCATCATTGGTGACATAAACTCATGTTTACCTTAATATGAATATGGATGGTTTCATAGAGAAACATTTATAGATATATGTATATACACAGGCTGGTATACACACGTATTTCCTTGCTGTCAGATGATAGCAACTAGGACTAACAACACCTCAGTGGCAGCAAGTACATCTAGGCTCCAGACCATGGTTTCCACTCATAATACTCTCCTGCAATGGAAGGACCCTGGTATCCTTGGGGAAATGGCTGGTTCTAGGCCTGGGGCAGGAAACATAGAAGATGAACCTTAAGCATCTCGCAGCACCAGGAAGCAAGTAAGTAATAACAACAATATCAGAAAATAAAATATTCGTAATAATTATTTTTTAAATTTAATTATATATAACATTCAAAACTGTGATAAGGAAGCCAACTAAAAGATGTCTCAATGGTCTAAGTTGGCTCTAGTAAAATAGAACCCAACTAAAAAGCTTTCAATTGTCAAAACTGGACCAATTTGAGCAATACAATGAATAAAGTAGTATTGGATTATAACCCAAAGTGTAAAAAAAAAAGTCCATCCATGAGTCCACACTGATATAAAGAAATAATTGAATAAATAAATTAATGGGGAAGAATAGAAAAGGCTGTCACACAAAATAATTCAAAATAATCTGTACAGATACTCTGCCTTCCAAGAGGTGGAGCCTAACTCTCCACTCTTAAGTATGGGCTGTGCATAGTGACTTCCTTCCAAAGAGTATAGTAGGAAGCAGGGGTTACTTTACAGAAGAGAAATGTCACAAGTGTGACTGCATCTGAGTGTTCAAGGTTAACTTCCATAGTGGTAAGTCATGTTAATAGCATGTGCCCTTTGTGTGACATGATGAGAATGGCATTGTACATCTGTGATCTTCCTCCCCAAAAACGTGTAATCCCCAACTAATCGTGAGAAAACATCAGACAAATCCCAACGGAAGGATGTTCTACGAAATACTTGGCCGGCTTTCCTCCATACTGTGAAGGTCACCCAAACAAAGTCTGCAAAAACAGCACCACCAAGAGGGGGCTAAGGAGACAGGATGACTAAATGAAATGCGGCATCCTGGGCGCGGGCCCAGAACAGAAAAAGAGCATTAGGCAAAAATTAAGAAATCTGAATGAAGTATGGGTTTTAGTTTATACTATGTCAATGTTGTTTCATTAATTATGAGAAATGTAACATACTAATTTAAACGTTAACAATCAGGGAAGCTTTGTGTGAGCTTTATATGAGGGCTGTATTCTCTTTACAACTTTTCTGTAAGTCTAAAATTATTTTACAACTAAAAGCTTATTTTAAAACATGAGCTGTAAAATGACATATAATCAATGAATTTTCTAGCTCTTCATTTATTACATTTACTTAATTCTTTTTTTTTTTTTTCAGACGGAGTCTTGCACTATTGCCCAGGCTGGAATGCAATGGCACGATCTCCGCTCACTACAACCTCTGCCTCCTGGGTTCAAGCGATTCTCCTGCCTCAGCCTCCCAAGTAGCTGGGATTACAGGCACGTTCCACAATGCCCGGCTAATTTTTTGCATTTTTAGTAGAGACGCGGTTTCATTATGTTGGCCAGGCTGATCTTGAACTCCTGACCTCATGATCTGCCCACCTCAGCCTTCTTCTTCTAAATTGTTCAATTCTGGAACATTATAAGGAAAACCAAAATTAGCAGAATATGGCTCAACTTATTCAAATCGCTTTTCAATTGCCACTGAATTGTAATTTATAATAGATACAATCAGTTTCAGAATCATTAGTAAACAATCTTATTCACAGTTACGTAAGCATTTTTGTTACTTGGTTCTAATTTTTTTATATTTTATTGGAATGTCACGTCCACTGTTGTTTCATTTAAGCAAAATCCACTTTTCTTTTTAAAAAACTTTCCAAGTTACTTTAATTTTTTTAAGCAAAATCCCTAAACTGCTCCAAAATTGTTATCCCCATGGGTATGAGTTGTGATTCCTTCATATAATATGGATGGTTGCATACAGGAATATGGATTCCTCATTGGATTTTCCACCAGAACAAATGGTGTTAACAAATGGATTCCCACTAGAATTCTGGCTTCTATACTTTTCAACAACATTCCTCGTGTCTTTATCTTAGGTGTGCCCTTAACTACTTTTTTTTCCAGTTTTATCAAGGTATAATTGACAACAAAAAATTATATATACCTAAGGTGTACAACTTGATGTTTTGATGTTCATATACTTTCTGAAATAATTACCACCATTAAGCTAATTTGTGTATCTATCACCTCACATAGTTACCTTCTTTTTTTAATCATTGTGGTAAGGATGCTTAAGATCAATGTCCAAAACTGAAAGTTGCCTATTCCATCTTTTACTTAAATCAAACCTATACATTTTCCAATGGACATAAAAGCAGTGACATAGCTACTAATTTTGATATCTCCGTTTTCTTTTCTTTTTTTTTTTTTTTTTTGAGATGGAGTCTTGCTCTGTCACCCAGGCTAGAGTGCAGTGGTGTGAACTCGGCTCAGTGAAAGCTCCGCCTCCCGGGTTCACACCACTCTCCTGCCACAGCCTCCCAAGTAGCTGGGACTACAGGCACCCGTCACCACACCCGGCTAATTTTTTGTATTTTTAGTAGAGATGGGTTTTCACCGTGTTAGCCAGGATGGTCTCGATCTCCTGACCTCGTGATCCACCCACCTCAGCCTCCCAAAGTGCTGGGATTACAGATGTGAGCCACCACGCCAGGTCGATATCTCTGTTTTCTTTTGACTGGTGGTTAGCAATACAAACAACAAATGTTAGTTGTTCAAGATAATTTGTCCTTGATATACTCTAGCTGAATGAATAATATTTACCATTTTAAACATTTGTTTATGATTTCTTCTCTCACTTTAGTCTTTAAAATATGGATCTTATATTCTAATTTTTTTATTCTTGACCATGTTCATATGCTTTACTTTTCATCTATATTTCAGACTCAGCCATTCAGTTATTGAAATAATTTCTACTAAATTAAAAAGTTTCTATTGCTTTCTATAAATATTGTATTAGTGGTACCACAAGCTCGCACACACACCCATATACGCACACAACCATATATCATCATCATGATTATCATCGTGCTTGCTAAGTATTGGGTATAAACTGTTATCCTTTAAGAATATCACACCCATGTATTTCAGTACCAGGTGTCTTTCTTGAATACCTTTGATTGTTTGCTGCTTATTCAGATGTTTTCCCATGGTGGTAACATGGTGTGATTTTTACGTCCAAGTGATGTTTTTTTTTTATTAAGAATGTGAGTGTTTCTAGCCACAAATATCGTCTTAGCCAAAGCTGTTATAAAATATGAAAAAAAAATTAGAAAATACTTTGTCTTTGAATTTAAAATATAAAAGTTGATTTATACACTTTCTCCACTTGAAGAAATTTTGATGTAAAATACTAAATTTTTTTCAGACTTATCCAAAGAAAAATCAGAATCATCCATTTGAATCAGACTGTTTGCTAGAAGCATTCACACACTATCAAAATGATGCGATGAGGTTTCATCTTTCTTGCTCAATTTACCAATTTTGTGAACAGCATTTGCCTCATCTTCTAACAGAAGGCTGGAGCTGTTTGTTGCTTGTAGTTGTGGATTTGATAAGAATTAATCTTGTCCATTCGCATTCATTGTTTAATAAAAAATTAACTCTTCCTTTAATAACAAATATGAAGAGATTTTATTGTCCTGTTCATGTTTTATATCTGGTAAGAATAATTTTTTTAAATGTAATATCCTGTTTGCTAATTTCAAGTGAGTCACACTCAGTGAAAGTCTGCTGAATTACTTGGTCTCAAGATTTTTTTAATTTAAGCAGAAATTTCTCTTTGAAGATTTTTCTGTTTCCTTTTAAGCTTTTCATTTCTGAGCTCTGCTTCTATATTTTCTATTTCTACAAAAAAATTGGACTTACATTTATTCTCCATGATTAAAGTAATTCTTTAGTTAATAAAATATAAAATTTCAGATTAAAATATATAAGATGCTACTTGAAATATATAAATATATAATATTTGAATATATTCCCATCAAAAATATAAATTAAATATATGAATATATAAGTACATCAACATAAAAATTTAAATAATAGGGCTGGGCGCAGTGGCTCATACTGATAATCCCAGCACTTTGAAAGGCCAAGGGAGGGGAATCACCTGAGGTCAGGAGTTCAAGACCAGCCTGGCCAACACGGTGAAACCCTATCTCTACCAAAAATACAAAAATTAGCAGGGCACAGTAGCGGGTGGGAGGCTAAAGCAGGAGAATTGCTTGAACATGGGAGGCGGAGGTTGCAGTGAGCCGAGCACTCCAGCCTGGGCAACAAGAGCAAAACTCTGTCTCAAAAAAAAAAATTAAAATAGTATTAATAATTGATGATTTAAAAATATTTTGGCTGGGTGTGATGCCTCATGCCTATAATCCCAGCACTTTGGGAGGCCAAGGCGAGTAGATCACCTGAGGTCAGGAGTCCAAGACCAGCCTGGCCAACATGGCAGAGCTCTATCTCTACTAAAAAATACAAAAATTAGCCAAGCTTGATAGCGGGTACCTGTAATCCCAGCTACTCGGGAGGCTGAGGCAGGGAGAATTGCTTAAACCTGGGAGGCGGAGGTTGCAGTGAGCCAAGATCATGCAACTGCACTCCAGCCTGGGCAATAGTGAGGCTCTGTCTCAAAAAAAAAATTTTTTTCAAATATTTTCCTTAAAAAAAATTGTTTTTCTTCTAGGATAAACTACTTTTTAAAAATTAAAGGTCAAATATAAATTGCATTAATAAGCTCAAACACTGTAAATCAAAGTTATGTTAAATGAAGCTATAGTTATGTAAATTAAATCTTATTAAACATTTTTGTAGAAATAACGCTGTTCACAATTCTCCTGTTGAAACTTTTTGAGCTGCCAGTGTGAAAAATCATTGTCATGCTTCAAACCATGGCAGGGCATCTGCAGGCCCAGCCAAGCACCTCAGCCACCCCCAGCTCCCCACACCACAGAGTCCCGTCCATCTCTGACAGCAGCGGGGCTGTGACTCGCAGCCTCTCCCAGCTTTCAGAGCAACATGAGATGAGGGGAACTTTATCTTGGAGCCCTAACGGTGTCAGCCATGAGGTAATGGGTTTATGGGTTATGGGCCATGCTGTGCCAGTGCGAAGTGGCAGATCCTGAGCAAGAAAAGTACCCATATGTCCCTAAATAAATGTGTGTTCATCTGCGTTTGTTCAATGCCCTCATGCCTGACCCGGGGAGCCCAGCCTCAGTGTACTCCCAACAGAAGCACCTGCAGATGTGACAAGGAATCATGCAGAGTGACAGTCAGGGAGGCATCATTGCAAGAGCTAAAGCCATGTCAACCATCTAGATGTTGTGCATCTATTCCACTAACAATAAAAAGACGAGCCAATTGTTCTGCATTCACGCGTGGAATACTAAACAGCAAAGAAAATTAGAGAACTGGGGCTACGTGCAAAAATGCAAGCGAGTGTCACACCCATGAGGCGAACAAAGAAGCCAGGCATCACATAAAACACTCATCAATTCCATTTACGAAAATCTACTATCGGGTTTAGTGATGGTACCTACCAGGTATCACTTAAGAAAATCCAAGAAGGGGTTA
The DNA here is from genome assembly GCF_000001405.40 of Homo sapiens. Classification (NCBI taxonomy): domain Eukaryota; kingdom Metazoa; phylum Chordata; class Mammalia; order Primates; family Hominidae; genus Homo; species Homo sapiens. The sequence continues at coordinate 6,301,404 of NC_000005.10, forward strand.
TCATAAGAGTCAGGATGTTTGTGGCTTGTAAGGAAGGAGAGTGGAGAGGGCAGTAATGGGGAGAAGGCACAAGGGAGGGCTTTCACGGCGCTGGAAATGTTCTCTTTCTGAATTTGATAAGCAGTTACAGGTTGTTTCATTGCTGTGTTTCACAGTATAATAGGTTACAGTTAACGTTTATGCTTGTGAAGTTTTCTGTATGTGTAGTATTAGACTTCAGAAAAATATTGTTTAAGTGAATTGGTGTATGCAAAAAAGAAAGGAGGGAGAGCAACGTTAGACAATTTAATCATTCATTCAGCAAATATTTATTGGCACTATGGGTAAAGTTGCCCTGAAAACAATGGTCCAGGCCGGGCACAGTGGCTCACACCTGAAATCCCAACACTTTGGGAGGCCAACATAGACAGATCACGAGGTCAGGAGATCAAGACCATCCTGGCTAACACAGTGAAATCATGTCTCTACTAAAAACACAAAAAATTAGCCAGGCCTGGTGGTGGGTGCTGTAATCCCAGCTACTCAGGAGGCTGAGGCAGAGAATTGCTTGAACCCTGGAGGCAGAGGTTACTGTGAGCCAAGATTGTGTCACTGCACTCTAGCCTGGGTGACAGAGCAAGACTCCATCTCAAAAAAAAGAAAGCAAGAACAACAACAATGGTCAGAAACAAGTTCAGTATCTAAGGCCCCTCTCTGTCCTACAAAGCCATCTCAGCCCAGAAGTTGTTCATCTTTAAATAGTCCCCTCACTTCCTCTCTGTGGGGGTCCGTCCCGCAGACCCAGCTGCACAACAGATGAATAATGTACTCAGACACTGATATTCAGTGAAAGAGTGGGCTAGGGGGCCAGGCCGCTGACTGAAAGAGTTGTAGCAGCTGTGGCCCTGACTCGCTGGCCCTGCTGGCATTTATTCAGCACACATTAAATGACAAAAGCTTTGAGTCAACACCACTAGAGTGTAATTAACCTGGTCACCCTCCTCCTGAGAGAGCCACCCTGCCCACAAATGATCAAGGGTTAGTTTTAGGACCACATGAGTAAACAAATTATTTAGATAAACTCCCTTACATTCATTTGTATCTACTTTAAGCTATTTACTTAAGGTAAGAGGATTAGGCTGCTTTCAGCCAGATCTATTACTGAAGTTATGCAACCCCCACAGCCTTCTAAGAAGGTTTGTGTCTATTTCTTATAACTATCTTTAACATTTTTCCCACCAGCCTGCCTGAACTCCCACACCTCTATGCTTGTGATCAGAAATACTGCAAAGAGTAAGAGATGTGAGTCCACACCTTGCAATCTGGATCCTGCTCTTCCCAAGAGCCGGTCAGAATCACGGCTCTCTTCTAACGATAACCCCGAAGAGAAAAGCTAGGGCTGGATCACAGTCATCCACCAGCATCCCTTATTAAATACTCTTCAAATTATTCTCATCTCACTTTTCGAGGGCAGGAGGAGCTTGGAGGTATGCAACTGCCCCCCCCAGAACTGACCTTGGTGCTGAACTTCTTAGAGGAAGAAGAGTGAATTCAGACTCACCAGATCTTCCAAATCTCCCTTTTTCTTAGAAATCTATCTGCTTTGAGTGGCTTTTCTACCATTTGAATTTTGAACTTATTACTTTAGCAGGTGAACATGGGAAAGAAATTTAAAATGCAAATATAAGGAACTCTTTCTCATATTTCCAGTGGGACAAAACACCACACATTAATAAAGTTATCCTTCTAAATCAAATTATGATGGATGGGTTATTTTCTTTCTAATGGACCAAACTTCTTGATAATCCCAAATAGATACCAAGAGCCAGGCTCACATGAATGTTTACTCTATAATCCCCATGATCCTATTACATTCAGGAGACAGAAAGGCTGGTTGGTACCTAACTCAATACACAGGATGTGTGTAGCTGGAATTTATGAACCAGCATCCCGGCAGAGGTGATCAGTCTGGCCGCTGTCAGAGAAGCAGACGTGATGAATTCAAATATTTTAGAATGCCACAGGCTGGCAAGCCACATACATCCTGCTGAGCGAGCTCAGAGGTGAACAACTACCTTCTGATTCTCACAGTGAAACATCACGTACAGTACTTCAGCTCAGAAAACTCCAAATAACTAGAAAACTTACTATAAACAAATTGTACTGAAATCTTAGTAGACTGTGGTATTAGTGATTTTTTTCTTGTAATTCTCAGTATCTTTCTTGATTTCTCTATATCTTTTTACTGCATTTGGAGAACACTTTCAAAGTCCCCTTGTAGCTAATTTAATACCTATGAATTCCCCATGGGTGTTGTAGAAAGACTGTGCAGCTTAGGAGATTAACTACTTTATATTTTATTACAAAGGTATGGGCTCAAAATATATAAAGGCCTTATTATCTGAAGAATACTTTCCCTGTCTAAAACCAGAACATATAATGGGTTATTTTAGAAGAGAAAATTATTATGTTAAAGCATGTCACCACCAATAAAATAACATGTTTAAATGTAATTCAAAGACTAAAGAGTCAAGAAAATTAAAAGAAAGTTCTAATTTCAATACAATATCACACAGTATTTATAGAAAACCCCTTTTAACTGAATGACTATTCACATAATCTTGGATTTCTTTCATTACTGCTCACTAATATTATCCCAATTAGAAGTGCTGTTCTAGCTCTCTTGTATTAGTTAAAACCACTTCTCAGAGGAACTCAAAGTAAATAAGTTTAATTAAAACTAATCTTTCCAATTCCCACTGTGGTAAAAAGGAAGTAGGTATTATGTCTCATTGACATGCAGGAAGGTTCATCCACGAAGGAGCCCCAGGTGAAGACTCTGGTGTTAGTAGGGTGCTGGCTCACAGCATACCAGAGTGTCAAGGTGCCCCCTGGGCTCCCAGTGCTTACCAGTCCTGGGTCAGGGCCCCTCAGTTACATGTTCGCACTTCCTGTCAAACAAGCCTTAACCCCAGTAGTGACTTTCAGATCAACAGGCAGATGAGGGGAGGCTATTGGGCAGGGGTCTCTCAGAACCTCACACGTCCTTAACCAGAGCCCTGAGCACTTGAACCTACTCAATGATATTCAAGGCAAGGTCCAGAGGAGGGAAGGGAAGGGAAAAAGATGGAAGAAGGAGAGAAAGAAGAAGAGGAGGGGAAGGAGGAAAAGAAAAAGGAGACGGGAAGGGAATGGGATGTCTTAGTCCCTTTGGGCTGCTGTAACAAAATATCACAGACTGTGGGGCCACAAGCTACAGAAATGTATTGCTCGCAGTTCTGGAGGATGAGAGTTCAAGATCCAGATTCTGGAAGATTCTATTTCTGGCAAGGGCCTGTTTCCTAATAAACAGCTGTCTTCTCACTGATTCCTCACATGGTGGACAAAAGGGGTGAGGAAGTTCTCTGGGGTGTCTATTATAAGGGCACTAATCCCATTCATGAGAGGCCCACCTTCATGACCTCATCAGCTCCCAAAGCCCCATCTCCCAGCACCATAAACTTGGGGGTGAGGATTTCAATGTATAAATTCTGGAAGTGAAGGAGGGGATGTAAACAGTCAGATCACAGCAGGAGGAGAGATGGTGAGGAGGGAGGGGAGGAGCGGAATAGAGAAGGAAGAGGAGGGGGAGGGGAGAAGCCGTCATTCCATTACCCCTATTTCCAGTAGAGTTCCAAAAGTCCAATCCCAGAAAACCGTTTGCTTAATGGACAATGTGTCTTGTCTCAAAGGAAATAGAGAAATTGTCAATATCTGAGCTTTTTGTTTCTTCAAATTATCATTTACTTAGGTGATAAAATAAATTAATTTTTAAAAACCAGGAATATTTAGGGCTTTTAAAGAGAAATGTGGTTACTCTTGGTATCATATATCAGCTCTTTTAAAAATTATTTTTATGATATACCATACCTAAAGAATGCATAAAACAAAAACCCACAGCTGTAACCAATGTAACCATCATCTGGGTCAAGAAATTGCCAGCACCTCAAGAGGGCCCCCTCATAGCTTATATAAGGTTAAATATTCCAAAGAAAAAACCCTCACATCATCTTCCTCATTGACATAGCATTTCCATGTGAAATTTAGAATCAGTTTGTCAAGTCAAACACACCCTGTTGGATTTTGATAGGGATTTCAGTAACCCGTAGATCAATTTTAAAGAGTTGACATCTTTACAGTATTGAATCTTTCCATCCATAAATATAATAGACCCTTTCATTTGTTGAGTTTTCAAATTTTTCTCATTAATAGTATTCTTCATGAGGTATTACATATATTTTATGTTATTTGTCTTACAATTTTGATGTTTTTCATAGTTTTAAATACTTTTTGAATTTTATTTCTAAAATGTATGTTGCTTCCATGTAGAATTTTTATTTTATGCATTAATTTAGCAGCAAAACTATACTCATTATTAATTCCACCAATTTATTTACTGGCATTTCTTATGCCTCTGGCTCCCCAGGGCATTGGCGTGCTCATCACTGGTGGAGGTGCCAGGGGGAGAAGCTGCAGAGGAGCAGAGTCCCCTGTCAACCTTCACCTGAGAGTGCCCGTGAGCCCCAGTGTCCAAGGCAGGTGTTCACTCTGTGCTTCTCACCCGAAGAAACTCTAATCTCCAGCCAGTCTTCTGACTCATGTGTGTGTAGGTGTGTCCCTGGTGTGGCTAGACATTACTTGCTCATAAGATTACAGGGATCTGGACTTAATTAGCAGATATTGCTGAGGGCTCAAGTATTTAATCAACCTCTAGATATTTTATCCACTGTAACGTGAATGAAGCAAGCAATTATACACGTTGCTTCACAAAGAATGCTTTGGGGAGAGGGGGGTGTGCGCTCTCCATGCAGTTCTGGAGAGGAAGACCTGGGCCACTGAGTAGCAGCCAGCCACAAACTGGTGCAGAACTCAGAGAGAGAGATGAGCCATGAAGAGAGAGAGTCAGAGCCAGGAGCTAGAGGGGTTCCTGCACCAACCCCTGGCCACCCCCTCCCCTCGGCCCACCCAGCACAGGCTACCAGCACCATGCCTTAAACACACGCCTGCTCATGTGAGCCACCAGTTCTGTCCCCATAAAGGTACCCCTTATCTCAAAGATACAGGGTGAGGATCACACAGCTCCCCTCCACAAGACCCTATGGTTTATTAGGAGATGGGGGGCTAGGCAGGCAGTTTCTCACGCTGTAGAACCTCCTTTCCCCAAATCGTGTTTTGTCCCATCAGGGGCCAGGCTCTCCCATATTGGACATTGCTTCCTGAGGTGCCTCCTTAACCACCCCACCTTGACCGCTGGCCTGTCTTGCCTGACCTGGGTCAGCTCTCATGTCACTGCTCCAGTGCAGCATGAAACCACCAGCCCTGGCTCTAACCTCAGTTCCATACTTCTTCTGAGTTCAGGGGTCCCAACTACACCTTCCAGCAAATTCTTCTTCTTTTTCAACCTAGGCTTCTAGTACCCCCTTGCACACTGCTTCTGCAGAGGCAGCTTTCAGGCCCTAAATTTTCCCCAGACTCCATGAGCTGGGACTGAGAGGAGGAAAGTTGAAGCCAGCAAGTTAAGAAGACAGAATAGAGAGAAAAAATCGCTGGCTTTAAGTGGAGACTCCTTGCTGCCCCTTCACTGCACCTTCTGCATTTCTGCAACATAAGCTGACTAGCTCTCACCTTGAGCTCATGCCAGCTTAAATCTTCAAGCTGCATTTACTGTAAATGCACAGCCGCGGTGGATTTCACGCAGAGTGCAATTTCACTATAACTCTATCTACTGTGTTGCAGAATTGTGAATTACTCAGCTTCCCTAATTAAAGAAATTTCCCCTATAAAGCCTTTATTTATATCTTTTCTAGAGTCCTCTGGCATTAACCCAGAAGACAGTGTTAGAATCCAATTTATCAATGTCAAAATATTAGAGTAATAATGAGGTTTGGAAACCTCTGTTGACCCAAAAGTAGACTCCTTCACAGTCAGAAGTGTAATGATTTTTCCTGGATGTGCTTCTGCCGGTGGAGGCGGTGGTTCCCATGTGTTAAAATGAAGTGCTTCTCATGCTTCCACCTGAAGCGCACCCCTTGGCACACAGAGTTTGTGCTTAGGAAAGTTGAAATCATCCAAACAGATCAATGGGGCTCAGCGCCAACATCCTGAATTCTCTCTGCTCCCTCAGAAGCAAACCCAATCACCAACAATAATGCTGACATGTGAGCCTCAGGATTAAATTGCAGGAACACTTCCGGGCAGCCTTTCTAGCAGTTGCTTGCATGCATGGAAGTCCATCCTCTGAGGCTGGCTTTAGTCTGGCTTCTCAGCCAGCACACACTTAAATCTTTCGATTTTCTCAACTGTATCTTGAGAAAGCTTTTTAGAATGGGTTTCTTTTTTACCATTACTTTTTATTCATTAAGTGTGACCAAAACCGTATGACGATAATTAGAAAATAGTGATAATGCAGTGCTGATAATCAAATAAAACATTTAAGGGAAAGGTGTTTCCAGAGTATTCTTGAAAAGACTGCTGCCTTTTTGAGATGAAAGAGATTTGGTGCCACACATTGAAAGCAAAAGTTGAATAGAATTATATTGCTAAAAGGGAAAGTGTGCTTTAAAAGAAGGCAGTCCAGTCTGTTCACTGCAGCTTTCAAACCAATTGTAGTTCAGTAGAACTTTTAATATTTGAATAGCTTATGCCAGACTCAGTTTTAGAAAGGGAAGAGTGTTTAGGGAAACACTTTAATGAGCTACTTAGAAGAAAAGGAAGGCTTTGAGAACATAAATTATCAGCAGATGCAGCACATATGAAAAGAAATTGGGGGTTGGTTTGAGAGAATAAGAGGAAGAAAGAAGGAGCTAACATGGCAGAAGTATGAGAAACAGATTGAAGAAATGGAGAGGGGCTGCTGTGAACAGAACTATCTAAAACTAAGTTTGCATAGCTACAATACTAACTCTACCATGTCTCTGAAAGTTCTGTAAAGTCTTCTACATATTTAAACTCTTAGGTGAGTGATGAATTTCATGTCAGGATCAAAGCCATGCAGATAGAGGATCATACTTGCTCACTGGAAAGATAATTGCTACAGCAGACTAAGTCAGTAGAAGCAGGATCCTGTTGGCCCAAAGGCAACCTTTAGGATGTATGCAGCTGGAGAATTTATTAAAATTTTGGTGAAAGCACTGTTATTCCATGGGGGTGAAATAAGAACTTAAACTCAATCCAGGTTTTTAGGGGGAAAAGTCATCCTAACAGATACATGGGTGAAATGATGATGATTGTGACAATGATGCTCATGATTTTTAACAACAGTGATGATGATGGTGATGGTAATGACGGCGATGATGATGGTGAGATTTAAGATGATGATTATGATGGTAATAGTGATGATGATGATAATGATCGTGATAATGGAGATTATGGTGATGATGGTGATGGTGATAATGGAGATGATGATCATGGTGATAATGGAGATGGTGATGATGACGGTAATGATGGTGATTATGACATTGATAATGGAGGTGATGGCGATGGTAATGATGATGATGGAGATGATAACAATGATGATAATAGAGGTGGTGGTGATGGTAATGATGGTGAGAATGAAGATTATGGTGATGGTGATGATGATGATGGAGATGATGACAATGGAGATGATGGTGATGATGGTGATGACAGTGGTAGTGATGATGATGACAATGATAGTGATGATGATGGTGATGATAATAATAATGAAATAGTGGTGGTGGTGGTGGTGGTGGTGGTGAACATGATAATGATTATAGCTAACATCTTTAAGTGCTTACTATATTCTACATCCATGATACCTTAATTGAGTTATTGAATTGAATCCTTACAATGTATGAGGTTAGCCTATTGCTATTGCCATTTTGTAGGTGAGAATAACAATAGACCTTGTCACCTAGTACCTAGAAAGCTTCTCTGTAAAACCCAGATTGTCCCTGAGTGTGGAGAATTGGAAGTCATCCACAAACAATGAAAGGTCAGTTCACAGTGGGAACATGGCCTTGGAAGTCGAATAGTCAATCCTGGGCATCTGATGCAAGGCCAATTGCTTGCAGACAGGGATTAGAACAGAAAACACTACTAGTGTTAAGTCAGTAATTACATGTAAGAACTGTGTAAGTACACATAGACGAAGCAAAGAAGAGGCAGAAAGAGAGAAAATGGCATAAATGGAGAGGGAGAGGTGACAAGCGGAGAGGTGTCCTGGAGCTGTTTATTCCTAAACAGGAGTAACAGGATGAAAGACCAAAGATAGCCACTGCACATCTACCTGAGTCTCTGCCCTACCCACATCTGCTCCTCATCCTTCTACCTCCCACTTTTCAATCTGTGGAGGGATCTGCCTGCAACTTTCAATAATCTAGTCCACCAATAAGGTGCCAACCACAGCAGAGTTGCCAGGCAAATGCAAGATGCCTAGTTACATCTGGATTCCAGATAAACAAAAAATAACTTTAATAAACACATCTTACACAATTTTGGGAAAAGTTCAAATGTAATTGGGAATCCTATATTTTTATTTGTTAAATCTGGCAATGATGCCCCTTACCAAGACCATATTCTTTCTATTGTCCCACCTCCTTCTCCTGTTCATTAATCTGAGGGAGGGAAGATAAAAGCAAATTCATTGAATATTTCCACAAACTCAGATTCTCAATCATGAGGACTGGAGGAGAAAGACTGGGTCTTGGATGATGAGACCACCTCTAGCTGCCTGTGAGCAGTTCTATGGTGAAGGGTAGCACATGTGCATGGGGCCTGGAGGAGGGATGACCTGACCTTAGATAACCGTCTTTCATTCATTCATTCATTCATTCATTCATACTTCAACAGACAGCTATGAAGTACTGTTGACCCTTGAACAACGTGGATTTGAACCCTGTGGATCCACATCTATGTGAATTTTCTTCTGACTCTGCCATCCCTGGGATAGCAATACTAAGCCCTCCTTTTCTACCTCCTCTTTAGCTCACTCAACATGAAGATAATAAGGACGATGACCCTTTGATGACCCACTTCCACTTAATGAATGGTAAATATTTTTCTTTCTTACGATTTTTTATTAGCAATTTATTTTCTTTAGCTTGCCTTATTGTAAAAATACAGCGTATAACACATATAGTATACAGAATATGTGTTATCTTCTGTTTAAATTATCAGTAAGGTTCCTGGTCAACAGAGGCTATCGGTACTTAAGTTTTGGGGGAATCAAAAGTTATACTCAAATTTTCTACTGCAAGGTAGGTCTGAGTCCCTAACCTCTGCACTGTTCACAGGTCAACTGTGCTCCCTTTGTGCCAGACAGGGGATATGCTGAAAGTAACAACAAAGAAAGTCAATGACTTCGTTAGGATGCCATGGAGTGTTGAAGTCTTGACTCCAAGGACTTCAGAATGTGATCTTATTTGGAAAGAAGGTCCCAACAGAGATAATCAAGGTAAAATCAGGCCTAATGGCCTCAGGGTTTGGGCCCTAACCAATATGTCTGGTGTCCTTAAAACAAGGGGAAACGTGGGCACCATCATACACAGAGAGAAGATGATGTGACAATGCAGAGAGAAGACGGCCATGTGAAGATGGAGGATTAGAGTGCACAGTGTGGAAACAAGCCAAGGGACCTCTGTGGCCAACAGAAACTGGGAGAGGGCCAGGCGTGGTGGCTGATGCCTGTAATCCTAGCACTTTGGGAGGCCGAGGCAGGCAGATGATTTGAGGTCAGGAGTTTGAGACAAGCCTGGCCAACCTGGTGAAACCCCACCTCTACTAAAAATACAAAAATTAGCCAGGCGTGGTGTTGGGCGCCTGTAGTCACAGCTACTCAGGAGGCTAAGGCAGGAGAATCACTTGAACCCAGGAGGCGGAGGCTGCAGTGAGTCGAGATCATGCCATTGCACTCCAGCCTGGGCAACAGAGAGAGGCACAGGACAGATCCTCCCTAGAGTCTTAAGGGAGCCTTAGGGAGAGAGATGGGACAGATCCTCCCCTGAGGGCACCTTCATCTTGGACTTCTGGCCTCCAGAACTGTAGGACCCACCTAATCTATGTTTTGTCACAGTAGCCCTAGGAAATGAATACACACAGTCATCTACTCAAACCCTAAAGGTGGGAAGAATAACGACGGCTGGGCACTATGAAGGGAGGTGTGCAGTGCTACAGGTTCATATCAGAGGGTCTTTCCTGGCCAGGAGACTCAGAGACCTGCCTCTGAGGAAGCCACACTTGCATTGGGAGAGAAGCAAAGCCTGTGGGCAAATAGGCAGAGGAGCTTGGGAGCAGGAGGCCCTGGGAACCCGAGGGGGGCAGGTGATCTGTCCGCATGCAGGCTATGGACATGATTAGTGGCATGAAATCCAGGCCTTGACTCTAATGGTTAGATTTGCCCATCAGCAAAAATCTTCCCAGAGGCAATCCTATGAGGATAAGATCTGTAAATACAGGGCTGATGAGATTAAGGCAACTCCTCAAAATCTCATCAGGAAGCAAGTGATGCAGATGGAACTAATAAAAGATTAAATGCAATCTTGAAACCTGTAATGCATAATGCTGTAATTGCGGAGGCCTTTGGAGAATGATAGGAATATTTTAAACAAAGGAAGGAGAGGGAGGAGTGCATTCATGCCCTTCAGCACTGTCTGGGAGGATGGATGTCCCAATTTTAGAGGTCCCCTCCCAGGTCTTTTTCTGGAAATAGCCCCAGAGTCGAAAAGAACAATGCATCTTGCTACCACAGCACATCGGAAGCATCCCTTCAGAATATCCACTTCTCTTTGCTCCAATTTTATGCTCACTAAGCAACCTTCTGAGTTGTAATTTGGTGTTCTGACTAGGTGATTTTTTTTCCAGGCCCTGAGCCAGGACTATTCTGGGGGCCTGCGTTCAGGCTGTGCAGGGACAAGGCAGATATGAGAAGGCCAGGCTCTGACACCAGGCAGCACCACATGAGCCAGAAAAAAAGGGGGGGTTCAAGACTGGGTCAGCTCAGAAGAGCAGGGGAGTGCAATGTCCCTAGAAGACGGGTCCCTCCAGCCTGGCAGGCAGCACTGGGAGGCTCGGCTGAGCGGCCGATCCATCTTGGGCACGTGTACATGTTCCATGTGTCTTGAGAGAGCAGGCAGAGGAACCCCAGGAGAGGGGAAACCTGATAGAAGGCAAGGCCAATGTCTTCAGTCAAGAAGGATGTGGCTGTTGCAGGGCCCATAGGAATGAGATCATGTAGCATTTGTCCTTCTCGTTTCTTCTTGCACTTGGCATAACATCCTCCAGGGCCATCTACGTTGTTGGATGGAGGATTTTCTTCCTTTTTAAAGCAAAGAGGTAGATCTAGAGTGTTCTCACCACACACACACACACACACACACACACACACACACAGAGAGAGAGAGAGAGAGAGACAAAAGTAACTGTGATGTAATGGACATGTCAATTAGCTTAATTGTGGTGATGTTTTGTAATGTACACATATATCAAAACATCAAGTTGTACACCCTAAATATACACAATTCCTATTTCTTAATTATAACTCAGTAAAGAAGAAAATAAAAGGATGTGGCCAGTGTGTAGCTGGCCCAGAAGGCAACATTGGTCTCTGCCCAGCCCTGTGATACACCTTTGAGGCTGACTCTGTGACACCCCATCCCCCACCGCCAAAGCCTCTCCACCTTTGGTAACCGGAGTATCTGGCCCTGACGCTTGGTATAGACGTGTTTCTTACTTAAAGTTCAGTTAGTGGTGGACACCCATTGAGGATTCGATGAAGAAAGGTGAAAAGTGATTTTGGATTATATTTCTCTGCAGGTTTTCTTGTTTTCCCTTAAGCCAAGGCCCACTGATGTTCACAGTAAGTACACAGGTTGGAAAATATATCATAAATCAGGACAAATTGAGAACTATCCTACAAGACCCAGCCAGAAGACTATCTGATTTACTGAACTTCTTGTCCAATGTTAGAGAAGGTAGTTGTGTCAATTAGTAATATGGTAAATTTAAAATTTGTGGTCACAAACTTGGAAACTCAAAAATGGATGGTTCTAACTCTATAATGGAATTCAGTGGAATTTACACTCTGTTTAGAGCTCTTCATTTACCCAATTCCATGCATCTCATTCAGCCCCATGTCCGTCCTTCCCATGTGATTGACACATTTAGGGAAATTACAAATCATGGTGTCATGGAAGGGGAATGCTTTAGTATGAATATTTTGGGTCCTGGCCAACATCCATGGTGAGAAATTGATTCTACCTGTTCCCTCTTCACCAATGGCAGAAGCATTCTCAAGTGCTCCTAGGACCTCTGATGCTCTCTCCTGGGGGCGCTAAAATCCTCTGATGCTCCTTCCTGGGGGTTCCCACATCCTCTGATTCTCCCTCCCGGGGACTCCCACATCATTTGTCCTCCCTCTTGGGGGCCCCACATCCTCTGATGCTCCCTCCTGGGGGCCCCACATCATTTGTCCTCCCTCTTGGGTGCTCCCACATCCTTTGATGCTCCCTCCTGGGGGACCCACATCCTCTGATGCTCCCTCCTGGGGGCCCCACATCCTCTGATGCTCACTCCTGGGGGCCCCACATCCTCTGATGCTCCCTCCTGGGGGCCCCACATCCTCTGATGCTCACTCCTGGGGGTTCCACATCCTCTGATGCTCCCTTCTGGGGGTTTGACATACTCTGATACTCCCTCCTAGGTGCTCCCATATCCTTTGTTCCTCCTCTGTGGCTGCTCTCACATCCTCTAGTGCTCTTTTGTGGATGCTTCAGGACCTCTGGTTCTCCCTCATGGGTGTTCCCACATCCTCGGGTGCTCCCACATCTTCTAATGCTCCTTTGTGGGTGCTCTCAGTAGCTATTCTCCATCAGCCCCTGTGTCTTTCGTGGGGCAGATGTTGTTCGTGAACTTTCAGGAGCTCCTCTGTGCTCAATTCTGAGATCATGAGAGCCAGGATGGGGGGTGCGGGGAATGCTGTCCCCCGCTCTGCTGAAACCACCTTGTCCAATGGGGGTTGCCCCATATCGATGTGGGAACTGGGCAGTCATTTCCCCCTGCTTTCCCCCTGAGCTCTCTCAGGGGTCCCCTTCAGGGAGAGATGAAGCTACAAGCTGGGGACCACCAGGGTTGCCAGGAGCCACCAGCAGCTGGAGGAGACGAGGAAGGATCCTCCTCTGGAGGCTTTGGAGGGGGCACAACCTTGCTGGCACCTTGACTTCAGACCTCTGGCTTCCAGAATTGTGAGCAAATAAATTTCTGATGTTTACGTCCTGCAGTTTGTAGTAATTCAATGTGACAGCCCAGGAAACTAATATAAGTATATGGTGGTCACCTTTCCCATTCCTCTCAACAGACTTCTGATGTTCAGACATCTCACCCCTCCTCCTCTCTGAAAGTAACAAAAGATAAAATGAATAAGAATGGAAATGGAACCTCTGTAGAGAATGACCCGAGTTTCATGAAGAAGAGCAGCTTAGGTTGAGCAAGCCAACCTGGAGGAGGGGACACCAGCCCTTGCAGACCTATGACATGGTCAGCAAAGCCAAGGATGTCAGGAGGGACCACTCCTGGATGAAGGGGTGAGCAGGAGCGTGGATGGGCTGCAGAGCCCCCAGAGTCCCCAGCCCTTTGTGCTGGCCTAAAGTGCAAAAGGAAGTCAGCTGATCCAGGAGACAGGCAGGGACACCCCTTTTGTTCCAGTTCTCCTGCCTTCTGGTTTCTTCTCATAGAGATTATCTCCTGTTTGTATGTGGGTCCACAGACCCTGGAATACAGCCTGATGCAGAGTAGGTGCTCAGCGAAAGCTATGAAATGAACAGATGGCAAGAAAATTCCTCAGGAAGGAAGGGGCTTCATGAAAATGTCCTCTATGGAGCAAATATTTAAAATTAAGATAAAAGAAGAGCTCAAGATAAATATCATAAAACAACAGCGGGAGTTGGAAAAAATGAAGAAGAGCCAAATAGTAGCAGAGAAGCTGCCCCAGCTATGGAAAAGGAAGTCCCCACAAACAGATAGATGGGCACTGCTGGAAATACACTCAGAGACTGAGAGAGTTTTAAAAGAAAGAAAAGTGAGGTGGAAAGGACTAAATGTTAAAAGATGGCAAGAGTATACCAAAGATTGAAGACAAAGAAAATTCATTCCTCTTAATTGCCAAACTCAAAACTCCACCTCTATCCATATGTGCTCGGTCCCTCTTAATTGCTTCCTCTTCTGGGGAAACAAACGTAACCATGAGTGGACGCCCTAAGCTCCCAGGCCCTGCCCATCGCGTGTTCTCCTCCTGTTGGGAGTGGACACCCCTCCTGGCCACCCATCCCCACCTTCCTCCTGCTCCTGCTGAGCTGGACCTCAGCCTCTCCCACCATCGACTCCACTCCCGGGGGTGGCCAGTGCTGGCCAGCTATGGTGCACTTTGATTTCCCACAAATGTCCTGCCCCTCATGTGTCCGTGGACTGTGCCAGAGAATGAGGTGGGGGAGCAAAGGCCAGGGCTCAGGATGGGGGAGTCAAAGCCCAGGATGGAAACAGGTGGGTGAACAGGAATTTTTTTCACAACAAGGACACATCCAGGGAAGGGAGTCAGGGCCAGCAGCAAGGCTGCTGTGATGTGGCCTCTGGAGATTAGGATGGGGCATCCCCTTATCTCTCCTGTGAAAGGGGCCATATTGGCCTCAGAGCCTGGACAAGCTCGAGCCTACAGGTCAGGATTAATGGGGGTCTTGTCAGTGTATCCTACAACATTCTGGCTTGTAACTCAGTCCCCCTGCATAGGACATGTTTAATCAATGAACCAAAAACTGGGTGATGGGCTAGGGAGCAGGAGGGGACATCTTCAGTGGTGACTTTCCTCCACTGTGCATTGGGAGTTGCTGCCATCTCCTCAGTGGCCTGGAGTCCCTGTCCCCACGGACACATCAGCAAAGGGTCCTGTACCTTGGCCTGGAGCCTCCTGAGAAATAAAGACCAAACGGAAGCCTCGCCTTTTCTTCCACTCTGGAGAAGCTTTTGAGACCCCCAGGAGGGCCTTGGGCTCTAAATTCATTAACTCTGAAAGGGGCCCCAGATCCTAACCCTAATTCCTGCCTCCTGGCCCAAAGGGCCCTTCTGATGCCTTAAGTATGTGGGATCCTGATCCCAAGTACAGTATCTCCCTAAATAAAAGAGCTAATCTACCTTAAAAAGGTTGGCAACTAAGCTGTGCAAGCTTGGAATAGAGATATGCCTCTCCTCCCTCTTACACATGTTTGCCCATCTCCTTGGAGAGGCATGTTGGTTTTGAAAATGTTTGCACTGAGGTCTGTGGGCTGCAGCAAGGCACAGTGCAAGGTGCACACCACTTTCCTCTTGGAGCTCAAAATAGTCAGATACAAGTCTCTCTGTCAGGAAGACTGGCTGCCCTGCCTTCCTCGACCCAGAAAGGGACCATGGCCCAGTAGGCACCTTAGCACCACCCCTGGGTCTGCACTTCTCTCTAACTGCCACTTCTGGGAAAATCTGCCACCCGCTACAGCAGCGGAGACAGGAGATTGGTAAACCAAACCCTGGCATCCCGTGCTTTCAACCCAGATCCCCAGCAAATGTATCCTCTGATAGACAGCTCATTAGTGTCCCCTCCCCTCCCACTCCCCAATCCCCAGGCACATGGAGTCCAAACACCGACCTGCTATGTAGCTAGAAGAAGGAGGAGGAGGAGGAACAGGATGGGGGAGAAGAAGAGGAGGAGGAGGAGACAAGAGTGAGTAGACAGCTTAGTTTAAAATAATAAAACCACCTAGAGCCCTTTGATTGGTCAGGACTAAGCTATCTCAATATGCAGTAGGAAGCTATGCTTGATCAAATGGTATGAAAAATGGCTCAGCAGCATCTGCAAGGTGGAGCCCTCAGCAATCACAGTTATGGGCTTGCCCAGCCCTCTGCTGACGTGGGCAGCCACTTTCTTAGATTAAAATGTGCTGGTCTGTGGAGAGCAACTGGGTGGGCAGTAACACTGAAGCCTGGCTCTTTTGAATTCTCTGTCCATCCTCCCCTTCTGATTGTGACTCACATACAGAAGTGTGTGGCGAAACAGGCAAAATGCAAGACTGGCACTTTCACGTTTATCTAGAGGCTTTGCATTGGGAGCTTGGCAACTCCATCCTGTGACCCAAGCCAGGGAGCTGTCTAGCCCTGGGAAAGTGGCTGAAGGCTGCATTCTCCTCACCTACTCCAGGATGCTGTGGCATGCCTCTCTAAGCCCAAGGAGAAACAGTGTGTGCAGTGGTGAAGTCATCACTATACTATTATTGTCCTAAACTTACAACCTCTTGATTTATTCCTCCCGCATTCATAGAAAGAATAGAGCAATTTCAATATTGCTATAAATTCTTCTGCTCTCATAGAAGGGTTTAATCAAGCCACTTCCATCTGTTCTTTCTCCCAAGATGGCAACAAAATCATTTTCTGCCTATAAGAAATAACTTTGGAGGAAAGTCCTGGATACATTCAAAATACACCAGAAAGTTCTCAAAGTTAGATTTGTTAGTTTCTGAGATTGTGAGCTGTTCTGAATCCTGCAGTCCTGGCAGAGGGGACCAAATGCTCACCAAGAACCTGAGACTCTCCACACTTCACCAAGCCCGGAGTGCACTCTGCACCAGATTTGATAACTGGCCTCTGGAGAGGGCAGGGTGGGAAGGAATCAGCCCAGGCACTGTAGGCGTTCTGGGGGAACGTTGCTCCATCAAAGAACTGTGGGTGCATGGGGAAAAGTGCTTCTCCTAGAGCTCTCCATCGCAGTCCAGTGAGATGCTCTGAGCAAGGAGTCTGCCTGTGGAGCCCCTCACACCACACCTTCTCTCTCACTCTTGACACCCACAGCGCAGTCAGCACACAATGGCTCTGACATAGGGATAGGGAGGCGGACCTTGGTAAACATACTTCCTTTGGAATTGCATCGCTGTTCTAGACTCAAGGGAGGCCCTGTGTGTGTCTGGATCAAAGCTTATCTTCCTCTAAGACTCCTGTATTTCCTTTTCTATTTAACGAACAACTGGCTGGGCACGGTGGCTCAGGCCTGTAATCCCAACACTTTGGAAGGCCAAGGCTGTTGGATCACTTGAGGTCAGAAGTTCGAGACCAGCCTGGCTAACATGGTGAAACCCTGTCCTACCAAAAATATAAAAAATTAGCCAGGTGTGCTGGTACACACCTGTAATGCCAGCTACTTGGGAGGCTGAGGCAGGAGAATCACTTGAACCCGGGAGGCGAAAGTTGCAATGAGCCGAGATGGTGCCACTGCACTCCAGCCTGGGTGACAGAGTGAGACTCCGTCTCAAAAAAAAAAAAAAAAAAACAAAAAAATCTGCATTCCCTTTGTCCAAGAATATTTCAGCTCTGCTTTACCCCTTGCTATGATCTGAATGTTCATGTGCCTATGTTGAAATTCTAAGCTGCAAGGTGATGGTATTAAGACATGGGGACTTTGGAAGGTGGTTAGGTCATGAGGGTGGAGCTCTTATAAATGGGATTAATGTCCATAAAAGAAGCCCTAGGGAGACCCTCACTGCTTCTGCCCTTGAGAAGACAACCATCTATGAGGAAGTGGGTCCTCACCAGACACCAAGTCTGCCAGCACATTAATTTTGGACTTTCCAGCTTGCAGAACTGTGAGAAAGAAATTTCTGTTGTGTATATGCCACCCAGTCTATGGTATATCATTACAGCAGCCAAGGCTAAGACACATCTAAATGTTACTTATCTAAACAACAATACTTTTCTGGCCAGTGGATGTCAGACAGGAGATGGAACCTGAGCGATCACCTTGGTGCTGAAATGCCTGCTCCACCCTCAACACTCAATGCACACTGGCAGAGAACGGCAAGATGCTGGACACACACACAAAGCAAACACCTCTCGGTATAAAGTGAAGGTTCCAGGAATGAGCTGTCTGCCCGTCTCTCCCTGTGTTTCCTGCCGGCTGCATCACCGGATGTTGGCGGGTATGGAATTGGGAAGGAATGAAAGCGGGGAGGGGATCAGGGCATTGGCAGGACAGGGAAGCAGTGTTCCTTCTTTACTTAGAATGTTCTTTTTTGAGCCAAACCAAAGATGAAAACTTTCTCAGCTCCTGGAGTCCCAAGAGACAAAAATAAAATATTCTAAAGCTGGTCTGTGTCTTCCTTTAGTTACCCAGAACCCACGGGGCCACCTGTGACAGATGGTGGCATTGATCCAGGGTGTAATTGATCAGGTTTGGCAAGAGCAGTAGAAGAAACTGGGATGCTGACAGAAGAGAAGCTTAGATGATTTGCATATACTGCTCTTCCATCATATAGAAGACAAAAGTGAGCCCCCAGTGATTGGGCTCCAGGTGTCTCTTGTTGGGACCCTATGTGGTCTGCTCCTTGCTGGATAACTGCAGTTGCATGGCAGCCCTGCTTCACAAAAATCCAGGGTAAATTGCATTCCTCCTACACGTCATCACACAGAAATACAACCTAAGTAAGCACACATTTTCTAAAACCCTAAAGAGGGCTCACACCTTCTGGATAAGCAACTAATCCTGAGAATGTCACTCACTCTGCTTATTGATAGCCAGTGATTGCCAAGTTTTCTGCCTCCAGAATGGATCAATTCCAGCTGTCTCATGTGTGAGTGCCTTTGCTGACAGTGCTTTTTGTATTAACTAATACATCCTTGGAAAGGGTCCCAAGTGGGAGAAAGAGCATCACACTGACGTGCACCCTCTTAAAATAAATAATCATCAGGAGAGGATTTCATATTAACAATCTGAAAACTCACAGTTTTCAATAGTGTTTCTTCAGTATTCAGGGTCGCTCCTTTTTTCCTTCTTTTATTTTTCCTTCTTCTTTTTTTTATTTTATTTATTTATTTATTGTACAACAAAGTGTCTCACAGATTCTCTATTGCTTAGAGGGAGAAAACATGGCCCTTTTAACACACTGATTTCTTTCATGGCTGTGCAATTTCTTTGCAGTTTATGAATAATTTTTGTCCACAGGTTTTGCAGCAAATATTAGTTACAGTGTAATCAGATGGATAGAGCCAGGGTTAGAAAAACAAATCCTTTCAATTATTTTCACAGCTTCATCACAGACCTTGTGATTTTTCAGCAATCTGTGAGCCTGTATGTCTAAAGGTCAAACTATTCTGAAGCAAAGAAATAGGAAATTCACAAATTCAGAAACTGTTTATGCATTATAGTTGCCTCCCAAATCTAATTGCAGGACTAGATGACTTCTTCCCAAATGCACACAGTCCTTACTTTTTTAATGTGTGGTGTATTCCTCAGCTCAGGCTGCCATAACGAATACCGTAGACTGGATAGCTTCGACAAGAGAAATGCATTTCCTCCGAGTTCAGGGGGCTGGAAGTCTAAGGTCAGGGTGCCAGCGTGGTCAGGTTTTGGGGAGGTTCTTGCAGACAGCCACCTTCTCTCTATGACCCTGCATGGCTTTCCTCCAAGTCTGTGCAGGGAGAGTGCAAAAGATCTCTCTCTCTTCCTCTGCTTATAAGGCCACTAATCCCTGTGGATTGGGACCCCACCCTTATGCCCTCATTTAACTTTAATTACCCTAAAAACTGTATATCCAAATATAGTCAATTTGGAGTTAGGCCTTCAAAATATGAATTTGGGAGGACACAAGTCAGTCCGTAGCAAATGGCCACTTCATGTAACGTCTAGTGCTTTGAGCTGAGTAACTTAAAGCACTGGGCATTATATAACATATAAGCATGTATGTATCTGGAAGGGATGAGAATATAATAGTCATTTGATGGGAATTCCATGGAGAAGGAGTTGGAGTATCATGTGGCATCGTGGAGGCACATAGCAGAAGGCATTGAGCAGACCTTCAGGAATCAATAGGATTGCAGCAGGCAGGATGGGGGTGGGGTGGGTACCCAGAGCTGTGAGAAAGTGCAGCATCACCATGAGTGAGAGAAGTTCACAGGGAGCACACATGCCCTTGAGTGCTGAGCTAAGGACCTGGAAAAGAACCACTGTGAATTCTGCAGCTATGGAAACCCTGGGGCTGCCTGTGGTCAGAGAGGGGCTTCAAGATCAGTGATTTTCCAGCAGCTGGGAGAATGGACTGGAACAGATACCCCCTGAACCGTTCTGACAGCCCAGATTAGAAGGGGGAAGGTGGAGGAAAGGCACAGACAATTCAGAAGAAGAAAAAAAAGCGGTATGTGTGAACCACTTCTTTTTTAAATTGAAAATGAAAATAGCTTTATGGAGGTGTCCAATGGGGATAGAAATGTATCCCCTTAAAATCAGGTTACCTAATCCATGGAAGGGCAGAATATCACAGAGAAAATTAAAATGGGTTTTAATCATGGAAAGTAAACATCTGAGCATATTTGACAAGTCTCAGCACAGAGCCAGCTTTCTCCAAGCTAAGCCTGATAGAGGATCTGGTGTCTTCCCTGGTCCCTCACCCATCTGGCCCATCCCAGACTGAGAGAAGCACCTGCAGCTGCCCCTGCCAGGGACTCCCTGCTTCACGTGAAACCACCTGGCTCTCAGCACTGCAGGG
The DNA here is from genome assembly GCF_000001405.40 of Homo sapiens. Classification (NCBI taxonomy): domain Eukaryota; kingdom Metazoa; phylum Chordata; class Mammalia; order Primates; family Hominidae; genus Homo; species Homo sapiens. The sequence continues at coordinate 6,321,923 of NC_000005.10, forward strand.
CTTGGACGCGCTAGCTTTCTGACACACAGGGAGTCAGCAGATGTACTACCAATGCTCACAATTATTTCCAAACAAGCCTGCAGGCAAGGACTCTCAATAACTACGGGCCATCATAGGAAAGGAAATCTGCCCATACAAAACCAACACAGGTGCACCAATCTCACAGTGGAAGCACAGTCTCGCAGTGGGAGCACAGTCTCGCAGTGGGAGCACAGTCTCTCAGTAGGAACACAGTCTTGCAGTGGGAGCACTATTTGACAGTTGGAGCACAGTCTCACAGTGGGAACAGTCTCACAATGGGAGCACTATTTCACAGTAGGAGCACAGTCTCGCAGTGGGAGCACAGTCTCGCAGTGGGAGCACTATTTCACAGTAGGAGCACTATTTCACAGTAGGAGCACAGTCTCGTGGTGGGAGCACAGTCTCGCGGTGGGAGCACACTCTCATGGTGGGAGTGCTATCTTGCAGTGGGAGCGCTATCTCACAAGTGGGAGCGCTATCTTGCAAGTGGGAGCAATATCTCACAGTGGGAGCACAGTCTTGCGGTGGGAGCGCAGTCTCGCGGTGGGAGCGCTGTCTCGCGGTGGGAGTGCTGTCTCGCGGTGGGAGCCCTATCTCACAGTGGGAGCGCTATCTCGTCATAGTGGGAGCACTATCTCATCATAGTGGGAGCACATTCTCACAGTGGGAGTGCTCTCTCACAGTGTGAGCACTATCTCGTCATAGTGGGAGCACATTCTCACAGTGGGAGCGCTCTCTCACAGTGTGAGCACTATCTCGTCATAGTGGGAGCACTATCTCAGAGTGGGAGCACATTCTCACAGTGGCAGCACAGTCTCACAGTGGCAGCACAGTCTCACAGTGGGAGTATTATCTTGCAGTAGAAGCACACTGAGCACACTGTGTAGCTGTTCACAGTTGTTTCCTCACCCTGACTCCCCACGCCAAACCCCCAGAACCGGTTCACACTCACCAAGAGATCTTTATTTTAACTTGAAGAATCCTTCATTTACTTAGAAATAGAAAGGCCCCTTCAGGGATACACCAGGAGGCCTATCATATCTGTAATGGGTGGAGCAGAGAGATTGGAATGGCCTTGAAGAGCAGAAGCTCCCAGGCTGGGTCCTGCTAGAACCTGCTCAGCGCGTCTCCAGGAGCAGCACACACAGCATGCCAGTCAGGACGGGTGTGGGAAAGATGGCAGAGAAGAAGAGGCAGCCAGAGAGAAGCCAGCCGTTCAATGAAAGTCCTAACTGGTGGTTTGGCCCTCCCTTCCCAGTGGCAAGAGGATGCCTGTTGTAAAATGGATGTGAAGCCTGGCACCATTAACCATCCAGCTCAACCAGCTTTAAATCCTAGGCCCTACAAATGAACTTCAAATTTTCAGCTTCCCACAGAGGATCTCACCACCTTCAAACCACCCAGGCTCTGTGCCAGCCATACTGGAGTTTTCACTGTAAATTAAGTACATGGGCCTTCTGGTATTATACATCAGTATTTCTAGCTTAGCTAATGCGAATCTACCTCTAAAATATGGAGACACTCTCAGAGTGCTAACCAAGCTAGCTGTCCGATCCTGGCAGGCTTCTTGGCAAACTGAATACCTGGCCAGGAGAAAGGCCAGGTGACTGTGTCCCCACTTGGCTGCAGGGATGAGAGCAGTGTGATTTCTGATTTCTCCTTGAGATGCCCCACATAGTTCTGCTCCTGGGCTTCAAAAAAGATGATATCTAGTGAATGATTCCTCCAGCATTTGGATGGGAAATGGGCCAAGGGCTCTTCTCCCTACTGAGCTCTTTTCTACCCACTGAAACATCCCCCAGCCAAAACTGCACCAGAAAGCCCAAGATTCTGGAGATGCCATCCTGGAGAAGGTATTCAAAGGAGTAGGAGACTTCTCAAAAGCTAAACAAAACTTCCAACTTATCTCTGCCAGAGTAGGGTACATCAAATGGCCAAATCCACCGCTTTGCAGTCTCCCAGTAAGAGGCAGATCCTCTGAAACAATCATAGGCACAGATCCTTGCATTTTTTAGAAGTCACAGAATTAAGATTTTTCTGCATCTCGATGATTCAGACACTTTAGAATTTGATATTGGCATAGAAACTAGGAATCATAAAATAAATTTTTAAAAAATTGTCATTTAATAAACATATTATGTGTCAACCAGAGCATAAAGAAACAGGCAAACAAATAGGAGTGTAAATGTTTGCATGATACATAGGGAACAATTTAGCAATAGCTGTTAACTATTGAAAACATTTGCTTTTGGGTCTAGCCATCTTACCTCTAGGAATTTTTTGAGATATTTTCAAGGTTCACAAAGAAACAATAGACCATTTTAGCATAGTTTATCATGATAAAAAACACAAATGTGCAATAATCAAGTTTGGTGCATCCATGCAATGGAATATTATTAATAAATGTCCTGTATACTGACATGAAAACCTATCCAAGGGGAATTAAGTGAATAAATGCAAGTTGAGCAAACAATGTGCATCATTCGCATATGTTGGTAGAAGCATGAAATGTTCTGGTTTGATTCACTATTCAAAGAGGTTGTCTCTGAGGACTGGCACTACAGGGCATTCCTTTCTAGAGAACATATTGGTGTGCATGGAGGTTAGGAGAACAGACTCACCCCAGCAACACCATATTTTGACCTTGGGCAATGCCAGGTTCTGGGTCTACCTGAGCACAGCCCTACTTCACAGAGTGCAGCAGGGCTCACATGAACTCACATACATGAGGCACATAAAATAGTGCCTGGTACATAGTAAACATTGTATGAGTGCTCTTATCTTGACCACTGCTATTGAGCCCCCACATGAAGGTTTTTGCAATCATAACCACCTTGGTGTTCTTATGCCATTTAAAAAAAAATAAGACTTCAGGGCTGCAGGCGGTGGCTCACGCCTGTCATCCCAGCACTTTGGAGGCTGAGGCAGGCAGATCACTTGAGGTCAGGAGTTCAAGCCAAGCCTAACCAGCATGGTGAAACCCCATCTCTACTAAAAATACAAAAGTTAGCTGGGCAGTAGTGGTACAAGCCTGTATTCCCAGCTACTCTGGAGGCTGAGACAGGAGAATCTCTTGAACCCGGGAGGCAGAGGTTGGCTGCAGTGGCCCGAGATTGTGGCACCGCACTCCAGCCTGGGTGACAGAGCGAGACTCCGTCTCAAAAAAAAAAAAAAAAGACTTCAGTTAGTAATAGAATGTTTTTTAAATCAGCAAGATGATGATGTAAGTAATGGTTATTTAAATCAAATCTCAAAATACTGGAATTATGTCATCCTTGAAGAAGACAAGAGGAGATCTGGGGGTTCCAAGAGGAAGTGCCCCTTCACCTGCAAGATGGTCACCTTAGAGAAATCTCAGTGCCTGGGGTGGGTATGAACTGAAAACTCCTAGCCAAGAAGGACGGAAGACCTTGGTATTAGGAAGGTTTAGATTAGGAAGGTTTAGATTTTGAGATTTTTAGATTTTGAGATGACATCCAAGCATGCAAGCAAAAAAAGTCTCTTTTGCTTTTATCTAAGTCATACCATGAAGCTGGCCAGGGTGATTCTCTGACTCCTGGAATGGCAGACCTGGTAAGCAGCTCTATATCCCCTTTCACACCCACCACTACAAAGCTTAAGCCCAATTCTCTGTTCAACCGCAGCAAGTGTGGGGGGCACTGTATCCTGTATGTCTTTATTTTAGTTTATCCACCAACCTTGTCTCCAGGGTCTGATTTGCATCTTGTTTGGCTATTGTATATTTTTGTTTTTATTTCGTATTTCTAAATCACCTGTTCTTTCTGCAAACTGTATCAAATCTTTATCACGCATTTCCTGCTTACTCCCTAAAGATCGTCTGCCCTTCCCACGTCTTCGCCGATCAGTCCCCACTTTCCAGCCTGCACAAGTGCCTTGGAGCCCTACCCTTTGGATGCAGCCAAAGCCATTCCTAGCAGCCCTTGAGGGTTCTAACAACACAACTGTGGAGTCAGAGGTGGGTGCTCCTTTTTCTCACCTCTCGAAAGGTAGGGAATGCAGCATCAGGAAAAACACATAGTAGGCACTATGGAAGGGATGTGGAAGGAGGGTGTGAGAAATGAACTCTGAATGAATGGAGGCTACTAAGCTGCTCTAAGTGTCTTCCTCCTCTCCACTGGGACACTTCACTGACCAGATTTCCTTCTCCTTCCCTGGAGGAAGTCCTGTCTCCTGGGATCCCAAGGCTTCATCCAGGGACAGCTACATGTAAATCAGGAAGAGAAATCTGCTGTGGAAAAGGTCTCCATTGACCAACTGCTCCTCTGGTCTCTGCCTGTCCAGCAGACAAGGTATGTGAAAAAGTGTGTGCAGTCTGAAACTTCACACTAGCAATAGCAGTGATCAGAGTAATGACAGGGATGGGAAAAGTAATAATAACAATAACAGGCACTCTAAATTTGAGTAGCATTTTGTAGCTTTCAGAAGTGCTTTCAAATGCATTTGCTGTTTTCTCCTATGCCTCCAGTGACCCTGTACATACCCAGATAATTACTACTGTGGCCACATCTTTAAGTTTCTGTGATTTTATATCAAGATTCAATTGTGTAGGGAAAAGGAAACTTTTTCATCATAGAAGGAGACATTTAATTCACTTCTGACCATTCCAGGAAGGGTAGGCACCTGACTTCGTGGCAAGGATGTGGACTGATGGTGTTGTCTGGATAGTGATCAGGCCACATACTCGTTGTCCACATCTGCAGGGGCCTTCTCAGTCCACATTCCTGGTGAAAATCAACATCGTGTGACTTTACAGATTCGTGAGTGCCAGGGAATGAGCGACCCTCTGTTGCTGTCACAATCTCATTTCTTTTCCTTCTCACTGGAATTTTAATCAGTCTGAGCATCAGTTAATGATTCTTTCTTATCCATTTGATTAAAATACAAAGTCATTGAGGCAGTAGCAAATTGCATTTTTTTTTCCTTGGCCCTTAGTGCACTGCAGTAATGAAATCCACGACTTCCCACCTCTGCCAGTGAAGAGTCAGCATGTACCGTGTGAAAGCCAGGAAGGCTCATCTGTCTCGTGAGTGATTTCCTTTCCTAAGGAAGGCCCTCCAAGGAGCCATGCATCTCTGGAACGGATCACCCATGCTGACAGAACTGAAGATTGAACCTCTAACTAACATGACTTGTGCAGGTGACAGGGAAATTGTTTGTAATATAACTTCATTTCTTTAAAAGCAGCTACGGATTTATACTTGGGTGAAATTATATCCCACATACTAATTTAATAAACTCCTCTAAGCTTACACAGAGTCTCTTCTTGGAAAAGGATGTGTTTCTGATCCACTGGCCAGTGCACTGAATGATTTCCCACTACAACCCAAGGGAGAGGGAGTAGTGAAGACTGAAAACTAGGCAAAGCCAATTCGTATTCTGATGAAACTTTACAAATGCTGCTTATGACAAAACCCAGTTGTAAAAACTAAAGGGTAAGGTGAACACCCAAACCCTGCCATTAAAATAACAAAGAAAGGGGCTCCCTGCTACCTTTGGTTAATCTTTTCCAGTGGAACCTTCTTGTCTTGTGTCTCATTACCTCAAGTCCCAAGATTTCCAACCCTGGGTAAAGACTGTCTCCTCAGGGCCAGGCACAGTGGCCCATGCCTGAAATCCCAGCAATTTGGGAGGCCGAGGCGGGTGGATCTCTTGAGGTCAGGAGTTCGAGACCAGCCTGGCCAACATGGTGAAACCCTGTCTCTACTAAAAATACAAAACTTAGCCGGGCATGGTGGCACATGCCTGTAGTCCCAGCTACTAAAGAGGCTGAGGCATGATAATTGCTTGAACCCAGGAGGCGGAGGTTGCAGAGAGCAGAGATCGTGCAACTGCCCTCCAGCCTGGGCGACAGAGCGAGACTCTGTCTCAAAAAAAAAAAAAAAAAAAGACTGTCTCCTCAGAGCTTGACAGTAGTTCTGCTAGTGAAAGTGATTTAGAGCAGCTGCTCGCAAGTGGGCAGAAGAGCCTGTGGCACACCTTTCTGACCCTTTCTCCTTTCCAAAGAGAAAAGAAGAGAGGTGACAAAGAATTGGAGAGGAACAAACTATCAGAGTAGACTTCTTGTTAGCAACATATTTTTTAAACCATTGTTATTTACTTTATAAAAGAATAACATGCGCTCACACACCTGATTTTATATTGATTCATTCAACAAATTTTATTTGTTCTACTTTGTATTAGGCACTGAAGATATATCAATAAGAGAAATGACAAAAAGTTATGTCTGCACAAGACTTTTCATTGTACTCTAAAACTGTGCCCTATTACCTGAAAAATAACCCAGTAGTTGTATTACACTTGTGTAGTAGGTCCTTAGGATGGATAACATGCCACATCCTCCTAGCTCAACCAACTTCAGCACTGCAGTGTCGGACAGCTCCATACACCTCTGCAAGGAATTCCAAGTCAGGCAGGGGCCACTTGTCTCTCTGCATTCCAAAGCAGCAGAAGGCTGCTAAGCTACACACAAACACAACCTGAAAAATCAATACCCTCCGGGGCAACCCACCACATGTGGGAGATGAGAACCCATGGATAAATTCCCCAGCATCCCACTCTCTGACTCCTTCACTGGGATCACCTCTCGCATAAACTATTTGTACCTTGCCGCAAAGTTTGCTCTGGGGAACCTAGAGCAAGGTACAAATAGTTTATGTGGGCTTGTTAGAACCCCAGATAAGCCAAGACAACTTGTAATAGCACAAGGATGCAATAAGTATGACACAAGTGAATTGTCACTGTAAAAGCAAATTTGGGGTGGTGGAACTGTATATAAACAAACTTCAGTGGTGTATTTGTGTGGTAGGGGTGTGAGTGAATCATAGTCAAATCATAGTTCATGCGACAATACACACTGAAGGATTAACAAAAATTATTAGAGAAACTATATTAGTAAGTCTGAAGCTGAATCAATAGCAGTTTATCATTAAATTTCAGAAGAACAGCCAATAAAAATATAGAACAGCCTAAGAAACATGAAAGAATGCAGCAATATGGTTTGGCTTTGTGCCTCCACCCAAATCTCAGGTTGAATTGTAATCCCTAGTGTTGGAGGAGGGGCCTAGCGGGAGGTGATTTGATCATGGAAGCAGATCTCCCCCTTGCTGTTCTCATGATAGTGAATAAGTTCTCACAAGATCTGGTTGTTTAAAAGAGTGTAGCACCTCCCTCTTCGTTCTCTTCCTCTGATCCAGTCATGTAAGATGTAACTCCTTCCTCTTCACCTTCCACCATGATTGAAAGGTGGCAGGCGAAGAGGAAGGAGTTACATCCTGAGGCCTCCCCAGCCATGCTACCTCTACAACCTGTGGAACTCAGTCAATTAAAACTCTTTTCTTTATAAATTACCTAGTCTCAGGTAGTTCTTTATAGGAATGCAAGAACAGACTAATACAGAAAATTGGTACCAAGAAGTGGGACATTGCTATAAAGTTACCTGAAAATGTGGATGCAGCTTTGGAACTGGGTAATGGGCAGAGGTTGGAACATTCTGAAGGGCTTATAAGAAGAAGATGAGGGAACATTGGGAACTTCCTAAAGACTTGTTGAATGGTTGTGACCAAAATGCTGACAGTGATATGGACAATAAAGTCCAGGCTGAGGTGGTCTCAGATGGAGATGAGGAACTTATTGGGAACTGGAATATAGGTCACTCTTGGTATGCTTTAACAAACAGACTGGCAGTGTTGTGCCCCTACTCTAGGGATCTGTGGAACTCTGAACTTGACAGCGATGATTTAGTGTAACTGGCATAAGAAATTTCTAAGCAGCAAAGCACTCAAGATGTGGCCTGGCTGCTTCTAACAGCCTAAGCTTGTACTCATGAGCAAAGAAATAATCTGAAACTGAAACTTACATTTAAAAGGGAAGCAGAGCATAAAAGTTTCCAACAATGTGGATAAACCATGTCACTTGAATTTATTGCCAGTATTTGAATATTGATATTCAAAATCATATAGTATTACAGATTTGCAGCCTGACTACATGGTAGAAAAGAAAAACCCATTTTGGAGGAGGAATTCAAGTCATCTGCAGAAATTTGCATAAGTAAAGTGGAGCCTAATGTTAATAGCCAAGACAATGGGGAAAATAACTGGAAGGCACTTCAGAGACCTTCACACAGCCCCTCCCATCACAGGCCCAGAGGCCTAGGAGGGAAGAATGGTTTCATGGGCCAGACCCAGGGCTCTGCTCCCCTGCACAACCTCAGGACACTGCTCCCTGCATCCCAGCTGCTCCAGCTCCAGCGGTGGCTAAAAGGGCCTCAGATATGTTTCAGAGGTGCTGCTCTGCTCCAAAGGGTGCAATCAAGAAGCCACAAAGGCTTTCACATGGCATTAAGCCTCCAGGTGTGCAGAGGGCAAGAATTGAGGCTTGGGAACCTCCACCTAGATTCCAGAGGATGTATGGAAATACCTGGTTGTCCAGCCAGAAGTCTGCTGCAGGGGCAGAGCCCTCATGGAGAACCCCTACTAGGACAGTGTGAAGGGGAAATGTGGGGTTGAAGCCCTCACACAGAGTCCCCACTGGGGTACTGCCTAGTGGAGCTGTGAAAAAAGGGCCACTGTCCTCCAGACCCCAGAATGGTAGATTGACAGCTTGCATGTGCCCTTGGAAAAGCACAGGCACTCAACACCAGCCCATAAAAGAAGCCTTGGGTGCTGTACCCTGCAAAGCCACAGGAGCAGAGCTTCCCAAGGCCTTGAGAGCCCACCCCTTGCATCAGTGTGGCCTGGGTATAAGACATGGAGTCAAAGGAGATTATTTTGGAGCTCTGAGATTTAATGACTGCCCTGCTGGGTTTCAGACTTGCATGGGGCCTGTAGCCTCTTTGTTTTGGCCAGTTTCTCACATTTGCAATGTGAACATTTATCCAATGCCTGTACCCCCATTTTCCATTGTATCTTGGAAGCAACTAACTTGTTTTTGATTTAAGAGGCTCATAGGCAGAAGGGTTTGCCTTGTCTCAGATGAGACTTTGGACTTGGATTTTTGAGTTAATGCTGGAATGAGCTAAGACTTTGAGAAACTGTTGGGAAGGCATGATTGTATTTTGAAATGTAAGAAGGACATGAGATTTGGGAGGGGCCAGGGACAGAATGATGGGGTTCAGCTCTGTGAACCAACCCAAATCTCATCTTGAATTGTAATCCCCAATGTTGGAGGAAGGGCCTGGTGGGAGGTGATTGGATTACGGGGGCAGATCTCCCTCTTGCTGTTCTCATGGTAGTAAGTTCTCATGAGAGTTGTTTGTTTAAAAGTATGTAGCACCTCCTGCTTTGCTCTTTTCTTCCTGTTACAGCCATGTAAGATGTGACTCCTTTCTTTTCACCTTCCACCATGATTGTAAGCTTCCTGAGGCCTCACCCACCATGCTTTCTGTACAGCCTGCAAAGCTGTGTGTCAATTAAACCTCTTTGCTTCATAAATTATTGTCTCAGGTAGTTCTTTATAGCCATGGGAAAACAAGCTAATACAAGCAGCATCCACCTTGGTTAATTCTTCTGCAGTAGGATCCTGACCATGGTGCCCAGGGGGATGTCAGACTTCTCAGGAGAACAAATTTATTTATTTATTTATTTGTTTGTTTTTGAGATGGGGTCTCACTCTATTGCCCAGGCTGGAGTGCAGTGGCACAATCATAGCTCACTACAGCTGACAACTTCTGGGCTCAATGGATCCCTCTGCCTCAGCCTCCTGAGTCGCTGGGACTATAGGAGGTACCACCTATATAGGCACCACCATACCTGGCTAATTTTTTTTTTATTTTTTAGAGACAGAATCTCACTATGTTGCCCAGGCTGGTCTCAAACCCTAGCCTCAAGTGATTCTCCTATCTTGGCCTCCCAGGTCATTGGGATTGCAGGTGTGAACCACCATGCTGAGCAGACATTTTAAAGAAACTTTAATTAGTCCTGAATAAACTAGGCAGAAGCCTCAGTATTTGGGTAAAGTCTGACATTTGATTCATATTAGGCCGTCAGAAGGAAACTGGACACGTACCTGTATCAGTGTCATCGCTGGATCACTAAACTTGTGAGTGTTCAGCACTCACATGGTCCAGAGACTGCCATCATATCCAATCAGCATAAAAATTCCAATAATGTGGACAAAGTATGTTACTTGGATTTATTGTCAATATCTGAATATTGATTGTCAAAATCATGTAAGTATTACAGATATGGCTTGGAGTGAAAATCTCCTAATGTTTTATGTATTAAAATTATTTTAACCAGTTGAGGTCTAAATTTGCATTTATTATCACAAAATATAATGCTGGCAGCATTAACTTCAGTAGTAGGGCCACCCAACTACCTTCACCACGAGAACTACATTAACACCTCCTCACACTGGCCATGCTCAAACCCTACCAGTGGGAAGGAGGCAAGCATTTTGCATTACTAGCATGCACACTAGGATGATCACAGAAGCAATCTATCATACTTACACTCCACCATCAGAAAATATAATGATCACATTTTTTAAAAAAATTCAAGTTTATTCTTTTATTCTAGAAATTTATCCTGTGAAGGTAACATGTAGCTGATGGTTGATTTTCAGCATTTGGTATGTTGTCATTGAGTGCATCTCTGATTTAAATGACAAATTTTATTGGTCCCTAATGACTTAGTAGTGTACTAGTGAGTAGGCCTTAATCACATGAAAAAATGAGTCTACCAAGTGGCCTTCCCCTCTTTGATAATGGCAAAGAAATGTCCCATGTTTGGGGATGGATGTCCAGCTCATGTGGCTGCCTACTGTCTACCTCTGGGCCACAGACCAGAGGCCAAGCATCGTTGTGTCCAGTGCCACCCAGGAAAGGTACTCATCTGCCTTTGTTCCAAGGAGGTCCTTTTTCTCAACAGTGTTTAAATAGTGCACACGTTTGTACATACCATAGAGCAGCAGTTCATATTGGCTGTAGATGTTGTGAAAACAATAGCCATTGAGTAGAGGCCAGGGATGTTGCCAAATATCCTACAATGCACAGAAGAGCACCCCCTCACACACACACTGCCACAACAGATAATTCTGACCCAAAATGTACATGGTGCCTAGATTGAGAAAACTTTGCACAAAAATAGTATCTTGGCCTGTCCGCCTCCTGCTCATGGGACTTCAGTTCAAAGAGAACTGAAATGCAGCTTTAATAAAAGCCTTTGTCTCTGAGCCATGAGTGTTGTGGAAACTGGGGCCAGCTGAGGTGTGTACTTGCAAGTAGGATAAAAACTCAGACCTGCATACTTCCCAACATCCCTCTACAGACAGCTGCAGCCTATTGGATCTGATCTATTGATGTCCACAACCTGGGATACCTAGATGTGCTAAAAGAGCAACTATAGCACGACAAGGCTTCCAGCTGGGTGAGCGGGAGGAAAACAAGAAAAGAGCTTTGTGTCCAGGGTACATCCACCCAGCCAGCCTCACATATCACATTTGCTGGGGATCTGGATGGTGGCAGGGCTCTCACAGCTGAGGAGCAGTCCACAGTGCAGGAAGGAATTCTGTTACAACTCACTCCAAAGCTGATAAACAGCCAGACAAAACTGAAGCTGTAGCTGCCCTGTGTGACTGCATCAGCCTGTGGAAGCCATCAAAACAATTCAATAACTCAATGACATAGTCCTAGTTCCAATTCATCTTTCTAGCAGGCATCTGTTTCTATTATATTTGAACTGTGCAGAGGAAATTGGATAAGGCATGCTAGCACGGGACACTGCAAGCTGCAGCAACCACATGCCCAGCAGCGGGAGCGGGAGGATAGAAGACAGGAGGAGAGAAGCCAGGTACTGAATCTCAATCAGAAGCAGCTTAAAGGTCAGACTCTGAAATTTCCTTCAGAGCCCATCAAAGCCTACCTGTAATTTCCACAACAAAGTAACCCAAAGCCATTTCTTGGTGACCCCCAGTGTCAGGGTACTCACCCCTCATTCACAGACAGACAGCCCTCAGTGGTAGAGTAACAGCATCAATTCTTCTCCCCATCTGTTTCCACTCACTGGCTCTGCCCAGCCAGCCAAGAGTCAAAGCCTTAGGCATTGGAGCATGGATTCATGGTCAGGTTCCACTCCTTGGTTGAAATTAAGGGTAACTTAAGTTCTATGGGTGGAACTGGCTGGAGGGAAGACAATAATTTGGCAAATGACAAGTGCTCCAAGGGGACCCGTGATACATTCTATCTAGGTCAGGGGTGGGCAAACCATTCCCCATGGGCCAAATGTGGCCACTTCCACTCACTGACCCATCTTCTGTGGCTGCTTTCACATTTCAATAGCAGAGCTGAGTAGCTGCAACAGGACCGCATGGCTGGCAAATATTTACTCTCTGGCCCCTTCCAGGAAAAGTGGCCAGCTCCTACTCTAGAGACCAGACTTCTAAGAAAAAAGTGAATCTTCAGGATGCAGATTTTCAGTAGCATACATGGGAGGACTTGAGAAAGAAAGGAACAGGCATGGAGATACTGAAGCCCCCTCTTCACAATGGTGAGTGACAGCTCATAGTCTCAGGAGTAATTGGTTGATAGAGGCAGACTCTAAGGCAATGAGATAGAAGGAAGAATATTTTTGATGAAGGGGCAGATGGAGGAACCTTTCCTAGTGTAGGAGAATCCCTCAGCAGAAGAGAAGCAGCGCCCATACCTGCATGGGGTGGAAAGAAAGGAGCAGGAGCCCCCAACAGCAACTAGGAGAACCACAGAGAAGCCAAAGAGAAGCTAAGAACTTGATCTTGTCTTGAATTTCTGTAGCATCTGAGACACTAGAGTTCAGTCCTGCATTAAGCTCAGGGTTTTCCAAACCAGTCAGTCCACACGGCCTTTCCACCTGGTAGCTGCCATTTCCATCCAGGCCCTGGAATTCATGAGGTTACCCTTTGGAGAATGCTGCATTCAACCTACCCACTCCCTTTACAGATTGGACAAACCCCCTTGACACCGTACCTCCGTGTGAACATCACACAGCAATTCATGGAAAGCGTGCACCCATTAGCAGGATGGGAGAGGCTGGAAACCAGCCCTGGCACATTCAAGATGCCCTCCTATGGGAGGAAGAATTGCAACAGCATTTTGTGCTCTGAATGCCCAGTCTATAGGAAGATGAACAGAATGTGCACTAAATATTTAGGCATCTGAGCTGTGGTAGCTCATGGCAGGAAGCCACGCTCACCTCCCAGGACCTGATTCTGCCATAATACACTGTCCCAGAACCACTATAGATCACCTCACCACTGGCTGAGGAAGACAAAGACAGGAGCTGAGTGTAGATGGGCAGCAGGCTCATCCTTGTCTCCCTTCTGCTGGCTGATGCACACCTTGTCCAGCTTGCTTAAGACACATGCTCCAACACCTGTCATTGTCAGGCATTAGATTCGTGGCCATGCCTGCTGTGCCCACCAAGCTGCCAGCACCACATGGCTGCTGCTCACTGGTGTGCGGTGTGTGCCCAGCCTGAGGGCCAGGCGAGCTCAGGACACAGACCTCCCAGTGCCAGCACATAGGAAGGCCCTGGTAGCTGGCCAGGGAGGCCTAAGCTCACTTCAGTCATCAGACACGAAGTTCCATTCTCTAAGGATATCATCTGGGAGGAGGTGAAGCCTTTCTGTCTTGAAGGTTGGGTCTACCTCCAGGTGTGAAGGAAGGACATTTCATATACAGGGGAAAGAGGTATTGGCCAAGAAATATGGAGCCCAGATTCAAAGGGGGACAGAGACCCCATCTCTTGATGGAAGGAGGGTCAAGGAATTTTAGAAACTTATTTTCCCCAAACTTCTAGAGTTGTTGACACCAGTTGTTTATTTGTCACATTGCTTATTTATTCACTTACTTATTCTTTAAAAGTTATTTTAAGCATAATTAAAGATATAATTCATCTCAGACTATTATCACGAGATTATTGTCTTATTATTACCTTCCACACTCCAAAGCCACCACCCTTGGATGACATAAATATCCAATGACTATTTATCAGAACCATAGGCATTTTTATCTACCTGTCACCTTGCAGGGTCAACATTTACAAACACGTCGTTATTACAGGAACACAGAATAAGATAATGATCTTATTATCAAGACCACAGATAATAATCGTGGCTCGTTGAAGCCCTTTGAACCCAACAGCTGTGGGCCCATCTGGAGCTAGTGGCCTTACTTCTCTAGATCAGATTTGCACACTTTGAAAACTGCAGCAGTTAGGAAGCTGCAGCATCCCACAGGGGGAAGCAGCTCAACAGCCAGAGCTGGGCTGAGAAGCGGGTATCTGGAAGCTTGCTCCTTAATGCCTCCTGAGGAAGCGCTGGGCACACACCTGGCACAGCCCACATGCAAGAGTTAGCACCACCCGCACACATAGTGCTCAGCTGTTCCTTTGGCAGCACTGTTGTTAGCAATGTGTGACCGCATTGGGAGGGGGTCTGAGTACCATGGAGGTGACTGAGATGCTCTGTACCTCTGTTACTTAGCACAGTGCAGGGCAGGAAGCAGGAAACTCAACAGATGTCTATTCAATGATTGATGGGCAGCTGCCAAGCAACTTCCAGAGTAGGGGGTCCCATGATGCAGATCCCTCCTCCCCACCCACTCCATGTCAGCCTTATTTCAGGCCTCACAACATCCCACTTGAAATATTAACTGAGCTCTTGGCCTCAGTCATCGTGTTCTCCTGTCACCACTGCACCATCTCAAAGTGGCCCTTCCTACCCCACTAGGCTTCCCACTGCCCCGCACACAGCCAAAGCCCTGCCCTCACAGCCTGGCCCTCCAGATGTCTGCAGCCTGGGCCCCATCTGTCTTCAGACTTCGCTTCCCATAAAGTTTCCTCATCTGGCTTTTGGTTTTGTTTCACAAATAAGCCACACACACATGCACACACAAAGAGGTACATGCACACACAAAGAGGTACATGCACACATGTGCAAACATCTGTGACCACAGACCCAGATGCCAGCACACACGTGCACACACACTCATGCTTCCAGGTGCAAATACACATACATACACACACACACACACACACACACCAGCTCCATACTTTAAACCTCTTTCCCCTGTATATGAAATGTCCTTCCTTCACACCTGGAGGTAGACCCAACCTTCAAGACAGAAAGGCTCCACCTCCTCCCAGATGATCTTCTTCCCAAGTTGCAATTGAGTTCTCCCTCCCCATTTCTCTATACAGCGGCAACAGACTCACCATCACGATACCATTGCCGTCTTCTCTCAATGCAGGTGCCGTCCATGCTGTGAGTCCCTGGAGAGCAGCAGGGATACTTTTTACAGCTTTTTCGATGCTCACTTACGGCCCCCAGCAGAGAGCACCTCAGCAGGTGCTCCAAGAACGATGTTGCCTTGGAAAGGTAGCGAGGCCCTGAAACACAGAGAATAAGGGCAAAGTCTGGGCTGCTCTCAGAGCCTCAGGGCCCTGCCACCCCAAAGTCCTAGGACAGGGAGCGTGTCCTCTAACTTTTCTCTCTCCCTGCACTTTATCTCCACCAGGAATTCTCAACCTTTTTTGTTCTAATAGAGCTCTCTTCAACCGCCTGAAAAAGTTCCTAATCCTTTTATAAAATATTGTCTTAAAATGCACATAATAGGCTGGGCACAGTGGCTCCTGCCTGTAATCCCAACACTATGGGAAGCCGAGGCAGGTGGATCACTTGATGTCAGGAATTCGAGACCAGCCTGGCCAATATGGTGAAACCCCGTCTCTACTAAAAATACAAAAATAAGCCAGGCATGGTGGTGCACGCCTGTAATCCCAGCTACTCAGGAGGCTGAGGCAAGGAGAATCACTTGAACCAGGGAGGCGGAGGTTGCAGTGAGCGGAGATCATGCCATTGAACTCCAGCCTGGGCAACAGAGTGAGACTCCATCTCAAAAAAAAAAAAAAAAGAAATGCACAAAATAAATATTACAAAGGGCCTGAGTGATGCTGAAATCCAGCTCTGCGTTCACACTTGAGTTGGGGGATGGCAGGTTCCCCAGCACCGTGTGCTCCCAGGTTCCCAGCAAATGTGAGCTCACTCTCCCTGGAGCCCTTGCCCTGGGTCCTGATCACCAGCCCCCTCTGGTTGATCTTCCCTCAGGTAGGAAGTAGCCCTGAGGAGGGGGAGCACAGAGGAGTTGTGGGCAGGGGTGCAGAAGGAGAAAATATGTTGAGGACAACAGCATCAGAGGCCAAAGGCAGACTCTGGCTGCTGGTCTGCACAGACCACCATCTATGGGTTGCAGAATCTGGGTGGACACGTAAGGAGAGGAGGGAAAAGAGAGAGAAAAAAAAAACTGTCACAGGCAAGCACAAAGAGTAGCTGCCCTCAATTAGGGCTAGTAAAGAATTGTTCCCACTGCACGGGGTTTTCCAACTGCAATCTTTGGGCTTGTGAAGCATTTTCTCTGCATCTGTTGTTGATGCCATTAAGTAGAATGAGTCACTGTATATATTAAGCACTAAGACCAGCAGCGACATAAGTCTATGAATTCAATGATCATGCCAGCTTTAAGTAGAAAAGGAGCTTTTTTTTTTTTATTAAACCAGTGGCAAAGCAGAGGAAATCAAGTAATTTTTACATTATAAGATTTTTGCTTTTTTTTATACTGTGTCTATTTCCTTTTAATGACAGTTATCAAAAGTCACTTTTGGGAAAAGGCTTTGAAATTGAATAGAAAAATCTCATGCATTTACTTTTCCTGTTTTTCTGAAATTCAAATAAGATGTGAGCGACAGGCGCTGAGTGCTCCAGCCCCCATGCTCAGCAATCGCAAGCTTTCTTCAGACCTCTCTTTGCAAGCTCGGGAGGAGACCAGAGAGGTTCCTTAGGAGGATCCCTGGCTGGAATCTAGGCCAGGAAGCCAACAGCAAAATGTGTTTGGGGTGAGCATCTGTGTTTGGGGCCTTCTGGCATGGTAACACTCTGACCTGGGGTGTTCGACATCACTTGTGCTCTCAGCACAGCTTCCAGAACAAGCCAATGGCCCCAACAAAGGACAAAGGGTCCAGAACCATGTGACCAGAAAAGGAAGACAGCCAGGTGTATTTGACAGCTCCCAGAATGACCTGGCCAGACACTCAGAAGGCCACGGAAGCTTCGCTCAGGCATGCTGCCAGTGTGTGTTTATGTCCCAAACCCTCACACAGCATTTGCTACCTGACTGGCCTTTGGCAAAGGGCTTTAGAGATGTTCCCCCAAGTCCCACATGGCACAGAGGGCAGGTGCGCATGCTGTGACAATTTCACAGGTGAGGAAAGGGAGGCCCAGGGAGCTTACAGAGCTCATGAGAGGTGCAGCCAGGATGTGAGCCCAGCCAGCTGGCCCCACAGCCTGTGCCCATGTGTGACAGGTGCCCCTCTGCCCCTTTCGTGGGGTCACATTGCCTAGTTGCATCAGAAACTTAACCCAACCTTACAGCTTGGTGTGTGGGTGGGCAGTGGAGGGTGGTGCAGGCGGCATCTCCTTACCTCTGATGCAGCATCCACCAGAAAAGCTGCAGAGAGTGTGGAAGGCAGAACAGTACTTCCAAAAAAAAACTAAAAACATCCAAGTCCTGATCTCCAGACCTGTGCCTATGTTAGGTAACGTGGCAAGGCGACACTGAGGTTGCAGATGGAATCAGCAGGCCTTGAAAGAGGGCACTTGTCCTGGATGGTCTTCATGTCCTCAGTGTAATCACAAAACTCCTCAAAAGTGAAAAGAGGGTCAGGGTCAGAGGAAGATATGACTATGGAGAAAGGCACAGAGAAACGCACACTGCCAGCTCTGAAGACAGAAGGGTCCACAAGCCACTAGCCGAGGAAAGCAGGAGCCTCTAGAAGCTGGGAAAGGCAAGGACCAGATATTCCCCTGGAGCTACAGAAGGGACCCGCCCTATCGACACCTCCACTTTAACCCAGGGGGACAGTGCCGGGCTTCCAACCTCAGGACTGTAAAACAATAAAATTGTGAGCCGGTGTGGTGGTTCATGCCTGTAATCCCAGCACTTTGGGAGGCCAAGGCAGGTGGATTACTTGAGTTCAGGGGTCTGAAACCAGCCTGTGCAACACAGTGAAACCCTTGTCTCTACAAAAAGTACAAAAATCAGACGTGTGTGGTGGCGTATGCCTGTGGTCCCGGCTACTCAAGGGGCTGAGGTGGGAGGATTGCTTGAGCCCAGGAAGTAGAGGCTGTAATAAGCCAAGATATCACTACTACACTCCAGCCTGCGCAACAGAGCAAGACCCTGTCTAAAAAAAATAAATAAATGAATAAATTTTTAAAAATAAAATTGTATTGTTAAGCTGCTAGTAAGTGGATCAGTCAGTATTCAAGCCAGGTGGTGTTAAGCATTGTGTCCCTGGGATGAGTCATCATTCATAATCATTGATGAAAGTTTTAAATGTTAAGTATAACTTGGAATGATTCTACTGTATTGTTAATAACTTACAGTTATCATGAATCACTAGGCCAAAATATGCTATTGTTAGGAGAAAAAATTTCACCTCTACCACTTGGGTCCCATGCTTGGGGGCCTGCAAATTAACTGAAGATAGATTAACAGGAGAAAAGGCAAGGTTTATTTACATGTGCACGTGGGAGTTGCTCAGCCATAAGTAACTTGCAGAATAATGTGAAGGTTTATATGAGGGGACAGTGCATGTCCTTGCACCTTCACTTTGGACTTGACCACATGATTTGTTCCAAGCAATGGGATGCACATAAAGTGACAGTGTGCCAGATACAAGCAGAGGCTTTAAAAGGCATCATTTGCTTCTGCTGTCCTTCCTGACTTCTACCTTGCACCCTGAGGAAAGCATGCCCCAGGGTGTAACTTCTCTGCCAGCCTGGGTCCTGGGTGAGAAGAAGGGTGGCCCAAAGGAGTCCAGCCAAGAGGAGCAGCTTAGAAGCTGCAGCCAGCCTCAGACCCCAGAGTGAGAAACAAACATTTGCAGTTGCAAGCTACAGAGATGTCTGGACTACCTGTTACTGCGGCAGAAGCTAACTACCACAAGAACACGTAGATTTTTGGCCTAAGCAACAGTGAGGATGATGGTGCAACTTGCTAATTTGAGTTGCAGCAAGTGGGGTGGGAAGGGGGAAATTAAGATTTCATTTTAGAATACACTTAGCAAATAGCAACACCTCCCATGCTATGAAGGATAAGATACAAGACACAACTTTCATACTCCTTGCATTTGGAGAATAATACAATTATTTGTATTTGGAATTTAATATCCCAAATAAACATTCATATCCTTTACACTCAACCTGTTCATTGTCAAACATTTTGTTCCCTGAAATTGCTTAATTCACATTTATTCAAAAAGAAAGTGCATTTGGAGTTAAAACTAGTTTTACCCAAGAGGGTCTAAAGAGCTTAAAAATAGAAATGGGATTATGCCAGGATGAAACCCATTAACAACTCAGCTGAGTGAGGTCAGTGGGGGAGTGAGCCTAGGAGCTCCAAGTAGGGAAGAGAGCCCCCATCATCATACCCGGATCATCAGGAGAAATGACATCCACATGGATGGCACACTCTAAAGACAGCCAAGGGAAACTTTGCCAAAAAAGCAGAAGATTTTTTTTTCTTTTTCATCAAGATAATGCCACTTTAACCAAGAAAAGGAACAGATTTTGTTTGAAAACCCTAACTGGATATTTGGTTATTAATAATGTTATATCATATTAATACTTTTATATCATTTTCATTCACCATCTACCATATTTCCCATGTAATGATATAATCTTCATAACTAGAATTTTAATGGCTGCCCAATGAATAGCTATATCATAATGTTGGGGGTTTTTTGTTTGTTTGTTTTGTTTTGTTTTTTCAGATGGAGTCTCACTCTTTCACCCCAGCTGGAGTGCAGTGGCACAGTCTTGACTCACTGCAACCTCCACTCCTGAGGTTCAAGCAATTCCCCTTCCTCAGCCACTTAAGTAGCTGGGATTACAGGCACCCACCACCAAGCCCAACTAATTTTTGTATTTTTAGTAGAGACGGGTTTCATCATGTTGGCCAGGCTGGTCTCGAACTCCTGACCTCGTTGTCCATTCACCTCTGCCTCCCAAAGTGCTGAGATTACAGGCGTGAGCCACTGCACCTGGCCGTGTATTTTTAATTTATCTTATTTTGTAACTTAGCTTTTTCTACCAAAAAATAGGCATTCATGAAAAGTTGTTAAATATACATTAAGTGAGGAAAGCAAGACATGCTGGATAATATCCTTTGCATTATGTCATTAGCCCATTTATATGCTGGAGGTTGCAAATTTTTTTGTGAAAAATCAGACCACAGCGATGACCTTGAGCAGTAGGATACAAATAACTCCCACAAGCTTAGCATTCCAATAATGGAACACTAGCCATAAATGGGTTAAGATTACAGACAATACATTTTGTGTATGAATATACTTATATTCATTCTGGACAGATTAATGTTAAATTATAAGCGAGGTGAGTCTATAGAAATTATTATTTTAGTTACTAATTTCTACATCATTTATTTATGATGAGCATGTAGTTATTCTGTAATTTAAAAACAACAAAAACAAGATATTTACCAATAAGTAATAGAAGAAATGATTCATTCCAGAAAGGCTTGAGGAAAAGATCTTGACGCTAAAGTACTGTAGCTAAAACATATTGAAATAGGGCTGGAAGAGAGTGGCATCATTAGCGAGGCTTTCAGTCCACACACAATGAAGAACCCAGCCCCAGCTTACATCTTCCAGTCCGGCAGAGCTCCTGACAGCTTAACACATACTTCAGAATGTTTATTATACTTTAATATGGATACTGTATTCATATTTTATGTTCTTCTATTGTTTCTAAGTATAGCCTGGATAAACAAGTCACAGAGTAGACACATAAAAGCACACAGCTAAATTCACATTTTCTCTTAATGTTAGAAACCACAGATGCATTAAAAAGGATCATTAGGGACAGAGGTGCACTTTGATGTTTTGATCTAACCCGTTTTCACATTCAAAGGATGCTTCGAGTGTTATTCAGAAGTACATAATTGTGCTGAGAGCAAAAAGCACTTAGTGTCAGCTGAACACTCGCTCAAAGGCTCAGTTGGCAATACACGAGGATGTGTTGGAGGATGCATTGACTTGGGCCCTTCTGAGCTCCGTGGAGAGCTGGTGGGAGACAGCTACGGGGCGCCGGCACTGGTGAGGTCCAGACGGGTGCCTCCTGCGTTCTGCGCCAGGCATGGCGAGGGGCATCTCCTTGCCACCTCCTCTTTGTTTGCCTCCACCTCTTGCCCCTCCCCACCACCCCATTTCCATTCCTTCACAGGAAAAGCTAGAGGCACAGAGATGTGTTTAGTCCTGTGGTGGATGAACTCATCTCAGAACGCCAGCTGCACCATCTTCACGCAAGGGTTTACAATTCTATCCACTTTCACAGTGCCTTTGGTATTTGAGCTTGGATGAAACCAAAAGGTCACCAAAAGCTTCAGGAGGAACTGCTGAATTTCACTGATGGCTGAGTCAAAAATCTCCAAATTTAGCCCGGCTGATCTCCCTCTCCAAATGCTGATTCACGAGGCTTCGATGCTTGATGCTTCCAACACGGCTGGCTAGCAGGGGAAGTTTGAACACAGTCTGAAACCTTGCAAGCTTCTGCCTCATTTCAAGGCCTGAGTATATCCGAGTTTCCCCTGAATAATTAAATGGAGTGCTCAGACTGGCATGGGGCCGTGGCTCTATTTATTCTGATGGAATCTCCAAGACCAGGTCACATTCAAGATAGCGCACTGTCAGTGTGTGCCTGCCAGGCCGCCTAGCCCTGAGGCTCTGCAGTTTTCTTTTAGCTTTACAGTCTCTCATAGATTGAGGCAGTTTTGTGAATCGCTGCTTAAAAAAGAAATCCCGTTTAAGGTTGATTCAAAAAATGGATCTTCTATTTGGTGCCTTAACACTTGAAGTCAATACAGGTTGAGCATCCCTAATCCAAAAATTTGAAATCCAAAATGTTCTCAAATCAGAACCTTTTTGAGTGGGGACGTGATGTCTACAGAGCTCATGACACAGGTGTCTTTGGAAGCCCTGCCATGACTGTCAGCCCCACCACAGTCATCAGGGGCTCTCTCAGTGAAACATGGATGCTGGAGCCACACCCAGGGGCCGTCGCCTTGGGTGTTTGCAGGCAGCAGAAGCCAGCAGCCAGGGGAGAGTCACTGCACTGGGGCACGGGGTCTGTGGTGACGTCACCACTCCTAGCCATCAGTACTTTGTGGGTTTGGGCCCTGTAGGGTCCACTTCTGGGTTCCAGGAGGTGGGCAGGTCCACCAAGAAAGCAGGGAATGGATGTTGGCACCACAGTTTGCAACCTCGTTGGAAATAAAAAGCTCCAAAGAATCAATTAGAGAAAAACTCAGCATAAAATGAATGCTAAAAGTTGGAATTAAGAGAATTAGCAAGTGAGACAAGACAAAAAACAGGAGGTTGATTACGCAACAAGAACCAGCTCTGTGAAGATCTTGGCCTCATTCAATAACAGAAAGAAAAACTACGGCACGGGGAAGCCACTTGGTTTTCCCAGAATCCAACAATGACTGGGCTTCTGGGCCAACCCCAGAACACAAAGCTCCTGACTCAGGCGCCCTGTGACCCACTCAACGTGAAAGGGAACCCTCCGGCTGTTGTCTGGATAATTGCTTTTTCAAAAACGCCCACTGGATAAATCCAGATAATTAAGCCCCCCAAAAAGTGTGCTTTTCTTCGTGAATTATCGACATAATTGCCTTAGTTTTCACTTGGTTTTGCATATGCACTATAGCCTCACCTCTCCTTTGCATGGTCAGCATGAAGCAAGTTGATAATCTGCATTCCACACATATTGAGCTACTATCATATGTATGAGGCAGCATGATTGGTGTGATGAGGAATTGTAAACAAAAGTCCTAAGTAATAAGCACAGGCAAGTGGCCTGCCTTCAGAAGCTCACAGTCTGCTCCACACATATTCTTAGGAGAAGGAAACTCATAAGATAAAGCAAGGCGGGATGACTAGAGAAAGGCAGGGTGGACGAAGGAGGGAGACAGGAGGAGGGACATGATGCAGAGACGGCTTTGTTGGGAGGGCCCTGGAGGGTTTCGGCTGAAGGGAGAGGAGTAGAGCATGGGCAGCTATCCAAGAGTGACATGCTGCCCAGTTTCAAACCTGGGCTGTAGCACTTGCAAGCTGGGTGACTCAGTCACTTCACCTCTCTAGGTCTCAGTTTCCCATCTGTAAAATATTTTCTTTGTTAGGTTATTTTGAGGACTCAATGAGCTGCTATCTGCAAATCATTTCCAAGGTGCCACCAGTGTGGAAAGTACCCATGTGATTGTGAATGACCAACCTCAGGTCTTGGAGGGGTGGAAATGGCAGTCATTCTGAACTTTGAGCAGGGTGTGCCCATTCACCACTGCCTCCACTACCTGTCACTTATCTGCAGAATAGAGGGAAGCCAGGGGGATAAGCAGCCACACGTTCCCAGGAGTGGCATCAGTCAGCCCTGACCTAGCACTGGGGCCTGGGAATATCATAAAATCACAAATAAGAAAGATGTGACAAGGGAAAAATTAACAGGCCATCACGACTGACCTGGTACCCAAGGAGTGAGGTGGCAGACACAGATGACCTTCCACTAGGAACGGGGGAAGAGCAGCAGAGAACAGAGGAGGAGGGAGGCACCTCCACTCTGCTGAGCCAAGGTCTTGCGTGGACCTCTGGGAGGAAACCCACTAGCCTGTTGGAGAAGGGAGAGCAGATGTGGTTTCAGGAGGTGGCAAGATAGAGCTATATGGAAGATGGATGCTCCAAGGAAAAGATTTTAGGAAGGGTGGTGGGCTAAGGCGTGGAGAACCAGGGAAAAGAGGTTCTGTCAAGCTGCAGAGGACACTGGTTCTTGGGGACAACAGATATGGCAACTGGAAGAAGCCCAGCACTCTCCATAGAGCCCACATCTCCAGCATATTCATCACTCCATGTGAAATATGGAAACACGACAGAACTCCAGATGACGGCCTGTACTGGGGAGGAGTCCGAAATCCCATGCTCCAAAAGTGGCGCAAGACACAGGTCATGACGGTGAATCTGTGGGTACACAGGAGGGGATCAGCCAGGGCTGGCTGGCCTTGCAGGCATCTTGGAATATCTCTCATGCCTTCTTTTTTGACCAGTTACTCAATCTGCAAATCCACAAGCAGGACCATGGCTCTTTGTAGCCCTATGGGTGCTTGGCATGCATGTTAAATGGACCAGTTATAGCCAAGATGACACTTCTGAAGGGTGGGGCTGCCCCAGCTATGTGAAGCCCCTAGAGATGAAGAATAAAGAGGGCTGGCTGCACACAGAGAAGAAAAACACCACCCAGGAACCTCAGTTACTTTGCCCTTCTGCCTTCTGAACGGAAGCCGCCAGTTCTGCCAGGCAACATGCTGTTTCCCCTGAGTCTTTTTTTTTCACTTCAGAAACTATGGGAGATACATGTAAACACTCTAAATGTATAGGCTCATTTTCCAGTAAGTACAAAAGTGGATGGGTGGGTGGATGGATGGATGGATGGATCGGTTAATGGAAGAAAGGAAGGGTGAGAGGAGGGAAGGAAGGAGGAAAGGAAGGAGGGAGGGAGAGAAGGAGGGAGGAGGAAAGGGAAAGATATGCTGTATAGTAAACTTTCCAATCTAATTGAACCCAAAACTTACAATAACTTCAGTTTCCCAACTGTGAAATTAAACTGCTTCTTTCTATAGGCTTTATCTTTGCCTTATAAAATTTGGTTTAGATAAATTAGACAAAACTTCTGATCTTCTACCACCAAATCCCTACAGGAAGCCCCTGGAAACTTCCTTTACACTACCACGTTGTCTACTGCATTTTTCCCAGTTGAACTCAAGAAGAGCAGGGCTTGATTGTGGCCGGTGTCCAGATTCACGCCTCATCGTTTCTCCCACCGATGTCCCCACCAGTCAGTGACACCATCATTGTCCTTGGGTCCCAGTCCAAACATCTCAAAGCCATGTTTTACCTCTGTGCCCTTCACTCCACCCACTCCATGTTCAATAGCGATGGAGCAGGCTTGGGCGCGTACATCTCTGAAATGACATAAACGATGTAAAAGAGCTTTTTGAAAAAGCAATTGTAAGAACGAACGTCTCCTCTTCCCCTCCATTTCCATTGGAGTTTATACAACTGAATGGGCTAAAGTTTTCTGCAAAATCCCTCCTCCAGGTTCCCTCTCCTCATTCCTCAGGGCCCCCCAAGGGAAGGGCAATTATTGCTTTAGTACCTGCTTGCAAAATGATTTTCCAAGGATGGATTTCAAGTTCAGCTTCTCAAGCTTGCAAATGTGGCATCTCAAGGAGACCCACCAACCCGCCTGCCCCCATCTGCCCACCTGCCGAGGCTTGCTCAGTGCCAGCCCTCTCTGCTGCGGCAGCTCCAGCCTCCGCATCCTCCAGTGTCCAGCACAAGCACAGTTTCCCCACCTGGACCCCATTGCTGGCCTTCCCATGCTGATTTGGAGTGACATCAAGACACTCACACAGTGGCCAAGGAGAAGTTGAAGGGAGGTTTCTGAATGCATCTTTCCTCCCAAACATGCTGAGCAGTTCTGCAGGGCAGAACCAGGTCACTGCACATCCCCGTGTGTCTTTATTACGATTGCTTATAAAATGAATAAACGGTCTCCCATCCGAGTACTAACCAGGCCCGACCTGTAGTCCCAGCTACTTGGGAGGCTGAGGCAGGAGAATTGCTTGAACCTGGAGCGCAGAGGACCGGCTCGAATGTGAAAACATGGGCAGGTATTTGCTAGCAAGACAGGGAACAAGCGGCTTCCTGATAATAGAAACAGAGGCGGGGGCGATGCTGAGACCTGACCCCACAGTGGTCCCTGAAGAACGAAGGGTGGGCACGGCGACGTGAGGGCCTGGGGGGCCCAGGGAATGCGGTGGGACCCTGGAGGGCACGTAGCCACGCTGGGCAATTGTGATTGGGCTGCCACGCTGGCCTCCAAGCATCGCTGAGCACAGGGGCCATGATCAGAGGTGTGTTTGCGCAAGGCCATTGCAGCAGGGTGAGGAGGGTAGATTTGGACGCGAGTGGGAATGAGGTGAGGGAGGGATGAGGGCGGGTCAGGTGGTTGCTGCGGTCAAGTCCTGGACAGCAGGAGCAGTCTCCAGGGGTGCCTCAGAGCGGACTCTAAAGGCCATCGTGTACATCTCCTCAGCTGCGGTACAGACTACCCCAAGCCAGGCAGCTTAAAACAACAGAAATGTATTCTCCCGCAATTCTGGACCGCTCGGGTCCAAAATCCAGGCGTCGACAGGGCCGTGCTAGGGCTGGAGGCTCTGGGGGAGAATCCAGAATCTGCTCCAGGTCTCTCTCCCAGCTCCCAGGGGTGCTGGGAGCCCTGGAGCCCTTTGGCTGTGGACTCATCCCTCGGATCTCTGCCTCTGCCGTCCGTGGCCTTCTCGCTGTGTGTGTTCACATCGTCTCCCTCCGCCTGTGCTGTCTCTGGGTCTCTTCTCCTCTTGTAAGGGTAGCATTCAGGGGCTTAGGGCCCACCTTAAACCAGTATAACCTCATCTTAACTTGATGACATCTGCAAAGATCCCATTTCCAAATAAGGCCACATTCACAGGTATCACGGGTTAGGGCTTCGACATGTCTTTGTTGGGGACCCAATACCACCCGTAAGAGGCCTGGTGCTTGGCGGGGGCTGCAGGAGGCAGGGCAGAGCAGGGCTTCAGCCAAGGGCCAGGTTGGCCCGGAAGCTGGTTCGATTCCCTGGAAGGGGCCGAGGGCAGGAGGTACTGTTCCGTGTGGCTTTGGGGCTTCCTGCTGCAACGGGCTCCGGGCAGAGAGGCCTCCGCTGCCTGCCAAGGTTTTAGTTGCTGCCGCTTCTCCCTTATGTTCCTCCAAATCTCCCGCTGCCCCCATCTGAACCTCAGAAGCATGCTATGGGGGCAGGGGTTCCCGGTCCTCAGCTTCAGGAGGCTGGATCTACTCCTAACTGGGGTAATCTGTTTGCTTCTTTCCCAGGGGACAGGTTCCCAAAAGGCGTACCCAGAGCAGAAAGCTGAACATCTAACCAGTCTCTGCCTCCTGATGCAGACCGATGTTGTGGGAAGACCCGAGAGTCAGGACCCAGGCGTGTGAGAGTCCAGCCCCAGTCCTGCCCTGCAGGGCCTGTTCCATCTCACCGGGCTCCAGTCTTCTCACCTAGAAAATGAGGGCTTCTGATGCAAAGTCTCTAAGGAGCTTTTCAGCTTTAAAGCGTTCTGAATCCCATTTTCCCGCTGACTGACATTCTAATTTCACAGCGGGCTTATCTCCCCCTCAGAAGGGTCTTCAGCCGCAGCAGGGCCTTCCGTTTTTGCTTAAATCGCTCTGACCTTTTTATCAAGCAGTTCATAAACGCCCTTGCGCTAGGAGCGGCCGTCGCCCTGTGGTCCCCGGAGAGGGTCCTCCGAGGACTCTGAAAGCCGCTTCCATGGTTGGCGCCGAGCACAGGCGGCTCCCTCTGGCTTCCGCAGGCACGGACGGGGTTTGCCCAGAGACACCCTGCTCAGCACTGCCAAGCTGGAAAACAAGTGGGTGGGGGCAGCCGCCGGGAGGGGCCAGCAAACCGGGCCCTCATCCAGGAGCAAATTCCACCTTCAGTGCCTCACTTTTATCTCCAGATGGGCGCGTCCTTGTGAGAAACCACAGTATTGTCCCTCACCCATGAAGGGAGGCGTGGACGTGATCCCAAAGCCCCTATGTTAGACGGTCCAGCCTCACCTGAGCAGTCACATGGACCTGCCCGGTCCTTTGACCTCAACACCACACACTTCCCACCCCTGCGGCAGGAAGGCGAGGCAGGAAGCATCCACACAAACCTGAGTATATCACAGTGGCACCACCAACGTGCCGGCTGCAAAGTTGATTTTCTAAACCAGAGGCAGCAAAATGGACCCGCTGGGGAATTCTTGTATCTTGCCTAGCATTTATATTAATATTTGGGGGTATCATTTAATTGATTAGTCATTACTGCATACAAGGTTATAAGAGTCGAGAAGTATAAAATCTATATGTTAAAATTTTAAGAAAAAAATGTCAAGTAGAACTAGCCAGACTGACATCATTAATCTGGTACCTGCACACACTTGTCTTATAAAGTGCGAGGAAAATGGATATTTTTCTTACATATTATGCAATTATGTATGGCATATTACCTGTCTCTGTAGCTTGAAAATCATTACACTGGTCAAGCTGTCCCACTAGTAAAAGCAGACGACCACTTCATAGGTTAAAAAGACATCTGCAAGCTATTTAATACTAAGCTTCATTCCATTAACCTTCATTTTTGTCTCAAAATAATCCTGACCATTTAATATATAACCCCTCACTCCAAAAAGCATTGATTGTACTGTGAAAACATGATTCTTCAGGCATGGGATTTGCTTGTTTACCAATTATTCTCCTTTCCTGGCTAGAACCCTAAAATAATATCAGCAACTGCTGGGAGGGAGGGAGGGAAGGGGAGGAGTCAGACTCGGAGGACACGTCTGACAAAGAGGCAAAGGAAGCTCCTTGCTGCTGCTGCTGTCCTTGCTGCTGTTCTGCCTGGGCTTCGTTTTACAGGATCAATGTTGGGGTGTCACCGGGTCAACGGCAGGGAGGTCTCTCAGCAGGGACACCCAGGCCCAGCGAACACACTGATGCACCGTGCTCATATACCGGCCGGTGATCACTTCGGCTTCTTTGGGGGAAGAATTTCCGGCCTGAGCCATCACATTCCAGGGAGTTCCTGAGGACAAAGGGTATCATGGAGTCTCTGGGCACAGCCCCTCGCTCCTCTGCAGGACCTGAATGGTCACCCCACAGCAACAGAGCCGGCACACCCTCAGCACGGCTGCAGCATAGCTCTTGTCCACTCCTTCTATGGCGAGCAGGATGGCATCACCCACGGGGCCTGCCGTACCCACCAGCAGCACCTAGAGAGGGACAAGAGGAGACAGGGCACTGCCTCCTCTGGGACAGGTGTCGAATGGAGTCAAGATCTCCTGATTGTCAGAGACCAAGGGGTCAAAAGGACCCATGCCCCCAGCACCTTCCCCAGCCTATGAGCAAGCCATGGTCCCATGCTTTCCTCCAAAGCCATGGAAATGGTACTGTGGGCAGGGAGAGGTCTCTTTAGCCACAGACACCTGGCTCCCCCTTCATCTTGAGGGCAATATTTCTCTGGTGGGTTGGAAGTGCTCATTACTCACATTGGGAATGACACTTCTGGGGTGCCCAGTGTCAGGGACTTTGGGAGGGATTGCATTCCTCTCAGTAAAGTGGCAGGGAACACAGAAGCTTATGGCAAGCGTTGGACCAAATACCAATGAAAATACCAGACAGAGTAGCTTACAAACACATTTCCAAAGAATTTCCCTTGTACTCATGGATGGAGTTCACCTACCTTTCTCTCAACACTGGACTCAGGCAATGCTGGAGAGTAATCCAATTTCATGCAATTCAATGAATACAGTGAGGCCAAGGGGGAAAAGCCCCCTCCTTCCCCTGAGAAGGCTCGCAGACCTCCAGGCAAGCAAAGTGCTATGATGGGCTGTGCCGTGCGGCACAGTGGAGGGCAGAAGAAACTCACGGCATCAGCAGGGCTGGCAGGGCAGGCACTCACAGTGAGGCAGGAAGGTGAGCTCGTTGTCAGGCACAGGAGACACAAGCAGGAGGTGAAGGAGGATCAATGGGGAGACAAGCCATGAGCCGCACTCCCTGGAGAGCCAAAGGGCTAGCAGGCAGAGGAAGAGGGTGGCAGGAGGGTGTGGCTGAAGTCAAGCAGGAGAGCAGCTTTGGGGAATGGAGACCAGGATGGGCTTCCTGGAAGAGAAGTAAGGGAAGTGAGGGAGCCAGTCTGCTGCCCACCAGACCAGAGTTCACTGGGCGGGAGGGAGCTGGGAATAAAGACACAGGACCCAGCAGTCCCTCTTCCTCCTCCTGCCCTCCCACTGCCACCCACACAAAATCAGCCATGGGACACTCAGGAAAAGGAGAGTCCTCAAAACGAAGACAACAAGAGACAGAGAAAAGGCAGCAGATATTTAGATGTGTATCTAAATATCAGGGGCAATAGACACATATCCCCCATTCTGACCTCACATTTACAAATTTAATTCCATATAGATTGTAAGTCTCACCATGAAAGGTGAAATAATAAAACTTTAAGAAAATATGGGAAAAGAAAAAAAAGCACTAAAACCACAAAAGGAAAAAAAAAGGTACATTGAGCCACATGAACATAAGAAGTATTATTCATCAAAAGACACCACTGAGAGGGAAATTCAGACCACAGAAAAGACATTCATAAGACACGCATTTGGCAAAGGACTTGGGCAAATCAACAAGAAAAATCCAATAAATCCAGACAATTCAAAGAAATGGGCAAATGACTTGGACAGGTACTATGCAGAAGAGGATAGCCGCGTGGCTAGTAAACAGATGAAAAAATGGTTGATATCTCCCACAGGGCAATGCAACACCCTGCACACGTGAGAACTACTGACGTGACAAAGGCAGTACCCAGCGTGGAAGGGAGTGCAACATGAGCTCTCATCTCTATTGAGAAAGCGTTCACTCATCCATTCCAGAACAGGGTTTGCAGGATCTACTGATGCTGAGAACACATCTCCCTATGGCCCAGAAACCCTGTTCCTAGGCATTCACACAACAGCAACGAGTATGTGTGTGCATCCAAAGACAAATCCACACATCATCACAACAGCAAGATTCATAGTTGCCAAAATCTAGAAACAACCCAATGCCCACCTACAGTAGAATGGATCCCTAATTGCGGTGTGTTCACACAGTCAAAGCTATACCGCAACAATGAAGATGAACAAGTTTCAACTAGACACAACAAAAGGGATTTATCTCACATATAATGGTGAGCAAAAAAAGCAGGCACAAAAGCGCACACAGTGTGGCTCGGTGTATGTGTGGTTCAAAATTGTGCTGTTCAGACGTGGGAGGTGGGTCCTGTTGGAATGCGGGTTAAGGACAAGTAGGAGGCACGAGGGGCTTGCAGGATGTGGGAGAGGTGCTATTCCTTCTTCTGTATCCTGTTTGCCTGGATGTGTTTCATTTGTGACGATTCACTGAGCTGTGTACTTAGAATCTGTTCATTTCCCTTCTATCTGTTTGTAGTGGGCCGAATGGGGACCCCCTAAAACATAGGTCCACAACCTAGTTCCCAGAATCTTTTATGATGAGAATCAACCCTACCTGATATGGCAGAAGATGTGATTATGGTGAGGATCTTGAAAGGAGGAATTTATCCCGGATTACCCACGTGGGCTGGAAACCTAAAATGAGAGCCTCCTTGTAAGAGAGAGAAAAGGCCACACAGCGACACAGAGAAGACCATGTGAAGATGGAGGCAGAGCTTCAAGGGATGTGGCCACAAGCCAAGGAGCTCCCGGAGCACCCAGAGCTGGAAGAGGCAGGAAGGATCCTTCCTTGGGGCCTTCGGAGTGAGCACAGCCCCGCTGAATTCAGACTTCTGGTTTCCAGAACTATCAGGATACATTTCTAAGGCTGGGCACGGGTGGCTCATGCCTGTAATCCTAGCACTTTGGGAGGCCAAGGCGGGCAGATCACTTCAGTTCAGGAGTTTGAGAGAATAAATTTCTGTTATTTTAAGAGACCATGTCTGTGGTCATTTGTAAAAGCAGCTGCAGGAAACCGATCCACTCTTCTACTTCAATGAAATGAGGAAATTAAACAGTAAAATCGAATTCTGCCTGGGCCCCACTCTAGGCCAAGTAAGTCAGAACAGGCTGGGGAGGGCCTGAGCATTAGGCGGCTCCCATTCCCGGGTGGCGCCCAGGGTTCCCCGGGCTCAAGAGGCTTCACCAGGAAGGGAGACTCCCTGCTGCCTCGGGCCCCTGAAAAGGTCCTCAGGGACATGGGGCAGGGGGGTTGGGGGCACCAAAGTGGCCAGGACCACTCGGCCGGGTTTCCAGGCCGCACTAAGACCCTTCTGAGGTTTGCAATCATGAATCGTAAGTGAGCCTCAGCCAGATGTGTAACTGTCTCCTGCGATGTTCAGATCCTCAGGGTAGATAAATGTGTTTAATCAGAGCTGGGATGTTTCCAAGTGAATTATAAAAGAGAGGGAAGAGGGCAAGGGAATTGAGGATGCTCAAAAGAAGGAATGACATCATGAGCCACAGAATCTTAGCTGGGTAAGAAAGGAACTAAGGGTGGAGGGAAAGCTAGGGAGCAGAAATGAGGTAAGAAGAATGAATGGGGGCCAGAAAGCACCACAGTGGGGGCTCACCCAGGAGGCTGGGCAGGCGGAGGCAGTCAGAGAGGGAGGCAGAGGCTGGGGGAAGACAGGCTGAGGTTCAGCCTCAGAAGAAGGAAGCAGAGGCTGGAGGGGGACAGGCTGAGGGTCTGGACATGGAAGAAGGAGGCAGAGACTAGGGAGACAGGCTGAGGTTCAGCCTTGGGAGAGGGAGGCAGAGGCTGGAGGGGGACAGGCTGAGGGTCCAGACATAGAAGCAGGAAGCAGAGGCTGGAGGGAGACAGGCTGGGGGTCCAGCCTCGGGAGAAGGAGGCAGAGGCTGGAGGGAGACAGGCTGAGGTTCAAACACGGAAGAAGGAGGCAGAGGCTGGGGAGAGACAGGCTGGGGGTCCAGCCATGGGAGAAGGAGGCAGAGGCTAGGGAGAGACAGGCTGGGGTCCAGCCATGGGAGAAGGAGGCAGAGGCTGGGGAGAGACAGGCTGGGGGTCCAGCCACAGGAGAAGGAGGCCACAGCGTGCCAGGAAGGTGGTTAGAGCTGTGAGGAGGTCCCACAACAGAGACCAGGCATTCAGCAGATTATCCTCAAGGAGACCAATGACCTAAAAATGGTGCCAGGAAGGAAAATGAAAGGAACACCATGACCAGGGTCCGGAGGCTCAGGGAATGAGGGAGTGGTCCTGTAGGTCAGGGATAAGAGCTATGGGACATGGGCTTAGATGGGCTTTGTGTCTGGCAGAGGGTGAAAGAGAGCATGTGGACAAGGCCACAGGGAGGGGAGCAGGGAGGGCACGCCTCAGTGGCAAGAGAGGGAACAGCCTCCCTTTGAGAACTCAGAGGATGGCCGACTTGTGTGAAGGGGACACTCAGAGAAGAGGTGAGGATGCTGCAATGCTTTCTACACCCAGGTCTGCAAAGCTTACTGAAAAGTAATACATCACTGCTCTTTAGCTGTAGGAATTCTACTATCTTGGTATACTTATGAAATAGCCAAAGAAAGGCAGCTTTCCAATCCTTCACCCCTGAAAGTTCACAAACTCAGTCTACGTGACATCACTGCGTCTTCAAAGCAGGTCCTCCCAGAGCTCACCCTTCTAAATGCAGAAACTGGCCAAGTGGAGCTAGGAGTCTGTGTCATTTCCTAGGACATTCCCAGGGTCCCTATTGTGTGACAGCTACTAGGAAGGCACACGAGGCACCAAGTTCCTCCGCAGGAGACCCCTCTCCCCTGGCGGTTCTCTGCTGGCACTGAGCCACTGTGTGCAGCCGTGATGCCCAGGCAGGCCCTCACCCCAGGTACCTCTGGGGCCTCCTGGGTGCTGCAGCTTCTTGCTGGGCTGTTCATGGAACAGGTTGCCCTTGGTGCCTACATGTCCCGCCCTCAGCACCAGCTCCTGTGAGGGCAGGGACCCCAATGCCCTCGACCTAAGGCTCTCCCTTCTTTCCTGTCTGCCCCATGGCCATCCTGGAAGGCATCACCAACAGAAAGCCATTCCAGAAAGCGTCCTCTCTGCCCAGATGGACGCAGCTGCCCTGTGTGAGCTCCAGGCTACCATCTAATGACATCTTATCTTCTTCCTGAAACCAAGATACCCCTGGCTGGTGGAAAGTGAATGGCCTTGGAGTCGAAAGAGACTCTTTCGGGCAACCTGTTGTGTTCGTTTCTTGTTGCTGTTGTAACAAGTCATCACAATCTTAGCAGCTTAAAACAACACTAGTTTATCATCTTGGGATTCTGTAGGTTAGGAGTTCCAAAGCCGGTCTCACTGAGCTAACCTGAAGGTGTCAGCAGGGCTGGTTCCTCCTGGAGGCAAGGGGTTGGCCGGGGCGGGGTGGGGGTGGGACTTCTGCTCCATTGCCTTTCCAGCTTCTAGAGGCCACCCACATTCCTTGGTCCTCTTAAGCCAACAGCCTTGTGTTTCTCTGACCATGCCTCTGTGCCCAGGCTCCCCCTGACTCTCCTCTTCCACCTTCCTCTCCCACTTCTAAGGACCCCTGTGATTACATGGGGCTACCCAGATAATCCAGGGGCATCTCCCTCTTTTAAAGTCAGCTGATTAGCAACCTTAATTTCATCTGATTCTCCTGCACCACATAACCTAACGAATCCAAAGGTCCAGGGGATTAGGAGGTGGACCTCTTTGGAGGGCCATTATTCTGCCTACCACACCTCAAATGCAAGCCGTCTTCTTTTCCAGGCTTCTATTATTTCACTTGGTTCCTGACATGGTAAGGGAAAAAGGGGTTTCCCTGGCAGCACATGCTGCTAAAGCGGTTGAGGGTCCCTCCTCCACAACTGCGTGGCTTTGTACACAAGCAGTTCCAGCAAGCAGGGAGAGCTCCAGAAACACAGTTGCCAAAGAGACTGAAGTTCTAAAATTCACGGTAGGAGACTAACATGCTCCTGCAGGACAGCAGTACAGGCATTTCTGCAAACACATCTTTTTTTCTGTTTTCCCATGCTTCGATCCAGAGTCTCTAGATTAAAGCGTTTTCACCATGGTACCCAAGGAAGCACAGATAAAGGCTCCCCAGATATATGTGTGCATGTGCTTATGTGTATGCACACGTGTGTTTGTGTAAGGGAGAGAAGTTTCAGCAGCCACTTGTGATGACAAAGTATAGGCATGCACCAAATAACGACGTTGTGGTCAGTAGGCACCAAGTATATGACGCTGGCTCCATAAGGTTACAACGGAGCTGAAAAACTCCCACTGCCCAGTGATGTTGTCGCCATAGGAACACGGCACACTGCGTTAGTGATGCTGTAGTCATAGGAACACGGCACACCGCGTTGCTCACATTTGTGGGGAGGCTGGTGTCAACAAACCTGCTGCACTGCCAGTCGTAGAAAAGTGTAGCACATACCGATTATCTACAGTACATCATACCTGATAATAATAATAAATGCATATATTACTGGTTTAAGCATTTACTATACTTTTATCATTATTTTAGGGTATCCTCCTATCTATGGTGTACTCCTATTTATTTTTTTTTTAAAGGTAACTGTAAAACAGCCTCGGACAGGTCCTTCAGGAGGTATTCAGAGGCACTGTTGTCATGGGAGATGACAGCTCCATGCGTGTCACTGCCCCTGAAGACATCCCAGGGGGGCAAGATGTGGAGGTGGGAGACAGTAATATTGATGATCCTGACTCTGTGTAGGCCTAGGCTCATGTAGGTTAGCCTAGATGATAGGTTTGTAATGTAGGTTAGCCTGTGTTTGTGTCTTAGTTTTTAACAAAAAAGTTTAAAAAGTAAAAAAATAAAAAACTTAAAAGCTTATAGAATAAGGATGTAAAGAAAGCAAATATTTTTGTACAGCTATACAATGGGTTTGTGTTTTAAGCTAAGTGTTTTTCCAAAAGAGTCAAGTTACAAAGAATTTCAAAGTTTATAAAGTTAAAAATGTACACTTAGTTAAGTATATTATTGAAGAGGAAAACATTTTTAATAAATTTCACGTAGCCTAAGTGTCTGGTGTCTATAAAGTCTACAGTAGTGTATAGTAATGTCCTAGGCCTTCACATTCACTCACCACTCACTCCCTGACTCACCCGGAGCAACTTCCAGTCCTGCAAGCTCCATTCATAGTAAGTGCCCTGTACAGGTGAACCATTTTCTCTTCTTTTTTTTTTTTATTTTAAGTTCTGGGATACATGTGCAGAACATGCAGGTTTGTTACATAGGTATATATGTGCACACATATGTTTCTTGCAGCACTATTTACAATAGCAAAGACTGGAACCAACCCAAATGCCCATCAGTGATAGACTGGATAAAGCAAATGTGGCACATATACACCATGGAATACTATGCAGCCATAAAAAAGAACAAGATCATGTCCTTTGCAGGGACATGGATGAAGCTGGAAGCCATCATGTTTTGTCTTTTGTACAGTATTTTTACTACACCTTTTCTATGTTGCGATACACAAATACTCACCATTGTGTTGCAATTGCTTCCAGCATTCGGCACAGTCACCTGCTGCGTGAGTTTACAGCCTGGGAGCAACAGGCTCTCCCATAGAGCCTAGGTGTGTGGCAGGCTGCACCATCTAGGTGTGTGTAAGTACATGCTACGATGTTTGCACAACAACAAAATCACCTAACGACGGGTTTTTCCTAATGTATTCCTGTCACTAAGTCGTGACTGTGTTTGTAAATCCCATTTCACCAGCCGGTGCATACATGCATTTCTTTTATCCCCCTACCAACGCCAAAACACACCTACATTTGGCATTTGTTTTCCTCTGCTAATGGCTGCACAAAGGAAAAGTCTTTTCTTTTCAGTTTGCTCACTGATGCTGCTGCTGTGTCCCCATAGGAAAGCAGGGGTCCCACCGGGCGGGTCAGAGGGGACCAGTCTCTGGTTTCCTGAGCTCCCTGCAGCCATGGCTCCAAGCTCCGCACCGCACAGGTGATCCCACCCATCCTGGGCCCCAGTTTGGAGAAACTGTCACAACCATTGAGGAGAATTAGGAGAGACACAATAAGCATGCCTATGAGTGTGGCATACATAAAAAGTCTAGAAGGACACTCAATAAACTCAATAAACAGCCTTAGTGGTCGATCTCTGCAGAGGGGGCCAGAGAGCTGGGAGCTCAGAAACATGATGAACCAAAGCAGACACTTCCCCGTGCCATTTCTGGGAGGGCTGATTGGTGACACTTTTTTGGGTCACAGTTTGGTAATAATTAGCAACATTTAAGTACACATAATTCCATCTTAAGAAATTAATCCCAAGGGACTCCACAGATGCCAGTCCAGGACAATGAACAATGGCATACCCCATGGCACTGCTGGCATCCTAGAGTCTAAGCACATTGCGGCTCCTCCATGCCATGGGCACCACCGACGGGCCTGCCAGCCTGCCCCTGCTGACAAAGATTTGCAAAGGTATTTCAAACGAAAAAAGCAAAACCCTGAAGGGTGTGTATAATGCGATCCTCTATGTATTTTTCTAAGCACAAACCTGAATATTACGCGTAGAGGGCATCTGGTCTGCCTGGGAGGATGTCCATGGTTAAAAACACTGAGGCTGGGTCTGGAAGCTCTGCACCATTCACATTTTTCACCATGAAAAACAAGTGTGCGAAACAGCAGTGTTAAGTACGCTATCTGCTTTTGCTCGCTGCACAAAAATAACATTTGTACAAACAAAAGACTATTTAAGCTTAACAAG
This sequence comes from Homo sapiens, assembly GCF_000001405.40. Classification (NCBI taxonomy): domain Eukaryota; kingdom Metazoa; phylum Chordata; class Mammalia; order Primates; family Hominidae; genus Homo; species Homo sapiens. Next base: position 6,359,408 of record NC_000005.10, read on the forward strand.
AGCAGCAATAAAAAACAGGTCCAAATCGATCCTGTGTATGCCCAGTTTCTGTAATGGAGGGCTCTGTGCTGAGTAAGCTCTCTGGTTTCACACTGTGCACAGTTAATAAATGGTTATTAATAATAGCAATGATAATGGCCTCCACGTGCTACTGAAATGCAATTAGTTTCACAGTGGAGCATGCTACACATCTGAGGATGAACATTCAATTTTCACTCACATCCCAAACTTTTAAGTGGTCAGACCAACAGTTTGCATAAAAGGCCCTCCTGTGTGTTGCACTGTGTCTTAATTTCATAACTCGACCGCACCCCGGGCCCCAGCTGCTGCTTTTGATTAAATCAGTGGACGACTGTATTAACATCCCTTTGGGACTCTGACACTCCAGGCTGCATGTGGCTGCAAATTAATAAATGCTGGGGCACAAAGAGACTGCCCAGAGGGCACCTTAAAATACGTGCCTCTTCCCCTAACATATCTTGGGAGAAAAAGAAGCGTCCCTGGAGGGTTGATGGGGTGGACACGCAGAGTGAGCACGGGAGCGCAGGCAGGGAAGGGACCATCTCTTCCTCATCAGCAGCCCCTCTGCAGGCAGGTGGCTGAGAAAGGCACAGGAAAAGGGCTCAGGGCGTTTTCAAGAGGAAGGCTGGGCAGGAAGGAGAGGGGAGAGAGCTGGAAGGAGGAGGCAGGATGTGGCAGGCCCTGGGGCCGTCTTTGCATCGAGCCACCTCCCCCAACCTTGAGAAGAGGAACAGGAGGTTAGGAACAGATGATGGCCCATGAAAAGGTGAAAATAAACTAGCTGTGATGCGTTAAAGAGGGTGACGCCTACGAGTCCTGCAGCCACTGCAGGCAGAGGAGGCCCTGCTTCCCTGACCCATCTGCCTGCGGCTGCAGGTGGCACCTCACAGTGGCTGTGCCTCCCAGGACTCCAGCTTGAGACTCGGGAATCCTCCCACCTGGAGAATCGGGAAGACTCCTGCTTGCTTTTCCAGTCGGATTATTTACCTCGGTCCCGCCAGCATCTATGCCCTGACTTGAGACTACTCTAGGCAGAGGCGAAGGTGAGGCCAGCCAGGGAGGCAGCAGCCGTGGATGTGGGCAGGGCCATGGACGGACAAAGCAGCTCCTCTGCAGCTCCCGGACGCAACCTCTGGTGAGCACTGTCACCAACCATGCCATTCCTCAGCACTCCCAGAGGGAGCCTGCAGACAGCCCCGCGTGGATGGCTGCTGCTTCTTATTCCAAACTCTGTCTAGACTGAGGCGCAGTGCTGGGCCTTGCGCTCATCAGATAAACTAAACTTGAAAACTCACAATGACGCATCCGGGGTTTAAATTTACTTACATGAAATTCAATTTTTAGCCTTAAGTCACTCCTACAAAGTAAGTTTCTACAGGAAAGGGCCAACATGAGCACCCAGTGAATGGAAATCCAGGCCATCCTCATCCTGAAGGTGCCAGAGCAGGCCCCGCCGGCTGCCTGAGAGCTCCCATTCCTTGTCAGTCCCCTCTGCCCCTGCCTGCCTCAGTTCTCTGCCCCTGCCTGCCTCTGTTCTCTGCCCCTGCCTGCCTCAGTTCTCTGCCCCTGCCTGCCTCTGTTCTCTGCCCCTGCCTGCCTCAGTTCTCTGCCCCTGCCTGCCTCTGTTCTCTGCCCCTGCCTGCCTCTGTTCTAAGGACTGTAAGAGCTAAACCTAAGATCACTCGACTCCCTCGTAATCGGGGGCGGGGGGCCATGCGACAGTGTTCTTGTCCATGAGATGTGAGCAGAAGTCCATGAGAAAGACAGCCCTTCCAGAATAAAATGGCAAAGCTTCCACAGGAGAAATCTTTTTGCCCGTCGGCCTTTGCCCTCCCTCTATGTTATTCCTGCCTGGAATGCAAACGTGATGCCTGGAGGTGCAGCAGCCATCTTGTAATGTGAGGACAGAACCCATGCTGAGGATGGCAGAGCAGACAGGTGAGCCTGGGTCCTGGCTGATGCCTGTGAGGAGCTACTGCTGTCTGGGCAGACAGCTTAGCATTGCTGTTGCAGGAGAAAAATTAATTTCTATCTTTGCATCTCATTCTTAGCTGAACCTTTCCTAATTTGCAGCAAACCTACATGAAACAGTAAAGGACAATCACAGTTAAAATAAATACAACACATATGTGTAAATATACGTTTATAATTATTTTTGGTGCATATTTAAATTAAGGGAGAGAAGTTACGTAAAATTATTTTCAAAATTTTAAGGTATGATGGACATTATTATCCTGTATAAGATGGCTCACTCCTAAAAAAACCTGGAAAACTTCAACGATAGTGGAAAAACAGAGACGCTTTTTAATCCATCATGAAAAATCCTAGCACAAGCCCAAGTGGAAACACTATTCCCCAACAGAAATGCAAAGGCAGAAAAGCCCCCTGAAAGAGGGATCCTAGCAGTCAGCCTTCCTCCTACTGAAAGAGGGATCCTAGCAGTCAGCCTTCCTCCTACATGACTGCCTTAATTGTTGGGCAGTAAATGGCTTTGTAGAATGTAACGTGGTCACAAAACCCCAAGGAGCCAACTGCAGAAGGAGAGGCAAGCAGACCCAGTGCCAAGCAGAAGAGGGCAGGGCCATGAAGGAAAACCAAGGGACATGTGACCGCCTGAGCACCAGAGAAGCCCCAGCTACAACCGGTACTCAAGGGGCAGCCCCACCTCTCTGCTGCTTTGCTGATTCCTGATTCTGAGCAAAGGATGCTATAAATAAAGCTAGAAATAAATATTCCACCAGTGTATCCCTTGTTTTCCCAGCCTCTCTTCCAAATTTCCTCTTCATGCTCAGCTGCAGGGTGAAGCTGACCTCCTTCCTGCTCTCATGATCATAACGGCTCTGCTGTGAAGACCGCAGCTACGGGGATCTTGTGACCTCAATTGGTCCGTACCCACATGGAGGTAATGGCCAATCTGTCTCCTTTCTCTATATGTCTGAAAGAAAATAATAAACTGACCTGAGCTTGGGCTCATCTAAGCATGCTGTTGTGTGCCAGGGAGACTTCTCAGTGTCACCATCCTCATCCCCATCTTCATGGAACCAGGGCTAAAGGTCCGGCAGACATGTTAGAAGATGCAATGTGCAAAAAAAAGGAAAAAAAATTAGACAGTTGCTCTGGGAACCAAGGCTAGCAATCAAACAGTAAAATAAAGACAGGAATAACTGAAGTGACCCTTTATTGACTGATTGCTATTGATTGGCTGATCAATTACTTACCACATCCCCGGCACCAGAGAGAGTAAACGTGTAAGCACATGCTTTCCTTCTATCAACACTGGGAGTTGTTCTCCCTACTCTAGAAGTGCCCCAGCTGAGAGAAGCCCCCAGGCCATACAGCAAGGAATAGGCCAAATTGGGCCCTAAACTGACGCCTGCCAGTTCTCCCTGCCCAGCCGGGACCACAGGCTGCAGCACAAGGTCTCCACCATCAGACATCACTTTGAGCTGAAGACAAGTCAGGCCTCAGAAACCCAGCCAAACCAGGTAAGGCCTACGTGGGGAGCCCCCAAATCAGGGCGGGAAGCCCCCAGATCACGGTGGGAAGTGAAAGAGGGGCTGGTGATTCAGCACGCAGCACAGCCAATCACTGAGAGGTCCACTATCTGGCCATGGGCTGAGCAAGGGGGTCCTGGGCCTGGGAGCTTGCTGGGAGCCACCTCCCAGGTCATTCATCTGTGCTGCCAGGGCCGGGCTGTGTCTGAGCTGAACACTTCAGTAAGCACCTGCTTAACACAATGGTGTCCAAATCCCCCAGGGCTGCAGCTCTCTACAGCGTGTGTGCCTTCTGTACCATCCCCCGCCTCATCCATCCTTGGGCTCTTATATTATTTTTCTGGGGATGCTGTAACAAATCATCACAAGCTGAGTGGCTAAAAAGAACAGAAATTTAGTCTCTCGTGGTTCTGGAGGGGAAAAGTCAGAAACTAAGGTGTCAGCAGAGCTGTGTTCTCTCGGAAGGCTCCACGGCAGGGTCCTCCTGGATTCTTGCAGCTTCCGGTGACCCTGGAGCTCCTTGGGGTGCCTTGGCTGGCAGGTGCATCAGTTTCATCAGCTGATCGGCCACTGCCTCACCTGGCATGCTCTCCTGTGTGTCTCTGTTTTCTCTTATAAGAACACAAGTCATTAGACTTAGGGTTTACCGTAATCCAGTATGACATCGTTTTAACTTAACTGGCTACATCAGCAAAAACTTGAGTTCCAAATAAAGTCACAAAAGTGGGCGAAGGACATGAACAGACACTTCTCAAAAGAAGATATTTATGCAGCCAAAAAACACATGAAAAAATGCTCATCATCACTGGCCATCAAAGAAATGCAAATCAAAACCACAATGAGATACCATCTCACACCAGTTAGAATGGCAATCATTAAAAAGTCAAGAAACAACAGGTGCTGGAGAGGATGTGGAGAAACAGGAACACTTTTACACTGTTGGTGGGACTGTAAACTAGTTCAACCATTGTGGAAGTCAGTGTGGCGATTCCTCAGGGATCTAGAACTAGAAATACCATTTGACCCAGCCATCCCATTACTGGGTATATACCCAAAGGACTATAAATCATGCTGCTATAAAGACACATGCACACGTATGTTTATTGCGGCATTATTCACAATAGCAAAGACTTGGAACCAACCCAAATGTCCAACCATGATAGACTGGATTAAGAAAATGTGGCACATATACACCATGGAATACTATGCAGCCATAAAAAATGATGCGTTCATGTCCTTTGTAGGGACATGGATGAAATTGGAAACCATCATTCTCAGTAAACTATCACAAGAACAAAAAACCAAACACCGCATATTCTCACTCATAGGTGGGAATTGAACAATCAGATCACATGGACACAGGAAGGGGAACATCACACTCTGGGGACTGTTGTGGGGTGGGGGAGGGGGGAGGGATAGCACTGGGAGATATACCTAATGCTAGATGACGAGTTAGTGGGTGCAGCGCACCAGCATGGCACATGTATACGTATGTAACTAACCTGCACAATGCGCACATGTACCCTAAAACTTAAAGTATAATAAATAAATAAATAAATAAATAAATAAAAATAAAAATAAAAATAAATAAAGTCACATTCTGAGGTTTCAGGTGGACACGATTCACGATTTTGGGGGAAGAACCATTCAACCCAGTCCAGGCTCCCATGTGCAAACTTCCCCAATTGCCCTGCCTTATCCCTAAGTCCCTAAAAGACTGGATGACTACACACACACACACACACACACACACACACACACACACACAGATGCATGCACATGGAGCTTGTAAGTACATACATATGGATACACACATATGTGTGTATATATATTGTCATATTGAAATGAATTAGCTCTATTACTTAGAGGCTGCCTTCTAAACAGAACCGGGAATCTGGGACTGGAGCAGGAACCAAAACAGGGTTCCTTGAGGTCCCTGCTCCTAATGCAGCTCTTTGGCAGCTGGAAGAAATGGCATCTTCCATGCAGGGGTTACTGATCACCTTGGCACCTGCATTCCCACTCACACTCTGCCTGAACAACCATCCCAATACATTCCACTGCTCGCCCCAACCAGCAATGAGTACAGCCCCAGTGGTTTCAGGGTGTGACGTGCTCAGAGCTCCTGCAAGCTGAAGGTGAGACCAGCACACACAGCACGGCCCACCTAGTATCGCGCAGCACGAGGCAAGTCACCTTCCCCATCTCCCTCAGTACCCCCTGCCCTCCACCTCTAGCACATTCTCTCTGATGGAATGACCAAAGGCAGTCTGAGCAGCAGACGCCTCCTCCCAGCAAAATCCAGGCTGCAGTTGGCCTACTGCATGTGTGACCCCGGAGATGTCCCTTCCCTGTTCGGGACCCTGGCTCCCCTCTGTGAGTGGAATGGGTCTGGGGATAAACGAGGTACCATCCCTCAAACCTGCGCACAGTGCCCGATCCAGAGTCAGTGATCAACACCTCTTACTGTGGAACAGCTCCAGGGTCTCTCCACAGAGTTGGAGATGCTGGTCTTGGGCTCCCGAGGACAATGGCAGCTGGCACTGCCCTCTGCAGTGGCGCCATCGAAGCTGCTACATCTGCCTCCAGAGCCAAGCCCTGTGATGAGGCCAAGCCTCAAACGGCAGGATCATCGGGGCAACCGCAGGGACACTGTCTAGCAGACCTGGGCTTTGACAGGGCTCCAGAGAGGGATGGAGGAGCTGGGTCCCCAGCTGTGTCCACCCAGGTAAGGGAACACCCCCAGATGGGTCAGCTTGGGCACCTCAAACCACGTAGACTTCATGACTGTTTTGGAGGAATCTTTTTTTAAGTCTCAGCTTCAGCATTTGAGTACACATGGTGCGTGCAAGCCTTCCAGTATCAAAGTGGATGGAGCACAGGGCTGTGAGTCACAGGATGCTGCTGGACACCCAGCCCCTCCCTGACCAGCCACACGCCCATGGCCAGTCAGCCAGCCCCTGAAAGGCTGGGTTTATGTTGATACTAAAAAGTTGCTATTGAGTTTATTCAAAATAATAATGTTCTGCCTACAAAACACCTGGCTTAGCAATCAGCTTGGTGATGCAACCGCTATGCCATTCGGCCTGCTTGTAAGCAGGGTATTCATACTTCAGAGGGCTCTAGTCTCCAAAAACCAGTGAGAACGATGCCATCTGCATCTGTGCCAACACGGCAGTGTGGTGATGCTTCAGGTCTGTGTACGATAAATCACTGCAGCTAGACAGTCCTCAAATTAGAACTGGCCTCCTCTATCTTTCCAATGTGTTTAAAATTACACGGGCACGTGCATCCCAACTCTGTGTTTGCCGTGCACTTACCAAAAACAAACAGCCCAGTATGTGTGTGGCTTTGAAACTGTATGTGTATAAATGACAAGCTGGAGCTTCTGTCTGTGTCTTCCGTGGAGAACCTGTACTTACCAGCTCAGGAAGGGGGCACTGACCTCCACCTGGGAAATGAGGAAGTTCAAGTCTTCCTCTGGCAGAGCGTCCTCAGGGGCTTCCTGCCACACTGCTGGGGACACAGAAATTCTCCCCATGCCTCCTGCCGGCAGCGACCTATGCACACACCTCTCCTGCCCCATGGCCTGGTGGTCCCACACACTGCAGCCCGTCCTACCCTCAGAGGATCTGCACTCCCGCAGTTCTGCTGAAGCGCGTGTATGCCAGGGCCATCTGCAAAAATTCTGGCTTTCTCAGCTGTGTGACTCCCACTGCCACCCACAGTATTTCTTCCTTATCACCAAGTCATGTCATTTGTTTTCTTTTTGTGTCATTTAGTTATTTTTCTTCCAAAAACACAGAAGAGAATCTTTTGGTACAAAGAAGAAGACAAACACTGCTGCTGGTTCTTTAAACACCCAGACTTACTTGTGTTATAGAATTTGAGGCCAAATGCATACATCAGTTTGCTCATTCGTTTAACAATTGATATGTACCCATTACGTCTCAGTCACTGTGATAAGTCCAGGGTATAGTAGTGGACGAGGCTGGTGTGGTCCAGACTCTTAAGGAGATGACAGTCTTGAAGGTCAGATACTTCCTCTGTAACTCTGAGAGCTACCTTTGATACTTATTGGATGTCAAAGGAGAGTTTGACAAACAGACCAGCACTGGTCTGAGGTGTCAGAGAAGGTGAGATAACAGAAATGACTTTTACACTGCAACCTGAAAGATGCGCACAGGTGAGCCAGGAAAGAGGTGAGTTATGTGGAGGTGTGGTGGACTGAGAGGATGAAATACGAGTATGACTGGAGTGAAAATAAATAAATAAAAGCAAGGAAATGGGGTATTTAGGAGACTTAGTGATGGCAATGATACCAGGGCAGGGGAAGAGGGAGGGACAGAAAGGAGGCAAAGATGATATGACCAGCTGAAAGTTCATGCCACTTTCTGAGGCAGACACAGAGGGAGACTTGGGTAGGAAACGTATCTGTGTAATTTTAGAGACACTGAGTTGGAGGTTCCTGGGGAATAGCAGAGGGGGAAAAAAATGGAAGTTGGGTTACAGAAGTGTAGGACTCATTTAGGCTGGGCTATAAACCTGGAATCTCAGCACAGGATGGTAACCGGTGCCAGGGAATAGATGAGCTTGTCCAGGGAGAGGGTGGGTAAGGAAAGATGCCTCGAGGAACCCAAACCTGAACCTCTGCTGGAGCATGCTGTTTAGAAGTCAAGGAAAGAGAGGGCTCTCCGGAAGCTGTGCTGGTTGGAATGGGGTCTGGATTCAGCATTTTAATAAGCTCCTTGGTGGTTCTGCCACGAGTAGGCAGAAGTCTGCCTTGGAGAAACTCATTCAGATGGAGCTTGGACAAGGCCGACCCTCAGCTAATGTTGACTGAATCAACGTGTTTTGTAATTATGTATTTGTCCGTCTTTCTGTATCAATACATACAGATCTTCATTCCTTCATTCATGTTAGTCATAGCACAGTTATCCAGCAAATGGATAAAGCACGATTTATCTAAGCCATTATTAATGGACATTCAAGTTATTGCTTGAATATAATGTAAAATTTATATAATGTAAAATTTATATAATGTAAAAATTAACACCTGCCTATTCTTCTGCTGGGTTTTCTTATTTGTGAAAGAGCTCTGCATAGTAGTCATGAAGTTCCTTGTGATATGTATAATAAGTATTACAACTGGGCTCAGTGGCTCACACTTATAATCTCAGCATTTTGGGAGGCCAAGGAGGGAGGACCACTTGAGGCCAGGAGATTGAGACTAGCCTGGGCAATATAGTGAAACCTGATCTTTACAAATGAAAATAAAAAACATTAGCTGGGCATGGTAGTGCACACCTATAGTCCCAGCTACTCAGGAGGCTGAGGTGGGAGGATCCCTTGAGCCCAGGAATTTAAGATTACAGTGAGCTATGATTGTGCCACTGCACTCCAACCTGGGCCAGAGTGAGTCCCTGTCTCTATTTTTAAAAAAAAAAAAAAAAAAAAGAACTTTCTTAGCTTTTTTGCCTTTTGAGTTTATGGTGTTTTTAGCCTTATGTTATTTATTTTTTTCTAACAGCTATACAGCCAAATGTATCGATCTTTTCCTTTGTAACTTCTTAGGTTTGTGATACATTTAAAAAGTTTAAGAAGTGGTACACCTGCCACCTAACGTCACCTGAGTCTTGACAGAACCAAGGACTGTATATTGTCGAACTCCCTTGGGGCAATGGCACCTCTGTCACTTGGACAGATGGGTCACTTCTGTGCAGGTGAGTGGCAGGAAACACAGCAGGCTCACCTGGCTATACAGGGTAAACATGTGACCTCGTTTGTAGCCAGCACCTGTATTGTCACTGACTGTAGAAATATTTTAATGAGGCACTCATATATATTTGATAGGATTCAAAAAATGGAAATAAAAAAAGAACACAGAAAACTGATAAACTACTCAGTGACATTACTGATACTCCCCAAAGATGAGCGCTTCCCCTTGTACCTAACACCTGGTTATTTCAGGACTTGAGCACAATAGAGACAGATGGTATCACAATCCTAATCAAGTGTAACTCCAACAGCTCAACTTCCAGGAATTTACCCTAAATAACAATTGAACAAGTGGAAGATGTATGGTCAAAGATAATAACTTCATATTAGTGAAGAACTGGGAAGCACACAGGTACCCAATGGGAGCTGATAAACTAAGCCCAGGAGAGCCACAGTCTTGTGACGTGGCAGGCACAGGCCCAGCTCTCCCATTCGTTAGCTGGGTGACCTGAGCAGGCGCCTCAGGTCCCTCATCTGTAAACCTCACCGATTTACTGTGGGAATTGAGGCAATGCATGGAAAGTGCTTAACCTGTGTCCAGCATGTAAATAACAACACATCTGCTGTTAGCACATTAATGGAACGCTAAATATTAAAATTATGTGAGAGGAAGTTTGAGTTGCCCAGATTTCATGGCATCCTGTTAAAAGAATAAAGGTTACCAACTCATGTGCATAGTAATAATTCCACATCTAGTTGTTCAGTGTGTGTGCACATCTGTGCAAGAGGAGAACATCTAGATGGATGAAAATCACAATAGTAACAATTTGGGCAGAAATGTGGAGATTTTTGTAGCTCTATTTTTCAGTTTTCTGTAATGAACCCTTCTGATTGTACACCCAAAAAGATAAAGAATGTTCTAGTTCTGTGTAAAGGTGGGGCTTAATTTTCGCTTTTTCATTCTGACCCACAGAGGCAGCACAGATTATCTAGAACAGTGACACAGGCTCAGGCCCTGTTTGAGTCCATACCTGCCTCGTGGTGGTTCAGCGGTGTCCTTGGGCATAACAAAAATCAGTAGGCCCTGGGGCTGTTTGCCCGATCTGTGTCTGCAGGAAGAAAGGGGTGGGGAAGAAGAGGTCAGAAGCAAAGCAGGGATTGGAACGAACTGGGTGGCAATGGGCAGGGGTGATGTGAAGCAGCTGATCGAAATGGCTGATACCGTCCCAGGATGACTCTCGCAATCATTCTTTTAACCAAAATGAGGTCTTTGAGAAGAAGGGATGAAGGGCCAGCCAGGTGTGTGCACCTGAACCCAAGCTCCTCCGGGTGGAGAGCTCTGGAAGGCAGTGTCAGTGACAGTCACAGCATGCCTCGCCGAGTGTCAAACGCGGCCTGGAACCCTCCAGTCCTCTCACACTGACATCAATTCCGAGCTAAGTAGATTCCTCAGCATTTCAGGAGATTTGAAAGTGATGGGCACTTGTGACTAACAGTAATGGCAGGTGGGGTGGAATTAAGGGGCATGTGGCCTGTCACAGTGTCGAGGGGCTCCAACACCTCTTCATTGCCTGGGGACCCACTGTGGTGGTGTCATCAGACACACTGATGAAAGTTAGGAGTTCCAAGGCAGTGCATCCATATACCCAAACTTTTACTCAAAAAAAGACTGGTGAATATTCCAGAATAATGTGTGACAGCTACACCGCCCCTGCTGGGCCTAGGTCAGCAGACTTGTCATGCTGTGGGCTACCAGATACGCATCTCTAGCTGACAGTCACCCTCTCTTCCCAAGGCTCAGACATCAAGATTAAAACAGCTTGAGGCCACCCGATTAACTCAGTCCCAGGATATGTAGAACAGCCCCTACTGCCGGCACATCCTCCATGTTTCAGAGCCCAGGAAGAGGGGACTGTGGACACTTTGGACCCACCCAGAACCAGCACAGAGGGAGGCGAAGCTGCAGGGCTTCGGGCACGTTAAGCCCTGGTGCCCCAGCTTCAACATCAGTAATATAAAGAAAGCCGGACCTCACAGGGCTGGTGAGGGCCAGGTGAGTTGATGCAGGTGAAGTGTGTGGGAAGAGCCCAGCGAGCCGCGTGCCCACATGGCCCTCGTGCAGCAGCCAATAGTCAGCATCCTGATGCCAGAAAAACAAGGCGGAACAGCGATTCAGGCACCCGAACCTGCCAGCAGGGGCCTCCTCTACTCTAGCAGAAATTCTTCCCCTTGGTAGCAGTAGGAGTCCTTTTCTGGTGCTGTTTTGGAGAGAACAGAACTGCTAGCGAGGGACCAGCTTCCTAAGGGGCCTGGCCCCTGACTCTTGGTAAATACGACCCTCCTGGGGAGTATTCTGGACTGAGTTGCATCCCTCCAAAACTCCAGTGTCAAAGCCCTAACCTCAGGACCTGAGAATGCAACTGTATTTGGAGACAGGTTCTTCAAAGAAGTAAGTTAAAAATGGGTCCTTCGGGTGGGTCCTAATACCATCTAACTGCTGTTCTTAGATTCTAAAGAGGTTAGGACACACAGAAGAGACACCAGGGCTGTGACACACACAGAGGAACGACCACGTGAGGTCAAAGTAAGCAGGTCTGCAAGCCAGGGAGGCCTCGGGAGAAACCCACTCTGCAGGCACCGTGAGCTTGTACTTCCAGCCTCCAGAACTGTGGGAAAATACATGTTTGTTGTTCAAACCACCCAGAATGTGGTGTTTTATTCCGGCAGCCCTGGCTAGGATCGAGGCTGGTTCAGGATCGCTCGTAGGAGGCAAATTAACACAGATTCCCAGGGCCCATCCTAAAGCCTGAGGCTCAACACGTCTGAACTGGGGCCCTACCTTAATAACAAGCCTGCCCAGGCCATTCGGACACAGGGGTCTATAGGTCAACCTCCGCACAGGCCGCACTAGGGCCTCAACTCCAAGGGTGGCCCACAGATCACAGAAACAGCACCACCTGCAGTTCATGAAAAATGCAGTTTGCAAGGCCCAACGGACGTGTGAATCCGAACCTGCAGGTTCACAGAATCCCCTCAGGATCTGTAAGCACACTGAAGCTGAAACAGCCCTGCCGGGCGTCTTTCCAGAGTGTCAATAAATTGGTGTACTATAGCCGCTAGGAAAGGTTTGTAGAAAAAATTGGAGTTCTGCATTTTGCTTTAGCTTTTCCTGCCTAAATGCCTGGAAAACAAATTTTCTTATGAATATTACCAACCCTCTGGGAAAGTAATAATTAACTGTTTACAAGACACATTGTATTATATTACAAAAATAATTACATGGAATAAGCCACATACTTAGTTTATTATAGGCATGTCTAATTGAAATCCATGAAAACAGTTACATTTAAAACATTCTTTATGCACTATACTTGAAAATGTAAAATATAATACCACTTAAGTACTTCCCACATTAAACTGATTTTTCTTTTTTTAAAAAAATTTTTCCTAGTCGTTATTTAGCTTTCGGACACCATAATACAATAGAACAGAAAGAGTATGTTAAAAGAAAAATATTAGGTAGAATGTTGTAAAACTTTTAATTTACCCATCATATTTAACATTTCCAAGACTATTTTCCTGCGCCTCATCTGCCCTCAGAGAGAATGATCCCCACAGTGATGAGGGGTCAGCACTCTGAAAGCCAGTTGACGCCAGACAAGCTGCTGGAACAGCTGGGGCACAGCTCCGCCTCTCCTCCAGCCCCTCGGTCCCATGAGGCCAAACAATGAGGACAGAGGGGCTGAGGGGTGTGTCCAGGGCCCAGTCCCACCTCAGCAGGAAGGTGGCGTCAGCACTCGCAGTCCCAGCCTCACGCCGCATCGCAGTCCCAGGGGATCTTCACACAGGGAGGGTGAGCTGGTTAAGAAGGCGGGTGATCCTCCCCCCGGATGCTTCGATACTTAGCCATGTCTTCCGGAAATACTTTAGAAAGTTCTTGAATCAACAGGCTTTTAAATTTCTACAAAGAAAATACATTATCAAAGGAGCTCTTCACATCAACACTCCAATAACTATTTAAAATATGCCTTTTGGAAGTTTAAACACATGGCCCACTAAGCAATACAGGGCCACGGGACTGACCTGAGACTTCCACTGATCTCAGAGAGGAAATGACACCAATAGCAACATATGCAAAAGGAAGCGACACTGCACAGCCCCGGACGTCACCACCAGCAGCACAGTTCTGTACTGCCCAAAGGCACCAGTGTGACAGGAGCCTGCTGGAACTGTAAGCCACGTCCCTGGTGACCCAGTGGCTGTGTTCACATGGAGAGAGACGTTTCTGTTGGCCAATATAATTCTCACTCAGCTTTATCAAGCGAAACGGAACAATCAAAACGAGCGGCCCTCACTATTGATAAGGAGTGCACTGGCTCTGAAGGTGACGCTGGACTCAACAACTCCTCAATCCCAAATGGACAAAACAGAGATGAGGCTGTGGGAGCCATAAGAACAACTATGACAAAACACCACTTCTGAGGTGTGCTGTTTACCACCAGGAGGGGATCACCTGAATGGGATTCTGGAAGCCCTGTGACCTGCCTGTGACTAGGCAGGTCTCCTTCTGACAGCTCCTCCCCTTGCTCCTCCCACTCGGCCAGAGCGCCAAGAGGCCACTGTGTGACCATCCCTGCCTGCGCACATTAGCCATGGCTGAGCACACGTGTCCCAGTCTGGCACCAGGCATCAGTGGGAACAGAACACTCATGTCCTCTGTGATCCTGGAGCTCAAGCAGCCGGCAGAGGAGACAGAACAAACAGAAAAAACAAAATTAAAAGGTAAATCTTGACCAGCATTCTCAAGGAAAGCTTTAGAAAAGGCTGGTCCCAAAGGCCTCTTTGAGGAGGTGAAATCATCTGAAACTGGAAGGATAGAGTCGCTTGTGCAAAGAGAACATGGAAGAGCTCCAGGCGGAGAAGATGACAGGAGAAAAGAACACGAACGAAAGGGTTGGATGTATTCCAGAACCGAAAACCAGGCCGGCGTGGATGGCCGGGAGGAGGAAGAGGCACCTATTGTGAGCTGGGAGGAGAGGAAGGCAGAGGTCCCTGCTGCACACGGCAACAGTCGCATGGCGCCAACAGAAATGAGTGGCCGTTAAGTCCAAATAAAGAAACAAAACACCAATTTGAACTACATTTGAGTCAATTTAAGAAAAAATTACATATTTCATGTTCAAGTGCAGAGAGTTCTCTACATCTCATCAAGGCAAAGAAAAACTAAGTGATCTGGGGAATTTCATGACAATGGATATGGTAAAAAGAAGTTTGGAGGTCAGAAGCTGGACAAAGAGAAAAATCAATATTCAAGAATCCTCTAAAACAAAGAACCATGACTACAGGGAAAGCCTTCAACAGTAGGAATTACTACAGAAATAGAAAGTATCAATGCAATAAAAGTGCATCTTAAAAAAATGAAAATGATCACAGCCAGTGAGAACTACTATCACAAAAATTACTCTGGATTTCCTTAAGAGTAAGATTAGTGTATGTTTTTTATGCTATTACGCAGCTGATATCTAATTTTACTTACTGCCTATTACACAATTCAGAAATCTCAATATGTGAAGTTATGAAAGTCAATATTCTAGCAAGTATGGAAAAAAATGAGTCTCTTAACCAAATTCCACTGAGAAGGCATCTCTTCCCACTGTATTTCTGACACTCCTTAGAGTCTTACCTTCATGGTGTCGATCTTGCCTTTAACTTGCTCATTTTTAGCTAGAGCCCTCTCCAGGCACTCTTTGGTGTAGAGCTGGGGATTTCGACCTTGATCTATATATCTGGAAACACGATATATTTCAATTAGCATTCTCATGACTGACACCTATTCTCACAGCTTTCTGAAAGGTATGGGGGAATAAAGGTTAGGTATATATAACTGCACACGGCCTTGTTTAGACAAAACTCAGTGTAGGAACCAGGGGAATTAATATTCCCTCATTTACACAAGTACAGATCATCTGATTTCATTACTTCTGATAATACGAACAGCTCATAAAATCAAGTAATGATCACTGATAAACCCAAGCACGCTTCACAAGCCATACCACTTTACATGTGTTTAGCATTTGCACTTTTCAAAATTCGTTCATGCTATTTATTACCTTTTTGATCCTTACAGCAGCTTGTATGGTAAGGCAACTCTTGACAAAAGAAAAAACTAAATGAGATCCAGGGGTTCGGGCCTGGGTGACATAGGCGGATCCTTCCACGATGCAGCCTCCATTCTAGGTCAGCCCTGCTGCTTGGCAAAGCCCCTCCTCCTCTGTGGAGGAGCTTCAGGGGAAAGGAAAGGAGAACTACAAGCACAAGAGCCCCAGCCCTGACGACCCCAAGATCCTTTTACAAACCATTCCACTGCTTTAAAAAGAAGAGGCGGCTTGATATACCACTTTACTAAATACACCTAGGTAACTTAAATATAACAGAGACATTCTGGCCAATTATTTCTAAACAGTATAAAACTGTTACTTAGAATTTCTGACACTTCCCCCAGAAATTATCTTCAGTATCCTGAAGATTTAATTAAACATACTGCCTAGATCAATACCTATATTTTACCAAGAGCAGGCCACCTACCTTTTTCTGTACCCTAAAGAAATCCTTATCATTCAACTAAACTGAATCATTCATTATTTAAAAAACAAAAAACAAAAACTGAAAACTAACTCTACTTTCGAATTTTATAATTGAGGCCAAAAATATATAATCACTTCAGAACAAGATATCATTAGGTTACTACTAATGGTATAAAAAGTAGCCTTGATAGATAGCAAAAGATAAAAACATCACAAGTTCTAGAAATTCTATTTCATTTCAGTGTTTTTGAAATAATGTAATGTGGCAAAATTATGGTTAATTCTAAACAAAATCTATCCATTTCTCAAGAAAAACCTGACAGGCTCACAGAATAAGGTTAACCATGTCAGCTGACGGTCGTTTCTTCAACAGCATGGACATCCTGCTCAGACTTGGTTCTTTGAAGACCGAAGGGTGAACCCACTCCTGCCCACACACAAAGTCCTGGAGACAAGGGCCAAGCTGCTTTCACCTTAGCTAAAGACACAGTTGGTGTGTATGAAAATGTACACGCTGCAAAGGCCACTGGGACCTGGAAATTCCTTCTACATTGGGTAGACACCAACCACCGATTTGCAGATAAACTCCCAGCATCTGCTCTGTATTAGGGCTCACTGGCATACTCTTCCTGATACCCCAGGTCAATCTCATCCATCCCCGTGCCCAGCACTTCCCTCGGCCCTTAAGCAGTCTGTTCACATCAGTCTCCATTTGTTCTGCTTCAGAAGACACAAGTAGTTACTTGCCACTTGTCACTATATGCATCCCCTGCATTCATAATCAGAAGAGCACAAAGGAGGATGCTCTGTATTCCTGGACTGAGAAAGCCAAAGCTGAGTCTGGAGCTACCTGAGGTGCAAGACCTTCGTCCCACCTGAAGTCAGAGACCTCAGTGGTGCCCACTGAGCACAGGTAAGGAACATGGGGCAAAGTCATCAGCAGGTGAACAGAAGATCAGAGACCAAGAAAACCACCTCTGTGTCCTGTCTTTGTAGGCAGCTGCTGCACTATAGCTAGAACTTGTATCTCTGACCTTTTGGGATGGAAAACAGCCATAACTCTTTCCCTTTACTGCTTAACGAAATCTAGTGATTTACATTTGCAGTTTTGCTGCAAGAAATACTAGAATGTTCTTGCTGTTCCAAGCCAGCACCATCAGGGAGAGGCTGCTTTGCACTGGTCAAGAAAGTATGAGTCCGGGGGTTTCGTCTTAACTCTGACACTTACTAGGTAAACAACCTATTGCAGTTACTTATCAGGTCCTTCATGTGTGAAATCAGAGATGTGACCAAATCAATGCAAGAAAACCTGGATTTTAAAAATCTAAAAGCTCATTCCTGTATGTGTTCTCAGGACTATTACTAACATAGGTGCACACAACTCTCGCACAGAAAACAGTGAGCAGCCTCCCCAAACATACTTGGAATAAGAACCCTTTCTTTCCTCCTTCGACAGAGCAGATATTTTCACCTCTCAGAACTAGCACTCCACGGGCAGTTTGGGAACATCAGACCAGCTTGCTTTTCAGGTGCTTCTGGCTGCCATTTTTTAAAAATTTACAATATAGCCCTCATAGGACTTTTCACCTCTTAAGGAAAAAAGAAAGTTTTGTGGCTGTTCTTTAGCCTAAGCAGGGCTTTGAGGACCTATGATGTATTTCATATATTTAATAAGCTTTTATTTACATGTAACTTTTTTTCCACAATAGAATATTAAGGATATTCTTTTTTTTCGTTTTGTAATGCCATTAGAACGGAAGTTCCATAAGGGCAGGTATTTTTGTATTTTTGTCTATTTTTTTTTCCACTGGCACATCCCCAGCACCCAGGCTGTGCCTACCACACAGCAGGCACTCGAATGCCAGTGATGAAGAAGTCACGATACCACACCATAACTGAACAAGATTTATACCCAAGACTAATATCAAGAATGTTACTTACTCAAAAACTTCTAACGGTACAGTAATATCATGAAGCTGCTGTCTGCACTTGTCAATATCCTGTAAGCCAGTAACAATAAAATTCCTGGGGGAAAGGCAAACACACAGGCATCTGGTTAATTTCGCTTGACAGCATAAGCACCACCCACAGAGCTACCCAGCCAACCGGGGCTCCACGCAAGTTCGTTCTCCTCACAGCTATGCGGGTTACACACGGTTCTGACCTCTTTGGTTAGCTACAGGATTCCTAGGACACCGTTAGAGTTACAAAATACCCTTAAATATTTGTTACTTTCCTTCTCAACTAGAAATTGCCAGTAAGGGGGATGGAGAGGGAACCTGATGAAAAATATGAACCTTCTCTCAAAAACAATTACCTGACTGTGCATATGACTGTGTGTGCGGTTTCAGCGAACACATGAGGCAGCGGACTATACTCAAAGTCTGAGGGAAAGAAAGCCATACTGTCTGGTTTAGCTTCCTCTCCTCTCTGGAGCCTTCCTACAGCATCAGGCTGGTCTGGCTATTCCCACAGCACTAGGTATGGAACCTCGAGTGCAACATTTTCTATGTCCGTGCCACATATAAAGCCCTTCTCGAAAGTGCTGTACTTGCATTTGCCTTTTCTCCAACCCAGGGCCTAGCAACATGGGCAGCACAAGGCTGTTGC
This sequence comes from Homo sapiens, assembly GCF_000001405.40. Taxonomy (NCBI): domain Eukaryota; kingdom Metazoa; phylum Chordata; class Mammalia; order Primates; family Hominidae; genus Homo; species Homo sapiens. The sequence goes on from NC_000005.10 coordinate 6,377,835, forward strand.
CAAGAAATAATAATAATAAACGTTCTGCAACCTTTCTCAGCACCACCTCCCCGCTATTTCCTCCACTGTCAGGCCTATGCGGCAGGTGGCTTCGGAGCCTCACCTTCTGAGGCCTAGTTTAGGGCGTGCACTCACTGTGGAGCCTGCCTCCCCTCTGGAGACAGGGACTGAATTCCCAGAAGGGCTCCAGGAGGAAAAGGCTGGGAGGGGGTTACACATGAGAGGGGAGACGCTAGAAGAGAAAGCATGATTCCCTTGATAGGGAAACGTAAAGTATATCATCTGGCCATGACGACGTCTCCAAAGGGGCCTCAAAGAGGTTGGCTCTTGGCAACAGGCTGGAGCGCGGGCCCCGCCCTCTGAACACAGCCAGGAAAGGCGCCCCGGGCTCCGGGACCAGACCAGAGGGCTGGCGGGGCACGAGTAGCGGTCAGGCTCGGCTCGGGCTCCCTAGATCCCCGCTCCCCTAGCACACGCTTCCCGGCCAGGCCCTGGGGAGACCCCGGCAGCCTCGGGCCGCCACTCACAGCTTTTGGTTGAGCCCGGCCTGGCTGCTGGGCTGGAAGTCACTGACGATGATGCCGAGCTGCCGAATGTTCTCCACGAACTTCTCCAGGTGCTCCTCTAGGTGGTCAAACTTCTCCGCCATCGCCTCGGCCCGTCCCCGACCCACACAGCCTCAACCAGCAGCGCCGCAGGCGTGGCCCTACGCTCCCGCTTCCTGCTTCCGTCCGGACAGATACGACTTCCGTTTCCTCTGGGGGAGCGCGGGCGAGCTCTTGGGGGCGGAGCCTCGTTATCGGGACGGGCGTGTTGGGGCGGGGCCTAAGTGCGGGGCAGGGCGGGCTTTCGGGGATGCGGTCTGGATTCTGGAGGAGGCCTCGGCGCGCAGCTGGGCGAGTACTAACTGTTTGCACTCTCATCAGACCTGCCTCGGTCATGGGAGAAGTTGAAGACTTTCTGCAATGCAGCATCTTCAAGCAATACACACATGGATGAAAATCCTAAAGTTTGCATGAAGGACCAATAACGGTAGTTTCCCTGCCCCTCTACCAGAACCCCTGGGATCAGCGCCTGCCTGCCTCCTTTCTTCTATGTAATCGGCGGCCACCTCCCCTAGCTCTTGCTGCTAACCATGCTTCCCGGACACCTGCTGCCTTCGTAGGTCAGGGTCTCACCTCCTCGGGCCAATTCTGACCAAACAGCACCCTGTGGGGTTGCCCTGTCTTAGTAAACTGCTGTTTATCTCATTGAAATTCAGTTTAGGTCATTTCACTCTTATGTTTAAGAAACTTTTCTGCCCGATCTCCTATGATAGCGGATATCTCCTCTAGCCTGTTTGAATTTCTCAAGTGATTTATTTTACTGAATATATTTGTGGCCTGTACTTTTCAGTGCCTAGAAACAGGCAAAGTGAGGGAGCTCCTTTGCTAGATGATCTTCAGAGCCTCTCCCAGCTGTGACCAGAAATGGAAAGCCAGAGAAGGTAAGTGACTTGCCAAACTTATGGAATCAGGGCACTCCAGTTGGTGGGCTGGGCTGATAAACAGAAATGTTACATAAAATACTTCTCTCCTGATTTAACAACAATTAACTTTAGGGAATTATAAAACAAGATGGAGGCTGGGCGTGGTGGCTCAGGCCTGTAATCCCAGAACTTTGGAAGGCCAAGGCAGGTGGATTACCTGAGGTGAGGAGTTCGAGACCGACCTGACCAATATGGAGAAACCCTGTCTCTACTAAAAATACAAAAATTAGTCAGACATGGTGGTGTGCGCCTGTAGTCCCAGCTACTTGGGAGGCTGAGACAGGAGAATTGCTTGAACCCAGGAGGCAGAGGTTGCAGTAAGCCGAGATCATGCCACTGCACTCCAGCCTGGGCAACAGAGCAAGACTCAAAAAAAAAAAAAAAAGGTGGAAATAAAATATTAGACAAATAAAAAATTTTAAGTTATTAGGTAGAGGTAGCGACATGGAGTGAACGGCCTTTCTCAATTTCATAAGTAAGAAAGATAGATAATTGATGGAACTTAGGCTTTGGTAAGTATTTATTTTAAAAATTTAAGGGTATCTCTTTGCTAGTATATATAATTCCCAAACTAGTAGACAGGGGGAAGGGAATAAAGAAAACACAATCAACTCAATAGAAGGCAAGAAAAGAAGAGAATAAAGAAGCAAAGAACAAGCATGGAAAATAAAACTCACAACGTAAAGTGCAAAAATTAAAGGCACACGACTCAACAGCAAAAAAGCAAAAGAAGAAATTTATAAATGGGCAAAGGACCTGAACAGATACTTCTCAAAAGAAGACATAAAAATGACCAGCAAAAATGCTCAGCATCACATATCATCAGGGAAATACAAATTAAAAGCATAATGAGATGTCACCTTACACTGTTAGAAGGGCTATAATCAAAAAGACCAAAGACAATGGGTGTGGGTGAAAATGTGGAGGAAAGGGAACCCTTGTACACTGTTGATGGGAATGTAAATTAGTGCAGCCTTTATGGAAAATAGAATGGAAGTTTCCCAAAACTCTAAAAACAGAATTACCATATGATCCAGCAGTCCTACTTCTGAGTATATACTGTGAACCCTGAATATCTGAGACAGTTCTCAGTTAATTTAGAAAGTTTATTTTGCCAAGGTTGAAGACACACACTCATGACACGGCCTCAGGAGGTCCTGATGACATGAGCCCAAGGTGGTCAGGGCACAGCTTGGTTTTATACATTTTAGGGAAACATGAGACATAAATCAATATGTAAGTGTAAGGTATACACTGGTTCTGTCCAGAAAGGCGGGAAAACTCAAAGCAGGGAGGGGGCTTCCAGGTCACTGGTAGGTGAAAGACAAATAGTTACATTATTTTGAGTTTCTGATTTGCCTTTCCAAAGGAGGCAATCAGATATGCACCTATCTCAGTGAGCAAAGGGATCACTTTGAATAGAATGGGAGGCAGGTTGTCCCTGAGCATTTTCCAGCATGACTTTTCCCTTTAGCTTAGTGATTTGGGGGCCCCAAAATTTATTTTCCTTTCACAATACTCAAAGGAATTGAAATCACTATGTCAAAGAGATATCTGTGTTTCCAGAAAGAGGTCCCAGTCCAGACCCCGAGAGAGTTCTTGGATCTTGTGAAAGAAGGAATTCAGGGTGAGTCCATATAGTAAAGTAAAAGCAAGTGTATTAGTAAAATAAAGGAATAAAGAATGGCTACTCCATAGGCAGAGCGGCCCGAGGGCTACTGGTTACTTGCTGTTATGGTTATTTCTTGATTGTATGCTAAGCAAGTGGTGGCTTATTTATGCCTCCCCGTTTTAGACCATTTAGGGTAACTTCCTAACAGGTCATGGCATTTGGAAACTGTCAGGGCAGTGGTGGGAGTATAGCAGTGAGAACTCTCGTTGCCATCTTGGTTTTGGTGGGGTTTAGCTGGCTTCTTTACAGCAAACTGTTTTATCAGTGAGGTGTTTATGACCTGTATTTGGTGCCGACCTCCTATCTCATCTTGTGACTTAGAATGCCTAACCATCTGGGAATGCAGCCCAGTAGGTTTGTTTCAGCCTTATTTTACCCAGCTCCTATTCAAGATGGAGTTGCTCTGCTTCAAATGCCTCTAACATCTGTACCCCATAAAAATAGACAATTATTATTTGTTAATTAAAAATAAAATTAAAAAGTGTATCATGAACTGTGTTCCCTGTCATTAAATGTGTGCCTTCCCCACTAAAAACATACGTTAGTGAACACAGTAAATGTTAACAGATTTAACATTTAATTAATTTAATTAATTAATTAATTATTTAATTTAACATTTAACTGTTAGTCTATCCTAACAGTTAAATGTTAACAGATTTAACTGTTAGGGTAGACTCTCAGATTAGAATCCAATTGGAAGTGTTTTGTTTTGTTGTTTTAATCTAGCTATGTTGCTTTTCAAAGGTACACCTAAAACAAACTTATAGACAGGTTGAAAATAAAGAGGGAGGATAGAATAATATATGGCAGGCAACCAAAAGAAAGTTGTTAATGCATATAAAAGTTAGTAAAGAAACATTAAAAAGATGCTTTTAATGGTAAAGAGAAGACTCATTAAAGATAGAATACTATTCACCTATAAGCAACTGACAACATAGTCCCATATTATCTAGCACAAAAATTGACAAAATATGAGGAAAAATTCAAAATCCATAATTATTACAGAGGATTTGGAGTACCTCTATCAGAAAACAATAAATCAAGTAGGCCAAAAAGCATATGAAGAATATGGAAGACTTAAGTAATATATTAAGAATTGTGATCTCTGAAAAACAGTGACCCCTGAAGAATAGATTGTTTCCAAGCACATTTCAAATACTTACAAAAACTTGACCATTCCCTAGACCACAAAGAAAGTTTCAGCAAACTCAGATCCTATCACATAGACCAGATTTTCTGACCTCGTAATTCCAGTAGAAATCTATGAATTTATTCATTTTCTACACATACATACACGTTCGAAAATCAAAACACACTCTAAATAATTCATGAGTTTACATACATCTGAGAATGGGCAAGACCCAATTATGTCTGTTGTCTTCGTGTGATTATTAATAGCACTCTTCCACTCACTGTCAAACATGTCCCAGTTTGGTTGATACGTTATGTGGACATCCTATTTAAAAGGAAAATTATAAAACATTTGGAATTAAATGACAAGAATTCCCTGTCAAACTTCTGCTTTACTCCTGAGGTAATAATTTGAGGGAAAACAGCCTGGAAAAAATAAACTGGAGTTTCAACTCAAAGAGTAGGATAAAAAGAATCAAAAGGGAAATCACAGGCACCAAAAAATACATAAAAAGGGGTGACAAAAGTAAAGACAGACACTGATGAAAATGAGAACTATTGCATTAGTTTTCTGTCTAGCTGCATTCGAAGCTGGAAAGATAAAAATGAAGAAAAGTTGATTGTTGAAAAGATGAGTCAAATATATATACTTCTGGCAAGTCTCATCAGAGAAGAAGAAAAGAAAGGTGCTAAAAGAGAAAAATATACAGTATTATAAATGAGTGAGGGTGAGGGTAAAACTTATATGTTCATAATTTTGAAAGCTTAGAAGATATAAACAATTTTCTAGGAAACTACCAGAAATTAACTTAAGAAAAATAAACAATTAGAATAGTTCCTAGTCTTTCAATAAACTGGCCAGTAGGCAAAAATCTCTTTCAAAGATAGGAGAGACATAAGCTCGGACAGTTTTTTATACTAATTGTTTAAAAATCAAACATTAAAGAACAAATAATTTCAAACTTACCCAGATACATTCAGAGACTAGAAAAAGAAGAAATACATCCCAGCTCATTTTGAAAGAGCAGTATAACTTTTATATGAAAATCATCAAGGACAATACAAGAAAATATAGGTCAATCTTCCTTATGAAAGTAGATACAAAAGTCTTAAGTAAGATATTATCAGAATTAGATCAGTTGTCATGCATCAGGCATCTATTGCTGTATAGCAAACCATGCCAAAACTTAGTGGCGTAAAACAACCTCAGTCCTTCATTTTACCCACAAATCTGCATTGTGGCCTGTGCATGGCGTTCACAGCTTCTCTCTGCTCCATGTCACATGGGCTGGGGTGGCTTCACTGGAGGCTGAAGGACCTGCTTTCACAATGGCTTATTCAGCGGGGCTGTGGGCTGGCGACCACACATCCCCCCCGTGTGGGTGTGTCCCTGGGATTTGGGAGCTTCCTCCCTGATGGTGGCAGGGTGCCAAGAGCACAGAGCTCAGGAGAAGCAGGTGAAAGCAGCACCACCTCTTATGACCTTGCCTGGGAAGTCCCCCGACAGCCAGGGCACATTTAGATCCCCAGGGAGGGAACATAACCTGTCTTCCCGGTGGAAGAAGTAAGAAGTCACATTGATAGAGGAGCAGGTGAGATGAGAACTTGTTGAAGCCGTGAACCCCAAGTATCTGAGACAGACAGGTCTCAGTCAATTTAGGAAGTTTATTTGCCAAAGTTAAAGACACCTGCCTGTCACACAGCCTCAGGAGGTCCTGACAACATGGGCCCAAGGGCACAGCTTGGTTTTATACATTTTAGGGAGACGTGAGACATCAGTCAATATATGTATGTACAGTGGTTCCACCCGGAAAGGCAGGGCAACTAGAAGCAGGGAGGCAGTTTCCAGGTCATAGGTAGGTGAGAGACGAATCGTTGCATTCTTTTGAGTTCCTGATTAGCCTTTCCAAAGGAGGCAATCAGATATGCATTTATCTCAGTGAGCAGAGGGCAACTTTGAATTCTGTCTGTCCTTTGTCCACAGAGAAATTCCTTGTGAGGGAGTTATGTCGCTTTTTAATCTTAGTAGCTACGTTTTTTAGGAACAGAATGGGAGGCAGGTTCGCCCTAAGCAGTTCCCAACTTGGCTTTTCCTTTTGGCTTAGTGATTTTGGGGTCCCAAGATTTATTTTCCTTTCACAAAGCTGTTTTTGAAAAATACAACCTGTCACCCATCACATTGGGAAAAAAGTTATGATCCATTGTGCTTTTCCTAGGATTGCATGAATTATGAAATATCATAAAATCCATTATTATAACAGTCTGTTAAGGATTAAAGGAGATAAAATACCTCAGGTAGATTTTTTAAGTAGACACTGGATATTAATAAAATTGAACCCAAATCATGATTTAAAAATAAAAAAGAGGCTGGGCATGATGGCTTACATTTGTATTCCCAGCACTTTGGGAGGCTGAGGCGGGCAGATCACGAGGTCAACAGATCAAGACCATCCTGGCCAACATAGTGAAACCCCGTCTCTACTAAAAATACAAAAATTAGCTGGGCGTGGAGGCACGCACCTGTAGTCCCAGCTACTCGGGAGGCTGAGGCAGGAGAATCCCTTGAACCTGGGAGGCGGAGGCTGCAGGAGCCAAGATCGCACCACTGCACTCCAGCCTGGCGACGGAGCGAGACTCCATCTCAATAAAATAAAATTACATTAAATTAAATTAAAAAGAAACCTTTGAGAAAACTAAGAATAGAAAAGAACTTTCTAAACCTGATGAAAGATGTTTTATCTACTAAGAACATAGAGAAAGCATTAGACTCAATAATGAAACTTCAGGAACATGTTTGTTAAAGTCCTGGACACAGCCGGAAGCTTCACTGTCGTGTTCTAGGCCTCTCTCCCGGCTGCTGGTGGTTGCTGGCAGTGGTTGCTGTTCCTTGGCTGGCAGAAGCATCCCTCCTCTCCACCTCCAGCTTCACGCGGTGTTGTCCCTGTGTGTGTCTCTGTGGCCAAAATTTCCCCTTTTCATGAGGACGCCAGTCGGGTTGGATTAGAGCCCACCCTGATGACTGGAGTTTTTCACTGAATTACCTCTGTGAAGATGCCATCTCCAAATCAGGTTGCGTTTGGAGGCGCTGGAGGTCAGGACTCCAACATATCTTTTTTGAGGGGATATAACTCAACTGTAACACCCCTCCTTCTCTGCTCAAGACCAGCAGCACTCGTTGTCTGTATTGTGATCGCGGGATGTTTAATTCAGGACCAGGCCATAACGAGCATAATGATGGTGTTAGTCCCTGTGATTAACCATCAGCTACAGTTTCTAAAGCACTCATCTCCCAGTTGTCCACAATGACTACTCCAGTGAAGATTGTTCCCTGCTGAAACAAAAAGCATCCCAAGCCCACTTAAACCTACATTGAGACCGGGCACGGTGGCTCACGCCTGTAATCCCAGCATTTTGGGAGTCCGAGGTAGGCAGATCACGAGGTCAAGAGATCAAGACCATCCTGGCCAACATGGTGAAACCCCCGTCTCTACTAAAAATGCAAAAATTAGCTGGGTGTGGTGGCAGGTGCCTGTAATTCCAGCTACTTAAGAGGCTGAAGCAGGAGAATCGCTTGAACCCAAGAGGCGGAGGTTGCAGTGAGCCGAGATCGCGCCACTGCACTCCAGCCTGGAGACAGAGCGAGACTCCGTCTCAAAAAAAAAAATAAATAAACAAAAAGATAAACAAACAAAAAACCTACATTGAAATTCTTCCTTTTACTCAAACAGCTAAGTAATGGCTGCTTTCCCTTTATTTAGCAACATAATACTGTTGGCTTGTTTATAAGAAACGTTTTAACATTTCAACACTCCAGTCCCCAAATGTAAATGAAATTAGGTTGGAAAATTCCAGTAAGTCAGAAGGTCGGCCTGGTAGGAAGCCGTGTGCAGAAAGCCTACAGAGCATTGCTGACTATACGTTTTGTCGCCTTGTTTTCCCTCCGAAGTCGACATGAGCTGCCCCTAGGAAATTTCCTTACTTCTGATACTTGGTGACCTTGAAATCTGGAGGCTGTTTTTTCCCTTCTTCTTTACCTTTTTTTTTTTTTCATTCACACTATTATCGCTCCATCAGCATCCAAAGCCCTTAGTGGTATCATTTGGAACATGTTTTGCCATTCATTCTAATTTATTCTAAGAGCCAGATTCAGCTTAAGTTTAAAAAAAAAAAATGCAGCTCTCCTACCCAGAGGAAGGAACAGCTGGTTTCTGCTTCTCACTTTGAAGATTTTCAGCACATTAGTAGTTCTAGCAGAAGGGAAGATTTGCAACTCTGTTGTTTGATGATGATGGTGATGATGATGACGGTGATGATGGTGATGGTCATGATCATACTGATGACAATATCTGCCATTTTGGAACATATTTTATAGATTATAGACTGTCTCATTTATTCTTCATAACCCTAAAGGAAGCTACTATAATTTGAACCATATGTGGTCAAAAGAAAGCCAAAAAAGTATCCCTAAATACAGAATTAGGAGACAGAATAATTTCATCTGATAGAAAATGCTGACATTATTTTCCCTCAAGAGCTACATTGACACATGAATGTTCAAATAAATTAGGTTTCCCGTTCATTCTATTAGATTCACATACCAATGAGAGTGCCTGACTTGTGCAATAAAAAAATAGAAATTGTATCTTTTTTTACACTAACAAGCATTGAGAAGCCGTAAGATTTCTCTTCTCTTCTGTTTTCCTTTCTATGCAATATTTGCAGCAATGTGCAGCTCTACCTGGAATTCTGTGTGATGTATGTGATCAAATTTTTAAAAGCAAAAAGATGAGATTACACTAATACAGACTGGCATGTGATCCAATCAGCAAATGGAAGTATGCAGTTGGCTTTCACTATCAGCTTTGTTTTTTTGTTGTTGTTGTTGTTGTTTTGTTGTTTTTTTTTTTTTACAAATTGTCACAAGCTCAAAAGAGAGGGCAGGACAGCATTACAGAAATAGGGATAAGGTAAGACATCTAACTCCTTAGCAGATTATACACACAAGCATAGAAATACAAACTTTTCTAGGCTGCATAGCAACTTCACCCTCCTGGGTCTTTCGGCACACGGTGTAAGCCCTGTTATCTCATAGCGTTTTGTAAAAATTAATGACTTTCAGTTGAAGTCTAAGTTTGTCTTAAACACTCCAAAGAGAAATGAGCTATGCTCAATTTCTCTTCTCACATATGCTCTTCTCATTGTGGATGACCCAGAAAACAAAGTCTTACCTTGCAGAAAATCGTGGTGCACGCAGGCCTGGAACACCTGCTCCGGTTCTGATCAAGAAAGACAGATAACCAGGAGACTGTACAGCAGAAAGCATCTGAAAAAAGCAAAAAGAAAGCGCTTTTTCAGAAAACTAAGTAAGAATATATGAAAATTCTTCATTATGGAGGATGGAAGCTCAGAGGAGACAGGACCAACATCTGCACAACTTTGAACAAATACCTGGCTATTAATACGCAAGACAAGAGAACTGGGCTCACCTCCTTCACTTTCTAGAAGGTGGCTGTAGTTTCGTTAGTCCACGTCCTCTGAGGAGCAGATCCCAGGATGGGATTAAACAAGAACTTTCTTAGAAGAAATACATGTGACAGAAAAAGGGAACCAGCATGGCTGGAAGAACCATCAGAACAAAATGCAGGTCTGATCCCAAAAGAAGGGAGGGAGAGAGGGAGGGAAGGAAGGAGGGAGGGAGGGAGGAAACAAAGGGAGTCTAGAAGCATCTTAGACTGTGGTACAGTCCTAAGGAGAGTTTGGTAAGACCACTGAGAAGCCCCCAAACCAAAATCGCTCACCAGCAGAGTCCCCAGGAATGGACAAACCTTAGCCTTCCTGCATCACTCACTCAGTCATTGGCTGAGCAGCCCATGGAGGCAAAAAGTGCAATAGATTTCAAAGGAGAGCATTAGGGCCCTTGGTTAATTCTGCCCTTACCATCAGATATCTGAAAGATGCATTCTTGTGGGTGCCACATTAGGATAAGCAACAGTAATGATGATGATGATGATGATGATGATGATGATGATGATGCCATTTATTGACAACCTATCCAAAGTCAAGGATTGTACTAGGTATTTTACATATATTAAATATAATTATCAAAAACAATCCTCCCTAGGCTGGGTATGATTGCTCCCCATTTTCTCATGAAGAAATTGAAACTTGGGTAAATATTTTGCCAAGAAAGGGTGTAGAGTTGAGTATCTGATCCTTCAGGCATCATATTCTTACCACAGCAAACAAATGAGAGAATTTTTGCTTCTGCAATAAGAAATAGAGTTCGCTGAATTTATTAAGCTAAAAAGTTGAGTGTTTGGTGGGTTTTTTTGGGGGGGGGGTTGTTTTTACAATATAAATTTTTGTTTACAATATAAATAAATGCAGCATTCATTCTACTTAATTCATAAATGACAATGTTGGAAACTAGAGGGCCGGGCGCGGTGGCTCACGCCTGTAATCCCAGCACTTTGGGAGGCCGAGGCGGGCGGATCACGAGGTCAGGAGATCGAGACCATCCCGGCTAAAAAACGGTGAAACCCCGTCTCTACTAAAAAAATACAAAAAATTAGCCGGGCGTAGTGGCGGGCGCCTGTAGTCCCAGCTACTTGGGAGGCTGAGGCAGGAGAATGGCGTGAACCCGGGAGGCGGAGCTTGCAGTGAGCCGAGATCCCGCCACTGCACTCCAGCCTGGGCGACAGAGCGAGACTCCGTCTCAAAAAAAAAAAAAAAAAAAAAAAGAAACTAGAGCCATTGTACTTTCCCACCAAGGAGCTCATGACCACACTGAGCCCTCAGTGACCCCAAATGGCATTTCTTATGTCCCCCTGGCTGTCTAAAGTGGAGCTCAGGTATGGCCAGGAAGGGACGCAGCCCCAGTACTTCTTTGGTATATGACTTTGGCCCATTTCTAGAATTGTCTTGGTCTTCAGTGAGATGGAGCAGGGACTCCTCCTAGGGGCCTGCAGGTCACCCCCTGCCCAGTGAAGAAATAAAGAAAACTCTTAAGTTCCTTCAGGAAAAATTCCAGGCACCTAGCTCACACTGAAAAATAACTGAATAAACAAAAAGATAATAGTAGCTTAAAACAGTAGCCAAAAAAGTTAGTCAAGAGATATGTTATTCCCTATAAAAACTGAAAATAACACCTTAACATATGTCCCTGAGTTATTTTTCAAAAACCTGAACCCCCACCAAACAGATTTGCTAACACATAGACCTCAAATTAAGGGAAACTAAAAACTAAACTCTGGTCACTGTTCTTTGTTCTAAATTTCTTCCTAAGGGGCCTGGGAACGTCACACCCACAAGTTAGAGCTATCAGTTTGGTGCAAAAGTAATTGCAGGTTTTTTTTTTTTTTTTTTTTGCTGTTACTTTCAGTGGCAAAACGTGCAATTTTGCACCAACCTAATAACATTGTTTTCTGCTGATCCCACATTTTTAGACAAAGCTTTGCCTCCTTAGCCAATCACAGATCAGAAATCTTTAAATCCACCTATAACCTGTGGGCCCCCAACTTCCAGTTGTCCTACGTTTTTAGGTCAAACCAACGTATAGTCTCCATATTTGAATTTATGACTTTACTTGTAACCTCTGCCTCCACGTTGGTAAAAACCCTCACCTATGAGCCATCTGGGAGTTGGGTCTTGAACATGGGATGCCTGATTTTCCTTGCTTGGGGCCCTACATAAACGCCTCACTTTCTCTTGCTACTATCCCAACATCAGTCTTTGACTTCGCTGCACCCAGTGAACAGATCCCTGCTGGATTCACTTACATCAGATTTCTCCTCCTGGAAATAGAAGAAATGTGCCTATTGATGTGTGGAGCATCTCGCATGGCACCTGGAATGTAGAAGGCATTTGGTAAACGTGGCTTCCTTCTATCAGTTTCTACCCAAAATGTGCAAAGCCAAGCTTTCCTTTTTGTGCTGTATACTGGCTCCTTCTTCCAAAAATGTATTTGATGATGTCATTCCTCAACCTAAAACCTCCTGACATCACCCCGCTGTCTACACCAGGGATGTTAAAATCCTCTCTCTGCATAGCCCCATCCCCATGACCATGTACTCACTCTATTACCCCAATTCTCTGGGTGAGGCAGGAGGAGAGGAGTGGGTGCATGTGCCCCTGGCAGAGGGAAAGGATTCTCGGAGGGGTGAGACAAGTAGTGTGAAAAGAGTCGACCTCCAGGAAGCTGCTCTGCAGCCCTCATTTCTCCTTTGAGAATCGCTGGTCCTCAGAACAAGTTCTAAATCCTTACCACCTGATCTGATACCACCTTCCCACTGACCAGTGCCCTACAGCCTCATGGGACCCTCACCAATCCCGCCTCTTTGCCTTTGCTGGTTTCTTTTCTCTGCTTTAAAGTCTTCTTCCATACCTTCTGCTTTACTTGGGGAAATCTGAAATAAATGTCAGCATGTTGGTGAAGCTTTTGCTTACTGCCTCAGGCAGAATTAATAGCTTCCTGGTCAGCTCTGACACATCTGGGCCCTGTTCCCTCCTCAGAGGTAGAGAATCTGCTAGAGGCTGAGAACCGTCTCCACCTTTAGACAGAATGCGTTTAGTGGTTACTGCCTGCATCCCAATGAAACCTGCTCTGCCCTTCTGCCATAGAAATGGAATTGAAGCCAGACCCATTGCTACCCACTGTCTGTGTTTCCCGTTGGTATGGTTTGGCTGTGTCTTCCCACCATTCTCATCTTGGATTGTAGTTCCCATAATCCCCACGTGTCATGAGAGGGACTCGGTGGGAGGTAATTGAATCATGGGGGCAGTTTTCCCCATGCTATTCTCATGATGGTAAGTTCTCATGAGATCTGATGGTTTTATAAGGGGCTTCCCCCATCACTCGATTCTCATTCTTCTCTCTCCTGCTGTCTTGTGAAGAAGGATGTATTTGTGTCCCCTTCTGCCATGATTATAAGTTTCCCAAGGCCTCCCCAGACCTGTGGAACTGCGAGTCAATTAAACCTCTTTCCCTTATAAATTGCCCAGTCTCAGGTATGTCCTTATAGCAGTGTGAGAACAGACTAACACACCCAGGCTTCCCTGAAGTGAGCTGTGGCCTTTGCACTAAGGGATGGGAGCAGGAATGATGGGTATCTGCTCGGGGTGGGAACATGAGGCATCAGGTGCATCTTCTTCAGGCTGTCCCTGATGTGCTGGTGATTGGTCCCACCAGGCAGGTGACAGTACCCCAGAGCAGTGGAACACTCTGAGATAATAGAAGTGTTTTGAGATCTGTGCTGTCCAACACGCGAGCCACTAGACACTTGAGCTATGGCTAGTGCAACTAGGAACTGAAATTTCAATTGTCTTTAAATGTATTTAAATTAATTAAAATTAAAATAGTCACATGTCACCAGCGGCAACTGTATCAGCCAGTAGAGCCCCTGAGGATGGAGGAGCAATGGTTTGGAAGGAACATGGATCTTAGAATGCCCAGTGGAGCAGAGATTCTCCACCTAAATGGATTACTTATCTCAGAACAGTTGAGTGAGAGAAAAACAAGGCAATGTTTTAGGACAGTTAGGAAGATAGTATCAATAGTATGACATAATGGGTATATCAGGGACTTGGGGCTCACCTTTTGAGTTCAAATCCTAGCCCTACCACTTAATAACTGTATGGCCTTGGGCAAATGACTTCATTTCCGTGTGCCCCAGAATTCTCCTCACTGCACTGGGGACACTGAGTCCACGTATCACCTGGGTTTGTTGTGAGAATCAAATGAAGTAATAAATGTAAAACACTTAGAATATGGCATCCCCATTTGTTAGCTACTGTGATGACATTTGAGGTCTCTGTTACAGCATCTTAGCTTTGCACGAATGCACCTGGCTTTGCATCACGGCTCCCACATCTACCACTCGGGTGCCATTTGTTTTCTCAGGTTCTTGGGGGTGATGCGAGTGAAGTACTGAGTGCTGTGTCTGGCCCCCATCAAGCACTCAATGTTGGTAGTCACCCTTATATAAAGTGTCATGTTGTCATATCAGTATCTGTTTGGATGTCTCCCTTGGAGGTGTCTCTAGGATAGGGACTGTCATTTCTCTTTTTGTTCTTCATTGATTAGCACAGTGAAGGTACTCGGTACATGGTTACTGAATGATTGGCTGATTGCATAAATAACTCTTCTAGTGTTAGTTTACCTGAAAACCCAATACTGTACCTATTGAGGCTTCTGAGGTGTCCCCTGGCCATCAAATCCCTATGGTACTCTAACAGCAGCATGGCCAAACAAAGGCATTCTGTCCCTGCTGCCCAGATCCTTCCTCACCCTTTACCTTTGCAACACTGAGCGGAACGGCTCTTCACGGGGATGGCCACTCACCCAGGCATCATTAGGAAAGGTGAGGGGGTGTTTTTCGGTGTCACAACACCTGGATAACTGTGTTCTCCAGCTTCCTCTTGCTGCTGTAGCAAATTACTGCAAATGCAGTGGCTTAAACAACACACACTCAGTCCATAAATTCTGAAGGTGAGAACTCTGAAGTGAGTGTCATGGGACTAAAATCAAGCTGTTTGCAAAGCTGCACTCCTTCTGGGGGCTGCGGGGAGAATTGGCTTCCTGCCTTTCCCAGCTTCTGGGAGCTGCTGCATTCCTTGGCTCCCGGCCCCTCCTCCATCCACAAAGCTAGAAATCCCATCACTCTAGCCTCTCCTTCTGTCCTCACATCTCTCTCTCTCTCTCTGACTTTGCCTCTCCTGCCTTCCCCTTGCTTTCTAAGGGTCCTTGGCATGTTGTGTTACATTGTGCCCACCTGCATAATCCAAAATAACCTCCTGATGTGGTTTGGCTATGGCCCTACCCAAATCTCATGTCAAATTTTAACCCCCATATGTTAAGGGAAGAACCTGGTATGAAGTGATTGGATCATGGGGGCAGATTTTCCCCTTGCTGGTCTCATTGATAGTGAGTGAGTGAGTTCTCACAAGATCTGATGGTTTAAAAGTGTGTAGCCCTTCCCCCTCCCTCTCTCTCTCCTGCCACCATGTGAAGATGGTCCTTGCATCCCCTTCACCTTCTACCATGAGTGTAAGTTTCCTAAGGCCTCCAAGTCATGCTTCGTGTCAAGCCTGCAGAACCATGAGCCCGTTAAACCTCTTTTCTTCACAAATTACCTAGTCTCAGGCAGTTCTTTACAGCGGTGTGAAGACAGACGACTACACCTCCTTATTGTAAAGTCGACTGATTACAACCTTAATCCCACTCAGTGCCTTAACTGTCCTGGCCATGGAACCCAACACACTCACAGGCTCTGAAGAGAAGGACATCTTTGCTGGCTGGTAGGGAGGGATTCTTCTGCCCACCAAAGTAACTCTGTGGGCACAGGGTAGGTTGGAGCCTGGGGACACCACACACCATGAGACACTCCTACACAACAGAGTGTACCCCTCAAATGCCAATAGTGCCCTCTTGAGAAATGCAGCTGGAGTCCCACTACTCTAAGCTGCTTTGTGTGTGGTGAGGAATAAAAGGACAGGGGAGCTTTGCTTTTCATCTCAAGTTTCCCTCTAAATCTGTAATTGCAGCCTCCAAAAAAGAAAGAGAAACCAACTTCTCTTGCTTCTTGTAAGAGGAAGAGAAAGAGAAATGAGAGAGACACCTGTGCAGGTACTCAGAGACCAGTGCAGCCCTTCTCCCATGCAGAGACCAGAAGCTCAGCTTACAATTACCAGCCTTCCTGCATGAGTGTGCAGGTAAGGAGGCCCCACCTGTCAGAAGCAGTCCTGCAGGACATTGACTTGAAATTGAGCCCAGTGGGGGAAAGGTGGGTGCCTGTGTCCTCCATACTGATGATGCAGACCAGAGTCGGGAGACAGAGCTTGAGAGTCACAGGTGGCTTCCACATGTTCACCCATGTCTGCTGCAGAGATCTAGGCTTCTCTAGCAAGGCATAAAAGGGGCTGCAGGTAACTAGAGCTGTGTCCAAGGTGTCCAGAGGTTTCCAAGCACTTAGTTCTTTGCACTCAGTTGCTCTCTGCGACTCCAGTTGTTAGACATTCATACTGAATGCTCAAAGATACAAGGTCCCCCCAGAAGACATCGACAGGATGGCACCTACTTCTGCACCTGTACCCACTGGCATCTGTAAGAAACACAGAATGGAGAATTGGAGAACTGGAGGCTATGATAAATGACATCAGTCAACCCCTCATTACACGTATGAGAAAATGGATGAAAAGTATACCCAGGAAAAAGAAAAACTGATAAGCCATGAAGAAACAAGAAGACTTTCAACAAAATTATTTGTATTTGTCACCTTTTGCTGTGACCACAAACAGCCTGAACATGTCAATGGCTTGCACCAAGATCTCTTCTGTCTTGTTTTGAGACATGAAGTGAAGACAGGGGCAGGGTCGGCTGGACCTGCTTGGTTTAGCTTGGGTTGGCGTAACTCATGTCTTCTCATCCAGAACCCAGGCTGGAAGGACAGCCACCTTCTGAAATGCACTGATTCTGTGGTGAGACAAGTGAGGAAGCCTAGGCCAGGCCCCAAGTTCACATGCAAAGGCTCTGCTCAGCCATGGCCAGTGTCTGGCCACTCACACTCTGATGGATGAACAGCCCATTTCACATGGTCCAGCACAAGCCTGTGTGGTGGGAGGATGCTTTTCCCAAGAGCTGAACCAGTGGGAAACGCAGCGCTAAGAGTCACCCAGCATCCTGCGCATGGAGGAGCAAGGGTTGGGAGCGATAACCCAATAGATTGCTCACTGCTGCAAGATCAGCCCGGGGATTCCATCCACCCCTTCCCCCGGACCCTCCACTCTGGTTAATTCCCCCTCAGCTGGAAGAACCCACCCCCAGTTCACCCGGGAGAGTCCCACGTGCCCTGGTCCTGCCCAGGTCTCATCCTGTGGAGCATTCAACCCAGATGGAAGCAGCCCCGGTTCTATAACACACAGTGCAGTCTTCCCGCCCTAAGACCCCTGCGGTGGCACACAGGAAGCGCAGATTCTGATGTCTGCTGGCACATGTTACACATAACACATAACACATAACATAGGTATGTCTGCCTCGTAGCTGATAGACTCTTCTGGTCAGCAGGGATGGGGGGTGGGCCATTTATGAGATCACATCCTATCTACAGAGGACATTCTTGCACAGCCCCGAGGCAGCACAAGGCAGGGGAGGCAGGGGGTACTGGAGCCTCTGTTTGTCACCTGCAGTGAGGACAGCTACGGCAGGAAGCTCAGCTTCTCCAATCCTCCATGTTCTCCTCTGAAAACTGGCTCGAGGCCACGTAGCAAGGTGCCCTGAGGATTGCAGATGAGCGGGGAGTGTGGATTCACACTCCTCCTGCTCAGTCCCAAATCCCAACAGGCCTCAAACCCTAGGGGTGTGGCCACTCGTTCTGCAGCAGGATATGATCTGGACTGAATAGAAGGCTAGTGATAATCTTCTTATATACAACTGAGCACGTGCATTTATACATTTCTCTTCAAAAATAATAATGCATTTGACGACAGGGTACCGACCCAGACTCATGTATACTATCCTTTTATGCACTATCATCTCAGTCAGAGTCCTCCAGAGAAACAGAGCCAACAGGAGATAGATAGAGAGAGAGAGGCTGATTTTAAGGAATTGGCTCACACAGTTGAGGGTACTGGCAAGTATACAATTTGCCAGCTGGAGACCCATGGAGGAGCTGAACCAGCAGGTCAGGTCTGAAGGCAGCATTCCCTCTTCCTTGTGGGAGGTCAGTCTTTTTCTCTGAAGGCTTCCCACTGGTGGGATGAGGCCCACCCGCATTATGGGGGCTAATCTGCTTTCCTCAAAGTCTCCTGACTTAAATGTTAACCTCATTTAAAATAAGATGCCCTCACAGGAATCCAGAATTGTTTGACCAGATACCTGGATATCATGGCCTAGCCAAGTTGACACGTAAAATTAACCATCACAACCATATGATAAATGAAACTAGACAGTCCGAATGCTGACGCAGATCTGGGGCCACCTCAAGGTTTGGGCAAGAACTGTGGGTCCCATCCAGCTGGAGCACAGTCTCTCGGGGGAGTCCTGTGAAGGGACAATTCACAGGACTTTTGTCTACCCCAGCAGAGAGCCTCTGCCAGGGTGACCGGGGTGAGTGTGGACTCATCCACAGCACAGAGTGGTCCCCGGCTGGTGCATGGATCCACATGAGAAATGAGAGGAGTTGGCTGGAGACGGGAGGGTGCAGGGGTTGGTGGGACAAGAGAGGAACAGAAGAGTCGCCTGTGATTTATGGTTCCAGCTCAAATGCCTGGTGGAGAGAGTGAGAGCAAAACATAACAGAAGATTCCAGAGGAGAAATCAAGGGAGTGATGTGAGGCTGAGGTCCTCATGGGACGTCTGGAGGCAGCTGAGTGTGTGGCCCTGTGCGTGGGGGCAAGGCTGTGATAGATGTAAAGAGAGGGGTTTAGGAGATTTCAGAATTACAGGCTGTCAATCTCCATATCGTCTCAGAGGTGGGATGGCTGAAAGAGAGCATGGAGTAAGACGTGAGGGCTGAGGGTGGGAGCCCGGGAAATCTGTAGAGCACCAAAGCAGGGTAGGACAGCCTCCAGCAGCGGGAGCAGGGAGGGCACCACGAGGGGCTGGAGAGAGGTAGGAGAACAGGGAGGCTGAGGGCTGAGAGAGAACGCAGTCATAGGCAGGAGTCGGGCACATCAGCAGCAGGCAAGCAGGTGGCAGGTCACAGGGCAGGCCACTGGGCTGGCCACTGGGCAGGTCACAGTGCTGGCCTCAGGGCAGGCACCGGGTAGGTCACAGTGCTGGCCTCAGGGCAGGTCACAGGGCTGGCCACTGGGCAGGTCACAGTGCTGGCCACAGGGCAGGTCACAGGACAGGTCACAGGGCAGGTCACAGGGCTGGCCACTGGGCAGGTCACAGTGCTGGCCACAGGGCAGGTCACAGGACAGGTCACAGGGCAGGCCACAGGGCTGGCCACTGGGCAGGTCACAGTGCTGGCCACAGGGCAGGCACCGGGCAGGTCACAGGGCTGGCCACTGGGCAGTTCACAGTGCTGGTCACGGGGCAGGCCGCAGGCCAGGTGACAGGGAAAGCCCCCGGGCAGGCCACAGGGCAGGTCACGCAGCAGGCCACCAGGCAAGTTACAGGGCAGCACGTGCTGACAAGGCCCATGTGAGGCACCTAGAAGAAGTAGAAACTACCGCCTTACAGGGACACATGGGGCAGGGACTGCTCTGCTATCATAGGGTGCCTGAGCAGTGAACAGGGCCTTAGGAAGATGCAGGTTCGGGGTCTTGAACAGTGTCTCTGCGGCTTGGGAGTATGCGTGTCATAGATGGCAACACCCTTATCTCCAGCAAGGCTGTTAAAAATGAAGCTAACACTCTATAGAGCTGGCATGGGCAGGTTCCCTTAAAATCACTTCGTGCATGTTACTCTTTAATCCTCCCAACAGCTACAGGGATTACTGCTGTCTCCACTTCTCAGATAAGGAGCAGGGGCACAGGGAGTCTGAGTAGTCTGCCCGAGGCCAGTGGAGACCCGTGCCAGGATTGAGCACGGCCATTGGCCCCGAGTCTAATTCCTAGGACACGCAGTGCTGCCGCCAGCGATAAGGCTCACTGAGATGCCACCAGCACATCCTCCCTCAGGTGTCCTGCTTCTCCTGGATGATCTCTGCTCCAAGTCCACTGGTAGCTCCCAGAAGATATATGTCCATTGTCCTGGGCCCTGGAACCTTTGGATATGATCATATCTTGCTGGGGGTGGGGAGGGTTTTGCAGCTGTAATTATGATTTGGAAATGAGGATATCATCTATGGTGGGTCCTAGATCCAGTGAAAAGAGTTCTTATAAAAGACAAGAAAAACACACACAGGGGAGAAGGCTGCATGAGGGTGAGGCAGAGACTGGAGTGGTGCGGCCACAAGCCAAGGAGTGCCTGCGGCCCCCAGGAGTTGGAAGAGGCAAGGAAGGAGCCTCCCCTAGAGCCCTGAGAAAGGGCCTCGATTTCAGACTGCTGGCCTCCAGAACGGCGAGAGAATACATTTCTGTAGTTTTAAGGCACCCAGTTAGCGGTGACTGGTTATGGCAGCTCTAGGAAACTAACAGGCTCTGATATGAAAACCACGTAGGATCTCCCAGAGCCTGCCCTGAGCTCATTCCCTGCTCACCTCAAGTCCCAAACATCACTGTTCCTGTTACCACAGCTGGGTCCTAGAAAGTGAGGTCCCCAGAGAGTGTTTGAAGATTCTACAAGCAATGGATTGTCGACCTGGAATGTACCTCGAGGAGTCTTGAGTGTGTGAGCATCTGATGTCATGCCAGCAGAATTCAGATTTTCATGAGCCTCAGTGAGGCGGGGTCTGACAGCAGCTTACCTGCCAGCAAGAATAAGAAGTTGGTGACTGAGTCCAAGATTTGCTCAGGTTCAATATATTTCAATTTTATTTTGTATAGTACAACTTTTTCTGCCATCGCTCAAACCCATTCTCACCACCTGAAATCATTCTTCATCGTACAGCAGAAGGAACCAGAAGCAAGTCGCCCTTCAACCAAGCCACTCGTCCAAGCCTTTCTGCTGCCGTCAGCTGCCTGCCCCCCACACTGGTACTCAAAAGGCGTCCAGAGCAATAACGTGGAGTGACAGCCTCCCCTCCCACCCATGACATTGCAGTTCCCCTAATGCCTTTTGAACATGCGGCACTAGTCAACTCCAGTTGTTAACAAGGGTTAGGTGCTGGCTCCTTTCAATACCATGCTTTTTTTCCCCAGATCTTGGAGAGAGGTGTCATAATTTATTAGCACAGCAGAGCCTTTGCATGTGACCCTGTGGCCTGGTCCAGGCTCTCTCACTTGTCTCACCACAGAATCAGTACATCCCAGAAGGTGGCTGTCCCTCCAGCCTGGGTTCTGGGTGAGAAGACATGAGTTACGCCAACCCGAGCCCAACTGAGCAGGTCCAGTTGAGCCACCGCCGGCCCCGTCCCTGTCTCCACTTCATGTCTCAAAAGCAAGACAGAAGAGATCTTGCTGCAAGCCATTGACATGTTCAGGCTGTTTGTGGTCACAGCAAAAGTTAACGAATACAAACAATTTTTTTGAAAGTCTTGTTTTTTCACGGCTTATCAGTTTTTCTTTTTCCTGGGTATACTTTTTATCCATTTCTCAGAAACCATCACAAAAAATAGGGTCATGGGCCTATGCTTGGTATCTGCTTTGCTGAATTGTATATATATATGTGTGTGTGTGTGTGTATATATATACATGTATATGTGTGTGTGCATATACACACATATACACACAAACACAGATATATATATATATATATATTCACAATAACGTCGTCCTCATCCCAGAGCTGTGTTTTCTTAATCTTCCCTCTTCTCATGCTGATCTCCAGGCTGTGGATCCCAGGGTAACACATTTCACAAGCATGCTCATCACAGAAATAATCCAGCTTTGTTTCTGAGTAAAGGTGTAAATAACACTTGTGTGACTATCGTGACTGTACCTTGACCCAAGAATTGCTTGGCCACGAAATTCTCAAAGGACTTTTACACTTAACACAGAAAGTCTTCTGATCAATCGTCTGTTCTAAGGTACATATTTTATCCCAGCTTCTGTAAGAATTACTGGCTTTTAGAATTCCATATTTTGCAAAAATTATATTAATTCTCATTTCTTAAGAGAGAGAATTAACATTTCCCAAAACTTGGCACTATTTATAGATGCTAAATTGGGGACTGGAATCTTTTTTTTTCTTTTTAGCTAACAGGTATTAAAGAACCATTCTATGGCAGGCATTGTTACATGTGTTACCATCATTAATTTTAGACATCCATTTTTCCTTTTGTTATTACTTGGTGCATTGGCCTCATTCTTCTATTCTCTTCTCTCTGTGATGGGTTCCTCTTCACAGGATGCCTCGGGGTGGAAACGGGATGACAGCCAGTGGTTTCTCCACACATGGACTTGCCAGAACCTTTCCCGAAATGCTAGGTTGGAAAACTCACAGCTGATTAATTACCGCAGTCCACGGCTTACTCCGTCGGGTGAGTCAGACACGACTCAGAAGAGTCCCCTCAGGTTGTGTCCTGTGGGAGCCTGCAGAAGCCTGACGTGCTTCTTCCCCAGCATATGTGTGTGTTTCTGAGTGTGTGTGTGCATGAATGTGTACGTGAGAGAGTGTGTGTGTGACTATGTGCATGTGTGTGAATCTGCATGTGTATGCATGTATGTTACCATGTGCCTGTATCTGTGAATATGTGTGTGTAGGGGGGTGGTGGGTAGATGGGGACTTTCAGAATGGAGACAGCCACAGCACTTGTGGGAGGAATCATCTTTGACTTTATTATTGAAATTTTTTCTTTATTCTTCAGTGAAGGTGAATGAACCTGACTTGTAGGTCCCCGGGGACATCTAGGAATCAAAGCAGGACGAAGGGCCTGTGTGTGTCCCTGGGAGAAACTCCAATGGGACCGGATCCTGACATCTGGGGCATTGAGGGCAACTTGCATCCTTGGGGTAGCAGCCAGGAAAGTGGGGAGTGTCAGGAGCATCAAGGGCATGGAATTCAGAGCCCAGAGCCAGGACCAGCACCACAGCACTTGTCCAGGCAGACCCCACATCCACCCCTTGTCCAGCCCAGGCCATCCAGGCAAAAGACCTATTGTTTGTTTGTTTTTCAGTTGTTGTGTACAGTTTTATAAATTTCCCTGATAACACAGTACAAGAATAAAAGCCTCCAGTAGTGCAGGAGGACTTATAAGAACAAGCATCCTCCACCCCAAGCTTCCCGGTCCCCCTTCTCTGAGGAGCCCTGTGAACTGTCCCCACTGTGACCTCTTCTGGTGGTCTCTGCCATCTCTCTAAGTAATGTGCTCCTGTGGGCATTACTTAACTTGTCGATTTAAGCATTGGCTATTGATGGCATGCTCTGAGATATTGAGAGTTCAACTTAATTATATTCTACCACTATACCCAATCAAGTACATCACTATTTTTTGTTTTCCTGTTGGTTCCTTTGTAATATGAAGGAATACACATTCATTTATTGTTCCATCAAGTATAACGCACATACTATGACCCTCAAATGTGTAAGATACTAGCCCCTACTCAATGACTCTTCAGTGCTTTATCTAAGAGGTTGCTATAAACCAACCAACAGGGCTTACCTTGCTAAGACTATGAGAATATACTTACCTACAACCAAATAGTGTGCTTGGATTACGTTTCTTTTACTGTACTGCTTGTTATTTTTCCTGAAGTTTCTAATCCCTTTTACTTTTTAAAAATTTGCCTTCTTCACATCCTTTTATTATTTTCTTCCACCTCTCCAGTGTCTGTTCTATTCAACCAAGTCCTTCTTCCCCCAAAAAACCCTTCTAGGAGTTCCCCAGGTGCCATGCCCAGCTCTGGCTGCTGTCCAGGTGACACCACCTCACCCTGGGAGACGCCTTCCTGCTGGGTGGGACCTGGCATATGGAATCCCTGTCTTCCTGTTTCTTGCTTTGCTTGCACACAAAGTTAAGTAAGTATCTGTCTGTGAAAGGATATTGATACATAAAATATTTGAATGCATACACACCTGAAAAGTTTTTATTCCTGCCTCCATGTTTTATTGATAGTTTGTCTGGGTAGAGAAATCTTGGTTCGATGCCATTTTCCTTCAGAATTTGGACAATGCCACACTGTAGACTTTTAGATCCACGGCGGAGAGCAAGAGATCTTATTTCAAGCTGATGCTGGTTTTCTGAAAGAGATTTCCTGCATGCTTGCTTTTCTGAAATCCGTCAGGAACACATCTGGGCCTACATTTCCTCATTCATAGCATTGAGAACTCAGTGGGATTTTTCAGTCTGAACACTTTCGTTCTTTAATTCTGGGAAATTCACAATGTCTTTGTATGTGATGCCTTCCACTCGATTTTCTTTTTATTGGCTATTAGTCTTGTATTGGACCTCCTACGTTGTTCCCTCAGGTCCTTTACTTTTTCACTTATATATTCAGTCTCTTTTGCTATTATTCTCTCCTCTGGGAGATTTCTCTATTTATATTCCAAACTTCATTGATTGTTTTTTAATTTCAGCAATTGCCTTTTATTTCAGCCATGCTTTGTTATTCTCTGATGGCTCCCTTTTCTTATAAAACCCTATTTTTGCTTAGCAGAAACAATATATCTTGAATCTCTGAGAATACAAAATAGTGGGGTTTATTTCTTATTTACCAAAAAAGTATTCTTTTGTTCCATGTTTAGCTGTGTTTGCTTTGGCACATTTCCTTTCCTGTTTATCTAGCTTGGTCTTTCTAGCTCCTAGTATCTGTTTTCCTTATCCATTGATTCTCACCCCTTCTCAGTTAAGTACAAAGCAGGGCAAAGCTGCCCAGGAGCTCAGTCTGTGTGGGTAGAGCTCATTAACTGGCCGGCTTCCCTTCCCTTCGCTTGGCTAGGAATGGTGGGAGGCGACCATTATGCTTCGGGGTCCCTAAATGCAAGAAGGTAGAGTGTGTTGCTTGGGAAACCAGTTTCCAGAACTACCTAAGTTATCCCCCGACATCTCATCGAATTCCTTAAGAAAATCATTCTACTTTAGGGAAAGAGGGTAGATGAGGGCATGGGGATTATTTGTGTTTGTTGTTGTTATTGTTGCTTGTATTAGAAAAAAATTCCTAGTAATATGATATTTTTCCTGGGAGCTGGAGGAGTGTTTAATCCTTAAAAACTATAGCATATGCTACAATCGTGTCAAAAACTCCTTACAGTAAGGCGCAAGGAAATTTAATCAGAGATTTCTGTGAAGCCAGCAAAACTAGCAGAATTCAAACCTAGACAAAAAAATGGTCTGACCTTCTTAGATCATGATAAAGCCTAAACTTTTACGACATCCCCGACGAGTACTAAAACCACAAGGCTTTTCTGCATGTAAAGACTGGAGCTGAAATGAAACAGAACTCTTCAATTACTGTGCATCAGAATGGGTTTGTGGTCTCTCCTGAAATGCACGCTCCTACTATTCATAGCTTCCTCTTACTTCAGTGTATCAGCCTTCCTCAAATTACATATGAAACTAGATAGCTTTACTTGCCGCAGTCTTAAAGGTGGAAAGTGCCTTAGTAGTCACCTGGTTTAAGTTCTAATTTTAGAGATGAGGAAACTGAAGCCCAAGGAATTTTTTTAAGTGAAATGTCAAAGTCACGCAAGCACAAGTGGGAGATAAAAGAAGGGAGATGGGATTGGAGTGAAAATACTGTGGTCTTGTCTTTGTGCTGCCATAACAAAATACCTGGGACTGGATAATTGATAAAGAACAGAAATGTATTTCTTATAGTTCTGGAGGCTGGGAGGGCCAAGAACCAGGTGCCGACAGCTCAGTATCTGGTGGAGGCTGTTCTCTGCCTCCAAGGTGGCACCCTTTTGCTGTGTCCTTCCATGGCCGAAAGGGGCAAAAGGGAAAGAAGGCTGAATCCTCATAGCAGAAGAAATGGAAGGGTAGCATGGCAAAAAGGCAGAGTCCTCATGACTTACTCACTTCCTACAAGGCCCTACCTCTCAACACTATCACAGCGGGTATTAGGTTCCAACATACACATTTTGGAGAGATGCAAACACTCAAACCATAACAGGCCTGTCCCTCGTTTTGCTGGTTTGAGTTGATGTATTCTAGCTGAAGTACTGGCTGGGATGTGTTTCTGGTGTGTTAATATATAGACATAAGTCCTGGTAGCAGAAATTTTGGGTGTTCTAAATCCCAACAGATCTTGCAGAATATCAAAATTACCTGAGAAATATAAGCTTAGCATTTCAGGTGGCCTTTTAAAGGACAAGGAAGACACCCCTGGACACATTTGCATAAATCCATTCCAACCATTATTGTCTGAATGGGCAGGTGAATTTTTGGAAGCCAAATGGTTCTTCAAGACTCCTTATGAAGCTGTCAGAGCTGATTTAGATGGCTCCTAAGAAGAGTCAGAGATTTGACGAATTGTAATGTGTTAGGAATTCTAAGAGGCCTTAGAGGTTAGCCACTCTGATGTCTTCATTTTACAGGTGAAGAACAAAATGCGTAAGTAACTCGAACAAATTTGCACAGTGAATAAATGACAGAGAACAGAACAGCCATCACTGGCTGGTTGACTGGGGCTTTCCCATCTGGGACTTTTCTACTCACTGTGCCACGTGACCCACAGGACACTGTTCCCCAGCCAGGCACATGGACCTCAGATCATGAGCATCCAGATGTGTGGTTAAATACCAGCTGACACATTCCCCAAGACTGTTCATTCCAGATACACACAGACCATTTTTCTTTTAAAAAATTGAATCACATATGGCTATATCTCTGTGTGACTACCGTGCTTATAAGGAAGACATAAGGCTGTATCCTAATTAATGATTTTTAAAATTATTCTGGTAATGATAAACTCTTCCAAGCATTTCCTGGGATCTTAAAGATGGGAATTTTCTCAAACCAGCTGCTGTGAGAAATTATTTTCATACCATTTCCTCAGAAATCTACTTTGGATTCCAAATCTTTATATCTGCTTAATACTTTAAAGAATGTATTTCTATTCCCTTATTAACTTTCCTTTATTTGACTTGCAGTGAAATTCAGTGAAGAAACAAAAGATGATGTGTCTAGAGTTTACCTGGGAAGCTTACCTCTTCTTTGGAGTGTTTTAATGGGACTATGTAGTATACATTTACATGGTGCATTTGTTCCACTAACAACTTTAAATTTTATTAATTTTAACTAGGCATGGTGGCCTCAGTAGTCCCAGCTACTCAGGAGGGAGACAGGAGGATTCTATGAGCTCAAGAGTCCGTGGCTGCAGTGAGCTATGATCACACCACTGCACTGCAGCCTGGGCAACGGAGCAAGACCCCTTCTCAAAAATAAAAAATAAAAAACTTATCAATTTTGAAATCAATGCACATCAGGATACAGAATCTCAATGAGAAATATTTGTTGGGTTTCTTTTTTTGAAATGGAGCCTCAATCTGTCGCCCAGACTGGAGTGTGCAGTGGTGTGATCTTGGCTCACTGCCACCTCCCTCCACCTCCTGGGTTCAAGTGATTCTCCTGCCTCAGCCTCCCGAGTAGCTGGGATTACAGGAGCCCCCGACCACACCTGGCTAATTTTGTATTTTTAGTAGAGATGAGGCTTCACCATGTTGGCCAGGCTGATCTCGAACTCCTGACCTCAAGTGATCCACCTACCTTGGCCTCCCAAAGTGCTGAGATTACAGGCGTGAACCACCAGGCCCAGCCTGAGAAATATTTGTTGACCAAATATTTCTCAATTCCACTTGGCACACACAAATAAAGTTCCCTTTTCAACCATCTGGCGCCTGCCATTCTCTCTGTTTTAATACAGGTGGTTTTGTAGCAGGACTGTACTAGTTGAATGTGATAACCGATCTTTTGGCTATTCCATCTGATTATTTCTGCCCAGCATTCTTAGCAAGTAACTTAATATTGGCAAAGTATTGGAAGAAAATTTCAAAATATAAGAAAAGGAGCCTTGAGAATAACAGGATCTATGGGGGGCGGGGATGTCAAATCCACGGATGTTACTTCCGAAGCCAGCAAGGCCTGCATCTCCCTGAGCAAACAGTGGGCATGCCCAGAACTGCCATCAGCCCCAACTCAAGTGCATGGTTCTCCCCTCGTTAGTGGCAGCCTTGGTGGGCCACTTTCCTCCTCTGGGCTTCTGGTCACTCACTTGCAAAATGGGGCTCTGTGACCAATGACCTGTAGGGTTTGTCCCAGTGCCAGAAGCCCATGTTTCTATGGCACAAGTGAAATAAAATTTTTCCATGGAATGTAGTTCAAAAAAAAGCCATTTGAAATGTCCCTTCTGGCTTTAGCAACAGTTTGTGTTTTTTGTTTGTTTGTTGTTGTTGTTGTTTGTTTGTTTGTTTTTTAACTGAAATCTGCACAGCTCTTTACCAATGTG
This sequence comes from Homo sapiens, assembly GCF_000001405.40. Taxonomy (NCBI): domain Eukaryota; kingdom Metazoa; phylum Chordata; class Mammalia; order Primates; family Hominidae; genus Homo; species Homo sapiens. The sequence goes on from NC_000005.10 coordinate 6,406,094, forward strand.
CTGAATGCATTTCAGATTGTACAAAAGTTGAAAATGCTACATATCTCAGTGAGAAGCACATTAAAAATCTTTTAAAAGTGTTCATGTCAACTTCCATCTTTCATTTTCAGGGTCATATTTCATTGTGAATTGTGATGTTGACATTGAATTAGAAATACTGTTAAGTGCAAATATGCATGTACAGTTACATAATACAGGTGAATAATCTTGTTTAATTAAGTTTCATAAAATCTTGAACATGATCCATGGGCATTTGCATCAGCACTTTGAAAATTGATGGCATGACTTATTGTTGTGGCAGAAGCACTGGTGAGCAGGGATCTCTGTAATGAGCCTGATTCCTCCTTGACAGCTCCAATTTCATAGCATGGTCCATCTCAGGAGCCCTCAGAGTTGACCATGGGACAACTGGCTGCAGAAAGACACAGCTTGATCGCGTATTTTTGCTTGCACAGGCCATACCCTGTTCCTGCGGGGGGTGAGGTGCCCTAGAGGTCAAATAGCTGTGCCCCCCCACCCCCCCCACTCCTCAGCAAGGATACTCTCACAGAGGCATACCAGCTTCCGGGCTCCTGCCACCACACAATTCCAGTGGCTCCAGGAATGCCCATTCCACGCCAAAGGCTTCTCTGGAAAAACACAGGTTAAACCAAAGCCAGCTGTCATTTGGGTGGTGACCCGATTCAACATCACAACAAACAGGGCAGATCCAGGCAGGAGCTGCTGATGAGAAGAACAAAGACCTCAGGGAGCTGCGAGCCTTGTGCCAGCCTCCACGCCCTCTACCCCTTACAACACTTTCTGAACCCACATTGCTTTCAGCGTTCATAGGATTCTGTTTCAAAGAAGGTATGGGATCTGTACAGAAAAGAGCATTTACCTTAACATCAGCCCAGAAACCTTGGGAATGAGTCAGTCATCATAGGGCAGAGGGATGTGTGTCTCCAGGTGAAGAAATGAACAAAATGCATAGCACAGCCTAGCCTGACCATTCTGCCCACTCCAAGAACAAAGCAATAATGGTGGGGGAAGTGGGGAGCAGCCACACTCTGCCTCTAATAAAATGGGGAGAGGAAGTAATTAACAGATCCTGGGGATGAAATAAATAAGCCCCTCAGACACTGTAACTTCAGCTATTTGGCAGATCTTATCCAGAAGTTTTTCTGCTCTCTCATCAGGGTGGCTTCTTTGAGGATTTCCCACGATTATGTCTGAAATGCATTCCCCTCAATATTCCAATTCCAGAGCAGTCTGACTTGACAACAACAAACAAATCAGACCAGACAAGCAGTATTGATCCAGCAGGCGTGAATTCGGAGCCACCACGTTGCTTTCTTTGTGATTACAATACGATAATGGAATACCCACGGTGTCGCCAGCCCTGAGCAGCAACAAGGCACAAATCCTGCCTCGTGTCATCTGAACATCACAAACTTGCAACAAAAAGAAACGATGGCTCAGTCCTGTGCTGACCCTGCAAATGCAATTCGAGTCTCCTTCCCTCTTCTCCTTCCAGAGATTATAGGCACAGATCTGGCCATGGGGGTGAAAAGTGCTTCTCCTCTTCTGAAGAGATTCAACAATAAATAAATATCACAAGTAAAAGCTACTGCATTAAAATATTTTAAATGAGAGAAACAAAATCCTAGGCACCCTGGACAGAGCTCAATTAATGACTTATAGACTCCAGTCCATTTTTGGTAACACTGTTGATCTTCCCATGTGAAAACCTAACAGGAAGAAAATGCATCTAAAAAAGCTGGGCTTTTTACGAGATTGTTCCCAGTACAGGTACCTGGAACAATTGATAAAAGACCTAAGGTGGATTTGCTTTGCTTTGAACCCTCACCCTCCTACGGAAGACCTAGATAGCCCTTCGAAAGGCATAAGTGCTCTGTAAAAGTACTCAAGAGTAAAGGCATAATAAACCGTGGCTGCAAGCAGGCATTTGAAAGTGACAACCGAGACCTAAGGGGGAGTTTAACAATATGTTTGTGACAGATAAGTTTGAATATGCAGGATTGGAAAGATAACATTTCTCAACTGCTTCTTTAATTATAGCCTTGAAGAGGAGGTTGTCACTTCTACCTTCATTCAGGAAACTGTCTTGTGATGTCTCCATTAATTATGACTGTCTATGTATTGCCAGGGAGCTTTCCCATTCCCTGACACCACCAAGGCCTGGCAGCAGGTCTCGGGCTGGGGCAGAGCCTCGTTTCCTGGTTAGTGGTCAGTGCAGCTCTCCAAAACAGGACTGAGGTCAGCAGATCATCTGATCAGGCTCACGTAGCTCCACCTCTTGCCTTTGGTTAGGTGCCCCATCATCTGGGGTACCACGGCCACTCCTGTAGCACTGGCCATCCAGACACCAGACACTAACATCTGTCATGTCATCACTGAACAAGAGCTCTCTGCCTTACTGATGTTTTCGTTATCTGTTGGCAAAAAAATAAATTCAGGGGACATGTGGACCCACCTCTCAAAAAAAAGCCAAATAATGTATGTGAACTTTCCCCTCCATCCGTGGAGCTTAACACCGCCCCTGCCCCATTGAGTGTGGGCTCCACTTAGTGACTCACTTCCAAAGAGCAGAGCAAAGGGAAAGTAGTAACATGACAGCGGAGGAAGCTGGCAGACACCACCCAAACCCAAAAGGTCAGGGTTATCATCCCCAGTGATGTCATGTCCATGACATGATGCAATACAAAGGAATCTTCACCTTCGTGGTATTTTTTCCAAAAATTACCCAGAAACCCAGTGTAAACAGGAGGAAAACAACAGAGAAGCAAAATGAAAGGACATTTTACAAAATGCCTTGCCAGCACTCCTCAAAAGTGTCAAGGTCAGGAAAAACAACGAGGAAGGGCTGAGAAACTGTCACAGACCACAGGAGACTAAAGAGGCATGACCAATGCTGTGGTCTGAATGTGTCCTCTCCGAAATTCAGGTGTTGAAACTTCATGGCCAATGTGATAGTATCAAGAGGTGAGGCCTTTAAGGGTTGATTAGGCCATGAGGGTTTCTCCCTTGTCAATAGGATTAAGGCCCCCATAAAGAGGCTTCGTGCAGCATTTGGCTAGCTTGCTCTTCTGCTGTTTTGCCACAGGTGGACACAGCGTCCCTCCCCTCTGGAGGATGCAGCAACAAAATGCCTCCTTGGAAGCTGAGAGCAGCCCTCACTGGACAACAGAACCTGCTGGCGCTGTGATCTTGGACTTCCCAACCTCCAGAACAGTGAGAGATACATTTCTGTTATTTATAAGCTACCCAGTCTTAGATATTCTGTTACAGCAGCACAAACAAACTAAGATTAAGCAGTGTGGGATCCTGGATGAGAAAGAGGACATAAGTAGAAAAATGAGTGAAATCCAAATGAAGTCTAGTGTTTGGATCATAGGAATGCACGAACCTTCATCTCTTAGCTGTAGCAAAAGCACGATGGTCACGTTAGATGGGAGCATGAGAGGAAGCTAGGTGAAGGATACGCGGGAATGTAGCTAGATTTAGGAGTAGGTAACTGAGGTGCTGGAGTGTGAATTTAGGAATGTGCTCACTTTTGGAACCATCCCTGTGTGACCCTGTGCTATCTTTGCAAATTCTCTACAAATCTAAAATTATTCCGAAACAAAAAGTTTATTAAAGAATAAGGCGCTGGCTAGAACCTTGCAATATCTCCTTTAGGGTACAAAACAGCTACATGCTCAGCAAGAGAAAGGGAGAATCTGACACACAATGTCCAGGAGGGTCTAGCCCACTTCAGGCCTGGGAGAGAAGGGTCGTCCTGTTGTACCTGCCATCCAGGTGCACATGGGCCTATGGGATAAATGTGCAATACAGGAGATACTGGCATTAGATGGTCCCAGCAACCAAATCTTGGGCATGATAGTCATGCAGGAGCTCCCCCGGTAAAGTATCCATATTTACAATACCTAAAGGGATTCTTTAACTTGAGGCTTTATAAACCCAACCAAAGTTAAGTTGAGGATGGTTGGCCCACAGGCCACTGATGTATTAATGGACTCTATGTACTGCTCACAGGCACCATGGATAATATACTATGGGTTCTGATAAGAATTGTCATTTTCTTTTCCCTCAAGGACTGACTGTAGTCATAAAGCAGGATGGACAGCATCCAGCTGGGTCTTGAGTGGTGGCCCATACCGATGTGGACTCCCATGATCTGGACTGGCTGGGAGGATGCTACTGCCTGGTGGCCCCACGCCTGTTGGCCATGGGAGTTTTGGCCTTCACGTGTTAACTGAAATAATGAACACCATGGTGCTCCAGGTCTCTCGCTCCCATCCAGGCATTCTCCACCTGATATCTCTCTGGAGGGTGGATGCTTTTGTCAGCTGTGTCCTCAATAAACTGCAACCAGGCATGGGGCAATGTGGAGGGAGGGAAGAGATTTAAATTCATTTTCTGGGGGGAAGAGTCACCTCCTACTGGAATCAAGAGCTAAAAAGAGTTCTCCCATGTGTGCAGTGCCACGTAACTTCCGGTGTAATGCCACGAAACACCCACACGTGGAAAACACAGTTGCCAGTTCTTCCTCCTCCACCGTGCAGCTCCGGGGAGCTGTGGGGAGCCAGCCCCCTCCAGAATTATCTGATGCCAGCGTTGGCGTGGACATAATAATGAACAAATAAGCATTTTTTTAAATTGACAAGGTGAAAAAGAAGGTTTAGGATTAAGGAATCTTGCCTGAGGATTAGTCGAATGTCAGTGAGGAGAAATAACACTGAATAGACCCAAAATATGTTTTCAGGAAACCTCGAAAATGCTTTCTGCATAATATTATATCTCCCTCTGCTAGAACTGCCAATTTTGAGTTTCTCACTATTTTTATTTTCTTGAGAAATGATCATTTTTATAAATAGCCTTTTAAATGTCAAACTAACTGGTTGAATAATTTATCTCTACTTCTTATCCTGAATAACTCAACCCTTGCTTGATTTTCTAAAGGGTTGGGGGAAAGGGGTTCTCAGACATAAGCGCCCAGAATAAATCCTTCTGTCTGTTAGAGGCTTTGGCTGTCTCCTTTCCCGCGGGTGGTGTGGGCTCCCTGTGGCTGGAAGGCGGCTGTCCTTCCGACGGCTTGCTTCCGCTTGGCTCTGCTCGCTCTTCAGTCACAGCCACAGCAGGGTCCATGAAGGCAGATGACAGACGGGAACCCCCAAGAGGCACCTAACCAGGGATCACGTGTGCTTTCCATGAAGCCACAGGAGGACCATGACTCACTCCTCAGAGCAGCAACCCAGGGCTGCGGCATGATGGGCCTGGTCGGCGCTGGGTGCCTCGTTCGGTGCCGGCAGGAACCAGCACGCACTCAGGCTGATGAGACCAGGAGGGTCAGCTGGACCCTGACCATGGTTCTCAAAGGGTGTGCCAGGACCTGCAACAGAAGCACCACTTGGGAACTTGTCAGAAATGCAAATTCTTGCCCCTCCTCTAGGCCCGCTGAATCCTAAACTCTGGAGGTGGGGCCAAGCCATCTGTGAATGAACTCCCGCTCCGGGTCGCACCGACCCACCCTCACGTGTGAGAACCCCGGTCTAGGACCCTGGTTCTCCAACTCGCCTGTATATGTTTTCAAAATGCTTGACCTCTCACTGGGAATTTTTTAAAAAATAAATTTTAAAAATGCTAACAAGTCGATCGCCACAGATTGTGATTCCGTTTCTGTGAGGTGTGGTGTGGACATCGGGCTTTTCGGAATGCCCCAGGGATTCTGATGGGCGGTAAAGTTCGAGAACTCCTGGCCCACAGCAATCCCAAAGCTCTGAGCCTGGGCTCCTCCCGAACCTGGCGCTGCGCTGTCTTCCAGGCCCTGAAATCCCTTTCTCTCTGAGGGTAGTTCTAGCACAGGGTTCACTGCTCTGACGGCGCCTGAAAATAAACCCGGGAGATTTCTAAAGGTTCTCATTTAATTGTTTTAGATTGTTTGCATTATCAGTTCTTAGTTAATCCTGATGTGCAGCCTTAGGTGAGAATCAGAGACTAACTCTCACCCCCATTCTCTTCTGGGTAGAATTTTTCCTCTCCGAACAACATCTGAAATTATCTCCAAAATCAGATGGCAGGGGTGGGTGGGGGATGGGGGGGGGACTCCTCCCAAAATGCCCCAGGGCTAAAAGTGCCTCCTCTTAGTAGCAGTTTTAAATACTTTGGGCCCTAGTTGTTCCCAGACCACCTCTCCTGATTGACGTTTCCAATGACCTGCGGGTTTCTGCACTTGTTCTAGGTCCTTGAGTCACAGCAAACCAGAGATCTCTGCGAGAAACGCTTCCACCACATCATCCTCCCCACCTCCTGGGCCAAGCCCTTGTGCTCACGGCACCTTTACTTCTCTACAGCAAAGCAGAAAAGATTTCACTTTTCTCCCTTAATGCTCTCTGGGGCTCTCTGTTTGTATTCAAAGGGGTATCCCTAATTAGAGAAATTTTATGAAATTCCTTAAAATAAATAATCCCAAATTGCATTTTATCATAGCCAGTTTCACTGTAACTCAAGTGTCCTGGTGGATGTAAATCACATAGAGAAAATCAAGACCTTCATTTCTAAAACAAGCATACAAATTCTTCTCTAAAACATCTCAGCTCAGCTCTGACTTCCTCCAGAAAGCCCTCCCTGGTTTCCCTCAAGATAAGACTCATTGTGAAAGGCCTCCTAGCTCAGTAGACCTCTCCTCCTCATCATGGACAGAGTCCGAAGCCACTGATTTGTGAGGTGTAATTCCTCTCTGTCCTGTGAAGGCAGGGCCAGGCTGTGTGGTCCCTCTTGTATCCCCAAGGCTTGGCTCAGTGGCCGGCACAGTTGTCAAATAAACGCAAGCCTGTTCCTCCTCCTCCAAAGAGTAGGAATCCTTTCCCCCATCTTGGCAGCTTTCTCAGGAAAGGCAGAATGGGCTGCTCATGAAATCAAAAGCCTCCTTGAGAAATGTAACATTCCACATGGAAGTTTAAAGCCAGAAGCAGAAGGAATGCAGTCAGTGCCGGAGGGTGGCTGGCTGCACACGGCTGTGGGGCTGTTTGGTTTGAGTTTGCTAGGTTTGGGGATGCTTTTGCTCAAGACAGTTAAGCACAAAGGAGGGAACATTGTAGGGGTTGGGTCCTGCAGTTGGGTCCACCAAAGAGAGGCTGGGCTGGGTATAGACGGAGCTGTCAAGCCTCTCCTGCCCCTCCTGAGGACACCCGCTCAGAGCCGCTCCTCACTTCTGCAGAGAGTGCAGTGTTGAGCTTTTGATTTTTCTCTGAGTCCCTATGTTAGAATGCAGGATGGAACGTCAGATCAGGTTCACTCCTCTCCTTTCTGTCTGTCGGGTGCTCTCTGTATCAGATCATTAAGTCCAAACATGAACTGATAAAAACTGACAATCATTAAGTCCAAACATGAACTGATAAAAACTCTTAAGATAAACAAGATTAATCCATTTTCAGTGACAATTTTATTTTTATTTTTTAACTGTTTTTGGTGAGTTTCTATTTTGATATAATCTCTAGATTACAAGAATAGTGCAAGAATAGAATGAGAAACTTCAGTATATCTTTTACTCATATATACAGTTACTTACATTTTTCCCTATGTGCTTTATTATTCTCTCTGTTTATATATATATTATTATCATTTGAATCATTTGAGAGTTAGCTAGAAATATCATATCCCTTTATCACTCAATACTTCTCTATATATATTTCCCAAAAGCAAAGACTTCCCTTTTATAACCACACTTTAGTATCAAAATTTAACATTGACACCATTTATTTAATTCATAATTCATATTCAAATGGTATTCATTGTACCAATGATGTCCTTAAAGCAATATTAGGACCATAAGCATCACAATCAACTATTTTATTATTATTTTAAATGAAGTTACTTTTTTTTTTTTGAGACAGAATCTCACTCTCTCATCCAGGCTAGAGTGCAGTGGCACAATCTCAGCTCACTGCCACCTCCACCTCCCTTATTGAAGCAATTCCCCTGCCTCAGCCTCCTGAGTAGCTAGATTACAGGTGCACAGCACCATGCTCGGCAAATTCTTTTTCTTTTCTTTTTTTTTTTTTTTTTTTTTTTTTGTATTTTTAGTAGAGACAGGGTTTCACCATGTTGGCCGGACTGGCCTTGAACGCCTGACCTCAGGCAATCCGCCCATCTCCGCCTCCCAAACTGCTGGGATTACATGCGTGAGCCACCGCGCCCAGCCTAAATGAAGATTCTTAAAGCCCCATCTTAGAAAACAAAATCAGTGATCATTTAAAAGGTAGAGTCAGAGTTTGCATAAAAAAGTAAACAATTTTTCGATCTGCCCCCAACCCCACCAAGTGTTTCCCAGCTGCAGCCAGGATAAAGGAAAGATCCGCAATTGTCACCCTTTTTTGTTTTTGTTTTTATTTATTTATTTATTTTTGTCTCTTGACATGCTAGAAAGATGAGGAATTGGGAAAGGGCAAAAAGCCAAACTAGCAGCAAACTGATTTTTTTTTGAAATCCTAGAACTAAAAAATCAATCCTTGAGCAACCAAAAATACATTATAAAATAAAACCTCCAGAGTCGTTTTCCAGCATGGGGAGAGTTTCACAGGTAATTTAGGGAACGTTGTGTGTGGGTGTATATGTACATCATAGCAGAACCTTTTCATTCCATGACCATTTACAGGCTCTCCCTACGGGCATTATCTACTATACATCTCAAAACAGTGGTGAATGAATATTAGTCCTCCCCTAAGGCTCAGTGAAATGAAGAAATATGGTCAAGTCCATGCAGCTCTGAGAGCTGTCACTGGGATGTAAACCAAAACCTCTGTCTCTGAATCCAGAACTCTGTTAACCACCTGCAGCCCCCAGGACCCGGACTAAGCCTGGAGCTGGCTGTGGGGTGTTATACTCATTTCTAAGGCTGTCTTAGCACATTACAAAACTGGAGGCTTAAAAAGAACAGAAATTTATTCCCTCGCTGTTCAAGAGACCAGTAGTCTGAAATCAAGGTGCCAGCAGGGAGCTCTTGGAGAGAATCTTTCCTGTCCTCTTCCTGCTGTTGGCTCCAGGCATTCCTTGGCTTGTGGCTGCATTGCTCCAATCTCCGCCTCTCTCTTCACCTGGCCTTCCCCTCTGCATCTCTGCATCTTCTTCCATCATAAAGACAGTCTCATTGGATTTAAGGCCCACCCTAATCCAGTGTTTTATCTTGACTTTGACCTTGACCTTAATTACATCTGCAAAAACCCTATTTCTGAATAAGCTCATGTGCTGAGGTTCTGGGTGGGCATGAATTTGGGGGAGACACTATCCAATCCACTACCATCGCATCTACAGAATACCTCCACGGCAACACCTACATCAGTGTTTGGTTGAATAACAGTACAGTAGCCTAGCCAAAGAGACACATCAAACTAACCATCCTGGGGGCAACAAAGCTACAGGATAGTGGTATTCATGCTTGGCCATGATCTCCATCTTTTAAGTTAATAATGTTGTGCTTTCTTCATGGTCTCCAGATGCACGGTCACCAATGGAAGACACGCAACCAATTCTTGGGGAAAGCGTTTGAATCAGAACACCAAGGGAACAGTGCATCTCCTTGCATCCTAAATTCCGCAAGTCAAGATGGAGATTAGGGCTGACTCCACCTGGCAGAGCTAAGGACACTTTGAAGCACACACCAAATTCTTCTGGTGAGGCTTCATTGTGAGGTAGGCTGGGGGTGTGGATCTAACCCAAGCAAGACAGCCTGCACCCTCACCTGCTCCTTGCTGAGTCCTGGAGAGCTGGGGGACTCCAGGTGTCGTGGCCATCGTCCCCGTACCTTGCCCAGGTGGGTGGACACAGAGAGAGATGCATTGAAGTATTCTGGAAAGCAATGATAAAAAGATGGGGAAGTGTCTTTTGAGCTCCCTTAACACACAGCCAACTGCACTGTCTTGTCCCAGCGGCCAGTGCACAGAGAGAAGTCTCCATGCTGTTCTGTTCCTCCATACAGAAACATTTCAATAAACAACCTTCAATGCAGCGTCTCCTGCTTAACGTGAAGTGTCTTGTCAGCCAACCCAGCACAGCGTGGCTCTATCCTAGGGAGTGGCTTTAAGCCTTTCATGCAATTCATACCCCCAGTCCAAGTTAGGCAGCCCCATCTTTTTAAATCCCCTGTCTTGCACATGAAAACGCAGGCATTGAGACACGTCCAGTGGTTTCCTGAGATCCTGGGAAGAGAGCGTGAGGGCATGGAGCTGACCTGGCTGCCACTCTCCCTCCAGTGGGGCCTTTGCTGTGAAGCCAGTCACACCTGGTGACCTGCATGAGATGCCTCTGCCAAATACCTCCCTGAAAGCCTCACCTCTGGAACTCGCTGCATCCCATGGCTCTGAAGCAAGAGAACAAGTGCCCTGTACCCCTCCCTCCACCTTCTCTAGGTGAAAAGATGTTTTTTTTCTGGAAAAAAAACCCACAAAAACAAAACAAGCAAACAAACAAAAAAACATGGGACTAAAGACAGAAGACCTAGGTCTATTCCTCACTTGCGTCAAGACCACCCTTGACCTTGGGGAAAAGAGGGAATACCCTGGGCCAAATTTTTATCCTAAGGAAGATAGGAATCTCAACGTGAACAATGGATGTCAGAACCAGTGTCCAAACCAGACATTGAGAATAACAGGGCAGTCCTCAAACGCACTTTAGGAAGACATTGACTTCCACTGGCTTGCTTTAAGGGTGCTTTCTCCTCTCTTCCTACACTCTCTAATTCTAGGGAGGGAGAGCTATGGTCTTATGTTGAAGCTCACAGCTGCCAGAGTGACATGGAGCCAGTTATTCCATCATTCTAGGCCTTAGTTTCTAATGTTGAAGCTCACAGCTGCCAGAGTGACATGGGGCCAGTTATTCCATCATTCTAGGCCTTAGTTTCTATGGACAAAAATGCAGCTTGAGTGAGAGAATCCATGTAGACCCTTAGCAAGGGATCTGGCTTACAATGTTAGCGATGACCTCGGTGGGTACAGGATGTCACAGAGGGCTGCAGAGGCCCCAGTTCACCCAAAACACACAGGCAGGCAGTTTCTTTTGTTCAAACATCAGAGGCAAGACACTGTCCAAAGGTGCAGGAATGACTCCTCAGGGGACAGGCAGGGGAAGGGATGTTTGCTGCTTGCAGATGTGGTGAGGTTTTAGTATATTTAACAAATATCTTACTTTGGCAATTACAAATAACTGTAAAAGCACAAATGAAGCTCCTTGGCTTCCACTTGATGATAAAGTCACTCTGGGAAGGAAGAAGGAAGAAAAGGAGCTGCTAACCCAGACCTCGTTCAAAGGGATGAGAATCCGAGTGGAGGAAGGGCATCACTACAACGTGGGACTGTGCTGGCCTGGGAGACTAGGCAGGGCAGCATCAGGGTGCCCAGAAGGCATGGCCCTTCCCAGGGACCACAGGAAGGAACCTGTCCATGGAGACCATCTCTAAAAGGGACATTGGATCAAGAAGGGAGGGAAATTTCTCAAAAATACAGTTCTGACCAGAGAGCCCTTTTGGAAGGTCCTGTGAGGATGCAGGAGGTGCATTCCTGTGTTACCAAGAGCCAGGGGCCCCAACCCTGGTACTGGTCCATGGCCTGTTAGGAACTGAGACCAGGTCGTACAGCAAGAGGTGAGCAGCAGGCGAGTGAGCATCACCGCCTGAGCTCTTCCTCCTGTCAGACCAGTGTTGGCATTAAGGTGAGCAGCGGGCGAGTGAGTATTACCGCCTGAGCTCCACCTCCTGTCAGACCAGTGTTGGCATTAAGGTGAGCAGCGGGCGAGTGAGCATTACCGCCTGAGCTCTGCCTCCTGTCAGACCAGTGGTGGCATTAGATTCTCATAGGAGCAGGAAGCCTATTGTGAACTGCGCATGCCAGGGATCTAGGTTGCCAGCTCCTAATGAGAATCTAATGCCTGATGATCTGGGGTGGAACAGTTTCATCCCAAAACCATTTCCCCCACCACCCTGTACAAGGAAAAATTGTCTTCCACAAGACTGGTCCCTCGTGCCAAAGAGGCTGGGGACCGCACACTGCTGACGATGAACTGAGGAGGCACTCTGGTGTATTGCCGGCCACGAGAGAGACTGCAGTGCTGTAGGGTCGCGTGCCCCCATGGTGGGGGTGTGCATGGACAGTGGGGACCTGGAAGGGGGAGCTGAAGCCTGAAGACCTGGACAGGCCCCGGGTTTTAAGAGTGGAAGAAAATGGAATGCCCTTGACCCCACCACCCGTTTTACAGGAAGAGAAATGAAGGGGACCCTGGACACCAGAAACCACGGGATATTTTAAGATTCATGAAGGGCCCCAATCATCTCTTTGGATATCTTGGAGGGCAAGAGGAAAAGCAGGTGTCAGATGATAAAACAATGAGTGGCATCCATGCTGGCAGCCTGAGAAGGCCTGGGTCAGCTGTGGCCCTGGTCGCCCACCCAGCCTCATGCCCCTCATACCTGTGGCACCCCTGTTCACTAATAATCTGCAATGAGTTTCCAACATTGCTTACTTCCAAGGCCATGTGGGCTAATTTTAATGATCAGCTAATTTAAACACCCTCCAAATCAACTTTCCTGGAAGCGCTAAGATCAGCTAGGGAGCCCTAAACAAGATGATGCCACCAGTGGGGACAAGGAGTGCTAGAAAGGAAAGACCATGCTTAAAGAGGATAGGGGTCCATTTCTCCCCATTCCCTGTGATCAATTACATATTACGAGTATTTCTGGACAGGATTATAATCTTAGCATTCACTTCAGCTTTATCAATAACTATGTATTTGATTTCATCATACAAAACTGGGGAAACAAACAAGACAATTGACTTGGAAAAGTGGAATTGTCCAGAGATAAAAATCCACACTGATTTTCTACTACTCCGGCATCAGGCATGGTGCATTAGCTGCTATGACTTCACTCCACATTTGACCTTGACTAATCCTTGCATAATCCTTTACCCCCTTCCCATAGCCCAGGATTCTCTGCTGGGGCAATTTTGCACCCCCCTTCCCACAAGGGTCACTTGGCAGTGTCTAGAGACACTTTGCTTGTCACAGCAGGGGTGCTGTAAACACCCTGCAATGCACAGGCCAGGGACCCCACCCCACCCCACCCCACCATCAATAGTGCCGAGGCTGAAAAATCTGCTCTAATCCCCAAAGATTCAGGCTATAAGTTGTTACAATGTTTTTAAACTCAAGTCATTCATCTAATCCAATCATTACTAACTTACATTTCTAAATGATTATATCATAAATACCAAAGCGGGCCATTTAAAACAAAGTCCACAGAAGCAACTAGACTGTTAAGGAAGGAAGTCACCATTAACTTTCCAGTCAGCATTCATTAAAAGTGAATGATGAATCTTATCACGTCATAGTGTAAATAAAAAATTATGTACTAAATAAGATGAGTGTTCTTTTTGACCCTGACTTGTCACCTTGGCATATTCTCTGACGTGTCTCACATTAACCACTGGCAAGAGCCCAGAAAATATTCGCCCTGTAAATACAATGTCAACGGAAGGAGAGGCGTGTAATTACACCAGGCAGGAGCCCGAGCTTACCAAATTACATGTTTTCCCAGCTTCACATTTTACAATTTAATAATATCTCCTATAATTATACATTGTTACAGCATGATGTCAGAGATGCACTCGAGCTCTTCTCTCTGGTGGGGGTTTTTCAGTGGCTATGCTGCACCCAAATGCTTTCCCAATCTTCAAGATGTTCTGGTCTTTTTATAGACCTAACTAATAAAAATAGAGAAAGAAATTGCAAGGCGGCTGCTAAAAAGGGCACCTTTATGTTGAATGTTTGTGCTTTCACTGGTGTTTGGCGGCTGTGGCATTTACGGGAGCTGATGCAGATCTTGTACTGAGTACGGTTAGACCCGATGGTGCAAACAGCCCCCAACTTTTACGGCATCCACTGAATTTGTGCCCCCAATCTCCTGCGTTGGTGATGCTTCAACCCTTGTGTATTAATGTCCTGGCACACGCGGCAAAGTATCATGGACTGGGAGCTTAAACAACAGACATTTATTGCTCACAGTTTGGAGAGTCCACACATCCAAGATCAAGGTGTTGGCACGGCCATGCTCCCTCTGAAGATGCCAGAAAAGGCTCTGTTCATGTCCTCCCTCCTTGGCTTGTAGTTGGCCATCTTCCCCCTGTGTCCCACCCACTCCACTGCACGCCTTCCTTCTATGCATGGCTGTCTCTGTGTCCACACATTCCTTTTACAAGGACACAGCTCAGATCGGGTTAGGGACCACTCTAATGACTTGCTTTAACTTTAATTACCTCTGTAAGGACCCTATCTCCAAATAAAGTCACACTCTGAAGTACGGGAGGTCAGGGCTTCAACATATCTTTTTGGGGGGACCACAGTTCCATCCATAACACGCTGCATTCATGGGTTTGATCCTTGATCAGTGCTCTGTGCAGAGACACACTTGCTGAGAACCCACCAAGTCCCAGGCATCACACCAAGTTCTTTGTACACACTATCAGGCACAACCCACCACAAGCCCAAGGCAGAGGTTAAATGTACTTGCATTTGTCCTAAAAGAATTTGACCTGTTCACACAGCTAGGACTTATAGAATCAGGATTAAAAACTGGGTCTGACCAATTCTAAAGCTCATACACTTACCAGCCCAACCCGCCACTTCCTACTGCTTCTCTTCATCCTTGTAATTAAAGTAAATCAGTCTTAATTTAGCTCTTATGGCATCTAAGAGCCCCTACAGCTCCTCTAGAGAAAACCAGAAACCCCTTGTGTGTCACAAATGTGTCACTGGAAAACTTGCTTCTACGATTTTACATTTTTAAATTAGAGGACAAGTATAGCCCTTCAGCTTTATGGTTATTTTTCTAAGTATGGTGATTATGGTGTTGGAGCCTTTGGATCTGATGATTTGTTTTCTGTTTTTTAAACTGAAGAATTCCCTGCCTCTGGAATCAGAGGCAGGGCTGCACAGCTCCGAGGGTGCACCCACACTGCCAGGACAGCTCCCAGAGCAGCAGGCATCACCAGATGGAAGACACGACGGGGGTTGCAGAGGTGCCACATCGTGCCCGGGCCCTGCTGTAAAGTATGTGCCTGAGGTCAGAACTGCAGATGAAGTCATCGTCCGCCTTCTTCATTGTGTCTGCTCACCTTGACCCAGTTCCCCCTTCCAGTCCAGCCAAAACTCGGCTTGGAAGACAGACTGTGGACTCTGCCCCACAAATCAAGATGGTTAAATTCTGTCCATTTACATTCTGTCAATGACCTAACACCATATTCACAAGTGAAAAACCACTGCCACGGGAACTGGAAGGTGTTTCATGGGACAAAGGTACGTGGCAGAGGACTTGCGATTGCCCCATCTTCATGTCTCCGGAGACCCCTCCAAGATCGTGCTCCCCACATTCACCATCACCTTCTTGCTAGCCCATGTTTGCCATCTTTCAGAAGAGCATAACTCTTATTTCCTCTCACCTTCTGGTTGGATTGTGCCTCCTAAAAGGATATGTTGAAGTCCTAACCCTGGTAACCTGTGAATGTGACCTTGTTTGGAAATAGGCTTTTTTCCAGATATCATTAAGATGACATCATTAGGGTGGGCCTTAATCCCATGACTGGTGTCCTTATAAGAAGAGGAAAGACCAGGCACGGTGGCTCACGCCTGTAATCCAGCACTTAGGGAGGCCCAGGCAGGCAGATCACAAGGTCAGGAGATTGAGACCATCCTGGCCAACACGGTGAAACCTCGTCTCTACTAAAAATACAAAAATTAGCTGGGCATGGTCATGCGCACCTGTAGTCCCAGCTACTCGGGAGGCTGAGGCAGGAGAATTGCTTGAACCCAGGAGGCGGAGGTTGCAGTGAGCTGAGATCGTGCCACTGCACTCCAGTCTGGTGACACAGCAAGACTCCATCAAAAAAAAAAAAAAAAAGAAAAAGAGAGAAAGAAAGAAAGAAAGAAAGAGAGAAAGAAAAGAAAGAAAGAAAACAAAAGGAAAATGCCATGTAAGGTCAGAGACACACAGGGAAGAGGGCTGCATGTCCAGGAAGGCAGAGATCAGAGTGCGGCAGCTGCAAACCTAGGAACGCCAGGATGGCCGGGAGCCCCCAGACGCCAGAGGAGGTGAAGAGGGATCCTGCTGGAGCTTTGGAGGGAGCGTGGCTCCACCAACAGCTTGATCCTGGACTTCCGGCCTCCAGAACTGCGAGAGAATGAATCTGAGTTGTTTTAAGCCCCACAGTGTGCAGTGCTTCCTGACGGCAGCTCCAGGAAACCAGCCCATTTTCCATCAGTTACTCACGTTCTGTGTTATGGTTCTGCTGGGCTCCCACAGTGAAGCACAGGCCACTTCATTAAAAGTCAACGTGAGAAATTTTGCTAGTGGTAAAAAGCTGAATTCACTAAAGAAGAAAGAAAGAGAGAGAGAAGGAAGGAAGGAAGGAAGGAAGGAAGGAAGGAAGGAAGGAAGGAAGGAAGGAGGGAAGGAAGGAAGAGGGAGGGAGAGAAGGAGGGAGGGAAGAAAACAAAAGAAAAGAAAAGAAAATGTGGAGGTGGGTGGTGGCTCATGCCTGTAATCCCAGCACTTTGGGAGGCCGAGAGGGAGGATCACGAGGTCAATAGATCGAGACCATTCTGGCCAACATGATGAAATCCCGTCTCTATTAAAAATACAAAAATTAGCTGGGCATGGTGGTATGCACCTGTAGTCCCAGCTACTCAGGAGGCTGAGGCAGGAGAACGCTTGAACCCCGAAGGTGAAGGTGGCAGTAAGCCTAGATCATATCACTGCACTCCAGCCTGGCAACAGAGTGAGACTCCACCAAAAACAAAAACAAATATTTGAAATGTATGATTTCCTCAATTTTCCCAGCACTCCCTGTTGACCATCTCTTTTGTTCGGGAGCTGGGAATTTATTTATTTATTTATTTATTTATTTATTTATTTATTTATTTTGAGACGGAGTCTCGCTCTGTCACCCAGGCTGGAGTGCAGTGGCGCGATCTCAGCTCACTGCAACATCCGCCTCCCGGGTTCAAGCGATTCTCCTGCCTCAGCCTCCCGGGTAGCTGGGACTACATCCACCCGCCTCCACACTTGGCTAACTTTTCGTATTTTTAGTAGAGACGGGGTTTCACCAAGTTAGCCAGAATGGTCTCAGGATGGTCTTGATCTCCTGACCTTGTGGTCCACCCTCCTCGGCTTCCCAAAGTGCTGGGATTACAAGCGAGAGCCACCACACATGGCCAGGAGCTGGGAATTTAATAGGCACATTTGTGCAAGGGGACAAGGAGTCTCCGAGGGAGGAATGTGGGACCCAGGCCATGGCAGGGCTGTGGGAGGCACGGGTGATGGCCAGAGTGCCAGCCTCGTGCGCTTGGACTCCGTGGCCCCAGCTCATTGTCCCTCAGGGCTCCTCCTGAGTCACTGCTGACCTGAATGGTGCTGAGTTTCTGCCTGGCCCAACTTCCTCTGTTCAAATAAAAGCACTCACCAGAGAGAGGTGATATGGGCATGAAAGTGAATATGTACCACACTCTAAAGGCCAAGGAGGAACTTAGAGAGGGCCACAGAGAACACAGGCAAAAACTAAAGCCAGCTATAAACAATCACCTGCAGTCACGCTTCTCAGTCCCACCAGACACCCTTTGGAATACTTGGGACCCTGCCGTGTGCTAGGAAGGGTTGGTTTTATGGAGCAAGGGCAGATCTGTCAGCATTCTTTAATAATGAATTGAAACTTTAAAAGGTTTCCATCTAGAGGAAAAACACAGGAAGGAAGGAAGTCTGATTAACTCTGTTTAACTCTACGAGTCACCAGGGGTGCCATCTCTGCAGTCCCTTTTTCCTGATGGAATCTCTGCCTCCAGTCTGGGATCGCTGGGGCAGAGGGGGGCATCATGCTATGTTGTCCCGGCTGGGCAAATCCGTCTGGTGATATGCCCTCGGTCCTCATCCAGGAGGATGTGTTTCTTACTCATCATAGTGGAGAATGCAGACCAGGGAGTGACCCACAGGTGACAGGCCAGCACCTTCATCTTATGGGATTGTTGTACCAAGGTCGCCCCCCTCTCAGAGTCTGAGTCTGTCCTCAGTGTCCCTTGGGGGATCCACAGTCAGTGTGTGGCCCTAGAGGGGAGCACCATCCACCTGGGCCACTCACATCGGCCACACTGGCCATTTAGGACACTGTCCACAGCACCACAGCGTGGGCCTCACCCAGCAGGAATGCGTTTGGAAGGCTGCTGTGCTCCCAAGAACCAGGCATTCGTGCACAGCTGTGAGGGGCTCCTCCTCCCCGTCCAGCCCAGCCTCTTACGGGGTGTGCTGTCTACCAGGCAGAACCAAGGTGCCCTCCATCCTGGCACTGGCACTAGCCTCTGTTAGGGCACTCAGCGCATCACATGGGAGATCTGTTTACCCACCTGTCTAACTAGGCCAGCAATCCCAACCTTGCATACTTTACACCTGGGAGATTTTCAAATTACCCATGTCTGAGTCTCACCCAAGAGGTTCTAGTTCATTGGCCCTCAGGGAGCCAAGCACCAGTTTTTTCCAAGACAGCCCCACACCCCTGTGCAGGTGAGTCTGTGTGTGCCCAGGGCAAGAATGGTAGAACCAGAAGATAGGCCTGGAAAACCCTGATGGTGTGTTTTACTCCTTCCCTCCTTTCCTCCCTTCCTCCCTTCCTTCTCTCTCTTTCTCCTTTTCTCTCTCTTCTCTTTTTCTTCCTTTTCTTTTCTTTTCTCTCTTTCTTTTTCTTTCTTTCTTTCTTTTCTTTCTTTCTTTTTCTCCTTCTTTCTTTCTCTTCTTCCTTTCTTTCCCTCCTTCCTTCTCCTTTCTTCCTTCCTTCCTTCTCTTTCTTCTTTCCTTCCTTCCTTCTCTTTCTTCTTTCCTTCCTTCCTTCTTTGCTTTCTTTTTCTATCAAAGCCTAGCAAAGTCTATCATATTCAACAAATGTTAATTAAATAAATGAAGAGTGAATGAATGAAACTTTTATTTATTAGTCAGGTTAAAAGGAAGAGTTAAATTCTTAGGTTAAAAGGAAGAGTTTTAAAAGTTACCTGCTTATTGCTTATTCTGAGTATGTAAATACAAAGACTGCTTTCCCGTCAAATTTTGATTTGCTAGAATCTGTCATTTGACAGTAAAGGGAAATGCTGTAGAAAAAAATGAACAATATCTTTTTCACACCTGCAAAATTGACTAACAGCAGACCTCATTTGATTCAAATAAATGAAAAATCATTTGACTTTGGAAATAGATGAAATCCGGAGAGTTGCAGACATAAGCTACAACTTGTAAAGATGGGAAACGGATGAAAACTGGCAAATAAAAGGGGGTTTCCAATAAAAACATCTGTAAGTGTACCTGTGACATCGAGCGTGCTGTGGATCAAATTTGGCAGTACTGCAGCTTAACTTTTCTCATTCTTCATAAAGTAAAAGCCCTGGTTAAATGATGGCTTATTTGTCAAGCTTCAGGCAAACAGCTCATAAAAATCAACCAGCTAGACTCAAACATTTACACAGTAGGAAAAACCTCCTTCGGACAAGCAAGAGATTAAGAACTAGTTTTGAAAATGTGTAAGTAAAGGAGGAAAACAGGAATCGACTAGGTGATATCAGCCAATGGAGGAGTCCCAAATTTCTCGTGGAATAAGCTCTAGCAAGAACTTCCAATAGATAGAAATGAAAACATCTTAAAAGTGAGTAAACTGAGACTCAGCAAAAGGAAATCACTGACTCAAAGAGCACAGAGAAATAAGTTTTCATAAGGAAAATAACAGTCTCCCAATTACCAAGCCATCTTTCTCCTTCACAAGAAAATACATATTTAATAATGTAATCTTGGTGGGGTACACTGGCTCATGTCTGTAATACCAGCAGTTTGAGAGGCTGAGGTGGACAGAGTGCTTGAACTAAGGAATTCAAGACCAGCCTGGGTAACATAGTGAAACCTTGTCTCTGCAAAAAATACAAAAATTACCCAGTCGTGGTGGTGCATGCCTATAATCCCAGCTACTAAGGAGGCTGAGGTGGGAGGATTGCTTGAGCCCAGGAGGTCGAGGCTGCAGGGAGCTATGATGGTGCCACTACACTCCAGCCTGGGTGACAGAGAGAGACACTGTCTCAAATAATAACAATGCTAATAATAATAATAATGTTCTTATTTCCTGCTACTTTTTTCTTAAAAATATACTCTGTTAATTCATATGCTATGCTTCACTGGATTAAAATGTCCTTGAGAACAGAAATTGTCTTCCCTCTCACTAACATATGCAAGTTCTATGCCTGATGCCATTTTTACTGGAGAACATACACCTAGAGTACCTGATTCTAATTATGTCATTTATGATAACATATGTATTAATATATATGCATATCATATATTAAAAATATTTATATGTTACATATATATGTATACTTAAATATATATACCTATATGTGTGTGTGTATATATGCATATATATAATCTTTAAAAGCATATCATACTGGAGATCCTGATTCTCTCTGCACTAGACTAAAACATTTAGCCTTTTGCCTTTTGAGATAGGTTACCTCTAAGGGGCTTTGACAGATGAATAGATGAATGGATGGAAGAATAAATGAATAGGTGGAAGCATGAATGCATCTATTGATGTGTAGACATAGATATTGAATCAAATGACATTTGTAATGTAGAAGCACTATAAAGTTTATGGCCTGATGCGGTGGCTCACGCCTGTAATCCCAGCACTTTGGGAGGCCGAGGAAGGTGGATCACCTGAGGTCAGGAGTTCAAGACCAGCCTGGCCAATGTGGTGAAACCCCATCTATACTAAAGATAGAAAAGCTAACCAAGCGTGCTGGTGCACACCTGTAATCCCAGCTACTCCGGAGGTTGACACAGGAGAATCGCTTGACCCGGGAGGCGGATGTTGCAGTGAGCCGAGATCGCATCATTGCACTCCAGCCTGGGTGACAGAGTGAAACTCCAACTCAAAAAAATGAAATAAAGTTTATCATGCTTGGTACAACCACTGTTCATAAAATTATTCCAACATTTCTCTGGAAGCAGACAGAAAATTAAGGATGGTCACAGGATTTAAGGACACGGCAAATTCCTAGTACCAATTATCTTCTTTAGGGGTAGTCATAGCCTCAAAACCACATCCTTTTACTCAGATTTCTAACAACACTATTCAGTCCCTAAATAGTTCTGAGCAGCATCTCTTTTCTGTTCAAGTGCCTATTCCTCTCTTTGCACAGACAACCTGGGTACACTCCAGCATTCTGGGAGGCTGAGGTGGCCAGATCACTTGAGCCAAGGAGTTAAAGGCCAGCCCGGTCTCTGCAAAAAATGCAAAAATTAGCCAGGTGTGGTGGTACGTGCCCATAATCCCAACTACTAGGGAGGCTGAGTTGTGTTAACATGCCTTAGAGACATGTCAGAAAGCTGTAGGGTGGCATCTGGAGAATCCTCCAAACTCACTTTGAGCCTGAAGTTCATAACTAGAAACTCTATCCTTTTAGGTTAAATTAGTGGTTCTCAGCCAGGGGTGATTTTGCCCCCACAGGAATGCTAGGCAATGTCTGCAGACATTTTTTACCACCACACCTGGCATAGGGGTTGCTCCTGGTATCCAGACAGTAGAAGCCAGAGATGCTGCTCAACATCCTAGGATGTGCAGGACAACCCCCACCACCAAGACTCACTCGGCCCAAAATGTTGGTAGTGCCAAAGTCGAAAATTCCCCAGTTGAATCACGATGCTGTAGACACCTGAGATGAAAATGAAGCTGAAGGGAACCATTACTGATGTCTTTCAGATCACAGATATTTGAGTGACTCATGTGCTAGGAATTCTGGAAATGCTACATCTAATCTGGCAATCATTATGAGAAGGTACTATCCTCATTTTATCAATGAGAACACAAATTTCACAGAAGTTAAATAACTTGCTCCCAATTAAGTAATTCTGTTGGTGGTGCCCGGAAAATCAACCCAACAGAGACCACTCACCAAAATCTCTACTGAAATACAACAGCTTCGCCAGAGCATGGGAGATGCAAGCCTAAGGCAGAAGGAAGAGCAGCCCCACCACTGTGAGCAAACCTGCAGGACTCCATAATCAACAAAAGTCAACGCAAGCTAAGAATACATTTCAGCCGCAAGATGCTGCATGAGTTCATGAACAATGCTTCCATGCCATTCTCATGGGAAAGTAGGCTGTCTGGAGCACATTTATGCAACTGCCACCTGAAAGGACAATCGCATCTTTCTGGAAACCCCCTTGAGACTAGGCCTAACACTGTGTCTCATCTTCAATCATCAATCAACAATTGCTTGTCCTTGTAGTCTGAAAAATCTTGGTGAGGTGGTCAAAGACAAAAGTTGGTTGAGTGGGTCATGGACTTTCCCAGGCTTGACAATTTACCCATTCGGATGTTCTTGTCTGAGAAGAAAGAGAGAAAGACAGAGAAAGAAAGGGAGGAGGAGAGAGGGAGAGAGGGAGGGAGAGTAAACTGATATCAGATGAGTTCAGTTTAGGAGGCAGTAGGATGTTGAGGAGTTGCACTTCAGAATAAATCAACGAGTCTCACCCGCCATTTCGCAGAGCTTTCCTTAAGACACGGTAATACTTTCAGGCTTGTTTTCAAGACTTTCCTTATTTATTCATTTTTAATTGACATGTAACAATTGTACATGTTTATGGGTCGTAGGGTTTGCTGAATTTCATAAAATTGTATGTTTCAATATATGTAATGTATAGTAATCATATCAGGGTGATCAGCATACCCAGCATCACACACATTTAGCACTTTTTTTGTGTGTTGGAAACATTCAATATCCTCCTTCTAGCTGTTTGGAACTATATATTATTGTTAACCACAGTCATCTCACAATGGTATAGAACAGGGTCCCCAACCCCCGGACCATGGATCAGCACCCTGGCCTGTTAGGAACCGGTTGCACAGCAGGAGGTGAGTGGCAAGCCAGCAAGCATTGCTGCCTGAGCTCCACCTCCTATCAGATCTGCCACAGCATTAGATTCTCTAAGGAGTGTGAACCCTATTGTGAACTGTGCATGCCAGCAATCTAGGTTGAACACTCCTTATGAGAATCTAATGCCTGATGATCTGAGGTGGAACAGTTTCATCCAGAAACCACCCCCCCACCCCCAACCTTTGCCCATGAAAAAATCATCTTACACAAAACCAATCCCTGCTGCCAAAAAGTTTGGGGACTACTGGTCTAGAACACTAGGACTTATTCCTCCTATCTATCTACCTGTAACTTTGTATCCTTTAACAAATCTCTCCCTATCTGCCCTCCCCTCCCAACCTCTACTATCCTCTGTTCTACTTTTCAGTTCTATGAGATCAACTTTTTTAAGCTTCCACATATGAGTGAGAACAGGTGATGTTTAACTTTGTGTTCCTGGTTTATTTTACTTAACATAACATTTTCTGGTTCCATCCATGTAGCCACAAATGACAGAATTTCATTCTTTTTTATTTAGACAGAATCTTGCTCTGTCCCTCAGGCTGGAGTGCACTGGGGTGCTCTCAGCTCACTGCAACCTCCACCTCCCAGGTTCAAGAGATTCTCCTACCTCAGCCTCCTGAGTAGCTAGGACTACAGGCACCTGCCACCACACCTGGCTAATTTTTTGTATTTTTAGTAGAGATGGGGTTTCACCATGTTGCCCAGGCTGGTCTCAAACTCCTGGCCTCAGGTGATCCGCCTGCCTCGGCCTCCCAATTTCATTCTTTTTTAGAGCTGAATAGGAGTCCATGGTGTATATATATACCACATTTTCTTTATCCATGCATTTGTTGTTGGACATCTAGGTGGATTCCATATCTTGGAAAGTGTGGAAAGTGCTGCAGTAAACATGAGGGTGCGATGTCTCTTGGATATACTGATGTCCTTTCCTTTGGGCAAATGCCCACTAGTGGGGTTGCTGGATCATGTGACATTCCTATTTGCAGTGTTTTGAGGAGCCTCCATACTGTTCCCCAAAATGGCTGTGCTAGTTTACATTCCCACACCCCATGTGGGAATTCCCTCTCCTCAGCAGCCTCGTCAGAATTCGTTCATTTTTGCCTTTTCGATAATAACCATTCTAACTGGCATGAGATGAGACCTCACTGTGGCTTTGATTTGCATTTCCCTCATGATTAGTGATATTAGGCAATTTGTCATATACTTGTATTTCTAATTTGACACTATTTTCAAATGTGGATATTTTAATAAACTGTTCTCAAATTTGAATATTTCCAAATTTTATTATTGTATAAAACTCAACAGATCCTAGACCTTTAAGAAACATTCCTTTTGTATGTCATCATGACTTAGGACTCTGTGACGTTTGAAAGTCGTCACAAGATGGGTCGCATTTTCTGTTTGTACGCAGACTTGTTCTATGTCACAGACTCGGCTTCTGTGTATGACTTTTAAAAATAGACCTTTCTGGTTCCCAGCCTGAGCTAGCTCATCACTGCTCTGCCTTCCCTTGGAGAAGTTCCCAGGCCCAGGGCCAGTGGGGACACAGAGGAGCTGGGGAACCGGCCAAGCAGTAGGGCCCCAGGCTTAGGAGCCTGCCGGGACCCAGAAGTCTTTGGATCTGATTTTGCTGCCACCTGTGAAGTCTTTCTGTGACAGTGTTGCCACTTAGGAGCCCGTCCCTGAATCCAGGGATGGACTAGATGCATTCTGAGGCTCTTCCACCTAGGAGATGGAGGAGCAAAGCTGACTCTTCATGCTGGCAAGTGGCCGGCCACAGCCCAGGGCCACTCCCTTCCTGAATTTGCCCTCCTTTCTTGCTGTCCTCTCCCAGGGCCCTTGGGGCCTGACCCTTCCACCTTCAATAAGACAGAGGGAAGGACAGGGGAGGGAAGACCTTTCTACCTCCCCAGGTTCAATTCCCCAACGCCTATCTGGGAGGGGAGGGACAGGGAAAGGAAGGGGAGGCCATGCCCCCTCCCATTGGGTCCCCAACATCCTCCACTGAGACCACAGCTTCCTCCATCTGCACAATCTCAGAGGTCATTTTCAAGCCCCTACAGGTGCCAGGCTTTGCTGGCCATTAAGGGGTGCAGAAGAGGAGAAGGCAAGAACCCTGTGTTACAGGCTGTTTATAACCTACTTGGCAGGAAAGAGTAAGCAAAGCCAGCTATTACATGAAAGTCTTCAAACACAGGAATGGAGAAAGACTTTAAGGACGCCCCCTCCCACACCATCCCAGATCCCAGCACCTTGTGCTGGATGAGCCCAGGAAAAGCCCCAGGTGTACCAGCAAAACAGAAAGCAATGTAGCCTTCTGTGGGTGGGGACTAAGTCTGTGTGTCAGATGGGTTGTGAGAGAGGACATAGACCAGCCAGGAAATAATTCTATATATTAGGATTTTAAAAGCCACTGTGCAGTGGTTTGGGGACCTAATTGCTGCGCATAATAGCATTTTTAGGACAAACACGGTTTGTTTTCTAACAGACTTAAAAGCGAGCCTTGGGGACACAGCCTTTCCCAAAGTCAGGGTCTGCTGTGTTTTATGTTATCAACTACAACTAGCTTAGGGAGGGAGGCTGAAAATAGAAGCCACTGCCATCTAGACTTGGCAAGGAAGCTTTGCTCAAAGATATCTCCCCTTTGTGTTGTGTGAAATGCCACTTGGGTTAACAGATTCCTGGAGGAGGGGTGTGTTAGTCTGCTAGGGCTGCCATAATAAAGTACCACAGACTGGGGGCTTCAACTGCAGAAATTGATTGTCTCACCATTCTGAAAGCTGAAAGTCCAAGTCAAGACATTGGCAGGGTTGGCTTTTTCTGAGGCCTCTCTCCTTAGTGTCCTCCTATGTCCTCCTAATTACCTCTTATGATAAGGACACCAGTCACACTGGGTTAGAGTCCACCCCAATGACCTTGTTTAACCTCAATTACTTCTTTAAAGGCCCTATCTCCAAGTGCAGTCACCTTCTGAAGCACTGGAGGTTAGGGCGTCAATATATGAATTTAGAGGAGGCACAATTTAGCCCTGAACAGGGGACATTCTGTGTGTGTGTCTTGGGGGGACACAGCATTTTCATTACCCCCAGCCCACGCTCATTTAAACCCAGTTGAATGATCCAAATAATCCCACACTCCTGGGAGACCACAGATAACTGAGGAAGGGGAGGCAAGGGCGTCTCAGGGACAAGAGAGGCTCTTGACTGGTGGCACGAGAGTGACCATGTCCCAGATCAGAGCACATAAGTGGTCCGGGGACAAGCAAAACCAAATGTGGGGAGCCCTGCAGGAGGGAGGGACACTGGGGAGCACAGAGCAGCCTTGCCAGTGGGTCCCACCCTCATCTCATGCAGCCAGGAGCTGGCTTCGGGGTTAGGAGTCAACAGCTAGTTCAGCACGCACCCTTGACGAGAGTGACATGAGTGATATCGATCAAAAAGGACCTGACTCTCAGCTTACTCGAGTAGCTCCTCCACCTCTCGAAACCCTTTAGAAAATATATATATCTTTGCAAATGCTCTGCCCTGCAAGAAAACCTTCTATATTCTAAATTCCTCTAGCTGAAAACCAAAGGGCTGTTTACATAATGAGTTCGAAAATAAAAGGAAAATATTAGAAGGCATTCCTCATGAATTCTGATAAGGATATTATCCTGTTCAGAGGCATCCTAATTATAAAACTACACAATAAACCTCAATTCTAACAGAGTTATTCTTCTCTATCGGGCAGATGGTAATTGCTTTTAAAATATATATATGTACAACTTGTGTCTTATCTGTTTTGAGAAAGTAATATCTATCTTTTTAAATTGCCTAATTTTTTATTCTGCAGAGGCTAACTCTGAATAAATCTCTCTTCAAAAAAATTGCCAGCCTAGGCAAAAAAGCAGCACTTAAAAAATAGAATATTTTCTCAGAAAAGATGAGATTGCAAAGTGATAAGACTCAGAGAGAAGTATTATAAGCTTTTCTGTAGCTACTTGTGAATGCAAGGCGCAAAATAAAGTTTTCTGCCTGTTCTGCCCACACATGCCCACAGGGTGGGTTAGGACTGGGTGAGCTCCAGGCTGGCTCACACCCCAGTGGGCAAGGAGCGGGCAGGCTCCGAACGGTTTAGGAATAACTGAGGGTGATGACTCCTGAAGTTGTACTAGGTCCACTCCCTTTCTTTAAAAGATGGCTTCATCTCGAGTGTTCCAGTCATAGCCCAGAATACCGCTTTCCTGCCTAGCAAAGCTTTCGATGAAACAAATATTTTGTGGTGTGTGGAGGGAGAGAAGGTTCTATTTTATCAGTAGAAGATGATATACAGTAGAATTTTAACACTGCAAATCAAAGCCTATTCGAAAGAAGTGAAATCAATTTAGCTTTTTTTTTTTTTTCAGATGGAGTCTAGCTCTGTCGCCCAGGCTGGAGTGCAGTGGTACCATCTTGGCTCACTGCAACCTCTGCCTCCAGGGTTCAAGCAATTCTCCTGCCTCAGCCTCCTGAGTAGCTGGGATTACAGGCATGCGCCATGATGCCTGGCTAATTTTTGTATTTTTAGTAGAGTTGGGGTTTCACCATGTTGGCCAGGCTGGTCACAAACTCCTGACCTCAAGTGATCCACCTGCCTTGGCCTCCCAAAATGATGGGATTACAGGCATGAGCCACTGTGCCCGGCCCAATTTAGCATTTTCTAAAAAATGAAATACTAGAATACCCTAGACTGGATTAGATAGGAGAAATGAGAAAATATCCCAGTGCTATGCACATAGGAAGGGTAAATAACGTGTAAAACTTGAACTCTTTCAGGGTCAAAGAGCAGTTACTCTGTCGTTCACTCACCCATCACCCACCCTCTTGACAGAAAGGGTTAATGCTGCCCTGGTGGTATTTTATGCTAAGAGAGAACACACAGGGAAGATCTGGAGTGTGACTCACATGAGCAAGTGTGACATCCCAGGGAGGACCGGGAAGCTCTATGGGATGGGAGGACCATGATCAGATGGTAAAACCACAGTATCTCTCCTTGGGTACCCAGAGAGCAACAAACAGGCCAATCTAGTTGCTTGTTGTCTCATGAGCTGATTTCAATAAAGATGCAACCAGAGACAAAGAGGAAAGGAACGTCACAGTATCAGCGTGCACTGAAGCAGACCACCTTTTCCAATGTGAAAATGGGACGTTTTAGACATTTTCAAAAACAGTTGATTTACTTCTAGTAAAGTACTATAGATTTTTCTCGTGATTGTGCCTGTGTGTGTGAAAGCCCACCCACATATCTCATGCGTCCAAAACACATACACTTTTTGCAGAAATAGTTATAATTAAAATGTACGTTTTAAACGAAAGACAAAGTGAAACACAAATACGGGTATAGAGGTATAAGGACAACTCAGACCAAAAATATCACTGACCCTAAAATAAATATCTAGAGTCCCTAATCAGCAGTGCCTACCATCCCCTATATCTAGCTTTCTTTCAGCTAAATTAATACTCTTGCAACTCGGAATGGTATCAGATCCTAAAGCCATGATGGGATGGGAAGAGCACACTCCTTAGTTATTACTCTGCATTCCATTGAAATCGCTATCATGTTTGAAACATTCAGTTTTTCCTATCTTTTTTTTCCTAGTAAGTAACCTAAATTAAGCTAAAATATCATTTATTCTTTTCTAACTGCAGCCTGTTCCTTGCATTTGAAAGAAGTCTGTGCCAGGGCTCTCCTGTGGATGAATGTATCTCACACGCTAATGATGAAACCCTTCCCTGAGCCCCGCATCAGGGATTCTGAGCTCAGGGCAGATGCGTCGTCGTCACGGTCTTTGCTGCAGTCACGACTCCTTCCACCTTGGGGACCAATCAGTGGTGGTTTCTCTTCCACGTATTGCCTCACTGTCTGTGCAGTCACATCTCTCAAAGCAACGTGGGACTTTGCCAGAGCCAGCTGCCTGAAATGTTCTTCCTCCTTATCTGTAGCACCTGGATCCGCACGAGAAAAGCTGCACAAATACGTTTCTGGAAAGGCGGTATCACCAACGGAGATTGCTTTGATTAGGGCACAAGCTTTTCCATCTAAATATCTATCCATTTCTGGACTAATTTATTTATGCACATATTCTATCATTCAGTAAGAATGAATTCAGAAATCTATGCACTGAGAGAGACTACATTTATCTCATATCTCTCTTGAAGACATTCATTATATATTTCTCTCTCTCTCTCTCTCTCTCTCTCTCTCTTTCATTCTTTTAACTTTGTTTCCTCGGGTGTTAATTCTTTGCTTAAGTTTGCTTTTCGTCAAAC
This sequence comes from Homo sapiens, assembly GCF_000001405.40. Lineage (NCBI taxonomy): Eukaryota > Metazoa > Chordata > Mammalia > Primates > Hominidae > Homo > Homo sapiens. The sequence goes on from NC_000005.10 coordinate 6,435,382, forward strand.
GTTTGATTGAGAATGAGGTACACACTTCCAGAAGGAAGGAATTCGTACTTGTCATCAAGGTGACCAGCTCCCAGCTCATCCTGTGGGGTCCCTGGCTGCATCCAGCTTTTGTCCTGAGCCTGGGTGCTTCTCCCAATGCTGCCTCCTGCTGGCACAGCCAGGTTCACCGTCATGAGGATCTGCGGTCCGTGCTCTGCTCTTCATTCCTGCTTCCTCTGCAACAGCTCCAAGCTCTGTGGCAGGACACACCTGCTGTGGATATTCTGGGCTACCCTGTCTGCCCATCTGCTTCTATCTACCATCGTCTTTCAGGGATTTCTCCCAATTCCAGGTCCACTGGTGGTTCTTCTCATTTTCTAAGTTTTACAGGCGGGAGTGTAAAATGGTAAAGCCAGCTTAGAAAAGAGTTGGGGAGTTTCTTATAGATTTAAACATATACTTAGCCTTTGATGCAATAAGTCCACTCCTTGGCATTTACCCAAAGCAGATGAAAATAAGGGTCTACAAAGACTTGCACACAAGTGTTCATTGTTCATCTGCACAATGGTCAGAACCAAAGCAACCCAAATGCTTTCCAAAAGGAGGATGGATAAACAGATGGTGGAATATCCATACAATAAATACTACTGGCCAATAAAAACAAACTACTGACCTATGCAACAGCATGGGCCAATCTCACCATGAGATTATATGTGGATTAATGGAGGCCAGATATAAGAGTACGTACTTTATCATTCCATTCATGCAAAGTTCAGAGATAAGCAAAACTAGTTTTTGATGAGACAAATCAAAACAGAGGGTGCCTCTGGTGGAGGGGTGGGGTGAGCATGACCAGAAAGGAACATGGGGGAACTTTCTAGAGTGATGGAAATATCCCATGTCTTAATTGGGGTAAGTTACATGGGTAAGAACCATTTTTTAAAACCCACTGAGTTGTACAACTAAGATGTGTGCACTTCACTGTATGTAAATTAATTCTCTATTTAAATAGTTTTTAAAATCAGATACTATCTTTTTTTCTTTTTGAGATGGAGTCTCACTCTGTTGCCCATGCTGGAGTGCCCAGTGGTGCAATCTCAATTCACTGCAACCTCCACCTACCGTGTTCAAGCAATTCTCTTGCCTCAGCCTCCCAAGTAACTGAGACTACAGGTGCACGCCAACATGCCTTGTTAATTTTTTGTATTTTTAGTAGAGATGGGGTTTCATCATGTTGTCCAGGCTGGTCTCGAACTCCTGGCCTCAAGTGATCTGCCTGCCTTGGCCTCCCAAAGTGCTGGGATTGCAGGCGTGAGCCACTGCACCCAGCCTAATTATATTTTTCTAGGTTGACATGGGAGCAAGAAGGCATTTACTGTCATAAACTGCTGGCAAAAAGATTCAAAAGATTTCATTACATTCTAATGCTTTAAAAATGCTTACTATAAATATAATACATGTTCTCAATTTCGACTAATTATACTATTTCACTCACCACCCCACAGCCATGTCAGGAAACAGAATTGACTTTTTCTTTCTCAGAATACTATATTTGGACCTATATTTAGACCTAATATTTAAGGTAGCATTGAATACAGACGCTACCTTGACATGCAATATCAGCTGTCATTTTACACTTCCACACAACCAGAAAGTAACTGCCTTTGCCTCAAGCAAAGATGAAAGGGACAGGAAAAATTAGATTATTATCTCTGGAAATCTCTTTAGGACCAAGCAGTTTCTTCTTCAGAAAGGAATGCATGACTCATTTCATCACTCAAGAATTCCTTCAACTGCCAGAGAAAATCTATACTCCATAATTACAAAAGCCATCTCAGGTTCCTTCTCTGCTGCAAAAGCTAAGTACAGTATAGGCCAAGAGGAATCGTTCAGAGATTTTCACAAAGACGGTTCCAGGCAGTCTACAAACCCACTGTGTTGGATTTGAACACTGGACATTTGGAGGTCAAAATTCACAAACGAGTTATGATGTTACGCCAGCTTCTGGCAGTTGCTGCCATGACCATGGAGGTGAAGCCACTGTGGATTTGAGCAGTCCATGTTGACAACACCTCTGCAGCCATGCTAATATCAAAGCAGCACAGCTCCAGGGGTAAGCTCATGCTCCGAAGCCTTAGGCTAATGCCCCATTTCTTCTTCTGTTCCTTAAACATTTCCTCATCTTTATAACCAATTATCTGAATTAAATGTTTTCTATTAGCTGAGCATGGTGGCTTGAGGCTGTAGTTCCAGCTATTCAGGAGGCTGAGACAGGAGGATTGCTTGAGCCCAGGCTGTAGTGAGCTATGATGGTGCCACTGCACTCCAGTCTGGGCAAGAAAGCAAGACCCTGTCTCTCTCTCTCTCTTTTTTTTTTTTTTTAATTTTCAAATTAAAAAGAGTGAGAACAGGTGAAACTCACTCTGTTGCCCAGGATGGAGTGCAATGGCATGATCTTGGCTCACTGCAACTTCTGCCTCCCAGGTTCAAGCAATTCTCCTGCCTCAGCCTCCCGAGTAGCTGAGATTACAGGCATGTGCCACCACGCCCGGCTAATTTTTGTACTTTTTTTAAGTAGAGATGGGGTTTCACCATGTTGGCCATGCTGGTCTCAAACTCCTGACCTCACATGATCCACCCGCCTCAGCCTCCCAAAGTGCTGGGATTATAGGCATGAGCCACTGTGCCCAGCCGACCCTGTCTCTTAAAAACAACAACAACAACCACAAAAACAACCCTTCCGTTGAAACACTTAGCATATTAACTTAGGGCTCTGTGCCAGAAGTGGGTTTAAAGATTGAGTTATTAATCGACTTTGACCCTGAACTCAGTAATGGTGTTGGAGTCAGTGGAAAATGGGAAAAACAGTAGTGAGTGTAAAGTCATAGCATGATAATTCCACAATTATCACCAGCTGTGGTTGCCTGAGGCAAAGCACATAGGGAAAGGAAAGCTCTAGGGGAGCAAGTTGCTACTGAACTTGACCATTATGGAAGCAAGGATGATAAGAAGGGGAAAGCGGGGATTGGGCTGCTTCTGAGTGCCATGGAAAGGACAAGCTCCAAGGTTGAAAACCTCACCAAGAGTCAGAGAAACAATTTTTGTTTGCCAATTTTAAAAAAATTATATATTTTTAAAAGGCACAAGGGAAGAACAGCTGTAATTGTTGATGTATGGAAGTCATCTTGCAACCATAAGAGAGCCAATAAATAATTAGAAAGAGTCAGAACAGGTGAAAAACACCATGAAAGCCCTAAAAGATTACCAAAGCTCTTCTAGCTGAAGGACTGATACTGCTGAAAATCAGTCCAAAAATTTGGCTGTTGAGGTTGCAGAATTACAAAATGCATTGAATTCGCAGTCATGCCAACCCTCCAATGTGAGAGTCAGAACACAGACTGGAAATAAATCAGACCCTGAAAACTGAAATGAGTCCATTTGGGTTGACTCAGAAACCTTTGAGAACCTACACCCCTCACACCCTTTGCCTCCCTCACCCATAGAAGTCATTTCTCTTGGCCTGGCTGGGAGACTGGACTCCCTTTGCCTGAAGCCCTCATACTGCTCTCACCTAGAAGCTGCCTTGCAAGGGAACACTGGTTCTCCTCAACACTCACCCAATACCTCTCATGCCCAGCAAACCAGAGCCCAGCACACCCTAAGGGGACAAAGGCCATGTCTAACCCAAGAGAAAATAGCTTATACCCCCAAAGAATTGCAAGATGGTGTTAATTTATACGGGCAGGAACCTGTGTGCCAGTCAGAAGGGCAGAGTGGAAGATTACCCAGGTTCAGGCTAGAGGAAAAGCCTAATAAAGATCACATACATCCATGCAGAATCTGAAATCCTTGATTTTATAGTTTCACTCTCCAGAATTGAGCTGTTGTGATCCACTTAGGAAAGTGCATGTAGTAAAGACTCCTAACTGGTCCCCAGTGTCCATATGTCCCTGTTTGTTTCTAGTGGTTCTAATCTGGACGCACACTATCTAGCTGAAGACTACATTTCCTGGGCCCCTTGGAACTACTGTGCAATGGGATATGAGTAAAGGTGGTGTGTGTAACTTCCAGGTCATTCAGTTACAGTCACTTCCAGATTCTGGAAAAGGCAGCAGCTGGAGCCACCATGGAAGCCATGAGTTAACTGCATGTCATATACCATAGAAGAGAAGCTTCTGACTTGATCCTCCGGATGGCTTTCTGTTAAAGGACCAGTGTTCTAACTAATACAAGGTGTATTATTTTAAAATATAAATGCTCCTAGGGAACTACATGTTAAATTTTTATGTGAATTAGTTTCACCAAATTACTTTGCCCCAGACTCCTTGAAGTTAAGTCAAAGACAGCAAGGTATTTGAAATGCCAAACCCCGCCCCCTGCACTTAGAGCAGACATTCTTCATCGATGACCACACTCTCCTCTAAGCCAACACCAATCCTTAACACAGTGCTTCTCTACTGGCAGCTTCCACTAATTGACCCAATTTGGTGAAGAGATAAAATCTACTTACCATCCTGAGTTAGGTCTGTATGGAAAACAGCAAAATGGGATGGTCACTGAAGTGAAGACTTTGAGACAATAAGAGGAGCAGGAGGGTCCATGAGTTAGGGAACACTGAACAGTAAATAACAACAACAAAAATGTCTGGAGTGTGCACTCTGTGTCAGCCACTATTCTTAGCAAGGGCAGTCTAAACTGGCTTACAGGTGTGTAAGTCAGAGTCCTTGCTTACCAACAACAGAGTTCAACCCAGCTCAACCAAAAGGAATGTAGAGATGTCTCCTGAAGAATCTCTAGGAGGGTCAGGAATTTAACTAGGAAGCTACACAGCCTAGAATGACACTCACATAATCTGAGTGGTATAATTAAGATTATACCACTGAACCACCCCAGGGAAGACACCACCTTTAGCCAGGTACAAGCACTCTAGACAGAACCAGCAACCCTGGCTCGAAAGTCCCATGGGGACCTTAGCTGCTGCTGTCTCTGGAAGCTGGCTGGCTCCCCACCTACTCACAAGAAGGATCTCTCCTTGGGCTTCCCTCTTCCAGACTACACATCTGTTCTGGGGTGTCTGATGGGCTGAGACCAGGTCACACGCCTGTGCCTAGCTGCAAGGGAGTCTGAGAAAGCAAGTTTCTGGCTTCAAGGAAGCAAGGATTACGATAAGCTGTGTTGGTTACCTATTGCTGTATTGCAAATTACCCCAAAATATAATGGCCTAAATCAGCAGTATATTTTTTAAATTTTTTTAACTTTTATTTTAGGTTCAGAGGAACATGTTCAGGTTTGTTATCTAGGTAAACTTGTGTCACAGGGATTTGTTGTACGGATTATTTCATCATCCAGGTACTAAGCTGTATCAGTCCATTTACATGCTGCTGATAAAGACATACCCAAGACTGGGGAGAAAAAGAGGTTTAATTGGACTTATGGCTGGGGACCTCCCACATGGCTGGGGAGGTCTCAGAATCATTGTGGGAGGTGAAAGGCACTTCTTATGTGGTGCCAGCAAGAGAAAAATTAGGAAGAAGCAAAAGCAGAAACCCCTGATAAACCCATCAGATCTTGTGAGACTTAATCACTATCACAAGAACAGCACAGAAAAGACTGACCCCCATGATTCAATTATCTCCCCCTGGGTTCCTCCCACAACATGTGGGAATTCTGAGAGGTACAATTCAAGTTGAGATTTGGCTGGGGAAACAGCCAAACCATATCATAAGCCTAGCACCCCATAGCTATTTTTTCTGTTCCTCTCCCTCCTCCCACCCTCCACCCTCCAATAGACCCCGGTGTCTGTTGTTCCCTTCTTTGTGTCCATCTGTTCTCACCATTTAGCTCCCACCCAAAAGTGAGAACATGCGGTATTTGGTTTTCTGTTCCTGTGTTAGTTTGCTCAGGATAATGGCCTCCAGCTCCATCCATGTTCCTGCAAAGGACATGACCTCATTCTTTGTTATGGCTTCATAGTATTCCTTGGTGTATATGTACATTTTCTTTATGCAATCTGTCATAGATGGGCATCTTAGGTTGATTCTATGTCTTTGCTATTGTGAATAGTGCTGCAATGAACATTTGCATGCATGTGTCTTTATGGTAGAATTATTTATATTCCTCTGGATATATACCCAGTAATGGGATTGCTGGGTTGAATGGTAGTTCTGTTTTTAGCTCTCTGAGGAATCACCATACTGCTTTCCACAATGGTTGAACTAATTTACACTCCCACCAATAGTGTATGTGTTCCTTTTTCTTCACAACCTAGCCAACATGTTATTTTTTTGACTTTTTAATAATAGCCATTCTGATTGGTGTGAGATGTTGTCTGATTGTGGTTTTGATTTGCAGTTCACTAATGATCAGTGACGTTGAGCTTCTCATATGGCTGTTGGCTGCATCTATATCTCTTTTGAAAAGTGTTTGTTCATGTCCTTTGCCCACTTTTTAATGGGGTTGTTTTTCTCTTGTAGATTTGTTTAAGTTCCTTATAGATGCTGAATATTAGACCTTTGTCAGATACATAGTTTGCATATATTTTCTCCCATTCTGTAGGTTGTCTATTTACTCTGTTGATAGTTCCTTTGTTCTGCAGAAGTTCTTAATTTTCCTATGACCAGAATGGCATTGCCTAGGTTATGTTCCAAGGTTTTTATAGTTTTTGGGTTTTACATTTAAGTCTTTAAGACATCTTGAGTTAACTTTCATATATGCTGTAAGAAAAGTGTTCAGTTTCAATCTTCTGCACGTGGCTAGCCTGTTATCCCAGCACCATTTATTAAATAGGGAGTCATTTCCCCATTGCTTGTTTTTGTCAGCTTTGTTGAAGATCCTATGGCCATAGGTGTACAGCCTTATGTCTGGACTCTTTGTTCTGTTCCATTGGTCTATGTATCAGTTTTTTGTACCAGTACCATACTCTAGCCCTGTAGTATAGTTTGAAGTCAGGTAATGTGATACTACTACTGTTGTTCATTTTGCTTAGGATTGCCTTGGCTATTCAGGCTCTTTTTTGGTTCCGTATGAATTTTAAAATAATTTTTTTTAGTTCTGTAAAGAATGTCATTGGTAGTTTGATAGGAATAGCATTGAATCTGTAAATTGCTTTGAGCAGTACGACCATTTTAATGATACTGGTTCTTCCTATCCATGAACATGGGATGTTTCTTCATTTGTGTTATCTCTGGTTTCTCTGAGCAGCATTTTGTAATTCTAATTGTAGAGATCTTTCACTTCCTGGTTAGCTGTATTCCTAGGCATTTCATTCTTTTTGTGGTAATTGTGAATGGGATTGCATTCCTGATTTGGCTCTTGGCTTGATGGTGGTTGGTGTATAGGAATATTAGTGATTTTTGTACATTGATTTTGTATCCTGAAACTTTGCTGAAGTTGTTTAATCAGCTGAAGGAGTTTTGGGCCAAGACTATGGGGTTTTCTAGATATAGAATCATGTCATCTGCAAACAGGGATAGTTTGACTTCCTCTCTTCCTATTTGTGTGCTCTTTATTTCTTTCTCTTGCCTGATCTAAATCTGCAATATTCTCTTTGATCTCTCACAGTATCTCTGACAGTATCTGTAGGTGAGGAATTCAGTCAGGGCACAGTGAGAATGAATTGCTTCTGCTCTATAATGACTGGAACCTCAGCTGTACGACTCAAAGACTGGGGTCCAGAATCATCTGAAGACCCACTTACTCACGTGTCTGGCAGGTGCTGCTGGCTGTCTGCAAAGACCTCAACTGGGCTGATGGCTGGAAAACCCACACATGCAGCCACTCCATGTGGCTTGGGCTTCCTCTCACCATGGCGTCTGGGTCTCCCTGGAAACATCCTGAGAGAAAGCTGAGGAAAGCAGTGTCCTACAATGACCTAGTCTTGGAAGTCACATGGCTTTCATGTGTCCCCACACTGTCAAAGCAGTCTGAGCCACTGCTCAGATTCAATGCCACAGAACATAGAGCCCAGCCTTCCATGAGAGGAGTGCAATCAAAGTCAGCTTGGCCATCTTTGGAAAATACAATCTGTCTTAGGAGAGAAATTCTGCAAGCACAGGAAGGGTGTGCCAACGGTGCCAGAGGACGACAAGCATGACAGAAGTCCTCGCCACCCATGTCAGGTAGCAGCACTTGCCTGACCTCCTGCCCTGCCACCCCTTCCCCTTTTCGAGCCCTCTTCACCTTCCTCTCTTCCTTCCCTTCTGCCCTTCCCCCTACAGAGGCCCAGCAGCCTGTGCACTGTGGCACCATGAGAATAGCCTTGGACAAGGTATCAGGACCAGGGACCCAGCTTCCTCTCTCACAGCCTCCTATGTGACTCTGGGCAAGACTCACTGCTGGGACCTCAGACGTCTGTGCTGTGAAATAAATATTGGGTTGGGTTTTCAATTCAACAACAAAAATGTGTGTGCGCCCATTGTGTGTCTTGAGCAAATGCAGAGGTGAGCCTGAGGCATTCCTTGACATCCCCAAGCTCTTTCCTTCAGCATCTGGAGCCATTTGCTGTAGAGTGATTAGAGAATGAGAAAGGTGTCCTCCTAGCGCCCCAGCTGCAGGAGGCTAGGATCTCTTCATTGCTGTCTCTACAGCAAACTGCATGCAGTGAGTGCTCTTGAGCAGTGGCTACAAGCTCTGTCTGGAGCCAAAGCTGGGTCTGAATTCGGGCTCCACTGACTGTTCACTGCATTATTTTGAGCCAGTTGCTTAACTTCTCCCTGCTTCAGTTTACTTATCTATAAAGTAAGGATAAGCACGGTACCTACTTAATAGGGCTGTCACAAAGATTTAATGGTTGCATACATTTGTAGTGCTTGGGATGGCGCTCAAGATATGTAAGTGCCATTTAAGTGCCAGCTTGGTGATGGGAAGTGAATGGCAAAAAAGGACACATGACCTGTAACATCACATACCCACGCTATGCTCCCTTGCAGTGAATTATTTTAGCAGAAAGTGTTTTTTTAATTTTGGCAGTGATCTTAACACCTTAGTTCAGGAGAGTAAACAACCTGTACACATTTAGGGTGGGTATTTTGAGGCAATGTCTTGGTGACTTTAGGAGACTGGGGCTCATGAGGAAATAGGACCAACTGAAAAACTGGGAGGCAGTTTTTGAGATAGGTAATAAATGGGCAAACCACAGCTCTTCATGTCTTCATAGAAGCTGCAGCTGGAGACAGCGGCACCTGGGACCACTGGGTGAATGTTCATGGAGGAGTCATTGGCAGATAGGACTTATTCTCAGATGATGGGCCTCTTGTGATGACCAGCATCCCTCTCTCCCTTCCTTTCTTCCCTTCATGCTAGACTGGTGCAGGCTGTCTGCAGATTCCCTAACCACTCCCCTTCCCCACCCCTCAGTGGCTTGGGCTTCCTCTCAACATGGTGTCTGGCTGTCTGCAGATTCCCTAACCACTCCCCTTCCCCACCCCTCAGTACTCAACAACATAGCAGGAGCTACATACCCACAGTTGTCCTTAGAAATTATTTTATGTAACTATGATAAATGCCCTTAATTCAACTGTCTCAATATTATAAGTCTAATCTTCAATAAAATGACAACATTCGGTAATAATTTTTTTTTCATTTTTACTGGTACACATTCCATTTTAGAATATTTGAAAATCAAAATGGAATAACTAAAACACAATGTAACCTCTACACACTGCTGGGCTGGGTAAATATCTGTTCATGCCAGGGGTAAAGCAGAACTTTCTAGAATCTTCTGAGATGGAAGAAGGAGGGGGGTTTACAAACCACACAGCCCCTTCTGCCCACCCCTGACCTGACCATCCTGTCACTGAAGGAAATGTTTGGATCCATGGGCTGGAGAACTGAGGAAGGACGAAATTGAGATGTTCTACCTGTACTAACATGATAATAGTGATAACATCATTCAAAATTTCTCCTTCTAGTCTTTTTTCCTGTGCATAGTTATATGTAGTTGTAGCTGCCATGTGGATATAATTTTGCACTCTACTTTCTCACTTAAAATTATTATGTAGATCATGAATATTTCCATTTTGCGATATAATCTTGATAACTGTAACATTCTTGCTGCAAAATATATTCTAAGTGGATTCAGTGTGATTTACTTAACACTTTCCCTCCTATTGTAAATTTAGGTTGTTTCCAATCTTTAACTAACCTTTAGCTCCAGCCTTTTTAAGAGTTGATCCAAGGTGCTCTAAGTGTGAGGGACAGGAACAAGAGAGGTGATGACCATCTCCATGCCAGCCTGTTCTGGCTTGGCCTCTTGTCTCAGCAAAAGTTTCTTTTCTTTTCTTTTCTTTTCTTTTCTTTTCTTTTCTTTTTTTTTTTTTTTTTTTGAGACAGGATCTTGCTCTGTCACCCAGGCTGGAGTGCAGTGGCCCAATCTCAGCTCGATGCAGCCTCCACCTCCTGGGTTCAGAATCCTCCTGGCAGGATTCTCCTGCCTCAGCCTCCCAAGTAGCTGGGATTACAGGTGTGTACCACCACACTTGGGTAATTTTTGTATTTCTAGTAGAGATGGGGTTTCACCATGTTGGCCAGGCTGGTCTCAAACTCCTGACCTCAAGTGATCTGCCCACCTTGGCCTCCCGAAGTGCTAGGATTACAGGCGTGAGCCCAGACCCAGCATCAGTATTAATTGTGATCCTTCCACTTACAAAAAAAAAATCTACAACCAGACAGTAAGGTATTTGATCTCCCTAGCAATAACTCCATTCAGAAACAGAGGCCTCACAGAAAGCTGCATGCAATTTCAGCTAAACCACTCCCAAACCACATCTGATGACGTGTGTCCTTCAAGTGGGATCAGTTGCTGTCACTGCTACAAAGAGTTTCTGAAGCCTCGGCCCAGGTCAGTGGGTTCTGAAATCCGGACAATCACGCCCAGGAGACGTTTTCTCACCTCCCAGGGCAGGACAGAGACCGCAACTGAGTCTGAGACCCAGCAATGCAGCCGGCGTGGGGCATCAGGTAGAGAAGCACGGAGCTGGCACAGGGGGTCCCCGCTGGGTGTGGACCCCAGCTGGGCCTCCCAGCACGTGGTTGAGCTGGGGAAGCTGCTGGGCCTCCCTGAGACTCCGTTTCTACACCAGTGAAAGGGGTCAGATGAAATCTGAGAGGGCCTCTGTGGAAGTTAAATCAAACATGTAGAGCCTGCCGACCTGCCCGGTCCCTCATGTTAGATGAGCTCCCAGGACTTTACAGACAGACACTGTCATCCTTCTCGCCTTATCTTAAAAATACATACATACATATAAAAACAAACAAAAAACACAAACAAACAAACAGACAAAACAGCTGGATAGAGCAAGGTCTCAAAACAAAACAAAATCAACCATGAAACCAGGGCAAATAGGCCCTCCCGTCGCAGCTGAGATTCCCACTGCCAGGGCACCCACCTGAGAGCACAGGCCCCCAGCCCTCTGCAGACGCACTCGTCTGCCGGTCGCCTCTCGGGGACCCAGGCGTGCAGGCACCCCTACTCTTTTAGCTCACGCTGTCAACTGGCTCTCCCGCAGACAACCCCAAATCACCCGACCCCAAACCTTTCAGGCCTGAAACTGTTTCCACAGTGGCCAGAAGAGTTATTTTTCAGTGAAAATTTCTAATAACTTAGAAAAGGTAAAAATGGTAAAAGAAGTTAAAAACAAGAAGTCACCATGACGGCACCCAGAGTGAAAGGCTTTCCTGGAGAACTCGGACGCTCCTCAAGTTCAAAGCCAAACCACCAGCAGCAGCGGCAGCAAGGTTTACAATCCTAAACCATGCAGGCTTCCGGCGTAATCTCTCCTGTACTTCGCCACCACTACAGCCTCACCGCTGGACAGCTCGGCCGCACACACACACCACACACACCACACACATCACACACTCACAGACACACCACACACTCACACACTCACACACACACCACACATCACACACTCACAGACACACCACACACTCACACACTCACCACACACCGCACACACACACACACACACACCACACACCGTACACACACCACACACCACACACACACTCACACACTCACACACACCACACACCGCACACACACACCACACACCACACACACTCACACACCACACACCACACACACTCACACACCACACACCACACACACTCACACACCACACACCACACACACTCACACACCACACACATCACACACAGACACACCACACACACACTGCACACACACACCACACACCACACACATCACACACACACCACAAACATTACACTCATACCACACACATCACACACACATCACACACACCGCACACACGCACACACTACACACATTCCCACACACTCATACACCACACACACCCTCACACACACACCACAAACACACCACACACACACCACATCAGTCACACACCACACACACACAAACACCACACACACGCACACACTACACACACACCACACACTCATACACCACGCTCACACACCCCCACACACACCACACATATCATGCATTCACACACCACACACAAGCACACACATGCACACACACTACACACACACCACACACTCATACACCACACACACGACACATACCACACACACCACACATTCACACACTACACACTCATACACTATGCTCACATACACCATGCAAACACCACACACACCACACACCACACTCAGACACCACACATTCACACAAAGCACACACACCACGCTCACACACAACACACCACACACACCACACACTACACACAATTACACACACTACTCACACACACCACACACACACCACACACACACACCACACACATCACCCTCACACCACACACAAAACACCCTCACACACTCACACATCACTCTCACACACACCATACACACATTACATACACAGCACACACACACCACACCCTCACACCACATCCCAGTCACACACCACACACTCACACACTAACACCACATACACGCACACACATATCACACACTCATACACCACGCTCACACACCCCACACACACACCACACATATCACACATTCACACATCACACAAGCACACACATGCACACACACCACACACTCATACACCATACTCACACCCCACACACACCACACACACATCACACATTCACACACGACACACTCATACACTATGCTCACACACACCATGCAAACACCACACACTACACACACTACACTCACACACACACCACACCACACTCACACCATACATACATACACACCACACACCACACTCACACATCACATGCACACACACCACGCTCGCACACACACACCACACAGTGGCAGCAGCAGCAGCACCCCGGGGGCGCGGGCGACGCCAGCCCGGGACCCGGCAAGGGAAAGGGCAAGCGCGCGGCGGAGCTGGCCCCGCGCGACAAGGCGCCGGCGGCTGCGGCGGCGGCGGCGGCGGCTGCGGCGGGGGCCGGGGGCCCCCGCGAGAGGGCAGCGGGCGCCAGGGCGGGGCCGGGCCCGGCGGTGGCGGCGGCGGCGGGCGGCAGCCTGGTCCCCGCGGCGCGCCAGCAACACTGCACGCAGGTGCGCAGCCGGCGGCTCATGAAGGAGCTGCAGGACATCGCGCGCCTTAGCGACCGCTTCATCTCCGTGGAGCTGGTGGACGAGAGCCTGTTCGACTGGAACGTGAAGCTGCACCAGGTGGACAAGGACTCGGTGCTGTGGCAGGACATGAAGGAGACCAACACCGAGTTCATCCTGCTCAACCTCACCTTCCCCGACAACTTCCCCTTCTCGCCGCCCTTCATGCGGGTGCTCAGCCCGCGCCTGGAGAACGGCTACGTGCTGGACGGCGGCGCCATCTGCATGGAGCTGCTCACGCCGCGCGGCTGGTCCAGCGCCTACACCGTGGAGGCCGTCATGCGCCAGTTCGCAGCCAGCCTGGTCAAGGGCCAGGTAAGGCGAGCGCGCCGGGGCTGGGGGCGCGGGGCCGAGATCGGGTCTGCAGCGCCGCCGGGCGCCCGGGCCCCGTGGTGAGGGCCAGCGCCGGCCCCTCCGGCCATCTCGCTCCCTGCTCTGACTACACCAGCGCCCCACGGGGATGCTCCGAGCGCCTCCACCTCTTTTCCCTGAGCGTTTTCTTCCTGCCCCTGCTTTCCGTCCCGTCTCTCCCGTCCCCGTCTGGTCTCAGTCTCTGCCCGTCTCTCTGGTATCGGTCTCTGCCGTCTCTCTGGTCTCTCTAGCTTGCTCATTCTCTCCTCATCCCTTCATAGTTCTCTTCCATCCCTCTTCCTTAGCCTCCCTCTCCCATACCCTCCTCTCCCTTTCCTCCTGGACTCTTTCTCCTCTCACCCCTTTCTCTGTCCCCCCATCTATTCCCACCCCCGTTCCTTTTTCATTTTTTCCTTCTCCACCCTCCCTGGCTCCCCTACTCTTCTTTCCCCTCCGTCTCACCTTTTCTCGCCCCTCTCTTGTCTGCTCCTCAATCTCCTGTCCCTATAATCTCTATGAAGGTGAGAACTTTTTCTGGACCTCAGGATTTAAGTGTCCAACCTAGCTGATCTCCCACCTCCCCAACCCCCCCCACACACACACACACAAGGCTCCTCCGCAGGGGACTCGGGTGGGAGATCTGCAGGTGGGTGCCGTGGGGAGGGACAGCTGCCTGCTTGTAAATCCGCCCCCTGCCTTCTTCTGGGCTGCCTCTCCTGGAAAGGTGGAAATTTTGCTCTTGGGAACTCACTCTAGAGAGGCGGCGGTGTGGTTTGGGCATTCCCTTAAGAGACAAGACCAGACCCCCCCCCCCCACGGCAATGCCTGTTTTCCCCTCAGAGCACCCCCTTCCTTCCCCGAACCCCTTAGGACCACCACCTCTGGGGTAGACGTTCCAGGTCTTGGTCTCTTTCAGACCTGCTTCTTTTTCTTCATCCCCTTACCTCACTGCCCCAAGCAGTTAAATCCTTTATCAGGGCTAAAGATTTTAACGAAATACGAAACGAAGGGCCAAACAGTTCTCCTGAGCCTTCTCACCTATTGCATCAGATGGCAGCTTTACGCAAAGAAACCCCAAAGTACTTGAGAGCAGGGTGAGTGCGTGATGGTGTTATCTGCTCGAATTATATGCTGTCGACTGCGGTTGAGTTCTCTGGTGTTTTCCTGAATCAATATTAAGCATTACTTAAGAAAATTACATTGCTGTGTGGGCATCTTTTAGATTTATGAAAAAATCATCGTTTTCTTTAAAAGACCCCAAATGACCTCGGCTTGATCTTTCTACAGGCGGCCTATCAGAAGCCATCACTTCTTCCCTGCCTGGCACTTTCACTGCAGGCTCTTTCACACTAATCAAATAATGCTTGTTCTGCCAATTTCACTAAAGCTGGAACCCCTGGGATTCCAAACAAATAGCATCCTAACTCCAGCAGAGAAGGTCAGGTAATTCCTGACCCATCCTGCCAGTCCTTCTTTTCTAAGGTTTAGGTTCCACACATTTCCCGAGTTAGAAATAGCATAGGTGTAACAACTCTAGAAAAACATCTTCAGCTGAGGGAGGCTTAGTGCTTTAATATCAGAGGTTTATTTTCCATCCTGCAGTTACATGTTGAGTCTGATGAAAGGTTCATGTGATAGAATGCAAGCATGGGGGGTAGGGGATCTCAGTTTTATTTTTCAAACAGGATTTATACAAATGAAGTGGAAGAATTCTTTGCAGAAATGCCTTGGTTATTTGCTTCTTGAATCATTGCTAATCAGAATTCTTTGGAACAGTCTGTTATTGTTTTTCATTCTTCGCAATGAAGATGACATTGGGGATCAGGGGAAGAGGAATGTGTATTCCCTTCTGGGATCACAGAGTCCTAACATTTTAGACTTGGAAGAGATCTTAGAGATGAACTGGACCACTGCCTATATTTTGAAAGATGCGAGAAAACAAAGGTTTGAAATGAGAAATGGGGATTTTTTTTTTTAAGAGAGAGAGGGACCTCAGGAAATTAAATGTTTCCTATTTCTACATTAATGCTGTGTATAATAATAATTCCTTTGGTGCCCATATGCCAAGCGGCAATATAGCAATGGGCAATATATAAAATACACGGGTCCTTGTAAGTATATTTTCTTTTCTCTGTATTTAAAATTGAGATTCTAACATACAGTTTGCAAGTGAGAGATTTCTTTATTGAAAGTAATTATCAACTTTTTCATTTCTTACTTTGATAAAATCCTAACTGAACCCATTGCCCTCCACCTAGCATGTCATGTTATGTTGTCTATTCCACATCTAAATAGAGGCAAAATCTCAGCACTTTTTAAAGTGCAAGTTCAATTTCTTTGCATTTTTTCATGCTGCTTCCAACATACAGCTGTCTAAGAGAGGGTAATGTGTGGCATACATAAAATATTCAAAATGCAATGAAAGAAAGGAAGAAATGAATAGTCATTAATGTTTTAGGATTCTGTGCACAAAAGGATTCTGATGGTGTTTCAGGTAACCTGAGGTTGATTGTCTCTTTATGTACTTTTGCAAATTCACTACCTACTGGTTGTTCAGAGCACATATGGTAGTTACCAAATTATTTCCTCAGTTAGAGGTAATATGCTTTGGGAAAGCAATCAAAATACCTGATTAGGTATTCAAGGAGAACTGGGACAGCTACCAAACCGATAATTACTTTAAAAGGGAGAGTCGTTATATTCTAGTTATGTTCTGATACTTCTCGGGATTTCTTTTTTAGGATGCATTTTCATAAGCTGCAGAGTTAGAAAAGGCTGGTTTGCTTCTTTTATAGAGGAAAACATTCACTGCTCAGCTGAACTTTGTGAATTGAGGATACGCTGTTTCTATACTTCTAGAGAAATTGTAAAACAATTTTAAGAGTTTTGTGTGTAACATAAAAATATCTGCTTAACAGTTTTGTGTACAATAAAAAGCTTAGGTTTATCACATCATATGATAAATTCAGTCATTTCGTGAGGCTTTTAAGAGACTCTCTGGCCTGTGTTACCAAAATCTCTTGCATGTTGCTGTCTGAATTCTGGTTGTCTTAAATTAAATTAATATATAAATTTCCTCTATGATATATTCTATGTAGAAATAATGATATACATATCTTCCCCCTTTGTCTATTACTAAACCCTCTTTTGACTAGAGGCATTTTTAGGTAACTCTTAGTTTTTTATAATTGGATTTTAAAACTCTGTACTTTTAGAATGAACTGGTGAAAATGTTAAAAGTATACTTTTAGATAATTATTTGCATCCTTTATTAGTTACTGAACCAAAAGAATACAACCCACAGCTCCAGTGTAAGATTTTTGCCTTTCAAAAGCTGGAAGATGTTGGTTTTGAAATGAAAGTAGCCTGTAATCCCAGCACAGTGCTTGCACCTAGTAGGTAGCTTAACCTACAAAAACTGCATTTTCGGACTCTGTAAACCTAGACAAAGTAGCATCAGCATTGGGGAATGCTGGCCATGAAGAGTGCCAGAGTTTACTGGCTTCCACTCCAGGCTTGGAGCGTGGGACGATGGCGTGACTGGCCAGGGACCTTGTTCTGTCAGTTGTGTGTGCAGCAGCAGGGTCCCCAAAAGCTGCTTGATGGTGCACTGACTCAGAGCCCTGCTTTCACTGTGGCTCACCTCCTGAGTGTCCCCTTTTTAGTTAATTAGGCATCGCCAGGGGCAGGGAACCAAATGGCAATTGAGTGACAATTCCTCACTCCTCTCCTGGCCCCTCAGAGCCAACCATACAATTCGGCATGCACACAGTGTTGGTAATAATAACTGCAGCAGCAGCAGCAGCAGGAAGCATTTCCTACTTGCTTGTGCCAAACTCTGGGCCAGCAGAGAACATAGGATGTTTGAGGATGTTTGAATCTCCCTGGTTCTGCTCTTTTGATGGTCGTTGTACAGGTGAGGAAACTGTAGTTTCACAGAGTCAGGTGGAGTTTATACAGCCACATGCTCTCATAACAGCTCATGAGTGGCAAGGCTCTGAAATTTCATCAGCATGAGTAAAAGCTGTTGGAAATGGCAGTCGGGCCAGGTGCCATCCAAGCACCTTGCTGTTTCCAGGCAGTCGTTTATTAACTGTGACCATTGTGATAATCCTTTCTATCCACAGAGAAGAGCTGCTCAGCCAGCCATCCGCAAAAGATTCACAGAACATCAGGACTAAAGCATCCTTGAGTCTTAACTGTTTGAATTTAAAATTGGAAAGCAATTTCAGGACAAGTTCTGTTTGCCTGACAGTTTCTGGATGTTTTTTAATAAAGGAAACTTGTCTAAGTGTAAGGAAACAGTAAAGGGCTCTGCAGCTCAGCTTTGTGAAATGATATGCAGTGATGTCACTAAAATCCACCTTAGGTCTGAGAGGGGGCCACACCATGGTGTCACTGGGAAGCACAAGTGCACACACATGTGCACACACACACACACACACACACAGAGACATACATAAAGCCCATCTTCCAAAATACTAGGCCTAGAAATAGCACTTTACTTATGACTGTAAAACCAGCAGTCTCATCAGAAAGAGTGACAAAGATGAACAGCCTGTTGGGCTCCTAAAATCTGTGGGCTTCTAACCGGCTATAACACAGAGATTTTTTTTGAGACAGGGTCCCCTCTATCACCCAGGCTGGAGTGCAGTGGCATGATCATTGTTCACTGTAATCTTTAATTCCTGGGCTCAAGCAATCCTCCCATCTCAGCCTCCCAAGTAGTTGGGACTACAGGTGCACACCACTTTGCCCAGCTAATTTTGTTTATTTTTTGTAGAGATAGGGGTCTCACTATGTTGCCCAGCTGGTCTCAAATTCCTGGGCTCAAGCAGTCCTCCCACCTCGGCCTCCCAGAGTATTGGGATTACAGGTGTGAGCCACCTCACCCAGCCATACAACACACAAAATGTTTAAAGGCCCTGTATTAGGTTGCTGGGGCTGCCATAACAGAGGACCTGGAAGTCCAAGATCAAGGTGTCAGCAGGGCTCATTTCTCCTGAGTCCTGCCTGCTTGGCTTGTAGATGCTGTGTCCTCCCTGTGTCCTCACATGACCTTCCTTCTGTGTGTGTCTGTGTCCTAATCTCCTCTTCGTGTAAGAACACAGTCAGATTGGATTAGGGCCCATCCTCCTGACCTGACTTTAACTTAATTACCTCTTAAAAACCCTGTCTCCAAATAAGGTCACCCTCTGAGGTGCTGTGGGTTAGGGGTTCACCATGTACCTTGGTGAAGGGAGGAGAAACAATTCAGCCCATAACACAACCAAACAGGCATTTCTTAACCAGTTGCTCATCTTGTTTCTGCAACTGCTGTGCTAGTTTGAAAAGCAGTAGATGAAGCCACACGGAGGGAGGCACTGGATGGAGAATGTTGCCCGCAGCTTTGAGCAGAGAGATGGCTGCACACCCGGAGGGAAGCTAGAACAACCTAGAGCAAAAATAGTGACTGGCAGGGGTGGGTAACGCCATCTGATTCGTCCAGGGAGACGTGGATTTTTGGTAGCGTGCTTATGAGTCACTGTGTTGTGTCCTGCACTGTGTACAGGGCACGGAGATTATTGCCACCACCGATGACTGTGCAGCTTGAGGTATCGATACACTGGACTGTTCAGAGGAAAAAATAGCTACTTGTTCTTCTATCAAGTAGGGCAGGCAGGAGGACACAGGCAGGACTGCATCCTAAAAATAGCCCCACACCCGCTTGGAGAGCTCCAGCAGCTCAGCCCGGGGTGCATGGGGCAGCTCCTGGTAGAAGCTACTTTTACTTCACCATGAGACTTTGAGAATCTGAACTTGCAGGAAGAGGGTTGTAGTGTATTTTTGTATACTTTTCTGATTTCCCTTAAGCGATGGGGGAGATTGGGTTTTCTCTGTAAGGACAGTGTAGGTTCATGGCTGTTTCTTAGTGGAATGTGCCCATGTGGACACTAAGCTGAAGTCTGAATGAAGGCCTGACACCCACAACCTGGTCAGTGTCTCCCTTCTCATCGTCAGGAAGAGACTCGTCCACACCCAGGTTTAGAAGGAAGGCAGCCTCACTAGTACCATGTCAGAGGCAGATAAGACACCAGCAGAAATGGCTTTTATAGTTCAGGAAACAAAACAGACACTTGTGGCAGGGATTTTGAGCCCCACTTTGGAGCTCCTAGAATCAGAGGTTGTTGCTGCCCTAGATGTGTTGATGTAGTCGGGAGGGGAGAGGACGGCTGGCCACAAGTGTTAGTCCTTTCTTCTCTGCCAGTGGTTCCCAACCCTGGCAGCACATTAGATGCCCTGAGGAGTGTGCAGATTATTTCAGTACCAGGGCTGTCCCCTCAAAGACTCAGACTTTGTGGTCTAGGATCAGGCCCTGACAGAGGCTGGTCCAAAGAGCTCCTCATGATTCTAATGGGCAGCCCGGGTTGGAAAAGCTGCCTGACGCTGGCCATGGTCCACCTCCTCCCTCCCCACCCATCTGGCAGACACAGCCTCACCCACCAGTAACCACAGCCCAGAGCTTCAGAAGTGGTGATAATTAATCCCCCCAACCTCCCCACCCCACCTGGCTCACACTCCCTGTCCTAGGTCAACCCTGACTCAGCGCCTTCAAAGCCCGACTTCTGTAGAGATGCCATCCTAAAGCCAGCCTTCCTCCCTGGACTGCTTATGTAGACTACGAGGGAGTGTAAACCCTGAAAAAGAAAATGTAGGGATGATTCCCTCCACCCTCGATGAGACGCAGCTGCGGAGGGTGGTGTGAGCAGACCCTCCAGAGCCGTGGCTGACAAATTAATACAGCACGGGAATCGAGTGCCTCCCGTCATGCAGGAACTTCCTAGGCATCATTGGGGGATCAGATACACATCAAGTGCCTGCCACAGGGAACGTACCCTCTAATGGGGAGAAGACAAAACCCTTCACATTTGCTTTTGACCTGCCAAGTGGCTTCACAAGTATCTTTTTGTTAATATTTAGGAAATATCCATGGATCTGACAATAGACAGTGGCCTGGGTATATAGTGGGGACATGGGCACAGTGGGGTCCTGGGATCAGCAGGGTCTTCAGAAATTCCAAGTGATGTTCTTAGAGGAAACACTCTACTTAAGGGTGATTGAGACTCGACATTAACATGGGGCATTAGTCACTCAGTGTTTTTTGGAATACGGTTTCATTGCTGATAAATGGAAAGGCCAGGCATGCCCCCACACTGACCAAGAAGTTGTAGTAATGGCAGAAATGTTTCCAGTAATGTCTACACTTTCCTACTCAGTAAGTCGGCAAGCTAAGCTAAGGTTTAATTGTTCAGTTATTTTCTCATTGTTACACACATCATTCATTCATTCACTGAGCACTGTAGTGACGTTGCCCTTGGCATTCCCATGACGACCCTTCCCCATTCTGCGTAACGTCTGCGACCCTCCCCTGGTCCTCTCCCTGGCCTGCTAATCCCACAAGGCTGGGAGGAAACCAGCTGAGTGGGAGGACCAAGGACACCGGACTGGGAGAGCAGATTTGGGACCAATCAGGTGGCAGAGGATTGTGAGATGAGGGCAGGTGTGTCTGCAGAAGCCAGAAGAAGCTGCCCGACCTTGCCCCTTACCTGGCCAGCAGGGCTGGGCATGGTCAGGGAGCCACACTCACCGAGCCTCTTCTATTCCTATTCTTCAGTGCTAGGCTCTCCTCTCCCGCTCTCTTCCTCTCCAGCCCTGTGCTCCTGCCTCGTGGGTGCCTGTCCTCTGCTTGGATTCCTGCAGTGCCCCCATCCAGTCTCTCTGTCCCTGTCCATCCTCCCTGATGCCACCTGCATGGCTCCTCTAAAATGCAGACCTAGCTTTATCACATCTGGTTATGAACCTTATGAAATAGAGCTCAAGTTTCCCAGCACTGTACAGCCATGATGGCATTCCTGCATCCGCCACAGCCCCCACTGAGGCTCCTCTTCCACCAGCCCCTTCTGCCTGGAAGCCCCTCTTGCCCATCTTCACCAGGTGAGTCCCTGGCCATCCTTAAAAACCCTGCCCAGATGCCCCAACTTCTCTGCAAACAGCTCCTCAACCACTCCTTCAATAAAAGCGATGACTTCCTCCTCTGAACTGCAGAGGAGGAAGCTCGGCATTGTTTAGAAAAAGTTCATTTCTGTGCTTATCCTGCCAGTTTACATAATTACAACTGTATTGCCCCTTCTCTTTGCTAAATGTCCAACACTTTGTTTGTGCCAAATAGATGTTTGCCACAAGATCTGTTTCCCTGAGCAGACTCCCCATCCTCTTCATTTTGCCCCTTCTTGCGATGCAACGTAAGTGCTTACTGTGGGTCAGCTGCTGTGCAGAATGCTTAATGTGAATGATTTGATTAAATCCTTGTAGCAGCCTAAGAGGTAGGTGCTGTTGTTATTCCCATTTTACAGAGGAAGAAACTGAGGCTTGCTGAGGTTGAATCATGCACAGAGCTGAGCTGCCACCAGGCAACCAGTCCAGTGCCAGAGCCACCTGGTCCTGAGGAGGTGTCTAGTTGGCAAGTACCACGTGTAGCATTATTGTTCCTCATGGCACATATGGATGTTAGGAATGCCTCTGCAGTTCCATGGTGCATGGTTTTCCTACAATACTCAGAATCAATCCACGAGAGGACGGATGGTGCATCCATCAAGTCTGACACATGGTACGGAATTATCAGCAACGTTGGACAAATATATTGGCCCAGATTCATCATAAGCTCCTTGTATTGATTGAGCAAAATCGATGAATGTGTTAATTGCTTCAAACCGTAGGAGAAAGATAATTATTACAGCTTTATTTATTTTGTATATGAAAGGGAAAGGCATTTTAGAGATTCTGAAAATAACTCAAGAAAGAAGTGCTTTTTGAACATAATTGTTACATTGGTAAAATCACTCAGATTGAAGGAATGTCTACCTTAAAATAATTTCTCTAAAATAAATACTAATTCTTCATCACAGTATTTGGCAGGCATTCTCGAGGTGTTTGACTGAGTTCTTTGATGAAGGAGCTAAGGAAATACTGTCTGGTAAAGGATCAGTTACACGTAAAGTTGAATTGTCCTCAGCTCACTTGGAAATTGAAGGGAAAATTTCCAGAAAAATATTTGAAGGGTAATTCTCATTTTTTGATCTTGAAGATCAGACATTTGCAAATATCAGAATATGGAGTTACAGAACTTATTACATTTTGGTTCTAATAAAAAGCTGTGATTAATATTTTATGAATTTGGACATTTTGTGCACAAAATTATTAAACCAATTATTTTTGCCTTACGGATCAATATGTATGTATTAGGGTGATTACTTAGTGTCAGATTGGGTGCCCATATTGCTTCCCGTAAGATGTCTGTCAGGAATTGGATATAACTATACCAAGTAAAGATCAATTGCTGCTAGGATTAATTTGTGCTGGAGTCCCTCATGATTAGTGACATATGCTACTCAACTCTGCTTCTCAGCCAAGGAAAAATAAAAATACCATAGTGGAAACTTCACCAGAATTGAGTGAGTTACAAGCTTAAATTAACTGTAACTAGTTGAGTATTAGAAGCCTTTAAAATGTAACTTTTTAAGAGTCATCAAAATACTAAATGAATCATAATGTATTTAACCTGGCTTTGTGCAAGGAGGCTGTTCTTTATCAGAGCCCTCTCCTGCAGCGCACATGTGCCTGCGTCTGACAGCACCTCTCGGGTGGGAGCCTTCCTCCTCCAGGTTGGGTGGGAGAGAAGAGCACAGCAAAGCCAGGGGCCTTGTCCACAGTAGCGGGTTAGGATCCTCCAGGGGAAGTGCCTTCATCCAATGTGAACAATGCCTAAAACTAATGCAGGAGAGCTGCAGAGACTGGTGGCTGTGACCCCACCCCTCCAGAGCCCTGCTGACTTCCTTTGATCTCTTTCATAATGTACCCTATGAAACATCATTATCTTAGAGAACTCATACAAGACTGCTACTCTAACTATAAAGATAAAAATTTCACAACACTTAAAGGACATTACCGTAAGTCACAAATAAAACTGATCTAATAAAAAGTGAGTTGGAACTGAATTGAATTAAAGTGCTTATTTTATTAGTAATTTCATTTAAGAGGGTATCCTGGCATCTGCCTTTTCATAAGAGAGATAGAGGGCTCTTGGTTATTCTTGATGATCGGTCAAAGAGAAACAG
Organism: Homo sapiens; assembly: GCF_000001405.40. Taxonomy (NCBI): domain Eukaryota; kingdom Metazoa; phylum Chordata; class Mammalia; order Primates; family Hominidae; genus Homo; species Homo sapiens. The sequence goes on from NC_000005.10 coordinate 6,459,438, forward strand.
GTGACCAACCACAGGAGTCCCTTCCTGCTGCCCCAAACCCCTCGAAGCCACCTGGAGGACTGCATGGCCTCGAGGTGTCTGGGGACACCTGCAGACTCCTCCCCAGAATAACGTCTTTCGTTGCACAAAACAAAATGCATAGGATTTCAAAGGAAGCCAATTATATTTAAATACAGTTATCAGAACATGTTTTTAAAACATGATGAACTAAAATAAATTAAAAAGCACTTTATTAACACATTAAATATTAAGATCTAGAGGCAGGTCTAACACTCTCCTAATCTGACAATAATGAATATCAATGACATTTCAAAATATCTACAACAATATCACAACTGTAATGCGATTTTAAAACATTTGCCTATTGGTGACAAAGCCAAGGCATTGCTAATACTGCTGTGGTTTCTTTCAATCCTAATTATAGGAAGTGCTGAATTGCAGTTCAAAGTTAGTGAAAATGGAGACATTTTTCCCATCCAAATATATATACCCGGAGGAGTGCATGGGCCCCAGGTTAAGAACTCGAGGTAGTGTGTGGCTCTAGGTGGTGATGGCTGTCTTGCGAAAGATCCTAAACCTTATTCTGCAGCTCAGGGCCAGAGCAACTGGGATCAAGATTTAGGAGCCCAACAGGTGTCTCAGTTCTCTGGTGTTATTGGTGGGTGGGGCTGGGATAAAGCTGGAGATCTGCAGGCAGAGGCAAGGCTCCAGCGCCTTACCCCTTCTGAGTGTGGCTCACTCCTGGGCAGGCACCCACCTCCCTGAGCATCAGATGCCTCCCCTAAAGGCAAGGAGCATAAACCCAACTGCTCACATGAATCATGAGGATCAAAGGAAATGATGACACGTGTTCCTTGCATAGGTAAGGTGATCAATAGATGTTCCTGCTTCTAAAGAAGAAGGAGATTTATTGAATTAAATGCACAGAAATGTATGGCCAAGACACAGCAGCCTCCAATGCACACAGATATCTGCTTTCATAATGATGAGTGTTTCATGGCAATATTCACCTCCAGGTGCCTCGGGTGTTTCCGTCCATGACTGTGTTTTTACAGAGATTCACAGGAAACTCAGAAGAGCCTCCTTTTTGCCCTCATAAATCTACTGCTGTGGACGCTTGCTGTTGCCTTTGCTGACATGCCATCATCAAATGATTTTGCACCATCAGGGGCTGATTTATGGGATTATGTTATTGTTCCAGCACAGATTGATATCTGGGTTTTTTCACCTCTTTAACTTTGGTATCATAAGAATTCCATTACATTGGTAGCATCTTTAAATTAGCTTGATTTCTTTTGCTGGCGTTCAGTTAGAAAATTATGTAGAAGAATATTCTTATTTAAAACATTTACCTCTGTGCTCCCTAAATGCACATCAAAAGTCCTTGTTAGCCATTAAATGTTGTTGATATTCATTCTTTGTTACAGAATGCAATGCCCACTTGAAAACTTCTTGGCTACCATTTTGTTTCAAGGTGAAAAACCGGTTCATAAATCAAATTTTAAAATTTGTAAAAAGCTGTGGACCCCAGCAATTATCACAAGTCACACAGAATGAACATCAACTGTTTCAGTACAACTGAAAGAGAATTTCCCTGTAGTCAATTACATGGATCCTTTCTAATATTAATACTTTTACGAAAGATCCTTTCTTTAGTAGAATTTAAGAGAAACCTAGCTGAAATATTCGACCTGCAGGACTAGCCAAGTTTCTCAGAAACACCTGTGATATGACATATGGTCTTACTGCAATTGGAGGCTATTCAACAGTGGAATACCAATGCCTGCTTCACATTCTCTTAACTGGTCAGTCAACTGAGGCCTTGAGCATTGACCCAAAATCTAGGGTGAGGCTTTCTGCATTTGGGAAGAGACTGACCAGCTATCTCTAGGGTTCTCCCCCAATCTGAAGACTTAAGTGGGTAGACTCTGCATTCTCATGGGACAGAGTGTGGGATACAGCTAACTGATCCTCCAGGATTTCTACGCTGTTTTTATTGTATTCCCAGTGATTTTCCCATAGTTTAGAAATATTGAAATGTCCTCATCTGAGATGATTATAGGCAGAAAGCATCCTCCTATCCCCAGTGTTTTTCAGCACCCACCACCCCCCCCCGCCGGCATATCATTCTAGGAAGGAATATTATCCTTTATGTGGAAATGGAGCCTGCAATGATATCTAAATCAGTTCCTGGGCCTGGGTGGTGTTGCCATAACTACTGATCTAGGTTTGTAATATCAGCAAATAGAAACAGACCTGCCCTACAGTGCTCAGACCATTTGTTCATATTTATTTATGTCTCCTTTTTGCTCCTGTTAAACACATTATTTAGCTGTCACGTAATCTTTTAGTGAGATGATTCCGATCACCCTATCCTGAGAAAAATCTTAAAGGCCCTCCATCCCCACCTTGGCTCCAGTCACACACCGTTTAGAGGTCTCAGGTTCCCACTGGTTTCCCAGCTCCACCGAATGTCCCATTTGGATAAGCCGCAGGCTCTCAGCCCTCGGCGTCCCCAGCTTTGTTGGAAAGGTGAACACAGCAGGCTTTGCAGCAGCTGTTGGTCAGCACTTGACCTTATTGGCCATGATGAAGGCCAGTAGGCTGGACAAGCCCAAGCGAGGGTGATGGTCGTTTAACCTCTACAGGCCTTTCAGACCACCCCATGCTGTCTCTGTGGCCAGAAGATGCTCCGAGACTTCAGAACTGGGTCTTGGTCAGGACTCGACCAGAAAAGACAATCTCAACCTAGGACTCAAGACCCAGATGTGGGAGGAGGCGTATGAAAAAAGCAGCCAATGGGCTACCCTGAGAGTCAGGGACCTGGTATCAAGAAAGGAGGGGGATCTGCCGGCAGCTGCAGGGCCACCATTGAGGGTAAGGGCAAGAGCAAGGCAAGGCCCCCACCCCAGATTTGCATTCAGCTTTCCAGTGGACGGGGCATGCAAGCTTTCCCAGAAGCCCAGGCAACAGAGGGATCCTGGACTGAGGAGTGAGGCCAGTTCCTGTGTTCTCATGCTCCCGAGGGTGGCATGGCTGAAGCAGACCAGTGCTCCTCAAGGAGCTGCCAGGGCCCAGCTCCTCCTGCTCCTGCTTAGTGAGAATTGCCCGGGGGCATCTTCCCTGTGCTGCCTCATGTGGAAGCATCATCAAGGAGGAGTTGTCAAGTGCCAGGTATGAGAGGCCACTAACTGCCGGGCTTGACAGAACGACCTATTGGAGGGCTCAAGGAAGAAAAAGGCCACCCTCACTCAGCGTGCACTTAGGGCAGAATAAGCCTCACCCAAAATCCCTGTGGGACTTTCCCCATAGAATTCTATGGAAACTTCCATACATCACCATTAGATTAAGTTGCCCAGGGAGATTGAGGGAAATATAAGATTTCTGCTGCAGGAAAAGGAATCTGACATTTCCGGCTTCTGAACCAAGCGTGAAAGGCTGATTTGTAATTTGTTTGGTCTTAACAAAAATAATAGTGTGCAATTAACTAAGGCGTCAAGCACAGTTGGAGTGAACGATAAACGGAAGGCAGCATTTTCCATAAGTAAAAGCTTTCAGAGTGTGCATCTCTAAATCATCCACTTCTTCGCTACTGACTCTTTTCCTTTCTTTTGATGTTGTTATTTTCTTGACATAATTACAGCAAAGATTGGTACATTGCACCCAATCTTAATTGTATCTCCCTTCAGTCTCATTTATTTCATTGTTACCTGCTATTCCTTTAAATTAGTAAGTCATGATGTTTACAGATTGGTAGTATTCTTAAAAATATTTCAAATTGTGCTAGAAGGTTTCACCCTGAAATGGGGTGAGTACATTCTTTTATTTATTCTAGAGCTTGCAAACATATTTTAAGTGTATAATACAGTGATCCTAAAGAAAGGCTGGGGAAAGAATTTGAGTTTGGAGGATAGCAGTGAAAAGAGGGTCACATGAACAGGTGAAGAGGAGGCTGGCGTGTCCTTGGTGCAGGGCCTTGGGTAAGGAAGGTGCTAAGTAAGGAACAGGGTGGTGGCCTCACTTTTCTGCGTGGTGCAGACTGCAAACGCCCTTGATTTTTTGATCACCACCCCCTCCCCACATTCTGTGAGCAGCAGGACCGGGAGCGAGACCGTGGTCCGAAGTTCTCCCGAAACCCAGGTAGGCTTTGTATTTGTGCTGTTATTATTATTATTATTATTATTATTATTATTATTATTATTATTTTTGATGCGGAGTCTTGCTCTGTCGCCCAGGCTGGAGTGCAGTGGCGCGATCTCGGCTCACTGCAAGCTCCGCCTCCCGGGTTCACGCCGTTCTCCTGCCTCAGCCTCCCGAGTAGCTGGGACTACAGGCGCCCGCCACCATGCCTGGCTAATTTTTTGTATTTTTAGTAGAGACGGGGTTTCACCATGTTAGCCAAGATGATGTCGATCTCCTGACCTCATGATCCACCCGCCTCGGCCTCCCAGAGTGCTGGGATTACAGGCATGAGCCACCGCGCCCAGCCTGTGCTGTTATTTTGCACCAAATTTTTGTTTCAGATTATTCTAAGAGATTTTTTTTTTAATTTGAGACAGAGTTTCACTCTTTTTGCCCAGGCTGGAGTGCAATGGCGTGATCTCAGCTCACTGCATCCTCTGCCTCCCGGGTTCAAGTGATTCTCCTGTCTTCTAAGGGCTTTTTTAAAAACACAAACACAAATATTGAGAATTACGTAATTAAGTAGAATTGGGAAACAGGCCTAGCAAACAAGGTCAGTTGTAAACCAAGACCTCAGTGATGCTTTTGAGCTGTTGAGTGATGTTTTGAGCTACATTTGGCACCTGCTAACCACTCAGAGAAAATTATCTTCCCAATACATGAGTGTTTTAGGTCCTGCAGTAGGAACAATGAAACTACAAAAGATTTACAATCCCATATCAAAAAACAATTCCAAATTCAAGATGACAAGATGTCTCACAAGTCGAAAAGGAACGGGAAATAGCTCCCAGTGCATTCCCATAGAATCATAGCACATACCTTGTGGTTTTGTTTGTTCCTGTGTCTGATTAGGTTCTGAAGGTCTTTATCAGAAGTAGCTGATTTCCCTGCCTTGTAGTTGAGGGTTCTTGGCCCCTGCTAGCTGCACTTCTTAATTAGAGGAACTTGAACAGTTTCTGGAGGTTGGAAAGAAAAAACAAGGAGATGACTTACGGCGCTCAGAGCCAGTAACATGCTGGCAGCCAGCAGGCCTGAAAGGGGCAGCAGGGAGGGCCGTGTCTGCCTTCTCTGGGCTTCAATGGTGGGTGACACCGGGTGCCTCAGGTCACCCTCAGTAGAATTTTAAATGCCTTAATGACGTTTCAAAAATAGAGATTCATTTGGACTTAGAGTGCAGCTAATTTCTGCTCCGGGTATTTTAACCTCTTGCAGTCAACAGCATTCGTAGCTCTGCAGGGCCATCTGTGCTGGTCCCTTGATAAGAAGCTACAATTCAATGGATTACCAATAGCACCCTCATGTATGACTACAGAGGCACTGTCGCCAGGCTCAGGCACTTTTTAACTATAACTAGCATTTTAGTTTTTATTCTTTTTTTTTTTTTTTGAGACTGAGTCTCACTCTGCCAACCAGACTGGAGTGCAGTGCACAATCTCGGCTCATTGCAACCTCTGCCTCCTGGCTTTAAGCAATTTTCAAGCCTCAGCCTCCCGAGTATCTGGGACCACAGGTGTGCGCCACCATGCATGGCTAATTTTTGTATTTTTAGTAGAGATGGGGTTTCACCACATTGGCCAGGCTGGTCTCAAACTTTTGACCTCAGGTGATCTACCATCCTTAGCCTCCCAAAGTGCTGGGATAACAAGCATGAGCCACCACGCACAGTCAGCATTTTAGTTTTCTTAGACCTTTAAAAGCAACAACAAATATTTAGAATTACATAATTAAGCAGAGTTAGGAAACAGAGCTGGAAAACATTTAGTTTTCTTAAACTTTGTCTTAATGGATTGCAGAGCCAAGTGAAGTGGCAGACAGTAATGAGGCTGAGTCTAAATAGAAGTGAATATTTTAATTTCATAACAGAAAACTGGGAGATGAGCAAAAAGTAATTTTCTCCAAGACCCAATCTCAGGATCCAGTGGTTCTCAACCTCGGTTTCCACTCCCCAGTGCCTGGGGGTGGAGGGCGCTTTGCACCTCGTTTCAACAGGGACTCTTGGGGGGGCTCTGGGATGCTTCGGGTGCCCCTCTCCGCCCCCAGCAATTCAGACACAGCTGCTCTGTGTCCTGGAAAGGAAAGAGCCCTCCGGGATGACCCCTCGCTCACTTCCTGCGTGGGAATCGCTGCTGGAAATGGACCCTGATGGTCTAGGCTTCCGGAGGCCAGCTCCAGGGCGCAGCAGAAGAGCTGCTGCCTCACCTTAAACCTGCCTCCGTGAGGACGGAACCTGGACTCCTCGCCATTTCTGCATTTCCACGTTTGCTTTTTACCCCGCGCAAAGCGTTTCCACTTTCTCCTCTCAGTGTATTTGCTCCCTTCCTTCCCCCGACACCAGCCTGTCTCCCTCTGCTGCCCAGGGGCCCCAGGCGACCTCCCTCCCCTCACACTCCCCTTGCACCCTCTATCCTCCCTTCCTGCCCCTCCCTCTTCCTTCCCTCTGCCCCTGCCACCCTCCCAGGGCCCTGAGCAGTGCGGGGAGGCATGGAGAGGCTGAGGCCTCCCCACTGACTCGGCAGCCACGGCGATGCAGCGCCCAGCGTCTTCACGGTGGAACTAGCCACTTCTTCCCCTCCCTGTTTCCTCTTCCAAAAACTGGAACCAGGGTCACCTCCAGTCCTTGTCAGCACCAGGCAGCCATCATGGGGAGCGAACTGCTCAGCACTCAGGAAGTGTGAGCTGCTCACGAGCCCCTCACACCCCAAGGCCAGGTGTCCTGTTGGAGTCCCCCCAACCCATCTGCCTCCTCCCACAGCCTCTCCCCTTCCCCACCTGAGAGCAGGCCACCTGCAGCTGGCTGTGGCCCGTGGGCCTCCTGGGGGGCTGTGTCCTGTCTCCCAATCTGGGGCTGGACGCTCCCCCAGGTGGGGCTGGGCAGTGTGGCCCCTGGCGGGCAGCAACATGGGGCCTGCCGGACCAGCCCAGCCCTGCGCCTAGTAAGCGCTCAGCACCTATCGGAGAATGAGGTTGAGTTGATGTCCTTCAGGCACTGCTAGATCATGAACCATCAGAGAAAGACGAAGGGTGTGGAGTGCACCTTAACTGCAGTGTCAGGAAAGTGGACATTTTTAGCCACAAAGCCAGGGCCGTCAAAAGGCTTTCTGGTGATGCTGACTGCCAAAGGCATGTCACTCCGGCCCTACATACATCATGTGAATTATCTTTCTCTAAACACTGAATTTATTGGTCAGAGTGTTTTAGTACGTGAGAATAAGCTTTATGGGGTTTTGTTTGTAATCACGTGCCCTTGAAATGTCATCATACCATTCGCCAGAAAACACACCAGCAGGACGTTTGAGAGAGGTTTGTATTTTGAGTCAAGAGGCACTAAATGGAGGAGGCTGCTCACTGTTCTGGGCCTGGGACTGTCACCCGGCACATGAGGCTTTGCTGTTTATTTTGTTAAGTAACTTAATGTTAGGGGTGTCATTTAAATAACTTCTCTGTAAACATCTTTTCTTTTATTTCATTGTAGTCCTTCCCTGATTGAAGATTTCTATGCTACTGTGTAAATTCATTCTCTTCCCACAATCTCTCTGTCTCTCTCTGCCTCCCTCCCTCCCTGCTCTCTCTCCCTCCCTCTCCTCCCCTTTCCTCCTTCCATTCAGCTGTGACTTTTATTCTTGGAGCCTGCATTATCCTACATTATTTGAGAGCTGCTAAAACAAAGTCCCCACAGGCTGGGGGCTTCAACGACAGAAATGCATTCTCTCGCAGACTTCCTGGAGAGGGGAAGTCTGAGATCCAGGTGTGGGCAGGGCTGGATCCCGAGGCTGCTGCTTGGCTTGTAGACATCATCTTCTCCCTGGGTCCTCACAGGATCTGTCTCCTCTACGTGTGTCTGAATTTCCTCTTCCTAGAGGGACACCAGTCCTATTGGATTAGGCCCCAACCTGATTACCTCATTTTAAGGTAATTATCTCTATAAAGATTTCTATTTCCAAATACAGTCTCGTTCTGAGGTGCTGAGGGCTGGGACTTCAGCATAGGAATTTGAGAGGACACAGCTCAGCCCACAGGAGAGCCTTGCTTTCCAAGCACGTATGAGTTTGTTCATTTGTCTTCTTTCCTGCAGCTTTTGCCTCTCAGATGTCCTCCTGTTTGTCTTTGCCGGGGGTCTCTGCCCTGCGGGCCCCACCGCCCCAGCCTCTCCACCCGCGCCCCCCAGACTGTGTTCCTTCCCATCCCCCTTTGTTCCTGCAGCATCGACACATTCCTCCTCACAAACTTTAGGTTTTGCAGGTTTATCTGTTTTTCTTAGCTGTCCCAGAATTTTTTCTTTCTTCCTTTTTCAGATCACTGTATCGCCTTTATCTCTTACGCCTGACTTTTCCCTCCGCCTTCAGGATTCTTCCTGCCTTGTCTGCTGGGCCTCTCTCCTTGCTCTCATCCAGATCAATGAACAGGGACTCGATCCATCTTCTTTGGCACTTTTCCCATTTCCCTGTGATCCCTGGATGACACTATTTTTTGTCTCACTTTACCTTTCACCGTCTCTATAAACCTCCCCCGTCCCTGTTCTCATGCTGCTCCTCTGCATGTGTCCAAGGTTAACAGTGTTCCTTTCTCTCCTTCCTTTCCAGCCACTGCTGTCTTGAAAATGCCTTGTCCTGGTTGAGCGAGCCCCCTGCCCTGTTCCCTCGCTCTGGTTTGGAGCATCGCCTCACCACTGCTAACTGCTCAGGGAAGCCGGTCATCCTCCCTGGAGCTGGAGCAGGGGCGCGGGGTGGGTGAAGGGATGCTCCTGCTGTGTGCACTGGCCTGAGGACAGAGAAAGAGGGCAACCGGCAAAGTGAGAGTGTGGAGGGGTGGAGTCAGGCAGGCAGTGCAGACACTCAGGCGGGACAACAGACACGGGCTGACTGGTGGATCCTTATTTCAAACAGCCGCCTGGAGCATCAGTGAAACTTGAAGGTGGCTCTCCAGTGAGGAGCTGAGGCTGAAATGATCATGGGGAATCTTTTCATTCCATTGGATTTGATGCTGATGTACCAAGTTGATGCTTTTTCTTAATCACCATTTTCATCATTTTAAATGTTTTACCAAATTTAGATGGAAGATGCTTTCTGAAAGCCTTCAATTCTACTTCTTAGGAGAATTTTACTCAGTTAACTTATAGTTACTTCCGGAAATGATTATTAGTTGTTAATTTTATTGATCAAATTGTTTGAAACAAGCACCTACCAGAGTGCTTGTTTGGGGGATACACCAGACCAGTCACAAGGCGCATCAGAGAACAGTTATGTTCCATCATGTGCACTTTACGTGCATTCTTGTTTTACTCAGAAGTAGACAAATTCATTAAAATATCCTCAATTATCACCACCGGTCTGCCACAAGACTTGAGAAGAGGGTAGAATGGCCTTCTTCATGATTCCTGCAGAGGCTGACAGACTTGTGCGTGCAACCAGCCCGCCGCCTCTGCATCTCTTCACGTTCTTCTTGTTTGGTCAGCCTCCTGTCTCTTGCCTCCTTGGAATCTTGAACTCTGCAAGAGCAGGGCCGACTTGGTTTCCTCCACCAGCATTGATGGAGGGCAGCAAATCTGCCTGAGCTTTGGCTGCGTCTTCTCCAGATCAATTGTTATCTTCATGTGTCCAGATGCACAGCTGGGCAGGTAACACAAAGCATCATTTCCATGCTCAGGCACCCAGGCCAATCCATTCCAGATGCTTCATGAGTTGAGGGATTTTCCATAAACTTCAGAGATGTCAGAGTCCACCAAAATATTATAAGGCTGGGTTCTTTATATATATGTATATGAACATAATCTATATTTTATATATTTATATCTAAATATTCTAATCTATACATATTTATATAATCTAAGGCTTATATATATAAGCTATGGTGTTGAGCTACAGTGTTCATATTATATATATATTTTTTATATATATGTAATTATGTATATCTATATCCTTAGATTATACATATATATAATCTAAGTGTGTGTGTGTGTGTGTATATATATACACACACACACTAAGGCTCTTTGTAAAATGAAAATGTATGTTTAAAGTAGTTATATAAATTTTTTTATTCAAACAGTATACACTTATATGTTTACATTTCAATTTCAGGATGACACCCCTGACTTTCACAATGTCATAATTTAAATGATCTATAGGGACTTTTTTCTTCCTCTAAGTGCTCTTAACCCAAAAAAGCCAATTAAATGGAGAACAATATAAATAGATTTTCTCTGTTGCTGCCAACTTTGATCTGCCCTCATGACGATAACAATTTATTAGAGAAGGAGATGGCTCTAATTTGGTTCAGTTTAACAAATGTTACTCCGTTGGAATCAGACACCCCTCTGTGATGAGAGTGAACACAGAGGACATTCGGTGATGGTGCCGGGCGGGACCCTGCAATGGTCTGTGGCGATTATAAGACAACAGCGATGCCGGGGCCGCAGTGTTCAGAGCCCAGTGGCGGCTCTGTTGTGTGGACCAACACTGAACGCAGAGCTCCTCTAAAGGCTCATGGTTATTTAGAGAGCAGAACATGGTGTGATGACTTTGACCTCTAAATGAAGGATGGACCCCTGGAAGCCTGGTGCTCCCCAGAGGGCTTGTGCCTTTGTGCACCTCCAGGTGATCCATGTGTGTCCAGGCCTGCAACTAGCCAATTATATAATGCTATGATTGCTCTTACTATTACTATTATCATTTTACAGTGCTTTGGTATTTCATGAAGAGGCCAGGAAAAGCGTGGATTACGTGACTGTGTGCAGAATTATAATGGTATATGTTATGTTGTCTAACCTGTAAAACTCTTAAGAATTTTTTTCTGATTATAGAAAATAGTACATGCTAAGGTAGAGAATGAAAAGTTTCATGATTCCACCTGTTAGAGATACTGGCTGTTTTTCTGCACCCGTGAACACACACACATGCACACACACGTGTGCACACACACACTTCCACAGGCATACATGATTTTTTCAGCAGTGGGCCCATGCTGTTCAGGATAGTCTGAGGTGTGCACATCTTTTCTCATAAGGTCCCTGGACATATTCCTGGTCAACTAAGTCTTCAAAAGGCTGCTGAGCCCCCAAGGGTGCAGGCTGATGTGGACGTCTGAGCCAGCCCTGTCGGGTGACAGTTAGGAGGCCTCCAGTTCTTCCCTCCCTAAACAACCCACGGGGACTGTCCTGTGTATCATGTTTGCTCCTTGTACCCTAATTACCATAGGGAAACTCCCAGAAGTGGGGTACTGGATCAAAGGGTGGGAACACCCTCCATATTGATTGGATACAGTGCTGCCAAATTGCCCTTCAGAAAGGTTACCCCAGGTTACAGTCCCATCAGCAGCAGGAGGCTGGAAACCTCCCAGGCCTCTCCAACCCTGATGATTTCACTACTTCCCGATCTCACTGGCATAGCATATCTCATCTTTTTTGGCTTACATATTTTCTATTTTATTCAGGTGTAGCATCTTTCATACAGTTGGGTTTTTGTATTTTGGTAGGGATGGATTTAGGGAATGGGTTTTGGCCACTTGACTTTCTCATTTTGCCCTTGGTCCATTTTTCGTTTGATTGTTATTTATCTTATTATCTTTAGGAATTTTTTGTCAAGTGGATTCCCAGCCCTCAGCATTGGTTATCTCCTGCAGCATAGCCCATTATCCTAAAACTCAGTGTCTTGAAGACACCAACATGTCTTCTCTCCTAGTTTCTGTAGTTGAGGAATCTGAGTGCTGCATGCCTGGGTGCCTCTGGCTCTGGGTCTGTCATAGAGCTGCAGGGGAACTGCAGGCCAGGGCTGCTGTCTCATCTGGAGGTCTGACTGGGGAGGATTGGTTCCCATGAGCACTCATGTGCTGGCAGCAGGATGCAGTCCCTGGGTGGTGTTGGCTGAAGGCCTCAGTTCCTTGCCTATGGGCCTCTCCATGGGGCAGCTCACAGCATGGCAGCTGGCCTCCCTCATAGGGAGCTAGGGAGAGAGAGAGAGGTTACCCAGGATCAAAGCTGCAGTCTTTTGTGGCTTACTCTCAGAAGTGACTTTCCATCACTCCGCCATCCTCTGTGCAATAGAAGCAAGCTCAGGTCCCTCGCACTCAGGGGTAGGAGGTCAAACAGGGAGTGAACGCCAGGAATCGGAAATCCTTTTGGGACAGCTTAAGGGCTGCCTGATACAGGAGCATAATATTAGCTGATTCCGTAGGTAGGATCTTGTTTTCATTGTATGTTCAAATCAGTTATGGATGTATATATAAACTATCACATTTTTACACATGCATAATAAATTCTGGCATACACGTTCATGTAAACCACATTTGTATTGTGACTTTCACTTTTTGTCTCAGGTGTAGGGAGAGGTTAATGATATCCCACCAGTCCATCCATGCAAGGCCCATGGGAGCCCATTCTGTTTCTAGCAGATATTATTAGATACACTTCATCCTGTCAGGTGTGTCATGTCATTCCGTGCATATGTGTGTTTCATCAGCCCAACCAGTGCTGTCCTCTGTGCCTTGCTCTGAATCTTAGTTATTTCACCCAGAACTTGGGCTGGTGGGCCGGCTGTGTCACTGTGTGTGTGTCTGGCCCATTGCTTTTCACACCTGCATATTTTTCCAAGATGTGAATTGATCACATTTTGCTCATCCACTCCCCTGGGGATGCCAGCAATCTCCCACCTCCCTGTGGTCACAGGAATATGGCTACTCACCTGCAAGTGGATCTTCTGGGCTTGATACCCAGCTGTGAGCTCACAAGAGCACGAGCCTCGGTATGTGGATTGTCTCGAGGTATTGCCAGAAACTTCCAGAATGCCTTTGACATTCTGGAAGCGGCCGATCGACACACTTCCCCGCAAACACCTGGCATCGTCCTCCCCTCTGTTTTGCCCCTTGACAGGACCCTAGAGGCATCTAACTGCTGCTTTCCTTGTGCTTTCCTGATGACTGGGATCTGGACATCACGCTGCATACTTGTCAGCCATTCAGGTCTCTTCTTTAGACATCTGCTGATCTTCTTTCCCTTCCCTGCATTGTGTCCGGGTTGTCTAGCTTTTTCTTCTCAATTTTCAGAAAATTTTTCTTTTTCCAGGTATTAATTTTTTGTGCAAGTGTTAGACATCACAAATATTTTCTCCCCAAATTTTCTTTATCTTCTTCTCTTTCTCATCTTTTATTGAGGAAAAAAAGCCCTCCCTAATTTTGAACAAGTTACATTATGATCGAGGCTGTTTGGGAAGACCATTTCCTCACCGTCCCATCACGAGGCATCCTCCTGAGCCTCCTCCCACTGGCTTTAGAGCTTTTCCTTTCACATTTTGGATTTCATCCATCTTGAGCCCTTCTCCATGTGAGCTGCCAGGTAGACACCCAGCTTCCTTTCTCTGCAGTAAACACTTTTCTTGGCCCCATTGTCTGAACCACCTGGTCTTTTCCCACGGCTTTCTGCTGCCATTGTTATCCCATGACAGTCCCATGTAAATACAATTCTCTCTTCTGCTCAGTTCCCCAATTTTCCTGCTCCTGTACAAATATTACACTGCCTTTAGGAATGCGGCCTCCTAGTCCAACAGCCAACAGACTACAACCCCCTCTGCTCTTCCTTTTCAAAATCATCTTAGCTTTTTGTGGACCTTGTAATTTTTCAATTATTTGTCAAGAAATTTACTCTGATCAGTGAACTCTCATTTCCACACAAGAGCGTACCCTGAAATCTCAGCAGTTTAATACAGGAAACATATATTCTGGCACAGAGTCTAATACAGGCCAGTGTCTGCTCTCTATCTGGAGCACACAGCCTCCAAATTCACAGCAGCAGTGGGTGACAGCAGGGTGAGGGGAGCATGTCAGCATCAGCGCCCGACTGTCTCCACCCGGAACACACACGCCTCCTTCTGCTCACCACCCACTGGCCAGAACTGGCCACATGGCCCCATCTGACTGCAAGGGAGGCAGAAATGTAAGGACCCACATGGCTATTTGTGGAGCATTAACGCTCTCTAACAAATTCAGTTCCTCAAAAATAGCTGAGCCTTTAGGATTTTCTATGTAGGCAATTCTAGCATCTACAAATAATGAGGTCAACAGAAAGTCACATCCCAGTGACGCAGAAAACCTCAGTACCGTAAGAGCCAGGCAAACAAAGCCAGCACAAAACTTATTTTTGCTGCTTCAAATATGGAGATTGAAGAAGCTTGATTTTTTGTTACCTTTGAATCTTACCACAAGCCAATGTAAATATCACAATAACAAAGCCAGGAAAATTAATCTGTAAAATTGTTCTTATGCCATTTAAAATGTCACCAAATATACCTGGGATTAACTTTTCCATTACTAGGAAAAGGGCAGTTTTGATGACTTACTTCTTAGCTCCCTTTAACATCTGATTTAGTGCCTTCCACAGTAGGCCCTCAAAAAATTATTGGCTGCAAACATAACATATTGCATACGGTCTTTTCAGTAAAATTGAAAGATTTTACTTTGAAAGTCCAGTTTCCTGAAAACATTTACCTTCTAAAAGATACTTATTGGGAAGCTGAGATCAGAATTTGAGTGCTGGCAGAAGCTTTAAGCCTGTAGGGCTAAAATGATGTTGCCTGTGCACGTGGTGTGTAGTGTACAGCCTGAGGGCTGGTACACCACGGTCTATGCCTGCATGTGGATCTTCCAGCATGGAGCACCCGTGCTTAGGAGGTTAACAACCAGGAGTACGTGCATGGCATTGGAGTGGGGCATGCTATAGCCGGAGAAGGTTGGGAAGTCCTGGCTTAGGAGACGTTATTGAAAAATTCCCAGAGCCAGCAGGGTGCTGATATTTCTTGCCAATGCTCAGACATCACAGGGCTCCAACTCCAGTGCCGGGATGAGGCTTGGGTTGGTGAGGCACTGCCTCTTCCTGCCTCTACTTCCACAGAGAAGTTACTTGCTCCTTCATTCTTCATCAATCATTTGAAAAATCCCAAGTGCATCTCCCTCCTGGGTGAGAATTAGATGACATAATGTGTAAAATACTGCGTGGGACACATTTTGGAAAATGGTAACATGCATACCATCCTTTCTTTGGAATTCTAACTGTGGCATGCGGGGGCCTTCAGACTCATAGTGATAACCCCACAGGCTTCGTCGTTCATTCCTCAGTAAATAAGCTTGAGCACCTGAGAGGGGCAGTGAGCACTTTAGTACTGGAATAATGCGTGGTGGGGCATCACCTGGAGGTTCCATCCTCACACGTGGTGAGAAGGGGCTTTGAGCACAGTCTCCAGAACCCAACTGGAGTCCCACCAGGTCACATCCCACCTCCAGCACCTGACAGCTGCATGGCATTGTGCAGTTTACATCTGTGCTTCCGTTTCTCCGTCTTGAGGAGAGGCTGGAGCAGTCTTTCCCCGATGATGACTGAGCATGTGTGTGCATGTGAAGTCCTTGTGGCAGTGACTGGCGCAGCTTTCCCTATATTCTATCATAAGATAAACAGTGAAGATTTCAAGTGACGCTTGTAAAAATCACCGATTGAATTATTTTCTTTAGCTATTATGATTCTTAATCAAAAAGCCGAGATTGTATTGCAATGCCCTTATACAAATAAAAGAATTAAAATCAGAACATCTCCCAAAGTAATGACCTAAAAGTAATAATAGCCATCCTAGTTGCTTATAGAAAATCTCTTGTTAATTTTATTAGGTCAATCAAAAGCAGTCCTTTAGTTTTCTAAGCTTTTCAACCAGAGACTAGGAATTTGAACTTAGAATCAACTTCCTCTCTTGATTACATTCTTAAGACTCTTTTACGATAATAGAACACGGCATTTTCCACAGAGATCCCGAATTTGCTTTGTCTACACTGACTAAGCTATCTTATGCCGTATCTTTGTCCCCTATTTCCTTGCAAACATAAAGTGTGTGCTGGGTTTCATTTACATCACCTGTATAACACCAGCCAGTCTGGAAAGGTGGAATGATACTGTATGGCCCTGAAATGGCTTCGGTCCATTCCTTTTATCCAGTATTTGTAGCACACTGCTGGGTGGAGTCTCACTGAGAGCTCTTAATTTAACAAGAAACCAGTGTGAGCCAAGGGAAGGGGTAGGAAGGCAGGGCCCGGGGGAAGTGTGAGCATGGGGGGTGGGGTGGGTGGTGCTGGAGGAGGCAGGGTCATTGTAAAGGGAGCATTAGACTTCAGCCTTGAAGCCGAAGCTCTGCCAGGTGCTGGAAGGGAACTGGCCCTCCAGCCTGCAGCTGGAGAGGACCCCGCCCACAAGAGACAAGCCCTGCCCCTGTGGAGCAAGCTGGAGAACCAGCTAGAGCAATGATGTGCTGGGCAGAAACGCACAGGCTCTCCAGGGCCTGGCCCCTGCTGATAGGTGCTGGATTTAACCCCAAGACCTGTCGGAAAGAATGCTTTATGAAATACACTTATTTTTTAAAGTATATTAGGATAACTTGTGATAAGTTCATCACACCCACTGAAATGGCTCAGAACACTTTCAGGACTTCAAAATCAGGGTGGGGTATGCCTGCTTAGTCATGGATGAGTATCTGGAAAGCTCAGGGAGCTTTCCAGTGGCACTGGGGCTCCCTTATTCCTAGGAGGCGGGGCCTGAGCAGGGAGGGGGTGGGGTCCCGATGTTTGTGCAGAGGAGACACCTCTGCTGCCTCTGCAGAGCCTGCACCTCAGCAGCACCTCAGGAGCAGCCAAGGCATAAAGCAGTCAACGCGGTGCCCTCAGGGCAAATGCACCAAGCATGGTTCCAGCTTATTTTGAGGTGTTTGGTTGTTAAAAGTTTTTCAGCACTTAAAGGTCTAATTTTCCCACGGGTGAAAACATCCCATTTTAAGAATGTGTTTGGAGTTTGCCCTCTGGGTCACGGGGCTGCTGGGTCAGGGTTGCTGCAGGAAGAAGCTTTGCCAGGGCTGTGCTGTCCTGACTCAATGAGACAATGACCTCAAAACGGAAACACCTGGGGGGCTCGGTTAAAGAGCCACATGCGGCACCCCTCAGGTGTACACTATTTTACCTGCTCCTAAGCTTACTATATAATATTTGTGAACTGCTGCAGAAAGCAAAGCACACTCTGCGAATGCATGGCAGGTTTGGGGCAGTACCTTTTGGTTCCTTTCATTGCCTGGAGTGACCTTTGGTCGTATCACATGAGAGATGCCCACTTGCTAATTAATGGGTTTCTTCACAGGAAAATGTAGTTGAGATTTGTAAAAACAAACGGCGTTGTCTTCACTGGACACTAGCTGCCACCAATAATGATTTGCCATTCACAAGGACAGGAGTGGCCCCCTCTTGGCATAGAGAGAGTGGAAACATCCCCTTCCCCTTGGAAACCAGACCCAAACTCCAGGGACCCCGAAATTCCCACCTTCACCCCATCCTCCCCAGGATGGCCCACATGGAAGCCCACAGACCACCAGCCCACACCAGTGCTGGAGGTCCACAGTCACATGAGGGTGCCCTGGGGAGGGACAGGGGCAGGAAGTAGGACCCTCTACACACCCCCATGCCTACACCAGCGCCCACACTCTCAGGGCCAGTGATCACCATGACACTGTCTCAAACAGCCCACCTTGTGTGCTTCTCCATCCTGACCTCCACGTGCCCCCCAGGCCTCACTGGGCCTCACAAACTGACCTTTGGCCTGGCCGTGACCTCCTCCCAGTCACCCTGCCACCATTGCAGACCAAGTCGCCATTTTAGTCATGCCAAAGATTCTTGGTGAATTGCACACGGAGCACAACTCCTTGCACTGAAGGTCAGCCTGCTGAGGACAGGTGTGCGTGGAGGTCAGCCTGCTGAGGACAGGTGTGCCCGGAGGTCAGCCTGCTGACAGGTGCGCCCGGAGATCAGCCTGCTGAGGATAGGTGTGCCCGGAGGCCCTACAACCACCACCCCCACCACCAAAACCCAAGGCTGGACCTGGTGACATTCCAGACTTTAAGGAAATGGTTGACTAGAAGTCAGTGGGGCTTTGTTCAAAATAAAGAGGTTAAAAGAGAGACCATTTAGGCAGAAAGTTGATGAGCTGGATCTTACAACATCCACATGGAGACAGCAGCTGCTGGCCTGGTGGAAGTGTCCAGCAGGACGCGGGTGTGTGGAACTGGCATTTGGGTGGCAGGGAGAGGCTGCAGGCGGGAATTTCAAGAGTTCCCCCATGTGGCACGTGTAAGCCAAAGACCAAGTGGGCTGTTGACCAAATCTGGGTGGTTCTTTGGAAACAAATTGCATATGCAAGGCTGTTCCAGGAGGTTTCATCCATATCCCATATCGCACAAGTTGCAGCTTCACTCAGTGCCTCAAGAAAGCAAGCCAGACAAAAGACAGACCTGGTGTCTCCCCAGAAACCACCCTCCTAGAATAAAGTCAAATACCTGCTTGGCAGGTATTGGGGATCTCTAGGGGCATAAATTAAATCTCACATCTTTATGAGCACAATTCCTTCTTTTAAAAATCAGAAAAGTAACAAAGTAGGTGAAGTAAATAATCCATGTAGAGTCTTATTATTGCTGTGCTTTATTGCAAAAACAGACTATTTGAGAAAGTAACCTATCTTTTATAGAGTTTGTGCCCAGATCATATTTTCACACGGAAATTTTACCTGAAAATATATCTGAAGACTTCCAGTGGTTCCAAAATCTCATTTACTTTATTTTTTGACATTGCTGAATTTCCTTCTGCATTGTGAAACTCTAGTGCTGAGCATGCTGTATGACATGAGCTTTCTCTGTCATTGTAAGTAACATGGCTTGGAAAGAGACCACAGCCGTGAACTGCCACCATCAAGCGCAAAGCCTCCCTGAAGCCACCTCAGCAGTGAAAGCACCAGGCGCCATTTACCTGGGTTGTCTGTGAAAATCACGCGTTCCTTCTTGATGCAATATTTCTAGAACAACTAAGTTTGGGCTTTTTGGTCAAAGTCGTGAAGCTCCTGCTAGCAGGGCAGACAGCGAATGGTGGCTGCCTCTGTTTTGACAAATTCATTCCCAGGCTCTGATTCCTGTCACATTTCCTAGTGACATTCTTGGTCTCTTTCGGTTTTTTTTTTTTTGGACTTTAACAGCATCGCCGTACCTACTATCTGTGCTGAGAGAACTGTTCCGCAGCAAGGCTGGGCCATAGCAGTTGTGAAATGAAGTGTCCTGATCACCCAATGGCACGGGTGATCAAAGCCACAGCAGACCACAGGCAAGGGCTTAGGGCTGCAGGTGGATGATCTCCTGCGCACGTGGGAGAGTGATCCTAGGACGTGCAGATGCATTCTGTCAGGAAACAGGCAAAAGGCAGGAGACATGGAGAGTGGGTGCCCATCGGTGCATCTGATCTCCCTGGCACCCCTCCACTCCCCTCTGCTTCCTTCCTGCTCAGGGGCTTCATCCTTCCTAGGAGTGAGGAAGGCCAGGCCTCATGACAGAGCTGCCTGCCCTGGGGGCGTCCCTTCTATCGTGTGCAGCATCAGGAGTCTGTTGGATCCCCAGTGCCTCATCCTGAAATCAGGGAGGCGTGGCAGGGTGGAGGCAGCCGTGGGCATCTAGGGACACACAGCACGGGAGGCCACAGAGCTGAGTGAGCAGAGTCCCACCTGCCGGAACAAGAGGGCGAAAGTGAGAATTAAGCCACCGAGAATGGGTGGGCTGAGATAGCGATGGGGCCCTGGATTCTCTTCCTGTTCAGTATGTGTTCCAAGAAGAAGGAAAAACATGGAACGCTGAGGAAGACCAACTGTGCAGGGAAAAGAGCTGGCCGGATTGTGATCTAAGAGGTCAAGTTGGGTAGGAGAACACCATTGTTTCTTGCAGGTCACTCACTGAGCGTAGGAGCAGACAGAGCTGACTTCAACTTAGGGGCGACTTCAGTAAGAAAGTGGGGGGTCTCTGGGGCTAGTCAGGGAAATGTGTGCCTTAATGGAGCCAAGTCCAAGGAGTAAAATGTTGAAGCAAATGAAGAGGTGCTGATGTCTGTATCCTCCGGTGAGTCTGTCCATCATAAAAAGGGCAGAGGCTGTGCTCATTAAGACTTTCCAGAATCCTCTGTGAAGACAGCTGGAATGATCTCACAAGGAGAAAACACAGACCGGGGGTCTCCTTTGTGCTGAGTAAGTGTTTCGGCCTTGAGAGTGGAGTGCAGCATCCTGGGTGCGGCCCAAGAAAAGCAGCTTCCTTTTGCATTCTGGTCCTGGCCAAAATGACAAACACAGACTGCCCCCATCATCTCGGGACAGAGACTCACCAGGGAGGTCACCCACCCTGTTCACCACGTCAGGCAGGTAGCGTGTGCCGAGGCCCCCACATGTGCTGCAAAGACCAGAATGTACGTAGTAAAGGTAGACTCAGGGCCCTGATCATCTCGGGGCTTACATAAACCATGTGGCAAATGACAGGATGGCTGGCCAGGAGCTCCCTGTTGAGATGACATTGAGAGAGACACAGGTAATTGGTGGCCAAGGAGCATCCAGTGCCAGGGGGCACAGCCAGGCGGGTCACTTTTTTCGTTTGTGTTTGTTTGTTTGTTTGAGTGAATGGTCAGTATCTTGTTTGCCTTCTCTTACATCTGTGACCCTTCCGCACGTTTCTGAGAGCTGGCCTGGCCTTGGGGTTCAGAGTGTGGCCTCCAAAGCCAGGAATTCCTGCACTGGGATCCTGGCCCTTGGCCACTTCCTAGCTGAGTGACTCCAAGCACCTTATTGATCTGTGTGTCTCCATTTTCTCGTCTGTAAAATAGACCTGATGACAGCAGACCCCACCTGCTGGAGTGTCTCAGTATGGTTCAGTGAGAGTGTTTGCCCCATCTTGAGAACAGGGCCTGGCTCAGACAGCCCTCGACACAGTCGACACAGCCACCACGATGTCACTAATGAGCGTATCTGTCACTTACCTGTCTTAAAGTGCACATTAATGAAACCCACTGGGATCCGGCTGCCTATGCAAAAGTATAAGTATTAGTGGGATCTCCAAAAAATAACCTTGAGAGGATTATCTCATATCATTACATTTTTAGCAAAAAGTTCCTTTTTCTGCGCTTGCTTCCTCCAAGAAAGTACCATCTGTTTCAAAACAGTTCAGTAATTGCTAGTACTTTCTTTAAAATGTAGAGGCAAGTGCTGCTTCTGTTTTGTAAGCGCCCATGAACTGTGCCTTTGGTGCTGCCAGAGCTGGAGGATTTTGTATAGTATTAAGTAGAGTGGCTTCGCTTTAATTCCTTATGAGTATCACCAAAGTATACACGAAACCGATGCTGGCTTTGTCATCCTGAGAGGTTTCACAGTTTTAAGAAAGAGTTTCTGAGTGCCGGCATTTCCTAATACCCTGCTTGACGTCTGTGGGGTGGCAAGCATTTCATAAACCTCTGGGGGTTACAGGTTGCTCTCTTTGGACTTGTTCATGGCTAAGCTACACTTTTTTAAAGAACCAGATTTTTCTTAATGTGTAAAGAGTGCTAAAAAATAAGGTCAATAGGAGTTTTTAAGGTTTTGATAGTATTATAAACCAAGTAACCATCACACATCTCAGATGACTGTTTTTCAAGAGTTGGCCCGGAGCGTGCTTCTCGGGCCATTTCACCTGTGCACGCTTCGTTGTGGCTGCACCTGCCCTAATTCCCCGTTTCTAGATTTCCTGCTTCTCCTCTTGACTGTCCCCAGCCAAACACACCCATCCTCCCAGGACCCCACAGCCTGCTCCTAAGACAGCGTCTCTCTCTGCAGGCCTGGCCCCGGGTCACTTGGCATGGTGGCCCACCACCTCCATCCCATCTCGCCTTGCACGCCAGGTGCTCATTATCCCCATGCAGGAGGTGAGGGCGGGTAGTGACATGGGTGCAGCGGCTAGGTGCAGGGAGGGTGACCTGCTCACGGGCCTATGGCTAGAGAGCAGAGAGGGGGCACGCTCCCCTCCCCGCACACCTCTCCCTGCAGAACCACATCATTTAGGTTCCCTGGTGTGAGCTCCCACCACTATACCCAGCAGCCTCCTGCCTGGATTTCTGTGCACACCTCAAAGCCAGCCAACCCAAACAGAACTCAGTATCTTATCCTAGAAACCTGTTCCTCCTGGGTCAGAAGCCTGGAGTGGCTCGGGCCTCCCACTGATCCTTCCCCCAGCCTTGCCCACATGACCTTAGTTGGACTCACTGAGTGGCCTCTGCCAGGCCCTCGCCATCTTCTCTGGACCATGACAATAACCTAACTGGACAACACCCCAAAACTGACCGCCATACCACCTCCCAAATGACCATCCACAAGGAAAACATGGCCCAATGTGCGCCCACCTGCAGAATGGGTGCAAGTGCTGAGGTACAGGTGAAAGGCCTCTCTGTCAGCTTTATGCCTGCCGTGGGCAGAGTTATGTCCTCCCCAAAATAGTTGAAGTCCTACCCCCTGTGGCTGTGAATGTGACCTTATTTGAAAATAGGGCCTTTGCAGAAGTCATTGAGTTGAGAGGAGGTCTTGCTGGGTTAGGGTGGTCCCTAATCCAATGACTGGTGTCACTGTAAGAAGAGGGAGATTTGGATACAGAGACAGATTCACAGAGAACACCGTATGGCAATGGAGGCAGAGATTAGAGCGCTGTGCCAACAGGCTGAGGCACACAAGGGTGCTGGCAGCCCCTGAGCGCTGGAACAGAGTCCTGGAGCAGACCCTCCCCTGGGCCCTCATCTCCATGTCAGACTTCTGGCCACCTGAACTGTGAGAGAGCATATTTCTGTTGTTTCAAGCCCCCAGTTGGAGTGCTGTGTTCCAGCAGGCCCAAGAAACTAAGGCACCTCCCATCCCTGCCTCGCCCACCTCCACCCCCCAGCAAGCTCTGACTCCCGGAAGCCTCAGGATGCTCACTGCCCACCCTCACGTGGCGTCTGCTCCTGCTGCCCCCTCTCCTGCTTTCTGGTTGGATCATTGCCACTTGTCTTTTGCGTTCAGCTCCTGAACCACCTTCCCCTGGAAGTTTCCTCCACTCGTCTGGGCCCCCAGCCCCTTTAGGTACCCCCTCCTGCACTCCCACAGTCCACTCTAGAGCACGGCTTCTCCACAGGGCTATTCAGCCCCCTAGGGAGTGCTTGGCAATAGGCAGAGACATTTTTGGTTGCCACCACTCGGGAGAGGGGTACTAATGGCATTCAGAGAATGGAGGCCAGGAGGCTGCTGAACAGCCTCAGTGCACACGGCTGGGAACGACCCAGGGAGGCTGCTCAACACTCTGCGGTGCACATGGTCAGGAATGACCCAGGGAAGCTGCTGAACACCCTTAGTGCACAGGAGCGCCCAAGCTGGGGATGATCCAGCTCCAGCGTCAGCAGGGCCCAAGCAGAGGCACTCTCATCTAGAGGACACCTGCTCCTGCAGAGATGCCAGATGTTTTCATCTTGTCTCCCAGCTCCAAGTGGGAAAACTGCACATCCGTGGTTGCGCACCACCCACCACGCCAGCAAGGCCTCCCTGCTGCGAGTCCAACACACTCTGATCAGACCAATGCTCTTGTCAGCACCCAAAGAAGAAAAGACATGCTTACTGTATTCTGTACACTCTCTTCCACGTCTTGATAGGCTCAAACACGCCTTTAAAAATGAGAGCCCTGGCCAGGTGCGGTGGCTCATGCCTGTAATCCCAGCACTTTGGGAGGCCGAGGCGGGTGGATCACTCAAGGTCAGGAGTTCAAGACTCACCTGGCCAACATGGTGAAACCCCGTCTCTACTGAAAATACAAAAAAAATTAACAGGGCGTGGTGGTGCAGGCCTGTAATCCCAGCTACTTGGGAGGCTGAAGCAGGAGAATCACTTGGACCTGGGAGGCGGAGGTTGCAGTGAGCCAAGATCGTGCCACTGCACTCCAGCCTGGGTGACAGAGTGAGACTCTGTCTAAAATAAGAAAAAAAAAAAAATGAGGAGCCCACAGATGTGATGCACGGCAGGTGTGTTTGGAGTGAAGGATCGTGTTCCCTGCATGTCAGCAGGGCGCAGCCAGCCTTCTTCCTGAGGACACCGCATCACCTGCTGGGACTCTGCTCGCCTCTCCTGGACACGCACAGCCCTTCCGTCCCAGTTCCAGGCCTGGAAACATTCTCGCTAGAGAGAGAAATTTTACTGTAATAAGAATGGGTTTCCCAGTGCATTTTTTCTGCAGAAACTACATATCTCTATCAAAGTGGGAGCAGGGCCATGGAGGAGAGTCGTCATTTCCACTAAAGCCACGCCAAGGGCTGGTTCCCTTGTGGCTGATCCCTGTGTGGCTGGTCCATGTAGCCATGTGGCCCCTCGTGCCCCACCACCCAATGCACTGTCCTCTATGCCCTCAGATCTGGTGGGATGTTCTAGTCATCTACTTTGTGAAGCCACTTCTCTGGTCGCCTGTATGTGTTTGGCTTGGGCGTGAGTCAACAGGTCTCTGGGGCAAACAGTGCATTCTGAAAGTGTAACCGAAAGATCAGGTTTATGGCTTCTGAGGTGACTATTTTGAGTTGGTACTTTCCAGAAACCATTCAACACATTTTTTAGCTACCAGATCTGGGAACTAAATCACAGCTAGTCATGGGGGATGCATATGAATGAGTCTGCTGTTGGTGTCTGAACGATGAAAGGAACCCCAAGCCATATTGGGCACAAACTTTGAGTGAAACCCAACAGGGAGCGCAGAAGCCTGAGTGGCCCATGTTGGCGTCGGAGGGGCAGCGAGCAGGGAGGGCTGGTCTGCATACTCCAAGTCCTGGTTTCCTGGAGGAAGTCGCCCAGCCTGTGTGGCTGCCTCCAGCCCTTTCCCTGAGGATTCTGGGCCCCTCCTCAGGCCCTGGCCCTGAGGCTGCCTGTCTTTGGTCTTGCCCCTCATGGCACCCTCAGGCCACACGCATGCTCTTCTGCGGTGCCTCTGCCTTCAGTCTCGGGAGTCCTTGATTCGAACCCAGCTCTTCTATAGCCCTTGGCAAGTCAGTTAATGGAAGCCCAGTTTCCTACTCGTTGCAAAGGTTGCCCAGGTCAACATTTAATGAGATGAGATGTGAAAACAGCCAGGCAGCAGTCGCACATCAGAGTCGAGCTGAGCACGGAGCAGTCACCGTGGCACTTGCGGACGGTGTGGGGACTCAGCAGTCTCCCGGGTTGCACTTCAGACAAAACCTCAACATGACCTCACTGGCGGCTCATCAGCTCCAACAGCATGTTCCCACCCTGTCTTTCTCCCCCTCCCCTGTTTCTGCTCTCCCAGCCCTCTCTGCTTGTTCCCTCCCTGCACTGGTTAGTGCTGGGTCGGGTTCTGACAGATTCGGAACCCACCAGGCTGAAGCTCTCCCTGTGCAAAGGGACCACCCATTAAACTGGCTCATGTGGCCTGGGGCTCCCTCCACTCAGCCAAGAGCCTTCCCTCAGGTTACTGTGGGCTCTAGTCAGCAGCCATTCCACAGCAGGGAGGCTCACATCGGTCCCTGCAGTTTGAATGTAACCACCATAGCCACCTGCATGTGCACACATGGACACACATGCTCACATGTGACACGATACATGTGTATAAGTACCCACAAACACACAAATGAACACACGTGCACACATACACAAATGCATATGTATGTACATGCATTACTCGTGCACATGCTCACATATGCACACACACACCCCCAGGCTCACAATAAGGGCTATATTCACCTTCTCTGGATCCTTCTGTTTCCTGTCTCATCCGACTAGATCCAGCTGAAGTCCCCTGCTTGTCAGTGGCTTCAGTGTCATTGATCTGATTTGGGAATGTGTTTCTTAGAAGAGTCTGATCTGTTGTAGAGTCTCATTTGTCCTTTAGAAACTTACAAGTTGATTTTTTTCTAGGATTTGCTTTGAACATTAAACCTTAAGAGAAAGGTGAAATCCCCAATGTCTTTCCAAAGCGGACCTCCTTTGAAAGATGCTTGTAAGCATTGGTTTTCCTCAAGCCAAGAGCCTAGTGAGCTTTAATTTTTGCCCCCAGATAGAAGTTTTAGGGGAAACCTAAAATGAGTCTTGCACACGTTTACAACCCATGTCAGGGAGCTTAAGGTTACGAGTGCTTTTAGACTGACAATTACTCCTTCAAAGACTTGAAAAACAAGTAGCAGCTCTGTAATTTTGGCTCAGGAAATGAGTGCAGGAAACTCAAAACTTTACGTAAGCAGTCTGAAAATTTTAACTATTTTTAGAGGGCAAAAGTCTGTAATTCATAGGCAAATGAAACACAAAAATACCAAGAAAGTATGTTTGCAAAGAAAAGGAATGAGAGAAAAAGCTAATCAAGTAAGTATAGAATTAATGTATTAATGTCAACCTGTTAAGACAGACATAATTCAAAAGGCTAAGAAATTAGCTATGTAAATGCAATATACTGAATTTGCCTGTGGACATTTTTGTGACTGAATACGTCATAAAATCTACATGAAAAGACAGAAATATGGTGTATTCTTTCAAGAGAACAGAATGAAACTATCTTTACCAAAGGAGAAGATCTTCCGTGATAGCTGAAAAAATAAGAAGCCCCATTTATTGTGTTCACCCTGTGCCTGGCATTGGGCAAAGCATCTTTTATGTTTTAACATATTAAATTCTTATAGAATCCAATGCCACATAATACTATTATAATGCTTATTTTACATATGAGAAAATCGACATTCAGAGAGGTTAAGTGATTCACCCAAGGTCACACAGCCAGGAAGTATTGGAGCTGGGATTTGAAGCCAGGTCTACTGAATTATGCAACTCCTTCCCCACCAAATACACACACAAGCACACACACACACAAGCACACACACACACAAACACACACACACACTTAAATTCCATGCCCAAGCCTCCCCCTCCCCCAAGCATAGTGAGCCATTTCACACCTTCAATTTGGGACCCCTTGTCCTCTCCCACCACAGCCTGGTAAACACCTGCCCACCTATGTCTCAAGGCTTAGCTTACGTTATTGTCAACAGAAATCTTTCTGAACACACAAATCACTGCCACCACCCCTCTTCTCTCTCCTTTCTTTCTCTCTTCCCCAGTGTAGAATCCGTCATACTGTCTGGGTTATAAGTTCCATAAGGAGCAGAATTATTTTCCTTAGAAAGCTCTGAAGTCCCGGTCACCAGCACAGTTCCTGACACAGGGAAGACCTGCAGCAATCGTCTGCTGAATGAATAAAGAATGAATTGACTCTTCCTGCCTCTGGCTCTTTTAGTTCTACACACCAGTTGTTCTCAATCAGGAGTGGTTTTGCTCCTGTGGGGACGTTTAACAATGTCTGGAAACAATTTCTGTCATTACTCATGGGGTGCCACTAGCATCTAGTGGGTAAAGGTCAAGGATGCTGCTAACTTCCTTCCATGCAGGTATAGCCCCTACAGCAAAGAATTACCTGGCCCAAGATGCCAACAATACCAAGAGTGAGAGACCCTGCCTGCTCCACACCCTCTGTCCCAACAGCTGCAACATGCCTGGTTATCCGCCCACAGTGGACTCTAAGCCCTAAAGGCAGAGACCTGGCATCACTTTGTCTTGTTTGACCCAGCACCTAACACATTGAATGAATGCATAAATGAATGAATGAGAAGCATTAGACAATTAAGGAAGATGCAGACGTGCCAGGCTGAAATTCAATTACATGGGGGCCGAACTGGGGAGTTAAGTTTGGGGCCACTTGTCATCTTATTAGCTGTGTTGAAATGTTTTCATGCTGCATCATTGCTATTGGCCCTCAAAAGGCCATAAGGGAAAAAAAGAATCAAATCAAAATACCACCTACTGGTTTTGTTTGACAGATGCAGCCCTGGAGAATTGTATTCTCATTAACACTGTTCGACTTCTGTATTACAATGAGACTTTTAAGGTGGTGATGGCAAAATCCTGTAGTTGTTCATAAATATACACTTAACCATGTGTGGCTCAGGAAAGAGAGGAAGTGTTGCTGTAAACTCTGAGTGATAACACAAAGCTGTTGTAGTGGATGAGTGAAGAGTCACATCTATGCCTTTTAACATTAAGAACAAGTAGAGATATTTTAGAAGAAATGAGAGTTATTCAAAGGAAATATCTCAGACTAGATTCTTTGATTATTAGTTAAATAGAAACAGACAAGGGAGAAAGGTAAATGTTATGAGAATAAGAAAAACGCTGTTAATTGTATGAAGTTCAAAGTCCTCAGTATTTTCAAATGCATTATCTTACTGGATGTTCGTCATGATGTGTGACATGGGTATCGTCTGCACTTGATTCCCAGAAGTTCACATTTCAAGAGACTGTATCCTGGAAGGATGAATGGCAATTCCCAAAGACCTGCAGCAAGCAGGGAACACGGGATGGAGGGGTCCCCCCTCTTCTTGGTGCAGTGGGCACAGCAAGGGCATGTCAGAAAAACGGCTCTGTGACCCTGGCAGAGCCAGGAAATAAAGGGGGAATGCAGGGAGTGGCTTCCAAGTCCAGCATTTCACTGTGTCGTATTTAAACAGCCAGTCAGAAGATGAACCTATGAAAAAAAAACTGTTAATTGTAAACGTGGGTGTAAGAGACAGGAGATGCGATGAGAGCTCCTTATCACAGTGTAGTGCAATAAATGCGCTGAGCCTCTGACTGGCTCATAACGGGCTCTGTCTCCCAGCTGTGGAATTGACTAAGCACTAGGGCTTTCTGTTCATAATTCTTCCAGGGAAGAAAAGGCAACAAAGAGTGGTCTGTTCCTCTGGGGTTTTGTTTGTTGTTTCTTGTAACAATTGAGACTTTCACAAAGAATAGGCAAAGTGTGGGTTCATGCCAAAAACCACAGAATAGTCCAGGATGACTGTGAGCCTCTATTGGTCTAGCTACCTTTAGTTCAGGATTTTCAAATAATACCATAGATTTTCAGTATTGTGGAGAAAAAGGATACAGATGGTTAAAATATGCATTTTCGCCAAAAAAAAAAAAAAATCAACCCTTGATATTTGCTGTCACTTGATGTAGAAATTGATGCTGGCCGGGCACACTGGCTAACGCCTATAATCCTAACACTGAGAAATCAAGGTAGGAGGATTGCTTGAGCCCAGGAGTTCGAGACCAGCCTGGGCAACAAAACGATACCCTGTCTCTATAAAAAAAATTTTTTTAACTGGCTGTATGTGGTGATGCATGCCTGTAGCACCAACTACCTGGGAGGCTGAGGCAGGAGGATCTCTTGAGCCCAGGAGATCAAGGTTGCACTGAGCTATAATTGTACCACTGCACTCCAGTCTGGATGGATGACAGAGTGAGACTCTGTCTCAAGAAAAAAAAAAAGAAGAAATTGATGCTAACATCCTCGCAAAGATGTGAAAGATGTGTTTTCATATGTTTAATAAGATAACTTTGGACTTTGATCTCAGCCCACAATTATGATGATTATGAATATATTAGCTCTGAGTGGTCTCTTTTTATCAAGCATAATTACATCGCATAAGCAAATATGCTTGAAGTTATAAAACTCAAAATAGGAGTCAATCCTAGTGAGGCATGGGGATGTTGCTAGCAGTCAATAAATGGCCATTTCCTGTCATCTTTTCCTCCGATCTTCCTTCATCCTTTTAGCAACTCTTCCTATGTGAGTTATACAGCGTTTTCAAAAAGGTGTGCATCGTGGCACATGCCTGTAATCCCAGCACTTTGGGAGGCTGAGGTGGAAGGATCACTTGAGACCAGGAGTCCAAGACCAGCCTGGGCAATATAGTGAGACCCCATCTCTATAAAAAATAAAAAATTAGATAAATGTGGTGGCTCACACCTGTAGTCCTAGGTACTCAGAAGGCTGAGGCAGGAGGATTGTTTGAGCCCAGGAGTTTGAGGTTGCTGTGAGCTACGATCGCGCCACTGCACTCCAGCCTGGATGACAGAGCAAGATCCTGTCTGTAAAAAAAAAAAAGAAAAAGAAAAATTTTTTAAAAAAGGAAAAGGTTCTGCTGCCCCCAGTGACAGATGCACAAGTGAAACCAGAGGGATATCCAGAGCAGGCAGAGTTTGGTAACCCTGGACTCCTGACTCCTCAACTATGGATTGGCCTGTGTGTCCACTGTTGAAAAGACAATTATTGAAAAGGAAGCCTAGGTAGGCTCCGAATACAAGCATATGAAATGGCCTCTTCCACTCCACGTTTCAGGTGGTTGGGCACCGTCTGCCCAGTAGATTTAGAGGCCATTGCAGCTGCCTTCCCACTGGAGTTGTCAGTGAGTTATCAGAGAGCCAGGATCAGGTGGATCGTGCTTGCTGGTGGCCACACAGACCCATATGGCTTCTGCCCTCTATGGCTGTCCAAGGCACCTGGCTGCTGTGTGTTGTAGGAGCTGCTGGTGGGGAGGCCTGGTCCCCATTCACATCCCAGTACGTGCCCACAGTTGTGCTGTAGCACCAGTGCCCCGAATTGGAAGTGCAGAGGGTCTGTTCAGAGAGAAATTCTGTTCGCGAAGGTTCCTGAACAGCAGGCGATGGTTGGTAATTATGCGCCTGCCAGTACATAAAGCTCAGCCAGTTCTTTCCAGGCATTTCTGCCCCATCTGCAAAACATGTACATGGGATGCCCAAGGAGAGGAGCAGATCTTCCAGGAGAGCCTGGGGGAGGTTAAGTGGAAGGAAATGTGCCTCAGAGGCTAAGGGAACGTTTCAGTTGATCCACCATTAAGAGGCTTAATGAAGAGTAATTGAGGCTGGAAGTGTGAGAGCTGCCACAGGTCCAACTGAGGCCAGCATCACCCCGACTCCTGGTTGTCTTCCATCTGCTCCTCCCCTCTGATGCCAGATATTCCACATTTGCCAGGGCTTCCCAAGATATTGTCACATGGGCAGTGTTGCCTGGTTTCTTCTTCTGCATAGTCCAGAGCCGTCTTGTGCCGTCATAAGATGGGTCAGTCCCTTTTGACCACTGCAGAGACAAGTGCTCTGTCCTTGGGAGCAGAACACGCCTGGTCACTGTGAGGGAGCGTGGCCCTCTTCACTGGCCCCACCCCCTCCCGGGATCGTGTGACAAAGCACCTGCCCTGACCTCTACCCTCTCTTGGACCTCGAGGATGGGTCTCTTCTTCCATGAAAATGTCCACCGTCACCTCACAAAATGGTGCTGAAGTGACATGAATTCCAATAAATTCACTAATGGCTCTGGAACTTGAATTTTAAAAAATAGAGTTTTAAATATTAGTAGAAATATACAAATATACACATCTCTCTATAAATATATTTATCTTCCCTGTTATCACAGAGGAATTTGAAGTGATAATTAAAGGCATTCTTTTGAGGGAGGGAAAGGAAGTTCGAACAGTATATTGCCTCAGGGAGAGAATGCTTGGCTGTGAATTGATGCCCTTTTGGTAAGGCCGTCCCCTCCTGCGTGTCTCAGGAACTGGGGCAGAGATTTCTCTGCAGCACTGTGGAATGAGCAAGTTCAGATTCAGCCAGTGCTGTGTGGGGGTTTGTAAAGACAGCACCCCCCTCCCCTAAAAGGCTGCCAGCCCCAGGCTGCCCTATCTGTTTGGTGCCAGAGCTGAATTGTTCTGCATCTGGGCAGTGAGGCTGCCCCCACCCTGCTGGTGGCCAGTGCATTGCATTGATTCAGACATCAGAAATCCCCACGACTCTGTGTGTTTTTAATAAAGATGGTAGGAAACAGAATTCCCAGTGACGTTCTAACCTGGTTTTTCTTCTCATCTCACGCAGGGACGGATCTGTAGAAAAGCTGGCAAATCAAAAAAGTCCTTCAGTCGCAAGGAAGCTGAAGCTACCTTTAAGAGTTTGGTGAAGACGCATGAAAAATATGGTTGGGTCACCCCGCCCGTGTCCGACGGCTGATGTCTGCCACGTGCAGTAGACGCTCGAGCGCCTGTCCACACACACACCAGTACCCTGACATCTCCTCAATGCTGTGCATCCTCCACCCGTTTTTACTCCAGCCAGAACTGCATCCTGAATGCCCAGGAGACGTTTAAGTTATTTATGAAAAGATGTGTGTACAGAGAGGAAGAGGGAGCAAATGCCGTTCGGATTATGTTTCGATTATAAATGAATGATCACCTCGAAGTCACTTTAGAACACATGTTGAGATGGTGACATTTCCCAGCCTGCCTGCCCCTCTGCCCACCCCGGTCACATTGCCCTGAGCTTCTTTCCATGACAGCAGCTCCGACGAGCCGGCAGGAAACTCAATGCCCCTGCTGGCTCCATTTCCATGTAAATGGCGCCGTTCATATTTCACAGGGACGCCGTGCATCTCCGCCGTGCGTCCCCGGCACGTGTTTGCTGTGCTCTGTATCTCTGTTTTTCTTCCTGGAAGGTCAACATAACTTGAAAATGTGTCTTTCTGTGGCCCATGGTCCGCTGTGATGACATTTAGACCTCATTTGTGCTATGACCTTTGGCTCATGAAAACACAAATTTAACATTGCCAGGTTCTAGTGATTTAAAACCACAACTGCCCACTTGGTGAAAACGTGCTCTCGATGCTGATTTGTGGTGTGCTGCTGTCCACAGATAAACCAGTGCCATTAGATGGAAGGCAGAGGATACTGCGACCACCCCTGGCAGACGGTGGCGTAGACACCAGGTGCGCCCTCTGGGGCTCAGAGCAACGGATGGTCAGCTGCGAACAGTCTCGTCCGATGTTAGGAAATGGTCCTACGGCCGCGCCTTTGTGTTCCTGTCTTCTCTCCACCACCAAAAGCAAAAGATGATTTCCCATTCACTGCAGTCATCTGACTCATTTTAATATCTGTGCTAGTGACAATGAATGTCAGAACTGCCAAAGGATACCAAGTGATCATACGATGATTTGCATGATCGGGTCTATTTCACCCAATAGTCACTTGTGTGTCCCCCGAAATTGGGATGGGTGAGCACCCTTGCTGTGGTGTAAACTTCCTGTTATTTAATCTCCCCCACGGTTTCATTTTTCTCTTCTGTTAATACTTAGAACTTTCTAAGAAACTCCATGAAATGAGGAAATACTGTTTCTAATAATATGAGGAAAGAAGTAAAAATGTTCATTCCAAGTGGCAAGTCTTATTGGACACATTTTAAATAAAATCATGCATACCTGATACACTGCCTCAAGGATCCAGTCATTGTGGGCTATCCTTCCATTTAAAATATTTCAGATATTCTTAAATTTTTTAAATATTGCAAATACTACAACATGTAATTCCAGAGCAGCGTTCTAAGTCAGGTACCAGAAATGAGTCTTAGGAACCCATAGTCTTTGCAAAAATTCAGTAGATTGAAATAGTCCCCAGAAGCAGCCAAGGAGCTGAAGGGATGATTCGATCAAGTTCAGATGTTGCCAATTGTATCTTACTGCTGTGAAGGAGGAAAAGTCTTCCGGGATAATGTATTCAATTCTTCAGGCAGTTTTGTCTACTTGGGGACCTGCCCATTGGTTCAAGGTTTTCAGAGATCCAAGAGGCCTTGCCTCAAAGAACAAGGATTGGCGCCTTTCAGCAGGGCTGCCCATTCACCAAACTTATTGTTACTTTTGTTTTTCTTTACCACTTTCTTATTTGCCCCCAAGTGCACACAGGCAGCTCTGCCAGACCAAAATGACAGTGTATTAAGAATGCAGGGCCTGCTCAGCTTCCCTGTGAGTCATAATAGTCGTGAAACTTGATGACAGTGAACTTACGATGTTCATTCATCCAACCCTCTATGGTGGCATTCTCCATCCTGGAAACCTGACATTTGGCTGACGGTCTTTGGACCCTGGAGCTAGTGGTCATCATGGAATTACACTGTGGAGATGAAAGACCTAGGACAGAAACATCTTGCTAGGGAAAGCACCTGAGTTTATTCCTTTCTAAATATTTTCCTCTTCTAATGAAAACTAAAAGCAGCTTTACTTTAGGGGGAAAAATATATCCAAAGGCAGGTCATTTCAGTAGTGTTTATTAGCTGATTGAAAAACAGGTTCACGGTGCTCTCTGAGAACTGCACCAAGGGGTGCAGCCAAGAGACTGGTCTGACCCCGGGTTGGGCTGGGTGGCAGCCGGCGACAGAGCAGAGAGACACTCAGCTCAGTGTCGCTCCTTCCATACACTCAGAGTTTGATTTTTCTTGCATGGCATTTCCATTAGGTTTGTTAGAAACTTATAGAAGAAATCAATTCTTTAGTGAACGAAATACCATTTTTCACTCAATTGGTAAGAATTTTTCATTTTAAAAGCAGTAGGAAGTGATGTAAAACTCTACCATTGCTTGGACTGTTAGGAGTGCGGACTCCCTTTCTGGTAGACTCCCTTCGTAGGCAAGCACGGTGGTGCCCAGCCATGGAGGCACCCTTAGGACACTGAGCACAGGCCTGGCTGCCTGTGCCTTGGCCACAGCCTCCTTCCACCCCACTGAAGTGGACACCTGCCTCTGGAGCCCAGGGTGAGAAGGAGAGGCCTGAAGCCTGGGGCCACGTTCCCACACAAGCCAAGGAACCTATTCCTCTTTGGACAGACAGCGAGGGAATAATCAGACAGTGGGTGCAAATGTTCATGTCCCGATAGCTCCACACACCCATGTATCTGTGGGAACTCAAACCAAGCCAGAGCCCACAGAGCCAAACAAACAGAAAATCACAAACCCATCTGTCCTCTTCTCAATGCAGAACTCCTTCCCGTCCAATAATTTTCCTGAACCAATCACCCTTGTTATTGGGTATCTTCTCCACTGCTGGGTAAGGCCTGCACATGGTCTGTCTGTAACTTTCTAGAAGACTGAGAACTGCTTATGCCTTAGGGAGTTCTATGTGAGCAGCAAGGTTATTCCCCCTAGTTACACACACACGCACATGTGCCAATACTCCTGCAAAGACTTGCTGTTTCTAAAATCCACTACTCAGAAAAACCAGGGTGTCGGCTTAAAGTTTTCAGCTCCATCTATCAAAATTTGACCTTTTTTTAAGAGAAAAATATGTAGATGAGTGAAAAAGACCTAGGATTGAAAGACAAAAAGCCATGTGTCCATGTAACCCTGGCCAGTCACTCCACCTGCCTGAGCCTTGGTTTCCTCAGCTGTGAGCTCCTACCAGGTCAGTGTGGGAATTGGCCAAAATGACGCAGCAGAAGTGCTTTGGAGACTAAAGATTGTCAACGAAATGTAAGTGTCATTTTCGTAGTATTAGGACGTTTACATTACAGCAGGCTTTAATTAGAACCCACTTAGATATCGACTCAGAATGATCAATTACAGTGGTTAAAATACACATACCTGGTAATCATATACTTGCTTTCTGTCCCCAGTTCTTACATTAAGTCAACCAACTGACCCAAAAATCAACCAATAACTAACTGGCCATCTCTCCACTCACTCAGCATTCTCCTCTTAAATGCAGGGCATGCAGAAGATTAAGGTACAGCCCCTTCCCTGGATAGGAACTCAAAAGATAGGAATAGCGCACAGGCACCAGCACCAAGCAAGGCAAGTGCCAAATTGCACTGCAGAAATTAAAGACATGTGCAAGTCCAGAGATTTTCTGACTGAAAACCAGAAAGATTTCATGGAGTAAATCAGGTTTGAGCCATGGCTGGGCAAAGGGAAGGAGAAGGGCAGGTGTAGCAGGTGTAGAAATGGGAGGGGCTGAGGGCACCTTGAAAGGGAGCGTGGACTCTGTCCTCACTGGCCCTGAACGGGAGAACTGGAGTCCCCTTGCCACCTCTCACCTGCAGAGTCCCTATTCATGGAGCTGATTTCAGGAAGCAGGACACGGTCCCACCTGACAGCCTAGCCTGGCGTGTGGAGCTTGCCCTGTGTGTAGCAATTATATTTCAGTGTACCCATCCAATAGCATGCGAAATTTTAATGGAATTTGCTTTCTAAAGGGGCAGAGCTTACTTCCTGACTGTAGTGAGGGTAGAGCCACTGAATCTGGAAGACCACTTAGCCTAATTTTACACCCTCTGCAGTGAAGGAGGCGAGCCCAGAGACTTTGAGGGGCTTGTCCACAGTAGGACAGGAGCCACAAGGCCACTGCCTTACTGTGGCTTTCTGATCCTTTATGTTGCTTCATGAGACTATTAGGCAATTCATGTGGCCCTCACCAAACACACACTCTTCACCCCATCATTGAATCAGTACAGTTGCAAGTCTTCCAAGCCAGCTGAGAAACACCCACAGGATCCATTCTGTGCCCAAAGCAAATTGGAGCAAAGGGCAGAAATTCCCTCCAACTGTTTTGGGAAGCTTCTGTAAGGGGCTTGGAGCTCAGCCTATGGGACTGTAGTCAGAACTTTGTAATTTTTTTCTCCAAAGACAGTGAAATCATGTACAGCTCTGTTCTTAGTTTTCTGCTAGGTTCTACTTATCCTTCTAATTTTTGCAGCCTCTAGTTCCCATAGTATTAAATATCATTTTTAAGCCCAGGGCCTGTCTGATCCACAGAATGTGGTCAATAATCTGGAAAGGCAAACAAACTCTGTTGACATTCGGGAAAGCAATAAGTAATGTTAGTTTGGTTCCAGAAGAAACACGGGAGCAAAGTGTGCTGGCCAAACAGCAACAATCAAAGCAGAGGGGAGCAAGATTTTCTTTCAAGGTCATGATAAGGCTAGACAAATAGAGTGCAATGAGGGGGTCAGGTGCGAGGCCGTCCTCCCAGGTCAGTAAGGCCGCATGGAGGGATAAAGAGATCCCTGCACTGCCCCCAACCGCCAATTCACCCTGTGTCTCTCGCAGAATTAAAGCCAGGAGGTGGCTTTCTCTTTCCTTCTACTGGTGGTAAATTAAGTGACTGTCCTACTTTGTAGACATGCAATCGTTTTGTACCTCTAGACCTTGGGCAGTCACTGGTGATGACACTAATTGAACTAACACAGAAACTGCTGTCACCTGATGTGCTTGGTTTCATTCCTGCCTGCCTTCTCTACAACGTGACTTCATTTCATGAATGTGGTTGCCATTATGACAGTGCTAGGATGCTGATCTGTACACCATGAGTGACTGCGAACTTTCAGACTCTCACCGCAATTCATGGGGAGACTTTGGTGTATCCTGTTTCCAGAGTTGTCCTCTTCTGTGATCCTCAAAAGAAGAGAAAAAAACGCATGTGGCATAAATCAACAGGAAAGAAATGTTTACCACTGGAAGATGGTGAGTGCATGAGTCAAATAATCTAGAGGCACTGCCCTAATGAGAAAAAAAAAACAATGATTCTAGAAAATAAAACTTTAAAACCAATAAACGTCTTTACACGGAATGCTTGCTGTGTCCTCGCATGGTCTGTGTTCAGTAATTCTCAGGATTTATCTGGGTCTCCACATGTGTTCTCCCCACGGGCCATGGTGAGTGACTTTCTGTCACTTGGCACCCTCTGATCTTGTGTCCCTTGACTCATTCGTGGTTTGCCAAATGAAAACCTTGAAGTATATCATGCGTATTCTCCACAAAAATCAATGAAATGTAACTGAACCAAATCTAATTAATCTAATCAGTGTGATTTAGATTTCTCCTTCAGCTGCCATTTGCATTATAAAGATGCTTAAACATTATTGACAAAGATTTCCATTAAAGTTTCTCAATATAAGTGAAATAGTGTGCTTAGCACAAAACTGTAGCCTAAACTACTACTGAACTATAGAGCTATTTCTTTGGAGAACTTACAGAGTAACAATTCTGGAAAATGACAATTTTCAAGTGCCCTAAGCACAATTTATCGAAGAGGTACTTCAGCTCACTTTTCATACTAACATGTATGTTGGTATTCAGTTTTTGTTTTAAGCTGTTTACCCGAGGAATTTCTCAGCCCTAGTCAATATTCAAGATCATTTTCTAATCAAGAGAGTATTTTTTAAAATCTCAAAATGTGGCTATTTTAGTACTGAACAGGGCTGGGCTGTTGATCAGATCAGAAAACCACGCCTCTTATCACATGTAGATAAGGCACTCAGCCTTACACCCAGACACTTGGCTTGCACCTTCCAAACTGAAATTCTGCAGTGCATGTCTACTGCTGAGGGCTGTAGTGACAAGACAGGAAATGTGTGGGAAGCAAGAGCCCAGGGCCTGATGTGTAACTAGAACTCAGTACATTATTGTACAAATAACAGTGAGATTGATTTGACACAGTCAAGTTGACCACTTGAGTTGGCTGTTGGGATCCACTTTCAGGCTGTTCATTTCATCCAGGTGAATTTGCATCCTTTCCTTTGGGTGAAAGCATGAAAGATACACCGTCAATAGGGCATTGACTCTGAACTTGTGGGGTGATGGAGATGGAAGTGTGCCAAATCACAAACTCTCCCCAGAGTGCATCCAGCCTCAGCTGTGTCAGAGAGTTATAGGCAGTGGTCTGGGTGATCTGTGTCCAGGGACGTATTTTTCTTAAGGCCAAAGTAAAAGGCCCAGCAGGATTGAACAGAGCCCTGGCCTTTCACGTTGACAATTCAAGGTGTGTTCTGTGTCAGTAGGATAGGTGCAGGGCAGAGCTATATAAAATTCATGCTCTCCAGCTCTTCTTTGCCACTTAGGTGTTTGTCTTAAGAGAGGTCTTGATATGGTTTGGCTCTGTGTCCCCACCTAAATCTCTCTTGAATTATAATAATCCCGACATGTCAAGGGCAGGACCTGGTGGAGATAATGGAATCATGGAGGCAGTTTCCCCCATGCTGTTCTCATGATAATGAGTGAGTTCTTATGAGATCTGATGGTTTTAAAAGGGGCTTCTCCCTTCATTTGGCACTCATTCTCTCTCCTGCCACCCTATGAAGAGATGCCTTCCACCATGATTGTAAGTTTCCTGAGGCCTCCCCAGACATGTGGAACTGTGAGTCAATTAATCCTCTTTTCTTTATAAATTACCCAATCTTGGGTATTTCCTCATAGCAGCATGAGAATGGACTATTGCAGGTCTATTTCCATGCCAGAATAAATGTTATTGGAAACAAGTTATTTTTATTTAAACAAGGGGAAATGATAGAGATATTAAAGTAGACATACATACAAACCGCTTGACAAAATGAAGTTGAAATAGTTCAAGTTTCGTTTGTTCAACCTTCGAGTGTCGGGATTATGTATAACTGTACAGCAGTGAGCCAGGATACCAGCAACAAGGTCAGGATACGGTGAGTTTTGAAAGTACAATTTTTTTTAAACCCATTACAGATTATTTTTTGAGTCATTAAAGGTTTTCATATAATAATTTTGAAGGTAAAATCCAATGGAATAATTATAAGCAGCATGAATAAACTTTCCCATAGGAAAACATCCTTTTTTTCTTTTCCTACATTTGCAAAGTTTTTAATTTCTCAAAGACCTTTTAGAACTATCTTCTCATTTCATCTCTAGGCAACACTGAGAAGCAGATTTAGTAGGCAATAGTGTGCAGCTTATAGATCAGAAGCAGGCATTAAGTATAATTGATTTTTCTAATCTGATTTTACTTAAATATGGTCAATTACTTTCCTGTGTCACTACAACATTACATTAAGTCAATACTAAAACAACTTTTAAGTCTCTAACTCCAAGGATGTTTCTAGCTACAACTTTGCAGTTGTATCATTTAAACCTCTTTTAAATGCTTCCCATAATTTTGCATTAGATCGTGTTCCTCGCCTTTACCAAATGCTGTGTATATTCCCACACATGTGCTTGGTTTCATTCCTGCCTGCCTTCTCTACAATGTGACTTCATTTCATGAATGTGGTTGCCATTACGACAATGCTAGGATGCTGATCTGTATACCTTGAGTCACTGCGAACTTTCAGACTCTCACTGCAATTCATGGGGAGTTTTAAACCCCCATTAATTACATAAACTTGATTTATGTAATCTTATTCTCATTGTTTCAAGGGTTTTCTTCTCACTTTACTCTAGTTTCTACATGTTATGGTGTTGCTTTTCCATAAAACATGCCAATTTCCAAAACAGCATACAGTTCCTTATAACACTGCCTCCTTTGTTCTCCTCCTTTTCTGTGCTCCTGATTCTCCTGGGGGGCCTCCTTTCTTGCCTGCCGGGGATCTTGTGTCCCTGTCTGATGTCCTCAGAGCCCTGGACCTCATGGCATCCAAGGTTCAGACCTTCTCATATTCAAATGGGAATAGAAGCTGCTTTTGGTAAGTGATATTTTGGAGCTTGTTAAAATTTACTCTAGAAAGATAGCATCAAAAATTAAAGCAAAGCATATGACTTATAATTTTCGTGCCAATTATTTACTTAATAAATAAATGGAAAGGGCCTCAGGGATTCTTAGGATCAACTCCGTGATTTAATTTGGTTCTGTCTGCCCTAGGCTCAGTCCTCAGCTCAGAGCCTGTTCAAACACACTTCCATGCCTTCACGTAGAGGGGTTTAAAACTAGCCTAGTCCAATGACTTCTTAGAGTGAAAGGATTCTTTATGAGAAGGGAAGTATAACCCAGAGACCCCATTTTCTGAAAGATTGTTTTAAGGCACAGGAAGTTAAATTCAGAGTCTGGGGGCTTCATCGTAGTGTATTACGATGCTGGGACCAGACACGGGGGCCTTGAGACTTCAGTCATGCTGCCTGAGAAATATAAAGTGTATCTGCCCACACATGCATAGGATGAATCCAGGAGTGCGGCACTGCCTTGGAACATGGAGAAAGAAAATAGAAGAAACCAACCCTGGCAGTGTCTTGATTAGGACTTCTGACCTCAAGAACCATGAGAATAAATTTCTGGGTTTGTTTTTTTGTTTGTTTGTTTTTTGTTTTTTAATTTGAGATGGAGTCTCACTCTGTTGCCTGGCTGGAGTGCAGTGGCGCGATCTCAGCTCACTGCAGGCTCCGCCTCCCAGGTTCAAGTGATTCTTCTGCCTCAGCCTCCCAAGTAGCTGGGACTACAGGCACATGCCACCACACCCCGCTAATTTTTTTGTATTTTTAGGAAAGATGGGGTTTCACCATGTTGGCCAGGATGGTGACTCAGCCTCCCAAAGTGCTGGGATTACAGGCATGAGCCACTGTGCCCGGCCAAATTTCTGTTGTTTTAAGCCACCAGATTTGTGTTAATTTGTTAATGCAGCCCTAGGAAAAGAATATAGGTAGAGATAGATGGATATAGATGTAGATATAGAAATAGATACATACATACCTCCCAAGTTTATACTCTTATGAATGATCCCCCCAAAAGAGAAAAGAATTTCTTCAATTGGGTAAGATTTACTCACTTCAGGCTATATTAGGGCACATAATTTTGTAATCTAACAATGGAGGACACATAGTTGTTTAAAATCTGATTTTGTTAATCAGCCACCCAAATTAGAACCACTAGCAACTATATACGGGTCACAGCAATAGTGTAGGTCATTGTCAGTGGGCCAGAGGATTCCTTACAAAATACAACACACCATTTCAAAAACACCACTGAAACCCACATCTTTTCAAATAATGTCAATTCCCACATAAGTTCTAAGCACTAACCTCCAGGGGTGCCAACGTCCCACCCCTCATAGTGAAGGAATACCAATAATGGTCAAGAGAAGAAGTGGATTATTTTGGGGCCAGGTTGCTATAGTGTGAAGCTTTGCAGGTAGGGGACAAATAGATTAAAAGCATGGGCTTCTGAATGAGAGTTTTCTGTTGACTCAGTTTCCTGGAAGTTTCCAGCTCATTTGGTTGTCACTTTGGATTTCTCCCTCTTTTTGAACTTACTTTAATTTAGTCTTCTCCCATAGGGCTGGTGAAGTGCAAAGGACTTGGGTGGAAAATGTCAGACAGAAACCAAGTGGAATGCAGAGGATGGACGGATGAGTGATTGGGTGGATGGGTTGGATGAACTGATGAATGAATGGATAGATGGATGGATGGACTGGGTGACTGGATGGATGGATGGATGGATGGATGGATGGATGGATGGATGGATGGATATACAGATGATCAGATAAATGGATGGATAGATAAATGGATGGATGGATGGATGGATGGATGGGTGGATGGATGGATGGGTGGATGGATGGATGGATGGATATACAGATGATCAGATAAATGGATGGATAGATAAATGGATGGATGGATGGATGGATGGATGGATGGATGGATGGATGGATGGATGGAAAAATGGTTGGATGTAATGAATGGATAGATGTTGGATGGATGGATAGATAAATGAATAAATAGATTAGATAGTGGATGGTGAATGATTCAGGCCTGCCCTATGGCCCTTACATGGAAATATTTTCTCCCTTGACATTTTTTCTAGGCAAGGTTGTTTCTCCCATAGGGGCTTAGGTTAGACTATGGGGACCCAGGAAAGGAGCCTAAAGAAGCAGTTCATTCTGCTTCTTAGCACCAAAGGCCAGAGGCACACAAAGAGTTCTCCTTCTTTACAGAAGACACAGTTCCCCGCAATCCACCACCAGCGCTCAGCGTTCCTCTGAGCCCAGTGGGGCAAAGCTCAGGCCAGGAACACAGCTTTTACCTGCCAGAGTGTCCACCAGGCAGATATCGCCCTCAGGTGTCCAGGTGGTCTAGATCAGAATTTAGGCTCGAGTCCCATCCACCACATGTTAATCACGCAGGACCTCACAGATAAGAGTGTAAGTAAGAAATCCTCAGGCATATGGAAAGTTTGCTCCTCGTTTCCTGCCATGTCAAAATAACAAATGCAAAGCAGAAATTGCTAGATAATATACTTCTATGCCCATTAATTCACTATGTTTTAT
The DNA here is from genome assembly GCF_000001405.40 of Homo sapiens. NCBI lineage: Eukaryota > Metazoa > Chordata > Mammalia > Primates > Hominidae > Homo > Homo sapiens. The sequence continues at coordinate 6,502,149 of NC_000005.10, forward strand.
TTATATTTATTCTTGTTCTTTTGGTAAGACCTTCAATGCATCCTTAGTGTCTATTATAACAGAGTTTGGAATTTTTATTTTTTATGCTGCTTCTACTGCCTTTCAGACATAATTCACGAGCACAGAGAATAATATCCTGTACTATGTCCCAGGGAATTGCTCCCTAAGTCCCTAAGATCCTGGACAGAAGGCAGCAAGTTAAAACTCGATGTTTTTCCTGGCTTTTTCCAAACTATCCGCCTTCAGAGAAGCCTTTCAGAGGCCTTTGGCACTTGGCAGTCTGAAGTGGTCCTGTCCCTGTAGGATGCTCTGGACTGTATGTGCAAGTGTGTGGGAGGTTGTGGGCTGGATTCATTACCTTTATTCCCAATCCTCATCAGGCCAGGGCTAAATGAAACACAGAGTCATGCATGTTTCATGGGAAATGGGTGGCGTCTGGCCTCTGTTGCCCTCTGTATCAAAGCATCCTGCAGGGAAAGGACCACTTCAGACAGGGCTGCAGGTCATGGAGCGGCCGGGCATTGGGATTGGGAGCCCCTGCCAGACACTAGACTCAGAGCTGGACACCCATGGTCCCATTTACATTCATCTGATGTCATGTTAGTGTCAGCATTTGAGGGAATGTTAGTGTTCACAGTTCAGGGAAAAGAGACACCAAAGAGCTGAAGCGACCCCCCCACAGCCACACTCTGATGAGCAGAATCGAGTATAGAATAAATTCCGCAGGATTCCTCCTTCGTAGGTGGCAGATTATTGGATTCACTGAAAGCCATCCCTTTGAGTTTCTATCTTTCTGAAAATTCAAGTGCCAAGGCCTTAGTGCTGTCAATACTTTGTCCCACTGGGAGGAAAGAGCAAAGGTCCCAGCAGTGCATGGGTGCTGGGCTTCAGGTGAGGAAGGAAAGGAGCTAGGAAGAAATCAGAAGCTTGCAAAGAAGAGCAAGGAAAAAAGTCCCTGCAGGTAAGCCAGTCACACTTGGAGGTGACCTCCCCAATGAGTCACAACCACATCATCCCCTGCCCTGAAGTGGGGAAACCAATAGAATACGGCAAAGGGAATGGGATATCACCCCATGATTATGTTACATTATATGGCAAAGATGAAGAGGTTTTTGAAGATGTAATTAAGGGCCCTAATCAGTTGAGTTCCAGTTATTGAAAGGGAGATTAACTTGGGTGGATCTGACCTAATCAGCTGAGCCCTTAAATGCGAGCCTAGGCTATCTCTGAAAAGAAAGATCCTCCTGAAGGCCTTGAAATAAGATGCCAAATTGTGAGGGGGCTACAGGGGAGGGCACTGTACGTGCCTCTTGGAGCTAAAAGTGGCCCCTGCTGACAGCCCACAGTAGACAGGGACCTCGGTCCTTCTGCTGCAAGGGTCTAAATTCTGCTAACAACCTCCTAAGCCTGGAAGACCCCCAACACCCAGAAAGAGACATAGCCCAGCCAACTCCTCGACTGCAAATTTGTGAGGCCTTGCATAAGGGACCAAGCTAGGCCATGTGCCTGGACTCTCAACCTATGCAAATTGGGAGATAATAAATAGATGGGTTTTTTAAAACAATTGGGTGGTTTTTTGTTTGAATATTATTATTATTTCAATGGTTTTTGGGGAGCAGGTGGCGCTTGGTTACAAGGATAAGTTCTTTAGTGGTGATTTCTGAGATTTTGGTGCACCCATCACCCGAGCAGTGTACACTGTACCCAATGTGTAGTCTTTTATCCCTCACCCCCTCCCCCACACTTTCCCCCAAGTCCCCAGAGTCCATTATGTCATTCTTATGCCTTTAGGTCCTTACAGCTTAGCTTCCACTTAAAAGTGAGAACATAGAATATTTGGCTTTCCATTCCTGAGTTACTTCACTCAGAATAATGGTCTCCAACTCCACCCAGGTTGATAATGAATAGACGTTTTTTTCAATTGCTAAATTCATAGTAATTTATTATGCAGCCACTAATGTACCTGGCAAAGCTCACATTTTTGCCCTGGTCTGCCCCTACCCTGAGACATTAAGCTCAGCAATGAAAAGGTGGCTCTGGTAGAGTTCAGAGGGCTTGTCCTTGTCCAGCTATTTAGACGTGGTTACCAGTGTGCCCTTGGGCATTTTATTTATGTCCTGGGCTATCATAACAGATGGTCACAAACTGGGTCAATGAAAACAACAGAAATTTATTCTTTCTCAGTTCCAGAGGCCAGAAGTCCAAGATCACAGTGTTGGCTGGGCCATGCTCCCTCCAAAAGCTCTAGGTGAAGACCCTCCCTTGCCTCCTCCAGTGTCTGGTGGCCCCGGGCGCTCCCTGGCTTGTGGCTGCCTCACTCTAGTCTCTACCTCCATCTTCACGTGGCCTTCTCCTCTCCTAGCCTCTTCTGTCTGTGTCAAATCTCCCTCTGCCTTCCTCTTATAAGGGCACTTGTCATGGGATTCAATGGCAGCTGAATTGAATTCAGGGCCCCCCCAGATAGACCAGGATGATCTCATCTCAAGATCTTTTATTAAATTACACCTACAAAAACCCATTTCCCAAATAGGAGAAAAGGTTTCAGGGTTTAGGACGTGGACATATCTTTTTGAGGGCAACTTCTCAACCCACTCCAGCATCATTGTCAACATGGAAATCGGCACGAACACCTGCATCCCTGGTCCACCTGCAGCTGGCTTCAGAGGAAGCCCCTCCCTCCTCTGTGAGCTGCAGAGCCCCACCACTCACACTGCTCCACGATCATGGCACTGCCACACCAGAGCCCACTCAGCTCCATCTTTCCTGTGCTGGGTGGGGGCAGGGCCTGGCCCAATTGAGCAGGTCAGTGCACCCGAGGCCAAGGCCAGTGACAGGAGGGACACATGGTCTTGGTCCTTCTGCTTCTCCAGTGGAGACGTTGTCTAGGGAGAAAAGAGGAGGCAAGGCACTTGTGGTTCTCTTTGGTCTTAGGGTCCACAAAGGACATCATCAGAACAGCTCATTTCATTAGGAAACCCCAAGCTGGCTCCTTCAGGAGAGTGAATCACCAGCTGCCAAAGTGTACCTTTTTGCTTTAATTGGATTTTCCTCTATTGACTCTGCTTTAAGTAATGAAAACCTGCAGTTAAATGTTTGCTGAGTCACCAGCTGACCACCCCAGTCCTGCCATTTGGTTCTGCAGATGTTCCCTGCAGTCCTGACTCATCAGCCCTCGTTGCCTGTGCCCCTCCTGGCTGGGAACAGACGTCTTCAGGGGCAATTCAAGCATGAGGAGAAAGAACAGAAAAAAAGATCAATCTTTCTAGGAAAGGAAGGGGCCAGTCATTATAATTTCATCACCAATAACCACGAGAAACATTGCTGCTTTCTGAAAAACAAACTTCCCTCATTGCCCCCTTCAACACACATATGGGGCCTGCATCAACGCTAAATAGCACCTGCTTGTTCCCAGCCGCCTGCCAGAGTTCAGCCCAGTGCATAGCCCTGGTAGAGCTGTCTTGTGCAGAATGGATTCTGTAAGACTTGGTGCAGGGTTAAACAGAAACAGGGAACATTTTAACAAGAGAGAAATTAGAAATAGGGACCAAGAGAAGAGGGCAACAGAGGCCAGACATTGCCCCTTTCCCATGGCCAGCAGCCTCTGGACCGCATGTGCAACTGCATGGGAGGTTCTGGGCCAGGTTCATTACCTTTCTCTCCAAAGCTCATCAGGCCAGGACTAAATGAAACACAGAGTCATGTGTGAAATAATCAGACTGCTGCGTTGGATCAGATTGTCTCTCCGGGATAGCCGGGGCCAGCAATTTCTGTTGGAATGGATGGTCCTAGAGACAGCCCTTCGCAGGAATCCAGGGCAGGGGTGAAAGCTTCTGGTGCTGCCCTTGGGTGCAGAGGGTTCATGCCCAGGCAGACCTGCTGGCAAGACCTGCCTGCGGGAAGACATGTGCCTTCCCATCCCAAGCCACCAACAGAAGACTGTCATTTCCCAACCACAAACAGAACACAAGCCTGCCACATGAGCAAGACCTGAGCAAAAATATCAGTCCAGAGTGTGCCCTATAATTTACTTTCCCTCTCATTTTCTTCTTTCTTTCTAAAGCTCCCTTTTGCTTCCCCCATCATTCTGAACATGGGGTGGAAGTGCGGGACACATCCATAAAAGGTTCCCGTCCTGCTTGGGGTCGCCTGGTCTGAGGCTGCACTGATTCCACTGAGGCCTGCCAGGGAGGGGCCCTTGGAACAAAGATTCCTTGGGAGGAAGCAGGGCTGCGTGGGCCGGCAAGTGACAGAATTCACACAGAATGGCCCAAATTGCCCACTTGAGCTTCCTCGAATTCTATTTCTGTGGATTCTTTTTTTTCCCCATTTTAGTAGGGAAAAACACTTTATATTTCCTGTACATTTTTACTTAAAAGGAATCAAAGGTAAAGGGAGCAGTGAGAAAGCAGAAATGAAAAGGAAATCTGTGGTCAGGAGGCTCCAAGAGACTGTGTGAGTTGAAGGGGGCCATCTAAGATATTTAAGGGGCTGCCGCAATGTCAGGCGGACCATAGAGCGGGAGGGATGGGGGATCACCTGACTCTACCCCGGGGCTGGCATGGGTGAGAGGAGGGGGCAAGAGAAGAAAGGAGGCGGGTTGTTCTGAGCTCATCAGCCGCCTCTGCGGCGGCCCCGTGTGTGCACCCTGCAGCACGTGGGCCTCGAAGGACGTGCAAGTTAACCCAGTTAGGTCTCCTGAAAGTCCCTTAGCACTGACTCGGGGCCAGCCTGGGGACCACAGGTCACGCACCCCTTTCATCAGACAGGAGTTTTCAGGCCAGGTGCCCTTCTCCGGTGACCAAAGAGCAGAATTCTCAGTGGTGAGGACGCATCTGCACAGCCCAGCCCAGCCCAGGCCAGCAGACCATAAAAGGCCCAAGACCTGCCACAGGTGAGACCAGCAGGGGTGAGAAAAACATAGGCCTGGCCCGGTGCGACTGGCAGACTCATGGCCTCTGAGGACATCCTAGCAGACGTCTTCCCCAGGACCTGTGCCTATGTCACCTCCAGTGGCAAAGCGGACTTTGCAGGGGTGATGAAGTGAAGGCTTTGCAGGGGTTGCCCTGCATTGTCCAGGTGGGCCCAGTGTCAGCCCAAGGGTCCTATCAGAGCAGAGAAAGAGGGTCAGAGTCAGAGGAGACGTCACGACAGAAGGCAGGAGTTGGAGTGATGTGAGGAAGAAGCCAGGAGTCATGGTACACAGTAGCCTTTAGAAGAACCAGATTCTCCCCTGGAGCCCCCACACGGAGCCGGCCCTGCTGACAGCTTGACTTTGGGATTTCTGACTTCCTACATGGTAAGACAACAAGTGTGTGTGCTTTCAGCCACTATGTTTGTGGTGTTTTGTGATGGTAGTGACAGGAAACCAACACACCTGAGCCTCGAGGTGAGCTACCTGAGCTGCAGGTCTGATGTAGTTTGGATGCCCCCTCCAACTCTCATATTGAATTGTAACCTCCAGTGTTGAAGGAGGGGCCTGGTGGGAGGGGTTTGGGTCATGGCGGGCAGATCCCTGGTGGCTTGGTGCCGTCCTGATGACAGTGAGTGAGTTCTCAAGAGAGCCAGCTGTTGGGAAGGGTGGCACCAACTCTCCCTTGCTCCCACTCTGTCATGTAACGTGCAAGCTTCCCCTTCTGCCATGATCGGAAGCTTCCTGAGGCCTCCCCAGAGGCAGATGCCAGCACTATGCTTCCTGTACAGCCTGCAGAATCGTGAGCCAATTAAACCTCTTTTCTTATAAATTATCCAGTCTCCAGTATTTCTTATAGCAATGTGAGAGCAGCCTGACCCAAGGTCCCTGCAGGTGACCTTGGGGCCTCGACACTCACAGGACATTGAAAATCCCAGGGCCGGGCTGTTCCCATGCTTATCACATCGGACTGTCATCCAGCCAGGGCCACAGGGAGTGGGGCTCTGAAGGTGAGAATGATTCCGGGGGTTTAACGAAGAAACTTTGACAAGGGTGGCTGGGGGCGTAGGGTCCCCAGGGGACAGTACGGTCACCTGAGTCTAGAAGCACCTGACCTGTGAGCACCCCAGGCCTAAAGAATAAGGGGAGAGCATGCCCCCCAACCCCGGAAGGGTAGAGAGAGCTACCTTGGGGGTCAGTGACCTCTGTTCGAGGTGCCCCAGCACCTGATGAACTCTGGGGACAAAATAAACGAAGCCCCCATGTTCCCTGGTAGAAGTTGCAGCTCCTGGGAGAGAGAAGTCCCAGTGAAGGAAAGAGACGCACAGACAAGGGCAGATTCGCATGAGCTCTGTGAGCCGGGGAGCAGCTCGGGGGCCTCGGCTCCTGTAGAAGCAAGTGCGGTTGGGGAGCAGCTTCTGACCTTTGGGTTGCCATGGCCAGGTCAGGGAGTATCCCAGGCAGCAGAGCAGCTTCAGCAAAGGTGACAGAGGCAAGAAATGGCAGGAATGGTTGGAGGAACAGAGGGGTGCACAGCCAGCGATGGGCACGTTAAGCCAGACAAGCACAGGGAAGGCTGAGCTGCATTTCTAGAGCAACGAGAGGCCATAGCACAGGAATGGCCATCTTTGATTGTCCCCAGTGCCCAAAGCAGAAAGGCCCAAGACAGGGAGGCCATTCATTACAGACATCCAGTAGAGAGAGGCCAGCCATACATCTGGGCAGCAATGGCCATGGGTGTGGGGGAGGGGAGATACTGAGACTTGTGGCAGCACCTGGTGACAGCGTGCTCCTCGGGGGTGGTGAGCGGCATGAGGAGTCCAGGCTGATTGCTGGGGCTTCACTCTGAGACATGTACATGGCAACACTCCCAAATCATGTTCAGCCACGTCTCCCATCACAGCATCTGGTCCTTGTGTCCGCCCCCAGCACCTCAGGCTCAACGGTCCCCAAGGGACTCGCCATCCACCTGAACATGTGTGCGCTCATTTTGCCTTCCTCTGTGAAGGTCACCACAACCCACTCTCCACCCATGCTGGAGTCCTCGTCGCTCCCATACACACAGCCGACACCCACTCAGTCTCGGCCTTTGATCCTGGACCAGGACCCAAGGCTGGGCACCGCCTTCTCCACCACCTCCCTGGTTGGATTGCTGCCTGGACCTGGCTGGCCTTCGTGGCCCTGCTCTGCCCTGGAATGCCTGTTCTCCCTGTGAGAACCAGAAAGGCCTGTGAAGAGCCACTTTGGTCTGGTCTAGAAATCACTGACCATCCCTAACACCCACAGAATACTCTCAGCTCTGGAGACAAAGTGGCCCGTTCCAACCCAGGGCGGTCATGCCAGGCCTCTCTAGAACACCCTTGAGTGTCCCCCTTCACTAACTGCAAAGCCACAGCCTCCGGGTGACCCCCAAGTACAGGCTTCCCGTTCTCCGTTTCTACTGGGACCCCTCTCCTGCTCCTCCCCGGTCCTTGGAGTGTACCAGCCATTGCTCTCTGCCTCGGGGATTTTGCCTTCTCCTGCCTGAGGTGCTCCTTCCTCAATACTTGCTAGCTGGCCTTTGCCTGAAAGCCTTGGATTGACACTTGCCTTCACCGTGGGGCCCATTCCCAGCTACTCTGTCTGTGATGGTGACCTCCTCCACCCCATCCCAGCTCCCGGACCCCCTTGCCCTGCCCTGAATTTTGCTGGGCCTTACCTGCCATGTTTCAACATTTAAAAAAAAAAATAGAGAAAGAGATGAATCTCTGGATTAAAGGTTTTATTTGGAATAATATGCAAGAAGTAGGATTGCACTCTGGGGCATACATGCAGAGCAGAATGGCCTCCAGCATGTTCAAAGAATACAGGGAAAGGTTAGGGTGTCCTGGAGAAACAGGAGGTTATGCAAGTTTTTTTGTTTTTTTGTTTTTTTTTTTTGAGACGGAGTCTCGCTCTGTCGCCCAGGCTGGAGTGCAGTGGCGCGATCGCGGCTCACTGCAAGCTCCGCCTCCCGGGTTCACGCCATTCTCCTGCCTCAGCCTCCGGAGTAGCTGGGACTACAGGAACCCGCCACCACGCCCGGCTAATTTTTTGTTTAGTAGAGGTGGGGTTTCACCGTGTTAGCCAGGATAGTCTCGATCTCCTGACCTTATGCAAGTTATTTTAAAAGAAAGTTCAATGGCACTGGCAGCATTTTACAACAGCTGGTGAGTGTTCACTGGCAAATGTCAGTAGCTGCTAGATACAACTTCTAATCTTGGAATTAGAGTTAGGCACCTGTAGTTTTGCACTGGGTTTGTGAGACAGTGTATTGGGCAACTGTTTATGAGTAAGCAGCTAGCTGTGCTGTGTGACTTATCTAGTAAGCTGTGGTTTGGAAAAAGTTCTTGTGATAGTTCCTATTATCAGGCAAATAGTGCATGAGAGCCCCTCCTGTATTAGTCTGTCCTCACACTGCTATAAAGGAATACCTGAGACTGGGTGACTTACAAAGAAAAGAGGTTTAATTAAACCTCTTTGGCTCACATTTCTGCAGGCTGTACAGGAAGCATAGTGGCTTCTGTTTCTGGGGAGGCCTCAGGAAGCTTACAATCATGGTGGAAGGGACAGAGGAAGCAGGAACATCTTACACGGCTGGAGCAGGATCAAGAGAGAGTTGGGGGAGGTGCTACACACGTTTAAACAACCAGATCTCACAAGAACTCACTAGCTCAATGACAACATCTCAAGAAGGATGGTGTTAAACCATGAGAAACTGTCCCCATGATCCAATCACCTCCCATCAGGCCCTACCTCCAAAACCAGGGATTACAATCCAACATGAGATTTAGTGGGGACACAAATCCAAACCATATCACCCCCGTTCTTACCCTCCCCAGCTCCATTTGCCAGGGTTTGACACAAGTGATTCCATTTTGAGTCTTACAACTTTTACATTTCCCCGTTTTGATGAAGATCTTTCTCTGAAAGTATTGCAGATCAACTATTCTGTGGTTAGGTTTTGATTGTCCTGCTGTGCCAGGACAGACCTGTCCTTGGTTGCTGGTCTGGTCCTATGTCAGGGGAAGTGATTGGCAAAGAGGAGTTAGTGTCAAAATCCTCTTAGCCACATTTGAGCAACCAAGGAGGTCTGGAGAATGCGGCTGTCAGGCTAAGTCTACCTGGAGTCCACTGTTAAGTTTCATGTTGTCAGTTCCGTAAGTGTTAGTTATCATTTGAAGTGCTGGGCCAGCATTACTATTTTTGGAGTGTCATTCCTGCAGAGATTGGACAGACAACAGGTACAATGTTTAAAGGAAATAATTCAGAGTAAATTGAATTATGCGTAACTCAATTATGTTCCAGCATAATTATTATTTATTATGCAGGAGCATAAAAAATTGAGTTTATGGCCAGGTGCAGTGGCTCACACCTATAATCCCAGCACTTTGGGAGGCCAAGGCAGGCGGATCACCTGAGATCAGGAGTTCGAGACCAGCCTGGCCAATGTGGTGAAACCCCATCTCTACTAAAAATACAAAAATTAGCTGGGTGTGGTGGTGGGTGCCCATAATCCCAGCCTCTAGGCAGACTGAGGCCAGAGAATCGCTTGAACCCGAAAGGCAGAGGTTGCAGTGAACTGAGATCGCGCCACTGCACTCCAGCCTGGGTGACAAGAGTGAAAATCTGGCTGGGCACGGTGGCTCACACCTGTAATGCCAGCACTTTGGGAGGCCGAGGCGGGCAGATCACGAGGTCAGGAGATCGAGACCATCCTGGCTAACACAGTGAAACCCCATCTCTGCTAAAAATACAAAAAAAATTAGCGGGCGTGGTGGGTGCCTGTAGTCCCAGCTACTTGGGAGGCTGAGGCAGGAGAATGGTGTAAACCTGGGAGGCGGAGCTTGCAGTGAGCTGAGATCGCGCCACTGCACTCCTGCCTGGGCGACAGAGTGAGACTCCATCTCAAAAAAAAAAAAAAAAAGAGTGGAAATCTGTCTCAAAAAAAAAAAAAATCCAGTATATTCAATGGCTTTGGACCAAGAGCCCAAGCTCAAGCCTATGGGCAACAACTAAACTAATCAAAAGGCCAGGGGGGAACTGGGCAAGGCCTGTTGTAGCCTTTGAGTAGCATTCCATGACTTGGCTGAATTAAAGCAGAGTGCCAACTCTACAAAAGGGACCACTAGCACAATTTGAACAAAGAGCTGTGTTAAGGATGTTGTTAAAGTTACCCACTAGATGGACTAAAGGAATTTTTAGGTCAAGTTCTGTCAAGTTACCCATAGCAGTTACTAACTGTGAAATTTTACCTTCGGCATAATCCTGACAAGCAACAAAGGTAAGAGTGTAGGAGTCTCATTATAATATGGAGGCTTGCTCTGATGTCTTGGGAAAAGCTGTCTACAGCGTGAAGTTGGCAAATTGTTGTGCAAATGTCTCTGATTATGGCACTGGGCAGTTTGGTGAACTCTCTGTACGGTCCAAACATCAGGCACAAGATTTGTCCCTTGAAGTGCATTCAGTTTCAGCCTATAGGGCCTCAGGAAGACAACAGTTCTTGTTCTTTTTCTTAGTGGGAGGGTTGTAACCAGATATTGAGGAGAACTCGAATTCAGGATCTAGTACAGCCTACAGGTAGATAACAAGAACTCAAAAACAATTCACAGAGCTGCAGTCCAATGGCAGGTGATATTATAGTCATTCTGATATATTTGCCAAAGATAATTGGAGTAAGAATAATTTGCTTGTAAAATAAATTTAGTTTCATCAGATTTGGCCTGATTATTTACAAAAGTGTAGCAAGAATAGTGATTTAATCTTGGCTTGAACTTTTTTTCTTTTTTGAGGCTAGAGAGCCTCAAGGCAAACTTTGGATTTTATCTATAATGCCTATATGCAATTTTAAACATGACATGTTACTAAAATCTTGGTAATACAATTGACATTTCTAGATGCATCTTGTTATAAAGAAAACAGATTTGTATGAACTTATGCAAATAGCTATATCATCATAAATTAAAAATTCACAAATAGTTTTTGAATTTTGAAGGATCAAGTTGGAAGAAAAAAAAATGTTTTCACCTTCATTTATAATGCTAGACTTCACCAAATTGCTGTGAACTATGGGTAACTTAAAACAGAAAGTTGTATTTAGTCTGGAAAGCAAAACATTTAAGAATCAACAATGTTTCAAATAAAGAACCAACAACATTTCAAACAAATATCAAAAAAATCATAATTTTTATCAGTTATTCAATCTCACATAATTTTGTTCTGCTTAATCTTGATTAGAAGTTTCATGAATCCATCAGTTTTTCATTTGAGTTTTTAAAAGTTTTATAGTCCACTGATCTTAAAAGTTATTAGAAGCCTGTATTTAAGAGCACTCAGTAGAGTCTTTTTTTATTAACCTGATTGCAGATGCCTTTAGAGAAAAATCTACCTGTAGATGACAATAACTTACAATGATAATAATTAAAATTGGATAAAGTTCAGCAATCGACAAGGAAATTCAGTTATTTCTATTGCATTTTAAGATAACAACCAGAATCATAATTGACAGCATCACATCAGAACTATTAGACTTTTATAAATGTCATATAATGTTTAAATATTCACATCAATAACATATCCACTTAAATATAAGTTTTAAAAGATCTAGTATCACTTTATTATTTGGCAGTGCTTTTTACATAATCTAAAATATCAAATAAGCCTAACGAGAAATACATCCTTTGAGGCTTTTAAGGAAACCAACTGAAAAATCCCAAAGTCAATTTTAGGTTAAAAAGACTTTAATTATAATCTGATTTTGAGAAATTTGTCAAAGATGTTAAAAGGCTTAAAATATTTAATTAAAATAGAATCACTTGTCATTGAGAAATAATAGTCACTTATTTACCCAGAATGATATTTAAAAGATGTCAAAAGCAAATGCAAAAAGTTACATAGTTGAGAGGAAAAAATCTTAGACCTGAATTAGAGATGACTTCATTTTCCCAAGTAATCAAAAACCTAATAAAGATGGCACAAAGCACACGAAACTGCCTTACAACACACTATCTCTGTTTCTTAGGCTGTTTATCTAAAAGGTAGAAACAAAACAAAACACATCTCCTACAATATGACTGCTTCTTTTTATTGGAAGCCTGTTTGGATAACCTGGAAGTCAAACCTGATGAAAAAAGTACTTGAATTCAATCAGGTAATGGAATAGTAGGCATCTAAGGTTGTTCGTGTACACCAATATTATAGAAGAATCATATAATCAAGAGAACCAATACCTGAGCAGGGGAATGCATGGCTTCCAGAAAAACTAAAAGAATGTGAGACTGCCCGGTTACATACAGCAATTTAGGCACCACGAGAAAATCTAAGAGTACAGAATCAAGTTCTATAAAAGAAAACATTGTTCTCTTAGGCCTTAGCGAAGCACTCTCAGCATCAAACCGCAACAGCAGTCAGATCTGGAGTGGTAAAAGCTATAGCAAAAGAAGAAAAATTTGAGGGAGAAAGTCACCGCTTTAGTTAAGCAAAAAGATGTGCCTTTTTAAGGAGAGAAGGAAGAGGAGTGGAAGGCAATGATGCATGACCCACAGATTGCATGTAGTGACATGGGTAAGAAGCCAGACCCTTGAGATCCTGAATCAGAAACACTTTAAGAGGAAGACTCTACACTGAGAAATAAAATCATCATTTTAAATGAAGAAGACAGCACTTCCAACTTGAAATTAGATAGAAACTGTAAAACAGGAAAAAGCTGTAGTTCAGAAGATGGCTGGAAATTTAAAGAAACCAATTTCAAAATTGAAATCAAAACCCTTTACGATGCTTTGTTTTGTTTTTTCATAAGAGCAAATCAACATCTTAAGAAAACCCTGCTCCAAACATACAGGACAGACTCCAGGCCTTTATCAGTGTGCCCTGACATCAGTGCTCAATTCTCAGAAAACCTTGTAAACGATTCCCTTCTGATCCCAGCCAGCCTGGTCACACATGAAACTCCAGCTCCCTGTGCCAGGCCCATTCTTCACAAACTCTGCATGAGCTGCTCAACCCTTTCAGCATTCTCCTAAGCCCCCAGTCTTGGTCCTATGTTTCCCCCTTTTTATATATTGAAACATTCAGTTATTTTACCTTAGGACAAAAATTATCTTTATTCCCTTTGTCGCTGAGACCACACAACATTCTTTCCCATACAAAAATTATTTTGTGTATATTTTGCATACAGAATATACATCTATTACATATATTAATTTGAAGTTTTAATTTTTAGTAACCTTAAGTTTTAGTAAAAACCCAGAAAGTAACTTTGAACTATTATATCCTGTGGATATATTAACAGCTCATGACTATATGTTTTATAATCTCGGCTGGGCGCGGTGGCTCACACCTATAATCCCAGCACTTTGGGAGGCCAAGGCAGGCGGATCACCTGAGATCAGGAGTTCGAGACCAGCCTGGCCAATGTGGTGAAACCCCATCTCTACTAAAAATACAAAAATTAGCTGGGTGTGGTGGTGGGTGCCCATAATCCCAGCCTCTAGGCAGACTGAGGCCGGAGAATCGCTTGAACCCGAAAGGCAGAGGTTGCAGTGAACTGAGGTTGCGCCACTGCACTCCAGCCTGGGTGACAAGAGCGAGACTCTGTCTAAAAAAAAAAAAAAAAAAAAAAAATATATATATATATATATATATATATATATATATATATATAAAATCTATAAAAACATTTTTATAGAACAACTTCTGAATGTGGAGGAAGACACATTTATTTACTAATAGACCCAAATGTCTTTTGTCTTTTTATACAATTTAGGAAACCAAAAGTAAGTAAACTTGAATCTCTGTTTAACAATTCATGTTTCAGTATTTTATTTAGAAATGACCCAGCTATAGAACACATGGACACAGGGAGGGGAACAACACACACTGGGGCCTGAAGGGTGGAGGAGGTACGGCGGGAGGGAGAGCATCAGGATAAATAGCTAATGCATGCTGGGCTTAATACCTAGGTGACAGGTTGATAGATGCAGCAAACCACCATGGCACATGTTTACCTATGTAACAAATCTGCACAGCCTGCACACGTATCCAGGAACTTAAAAAAAAAGAAAAAAAGAAACGACTCAGTTATTTTATGAGTCTCTATTATTTAATTCAACGTAACATATCTAAGATTTCAAATTCCATGAAAAGTTTAACTATAAACATTTATTCCATTTATATTCACTTTATTTTTAACAATTGTACCTAGATTACTTATGCAAACTGAGATGTTAGACAGAGCTAGTTATTATTTCAAATTATTTTCCTGTCAAAGAAAAACCCTAAAAGTTAAAGTATTGTCTTTAATATACAGGAAACAATGGACATGGCATTGCACTCTTTTCTGTACTTTTGTTCTTAGGTCAAACACGTACTTTTATGATTTTAAATCATTTAACAGAGACAAATATAACCTTTGGCCAAGAAACCCAGGACCCCCCCCCCGCCAACAAAAACAATAATGTGTACTAACAATTCTGAAGGTATCTTCATTTTCATTTTGTCAACCAATTTAAAGTCAGCCTATTTATCAAAGATAATTAAGTCAGATGACCTAAAAGGAATTTAGGATAATTACTATATTTGTGATCAATTATTTTATGTAAGTGCTTGTTTTTTTCTTTAAGCCAATTGAGTTATTTTACACATTTTGGTAGAAAAATATCATATTAGCATATAAACATTTTTAAAATTATATAAACATATAGACAAAGATCTTACAGTTTTAATTTAAGAAATTTTGTCATGAATAAAACATAGTAATATAAAGTCATTAGTTTATAAAAAGAGAATTGAATTCTAAATATATGTCTGACAAAATGGAACAAGGCTAAACTCGGAGGTTTTTCATTTGCCCCGATAGCTAATCTTATGAAGGCTCTGAACCAAATTATGTGAGGAGGCTTAAAAGATAAAACTTACTCTAACAAGGTCTGTGCGGTATTTCCTTCGCTTTAATTCCTGGTCCTTGAAGATAAGAGTGTTGTTTTTCCTTCTAGTTCAGGGAGTTTGTCTTTTACATGGGAATTGCATCTTTTGCTTTTAAGAAACAGCATGAAGGTCAAATGATTCTTTTTTGTACCTGCTGTTTTTCAAGTGTTGTTACTTATATAGTCAGTATGCCAGAATAGCTGAGGAGTTTTGGAAAATAGATTTTAGCTTGAGGAGGAGGCGTGGGAAGGTGGGCAAGGCTCCCAAGGGGAGACAGCCCAGCTGGCTTTGAGACAGTGTTTTGCAGGAAGGCAGTCCTTGAGTCCTGGGTGCAGCTTGAAGCTTTGAGTTACCCACTGAGATGCCCATCCTATCTGGACTATCTGATTTTAAGTCAGAGTCTTTTCGTATAGTTCTAAGAAAAACAAACCGTTTGAATGACCTCCATAATGTTTGAACGTGTCACCAGCTAGAGTCCCAGAAGAAGGGAACTATCTTAGCCTGCCTTTGAACTTTAAGAGCCCATACTTTAAACCAATGTATCGAGGCAAGTCAGCACTAAGGCCAAGCACATAAAAGCAAAATATCAGGCGTGCAAAATGAAACCAAAGAATAAGGTATGTGCTCACTGGGAAGGACGACAAAGCCTTCTTTAACAGGAGGGAAAGTCCCTCATAAATCAGGAGAAGAAAAGGCCCTTGTATCAGTCCATTTTTATGCTGCTGAAAAAGACATACCTTAGACTGGGCGATTTACAAACGAAAGAGGTTTAATTGGACTCACAGTTCCACATGGCTGGGGAGGCCTCACAATCATGGCAGAAGGGAAGGAGGAGCAAATCGCATCTACATACATGGCAGAAGGCAAAAAAAAAGAAAGAAAGAGAGTTTGTGCAGGGGAACTCCTCTTTTTAAAACCATCAGATCTCATGAGACTTATTCACTATCAACAGAACAGCATGGGAAAGACTTGTTCCCATGATTCAATTGCCTCTCACCAGGTCCCTCCCACAACACGTGGGAATTCAAGATGAGATTTGGGTGGGGACACAGCCAAACCATATCACCCCTCTTAATAGGAGACCTCAGCAGCAGGAGGGGAAAAGACCCCTCACAAACAAAACCCAAATAAAACCAAAGAACTCAACTGAAACAAAAATGAGAGCTCAACTCAAGAAAGAGTCATGGTACCGGGGGAGGAAGCAACCCCTGGAAGCCAGGGGCAGGGACACTCAAGGAGCCCCAGAGTGGGCACCCCATGCAATCCTTCCAGGGGCGTTGATCTCTCCAAGGTGAGTCAGCTTCAAACCCCACTTCTGACAACAGGTTATGTCAACATAAAAAAAAAGAGAGCTGAATCTCTAAATAAGAAGGTTTAATTTGGAATAATATACAAGAAGTAGGATTACAATCTGGGACATCCATACAGACCAGGGTGACCTCTGGTGGGTACAGAGAACAAAGGAAAAGTTAGAGTTGATAGGGGAAAGAGGAGTTGCCCCATGTCGTTTTGAAAGAAAGTTCACTGGGGCTGGCAGTGACTTGCAAGAGCTGGTGCGTGCCAACGGGCAAATGTGAGCGGTTGCTGGGTGTGACTTGCAATCTTGGAGCTAGGGTTAGGTCCTTGTCATTTTGTATGGGGCTTGTGTGACAATGTGCCAGGCGAGTGTTCTTGTGTGAGCAGGGGGCTGTCCTGGTGCTGCTGGCTGCCCTGGTGCTGCTGGCTGCCCTCGTGTGACTCCTTAGTGAGCTCCAGTTTGGGAAAATTTCTTGTGAGAGCTCTCATTATCAGGCAAATGGTACGTGAGAACCCCCGCTGCTTCCCTGGCACTATTTGTCAGAGGTTGACACAAGTGACTCCATTTTGAATCTGACAACTTTCACAGTGTGCACTCCTTGTGTATTAAACTGGAATTTATGGCTCTCTATGTGTGGTGAAGATCTGTGCACAGGTGCACCCAACTGCCTAGGCACCACCTGGCATGGAGGAACCTCCCATCTCTCACTGCCTCCCCCCGTTTCACCTGTTCTCTGCCCACCAGAGTGGACTTCATTCTGTTCCTGGCCTGGGGCAAGGCTAGATCAGCCCCACACAGGCCACCATGACCCTTCCAGGTTGGGTTGATCCTGCCCATTCTATGCTTCTCCACACCTGCCCCTCCTCCTGGCACCCCGACTGGGTCATAGCCCTCACCACCCTGTTGTAAAGTCCAGTTTCCTGGTTGTAGGGTGCTCAATAAGCATCTGTTACAAGAACAAGTGGAGGAGAGTGAACAAATCCCCGGGGATTCTGATGAGGCCTCAGAGAGGGCTGGACCTGTGGAAGCCCAGAAAAAAAAAAGTCCTGAATGATTGAATCATGTCTCTGCAGGGTCACATTTCCTATCTCAGGCAGGTTGCCAAATTTAACAATTAAAAATACAGACTGCCCAGTCAAAGCTGAATTTCAGATAAACAGCGAGTGATTTTTTAGTGTAAGTATGTCCCAAATGTGGTATGGGACATTCTTACACTAAAATGTTGATTGTTTTTATCTGAAATTCAAACTTAACTGCACATCCTATGTCTATTTCAACTGTACACTAAAGCATCCTGTACCCCAGGGCATCCTGTACCCCAGGGCATCCTGTACGCTAGAGCATTCTATACCCCAGAACATCCTCTACCCGGAGCATCGTGTACCCCAGAGTATCCTGTACCCCGGGGCATCCTGTACCCTGGAGCATCCTGTACCCAAGGCATCCTGTATCCCAGAACATCCTGTACCCCGGAGCATCCTCTACCCAGAGCATCCTGTATCCCAGAACATCCTGTACCCCAGAGCATCCTCTACCCAGAGCATCCTGTACCCCAGAGCATCCTATACCCTGGAACATCCTGTACCCTGGAGCATCCTGGAGCATCCCAAGCAGAGGGAAGACTCCTTGGGAGGCACTGTGGCAGCATGAAATTTCCTGACTCAGAGGCTGAGCACAAGCCCCACTGTGGCAGGGAGGCCTGGCTCTCTCCCCAGCTGGTTTCTCTCCATATCCCGCTCAGCATGCACTGCCCATCAGACAGCAGAGGCTCAAGCTTCCCAGCCAGGGAGGAAACAAGGAGCTGCCTCCCCAGGGACAGGAGGTACAGGCATGATGAAGGGTGGCACGGGAAGGACCCCTGAAGGGTCATAGGTTGACCATAGGCAGGCAGTGAGCAGCTTCTCCCCCTGCCTCCAGACCTGGATCGAGCCCGCCCCTTTCCAGTCCAGTCCTGCTCAGCCCCTTAAGAACTTTGCAAGTCCCTGTCCTTCATTTAAAAATACCTCAGCTGATGCCAGCACCTCTTTGAGAAGGCGTGGTGAGGACTCAGCAAATGAGGTGCTCTCCCAAGTTGGAGCATCTGCGAGGCCTCCAGCCCCAGCCCTGGAAGTCAGCAGAGATGGACCATGGAGCCGTCTGCCATGTCTGGGGAGTAGAGCAAGGTGAACTGGCCACCAGAGACTGAGCTTCTTCCTGCTCAGGGCAAACATGAGCCCCATCTGTGTGGGCAGAGGCACCCACAGACCTGAGCCCCTTCCTATGCCCCAAATGGTCTGGCCCCAGCTCTGAGGGCCTCAGAGCAGGAACTGCATGTTGCAGTGGAGGAGAGCCAGAGGGTGTGGCTCCCAAGCAGCCCATACCCATTCCACAATCAGGAGGAATGGGAGAGGCCATCCCAGAAAATGACAGGTGAGCAAATACCGACTCAATTTCCAACATGGATAGTTCCAGAAACAGCAATTCTATGAAACCTAGATCTGTGACTGTTGATAATTACTTGCCAAAGTCCAGCATGGCTGTTCACTTACATGTTAGGGCAAAAGATCCTCTCCTCGGGGGTGTGAGTGTGTGGTGAGGGAGCTCCGGGGCAGATCATGGTGCATCTTGGTTCTGGGGCAAACTTGTGAAGCCCCTGCCTATGTCCCATGGGTAGGAAGATGGAATATGAGCTGGGCAATAGCATTGTCCAGTGGATTCAAAACCACTGGATGGCCATGCCTGTGAGTGTGGGTTACTGGTCTGAGGTCAACCTAGAGTCCTTCAGTGGCTCCAAATCCTATTCCATTCAAGATATTCATCCCTCCTGATGCCAGGGGGATACCTGGCTGCCTCCAGGGGTGGATGGAATGAATGATCTTAGAATAACCTCCATAAGTATTCCAATCAGACCTTGGCTGATAGCTTGGGTGAAGCTATGGATGGGCTTCTCATGAGGTTTGCAGACAATCTGTGTTTAGAGGGAGGCAAACACCACATATTGCAGAATGAAGGTTCAGAGACCAAATTTGCCAGGTGCAAATGTTGGGCCAAAACAAGCAAGGTGAAGTTTAAACAACATAAACATAAACTCCTGCATCCTGATTACACAAATAGAAGTTAAGCGGCCTTTTCTATAATTCAGGGAAGATGCAGCTCTGGGATCAGAGAGTGACAAGCTGCTGCCAAAGCTAACACAGACACCTGTCGTGTAGGTCAGGGTGGCGCAGCCGCAGGTACTGTTGCTGGCATTTGCTACTGGGACCACATGAAGTGAACTGATTTTAATTCCTGGTCCATGTTTCTCTGCTGTAATATCCAGGGAGTTATTCTGAAAACCCGCTGCTCCAGTGCACCTAGAAAGGCTGGAAACCCTCTTCTCCAAAGCCTGGAAAGGCTCCAAAGCATCTAGAAAGGCCTATTGTTTAAATGTGTGATTAGGCTCACAAAAAGATAAGGAAAAACCTCAAAAGAAGAAGAAGACTAGATCCCAAATCCAGAGAAGCATGGTGGCGCTGAGGCCCGAGGCTGACCCTGGGCTTGAGGTGGTTCCTGTACCCTGGCGTTGTCCATCTGTAGGGATCTGTGGGGACAGGAGACAAGTTCGTGGTGAGATGCCTCCCCTACAGCCCACACACCCCAAGGACTCACCTCCAGATACAGGGGAGTGAGGGAAACGGTTCAGATGGATGTAGGTGTGAGACATGCTGGGAACAGCAGGGACGTCTGTAAGGAGGGAAAGCAGAGTCCGCAGGGCAGAAACAGAGAGGCTGAGCCAGGCTCAGAGGACTCCCAGCAGAGGCAGTCACGCAGGCCAGCAGGGGTGGCTCTGGAACCCCCGAGCAAGTTGTGGCAGCAAAGAATTCGGGATCTGAGGGGTTTCAGTTGTAGGTCTGAGGTCTGTACTGACAAGGGGCAGGATGCCAGCTCAGCAGTAGTGGGGAGGTGAAGACCTCACAGGGGATAGGGGATAGGGATGGGACAAAAGAGGGAGGTCTCTCAGATACAAGACCCATTTACAGAGTCTCGGCTCATCCAAAGAATATGAGGGGAGGGGGCTTTGTGCTCACAGATGATTGGGTTAGGGGAAAGATGATTAATCACAGGCTGTGGACGCATTTTCGAGGCAGGAGCCAAGCCTTATGGCAAGATAACGAAGGGGACGGCAAGGGCTGCTCTGTGGGGGTGCACGGGCTGGGCCCGCAGCACACCACCTGTTCACTAGGTCTGGGCAGCAATTAGACCTGCACCCAGCAGGGCCCACAAGGTCAGAACAGGGACTGTGAAGATCAAACGGAAGCGCAGGAGGGTGTTCGAGCCTTCGGGCAGGGCTTGTGCTTCCCCCAAAATCAGTGCAGGTTTGCCGGTGGCTTTCAACCAGAAAGCACTAAGGAACGCTGTGTTCGTCTGCTGGGCTGCATGACAGAGTACCTCGGGCCGGGCAGCGCACCCAACAGACAGTTATTTTTCCAGAGATGGAGGCTGGAGGTCCCAGAACAAGGTGGCAGCAGGGGCGTGTCTGGTGAGGGCTCTTTCTGGCTTGCAGACAGCCTCCTTCTCCCTGTGTCCTCACATGGCAGAGAGGGAGACAGAGAGAGAGAGCTCTGATGTCTCTTCCATCTACAAGGACCCCAGCCCTACTGCACCTGGGACCCACCCTATTACCTCCCTATGAAGGCCAACTCTCTGCCTACAGTCACACTGGGGGTTGGGGCCTTAGTACATGAATTTGGGAGGATGCATGCAGTCCACACAGGCTGAGGCAGGGATGGGAGGTCGGGGTGAACTTGGGAGTGTTTGAAACTGAAGGAAATAAAGTATGGCCAGGGAACCGCCTTCCAGCATTCCAGCGGGTCCCTCTCAGGGCAGCACTTCCTGGCCCTCAGGCTGTGGGTGGCCCCAAGTTAGACGTTTGGCTCAGCCTGCTCTAGACAGCGCTGGTGGCTGCACCCACAAACCTGTGGGCAGGACTCTGACCCTCACGCTGGCCCGGGTGGGGGCGCCTCCCGTGCCCTTGGCTCAGCTGCTGCCCCATGGAAGCTGCTCCTGACACCCTTGCTACATGACCCTGTGGATTTGCCCTCGTCCCCTTCGCAGAAGGGGAACCAGAGAAAGCATTTCCACCAGGCTTTTGAAGTGAGATTCGGGTGGGGGGGTTTGAGTTTTCTTTTGCTTTTATTAGTGTCTGGTGCTTTTTTTACCCTCTTTTCTCCATTTCAAATTGTATTTTTATTCTAATAAAATATGTATAACATAAAATGTGCTATGGTAACCATTGCGAAGTATACAGCTCAGGGGGACCAAGCACAGTCACGCTGTTGCGTGGCCATCAGCTCCATCCAGCTCCAGAACATGTTTCATCTTCCCAGACTTCCCATTCCACTTCCTGTCTCTAAGATCGTGACTCCTCTGGGGACCTCACAGGAGTGGAATCACAGCCTTTGCCCTTTTGTGACTGGCTTATTTCACTTAGCACAATGTCTTCGAAGTTCACCCCCTGTACCATGTGTCTGTATTTTCTTCTTTTTTAAGAATGGATAATATTCTCATGTGAGGATGGACCACATCTTGTTTATCCATTCATCTGGCGATGAGCACTGTGATGGTTTTTCTCTCCTGAGCACATGAGGATGCCTGAGCCTGGCTGGTCCTCCTGCCCTTCTCAGGGAGACGGATGGCGTGTTCCATCTTTGCTCTCTGCTACATTGTGCATTTGGGCGCAGAGACAAATTCAGAAAGGCTTCTAATTATGCAAGGAATCGAGGTCTCATCTCCTCAGCACACTTGTTTACAGCACTGAGCCCTCCTCTCCCTCTCCCTCCGCCACACACTGGGGCTTTGTCCCCTCTGGAACAGACACTGGTCAACAGCCTGGTGTCATCCCACAGACCTCCTGTGTGTGGACCAAAGGTCCTCAACATTTAGGGATGGTCCCCTCACAGGGGGTCGGCCCTCTGTGTCTGAACGTGGCCAAGCCACGACCCCTGATGGAAAGTTACAAGGAGCGGTGGCTCACGCCTGTAGTCCCAGCACTTTGGGAGGCTGAGGTGGGTGGATCATGAGGTCAGGAGATCGAGACCATCCTGGCTAACAAGGTGAAACCCCGTCTCTACTAAAAATACAAAAAATTAGCCGGGCGCGGTGGCTGGCGCCTGTAGTCCCAGCTACTCGGGATGCTGAGGCAGGAGAATGGCGTGAACCTGGGAAGCGGAGCTTGCGGTGAGCCGAGATTGCGCCACTGCAGTCCGCAGTCCGGCCTGGGCGACAGAGCAAGACTCCGTCTCAAAAAAAAAAAAAAAAAAAAAAAAAGAAAGTTACAAGGAGGCCAGTGTGAGGAAGAATTTTCTACAGAACGGAGCTCTGGGAGAAGGAAGAAATCACCCTGCGGAAGAAGTGAGTTCCCCATCACAGTGGGTATCCAACGGCTGAACGCCCATGAGTGAGGAGTGTTGAAGAGGTCTCTGGATTTAAGGGTAGGAGGCATGACAGAGTCTATGTCCTTTCCAACTCCAGCATCCTCATGGCCTCGATACCCCAGACAGAGTGAAGACTATGAGGCCCCAAGTCCTCAAGAGGGAGAGGGGCTGCTGCCTGCAAGGGAGAAGGATAGAGCCAAGGAAGCAAGCCCAGGGGCCCCTGGGAGACACTGGGCGAGATTCCAGGGGGCAGGGTCTATTCCCAGAAACGAGATGGATTGGAACGGCCACAGGAGAAAGGCAATGGGATCGGTCACCTTTGCAGCATTTGTTGTTAATGGACAGAGGTGCTGCCCCTCCTGGCTCAGCCTTGTCTGCAAGACCAAGTGGGTGCAGGCGCTGGCCTGGTTGCTGGGAGGCACGGGGCAGGAGAAGCTGTGCCCCTCTCTCCACAGGGTTGGAGCTAGAGCTAATGAAGTCTAGCTCTGTGGCCTGCCATGCTTGGCCAGGTGTCCCTGCAGAGAAGGGAAGCTCTACTCAGTCCAGACAAGGCCACAGTGTCAACAAGGGGACGATGTGGATAAATCAGCACAATCTTGTGACTATGGCTATTGGTGGGAATAACTAACAAACTAACAATGATGATGACTGTTAACGGTCAAGTGGAGGCAGATGTAAATTTTAGTCTAACAAACAAGAAAGTAAGACCAAGTCATTTCTTTATTTTCTTTAAATCCATTCAATTCTAACTTCAGTCCCCCATCTGCCATCAGGCAGGAAACTGAATCTCAGCCAGGCATCAGGGAGGCCCCAGAGTCCTCCCTTAGTGACCTGCCCTGGTCACTGTGGGGACGCCGACTGTCCAGCCCAATGGACCCTTAAGGAGTTCAGCAACTCTGCTGCCCCCCGATGGGAACTCCAGAAGCCCTGCCTGGGGACTGGTCCTTCTGAGGGCTCAAAGTTCTTCCCTCTGCAGCCAGGCCATCCCCCCAGGGATCCCCAAGTCCCCTCCACACCTGGAACCTACCTCTGAACATCCAGCAAACTTCCACCCTTGGTTTCTAGTTTTCTCAAATACAGGGAGGGAAGTTTCTTACAAATGGCTTCCGCTTTTGACCATGTAATATAACTCACACTCACCTCACCCGAAGAAACAAGGAACATAAAAACCGGGTCACCCCATGAAATAGCGGGTGGGGGGAAACCAGAGAGAAGACACTAAATCACGTGCCTGAATAAGCGCATCTCTCACGAGCACCCCACAGCAGCTGGCCAGGGGCAGGTACTGTCGGAGCCTCACCACGCCCAGCCTTTACAGCAGCTCCTTGGGGAAGGAGCGATTACGATCCCATTTCAGAAATGAGGAAAGTAAGGTAAGGACATGCTAAGGGACTCGCCAGCAGGGAATGTGACATCAGAAACCCCATCCAAGCAGCAGAGGTCCAGGGAGAAAGGCTGCCCCCTTGTGATGGCTAATTTTATGTGTCCACCTGTCTGGATATGGCCCCAGTCATTTGGCCAGACACTAGTCTGGATGTTGCTACGAAGTCTTTTATTTCTTTTAAGATATGATTAACAATTACATCAGAAGACTTTGAATAAAGCCAATGACACTCCATAATTTGGGTGGGTCTTACCCAGTCAAAGGCCTTAAAAGCAAAGACCGAGATTTCCCGAAGAAGAAGGGATTCTGTTGAAGACAGCAACATGGACACCCTGACTCAGTTTCCAGATCACTGTGAGACTCAGACCCAAGACAACAACACCAACTCCTCCCTAATTTCCAGCCTGTTGATTCTGTTTCTTTGAAGAACTCCAACTATAATACATCCCCATCTCTATGTGGACAGTGTGGCGAGATTTCCCGAAGTAGAAGGGATTCTGTTGAAGACAGCAACATGGACACCCTGACTCAGTTTCCAGATCACTGTGAGACTCAGACCCAAGACAACAACACCAACTCCTCCCTAATTTCCAGCCTATTGATTCTGTTTCTTTGAAGAACTCCAACTATAATACATCCCCATCTCTATGTGGACAGTGTGGCGAGATTTCCCAGGGAACTCCAGACTTCTGGTCAGAGAATTCAGGACCCCATCTGGCACCAGCTACACCATCAGCCTCCGCCCCTTGCCACCTCTACTGCCACTTGCTTTCCCTGATAGCATTTATTTACTTGGGGTTCACGTGAACCTTGATCTCAAAACATCCCTCTTAGCAGAGAAGTTCCAATGATGCACGAGTATGTGTATGTTGATTTGAGTCCTATTTATTTTTCTTTCAAAATATTGAAAAGGTTTTTCTCTCTAAATGTCTGTCTACTGACAAGTTTTGATCTGTCTTCATTGTTCTGTAATTGCCGCTGAGATGTGGTATTCAGTGTGATGAAAATCCCCATTGCATTCCTCTAATTGAAGGTTTTAAGGAAAGAAACATGTTCAAGACAACGGGCATCCATACTCAAGATTAGGCGTCACCACCCAGGCCAGCGAGCCAGGTAGGGACAGTGTGCGGACATGGGTATGTCGGCTACAAACAAGCGTCCCCAATCAGTTGGGTCACTCTGTGCAGAAAGGCAGCCAAGCCATTTACCTGGACCCAAATAGTCAAAGAGAGGTTTTACATCACACACCGGGGCCTGTTGTGGGGTGGGGGGAGTGGGGAGGGATAGTATTAGGAGATATACCTAATGTTAAATGACGAGTTAATGGGTGCAGCACACCAACATGGCACATGTATATATATATGTAACTAACCTGCACATTGTGCACATGTACCCTAAAACTTAAAGTATAATAAAAAAAAAAAAGAAGAAAATAAAATAAAGTAGAGGCCATACCCTTCTGCTCTTAAAAAAAAAAAAAAAAAAATTACAACCCACCGAGTTAGCTGCAGGTAGTCATTACGCTAAGATAGAAAACTAAAAAACTAGAAAAAATTGTTTTTTACTTTACCAACAACAAAAGGACATAGCTGAAATCTTAGGGAGATGTACTTTCCCCAAAAGCTTCATTTTGACAAGAATCATGCATTCATGAGACCTCAGAACACTCTGGATCCCGATCCACTATTAGGATTTGCATTTTAGGGCAGATTTGTTTTTATAGACTTGAACATGTTGGATCTTTCGGGCCTTTTGAATTTTATAATCTTCTCTTATGCGGCGAGAGGAGTCAGTGTAGACAGGGGGTTAAGTAAGAAGGAATCTGGAATAGACTTGTGGTTAATCAGGTCACCAGGGGCAGAAAGGGCCAGTCAGGGCCAGGTGGCTGAGCCAGACAAGATCAGGTTCCTTGGACCCTTCAGGAAAGGACTCTCGGCCCAGTCACCTTGAACTGTGCTGGGTGAGCCATGGAAGGCGGGTTTGTTTATTACAGGAGCTCTGAGACCCTCTCATTAGGGACTGTGTACTAAGAATCCCCTGGCGAGCAGGAATGCTGGAGTAAATATTGTGGGAGGCATTTGCCAAACTCAAGCAACAACAGTGAGCGTCAGAGAAGGAGCCAGCATTTACCCTTGGGGAGCAGGTGCCAGCCAGCAGCTGTGGGTCTCCCTGCAGGCAGGATGGCTGAGCCAGCTGTGGTCTGGCCCTGATGCTCACTGGGTAGGGAAGGGATAGCAGCAGTCTCTGAATACGCAGAACCTCCGGGGCCTTCATGGAAATTGTCTGGGTGCTTTGAGTGGGAACCATGTCGCACCTTTTCTTGAAAGGTAAATTGAGTCAGGCCATCTGAATAAGTTTTCCCGCAAAAGTCAGCCCCTCTTTCTAGGGCTCCAGAGTCCCACAGACCTCCTTTTGCGTTCAGCACCTTCCAAGTTGGTATCACAAGCACATGAGCCACAACCAAGCTAAGCACAAGCCCCAGAGCACCGAGAAGATGCCTGCCTAGAACACGGATGCAGTGAGAGTGCCTGCTAATGGGCTCAAGGTCCCGGCATGAACAGCCAGAATCAGAGGGGCTATAAAGGAGTCGGCTGGGCATCCCCCACCCTGGGAAAGAGGGCCTCGGCATCCTTCCCTCCTCAGACAGCCCAGCGAGTCTCACCCTCAGCTTCCCGGGCCAGGGACCTGCTGCAGGCCATCACTGGCTCACCGAACACGCAGAGGAAGCACCGAGCACCCACATCTGTGCCCACCTCTAGGCTCTGAGCGCCCACCCCAAACACCACCCTTTATCTCCTCACTCCCCCTTCCTTCCCATGGACCATGGTCCCCATCCTCATGGCAATCTCTGCCCTGATCTTCACCCCTTCCAGGTACCCTCTCCCCAGGCCCCTTCAGGCGACACTCACTTCCCACCCACCTGGACTCAGGAACTGTCAGCTCTGCTCCTGGCAGCACCTCTAAGCCTTTGCCTCCTCCCTGCTGTGCCAGTGCCCATCACTTCCCTAAAACTTCCTTCCCATTTGGGATTTTTGCTAGAAAAATAAGTGTGGACACCTGGCCAGGGGCTGCCTGATGAACAGTAGCAGCTGGTGTTGCTGGCTGGCACCCACCCCGTCTCTCTGTCTGGGGAGGCTGCTCTGCTCTCTGTGTTCTCTCCCCTGTGCCTCCCACCACACCACCCACTCCCCTGCTCCTCCTGGTTCCCTTCTTGCCTGCTAGTTGTAACTGATTACCATCTTACGTTGCAACTTATACTCCTGGGTGATCTCACTCATTGTATGTCTCTACCTATTACTTCAGTGTAATCTCTACCCCAGGCCTATTCCTTAATTCCCAGGTCCCCATTTCCAATAGCCTGAGTGTTCTCTGACCCAAACCAAGCTCAGTACATTCCCTGATGTACTTCTCTCCCCACCTCCAGCTCTGTCAGTGCAGTACTCAAGCATAAAACTTGGGTGGCATCTGAACCTCTCTCTTTTCCTCACACCTCCTGCACCAACTACTCATCAATACTTGCATCTTGTGCCACCAGCATGGATCAACCAATAGTCTTAATCTCCCTTCCTTAAGTGTGTTAGGATTTGGTTCAGCTACCTATAACAAAAAACCTCCAAACCACAGAAATTAAAACATAAAAATACATTATGATCTCACATAAAGTCACCTCAGATGGTTAGGCTCTGGAAGAAGTCCTGACTTAGTCTCTGGCATTAAAAGTCGGGAGCCTCCACATCAGAGGTTTATTTGGGAGACAGGTATAGTGACCCCATGGATGCCAGGGCCCAGGATACTTCTATCTAGCTCCTTCCTGTTCCCAGTACATTGCCTTATCGTCCAAAGCAGCTGCTGAAGCTCCAGCCATTACATCTTCATTCCAGACAACAGGAAAGAGGATGGGAGGATGAAGGTTATGCCTCTGTCTTTTGAAGATAGTTCCTAGACACTTCACACAACATTTCAGCTTATGTCTTATTGGCCAAAAGCTGACTCCAAAAGAGGTAGAACCATTTTTCATTTATTTATGCCTCAAACAAAACTGGGGTCTGTTACTGTGAAAGAAGAGGAGAATAGACATAGGGAAGCAACCAGCCATTGTGGCCACACCACAGCATTTTCCCCAACTGAGCACCAAGATGAAGTACAGTCATCCCTCGGTATCCATGGGGAATTGGTTCCAGAACCACCCCCAACCCCTAAAGATACCAAAATCCAAGGATGCTCAAGTGTCATATAAAATGGCATAGGCTGAGTGCAGTGACTCACACCTGTAATCCCAGCACTTTGGGAAGCCGAGGTGGGAGGATCACTTGAGCTCAGGAGTATGAGACCATGAGCAAACATGGCAAAACCCCATCTCTACAAACAACACAAAAATCAGCCAGGCATGGTGGTGTATGTCTGTGGTCCCAGCTACTCAGGAGGCTGAGGTGGGAAGATAGCTTGAGCCCAGAGGCGGATGTTGCAGTGAGCCAAGATCATACCATTGCACTCCAGCCTAGGTGACAGAGCAAGACGCTGACTCAAAAATAAAATGGCATAGTATTTGATATAACCTATGCACATCCTCCCTCATGTTTTAAATCATCTCTAGATTATTTATAATATCTAATACAATGAAAATAGCTGTATTGGGTATTTTTTTCTTTTTTTCCTTTTTTTCCTTACATTAAATACATCAGTAAATCAGCAGTCACATTCTGTTACCACGATTGTTATGTTAGGAGAGGAAGAAATGTAAATGCTTTCTTAGAAACAAAACAAAAAGAAAAAAACCAGAACACTGTGCCCCTGCCTCCACTGCCTTAAAAAAACTGGCCAGAAGAGAAAAATGAGCTGGGAAATTTAAAAAAACTAACATCCCCAAGCCCAGCAGAGCTCAAAGGAAGGCAGAAGATCTGGTAGGAAGTAGAGGGAAGGTAGCCGATTGCCCAGAAGCTAAGGCTAGATCCTGTTCCTATAGGGGTGGGATGGGGGAGAAGCCTGGATAAGTGGTTTCCGAGCCCCAAGACAATGAAACACCTTCACTCCTGCTCCATGGGGCAAAGCTTGACAGAGAAAGAACTTCATTTCTAAGAGACTTTAGAAAGCCATCCCAGTTCTTCCACTTGTAAAAAGGATGCACTAAGTGCTCTGGGGGGGCTAGAGGCTTCTCGGAAAGGCAGGGAGAAATGTGTGTGTTTCAGGGCCATGGGAACTAAGGCTGCCACTGGAAAAGGAAGGGAACTGAGGCCTAAGTGGAAGAACCTAAGCTGGGCCCTTCAGAATCTCAGCTTCATAGATTTCTCAGCTGTTATGGAATAGAAGGCAGTCTGCAAGCCAAAAGGGCAGAAAGGTTCTAATCCTAGGTCACCGTGACTCTCCTTCTCCTTGTCCTTCTCCTCCTCCTCCTCCTTGTCTTTCTCCTTCTCCTTCTCCTTCTCCTCCTCCTCCTTCCTTCCTTCCTTCCTCTCTCTCTCTCTCTCTCTCTCTCTCTCTCTCTCTCTCTCTCTCTCTCTCTTTCTTTACCAAAACTCTGGGCTGGAACAAGGAACTTAAAGTTCTCTTTTGCCTTGATGGCCTCCCACAGACATCTTAAAACACGTGATAAGGGACATGAAGAAAGGCTAGAGATTTAGAAAGGACCAGTGTCCTCTGATAATGAGCCAGTTGTAAGGTACCTTCAGTGCCAGTCATTCCATGTCCACAGAAACAGGTGGTGTGATATGAAGGTGCCCCAAGGAGGCCTCTGTGGTACTTGCCCCTGGTGGTACATGGATTAAACCGTTGGTTGCATGGTGGGGAGGGGTAGGGATTAAGGATGGAGGGACTAAATTCAAGATATTAACAAAGGAGGAAAGAAGCAGGGCCTGATAGGAGAGAGAAGACAGAACAGACTATACAGTGGGAATAAACATCATACCTATTTACAGGGAAGTAGAAAAGTCATGGTAATGGATATCAAATTGGATGTGAAACCCGGGACAGGATAGAAAACTCCTCCCTTTTGCCCGACCTCCTTTTTAATCCCCAGCTTGGCCTATGCTATCCTGAGACACTCCCCAGTTACCCAGTTAAATCTCCAGGAAAGGCAAACCTATACTCCATAGCTAGGTTGGCAAGAATATCAGTTAAGAATTGGAGTTGGAGGACGCTAACAGTGGAGATTGGACTTGAGTAGCTGCCACTGGTGTTTTTATCTATAACGTCTCCAAAAACCTTATATTAACCTCAGATTCCACTGAATTAAAAAGAAGGTGGGAGGGCAGGTAAATCCATCAAAACTCCCGTAAAACAAGTACCCCAGCTGAACTACCATCAGTTAAAGTGCAAACTGCAGGGGCATATGGTAGCCGGGCCTGAGGCCATCTAAAGGCCAGAGGGGAAAAATGCATATGTATAAATCAGAGGATGAGTATCAGAAACTGGTCTCTCCCCCAGTTAGATCACAGCAGAGCCAACGATGCAGGCAACCGATTCTTTGGAGGACTCTGGGGTCCAATCCCCACAATAGGGGAAATGATATTTAAGAGGCTGAGTGAGGGGAAACTGGGCCTTGGAAGAGTTCCAGAGATGCAGATGACACTGCACCTCCACATCTGCCCAGTTAGCTAACAAGACACCTCCTGCCTGGTGCCTGGGAGTTTGCCTCCCCATTCTCACCTCTACCTAGGAACACCCTCCGCAAGGCCAACTCATGGATACTGCAGTGTTTTCAAACATAAGAAACTCCAACCAAATACAAACAAAAAGGAAACGTTTCCTTACTCCCTCCTGCTCTGAGCTTTATTCTCCCCCAGGGCCCTTAATGTAAACGAACTGGAAACCTCCTTCCTCAGCTCCTGGGTTCACCACCTTCTGCATCCTGGGGACAGGAGAAAACAGGATCGAGAACAGGGGTCGACCAAAAACCGATTGACCAAGAAGGGACAGGAGGCAGAAGTGTTTTCTGAAAACATGGGGAGGAACAGTAGGGAGGAGGAGAAAAGAGAAGTAAATCACTGTCTCGTACCTAGAATACAAAATGAAGAAAGTTGGTTTTGGAAGGTAAGTCCTGGGGAAGTTGACCCCCAAGCCCCAGAGTAGGGGCTAGGAGGCCAGTGGCAACAGCTGCCTGGTGTTTCTTGCTGAAGCGTCATGAAGTGCCATGGGCTGGGCGTGGTGGCTCACGCCTGTAATCCCAGCACTTTGGGAGGCCAAGGCAGGCAGATCACCTGAGGTCAGGAGTTCGAGACCAGCCTGACCAACATGGAGAAACCCCGTCTCTACTAAAAATACAAAATTAGCTGGGAGTGGTGGCTCATGACTGTAATCCCAGCTTCTGGGGAGGCTGAGGCAGGAGAATCACTTGAACCCAGGAGGTGGAGGTTGCTGTGAGCCGAGATTGCGCCATTGCACTCCAGCCTGGGCAACAAGAGTGAAATTCTATCTCAAAAAAAAAAAAAAGAAGAAGAAGTATCATGACAGAGGCATCAGGAGGCAGCCCGTGGGAGCCAGGGCTCAGTGTGCTGTTAAAACAGGTTGCAGTAAAGAAGATAGCCAAAACCCACCAAAACCAAGATGGCAATAAAAGTGACCTCTGTTCATCCTCACTGCTCATTATACACTAGTTATCATACATTAGCATGTTAAGAGACACTCCCACCAGTACCATGACAGCTTACAAATACCATGGCAATGCCCGGAAGTTTCTCTATATGGTCTAAAAAGGAGAGAAACCCTCATTTCCAGGAATTGCCCACACCTTCCCCAGGAAACTCTTGAATAATGCACCCCTTGTTTAGCATATAATCAAGAAGCAACTATAAGTATGATTAGTTGAGCAGCCTGCACCTCTGCTCTCCCTATGCAGTAGCCACTTTTATTCATTTACTTTCTTAATAAACTTCCTTTCACTTTACTCTTTACCCACCAAATTCTTTCTTGCAAGAGGTCCAAGAACCTTCTTGGGGTCGGGATTGGGAACCCTTTCCAGTAACAATTGTAGACCTTAATCACACCTACAGAATTCCTTTAGAGCAACACCTACATGAGGCTTGACTGAATAACTGGGGATTGGAGCCTCCCAGGTTGACAGAGAAGACTGCACCATCACAGGTGCCTACTCCATGTTCTACCCGTCTGCTTGGAGCCGACTCTCACCCGCGTAAAGAATGCTGCCATGAACACCTTCATGCAGGTCACCTTAAGAACGTCGGTGAGAGTCTCTTCAGGATTCATTTGTAGGAGCAGACCTGCTGTGGCATAGCTATGTGTATCCCTAATGTCACTAATTCTGACGGATTGCTCTAAAGAATGACTACACTAGTCTATACTTCCGTTCCCCACCCTTCACTCCCACCCCCACCCCCACCCTGGAGAAAGTTCTATCCCTAGATACAAGTGACATTATCCAACTTGAAAACGTTTTCAAGCCTAATGGTATAAAGTGAGAGTTTTAATGGGTGTAAAGTGACAGTGTCTTTCAATGTGCAAATTCTTTAATTACTAGTGGATTTAAACAACTCTCTCTTTTTGCAAGTCTTTGATGTTTCTTCTGCTGTAAATTGCCTCTTTGCATACTTTGCTCATTTCTCTAGTGGAGTTTTTGCCCTTTCCTTGTTAATTTCAATGTTTCCTTTTATGGTCTACTTATTTTTCACTCAATGGTTTTAGACATTACACATATCTTCTCCCAGGCAGCATTGAACAAAAATCTTTATCATGGTAATACTAAATTCGTCAATAGTTTTTTCAGTTATGGCATTTTGGGATTTACAGGTCTTTCTCCACCTCTGTATTACAAAGACATCACTTACATTATCTTCTATTACTTTAAGGAGGCACCACCTTTGTTGTATATTCTATTCCCGTGTGAGATTCTCAGGATCTCTCTTTCTGAGCTCTGTCCTATGTTACCTTGGCTGTTTTTTCTTTCAAAAATACCATATTGTTTCTATTACTACATCTTTACAGGCTGTCCTTATACCTAATAAGACAAGTCCCCTTTCCCACTCCTTTCTTAGTTTTGTTAGATTCAGACAAATTTTATAATAAGTTTATCAAGTTCCTCAAAAAAAATTCAATTATTGGATGTCTCACTTAATTTAAGAACTGTCTTCTTTAAAATATTGTCATCCCAGCTTGGAGAGGGATTATTTTCTATTTATTCATATCAACTTCTAGTATCTAACATATCTGTCACTAAAGTTTTAAATGTTCCCCATAGAAGTTTCATATACTCTTAAATGATTTCTAGATACTTTATATTTTGTTTTTCTAGCTGGTTATTTCTGTTGTACAAAAACACTGGATTCTTTTTAACTGATCAGGTATCCATCAGCATTGGTAAGTTTTCTCTTTACTGTAATCATTGGTTGATTCTATTGGTTTTTCTTGGAAGATGATTGAATAGCTTGCAAATATTGATCTTGTATTAAAATTATTCATGTATCTAACTCCTTGGAAAGACAGAATCCATGCTTGACCCATCTTTTAACACCATAGTAGCAAGCAAAGTGCAAAGAAGTTCAATCAATATTTATCGAATGCATAAGTGAATGATGGGCCATCAGAAGAATGTGTTCAACCTATCTGAGGTCACTAAGGAAGTGAAAAATTCTATCACATTGATTTTTGAAGTTAGGTTGAGCAAAAAACAAACACGGCTGTTGACTCTCTCATGAGTGGTTGGATCTGATACAGGGCCCCTTCCCTTGGGTACTTATTATCAAAGAGAAACCACAGTTGTATCAACAGACTTAAAGACAGTATGGACAAGGGATAAAGGACAAATGATAAAACACAAGAAATTCAATAGTGCAAGGTAGCTCAGCACTGAGCTGTCCAGTCCTCACCAGCCACGGCCAAGAGCCCTGTAAACAGTGCCTCAGCCCTCCACCTCCACATCCTGCCTCCATCCAAGGCCCCTGTCCTGGCTGTGGTTGAGGTTTTTGATGCCATCATTCCCCATTCCACAGCCCTGACCAGGGACTTTCTATTGGATATGCTTCTACTCAACAATCTGCCTGGTATTCTTATCTGTCCCTTCTACCCACAAACACCACCTTGCTAAATGCCTTTAGATCTCACGAGGTTCAGGTTCAGCCCTGCCTCTGGTTGTGGGTGACCCTAAGAGCCCCTTGGTCCTTTGAGGATCCTGTCAATAAGTCTTTGCCACGTAGGACCCATAGAGCTAAGAAGGCAACCAAGATGGTACTGGGTCAGGCCAATCCAAGGCAGGGCTAGGACCCTTGTCTTCTTTCGAGTCCACAGGCTGGGAGCAGAAATTTGTTCCATTCCTCCCTGGACCTGCTGTTTTCCCTGGTAATCAGAAGAAATGATTTCTCCTCCAAAGAATCTAGAGAGGGCTGGTCTGTGGGCTCCCTACAAATGCAGGCCTCAACAACCTCAGAAGCTGGCATGCCCTTGTGCCTTACTCCCCAAGAAGTCTCCTAATCCAGGCTGTGACCTAGCCTGTTGGCCTGCCACAGAGACCTCCAATGCAGCTGCTAATAGCTCAGATTGTCACTTGTTGCCCAGAGTCATCAACCCAGGGCCACAGAAGGGGCCCCTGCAGGGAACTCAGGACCCAGATTTCTTGTCTCCCATCTCCAATACCCCATACCTCTGTGTCAACATCACTCATGTTGAGGCTCAAGGATCCACTAAAGGTGGGATTCTCCTTTCTCTGGGCTATTCCAAACTTGGACTTTCACCACAAGCAGACATTTTACCAAGAGGCAAAAACCAGCTAAATGGTCTTCACTGGACCTTGTTCCTACAGAATACCATGTCTAGCAACACCTGATTATGACCTGCTCCACTCCTGCCCTTTGTGCAAGGGTGCAGACCCTCAGTCTTTAAATAGTCCAGGGCCTCTAAGTGTGGTCACTCAGTCTCTGGGGCAAAGAACTGTTCTCTTCCCTGTACAGGTTCCATGACCTGATCACCAGGTGACCATTCTGAGGCATTCTGCTGTATTTTACTGCTCTCCTCAGGAAAAAGATATAGGCCAGAGCTGACAGCCACTCTCAGCTCTCTAACCCCCCAATTTCGGCTTACTGAGGATGTACAGTCACCACCAGAGTCACCAAAGAACAATTTTTTCTGCTGTCCTTTCATAGAAAAAATAAAAAATTAGCAGACCTAATTTCAAGGCAGAGCAGATTCTCATTAGAAGTGTGCAGATATGAGATGTGAGGCCGGGCACAGTGGCTCATGCCTGTAATCCCAGCACTTTGGGAGGCCAAGGATCATTTGAGGTCAGGAGTTTGAGACCAGCCTGGCCAACATGGTGAAACCCTGTCTCAACTAAAAATACAAAAATTAGCTGGGCTGTAGTGGCACGGACCTGTAATCCCAGCTACTCAGGAAGCTGAGGCAGGAGAATCGCTTGAGCTTGGGAGGTGGAGGTTGCAGTGAGCCAAGATCACGCCATTGCACTCCAGTCTGGGTGACACAGTGAGACCCTGCCTCAAAAAAAAAAAAAAAAAAAAAAAAAGAAGTGTGCACATGTGAAATGTCCTCTTCCCTCTGCAATGTGTATCATTTATCATCTTCTAGTGATGGATTCGCAGGTTCTCAAAGAACTCTGCTCGGGAACAATAGAAAATAGCAATAACCTATACACACAAGATAAAAGTCACCAAAAGCTCTCCCTTCAACAACAAAAAAAGAAAATTGATTCCTCCCTCATCCCAGACACTCACAGCGTTACCCACCAGGAAGGGAAGGATGCTGTGTTTGGCTTTCAGGGTGACCATTTAGCTTTTCTACAGCACAGCTCCCAAACCACCCCCATCATACACAATGCCTCTCATATCCTATGACCTCTTCCTGCTGGACAGGTCTGCAGCTCCTTGTAGTGTGTGAGGGTTAATTTTATGTGTCAACTTTACTGGGCCACACAGTGCCCAGATATTTGGTCAAATTTTATTCTGGGTGTGCCTATGAGGGTGCTTTGAAATGAGATTGATATTTAAATCAATAAACTGAGTAAAGTGGATTGCCCTCCCTAATGTGGTGAGCTTCATCCAATCCACTGAAGGCCAGAATAGAATATAAGGGCTGATTCTTCCTCGAGTAGGAGAGAATTTTTCCTGCCTGATGATCTTCAAACTGGGGTGACAGTTTTTTCTTGCTTTTGGACTCTGAGCCCAGCTTGCTAACGGCAGATCGTTACATATATATAAGCTCTATGTGTATACACACACATATGCCCCTACATTTGACCCTTGAAAAACATGGGTTTGAACTGCATGGGTTCACTTATACTCAGATTTTCTTCTACTTCTGCCACCCCTGAGACAGTAAGACTAATCGTTCTCTTTCTCCTTCTTAGCCTACTCAATGTGAAGACAATGAGGATGAAGACCTTTATAATGATCCACTTCCACTTAATGAGTAGTAAATGTATCTTGTGTTCCTTATGATTTTCTTAGTAAAATTTTCTCTAGCTTACTTTATTGTAAGAATACAATATATAACACATATCTCATACAAAATATGTGTTAACTATGTTATCAGTAAGGCTTCAGGTCAAAAATATGTTACTAGTAGTTAAGTTTTTTGGGAGTCAAAAGTTTTGGAAGGTCAACAGTTATAAACAGATCTTCAACTTCTCAGAGTTTGACTCCCCTAACCCCCACATTGTACACACACACAGACATATACACATATGTATATATTTTTCATTGGTTCTGATTCTGTTTCTCTGGAGAACCCTAATAAAGAGCATTGGGAATCTCTTCATTACATGGCTTCAGAAAAGCTCAGTCTGGGTCATGGCCTGCAGAGTGCCAGTGAGCTCACAGCAGCCTCTGAGAATGCCAGGTGGGAAGCCAAAACATGTGTATTCTCATCCAGCTCTACCACCTACTCCCTCTTAATGGGTGATCACCTTTCTGGGCCTCACTGTGCCATCACTAATAGGAAAGAGTGAGAGAAATAATCCCTCATGTCCTTTCATTTCCAGCATTTTATCTAAGTGTCATGAAGGCTGAACCCTGATCTGTCATGTCCACTGCCTACTGTCTGGCTGGCACAATGTCTGGACACAGTAGGTGCCCAGCGAGAAGTTGTTAAATGAATGGAGGGAGGAATATTTGGATGGATGATTGGATAAAGAGATGGATTGATGGATAGATGGATGAAGGGATGGATGGTTGGATGGTTAGATAAAGGGATGGATGGATGGATGGATGGATGGATGGATGGATGAATGGATGGATGGATAGATGCTTGGTTGGATGGATGATGGATAGATGAATGGTTGGATGGATGTTTGGGTGGATGGATGATGCATGGATGGATGGATGGATGGATGGATGGATGGATAGATGGATGGATGGTTGGATGGATGATGGATGGATAGATGGATGGATGCTTGGGTGGGTGGGTGGATGGATGGATTGATGGGTGGGTGGATGGATGGATGAGTGGCTCAATGAAGCTGATTACTCTGTACCCTTGTTCTTTTATTTGTTCTCATTATACTCTAGTGTTTCAAATCAATGCACTGTGATCCCCAGTAGATCTAGTTGGTACCTGTCGATAAGAGTAGAGATTGTCAGGCACATGTGCTGCTATATACTTGTACAAGTGCCTGAGTTTATAGTATAGAGTGAGGATGGGGAAGTGGTGAACAGAGACTGGACATGGGCCATGTTCCATTCACAGTTCTAAGCAAGTGAGCACAGAATTTGAAACTTTTTGGTGTAGACCTTCTTCTGAGCCAGTCTAGCTAGGAACAGACTTCTCAGCAGCTGAGTTTTCCTAGGACTTCCCTGGTTCTCCTGCCTATCAGAAGTTAGTCCTGAGGGATCCCAGTCTTGGACTTCACCAGTAGCAGAAATACTGGTCAGGGCCAGCCTTAGATTTATCCTGGTCTACGAGCACATGAGCTCACTTATGGCAACCCTTTGTTCTCCAGCATTATTATAGGATGTGTTGATCCACAAAGGTGGTTTTCCAGTCCACAAAAATCTTATAAAGTTTGAACAAAACTTTAAGCGTTTTAGCCATTTTTGATAAAAGCACTGAAATATGGGTGCACATTACCATACTTCTGAGTAAAGAATTCTGCCTTAGTTATAAACACGATAGTAACTCAGTGTGAGCTTCGGGAGTGGGAGTTGTCCTAGCACTGCCCAGACCCCTCTCAGGTGATGTGCTGGTGCGCAGAGCAATTTCCTCAACATGCAGATGGCTATGAGCTTTTGAGTTCTTGGCCTACGTTAGATAATTCCAAGCTGCTGTCATCTCTTGTTGCAGCCCTAGGTCTTAAGCTACCAAGTCTGATCCATTCTGATTTTCTGCATCCAGCCTGTGGCAGCCTGGAAAAGCAGTTTGCAACATTTGTTGGAAATTTATCGAAAGTCACAGTCTTCAACAGGCTCTGAGTAAGAGTTGGAGAGACTCTTCTACATTAAAAATACCCACACAAAAAAGCATTAGCAGGTGGACACTGTGACCTCTAGTTTACTTGCTTGAGAATTTTTTTTGCACACAGCTTTGAGTTCAACACTATATTCCACAGGATCATAATCCCTGAGAGTTTAATGTTTCAGGGAGCCTGAGCTCATTCACAATATATAATCATTTGCTCATCCTACAAGTATGCACTGAGTGTTTATGTGGCAGACGCTATTCTAGGAGCTGAGAGCCCTGCAAAGACAAAGTTCCTGCATGATGGAACTTACATTTTAGCAGGAAGGACAAAAAAAAGAGTGAAACATACACAAATAAATATAACAAACAGTTTATATGACTAGGTAACAATAAGTGCTCTGAAAAACAAAACAGAGCAAGGGGGAAAAGAGAGAGGCTTGGACAGGGAAGACCTCTCTGAGAAGGCAGCATGTCAGCAGAGACTACACTAACCAAACTGATGGCAGCTCGTGCGAATGTTTGAAGGAACAGCTTTCAAGGCCAAGGGAAGAGCAAGAGCAAAGAATCCACCTTGGAAAACCCAGAGCGTGTTCTGGGACCATGAAGAAGGCCAGTGTGCTACAGCAGGATAAGTGAGGAGGACAGGGGAAGAGCATGCAGAAGGAAGGATAGCCTGGCCACGTAGGGTTTTTGGGGGTCACCTAGGGACTTGGGTCACCATTGTACAGCCACATGCAAACTGAAGGCATCAGTGTGGGTGGCTCAAGTATAAGGCCCTTGCTGGATCCAGACAAAAGATGATCGGAGCTTGGATACTGCAGCAAATGGAAGTGGAGGGAAAGTGGGATTGTGGACATACCTTGAAGAGAAAGTCAACAGGATTTGCCAGTGGAGACAAAGAAGATTCAAGGATATGAATTTCTACAAAAGTAACTTTCCTGACAAAGCAGTTTTGGGGTCCAATAAGTTAGAATCTTTACGTGGAAATGCCAGGACTGGTTTCTCAACCCTGGCCCTGCCACCATTTTGCACT
Organism: Homo sapiens; assembly: GCF_000001405.40. Classification (NCBI taxonomy): domain Eukaryota; kingdom Metazoa; phylum Chordata; class Mammalia; order Primates; family Hominidae; genus Homo; species Homo sapiens. The sequence goes on from NC_000005.10 coordinate 6,541,455, forward strand.
GGGTAGTTCTTTGTTGTGTGAGACTCTCCTGTGCACAGGATGTTTAGCAGCTTCCCTGGCCTCTACCCATTTGCTGCTAGTAGCACATCTCCCCTCCAATTATGACAACCAAAAATGTCTCCAGACATACATTGGTGTTCATAGCAGCACTATTTGCAATAGCCAAGGGGCAGAAATAATCCAAATGCCCATCTGTGGAAAAGTGGGTAAACAAAAGCAGTCTATCCATACAATAGAATATTATTCATCCATAGAAAGGAATGAAACACCGATCCATGCTGTAATGGGGATGAAACTCGAAAATATAATGCTAAATGACAGAGGCCAGATACAGAAGTGTGGACAGTGTGTGATTCCATTTATATGAGCTATCCAAGGTGGGTAAATCATAGAGACAGAATGCACACTGGAGGTTGCCAGGAGCTAGACAGAGTGAAAATACAGAGTATCTGCTTGATGGGGATGGGTTTCCTTTTAGTCGAAAATGTTTTTGAACTAGATAAAAGTGGTGGTTGCACCAGGTGCAGTGGCTCACACCTGTAATCCCAGCACTTCGGGAGGCCGAGGCGGGCAGATCACCTGAGGTCAGGAATTCGAGACCAGCCTGGCCAACATGGTGAAACCCCGTCTTTACTAAAAGTACAAAAATTAGCCGGGCATGGTGGTAGGCACCTGTAATCCCAGCTACTCAGGAGGCTGAGGCAGGAGAATTGCTTGAACCCAAGAGGCAGAGGTTGCAGTGAGCTGAGATTGTGTCACTGCACTCCAGCCTGGACAAGAGCGAGACTCCGTCTAAAAAAAAAAGTGGTGATTGCACAGCACTGTGAATGTGCTCAACTGTGCTCAATGCCATTGAGTAGTTCACACTAAAATGGTTAATTTCGTGTTATGTGAATTAATTTCACTTCAATTAAAAATATATATATATATACCAAGCAAAATAAAAATATCTACAAAGATTGCCAAATGTTCCTGGGGAAGAAAAATTGCCCTTGGTTGGGAACCAATGGTTTAGACTCAACTATGTCCAGACAGATCCTAAACCAGAACCGTGGCCTGGAGGCCTCGGGGGGAGTCCCCTTGGGGCTGTGAGCCTCTGCGCCCCCCTTCAGAGAGAAGGGTGTGGGTCAGCTCACCCAGCCAGCTGCCCCTGTCAGGCCAGGTGATGGCGAAGCAGGGGTGATCCCAGTGGAAATGCAGGTGGCTAAAGGGGATGATGTCTTCCTGCTGAGACTCAGCAATGGTTGTTGTTCACCAAGGTAAGAAAAGATGGCCTTGGGGTTGTTAGTTTGTCTCAGCAGTCCTGACCTCACCCCTTCTCCAGCTGCATGGGGCCCCACCCCACAGAGCTCCTTCAGCCACACCTGCTCAGCACAGCAAGCTGCTCTCAGACACTCTGGGTTCCAACTGGCTCCTCTTCTGGAGGAGACACGAAGCCATTCAGAGCATTCTGGTGGTACCATCTGGCAGGCTCAGTTAAGGAAATAGGGAAGAAAAGTTTTTCCAGTTAGGGCCAAAAGAAAATGCGGCGTATGTCTTACAATTGCCCACTTTGGAAATTCCCCAGCCAGACTTGAGGGCCAGGTGCCCTGTGCAGCGGGTAAAGCAGGAATGTCCTTACCAAGAAATGCACCGTGCCCCCCAGACAGGACTACTGAAGACCCGAGATGCTGGCTGTGCCAAAGTCCTCCCTTGGTCCTTGGGCTGCTCCATGGTCCCCTCAGAGTGCATGGAGCACAGCATAGGGAGCCCCGGTTCCACAGAGGTCACAGTGGGAGGGTGTCACTGTATGCCCGGTGGCACAGGTGGGCACCCTGAGGTGGGAAGTGGGCAACCACTGAGCACCTCAGTAGGCCTGCTGATGGAGGAAGATGAGTTTGATGTAAGGAACTCGGCCGACACAACTCTGCCAAAAGGAGGATGTCATGAAGTGTGGCTCTGCCCCCACAGTCCTGGTGGGGCTCAGCAGGGAGGGTCTCCCAAGCTGAAGGTCACAAACCCAGCGCCAGCCCCCACACCATCTCACCTACTCACCCTTATTGGGGGTGATGTCAAAAGTGGCCTCTGGAAGGGCAGTCCCTCCTCACCAGCTCCCTGCACAGAGCCCCCCTCCTAGGGAGTAGGACCCTGAAATGGAAACACATCCCCAACGGCATCCTGGCTCAGGGACCTGCCCTCTGCCGTGGTTGGAAGTTGGATGCTTTCTGCTTATTCTACTTAGATCTTGTCAAAGTCACTGTGACATCTTCAAAAAGGGACAGAAGAGGGTCGGGATGAATGGGACTAAGTGTTTCCTTCAGTTTGGGCCCTGTGATGGATGGAATGTTTGTGTCTCTCCAAAGTTCACATGTGGAAGCCCTAAACACCAGCGTGATGGTACGTGGAGGTGGGCTCTTTGGGAGGTAATTAGGTTTAGATGAGGTCGTGAAGGTGGGGTCCTGATGGGGAGACCAGTGTCCTTATAAGAAAAAGCAAGAGAGCTCTTTTATCCCTCCTCTGTCTCTCTCTCTCTCCCCCACTCCATGTTTACACACACACACACGCACACACACACACACACACACACACAGAGAGCAAGGTCACATGAGGACACAGGCCATCTACAAGCCAGGAAGAGGGCCCTCACCAGAACTCGGCCATGCAAAAAAGTATTTTATCCACTCTGTAATGTATCCACTCCCTGCTCCTCAGAATGTAAAACGGTCATGGGCTCCTGGCATCCCTGGGGGTCTTGCATCCCAGAAACACCGAAAGAGCAAACGGTCCACCAGGATGGAGTTCACAGGCATCTTTAGCACCTGTTCATCCCCTTCCTGGGCCATGAAACTTCCCTCTGGTCTGGTCCCTGACCCCAACCCCAGCCCCAGCCCCGTTCCCTCCAGCGCCTTCCTGGCCTCCATTCCTGGCCCTGGTTGCCTTCATCTCATAGCCCTTCCAAATGGGCCCTCTGCCTGGGCTCTAAGTAACCAGTGGGAAATCTAAAGGGGGATGCGTTGAATTCAGGGGTGAATGACTCGTGGTTACTTCACATAACTCCCCTCTGTAGTGGGCAAATTGTGCCCCCGATAGATTTGCTGAAGCCCCAGCCCCTTTTACCAGTGGATGTGACCTATTTTAGGAAATAGGGTCTTTGTGGATGTCATCAAATTAAGGTGTCATACTGGACACGTAATCCAATGACTGGTGTCCTAGGAGGAGAGAGAGGTCTGCAGGCAGAGACAGGATGGGCAGTCACATGAAGATGGAGGTGGAGACCGGAGCCCTGCGGCCACAGCCAAGGAACACCATGGGCAGCCAGCACCCTCAGAAGCCAGAGGAAGAGGAAGGAACCCCCCCACCGTCCCCACCCTCAGAGGGAGTGCTGGCCTGCCAACACCGCCATCCCAGTTTTCTGGTGTCCAGAAATGTGAGAGAACAAATTTCTGTGGCTTCAAGTCACCCAATTTGTGGTAATTGGTTACAGCTGCCCCAGGAAACAAATCCACACTCTGTGACATCATTGGTGCGTTCATTAGAATTGTCAGTAACCGTCACCAAAGAACAAGTAACATGGGAATGGGGAAACGTTTTGGGGATGTAGAGCCTCTGGTGCCCCTGAGACCACAACCCTCATGCCACCCACACCACACCTGCACTGGCTATGTGCCGGCGTCTGGGGTCCTTTCACCCAGCCATCACCATCCCCACTGGGTCCCCTGCACAGGACTCTGTGATCCCATGAGGCCTGGTTCCTTCTCCACGAGATCAGTGCCAGCACCTTCCAGACACAACTCATCCAACTCCCTGACCTGGACTGCCTCCCTTAACTTGTCTCTACCCCTGCCCACCCCTGTCGCCAAAGGAGCTGGAATGGGTGTCCCAGCACCAGCATTGGTGCATCCTGCAGACAAGCTGGCTGGGGAGTCTACGGAGGCCAGTGTCGTGCCCCTACCCTGCTCCTGTGACCTCGGCAGCCTGCACTCTCCTGGTCCTCCTGTGGGCTCTTCAGTGCCCCTTCCCCTGAGCCTAGGACCTCCCAGGCCTCCAGCAGGACCTTTCGTCACCTCACCCTCTGCTCTGAAGCGTCATTCCCTCCTTTCTCCCATGAAAAGTTGACCATTCCCAGAAGGCATCACATTGCCCGGAGTCCTCCGTTCTCTCACACCCAGTTCCACCAGTGCGAGTGGAGTGGGCCGACTCCCCTGTACTCCTCACGGTGTAACTGAACCCAGGCTCAGCTGCTCACCACTCAAAAGCCAAAAGTCAAGAGATAAGAGTTGGCGGGAGGAAAAGCAGGTTTATTCGGAGAGCCAGAAAACCAAGATAGTGGCCGACTAGCGTCCTAAAGCACCATCGTAAGTCAGTTCAAATTTTAGGCCTTTGTAGGTTAAGGGCAGGTGGAAAAACGGGGATTGGGAACAAAAGGGAATGACAGCTGCAGACACCGGGGCACCAGGGAGAGTCAAAGCAGGTGGGGAAAGTATTTGTGCTTGATCAGGCAGCCGTGCTCCTATAAACCCTTAACAAAACATCGTTGTTTACATACTTTCCCTTTCATCCCAGAGTGAGTTTTTAGAACTCCTCGACTGCTGTTTCTGCATATGATCTCAGTGCTCTAAAATTATCCTAGCCTACATGCAGGAATGGGGGTAGAGATCCCTTAAACAAAAGTGGAGTTCGTTATGTCAGTTCTTTTGCAGTTTCACTGTGACAGCTGCCCCCGAAGACCGCTCCCCTGCCCAGGTCCTCGGAGCTCTGTGCTTTGCCCTCTTACCATTGCCATCCCCGCAGCCTGCTGTGTGAAGTGGGCTTCTGGGCCCAGCAGCAGCAGCCTTCCCTGAGAGCCTGTGGGAAATGCTGAGTCTCAGGCCCCGCCTCGGTCCGGAGAATCAGAACTTGAATTTATCACGGCCCCTGGCGGTCTCTGCACCTGCAGACCGTGCGCCACACACACTGCTTCTTCCTCCACAATTTCTGAGGACACCAGCACCCACGTCATCACCCACATCCATGCTCCTGGCAAATCCCCAAGCCAGTTAAATCCAATTTCCCCAACTCTGCTCCTACGTCTGGGTAGCTGAATATAGCTAGAAAAATAGCACTTACCACGCCAGCCTCATTCAACCTCACAGCCAGGGACATCCACTGGGCCCTGGCACTGCCCAGCACCCAACGTCATGCCTCTCCTTGCCTCAGGCTCCTGTCTCCACTGCGACTCTTCCCACTCCCAGCTGACCATCCTGCTTCTTGATTGAGAAAGAGAAAACTGACCCTGCCACAGAATTGACAACCTACTTGCATGTGTGCCCCTCCTCTGCCTTCAGTTCCCACGAAGGAGGCTGAATTCTCTGTGTGCCACTTGTGCATGGGATCCCACCTCCTCTTTTCCTCTTTTTTTTTTTTTTGGAGATGGAGTCTCATTCTGTCGCCCAGACTCCAGGCTGGAGTGTAGTGGCACAATCTCCGCTCACTGCAACCTCCGCCTCCCAGGTTCAAGCAATCCTCCCTGCTTCAGCTTCCCAAGTAGCTGGGATTACAGGCACCTGCCACCACGCCCAGCTAATTTTTGTATTTTTTAGTAAAGACCGGGTTTCACCATGTTGGCCAGGCTGGTCTTGAACTCCTGACCTCAGGTGATCCACCCACCTCGGCCTCCCAAAGTGCCACCTCCTCTTTTACACCCAGAGACTTCACCTCACAACTGAGCCTCAGCACTGGGCCATCTGAGACTCAGTGCAGGGGTGACTGAGCCCTGGGGCTGGGATGACTGAGTCCCAAACCTGCCCCTTCCCTTCCCTTTCCACTCCAGCTCCCTGCAGTGCAGACTTCACTGTATGCAGCAGCCACGAGCCCTTCTCTTCCCCACTCCAGGCCACCTGGGGCACATGGTCCTTCCAGCCCAGCTCAGCCATTTGGTCCCTGAGGAAGCTGAGCACTTTTTGGTTTGGGCCCAGGTACTTCAGAATCTGACCTCCAACTCCAATGCTTTCCCCCTAGGCACAGAGGACTCTGCTCCTTCCTCTCTTTTTTCACTTCGTGGAACCTAAATGGACTCCCCCAATACTTTCATCTCCAGCCATGAAGGCTGAGGACCATCTCTTCACTCTACAAACCTCCAGGTGGCTGCTACGTGCAGGCCCCGGTGCCTCAGTCCTTGGAGGTTGTCTTTCCTTATCTTCCCACCTGTCTACTGTAGCTACTCTGGTCTTTTCCTAAGAGCTCCTAAATTGCTTCACCCTCATTGTTTTCAGGTTCCCAACTCCAAGGCTCCCAAACTCCAGTCTGAACCACCACAGTTAGCACAGTGAGTGTTTGCACTCCCACCTCACAGATTGTGGTCTCCCTGGAGTCCTCGTTGTTGGGGGGCTTCAGGTCATTTACAAGCAACCTGGGAAGAAAAGGAAGAGGGAGGCAGGAGGAGGAAAGAAACGCCAGGCAGATCCGGTGTGAGGTACATTATGACACAGAAGCATCAGCTGAATGGCTCGGGTCAGTTTCATCTTTTCTGACCCCCGTTGACTCTAGAATCATCTGCAGCAATTTTGTTGGTTGGTAACCTGAAGTTTCATTTTTCTTCTCTAAGCTCCCTGCCCAGGCCAATGCATGTGAAGGAATTTTTGCATCTGGCTTCTCTCTTGGTTTTCACTGGTCACATTAAACATAGATGGAAGGCCGCCCACAGGCAGAGCCTAGGGCAGACACCTGCCAAATAACCACAGCTGCCGAGTCCCCACCCAAATCTCATCTTGAATTGTAGCTCCCATAATTCCCACGTGTTGTGGGAGGGACCCAGTGAGAGATAATTGAATCATGGGGGCGGTTTTCCCCATACTGTTCTCATAGTAGTGAATAAGTCTCACGAGATCTGATGGTTTTATAGGGGGTTTCCCCTTTCACTTGGCTCTCATTCTCTCTTGCCTGCTGCCATGTGAGATGTGTCTTCCTTTCCCTTTGCCATGATTGTAAGTTTCCTGAGGCCTTCCCAGCCACGTGGAACTGTGAGTCAATTAAACCTCTTTCCTTTATAAATTACCCAGTCTCAGATATGTCTTTATCATCAGTGTGAGAACAAACTAATATGCCAGCCTGGCCAGACCTCTGCTCCAAAGTGCATGAGAAGGAAACGAGAGACGAGTGAGAGCTTCTACTTTCCTGCCTCTCACAATATTTCTGTCTGTGGAAGGGGGCAGCGCCAATGAATATTGATTACTACTGAGCCTTTCCACCCCAGTAGCATCAAAGGGGATGTTAGAGAAATAAGAAGATTATATCGAAAGGAAGTTCTGTTTTCCCAGGAAGAAAAGATTTTCACTTCACTTACTGGGCTTTGTTCGTAGCTGCAGTAGGGAAGGAAAACTTGCAGTTTGGAAAATGTTGGGGGAAAATTCCCTGCATGTTCCTTTAAGAGCCTCGTTTTTAATAAAAGTATTCTCTCTTTTCTTCTGCAGCTATTCTGTAAAATGTATCATCAGAGAGGAACCTATATAACCTTCACATCACCATTTTATCAGCACTCAGCATTTTTCAAAGACCTGATGGATATAAATACTTCACAACAACTTTTTTATTGCATTCTAAGCACGAACAAGTTTCCAAAGAAATCTATGATGTCTGTGACCTCCAATGTAGCTAGAAGCGATGGGTGGAAGATGAAATGGCTTGTTCCAAGTCGTAAAGCAAGCAGCAACAAAGCTGGACTGGGGCTCCGTCCCTTCCAGGCCATTTAATCTACTGCCACTTTCAAGGTGTATTCCTGCCCAAATCTAGAAAACATCTCACACGAATGGGGAAGGCCTGAGATATGTACACTGAGCAATACTCACAGCGGAGGCGGAATGCCTTCTCCCCATCCAGCTTTCAAATGCTTGCACTCTCCCTTCAAAGCCTCGGTCTCACAATTACCTTTCAGCGGTAATTTCACAATTGTGTGTGTCCTGGCTAGGCTTGGTCTCTCTCCTCTCGCTCTGTACACCACGATTTACTTTGGAACCCATCTTAATGAAAAGGGAGGAGAATTGGAACAAGAACAGGGTGAATTCCTACAGGCAACATGCTACACCTATAGCCCAGTGGGCTTTCTCTTCCCTCTTTTTCATCTCCCAAATCAAGTCTGTCCAAAAATTTGGTGAATGCTTCCTTTGAAAGGACTGTTTAAAAACAGCCATACACTTCACCCACTTAAAGTGTACAATTCAATAGGTTTTAGTATACACAGATATGTGCAACCACAATCATTTTTAGAACATTTCATCACCTCAGGAAAGAAATTCTTTATCTTTAGCCATGCCCCCCGCCCCTCAGCCACCCCCAGACTCCTAAGCAACCACTAATCTACTTTTGGATCTATAGATTTTACTCTTCTGGACACGTCATATAAATGGAATCACACAATATTTGTCATTTTATGACTGGCTTCTTTCACTTAGCATAATGTTTTCCAGGTTTGTCCATATTGTAGCTCGTATCAGTATTTCATTTTTCAAGGCCAAATACTATGCCACTGTATAGGTAGACCACATTCTGTTTATACACTCATCAGGTGATAGACACTTGCATTCCTTCCACCCTTTAGCTATTATGAATAATGCTGCTGTAACTTGTCATATGTGCAAGTTTTTGTGCAAACATATATTTTCATTTCTCTTGGGCATATACCTAGGAGGGGAACTGCTGGGCCATATGGTAACTGTGTTGAATCCTTGAAGGAGCTACCAGATGGTTTTCTGAAATGGCTTCACCATCCTACATTCCTACCAGCAGTGTATGAAGTCCGATTTCTCCATGAAATGACTTTTTTTTTTTTTTTCGAGATGGAGTTTCACTGTTGTTGCCCAGGCTGGAGTACAGTGGCACCATCTCGGCTCACTGCAACCTTCACCTCCCAGGTTCAAGCGATTTTCCTGCCTCAGCCTCCCAAGTAACTGGGATTACAGGTGCCCACCACCACACCCGGATAATTTTTGTATTTTTAGTAGAGATGGGATTTCACCATGTTGGCCAGGCTGGTCTTGGACTCCCGATCCCAAGTCATCCACCCACCTTGGCCTCCCAAAGTGTGAAATGACTTTTAAGTATACCAAATACTCATTCCTGATGCCACTATCTAAGCCCAGGCCCTCCAACCTCATGACTGCTGTTCTGGATTTCCCCTGCAGTCCACACCAGCAGCAGAGCTGCTGTCCCACCAGCCCCACACCAACATTTGCACAACCCTTGAACAATATTCAGGGTAGAGCGACTGCTGCTACCCATGAGCCTCCATCATCCAGGCTAAGACTCAGCCACAGTCACAGCAAACATTCCCCTCCCAGCTCACCTCCTCCCAGCATGAGACTCTGCCTCTAGCCCATGCCTGAGGTCCCCATGTCATGCCCCAGGGCAAGAAATTCCCAGCCTCTCAGCAGCCTCTCATGTCTTCTCAACACCCACTCGCCAAAAGTGGCCACCATCCTTACTCTCCACGGAGCTGGGGTTTCTGGCCACTGCAGCGTGCGTTCTTTGGGCTGCTTCTTTGGCTTTTCTCTGGGCCCAGGCCCTAACTGGCTCCCTTCGATGAGTCTGCTCTCCTCACCTATCAAGGGCCGCTCCCCTCATCGTTCCAGTGCACACCATTCCACATCCATGAGGAGTCACAAAACTACTCCATCAATGACCCCTCCCCTCTAAGCTCCTACTGCACCGTTGGGCTTTTTATTACATGTCCTTAAATAGTATTGCACAAATAGGTCACAGTGCCAAGATAGTTTTTGTTCTCCTGAATATCATGGTAGCCCCCTGGGAGGTAATGATGGTGTCCTGTGGATACTTTTCCCATGTCAGGGTGACAGAAAGTGGATATAGTAATATAGTAACGTCTGCAGTGGACATTTATTGTGTTGCATTCCACTGCAATGAGCTACATGTTACAGTTGGAGCAGCTCAGCAGCTAGTGAGGCAAGCCGGTGATGATCTGGGAGACGTGCCTATATGGGAAGTATGGCGTATGGGTGTGGGAGGGGCCTGTGGTCCCAATTTCACCCTCGCATAGCATGGTGAGGACTGAGACCCAACATGACCACAGGCTTGGCCCAGGTTACACAGCAGGTGATTCATCCAAGGCTGAACAGCTGGTAGCCTCGGCTCACTGCCTATTCCCTGGCAGGATGCTCAGAACACTGTGCTGGTCTCCCCCGCCAGCCCAGGAAGTCTCCATGATCCAACCAGCTGGCACATCTTGCCCAAGCCCCACTGGCCTCCTCTGTACCAGCCAACTCACCTCCTTGTGAGTCCCCTAAATACACAAATTGTGTCCCTTCTCCACGCCTTTGCCCAGGCTGTGCCCTCTGCCTGGAGGGCCGTCCTTCCCGGCCTTGCGGATCTACTGTGCTTCTGGGCATCAGGGTCACCTCCTCCGAGAGGCTTCTGAACAGCCTGGCTGAAACGGCCGCTGTCTGGCTGACTCCCCGGGCTCTGCACGGTGTCTGGCATGATGTGATCTTTCTCTTGTGTGTTCACCTACTTCCCCCCGCCCCCGCCCCCATGCTGAAGGGAAGCCCCTCCACAGGAGCCCGGCCTCATCTGTGTCCCATAACCATCATATCCACAGCACCTCTCGCACCTGCATATAGCAGGTGTCAAATAAGTGATTCTATGAAGGAAGCCACTCGCACTCTGCCATCTGGAGACCTTCAGCACCGACAGCTGAAGGGATATGACTTCTTGGCAGGAATATTCCAGAAGTGAAGCAGAAAGAGCTTATGGGGAGCAGAGGAGTGGCTTGGGCCACGGCGCATGGTCACAAGGGCATGCCACAGTCCTACTGCTCATGACTTCACACAGATTAACTTATTCAACATGGGCAGTGACCCTCTGTAGTACTCACCTTAGTCTCCTTTTACAAATAAGGAAACTGAGGCACAGAGGGGATTGAAACGCGACTGAATCACACAGCAAGCAGGCAGTGTAGCCAGGTTCAAAGCCAGGTGGGACCCTTTGCCACGAGCCTCCTCTCTGCTGGTCTCTGCCATCTGCCTCCCTGTTTGCAAAATCAGTGAAAGCATGAAAAATAAAAAAGGCTCAGAAAGCCATCCCTGGCCTTTATTCTGATCCCAGCCAACATCATCCAATTGCACGTTCAGAACTCTGGGCCATCTTTCAGCTCTGGCCCCACAATGCGTTTTCATTTCATCGTTGGTTAAAAACAGGCATTCTGCAGTCAGCTAAAAGGAAGCCAAGGCTGAAGACACCTCTTTTGTCTGACACACTCACCTTGATGTCCGGGGAGAGTAGTGCACATGAGACTCCAGACCTGTGTCCAGGGCTGCACAGGGCAGAGTTGACCCTCTGGGATGCCAATGTGGAGCAGGTTTCTCTGGGTATCATCATTGGTCTTTGGGCATCAGCGGTTTTCATGACCTCTGATCAGTGTCACCACCCGGGGAACTTATGAGCATTCCCTGTCCCAGAGAACCCTGCTCCGTGGGCCTGGGCATCAGCATGTAAAGACTCCCTGGTGTGCAGTCAGGGTCAGAGGCCACAGGCTGGACGGGCTCTCGCGCTCCCCTAACTCCCCAGTTGCAATGTTTCTACATTTTCTATCCAGAAAAATGAACGCAATTCCCAAATAGCTGCTCTGGTCTGGCAAGGGAGAGAAGTCAATAAACGTATTCAATATTTAGCCGCCATCTCCTGTGCACAGAGCCCTGTGCCACCATGGCATGGGGACAGCGGGGAACTGGGCAGAGTGACACGGCCAGTCCCGAGCAGCCACGGGCCCTGAATACCCGCACAGCTCTCCACTGCTCCCCCGCCAGTAAATGACAGTTCGTAAATAAACATTAAGAAAAGTGTCATCCCAGAGGACTTGCCAAAAATGCAGAGAAGGCACTCATCTTCCCGAGACTCAAACCCTCCAGCACCTTTGGGCTGAGTGATGCTGTCATCCTGCGAGGGTCGAGGGTGGGAGACGGGGAGGGAAAAGAAAAGGATGAGAGCAGAAAGGAGATAAGAAGGGAGGCAGGAAGTCAGTAAGGGAGGGAATGAAGGAAACAGAGGGAGGGAGAGAGGGAGGGATCTTATGAATGTTGGTTGCACGTGGAGGCCGGTTGGCATTGGGGAGGGAGAAGGGGAGAGAAGCCAAGCTGAAAGGGAGATTTTTTGTTTTTTTTCGAGAAGGTCTCCCTCTGTCACTCAGCATGGAGTTCAGTGGCACAATCTCAGCTCGCTGCAACCTCTGCCTCCCAGATTCCAGTGATTCTCATGCCTCGGCCTCCCCAGTATGTTGGATTACAGGCATGCGCCACCACGCCTGGCTAATTGTTTGTATTTTTAGTGGAGATGAGGTTTTGCCATGTTGGTCAGGCTAGTCTTGAACTCCTGGCCTCCCAAAGTGTGAAAGGGAGATTTTGTGTACACACACACACACACACACACAGCAATAAGTATAATGTGATCACGTTTATAAATCAGTATAGAATCATACAAACCTGTGTGCACGTGTAAAAATAAGAATTCCAAGAAGGATTGAGAGAGGGAGGTAAGGAGATCAGGCCTGCTGGAAGGGTCCCCACAGGGACACGTGGCCTCACACAGCTCACGAGGAAGGACTGGGGTCTCTTTAAGGCTGAAGGAGGAGACGGCATGTCCGCCTCCCACACCAGTGAGCAGAGCAGAGTTGCACACTTAGATCTGCAGACACTCCTTGCAGCTGGGCAAGACCCACCCCGGCCCAGCCCAGCGCCTGTCCACCTCTCTGGCTGGGAAGCTCAGTGCTGTGAATGAATCAGACTATCCAGCTTCCCCAGGAGCGCTCCTCCGCTAGAAACTTGGGCGCCCACAAGTTCTGCTTCAGTTACAGATGCCCAACAGGTACCAGATGTGTTTCCCGCTTCCAGGGTGGGACCAGGGCCCCTCACCTGGCTCGTCCTAAGACACTTGGGGAGAGCTTGGCTCCTTTTCAGATCCAGGGGGTGGGAGAGGAACCCAGGAACGCCAGATCTCCTAGGGGCAGCCGGGCCACATTGCCCCACACAGAACATCAGACATGGAAAACATGAATATACAAATTTCCATGGAAGAGATTGGGCTGTACTGAAAAAAGCCCCACACAGCTTTCGGAATTGTCTTTCTCATTCTCCATTTCATTCATTTAAGTTTTATATTAATCTGGCCAGACGCGGTGGCTCACGCCTGTAATCCCAGCATTTTGGGAGGCCGAGGCGGTCGGATCATGAGGTCAGGAGATCCAGACCATCCTGGCTAACACGATGAAACCCCGTCTCTACTAAAAATACAAAAATTAGCCGGGCTTGGTGGCGGGCACCTGTAGTCCCAGCTACTCGGGAGGCTGAGGCAGGAGAATGGTGTGAACCCGTGAGGCGGAGCTTGCAGTGAGCCAAGATCGTGCTACTGCACTCTAGCCTGGGTGACGGAGCAAGACTCCGTCTCAAAAAAAAAAAAAGAAAAGTTTTGTATTAATCCTCTCTCTTTTAATTTCTTAAGGTTTGCATTGTTATTTTGCAAAATTTGTGAAAAGAATTCTAAGTATTCTTATTTTTCCTCTTTCTTCTTTAATCATGAAGGCATTAGAGATGACACATTTCCTGAAAGTGTTATTCTCTCTGACTCACTGATTTTAGCAAGAATTTTTCTCTTTTTATGGTTTCTACATAGTAATTTTCCTTTTAATTCTTTTTTGACCTAAGTGGTATCAAGAAATGTGTTTCTTATATCCAACTATCTTAAGTTATTTATCACTACCTATTTCCAGCTTCACCGGTTTATGATCAGAGACTGCAGCCTGTACGCTTTAATTTTTGGAATGTATTACAATCTTCTTTCTGGCAAAACACTGTTTTTATAAGTGTTCCTTCGACCTAGGGGGAGAAAATGTACATTGCCTTTCAGCAGATCTGTGGCTCTTTTTTACTTAATACATCAAGTTTACTAATTGCGTTCTTCAAATCCTTAGTATCCTGCTTATTTTTGGTATTAATTAGATGTAATTCTGAGAAAGGTAAATGGAAATTCCTCCCTCTCCATTGTATTTTTTCATCAGGTTCTTTCTGCATCTTTAAGCATGTTTGCTTTATGTATTTCTGCTCTACTGTTCAGTACATGCAAATACATTATTATATCATTTCATGAACTAAACCTTTTATCTTTATGTAACATTTAGTGTTTATCTTTGCATGTGTAGCACTTTTAACCTTAAATTTGATATTTTGGATTATCCATTGGTTATGAATGTTATCACTTCTGATTCCTTTCAGCTGGAATTCCCTAGTATCTTTTTGCTCATCTTTTTATCTCAAAACTTCCTCATTTTTTTTTTTTTGACAGGATCTCACTGTATCACCCATGTGGGAGTGTGGTGATGTGATCACAGCCCACCACAGCCTCAAACTCCTGGGCTCAAGCAATCCTACCACCTGGAATCACAGGTGCATGCCACCACAACCAGTTAATTTTTGTATTTTTTTGTAGAGAAGGGATTTTACCATGTTGCCCAAGCTGGCCTTAAACTCCTGAGCTCAAGCGATCCTCCTACCTTGGCATCCCAAAGTGCACAGCATGGGCCACCATGCCTGGTCAAAACTTTATCATTCTAAGTGCATTTCTTGGGTTTTGTTTTTTAACTCAATCACATAATCTGTCCTCTAATGGTACCTTTAATGGTAGAAACTGCTTCACTCTCATTAACTGTAAAGGCTAATGTTCTTGATTTCGTTACTTCAATCTTATTTTCTTAGTACTTACTTAGATTATTGTTTTCCCTGCCTGGGGAGTTTGGGGAGTGAGTCAGCACCTAGACCAGCTCCCTAAGCCTTCCAACCTGCATCTGCCATCTTCCTCTCATTCGCTGCAGGCTCTGGGTCTTGGCAAGCTGGCTGTCTAGACACTAGGGCTTTGGCCAAGATGAGCCCTTCAGAAACTGTTTTTCCAAAAGAGCTTGTGGCGTTCTTGGCAAAGATGAAAAAGAATGGCCTTTCTGCAGCACAGCTCAGAAATGCTCCGAAGAGCAATTGACATTGCAAACTCATTTCCAAGGGCTTCCCTCCAGAAGTCTTCAGAAGCTGGGTTTCCCTGGGAACCGTGCCTTGGCCTAGACAGTCCATGATGGCAACAAATTGAAGAGGTGAAACCTACCTGGCTGCCAAACTTCCTCCATGACTGGTGCTGCACAAATAGACAGGGATGTTCTCAGGGGGCATCAGCTGCATCACGGTCCTTGGGCTGAAGCTCCCAACCTACAATAGCTTGGGCAGGCATCTGGTGGCATTCATGGGGGAACATGGCAAGCCTTGTTGCTCCTCCAAGGGGCTGCTCACGATGGAGTCAGCACCTCTCCCTCCCAGCTGCAGGGGCACCGGAAACACTCACTTTTTCATAGGACACTGTGTTGCCTCCTATGAAGTTGGGTGTCCATTTGTAAGGAAGGTGAGTACATGCTGCACAGGCTTGTGGCAGTGTCTGCCCTGCCCATGAAGAGGCCCCCTCAGAAGGAGATGGGGACCCTTGATACTGCAATGGGGGCCAGGGGCACTGGGCTGCATGAGCTAAGGAGTGAATGTGGCCAGGAAGGGTGGGTGAAAAAGCAGGTGATGCTCTCATGTTGCCAGGAGAAGAAGAGCAAGAGCTCGAGGACAGGGAGAAGGATTTGTCTTCTTAGGATGGTGAGGAGTGGGCACTGTAACTTGGTGCGGGGAGGAAGCCGGGGGAAGATCCTTCAAAAGGGTTTGGGGAGGTGGAACATTGATGAGTAAAACCCTGAGGACAGTGAGGCTGTTAAGCCCACACCCCAGAAGACAGCGGGTGGCTGGGGAGGACCGAAGGTGTGGCCCACCTGCCTCCAGTTCCTGCCTGAGGAAGGGGTGAGTGCTGCAGAGTCACGTGGAGCTGGAGCCCCTTCCCGGTCTGTCCTATGCAACCTTGGCTTGGTGGGGCTTGTTCTGGGCCCTGAGGAGTCCAGCTTCAGGTCAAAACCCTACGTGTGCTCTTACAGGCCCAACCACAGGCAGTGACAAGGCTTCACCAGGAGCCTCCTGGGGGCAGCTGCCCTCTGCTTGTGGAGCTTGGTGCACAGTAAGTGCATTGCATTCTCCTGGGGTTCACTGCAACCAAGGATTCAAGCCCCCGGGGACAGATGCACTCACACACAGACCCAAATTCCAAATTCCTTGACCGAGCTCCTCCACCCAAAACCTCCTCCTAAGAGACCTCAGCTGAGGCACTTTCTCCAGGCTGACTCGGAACTTTTCCACTCCTACCCCTTCCCCTCCCTTCTTCGGATGCCAGGTCCATAAAGAGAGAGGAGTCCTTAGTGTGGGGTCCCTGGGCCGTGAGAAAATTTCCCCATCTGTGCTGGTCCCCCTGACCCTCACCTGGTGCATTTCTTGGGGGAAAAAAATGAACCCCAGGAGCCTGTGCCTGTCACAGTAAGTGCATAAAGGATTGGTGGTCACTTTCACTGTAGCTTATTGTCTTAACTGACCTCCTCAACACCCAATTGCATGACAGTCTCCTTGTTCCTACTGTCAACTAGGGGCCTCTGACCTCTCAGCAGGAGACAGGTGAAAGAGCTGGAGAGAAGGTGACTAGGAACCAGCCTCAAAAGGGGCAGGTGTGGCAGCTAACCGCCATGCCAGGCATTCAAGATGCTCAGCAGACAGAAGCAGAGGCCCCCTCACTGCCCACTTCAGAGCCACTTCCCACCTGAGACCTCATGGAAATGCTCATTCCCTGGAGTGCACTTATTTCCTTCCTTTTGTGTTCACTTCCTGTCAAGGGAGCCATGGCATGACCTCTAGGGCCAGTTTTTAAGCCCAGGCCTTAAAAAAAACAGGATTCCTTTTCCAGTACCTTGGGACCCAGCAGCCATGCTGTGAAAAAGCCCAGGCTACATGGAGAGGCCACACGGAAGTTCTCTGGACAACAGCCTCAGCTGAGGTCCTAACTAACAGCCAGCACCAGCCACCAGACGTGCAAGTGAGGAAGCCTTTGAGACGGTGCTTGCCCGTAATTATCATGTGATTGTAATCACGGAAGAGACCCCAAGCAGGGCCCAGCCAGCTGAGCTCAGTGAACTCCCTAAAGGAGGAGGAAGGGGAATAATATGAGTAAAAATAATGATAAAATTATTGTTTTGCTTTAAGTCACTAAGTTTGGAGTGATGAGATATTCAGCAATAAGAAGTGGTACAAATGGTAGACTAATAAGCATTGTTGAAACTGAAATAGAGTTCATCACTTGTCCCTCTTTGAATAAGACTACTCAGGCATTCCACTTTCATACAAATAGGTTGTACCTCTTCTTAGGAAAACCACTCTACTCTTTTATAAAAAATCACTTTGAATCTCTTTTGAGAGATACCACTAGGTATCACCAATATTGTGTGCTAGAGTGGAAAAAAGTTAGACCATTTAAAAAGTCTTTAAATTTTAAAATGTCCATTTGCAAATATGTCCTAAAGGCCACTCATAATAAATATCTAAGTGAGACTATTCACTTTGTTCATTAATACAGTATTTTCCATCAGATTCTTTCTTTGAGCAACATAAAACTGTTTGCTCAAGGACCGAATATTTGAGCATGAACAGGGTTGCTTTAATAATTAATCATTAAATAACTTCAATATAGAATGTAAGTCAGAGTGAAACATACACGAATACAAACGAACTAGGTTAATAGCATCACTGTGGAAAAGACCTCCTGATGCCGAGAAGGTTAATGTTTGCATGGCAAGAAGTCAGTCACCTCAAAAACCCTTAAAGAGGGTCAGAACGTGTCACCCAATGCCAGGGAACAGGCAAAGTGCAGCTTAATTTTATGGAAAGGAACTTCTTTGCATGTCAGCAGTCTCTTCCTCAAACGGTGAGCATTTACAGAGCAAGAGCACTGGGCCTCAACTATAACAAGTCCTTGATAATGCAATGTTCCTTCTTGTTGCCAGAAAGACAAAATTACAAGAGTTTCAAGGAAGTTGTTGACAGCTGCATGCTTTGTCTAGATTCTCTATCTAAACTTAGGAGTAGCATGGAACAAAAGATGTATTTGCTTGGGGTGGGGATCATCAAGATTGTTTAAAAGACTTACATAGCATTATATTGCAAGACCTTTAAAGCTTTTGTCATACACCCCATGAATCAAGAGTGGCTGTCAATCTTGGAAGATGTATTTTGAAAGTAAAGCCAGTTCACCAGATTAATAAACATTGCATCATTTACTGCTAAACTTCCTGACTGCTCTATTAAAATAAGGGGCTTTTTTTCTGTTTATTCTTCTTTTTTTTTTAATTGGACCTCAGATGCACAGAATTGGGTAGACATAATCCTTAATTCAGGTTATGATATCATCATTGGTTCATTATTATTCTCTTTGGTATGTGCATCTGTCTATCCGTATTATATAATGAACCCACCAGCCAACCTAAGAATGAGAACATTGCAGATATTCACACCCATTGTTCACTTAACCTCTTTACCCAGAGGCAACCACTATCTTGAATTTGGGGATTACTATTTCTTTTCTTTTTATTTAAAAAAAGCATTATGATATACATATATATGCTTAAGCATATTTTGTTTAGCTGTGCATTTTCAAAAACATATATCCTAGCCAGAGCATTTAGGCAAGAAAAGGAAATAAAAGGCATCTACATCGGAAAGAAAGAAGTAAAGTTATCTGTTTTTGCAAATGACACAATCTTATATGAAGAAAACCCTAATGACTGTGTGCACACACACACACACACACAAACTGCTAGTACTAATAAACAAATTTATTACAGAATACATAATCAACATACAAAAATCAGTTGAATGTCTATATATTTACCGTAAACTATCTGAAAAGGAAATTTAGAAAATTCCATTTACAATAGCACCAAAAAAGAATACAACACTTGAAATAAACATAACAAAGAAGGTAAAAGACTTGTACATTAGGCTGGGCACGGTGGCTCACGCCTGTAATCCCAGCAGTTTGGGAGGCCGAGACAGGCGGATCACGAGGTCAGGACATGGAGACCATCCTGGCTAACACGGTGAAAACCCATCTCTACTAAAAATACAAAAAATTAGCCAGGCGTGTTGGCGGGCACCTGTAGTCCCAGCTACTCGGGAGGCTGAGGCAGGACAATGGCATGAATCCAGGAGGCAGAGCTTGCAGTGAGCCGAGATTGCACCACTGCACTCCAGCCTGGGCAACAGAGCGAGACTCTGTCTCAAAAAAAAAAAAAAAAAAAAAACTTGCACATTGAAAACTATAAAACCCTGATGAAAGAAATTAAAGAAAAGACCAAATAAATGGGCAGGAATTTCATGTTCATGGGTTGAAAGGTTTAATATTGCTAAAACATGTATCCTACCCTAAACGATCTGCAAATTCAGTGCAACCCTGTGGACATACCAATGGTATTTTTTACAGAAATAGAAAAAAAAATTATAAATTCATTTGGAACAACAAAGGATCTTGAATAGCCAAAACAATCTTGAGAAAGAACAAAGTTGGCATCACACTTCCTAATTTCAAAATATATTACAAAGTTACAGTAGTTAAAACAGTATAGTACTGGCATAAAGACAGACATATAAATCAGTGGAACAGAGTAGAGAATCCCAAATAAACTCCACCTATACAGTCAACTGATCTTTGTCAAGAGTGTCCAAACTATACAATGGAGAAAGAATAGTCTCTTCAACAAATGTGCTGGGAAAACTGCATAACTCAATGAAGAAGAATGAAATTAAACCATTGTCTTACTCCATTAAAAAAATCAATTCAAAATGAACTTAAGACTTAAATGTAAGACATGGAATTATAAAACTCCTAGAAGAAAACAGAGGAAAATTAGCTGGGCATGGTGGCATGTGCCTGTAGTCCCAGCTACTCTAGAGGCTGAGGCAGGAGAATCGCTTGAACCTGGGAGGTGGAGGTTGCAGTGAGCTTAGATCTTGCCACTGCACTCCAGCCTGGCGACAGAATGCAGTGCTTAAAACTTTATTACATGTGTCTTGGCAATAATTTCATGGATATGACACCAAAAGCACAAGCAATGCAAGCAAAAGTAGACAAATGGGACTACATCAAACTAGAAGTTTCTGCACAGCTAAGGAAACAACAAAGTAAGAAGGCAGCCTATGGAATTGCAGAACGTATTTGTGAACAGTTATATATGATAAAGATTAACATCCAAAATATATAAGAAACTCCTTCAACTCAATAGCAAAAACACAAATAATCCAATTTAAAACTGGGCAAAGGACTTGAATAGACATTTCTCCAAAGAAGATATACAAATGGCCAAGAGGCATATGAAAAGATGCTTAATGTCATTAATCATCAGGAAAATACAAATCAAAACCAGAGTGAGATATCATCTCACACCTGTTTGAATGGCTGTTTTTTTTTTAAATGAAAGATTACAAGTGTTGATGAGAATGTGGAGAAATTTGAACCTTTTTGTACTGTTGATGGGAATGAAAAATGGTACAGCCACTATGGGAAACAGCATGGAGGTTTCTCAAAAAGTTAAAAACAGAAAAACAGAAATACCATATGAAATCCCTCAATTGAGTATGTATCCAGAAGAATTGAAATCAAGATCTCAGAGAGATATTTACATTTTCACGTTCACTGCAGCATTACTCACAATAGCCATGATGTAGAAGCAACCTAAATGTTTATCAAAAAGAAATTATATATATACACATACACACAATGGAATATTAGTCAGCCTTTTGAAAAACAAATCTTGTCATATGAGACAACATGAAAGAAACTTGATGTCTTTAAGCTAAGTGAAATAAGCCAGTCACAGAAGGACAAAAATTACATGATTCTATTTATTTGGGGTATCTAAAATAGTCAAACACATAGACGATTATAGTAGAATGGTGCTATGGTTTGAATATCCCCTCCAAAACTCATGCTGAAACTTAATATTGAGAGGTGGGGCCTTTAAAGGTAATTGGATCATGAGGGCTTGGCCCTCATGAAGGATTAACCCATTCATGAATGGATTAATGGGTTAATGAACTACCATGTGAGGGAAACTGGTAGCTTTAAAACAAGAGGAAGAAAGATCTGAGATAGCACACTCAGTCCCTCACCATGGGATTCCCTGTGCTGCCTCAGGACTCTGCAGAGCCCCCACCAGCAAGAAGCTCTTACCAGATATGATCCCTCGACCTTGGACTTCTCAGCCTCCATAACTCTGAGAAGTAAATTTTTTTCTTTATGAATTACCCAGTTTCAGGTATTCTGTTATAAGCAACAGAAAATGTTCTAAGATATATGGCAACCCCCAGGGGCTGGGGGAAGAGGGAAATGGGAAGTTGTTATTTGATGGTTATGAAGTTTGAGTTATACACGATGCCTAAATTCTAGAGATCTACAGTGTGGAATTGTGTCTATAGTTAACAACATTGTATTGTACATTTCAGAATCTGTTAAGAGGATAGATCTCATTTTAAGTGTTCTTATCGCAGTTTTTAAAACTATATAAAAGAATATCATATTATATGAGTCTTTTGAGACCTGCTTTCTCATGCAACATTATGTTACTATGATGCATCCATGTGTTGAATCTGGCTGTAGTTCATTCCTTTTCAATTCTGTATAATAGTTTATTATATGAATAGATTCAGATCTGTATGGGCCTTTGGGATGTTTCCAGGTTTTTGCTATTAAAATCAGAGCTGCTACAAGCATTCTTCTTCATAACTTACATGCATTTGCAAGCATTTGTCTTAGGTACATATACCTACAAATGGAATTGCCAGATTGCAGGGTATGCTAATATTCAAATTTACAAGATTAATTTGCAAAATGGTTGTACTAATTGAAGTTCCCACCAGTAAAGTATAAAATATACTCTTGATCCATTCTTCTCCAATACTTGGTAGTATCAGATTTCTTGGTTTTGCCAATCAAAATTTGGTATGCAATGCTATGTTAGTGTGTGACTAGAATGTCCCTGATTACTAGTGATATGTATCATCTCTTCATAGCTTATTGGCTCCCTGTATTTTTTCTTCTTTGAAATGCTTGTTCATGATTTTACCCAATTTTTTAAAATTAAATTGTCTTTTTTTAATTAATTTTTAGAAGTTTGTTTCATATAGTTTGTGTTGGTACTTTCTGCAGGAAATGTGTTTTCTTTAACTTGCAAAATTCATCAATGTTTCAGAGTTTAGGCTTTTTGTGCCTCTTTTAAGAAATATTTTCCTATCCCAGGGTCAGGAAAATAACCACCTATATTTTCCTCTAAAAATTTTGTTTTGCTTTTGATATTTCAAATTTTTATTGTATATGCTGTGAGGTAGAGATCCAGTTTACTTTTTTCTACATAAGCAATGGAAAACTAGCTTTTCCCACACCATCGACTACACAGTCTCCCCTTCAGCCAATGATCTTTCATCCCACTGATGTCATATATCAAGTAGTCCTACTCTGTGGTTCTGTTTCTGGTGTTCTATTCTGAGTCATTGCTCAGTTTCTTATCCTTGTACCAGCACCACACTGTCTTAACTACTGCAGCTTAATAAATAGGTCTTAACCTTGATAGGCAAATCCTCCTTCTCCGTATTTCATTTTTAGAAGATTGAAGGCTATTCTTATCCCTTTGATCTTCTCTACACATGTTAAAATCCAGGTTTATGAGAACCCTGTTGTGATTTTTATTGGCACTGCATTAAATCTAGAGATCTATTGGAAGAGAATTATCTTTACCATACATAAAGTTTCCCTACTCATAAGCACAGGATATATATCCATTTATTTGGTACTTCTTTAAAATATTTGTGTATACAGGTTTTCTGTGTGGGTCTTACAAATGATTTCTTAGATTTATTTCAAGACAATCTGCAGCATTTTATTCTATAATTTTTTCTATAACTTTTTTACTATTGACTTCTGTGTATTGATTTTATATCCAGCCACCTTCCTGAACATATTTTTTTTTTTTTTTTTGAGACGGAGTCTTGCTCTATCGCCCAGGTTGGAGTGCAGTGGAGCAATCTCGGCTCACTGCAAGCTCCACCTCCTGGGTTCACGCCATTCTCCTGCCTCGGCCTCCTGAGTAGCTAGGACTATAGGCGCCTGCCACCATGCCCGGCTTTTTTTGTATTTTTAGTAGAGATGGGATTTCACAGTATTAGCCAGGATAGTCTCGATTTCCTGACCTTGTTATCCGCCTGCCTCAGCCTCCCAAAGTGCTGGGATTACAGGTTTGAGCCACCGCGCCCAGCCTAAACATATTTTATTTATAATAATTTATAGAATTTTGGGTAATCTCTATAGATAATCATATCACCTGCAAATAATGACAAATTTCTCTCTTTTTCTATCATATGCTATTAATTCCTGTTCCTATATAATGTCAAAGAGAAGCATAGTAGTATAGGACATCCTTGTCTTGCTATTTTTAAACTAGGTGCTTCCAATATTTTATCATTATAATGATTCTTTTTGTATATCTTTAGATAATTCTTTATCAGGTCAGGAACATTTACTGTTAGTTACTCCTAGTTTTAAAAGAAGGTTTTTATTTCTCATTTCGAATGGGTAATTTTATCAAACGATTTTTCTATATCTACTGAGATGATTTCCTCTTTCAAAACAGTAATGATTTTTACATTTTCCAATATTAAATCATCTTTGAGTTCCTAGGCAATTTCTACATATTAATTTTCATTTTTCTACACTGTAGGGTGCAGCTTGCTATTTTGTTAGGATCCTTCCATCCATCTTCATAAGTGAGATGGGCTTACAATTTGGTTTTCTTGAACTGTCCTTGTTTAGTTTTGGTTTTAAGGTCAGACCTGGCTCATCAAATGAGGGAGGAAAATTCTCTCGAATAAACTAACTTTTCTAAATCAGCTTATTGGCCTCCTCAAACAAACCTGTTCATCCCAGTGAGCAAGATGGGAAAGAATTCAAAATGGGACAAGAGGGGCATTTTATAGTTATTAATATATACACAAGCAAGTGTTTTTTGGAGACTGAGTATGTCAGTGTTCCTCAGCTTGGACACAAATTAAAATCACTTGGGGATCTTTTATAAAAATGCTTATGAGGGACCCACCAGCTCAATTAAATTTGAATCTCAGGGGGATTGGGCCAAGCCATTGTAATTATGAAGAGCCCCCTTGAGTAAGTCTAATCTGCAGCTAGGGTTAGAAATGTTTTTCCATGTAGCAATCTCACATGCTGTCTGTCACCTTACAGTGAACCAGTCCATCAGTTTATCAACAAACAAGCATTTGCCAACTGCTGGCATATTTCCAGAAACACAACAGGCTTAATTGAATTGGTATAATACGGTTCTTTTCTCCACGTACAGGCCCACTGGGAAGAAAGAGTGACCACCTTGGTTTCAGTTAGAGAACAATCGATTAAAACAATCTTTGTGTTAACAATGATGCTGATCACAACATAAACACAGACAGTTGATAATATGCTATTGAATAAATTATGGCTCATTTATTCAATGAAACCTAGTCAACTACAAAAAGATGTTAGTAATCTAGCGTTCATGCAGATGACAAAACTGTAGGTGCTAACGTCACATTTTGTAACATATCTTGATATAGAAAAAAGTTAAATGAATAAAGAACAAATAACAGTATTAATTGCCATGTGTTAAAAAAGAAGAATTGTTCAAAGGGTACAAAGTTTTAGGCAGGAGGAATAAGTTTTAGTGATCTATTAATAATAATATATTTTATATTTCAAAATCGCTAAATGTTCTCACCACAAAAAAAAGGTAAGTATGTGAGGTGATGGATATGTTAATTAGCTTTATTTACTCCACAATCTATACATATATTTTAACATCACACTGAATCCCATAAATATATACAATTATTATTTGTCAATTTAAAATAAAATAAGAAAATACGAATTATTTCATTTTGCTTTCATTTTTTCCCAGCCTCTTTGCAATGCATTGGAATTTCTTATGCAAAAAAAATGCAAAATGTAACAAGAGAGAGTTACGTAGTGGTTTATTTTATTTAAGTCATTTTGATTATAAGAAAAATTTTGCTCCTTTTGGCTCTAGCGCAGAGGAGCAGAGGTTTTGAATGGAACTTTCACATTAAGAACTGAACAAAGTCCAGTTAGCCTAGAATTAGAACCCAGAAATTCAGGTGTAGCGCCTTCTCTGGGCTCCTCTCTTCAACAGCCTGCTCCTTCCTCAGTTTCCCTAGAAGTCTAGTTAGCTTGAGAGTGTAACTTGCCATGGAGTGGTACAGACTGTAGCCATGGCAACATGATCTTTTGAATACAGTGCCCATCCCTTTGGGCAAGTTGCTCCATCTTCCCAAGCCTTAGTTTGTCATGTGCAAATAAAGATATAATAGAACAACATCCAATATATGTTTGAGAATGATATTTCTAGCAAAGTCCCTGTTGCATCAAAAACTTTCCCCAAATGTTCACTATAAAATGTTTACGTCCTTTCTTGTTGAAGATGTGCAACCAAGCTTCAGCATGTCCATGTTATGAGGGCACAGGGAGCCCAGGATCAGGGCCCACCTGGGCATGAATGGTGCCTGTGGACTTGCAGAGTCATTCTGGGTAGAGGGCAGCATGCAATAGGATATTACCTAGCCGTAAAAAGAAAACAAATTCCAACACATGCGACAACATGAATGAACCTTGAGGACATTATGCTAAATGAAATAAGCCAATCCCACAAACAAAAAGCAAATATGGTGACTCCACTTATACAAGAGACCTAGAATAGGCAAATTCATGGAGACAGGAAGTAGAATAGCAGTGACCAGGGCTGGGCAGAGAGGGGAATGGGGAGTTATTGTTTAATAGCCTAGAGTTTCCGTTTAGGATGAGGAAAATATTTTGAAACGGTAATGATAGTGGCACAACATCATGAATGTACTTAACCCCACAGAATTGTACACTTAAAATGATTAAACAGCTCTGGGCATGGCGGCTCACGCCTGTAATCCAAGTACTTTGGGAGGCTGAGACAGGCAGGTAAGGAGGTCAGGAGGACCTGAGGTCAGGAGTTCAAGACCAGACTGGCCAACATGGCGAAACCCCATCTCTACTAAAAATACAAAAATTAGCCAGGCATGGTGGCACACGCCTGTAATCTCAGCTACTCAGGAGGCTGAGGCAGGAGAATCACGTGAACCTGGGAGGTGGAGGTTGCAGTGAGTCGAGATTGCGCCACTGCATTCCAGCCTATGGGACAGAGTGAGACTCGGTCTCAAAAAAAAAAAAAAAAAAAGATTAAACTGACAAATGTTTTATAATATATATATGTGTGTGTGTGTGTGTGTGTGTGTGTGTGTGTGTGTGTGTGTGTGTATATATATATATAACTACAATAATAAAACTAAAACAAACAAAAAATCCCACAAATTTATCATCTCATGTTGTCTGTGGAGCCTGGGACTCAGGGGCTCACCAGGCTGAAATGAAGGTTTCAGTAAACTGTTCTTGTCTGGAGGCTTCCCTGGGGAAAGATCCACCCCCCATCTTTTTGGGGTTATAGGGAATTTAGCAGGACTGAGGTCTCTGTTGTCTTTCTAGCTACCAGCCAGGGACCACTCTCAGCTTCTAAAGGCTACCCACAGGCCCCTGCCATATGGCATCTGGCAAGGGTCCCTCAGATGTGCCATCTCTTGCTCCAGGAAGGGATTGTCCCTTTTAAGGATTCACCTGATCAGGTCAGGCTTACCAGGGTAATCTTGCTTTTGATAACTCAAAGTCAACTGATTGGCAGCCTTCTCATGGGCATGATGTCCCATCACATTCTGAGGGGCTGCCTGCCACCCAGGGAAGGGGATTACCCAGGGCATACCCACCAGGGAACAGGAATCCTGAAGGCCATCTTAGAACTCTGCCCATCACACCTTCCCATGCCCATAAGATGTTTCACTGCATCTCATTTACCCGAAAGCACCCAGGTGATAACAGGTGCACACTGAGGTTCTCCACTTAGTTTGTGGAGCCTCGGGGGAAAAAAGGTTTTAGTCTGGGGTGTTGAAGGAATAAAGATGAGTCTTGACTTTTCCGAAGGGCCCTGCCTCTGTGTAACACCTGGGAAGCATCACTTGTAAGACACGCGCATTTGGAAGGGCCAGCACGAGCTGCTCCATCTCACTGGACAATGAGGTCCCTGGTGGTTTCCAATTAGGCTGAGCTCATTGGCTTAATAGTCCGGCCCCAGCTGTTGCCTGGGCTTGAAAGAAAGAAAACTGGGTCAAGCAAATGATTTCAGGCATTCAGAGCAGTTATTTCCACTAACCAGCCTGTCTGCCCTCTGGATACTGTCAGTGCTTTGAGAATGGGCTGGGTTATAGTTTCTCCACCATGGCTGCCCATCAAGACCACCCAGGGACCCACCCACCTAGACCTGTCATCTTAGGTTCTCTAAGGTGGGCCCAGGGTTTTCTCAAAGCCACTCGGGTGATTCTAATGGCCAGCCAGGGTGGAGAACCACTAGATTGGATAATCATTTGGGAAACCACTTCTCACAAGATGAAAATTAAAATACCAGTTGACTTTGTTGAAGGGGATTCAGTTTATTAGAGCAAGAAGTAGAGCCCTGCAGGGCGTGGAAATGCATTTTGGAAAGAAATGCAAATGGGGAGGAAATGGCTTGTTTCAGGACATCCAGATGCATTCTATGAGTGCGCATCGAGTACTCCCAAGTGCAGGGTGCTAAGACACAGACAGTTGTGCACAAGCTCAACAGGGGCCCTGCCTCCTGGAGCTGATAGTCCCCTGGAAATCAGACGGGAAGAAGGGGAAAGACGGGAAGGGGAAAGACGGGAGAGGGAGGGGATAATACAGTAGCAACACAATGTGTCCTTCAAGCTGCTAAGATCCTGAGCTTGTTTTTAAACTGGAGCACAGCAGAATTCAACTCTGCCTTTAGGTGAGAAAAATCACATCACATTTGTGTTAAGAGAAAACACATCCTGAAAATTTATGAATGAAATGATAGTGTCTCGTGTGTGTGTGTGTGTGTGCATCAGGGGACCAGTCTGCATAGATATAACTAGATTAGACAAAGGTTGTCACTTGTTGGAGCTGGGTGACAGCTGCATGAGGAAGGGTCATTGTGCCATTCTCCCCACTTTTGTATGATTGATATTTTCCATAAAAGAAACTTAACTAAATTAAATTAATAAATCAAGAGACAAAAGAATGACATATTCTGATGGTTAATACAGTGTCAACTTGATTGGACTGAAGGATGCAAAGTATTGATCCTGGGCGTGTCTGTGAGGGTGTTGCCAAAGGAGATTAACATTTGACTCAGTGGGCTGGGAAAGGTCGACCTACCCTTAATCTGGGTGGACACCATCTAATCAGCTGCCAGTATGGCTAGAACATAAAGCAGGCAGTAAAATATGAAAAGACTACACGGGCCTAGCCTCCCAGCCTACATCTTTCTCTCATGCCAGATGCTTCCTGCCCTCGAACATTGGACTCCAAGTTCTTCAGTTTTGGGACTCAGAATGGCTCTCCTTGCTCCTCAACTTGCAGAGGGCCTGTTGTGGGACCTTGTGATCATGTGGGTTAATACTTAATAAACTCCCCTTTATATGTGTGTGGGTGTATATATATATATATAAAGGAAACAGGGGATAGCCATGTTACAAATGCACTGAAGACCCCTGCTGATATATATATACACACACATATATATCCTATTATATATACACATATATATCCTATTATATATACACATATATATCCTATTATATATACACATATATATCCTATTATATATACACATATATATCCTATTATATATAATATATAATATATCCTATTAGTTCTGTCCCTCTAGAGAATCCTGACTAATACACATATCAATTAAAATTTTAAAGGTATATTTAAAAAAAAAAAGCTAAGAGTTCAAAGTGGAGCAGAGAACTGTTGTATGAAACCCTTAGCAATACTCAACTTTTCAAACTCTGCACATTACTACCTGGCACACGTATAAGTCTAGAAAGCAGACTTCTGCAAAACCCCATGTCGGGCTGCGAGCCCTGCCACAGCCTGTTGGCTGACGACATGGAGATTATCTGTTGTGGCGTGTGCCTCCCTTAGACACAGCACGAGTGGGGAGCAGCCTCAGGGTCCACAGGCCTGAACCCCCAGCACTGGGTACAGTGTGCAGCCCAGAGAGGGCCTGAAAAACCAATGGCTATTTACAGAGCAGAAATGAATCAACACAAGCACTCATTTTCTCCCCGTACCAAGTCCGGTCAAGCCCTTGTGGAAAACGTTTCCTGTTTGGGGATCCACATTTCCAAAGAACACATTGGACAGAGTCAAGAAGAAAGTCCTTAGCCAAGGCTAACAGCACAGGCTGGGGGAGGGGAACTGTACAGGGCCACGCTGCTTCTCCACAGCACACCCAATGGAGGACAAGTGGGTTTCTCTTCTGGAAACAGGGGATAAGCCACGTTAGGGATGCACTGAAGACCCCTGCTGAGTGACATCTTCACAGGCCCAGGCAGGTCCTGCCTGTTTTCTCACCAGCTGTCCTGAGCACACATCACAGTCCTAGGCTCACAAGGGTGAGTGGTGGAGGAAAGGAAGAGAGGGAGGAGGGAAGGAGGGAGGGAGGAGGGAAGGAGGGAGGAGAGAAGGAGGGAGGGAGGAAGGGAAAGAGGGAAGAGGGAAGGAGGGTGGGAAGGAGGGAGGGAGGAAGGGAGGAAGGAGAGAAGGAGGGAGGGAGGAAGGGAAAGAGGGAGGAGGGAAGGAGGGAGGGAGGAAGGGAAAGAGGGAGGAGGGAAGGAGGGAGGGAGGAAGGGAAAGAGGGAGGAGAGAAGGAGGGAGGGAGGAAGGGAAAGAGGGAGGAGGGAAGGAGGGAGGGAGGAAGGGAAAGAGGGAGGAGAGAAGGAGGGAGGGAGGAAGGGAGGAAGGAGAGAAGGAGGGAGGGAGGAAGGGAAAGAGGGAGGAGAGAAGGAGGGAGGGAGGAAGGGAGGAAGGAGAGAAGGAGGGAGGGAGGAAGGGAAAGAGGGAGGAGGGAAGGAGGGAGGGAGGAAGGGAAAGAGGGAGGAGGGAAGGAGGGAGGGAGGAAGGGAAAGAGGGAGGAGGGAAGGAGGGAGGGAGGAAGGGAAAGAGGGAGGAGAGAAGGAGGGAGGGAGGAAGGGAAAGAGGGAGGAGGGAAGGAGGGAGGGAGGAAGGGAAAGAGGGAGGAGAGAAGGGAGGGAAGGAGGGAGGGAGGAAGGGAAAGAGGGAGGAGGGAAGGAGGGAGGGAGGAAGGGAAAGAGGGAGGAGGGAAGGAGGGAGGGAGGAAGGGAAAGAGGGAGGAGGGAAGGAGGGTGGGAAGGAGGGAAGGAGGAAGGGAGGGAGGAGAGAAGGAAGGAAGGAAGGAAGGAAGGAAGGAGAGAGGGAGGAAAGAAGGGGAAAGACGGGAAGGAGGAAGAAAGGGAGGGAGGGAGGAAAAAGGCAGAGAAGCGGAAGGCAGAGAAGGGAGAGAGGAGAGGGAGGGAGAAAAAAAGGAAGTAGTCTGTCATTAAGGGAGGTTATGGCATATTCCATGGGAGAACTTTTATTCTTTTATTTTTGTACCTTTTTAATCTTTTTCTTTTTCTTTTTCTTTTTTTTTTTTTTTTTTAGAGACAGAGGCAGAGTCTCCCTATGTTGCTTATGCTGGTCTCGAACTCCTGAGCTCAAGAGATTATCACAGGAGACTTTTTAAAGAAAACACAAAGCTTTTTGGGATTTGGACCATTGAATTGCAATATTGAAAATGCAGTGCTCAGATCAGCGGGGAAGACCTGAGCCTTGCAGGAGGATGCCAAGACCCCAAGTTGGCAGTTCCAGGCTTCACGACTGGGTTATACACAGCGCCGGCTTCCTGGTCTCACAGGGAAACAGGTCTCGGCCTCCATCAGCCCCCATTGTGTGCAGGGCGATCCCGCACAGGAGAAGCCTGGGGTGATGGCTCTGCGGCGAGCAAGCTGGCTGGGCTGAACTACACTGCCCAAAATTCTGTCTCGTGTGGTCCTCGTGGAGCGGACAGCAAGGGATATGCTCTCCTGAGAGTTTTAGGGGAGGGAGTCAACCTCTTTGCAGCTTGTCTGCCTGGAGGGTCTGCTGCGTGAAACAGCAGCCGGATCTGCATCTGCTCCATCCTCGGCGCCCCTCCCCAGGGCCTTCGGCTCTCCCACACCCTCGGCAGGCTGTGTGAGCCCCGGGATGAAGGCGCAGCCTCTGCAGGACACCCTCTCACCGAGGTCAGGGGCAGTGAGGACGGATGCGGGTCCCAGTCCATCCTCAGGAGGTCCTGGCTTGCGGGGCCCCAGCTCATCCTGGCGGAGTCTCACCGCGTGTTTAGGGGGTTCCCTTCCTGACCGCCTCCCTGTGGGCTTTATCACCAGCCTCTCCATGGCGTAGGCTCAGTCCCTGCGGCAAATTCCTACTCATGGTCGGCTTCTCTGGTGGAAGTCTGACTGAGAGCCACTAAATCAGGGGATCCCTGGGCCTAAGCTGACGTCGGTGGCTGAGGTCCTGGGTCGCCGCACTCACCGGTCACTCCTGTGCCCCACCACGGTCTGCCAGACTCAGTTGAGTAAGTGTGGGCAGGGTCCCTGGCTCAGGGCAGGTGGCCGTCCCAGAGTCTTTTTATTTAGCGATGCTCATCGCAACCCTAGTTTGCCGCACACCGCCTCTGCTCGCAAGGGCTCCAAAGGCCTTGGAGAAGCAGCTTGGATGGCTGGTTAAGGGTGTCACGTTTCGAGACGGGCATGAAAGGAGCCGGGGTTCCCAATTCCTGACCTCCGAGCAGGTTCCTCACCCTGGGCACTGCTGCCACAGGTGCACCCTGCGCACTGGAGGACATTTAGAGGTATCCCTGGCCTTTGCCCCCCTGATACCAAGAGTACCCTCCCCCCACAAGTTGTAGCAACCAAAATGTCTCCAGACATACCCTATCCCAGGGGGCAAAATCGCCCCCGATGGAGAACCACCACCTTCGATGCGGACCAGATAAATAAAGACCGAGATACTTGAGGAGGAGGGCTGCACACTGTCCTTTTTGGGGGAAGGTCTGCCCTGCATTTCCAAGTTAAGTACTTCTTATTCTCTTGGTATTGAACGGCCCCTTCTCTCTTGAAGATCTTGATGATCCAGAAAAACTGTGTTTCACGATCCTTCTTGGCAATCACATTTTGGTCCCCACGATTGCCTTTGAGAACCGTGTGGGTCTATGGAATCTGAATGCCTGAGATAGCTGCACGTGTCTCCACCCTGGCTGGTGGGCTTCTCTGCTGGTGTCCCCAGCAGGCCCCACAGTGCCTCGTGTGGCACGTGCGATGCAGAGCGAGATGTGAGTCCACAGGATCCCTGGCGTGTCTGCTAAAACACAGGTGGTGGTGGCTGAGCCCTATCAACAGCGAGCTCTGCTTCAGTAGCCTGAGCTCCTCTCTTGTGGTTGGTCTTCATTTATTTCCATAACTCTGCACTCTGGACTGCTCTCCTCCAGCCTTGCACATGCCGGGGGCGGCCCTGGCAAGCACTGCTCTGTCCTGCCCTCCTTGCTGCTCCTCTGAAGGTCACACTATCCTTTGACCCTGTGCCCCACGTCCCCACCCTGGGGAATCCTCTCTAAGTGCTTCTGTACCTTTCTTTCCTCCCTGCTCCGTGGCTCTGCTCCCCTTTCTGCGCTTACTTGTTCTGCAGGTGGGGATGTCAGATAAGATACAGGCTGGGCATTACATTTGGATTTCAAATAATGAATACTTTTTTAGCAAAAGTGTACCCAGAATATTGCATGGGACATATTGTGCTTTAGAGCTATATTTGCACTGCCGATCTGTCAGTCACACGGAACTGGGGACCCTGTATTTGTATTTGCTAAATTTGGCAACCCCTGGCTTCCCCAGCTGAACGTTTGCCACATCCAGACTCCTCTTGTCGGCGTCTCTGGCCCAGCCTTCTCTGCGCTTCACTCACAGTTACTCCTCCCGGCGCTCCCCTGGTTTCCTCGTAGGTACGTTAAGAGCCACTGTTCACCCACAGGCCAGGGATGATGAAAGAATAGCTCCTGGCAGCAGGGCCACTATCCCCAAGATGTCAAAGGGTGAGCGGAGGGTCAGGGAGCTGCCGCAGTGCTCAGGGCTCACACGCACCATGGGCCGCCAAAGGAGGGGCTGCAAGGGAGAGCCAGCTCAAGAAGCTGGCAGGAAATGTGCACCACATCTGTGCTCTCCAAAAGCCACTGCAGCTGGAGACAGGTGTCCTGACCACTGCTTAAGGGTCCCACGGTCACATATGTCTCATGAATCAGATCCACATAGCAACATCATGTGCTTCCCTTTCCTCCTCATTCCAGATGGGGAAGCTGAGGACACACAGCCGGGCTGGACCCACGCTCTTGCCACATCATGTGGTTGGGTGCTGCCCTTGTATGGCAGACTGAGTAAATTACAGACAGCAAGTGACTCTCTCCCCTCTCCTGTCCCGAGGCATCAAGGGCTATGAGCTGAGAAGTCAGGGAGGGACCTGCTGAGAATGACTCCAAGCTGGAAAATGCTGAATGTTGTTCGGCACACCTGCCAAGGGTGTCTTTTGTGCTCAAGGAATGCTTTTGACTTGATCAGAGCCCACACTCTGTGATGACAGCTGTTAACTTGATAAAGTGCAAATACATTTGTCCAGGAGAAAAGATGACCCCAGAGGCCACACTCTTACTCTCGGTAGGCGATGGCCCAATTTTGCATGTCCGTGGCCAAGATATCCCAGCGTCTCTTTTCTGACGGACTGCATAAATCAAATGCCCATTAAACCAGCTCCACCATCCTGCTGCTCCCCTCATTGCTGAGTGAAATGAATCTTCAACGAATTGTTGGCCACACTTCACTATATTTTAAAATTATACTCAGGCCCCGTGATAGCATGCTTGTGTTTACCATGTTCTGCATACACTGCAAACCAAGCCATGTTTAAAAAAAATTATTCAGTAAAAGTCTGGCATTATGATTTATCTATAGACTAATATATGTCTTGTCCCCTAATACCAACATCGTGTCTTAAAAAAGTAGGCTGAGCGTGGTGGCTCATGCCTGTAATCCCAGCACTTTGGGAGGCCAAGGCAGGCAGATCATGAGGTCAGGAGTTCAAGATCAGCCTGGCCAGCATGGGGAAACCCTGTCTCTACTAAAAATACAAAATATTAGCCGGGCATGGTGGCAGGCGCCTGTAATCCCAGCTACTCGGGAGGCTGAGGCAGGAGAATTGCTTGAACCTGGGAGGCAAAGGTTGCAGTGAGCCGAGATTGCACCACTGTACTCCAGCCTGGGTGACAGAGCAAGATTCCATCTCAAAAAAAAGAAAAAGAAAAGAGGCTGGTCACAGTGGCTCACGCCTGTAATCTCAGCACTTTGGGAGGCCGAGGCGGGTGGATCATGAGGTCAGGAGATCGAGACCATCCTGGCTAACACGGTGAAACCCCGTCTCTACTAAAAATACAAAATAGCCGGGCGTGGTGGCGGGTGCCTGTAGTCCCAGCTACTTGGGAGGCTGAGGCAGAAGAATGGCATGAACCTGGGAGGCGGGGCTGGCAGTGAGCCGAGATCGCGCCACTGCACTCCAGCCTGGGTGACAGAGCGAGACTCCGTCTCAAAGAAAAAAAAAGAAAAAGAAAGGAAAAAAGCAAGGAAACAGCTTGTTGGAACAGGACTGAGGCAGCAGCCAGCTGGAACCCTGCCCTCTGGGAAGGCTGCCACCAGCTTTGGTGTCCTGAGCGACACCACCAGACTGACTGGGGGCATGTTTCACGTTTCAAGTCCAGTGACAGTGCCATTTCCATATCTGTAAAACCCAGAGGAGTCAGCGCTATTCTGGGGAGTAGCCATGGTGGCATGTCCTCTCAGGTAACCCTAATTTGGACGGGAAAGGAGGCATCCCACAGGAGTGTCTCCAGGGAGGACCCGATGTGAGGGGAAGCCAGGCAGTCATCTCAGGGAGAGTGCAGGGGACCTGGGCTCCGGCCTCACCTCAGCCCTCTCTCAACAGCAAAGCAGGTGGATAGGGGACCTGTAAGACCCAGCTGTGGGGGAGAGTCTTTTGCAAAATTCCTAGAAGCAAAGCCATGTTGTCCCTCAAAACCATTAGTCAAAGAGCCCAACAGTGTTCCAAGAAAGTCCTGGTTTCTCACAGATCTTAGCCACCTGACATTCAAGAGCAAAGTTTCTTCCCAAAGCCTCACCCAGTCACTCCATCCTTTCCACCCCGGCAACCTTCAAGGGCCAGCATGCCCTGCAATGTTTCTTTTTCTCTACAATCACTTCCTCCTTGAGCAAAGTTTCTTCTGATTCATGGCAACAAGAAAAGAAAAAACATTTGCCCTTCCTATATCTCTCTCCGCCTAAACGATGCCAAATGCTACACAAAGAAAAAAAAGAAAGAAAAGAAAAGAAATAAACAGGATGTGCCTTAAATTACAAGTGGATATTGAATGCTCATCAGTTTGAGAACACTCTGTGATCCAGGGTTGCAGTGGAGAAACACAGGACAGAACCCTTAAGACATGTGGCGAGAGAGAGACAGACAGAGAAACAGGGACAGGGAGGTTTGTTTAAAGGCATTGGTTTACTAGATTATCAGGGCTGGCAAGTTCAAATCCATAGGGCAGGCCATCCAGAATGCAGGCTGGAAACTCAGGCAGGAGCTGTTGCTGCCACCTTGAGGCAGAATTTCTTCTTTCTCTGGGAAACCTGTTTTGTTCATAAGGTCTTCCATTGACGAGATGAGACCCACCCACATTTTTGAGGGTAGCCTTCCTGACTTAAAACCAATTGATTGCAGATGTTAACTGCAGCTACAAAATACCTTCAAGGCAACTCCTGAATTAGTGTTTGATTAAATAAGTGGATACGAGAACTTAGCCAAGTTGACCCATGAAACTGATGATCACAAAATACAGAATTAAACTTCCAGCGTGGTGGTGCGCACCTGTAATCCCAGCTACTTGGGAGGCTGAGTGGGGAGGATTGCTTGCACTGAGGAAGTCAAGGCTGCAGTGAGCTGTGACTGCACCATGGCACTCCAGCCTGGGCAACAGAGTGAGATCCTGTCTCAAAAAATAGAAAAGGAAAAATTAACCTTCCAACTAGAGTGTGCATCATTCTCCCTGCCATTTTGGGCTGCCCAGGCAGGCGACACTGACTGGCATCTGAAGAGGCACAGGGCAATGGTGTCTGAATCATCCCCAGGCAGCAAGACACACACAGTGAGCTCTCAGCCCCTGCCCCATGGGCCCTCTGAATATGCATGGAAATAAAGGAGAACTCTGCCTTCCAAGACTCCCAAACAAAGTAAGAGACCACAGGTTTAGAGCTCAAGAGATGGTTTCACCTCTTCTCGCTCCCTGTCCAACCCCATGTATGGCTGGGAAACGGAGGCCTGAGCGGGAGTCCATGTGACTCTCCCAAGTAGCGGCGGATGCAGGACTGGCCGTCAGGCCCACATCATGTATTCTATTTGAAAATGCTGCTGTCCACATGACTACAAACCCCACGTGACTAGAGCCACTAGTTCCTCTTTACCCTGGTTCAGTTTGAAGTGACAAGGATTATTCAAATAATCCCCCAACTCCCTTCACCTCAAAAACTATCCATATCAAATCAAGAAAAATATCCATTGAACGTCTCTCATGTGTTATAGCAGGGTATTGATTTCAGAGAAGTTGGGATTTGCAGTCCTCAGGAACGATGTCTCTGTGCACAGGTGGGGTGTACAGGGGAGTGACACAAGAGCCCCCAGATCTGCTGCGCCCCACCCTTCACTGGGGAGCTGGGTACCATGAGCTGTGGAAGGTGACCCAAGTGCGGGCTGATGCCCTGCAGTCCCAGCTTTGTGACTCAGGGTGAATGCCCTTCCCCATCCATCCTCTAAAATGAACAGGGAGGGCTAATTGAGCCCTAAAATTCTGTGTGTTGGCAGATAATGACATTCTTCTGTGATTACAGAAATTTATAGTTGTTATATTTTTCTGTCCATGACATCTCTTTGGTTTTAGCCATGACTTATTTGCTGCCACATCCTCGGTATGACAGGAGATCCCCAATCACTTTATACCATCCATTACTTCCATTGTTCCTTTGGGAAAATGCTGCCTGCTTTCCAAAGCAGTTTCTAGAAATGCGTTGCACAATGCCTGTGGTGTCTGTGCCCTCATCCGTCCTTGTTGCCTGGTGAAAGAGCTTCTGTGACTGTCGGGAGGATCATCTGAGAGCTCTCTGCCACCCGTGGCTCCCCACAGCAATGGTCCTGAAGGTGCAGAGGTGTGGAAGGGCTGGAGAAAGAAAGGTCCCGAAGTTACACTGCCTCCGAGTCACCTCCATGTCACCACAGATGCCACGGTGGGGAGGTGGGGGTGACCAAAGGGAGCATTCCAAATATTTGCAAGCACACCTCATAAACCACTGCACTCACTTCCAAAGAAATCAATCCTCTTGGTAGTTCCTGCGTGTCTTGGAAGCTTTTGGAATGTTGGAACGTGTTCATTCTTCAGAGAAATGCAAATTCCAGCCAAACACAAATTTACCTCCCACCGTACGAAGGAAAGTCTCCTGAAAGTACCGGCACATGGCACAAGCAGAGATCTTGTGCAAGGGCAGGCAGCGACCATGGACAGGAGGATTGAGGGAATCACCTAAGTGGGCTGAAGCGGGGGCCATGCCTTTGGAATGCGCAGGTTCTAATGTCTCTCCAGTGGCCTCCATCCACATTTTTCTCTTCAGGACAGTGTGTTACCAGTCTACAGTCTCACTGGGCAGGCGCCACCTCCACTTTTTGTGGATGACACCTCCTGCCGGGGCTTTGCAGGGAACTCAGAGGAGCCCTGAGGCGTGTGGATAAATTTAGGCAGCTGTATTAGTCCATTTTCATGCTGCTGATAAAGATGTACCTGAAACTGGGCAATTTACAAAAGAAAGAGGTTTAATGGACTCACAGTTCCATGTGGCTGGGGAGGCCTCACAATCATGGCAGAAGGTGAAAGGCACATCTCACATGGTGGCAGACAAGAGAAGAGAATGAGAATCAAGCAAAACGGGTTTCCCCCCTATAAAACCATCAGGTCTCATGAGATTTATTCATTACCATGAGAAGAGTATGAGGGAAACCACCCCATGATTCAATTATCTCCCACTGGGTCCCTCCCACAACTCTTGGGAATTATGGGAACGACAGTTCAAGATGAGATTTGGGTGGGGACACAGCCAAACCATATGAGCAGCTCTGCTGCAAGCCAGGCCCAGGTGGCCAGAAGGTTGGTTCCTCAGGCGAGCTTGGTGAGACCCAGATGGCATTGTAGACACACAGGACATGAATTTGCCATGTACATTCAACATCCCTCTAAAAGACATGGGAACCAGTTCCACAGAGCAGGCAATTCCCTCTACCCTGGGACTCATGAGCAGAGCTCCATGGTGAGCATGGAATGGGCAGCCTCCGCTGCTGTGCACGGGCAGTCTCAGTTCCCAGCCAGAGTTTGAGGACGGGTTTCCTCACTACAAGCCACTCCTTCATCAGAGGCTGACGTGGAGAAGATCCACTCCAATTCCAGTGCAAAAGCCACCACACTTTCATTCTGACCACACAAATGTTCTCCCATAGGAGTTAACTTTACTCTTTTTAAGTGCCCTATTTATTTTTAACAAGTAATACACAGATGTGGAACAAAATTTAAAGGTATACAATGTGTTTCCCTCTAATTGCCATCCATGAGGCACTCAGTCTCCTCTCGAGAGATGAGCCCTGGATCAGGCTCCCTGCATGTCTTTCCAGAGAGATCCATGTAAAGTAGACAGACGCCAGAGATTCTGCCCATCCGCGCCTTGCTTTTCTGCATTCACCAAGATATATTAGAAACATGCATCAGCAAATACAGAGCTGCCTGACGCTTTCAGCAAGTGTGCGATGCCATTCCCTTTTGTGGATACATGGTAATTTATTCAATCAGTTCCCTATTAGCAGGTGGTTTCCCATCTTTCACTCTTGCGATGCTGTGTGATTAACTTTGCACATCTGCCTCGAACACTTACCAAAAGATATGTTGGATAAATTCCTGGAAGTACAATTCCTAAGTCAAAAGGTATGAGTGTTTTTAATTTGATAATTATTACCAGCCAGTAGGTTTAATCAATGCATACCCTCATCTGCAATATATGAAGGTACCTGGTCAATACAGCTATGGGAGAAAGCTCATGGTTCAACTTTGCACCCTCTAATGAAATGGGGCATATATCAACATGTTTATTGGCCATTAGTGTATATATATATATATAGATAGATAGATATTTTTACCTCTTTCTCTGTTGATCTTTTTCTGTTTGATTTGGAGGCACTCTTTGTTTATTAAAGAATAAATTAGTCCCTTGATTTGGGATGCCTTTCCTTTTGTTTGTTTGTTTGGTGTTTTTTTTTTTTTTTTGTCATGACTATTTTATGGGTCTTTTTTCATTCAGAAGATTTTTGTGTGGTTGATTTTATTGTTTTTTTAATGTATCTGGGTTTGGGTTCAAAATTTTAAAAGCCTTCCTCACTCCAAGACTGCAAGTCTGCTGACTTGAAATCCCCACACTTCCCCCTCTCACACACACAATGTATAAAATTTAACTCTATTGCAGTTAAACTGCTAAATACTGTCAGCCAAAATTAAGGCTATTGAGGCAGAAATAATTTGAGAAAGGTTTACTGGAAGCCAAATGTGAGGATTGTTCCAGGGTCAGAATAGTTCTATGAGAAAGTTTAGGAGCAGGGAGGGGAGGGCACTCCTTACATTGGAGTTGTCCTTTCCATTGGAGGGTACCAGGGTGTCCCAAAGAGGTTACAATCATTAGCTTCAGATTACAACACAAACACATGCTAAAGCATTCTATCTGCAAGACAACTGGCAAAACTTCATGATTCAGAGACAAATCAGGGCCTGGTGCACTGGTTCATGCTTGTAATCCCAGAGTTTTTCGAGGCTGAGGTGGGGGATCCCTTGAGGCCAGAAGTTTGAGGTTACAGTGAGCTATGATGGTGCCACTGCATTCCAACCTGGGCCACAGCTCAAAGCCCCATTTCCAAAAAATAAATAAGTAAAACAGAAATAAATCAGTGTCTTTTTTCACATTGATCTGT
This sequence comes from Homo sapiens, assembly GCF_000001405.40. Classification (NCBI taxonomy): domain Eukaryota; kingdom Metazoa; phylum Chordata; class Mammalia; order Primates; family Hominidae; genus Homo; species Homo sapiens. Next base: position 6,581,547 of record NC_000005.10, read on the forward strand.
ATGTTGACAGTTGGAGAAGGGTACGAGAAGATCTGAGGGATTCACGAGAAGACCCTTTACTCAGGGGACAGGATGCAAACCATGCATCATGAAACCTTCCCCAAGCAGGTAACTCGGAAGGCTGCCAAGTGGGACCTGTAGGCTCTCAGCACCTAGCCGTGGAATGACAGATCCAAGCTGGAAGGGATACGGACAATCCATAGGTCCCACCCGCCTCTTTCAGCAGTGAGAGAATTGAGACACCGTCGGGTGTCTCCTGAGGTCACCCAGCTAACTGGCCCCAAGAAGCACAGGCCCCAGGAAGCCCACCCTTTGTCTCCCCCAGATTCTGACCAACCCCCACATCATCTCCTTGCCTGGTTTCTCTGGGGAACCAGGAAAAGAGCTGAAGAGTAGCTTCTGCTTTATAATGTTCACATTCCATTTCTAGTTGAAATTCAGTTGATTTTTAAATAATGCATCGCCTTAGATTGTGGGTTTTGGCAGGAATTTCAAGATACAGATAAAATTCCAGAGAGTAAAAAAGAGAAACACGTTTACTGCCAATTCCTTTTGAGGGGAATAGAAAAACATATTTTTGAATAAGCTCATCCTGGGTTCAGCTTCCCCTGTGAGAAGGACACATATAACAATAAGAAATTAAGGGTTCGGGAAGGAGAGGGGCCACCCTGTGCTCACCCCCACACAGCCCTGCAGGAAAACCCAGTGAACGGTGCCCAGGTGCCTGGCTGACTCCTGGGCCGGGAGGGGACATGGAGGGACAGTGGCCATCAGGCTCTTTGTGGACACTGGGGATTAACTACTGCTCGTTCTCAGCTCACTGGTGTCCAGCCCATCAATAACCTCATCAATAACCTAACTTTGGTCAATTAGGTTGGAGTCCGAAGGTGACTGATTTGCGGCAAGGTTTTCTCTCTTCCTCTGTAAAGTGGAGTCCTTCATCATTCATCGCAAGTAGACAACTCGCTTCCTAATGCCTCTGCATTAAGGAGCCAGGCGCTGCAGCTCTTTGGTACGTGACCTCAAATAGATTCATGCGTCCTTCTGCTGACACGGTGAGTACCTCCTGGAGTCCAGGACTCAGAGCATGGACACACCCTAACTCCAGCTAGGGGAGGGCGAAGCCACCTGCACCTGGGAGGCTGGCGCTGCCTAAGCGGGTCAGGCAAGTCCTCGCCTTGGAGGGGAGAGTCCTTAGTGATTTTCCCTGGCTCTGCTCCCACCGACGAGACGGACTCAGGAGGGGCGAACGGTATGTGGGGCGGGGACGCTTTGTTCAGATGGCGTCATCAACCCCAGGTCCGTCTGGTCTTTTTTATTCACTGCATATTAAGGTGCGTGCGGCCTGTGGCTGGTCCCTGTCCTGCACACCTGTATGGCCTGGACTAGGCCTGAGCGCCTCAAGGGCCGAGCTGGGTCCTCCCCACCCGCCGGATTCCCCAGCGCCCAGGCTGTCTCCAAAGAATCCCCCCGAGAGCAGGTCCCCGCTTCTCGGGCGTCGGGGCTCGCCGCAGTCACGCTGCACACCCTCCCGGCCTAGGGCGGCGCCGGCCCGGGACTCGCGTGTCTCCCCGCGGCGCCGCGCAGGACCCGGGCCTCGGAGCCCGGCAGCATCCCCTGCTGGCCGCTGGGCTGAGGAGCCGCGGGAGGCGGGGAACGCGGGGCCGCGGGGGCTGGGCGGGCCGGAGTGCGCGGTAGAGGGGGCGGCGCGGCCGGGGTGCGCGGTAGAGGGGGCGGAGCGGCCGGGGTGCGCGGTAAAGATGGGGCGGCGCGGCCGGGGCTCGCCAGCACCAGCCCTGGAACCCCATGGGGGACCTCGACAACAGCGCCTTTGCGGCGTGGGCCCCTTTCTGCAGCTCCTCCACCCGCGCGCTGTCGGCTCCGGGACACTGGGGCTTTGAAGGGCGCCAGTTCCCAGCCGCACCTGCACGCCTAGGAGGGCGCAGGCCGCGTGTCCCTGTGGGAGGAAGGCCCCGGCAACCTGCAAAGACCTCACGTCACAGAAACTTGCGGCGTTTGCCCCCGATGCGCGCGTCAGGTGCTCCGTCCCTTCCAGGTGGCAGAGGAGAGGGAAGGGTCGCGCCTGGTGGGGGCCTGAGAGCCACCGGGCTGCGGTGCGCGAGTGTGGACACCGCCCCGCCTTCTGCGTCTACAGCCCTGGGTTCTGGGACCTTTGGAAACCGCTTTGGACGAAGCTGAGCATCTCTTTCCCCACGCTGACCTCCCCCATAGACTCCGGATGGGAGTAAATGAGGGTAAGGGTGCCGTCACCGCAGGAGGTGGATTTTCTATGCTCCACAAGGCAAAAAATCTGTTAATTTTCTGCAGTTTATGTTATTTTTTCTAAGTTTGTAGTTTCCTCTTCCAAACGTAGAATTTATATTCATAGAACTAGAATTTATATTCTTAATGCAGAATTTATACTCATAATGCTAAATACATATGCTTTTAAACTCTACCCCCTAATAAAAGCACGAGGCAGTCTCTCCCCTGAGGAATTCGACCCCGCCGCACAGCCCCCACTCCGAGGTCACATCGCAGCTGAAAATTTCAGCAGGGAGTGAGGGACTTGTCTTTCCATGATATCATTGGATGTTACCTAACACATATACATATACATCACATATGTCATATGTGATATAGTATGCCCATGATACATGACATATTGATTTGAGAATTAGTTTGACTACCCAGGGAGCCACTCCAGGGCAAGGCCTGTATTTAAGGATGTGGCCAGTATCCAGACTGTGTGTGCTGCAGGGGAGGGCTGTGGTAGACTAGAGGGAAGGACCGAGGGAGGGAAGAAGGGGAAAAGGAAGAGGCAGGGAGTTTTTCCACGAAGCTGTTTCCCTGCAGTTCCCCTTGGTTGGTGAGCCCTGGGGGGCCATGGCCGGTTCCCCGGAACATGCTCGGTCGGCTTCTTCTCTCCAGGCCCAGTCCTCTCTGTGTTCTCCCTGGAAGGGGAAGATGAGAAGATGAGCTGGGGCTTTAATTTTTTCCTAATTATCAAATCTTTAGTCCAAACCACTCTGCCCAGCCTTGGTGATGGGAAGGCCAAGGGTATGGCAACAGTGAGTGTCTCTGTTTCCAGGTTGCAGTGAGGACCTGGAAGGTCAAGAGACAAGGTAGCCCAGCACCTGGCCCTCATGGTATGCAATTTCTGCTTCGGGATGATGAAAAAAAAAAAAATCCCGGGCTCAGTTCCTTCTTGAGGTGCTGGGCTCATAGCTAACCTTGTCTTTTCCCCTCACTGCCGTCACCCAGCCTCCTGTGAACAAAGCATCACAACAGTCAGCATCACAAACCCCCATCAGCCCCGTGCAGTTGCAGTTGTGCTGGACCAGAGCCCATCAGCCTGGCCTTCGGGCTCTCCTCCACAGCGCCCCACCCAGCTGCTCAGGATGGCCATGACCATCTTCCATCTGACGCTGTGTGCTCCCTGCACCTGGCCCCAGGATGCGTGCAATGGGCTAAACTGTGTCCCTCTTGAAATGCATGTGCTGAAGTCCTAATCCTAAGTACCTCAGAATGGGAGCTTATGTGGAGGGAGGGTCTTTACCAAGTTAAATCGAGTTATCAGGGTGAGGCATCAGCCCATATGACTGGTGTCCCTACAGAAAAAGGGAAATGTGGCGACAGACACACACACACACACAAGGAGAACACAGTGTGACCATGAACATGGTCATGGACAAGCCAAGGAGAGAGGCCTGGAACCTGTCCTCCCCACACAGCCCTCAGAGATGACCAGCCCTGCCCACACCTTGACTTTGGACTTCCCACCTCCGGAACAGAGAAACAATCCATCTCGGTTGTTCAAGCCTCTAATTTGTGCTGCTTTGTGATGGCAGCCCCAGGAAACTGAAACAATTCGCTAGCAGGCAATGAAAAGGGCAGGCCCCCCAGCCCAGGCCAGCTTCAAAGTGAGTCATCTTCCCCTCTCCTTTCCTGAGAGGCAGCCACCTTCGCCTGCTGCCCCAGCACACACCAGACACCGTGCCCAAACACTGGCCAGTCCCCAAAGGGCATGAGAGAAAAGTCATCCATCCCTGAAATTCACAGGGAAGGCAACCACGTGGCACCCACTTCTCTTAGGAGCATCCTGAAAGAGGGTGCAATTAAGCCAGTTCAATTTGGAATTGCTTAAAAATGTGGATTTAAAGCAGAATGTAAAAAGGAATGATTTCCAACAGTGCTAGTGAGGTTTTATTTTTTTACTTTTTACAGCTCCTGGGAAATCCAGAAACTCTAGAGAAGCTTGTTTGCCAAACCTTGCTTTGGGCGGTGGAGACAGAATATCATGTCCCAGATCAGCGTGTGGTGACTGTGGAGGCATTTACACACAGCACACTCCAGCTCTGCCACTGGGCCGGCTGAGGTGGCTGCGGTACACGGCGCCCATCCTGAGCCCCAGGTTCCTCACATGTCAACAGCATGAAAAGTGCCTCTAAGACATCCACAGGTGTGCAGTGTTAAAGCAGGTGAGTGTCCTAGTGTAGACTTAGCGGAGTGGGGCTAGGGCTGCGGGTAGTGGGTGTTCCGCCCCCGGCTTGCTACCCAGTCCTCCCTGTCCCTCAGATCTGGCCCCAACCCTCAGGCAGACCCGTGTCTTCTCTTCCACCCCCTCCCTCCTCCTCCCTGGCACTCAGCCTTGCTCTTCTACTCTACCCTCCCTCCCCAGGCAGCGCCTCAGCTTGGTTAGCTCCCTTAAGGACTGCGGCTCCCTTAGGACAAGGCTCTGTCCCTCAGAGCACTGAGTGCGATCTCATGCTGGCATCTTAGAGACATTGTATTCACCAGGTAAGATGGATTCACATCTGCTGGGTGCACGAACACTTCCTCCTTCCTTGCCACCAGCCAGCATCACAACCAGCCTGGCCAGGCTCCCGTCCCAGCCCAGCCTAGCAGCTAACCCCAGCTCCATCCCCCAGCAAGCCCCTCTGCCTGCACCTCAGCTTCTTCATGGAAGACGAGTCAGGTCATGATGCCACCAGGGAGCGTGTTTCCATGTTGAACTGAGACACTAAGCCCTTGACAAATGTTGGCCAAGAAAAAAAAGGGGCTCCAAGAGGGGAGCTGTGGCTCAGGTAGAAGACGGTGAATGAGCATTGCCTGAATCAGAGTTAGCTACTCTGGTTACACAGGTGTCCCCGGCAGGTTGGTCAAAAGCCCTTCCCTGAGTCCCGTGATAAGTGTGGGGAGGGAGGCAAATCAAAGACCCCTACACACCTCCTGCATGGATGGCCAGAGCGCTGGTCCCACCTCCTTCCTTCCAAACTGCAACCCCGATCAGCACAGCAGAGAAGTCTCCTGTGGCAGGGACCAGTAATTCAGTGCTTCCCCTGGAGAGTCTGGGATTGCACAGAACACCAGAGGCTGGGGATTTATTTGTTCACCAACATTCATTCAACAAACACTTACTGAGGCCAACACTGGGAATGGAGACGAACTTCCCTGTCCTCATGGAGCTTGCTTTCAAAAGGGAAGGAGGCAGACAGTAAACAAAACAAGCAAGTCAATATACAGCATGATGCAGAAAAGGTGTGATGCCACCCTCTTGCCTGAGTTTATAACAAGCAGATGATGTTGTCCTAAGAATTAATTTCAGCCGGTGAAAGAGTACAGGCAAAAAACGTGGTCTCGGACTTTCCGGTGATGCTTAAGAACATAGTTGCAGTTTTTGTTCTGATTCTTTGTGCATCTCGCGCTAATGAAGGATTCTGCCATGATTGCCACCTCTGGAGACGTCACAGCCAGCACAGCCATGACCAGGGATGAACTTGGCCATTGTCCAGCAGCACCATGGGAGGACCAGCTGCTGTAAGTGAAGGTCATCATCCATCTGATTTGCTGGCTTTTTGCAACTACTGCGGTGGAAGTCTTAGAGTAGCCACCTTCTCTGTACTCAGACCTTCACTTCGCCAGATGTCAGCACAGCAGTGTCAGCAGCTTCGTCAAACACAAACACCACCACCTCTCTGGATCAGAAGCACATGGAAAGCCCACCTTGCAAGAAGACCCAGCTATTCCAAAAGTACCCATATCCCTGTAGCATCCTCTTAGCTGAATGTCTCTACTCCTTAAACTTGTACCACTTTGAAGAGTAAAAATTTAAATTCATTCATATTATCATTTTTTAGTTTTTAGTATAAGTGGAGCTGTTTATCGGCCATTTGTATGTCCTTTTCTTTTTTTTGCAAATTACTCCTTTGCCAAATTTTCTCTCAAATGACTCATCTTTTTCTTATTGATTTGCAGAAGCTATTTACATATTATGGATGTGGGGTGTCTAACATACACAGCAAATACTTTGTCCCAGTGTGTCACTTTTTAAAAAAATTCTTATAATGTCTTTCATCTTTAAAAAATTATTAAGCTATTGTGAGCTTTTATGCCTTTTCAGTTTATTTTCTTACATAGATAATTATATGAAGTGCAAATAGGGGCAGTGTTAGTCTCATCTTCCCAAGGCTGCACCTCAGATGTGGAATGTTGACAGCAACATCTGTTACCTTGTTTCTGTTTTTAGGATTTTAGCGTTAAGGCCAGGCATAATGGTTCATGCCTGTAATTCCAGCACTTTGGGAGGCCGAGGTGGGCAGATCACTTGAAGCCAGGAGTTCAAGACCAGCCTGGCCAACATGGAGAAACCCTCTCTATTTTTAAATACATTTAAAATGTTAACAATTAAAACAAAATATTTTACCGTTAGTATGATGCTTGATACAGGATTTCTGGTACATACGCCTTATCAAATTAAATAAGTTTCCTTTTACTCTTGTTTATTGTTATTTTTTAAAATAAGGAATGAATCTTGGATTTTAGTGTATCAATAATTATATTTTATTCTTTAACTTCATAATATTCCTTATAATTCCTTATGTCATATTAAAGATGTAAATTCATATATATTTTATCATACAAATGATTAATAAATGTATAAGCATGTCATTATATGAGAGTATACTTCCTTATGTTTCATGAATGCATCGTGACAGGCTCATTTTTTTAATCACTGCTCGATTTGTGCCACTGATGTTTTATGAGGCCTATTTATGTCGGCGATGGTAAGAGTGTTAGTGTTTCCTCTGTGGGTACCTTCATCTACCGTGAGTCTCCTGGATATGCTAGCATCACAGAATGGCAGGCGGAAATTTCCAGCTTTTTCTATAGAATGAGTTTAACACAGAAAATAGATCTTTCTTGAAAATGTGGTAACACTTACCTGGAAACCTCCCTGGCCTAGTGCCTCTTTTCTTGGGGCTAAAGGGTATGAAAATGGGTAGATCTCCAAATGCCTTTTCCATTTTTCTATGAATATTATTCCTACTCAGGCTTTTCTCTTCTTGGAACAATGCTGCTAACTTGTGCCTACTTGGCTATTTCTACTTCATGTATATTTTCAAATCCATTGGTGTGCAAGTGGACTTAGTATGTTCTTGCAAGCGTAAGAGTCTCCATTAGTGTAATGACCTTCTCTCTTTCTGTTTTCCTTGAGCAATTAACATATATTTGTCTTATTTTATTGGTCTTCTCAAAAGAATATGCTTTTGAGTTATTGATCACCTGTACCATGTGTTCTATCACACTATTCTGTGTTTACTCAAGCTCGTTAATTGATATTCAAATCCCTGTATTTTGTCAATTTCTGTTAGATGCTAGTATTAAAAATTTTTTATATAACCGTAGATTTGTCTATTTCTTATTATATTGGTAACAGTTTTTGCTTTACCCAATATTTTGTTCTAATGTGCTTTTTTAAGTTCTTTTTGAATTATTTAGTATTTTTTGTTTATTGTTGTAAGGTGCTTTTTTAAGTTCTTTTTGAATTATTTAGTATTTTTTGGTTATTGTTGTAAGGTGCTTGTTTAAGCTCTTTTTGAATTATTTTGTATTTGTGGTGATTGTTGTAAGGTGCTTGTTTAAGTTCTTTTTGAATTATTTTGCATTTTGGTTATTGTTGTAAGGTGCTTGTTTAAGTTCTTTTTGAATTATTTTGTATTTGTGGTGATTGTTATAAGGTGCTTAAATTCTTCTTGAATTATTTTTTATTTTTGATTATTTCTGTAAGGTGCTTTTTTAAGTTCTTTTTGAATTATTTTGTATTTTTTGGTTATTGTTGTAAGGTGCTTTTATATGTCCTTTTTGAATTATTTTGTATTTGTGGTGATTGTTGTAAGGTGCTTTTTTAAGTTCTTTTTGAATTATTTTGTATTTTTTGGTTATTGTTGTAAGGTGCTTTTATATGTCCTTTTTGAATTATTTTGTATCTGTGGTGATTGTTGTAAGGTGCTTGTTTAAGTTCTTTTTGAATTATTTGGTATTTGTGGTGGTTCTTGTAAGGTGCTTGTTTAAGTTCTTTTTGAATTATTTTGTATCTGTGGTGGTTCTTGTAAGGTGCTTGTTTAAGTTCTTTTTGAATTATTTTGTATTTGTGGTGATTGTTGTAAGGTGCTTAAGTTCTTTTTGAATTATTTTGTGTTTGTGGTGATTGTTGTATGGTGCTTGTTTAAGTTCTTTTTGAATTATTTGCTGTTTGTGGTGATTGTTGGAAGGTGCTTAAGTTCTTTTTGAATTATTTTGTGTTTGTGGTGATTGTCACAAGGTGCTTATTTAAGTTCTTTTTGAATTATTTTGTGTTTGTGGTGATTGTTGCAAGGTGCTTATTTCTTTTTGAATTATTTTGTGTTTGTGGTGATTGTTGTATGGTGCTTGTTTAAGTTCTTTCTGAATTATTTTGTATTTGTGGTGGTGGTTGTAAGGTGCTTAAGTTCTTTTTGAATTATTTTGTGTTTGTGGTGATTGTTGTAAGGTGCTTTAAGATTAAGTGCTGTCATGTGTTCTTGACAGGTTATTCCTTTTATAAATATCAAATGTAGAAAGTTTCCCTGTTCCCCTATTTTCTGTGTCTTGCCATGAACTGTGTTTTTTTGATATATTGACATACCTAATACCTATCATAATTTAAAACACACATACTCCTTGACCAATAAATACGACTCCTAGGAATTTATTCTAACGCACACACGTGTGCAATATTTGAAATGAAAGGTACAGCGTTATCATTGCAGGCTTTGTAGGTAATAACAAAGGATTGGAAGTAATCCACATATGTATTCACAGGGGTCTGGATAAACAAGGGACCCTCTGCCACTCTGGAAAGAATGACCTCCTTATGTACTGATAGGAAATGATCTGTCAGACCTGTGATTAAACAAAAACAAATCCTAGGAACAAAACATTCTGAATAGATGTCAATATTTGTGTAACACGGCTGGGCAAGGTGGCTCATGCCTATATCAGCACTTTGGGAGGCCAATGCAGGCAGATCATTTGAGGTCAGGAGTTTGAGAGCAGACTGGCCAACATGGTGAAACCCCATGTCTATGAAAAATACAAAAATTAGCTGGGTGTGGTGGTGCATACCTGTAATCCCAGTTACTGGGGAGGCTGAGGCAGGATAATCACTTGAACTTGGGAGGTGGAGGTTGCAGTGAGCCAAGATCATGCCACTGCACTCCAGCCTGGGTGACAGAGTGACAACCTGTCTCAAAAAAAAAAAATGTTTAACAGGGGAAAATCATATCTACCTATCTGCACAGAATATCTCGAGGGATGGACAGGAAACTGTTACTGCTGGCTGCCCACAGAGGATGGGGCTGGGCAAGGGGGTGGGAGGGAGCATTTCACAGAGCTGAATCTCTCAAATATTGAACTCAGTGTTTAACTATTCAAAACATAATTAAAATTAAGTATCCACACCTGCATCTTGCATTAGCATTTGCCTACGTATGTCAGTCTTATTTCCATTTTGTGAGCTGTTTTGCATTTTCTGGTTAGTATGTTTTCTTGCTATTTCTATCTTTTTTTTTTTTTTGAAACGGAGTCTCGGTCTGTCGCCCAGGCTGGAGTGTAGTGGTGCGATCTTGGCTCACTGCAAGCTCCGCCTCCTGGGTTCACGCCATTCTCCTGCCTCAGCCTCCCGAGTAGCTGGGACTACAGGCACCCGCCACCACGCCCAGCTAATGTTTTTTGTATTTTTAGTAGAGACGGGGTTTCACTGTGTTAGCCAGGATGGTCTCATCTCGATCTCCTGACCTCGTGATCCGCCTGCCTTGGCCTCCCAAAGTGCTGGGATTACAGGCGTTAGCCACCGCACCCAGCCTTCTATCCTTTTTTCTTCCTTTCTTCTCTTTCCTTAGACTGATGCAATTTTGTGACTTTTCTTTTCTAGTGATTTGGAGGTTATACTTCCTATTGCTGTCTTTCTAATCATTACTCAACCATGTGAACAGACGTATTGAAGTGGTGGAGCAGATAAGGAGGTCTTCAGGTCTGGAGCTGTCCAGGAGCTGAGACAGTCTCAGCTGGTAGCTGGGACACTCTTGGGGAGTTCCCCCAGCTGAAGAAAGTCTCCCTGCCGAAGTCATGATCTTTCCCAGGGCAGCCCACACCCCACATCTAACGGCTGGTTGATGTTGGAGGTGCGGTGTCAACTCTCACCCCAACTCTGCCACGTCATGCAGCTCCAGAGCACCCCGTGGGACCCGCTGGGGCCTGTCATGCCTGCGACACAGCCCCATGTCTCCTTCAGCCCCATCCACCCAACCCTGCTTCTTTCACTCAGCTGCAGGGAATGATCCAAACTTCCTGCACGCAAATCTCTAGCGCAGAGTGTTTCCCAGGGAAACTGGCTTCCAAAGATTGATTTGTCTAACAAGTTCTAACACACACCATAATATACAAATGGGCAGGGCCGATCGTGAAAGGTGATCAGTTTTATGAAGAGGCTTATCTGTGTGCTGGTTCTGGTAATATCCCATTAGTACATTCTCTGGACCCTTTATATTGTAGTTGTTTAAAATGGGTTGAAATTTCAGAGATCTTGATACTGGAAAATGTCATTTGTTGTAACCAAAATCCACCTGGAAAAGCATACCACAGATATTTCAATTTTAATTGTAAAGTGAAGTTGTTCTCTTGACACCAACAATTATCTTATAAATAACCTAATGACCTAATCAGAACACAAATTTGCATCAATTGCCGGGTGCTTGGATACTTGGAGTGCAGGGCCAATGTTTTCTAGTTTTTATTAGTTTTTCATAAGGTAGTTTAAAATAATCTTTGATGCTGAAGTTTGGCATTGAGGATGTGAGAGGTAGGTAGTAGAAATTCGTGTTTGACATTAAAAAGCAGTCAGTTATGCAATTCTGTGTTTCCCGCTGCAACCAGCTCCAGGGTGCCCTGACACTGACAGCTCAGCAGAAGGGCACGAGGTACCTCCTCCCCAGACCAATAAAAGGAAATTAGAACAAGAACACATGAACTATGTGATGCTCCTTGGTTCTCAGGGCTGTGATTCAGTGACTATGTTAGTTTCTGCTAGTATTGAAGATTTTGCAGCAGGCAAATATGTGAGCAAAGATGACATTTAAGTTCTATATGCTTCACCCACCTTATCTTTGGATCCCCCAGTCAAAAAGTTTTATTCACTAGCAAATAGATAAATAAATGATTATCAGTAAATGTGCTGTCTTAGCACCTCGCACCCCAACCAGCCCCCACCTTGAAACACTAGCTGTCAGGTGCCGTTCTCAGTGCACTGCACATATGTTGGGGTGATCAGACCCAACACCAGGTCGTGGGGGTGACGAAGTCTGGCAGAGTCAAAGGATTGAGAAAAAGTTTGAGAAGTAAAGTGGGGCCAGGGGACCATCGCGATCATGGAGGCTGCAAAGGCCCCGAGCTCTGGGAGCCCACGCTATTTATTGGTAATCCAACAGAGAAGGAGGTGGCCAGAATGTGGGGGTCAAAAGGGCGTGTTGCATCAAGCACATGATTTATAGCTGTGATGGTTTAGCATTTGCTCTACTTGAGATAATGGAGAGCAGGTTCTTTTAACTCAAGATACAATCGATCCTGGGAGAGCAAGGAGCAAGGAGCCAGCAAGCCTAGACACATTCCGGAGCCACAAGCCCTGGATTCTATCCAAGCCACGAGGGATTTTATGCCCTGGGCTTAGATTAGGTACGTCAGGGTAGCCTTCCACTCTTTAGCACAGAGCTTGGTGTGCCAAAGGGCACAAGGGGTTTTAGACCCTGGACCCCGGACATGTTCCAAGACTCTTTTACTTTATGTCAGACATGCAAGCCCTGCCTCGGCTTCTTCCCAACACTCAGCTTTTTCCCAACACACGTATTCACTAACTCAGGCCTCAGCACACCTTACTGGGTAGGTGCTACCATCTGCCCATTTTATAGATGAGGAAATAAAGGCCCAGAGATGATAAGAAACTTGCCCAGGGTCACATAGTCAAGAAGTAAGTGACTGTATCAGTCATCTATGGGTTTGTAACAAATTACCCCAGGATGTAGTGGCTTGAAACAATATTTAATATCTCACAACTTCTGTAGGTCACAAATGCTGGCAGGGCTTAACTGGGTCTTCTGCTTCCAAGTCTCTGTAAACTCAGATAAACTTCTAAGCCCCCTGCTGACTGAATGGACTCCTTGTGATCAAGAGGACCCCAGAAAAACCTTAAAACTAAACTCCCAGCCATAGTGGGATGTGAGGTCAGACACACCTCATTCTACCCCCTCCCTTTTGTGGTTTAGACACAACTGACCGACATTAATGTTAACACAGAGATCTTAAGACTGGCAAATAGACTCTCTGTAGCAGTAAGATACCAGATTGTAAACAGGACCCAAGGCCATGCCAGGCAAGGGTTACATCACACATCCCTAACCTTTCTTCTAACGGCCAAGGGTATTTTTCTCTAGCAACTAAACAAGCACTGGCCTCGAGATACGTTAAACAATTCCAGCTCATCCAGCTCAGAGACGTTAACCAACCGACCCCATTCCACCAGCCATAACTGCAGCTTTGACTTGAACTTACTGAAATCTCTTTGTATACTACAAAGAGCCTGTAGTACAAAGCGATTGATTCCAGTAACTTTCTCCTGACCATGAACTGGTCCTGGCTGGCTGTACACTTGGACACCTTCATGTCCTGAAAAGACCTTTTGACATATAGGGTCTAACTGTAGTACATTTAAATGTTAAGTCTCCATCCCAAAGTGAACATGGGTGGTATGTTACACGAACATTTGTCCCATACACATGTGCCAGGACCATCCTGAATATTCATAGCTCCTCCTGTCACCTGTTGAATATGCATGTTTAGCCAACCAGTTCGGCATAAAGCTCCTGTCCCAGCTTCTCTTCCTCCATGGTGTTTCTCTCTGGTCTTGGCTGGAGGCTGTGCTTCCCAGGCTGCAGGATGGCCACCTTGCAGGCTGAAACCTTTACAAGAAATAAAGTCTCCTCTGTTTTCTAAATGTATTAATTGTGGTTGATATGATACCTGATCTTGAATTGTAGCTCCCATCATTCCCATGTATTGTGGGCGGGACTTTGTGGGAGGTAATTGAATCATGGGGGTGGTGATTTCTCACACTGGTCTCATGGTAGTGAATAAGTCTTACAAGATCTGATGGTTTTATAAGTCGGAGTTCCCCTGAACAAGCTGTCTTGCCTGCCACCATGTAAGACGTGACTTTGCTCCCCATTCACCTTCCGTCATGATTGTGAGGCCTCTCCAGTCATGTGGAACTGTGGGTCAATTAAACCTCTTTCCTTTATAAATTAGCCAGTCTCAGGTATGTCTGTATTAGCAGCATGAGAACAGACTAATACAGTGCTTTTGTATTTTTAAAGTTAACATCTCTCAAGAAGTGGGTTGACTCAAGCCTCAACTAGGGCAGGATCTGTTTCCAAGCTCATGTATGGGGTTGTTGGCTGGATTAGGGTCCAAGGCAGTTGCTGGACTAAGGGCCTCAGTTCCTTGCTTTTCCAATGCTGCACTTAATTCATTGCAGTAAGGCAGGTGTGAGGACTTTACCCAGCAGGCCCAAGGCCACTCTCCCTAAAAAGGCCTGAATGCAAGACTGGCCCTTAGTTGGCCTCTGGGAACCTGGATTTTGGGAGTGTTCCCAACATCCCAACGGGTAAGAGTGGTTCAATGTGCCTAAACTGTTTATGCAAACAATACACTGAGTGCCTGCTTTCCCTGCGGGAGTCTGGAATGTTGGAGGTGCCAGACAGGTGCCCACATGACCCCTGTAAGCTCCCTGAGCACTGAGTCTTTAATGAGCTTCCCTGAAAGACAACACTTTGCATGTGTAATCACAACTCACTGGGTCAATCAAGTCTGTCCTGTTTGATTCCTCTGGGAGAGGACTCTCGGAAGCCTGCACCTGTTTTTTTCTAGATGTTACCCCATGTGCCTTTCCCTTTGCTGCAGTCACAAGCCTTTTGTGTAATACATCATAGCAGAGTAGGACTAGGTGCTGAGTCCTGGGAGTCTTCACCAAACCCACGGGTGGGTCTTGGGAACCCCGACACAGCACAAGAGTATCACCAACAAGATGGAAGTCAGAGTCTTCTGTATAATCTCATTGGAAGTTTTGCCCCATCGTCATTCTATACATCAGAAGCAAGTCACAAGGTGCAGCCCACACACACAGGAGAATGCACCAGGACATGAACCCCAGAGGCGGGGGTCAAAGGGGCTGTTGTGGAGGCACACAGGCCACCGCGGCAGAGCCAGGAGTCAAGCCCCTCACCCTCCACCCCAGGCTGTGCAGCATTCGTTGAAGTGAGCGAGAACAGAGACGTCCCAAACCCACTTCCTGAGAAGTGCTCTGGGAATGGAGTGCCATTTGCTAGGGTGAAGCGCGTGTATACACAATCCCAGACTTGCGGATGCCCATTAATAATTTTGTCCTCTGGGCTCACAGAGATACAGATATCTCTTTCGCAGCACTTATTCACTACTCACTTGTTAACTGAATAGAGCTAAGATTACCATGTTTTAATAGAGAGGGCCCCTGACTTACAATTCTCAACGCATGATTTTTTGGCTTTATGATGGTAGGAAAGCAACACATATTCAATAGAAACTGTACTTTGGATTTTGATCTCTACCTGGGCTGGTGATCTGTAGTCGATATCCTTGTGATGTGGGGCAATGGCCGAGTTGCTCCAACAGCCATACGATCACAAGGGTAAACAACCAACCCTCTGCAGGGGACTGTGTTGCCAGATGATTTTCCCAACTGTAGCATGGAAGTGTTCTGAGCATGCTGAAGGTAGTCTAGGTGTACTTAATGCACTTTGATGTAGGACATTTTCAACTAATGCTGGGCTTATCAAGACATAATCCCATCGTAAGCTGAAGAGCATCTGTATTTAAAATCTCCTTGTTAACACTGGCCAGCCCACATAGATGCCCTCCTCAGAGGCAACCAAAACTGTCAATTTCTTCTGTATCCTTCCAGTTACTTTACATAAATTCAAAAGCACATGTCTCCAAGCCTGTGTATTTTCCCCCTGTACACAATGGCAGCAGAATGCACATTCTTCTCTACACCTTGCGTTTCTTTCTTGGTGGTCACTGGACTCCAGGACACAGCGAGCTGCTTCAGCCCCTTTGCTGGCCAGTGTCCACGTGGGGGCTCTGCACCATTGGTGTCCCAGTGCCTCGTCATTGATGCTGAGGGCTTCCAGGTTTCTGCTATTAACAACATTGCATCAAATGACTCTGCAGACACATTTGACTCATCTGTGGGCCTGTGAAGTGGACTCGCTGGCTCAAAGTTGTCCTTCTTTTTAGGAAATTTATTTTATTCATCTACTCAACAGGTACGTCAAAGTTCAAAGGAAACAAAGAGTTTTCAGTAAAAAGTTTTTCTCCCATTTAAGCACCCCCACCAGAAGGCAACCACTACTCCCAACCTATGGGGCTGGCTACTTCAGAGAGGCCCTCATCAGAGACAACCCTGCTGGGTGGAAGCGAAAACTCCTTCAGCTGATGTCTTTTCTTCTGCCGTGCACTCTTCGGGAATCGGAAGACCCTTACCAAAATGCTGATTAAAGTTAGAGAAAGAAAATCCTCCATGTTAGGAGCAGTCTTCTCTTGAATGTTTCCTCAGGCTTATCCATACACCATAATAACTGTCCACCTTATTTATCAATTTTTAAGTTTTCTTCTCCCTGTGTGGTCTGTACTTGCTAGCTGCTATTCTGTTGTCTTTGACCCCTACATCCATCCAACACTGGAGGCTGCTCTGTGTCTGGTTACCCGGGGTTGCCTATTCTGACAAGGCAAGGTGCTCACAGGCAGTGCTGAGTGTGGGAGTGACTCCTCGCTTTGAGCGTCGCTACAGGGTGATAAGAGTGGGCTACTTCCCAGGAACCCTAAGGCCGCTATCTTTACGGCTTCTTTGAAGCTAGACAGTTTCCCCAGAGAAGCATCTTTCAACAATCCCCTTCTGTAGACCAAGATCTCACTGCCCTAAAAGTTCTGGGGGCTGAGGGAGGAGAAAGATGCTGAGAGCACTAAACCCATCCCCACACACCTGTGTGGCCCCCAGGTCCCCACCGTGCCCGGTGTCCCCAGTCCAGGGCCTGGACCAGCAAGTAGGATAAAGCACTGAAACTGACTGGAAACAGTTCCCACTGGCCAATGCCGGGACAATCTGAGAACCAAAATAAATGACAGTAATAATAAATAAATAACTGAATAAAACAGAATCCTTGAATCCGTACTGACAGAAAATGAATCAAGAAGCAAACAAAGGACAGAGGAGTGCTTATTCTATGTAATGAGAACTAATAATGTAGAAGTGATGAAAAATGGGGGAAAACAATTTGTAGCTGTCACAGTAAAAACTGGCTCAGGCAAATTATCAAGAAATACTAAAGCTGGCAGTTAAAAGTTTGATGAGAGAGAGGAATATAGTCTTGAAATGTCTCCTTGCACAATACTTACAAATTTTTCAGTGGAGAAACTTGGCAGACAGATACCATGTTACTAATAATAAAACAAACTTCACCACCACTATAAAGAGAAAACCCAACATCGTCAGCCTCCTGGCATGACGCAGCGAGAACACAGCACCACCTCTGTGGTCCTCCTGTCAAAAACGCACACATCACAGGGACACTTCAGACCAACCAAAACTGAAGCACATTCAGACTACCTGACCGGTACCCTGCAAGACTGTCTCAATCATAAAAGACAGACTGGGAACTGTTTCTGACGGTAGTGAACTCGAGACAAGACAGCCAAAGGCAACTGGTGTCACCCCAGACAAAATTGGACATTGTGACTGCAAAGGACATTACTGGGCCGCTGGAGCGAGCTTGCTGGTTTGAGGGTGACCTGCATCCACGTTTCTGACGCCTATGCTGCGAGCTGTAAAGAGGGCCTCTGTTTCCAGGAAACACCACAGGAGCAAGGGGGTAACGGAACACGTCTGTAACTTACTGTCAAAGGGTTCAGAAAACAATGAGTGACATGCAAGCACACCAGAGGATGCAAATGCAAATGTAGAGAAATGTTCAGTGGAGAATGTGGGCGAAAGAGAAATAGGAGCTCTTCACGCCACAGAGCTTGAAAGTATTCCACAGTGGAGACTCCAGAGACAAATCCACCAAAGGCAGTGTGTGGTCGGTGTTTGTACAGACCAACACACAAAATGAGGTAGACAGGAAGACAGCAGCCTTCACAGTAAAACCGCTTTCACTAGAGAAAATAAGGATGTATTCTAACACTGCCATTTAGCCAAAAGTAAGTTTGTTCTTTCTGCTTCCTAAGAGCAAAAACAGGAATCACACATGTATATATTTTATCAATTTTATTGAAATATTCCAAGGATCCCAACCCCATTTAAAAATAAAAATTGTAAAGCACTCCATTCAATAAAAGCACATAAGTCCCCCTCAATAATTAGTATGACAATTCACGATACAGCTCTTACTCTGGGAGAGTTTATTTTACCCTTTATTCCAAAAGGCACAAAGTCATCTGAGGCCTCAGATATTAACCCCACTGCATGTTAATGACACACCACTGAGGTGCAGCTCAATGTAATTATTAAAGCTTATAACACACTTCCCCAAGAATTTATAGATTCTTTCTATAAATAATAATTTAAAAAATACTGCACCTTAAGACCAATACAGGCTTAACAAAAGACCTGAAATTTCTGCAAGGGCAGTTTTGTTTCTTGATAGAAGTACAACTTTTGAAAGTCTATTCCCAGCAAAAGAAACACTAGACCCAGCTTGGCCAAAGAAACAAAATAAAACAAGTGATTTCTAACACGCTAAAAGAGTACATTTTCATCAGCTCCAAAGAAAGCAGTCCTGGTCATTCAGAAGGCTCCTATGATCCCACCAGTCTGCAGTCATTAGAAATATATGCTTTACAGGCCACAGGCTGCTCTGGATTTGGTTTCAGACACCAGTGACCAGAAGAAGCCAGTTTTGCGTGTGAGGGGTGTGGGCCCCCGCTGCCTTGGGCCTGCTCACCGGGGTGGATGGACCCCCGCCGGGTCACAGCCTGCTGTCACGTCTGGACTGTTGGCCTCTTCTGCATCTGGGCTGTTGGGCTCTCCTGCTCTCTGTCCCTCAGTCACGTCATTGTCTGGCTGTCCGGTGCTGGCTGCACTCTCATTTGTGAGGATAACCCCTTCCTTCTTCTTTTCTCCCAATACCTCCAGCCCCATCATCCTGAGATAATGAAGCCGTTCATTCTTGGGCACAAAAGTTCGAATGGAGGCCTTTCCCCGCCATCCGCATAAGACGATGGGACACTGCAGAGCGTCTGGATTCCTACAAGTGAAAGTGGCTTCATGTAGAACATTAAACATTCCCATAACTAAATCGAATGAGATGTAATATGCAACTGCTTAAAAAAGAAAACCACAGAAAACCCATACCCACAAAACCCCCAAAACTACTGGGAGGACATTTCATCTGGATCCGAGGGGTAGGTTTTCTCAAAGGACTTCCTTCTTCATGTCCTGAGTAAAATTCTCACCCTCGCTTTCGCCCTGCCTCTTTAAGTTCACAATGGAGTAGAGGCCCCAAATCTACAGATTTCACATACACTTTCTACATACTTCCTTCTCAAACTTAACTTACTGTCCCCGCCACCCCGTGTCACCTCACCCCACTAAATGAGAAGCGTTTCTCCACAGGCTCCCTGCAGCTCACCTCAAGTTTCCTAAGTGGACTGAAGCTCCTGAGAGGCTGGGAGACTCTGCCCTTAGCAGGGCGTCAGAGCAGGACCCAGGACCACCGGGAGACTCTGCCCTTAGCAGGGCTGCCAGAGCAGAACCCAGGACCACTCATCCTTTTGATACTCAGTGTTAGCGTGATTTCTTCTCCAGGGACCCCACATGGCAGTCTGAGCCCTGCTGGGCACACAGTGCTCATTTCCGTTCCCAGCATGCAGTGTTACCCACAGTCAAAAACATCCCTGCCTCTCTGAACATGCTCCGAGCCTCCCTACCTTCCAGGCTCCACCTGTCCAGCCAGGAGGCATCGACGCCCCAGCAGAGATGGACGCCACCATTTCCAACCTGCACACGCCCTCTCTCAACTTATCTGATTTCTTTCATACGGGACTCTGACCTAGATTTTAGGCTCCTAACGGCCGTGTTTAATCACCTTTCCATTTTTCCTAATGTAAAGCAGGGGCACAAAGGTGGTTTTAAGAAGTGAGAGGAAAATATAAGAAATTCCCAACTCCCATCTTCTTAAAAAAAAAAAACCATTATTCCTGAAGTTGACCTGTCACCTGTGTATTTCACCAAGTAGAAACAAGTGTTTAAATATGGAAAAGTGAATCCACACCTTAAAATATCCCAATATTTTCTATGTGGGCCACATGGGACTGTTATTTTAAAAACCATTTCTGAGTCTTTGTTCAAACTCTCGTTAAAAACACCCAGAAGCCATCAATCACTAGATGCTCCTGCCCGTTCACCATCCAGACACCATCCGCCTCCAGCAGGTCCCCAGGGTGCTCATGCGCTCGGCCTCGCTGACCTCTCCAGCCCATCCATCTGTTGTTCCCTCACCAAGTTCCTGCCCCTCCCACCTCAGCCCCCACCTGTCCTCTCTCCACATGGCAGCCGGACAGCCTGAACCCTGAGGACATGTGGCCCCTCGGCCTCCCTGCCAACCTCTTACCTATCCCTCCTCCTTCCCTACTTGGCTGGGCCCGCCCCGACCCCCAGCTTGCACCTGCCTCAGGATCTGCGCTTTGGTGGTTCCTTCAAGTTAGCACTGGATCCCTGGTCCAACACTAACTTCCCAAAGAAATCTGTACAGTGGTTCTACCTATTCACTCCCCCAAATCCCAGTCAGCCGTGGACCCCATTCTGTTTCCTCCTCTCAGAAATGGTGTTGCATGTCACCAAGACGGAGCTGTTGCAGGTGAGATCCGAATTCTGCCACTCGTGAGCTGAGGAGCTCTGGGCAAGCCACCTAACTTTCTGTCCCGGCTTCCTCCTCTGGCAAGTGCTGCCAAAACCAGCACCTGCTCCCCCAAGGCCCCCCACAAGGATGCAGCGTGAATACATGCAAGCAGCGTGGAGCAGTGGTCCCGTGGGGACCGTGAGTGCAAGCGTGAGCAAATCCCATGCTCCGGCCCTAGCACTCCTGATGCAGTAACATGTCAGCAACACACATGGCTGAACCAGCCATGAGGACAAAAGAACGGAACCTCACTCAACTGTCCAATCTTCACACTTACTCTGTACAAGACAGAAATTTTCATTGGTTTCTAATGCTTAAAAAATAAGTACTATGCATTTTATTCTCTGTAAGTAAAAATTCACTTAGCCTGAGCTGAGTGTTCTATGAAACAGCATCTTCATGATGACCTACAGGAATATTTTGGTTCTGAAGTTTTCACAAGGCTACTTCTGAGGAACAATCACAAAAGGCCTGAAGAAGGTTCCCACCTTCCCAAGTCACTTTCCTCACCAACGAGAACACTGTAGCTAATGACAAGGCGTGTGTGTCTAAGGGCAGGGCGTGTACTGACTTACGCAGAATCTGGTTCATACTTCAGCACGATGCTTCCCTTTGCTGGAAAAGAAACAGACACACATTTGCCAGGTTTTCCAGGTAGTGGATGCATGCGCTGAGCACATTTCTGCACCTAGTGATGTGTTAAGTATTCTGAAGAAAGAAAACAACAAATAATCTACATTCTTGGCTTCAAGGATCTAGATGGTGAAAAGAGGCCGTCTGGATACATGAACCAAGTCCAAATGACGCAGTAGGGACGATCTGGAAGAGGACCCAGGCAAAAGCCATTCAGGGACTTCAAGGGATGTCACCTGACAATCCACTCTGAGAAGCAAGGAGGCTGGGGATTAACTGCTGGTTAATTCTTCAAAATTCAAAATTAAATAAACTATAACACCAACTCCCAGAATGGCATGAAATACATAAAAATTGTCTAAAACAATACTGCAATCATCTAAGTGCAGGATTAAAAGAAAACCAGTATAAACAGGTCCTTTATCCTTTACAAGAATCTCTACTTTAAATTGTGGTTCTTGCCTGGAGACGGCAGTGGGAGACAGACTCCACAGAGCATGTTTTATATCCCAAAGGAACCACACGAGTAAGTTTTAAACGCAAGTAAGAAACGTAACTGCAAGAAGTGATTCACGTACTTTTGATCAAATTGAGCCAAAAATATTAAACAGCAAGTTATTTAAAAAAATAAACAAGAATGAAGACAACAGAAAGAAAATTAGAACAGCTTGGAGAAATGATTTTTATGCTTAGGGGAAAACGTCACTGGAGTGATCTGAAGTGGAAGTTGATGAAATATAAAAGCAGCAATATGACCAATAATCTACTCCAGCTGGCTAGCAGAAAAGTCAGAACTGCTGGCAAGACTCTTATTTTGCTCTAACACAGGTGATTAAAATCTGCATGTTAGCCAGTCTCGTGAGGCTGTGTACCTTAAAAAACAAATTTACTGGCTGGGCGCGGTGGCCCACGCCTGTAATCCCAGCACTTTGGGAGGCTGAGACAGGCAGATCACAAGGTCAGGAGATTGAGACCATCCTGGCTAACACGGTGAAACCCCGTCTCTACTAAAAATACAAAAAATTAGCTGGGCGTGGTGGCGGGTGCTTGTAGTCCCAGCTACTTGGGAGGCTGGGGCAGGAGAATGGCTGAACCTGGGAGGCGGAGCTTGCAGTGAGCCGAGATCGTGCCACTGTACTCCAGCCTGGGTGACAGAGCGAGACTCTGTCTCAAAACAAAAAAAGAAAAAAACAAATTTGCTCATGCACAGAGACCTGCTTCCACCCACCCCCGACCTGCTGACAGGCAAGTGGGTCAAGAGCTCTGGCTGGGAGGCTTGCCAGGGCTGCTCACAGGCTGACCCCTCCTCTCCCCGGACTCTCTGGCCCAGCAAGGTGAGCAAAGGCCAGCCCTGCACGCCACACAGACACACCACAGGCTGCTGGGCAGCAGCAGGGCACCACCAGAGCCTGGGGAAGTACACCAACCCCAAGATGCCTTTGACCCTTAGCATTCTGAACTGTCAATCAGGGATCTACAGAACCCTCTGGAAATTGATGTAGCCATAAATAAACTGAAAACTATGATTGATAAATATGCCCCAACGCACACCACCTGCATTTTTGCTGGCCTTATAAAGGGAATACAAGTTATGTCTCTATGCATTTCCAACTACTCACCCAGGTCCTTTGCTTGACTGTAGGTCTCACTGCTGAGTTTTCTAAAAAAGGGATTTTCCTGGGTCAACAGTATCTTAACATCTTCCATTGATACAGTAATAATTCTTGAGTTAATAAATGGATACAATGTATATATTCCCTGTGTGAATAAAGAGAATGAGAGAACAGATACCATGATGTCATTCATGAACGACAACAGCCTGCTCTCAGGGGCTATGCTCTTAGCGGCTATGGTGGTCGAGCCCTCACTATGGCCCCTCCCCTTGGACAGGTGTGGAACCCACCCCCCCCTAGGAGGGGAAACCAGCACTCTGGGAGAGCTCTATAACCTGTGAGGGTCAAGTGGCTGGTAGGTGCCAGCCAAGCCCTGAGCCACTCAGACCATCTGGCTGACCAGCAAGCCCATCTACTCCCGACTGCTTCAGTCATCTGTGGCTACTGCTGTTCAAATCCACTTCCAAAATTACCTCCTGTGCCAGCCGGAAAGCACAGTCAAACTCTTCACCGCTGTTATTTCTACACCAGACTTTGATCCCCGTGTTAATAACCTGTAAGTAAAAAAATAAGATGAAACACAGAGAGATGAAGACAGGACCATCTCCTGTAAGGATGCCGGGCCACATGGAGCAACCGTCACGGAATGGGAAAGGAGAGGAGAAGCAGAAACCCACCGAGAAACCCCGGTTAAGAACGAACTGATACTCACAACTTGTGATTACGTCGTTTGGAGGACAGTAAAGCAAATGAAAGAAGGGCCCCCAAATGGCCAAATTCTAAGGGAAGTACCTCAAAGGACAAATCCCAAGGGTCGGGGCAGCAGTACTCGCAGCCTCTACACCTTTAGTACCTTCTCTGCCCAGGAGGGCGAGCTGTGAGAACTACACCATGGCTCACCCCCCTGCGGGAATGGGGCACAGAAAAGACACAGGCCACCAGATTCAGGACTCTGGCAGGAACCATTCAGCCCTGTGTCAGTCAACAGCTCTGAAATCAAAGGGCAGGCTCAGGGACCCACAGCCAGCGCTACAGGTGGGGAGGGCAGATGTCACGGTCTGCTCCAAATGAAATCTAAGCCGCTGTGAAAAGCCACACGCATCCCGCATCACACAGCACTCAGCGTCTGTGCGGCTGGCACCTTCATCTTCTCACTGTTATTCAGCAGCACATTCCGCAACTCCTTAGAAACCATGTAGAGCTGCCTTTTCTTCCCTTCTGTAGTCCGAGTTAACAAATTCATCCTTGGGAATGAAGGATCCAAAGCATAAAATTTCCTGTACATAACAACATTGTTGTTTATCCACAATGAGTTCAAAATCTGGTAGACTGTTTCTAAACATCTTATTCTCCTCCTCCAGAATTCAATCCCCAAAACTGCAGTGTGGTTCAAGGGCACTGGGCTCTGCTCTGGACTCCAGCTTCTAAACTTCATCCACTTCCACCTGAAACCTCCACGTAACATTTATTTGGGGCACAACTCCATCAGAAACCTAAATTAACAAGTGCAGCTTCTCTCCCTCAGCCGCTACTCCAATGATAATGACCTGATAACACTACTTTTGAGACTTTTTTTTTTTTTTTGATATGGAGTCTTGCTCTGTCTTCCAAGCTGGAGTGCAGTGGCGCAGTCTCAGCTCACTGCAACCTCTGCCTCCCGGGTTGAAGCGGTTCTCCTGCCTCAGCCTGAGTAGCTGTGATTATAGGTGCACGCCACCACACCTAATTTTTTTTTGTATTTTTAGTAAAGACGGGGTTTCACCACATTGGTCAGACTGGTCTCAAACTCCTAACCTCATGATCTGCCTGCCTCAGCCTCCCCAAGTGCTGGGATGTGCCCGGCTGAGACTTATTTTTTAATAGACTTTTACAAATGTATGCAAAGGACCAGTTATTAAAAAAGACAGTAAGTGACCGCCCTGGTAAATAGATTCTAAAATTCAATGAATAAGAAACAGATGAATGTCAGACTTGTCCTAAACCCTTTTCCTCTATATTCTGTCTATGTCATCCCTAATTAGCCCTCACCCATGCTGCTCTTCATTTCTTCTACAGAAACTGAACTAGACAACCTTGGCTACTCGTCTATATACTCAATTGAGTAATTTAGGTTCAGGATCACAACTAATTTAGATTCATAATCACAGTCCAGTTTTCTTTTGTTTTTTTTGAGACGGAGTCTCGCTCTGTCGCCCAGGCTGGAGTGCAGCGGCGCGATCTCGGCTCACTGCAAGCTCCACCTCCCAGGTTCACGCCATTCTCCTGCCTCAGCCTCCAGAGTAGCTGGGACTACAGGTGCCCGCCACCACGCCCGGCTAATTTTTTTTGTATTTTTAGTAGAGACGGGGTTTCACCGTGTCAGCCAGGATGGTCTCAATCTCCTGACCTCGTGCTCCGCCCGTCTCGGCCTCCCAAAGTGCTGGGATTACAGCCGTGAGCCACCGCGCCCGGTCCAGTTTTTTTTTATCTATCATGTTCACAAAGTAAAAGTTTACTTTCTCCTTAAATTAAAAGATTGAGTAACCTCTAAAGTTTCATCCTGCTCTAATATGCAGTTAAAAAGGTTAAAAAAAAAAAAAAAGCTAGACAGAACTACATACAAAACAATGGTTACATGTGATCAGTTGTACATTTGATACTCTATAGTAAATTTCTTTAAATGAATAATTAAAAAGGCTGAATCCTTACTCAATAGGTGGAAATAATGGGTCATCTTCAGGAATAAATACAAATGGATCTTCTTTAAATCCAAATAACTTCATTTTCTTTGATGGAGGAGGACTAAAAAGGGAATCAGGATGAGACAAATCAATCTGTAATGTGTGGTAACCTTCAATACCAAAAGCACATTCTTCCTTTCTGTCAGTTCTGTGCAACATGGAACGGTTTGCGGCAGATGTTGAAACCTTCCGGCTTCCACAGAGTCCAGCCCTCACACTGCATGTGCCTGATACCACACATGTACTGCCCCCTCAAACCGACCAAGAAGTGGCTCTGGGATCCCATTTAATCCAAAAGGACTGTGAAGACACCAGCGTATTAGATCAAGACATAACCACTTTTCTTACCCACACACGCCATCTTTCTTACTGCCATTATTCTCTAAATCCTCAGTTGCATGAGCTATTTCTGTGTCACCAGTTCCTGTGAATGACGGACTTTCCAGCTTAGAGGGATCTGTGGGTTTCCCTTCTGTGAGATCTGCAGGGCTCAGCTGTGTGCTTTCTCTGGTCTCTGCAGATTTACCCTGAAGCTGTCATAAAGAACAATTTCATTGACACACAAAGAGGAGCATTCTTTGTGCTGCTACGAAAAGTTAAAAATACCACGTTCACAAAATCCATCAGTTATATTTTTCTACAGCATTATATGTAGAGAAAGACAACAGAATTTTTTTAAAGTGTCATTTTAAATCTACTTGCTATTATAAACAAAATTCATGGACAGTTTCTTTGGAGTTAAAGCTGATTCTACCTTAATCCCACAAAGAGCATATACAGCCTGTTCCTTAGCAGAGGCCTACACCACCAGCTTGTTCTCGTGTAAAAATGCTTATCGTGCATCTGCTCTGGGTAAGGCACACTGAAGGACACAAAGTGCACCAAGCACGATTTCTAAAATACCCGGCAGGGGCAAAAAGACAAGTATATAAATAACGAGAAAGGAGGGTATGAATTGTTCTTGGGCACCTGGACAAACTGCCACAGGAACTGGGAGAAAGAGAGAGTGCCCCAGGCACCAAGGAAACACCTGCCAAAGAATGAACTTCTGAATTAGGGCCATGGTATAATTTAAATTTGGCTTTGGGAATGAGCAAAATGTTTTACTTAAAGATCTTTAAAAAATACATGTCCTTTTTAACATTTTAACAGGTCACAAAATTGATAAAAGTCGTAATTCCTCAGTCCCTATGAAGTAAGTTTAAAAATTAGGATATTTCAACACAGGCAAGTTCATTTTACTCAGAGCCACAAAGCTACTGAGCAGAGAAGCCGGGAGCATCCCAGGGAACACCTTTTATTTCCATGTTAATATAATGTAAAAAAGCAAAAACCAAAACAGATGAACCCCAAGCCTGTGAGCAAGTCAGTGAGGGCACACGCCCTTCCTGTCCAACCTCAGCTTCCCCCAGAGGGGCCTTCTTGTTGAGTCCAGCTCCAAGGGCATGTTCTCCCATCTCTGTTCTACCTCAACAACCTCATTCTGGGACCTTCAAATACCAAGGTCAGTGTGAGCTTCCCTGGCCTAACTTCTAGCCAAGTGCTTACAGGCCTCAGCACCACAACAGAACACGGCATCCTGACCATGGAGACTCTACCTGCGTTCCCAGTAGGACCAACAGCAGCACAGGCCATGCTAGCACTAGATCTGTTGAACTAAGTGAATAAGAAACTGACATAGTAACAGAAAGAGAGAAGTATTCATATTATTTAAACGAGAAAATGACAATAAGTTGTTCTAAAAAGTAAGACTATACATAAGGGGCTAATTGAAAAAATGTCAAAACCTTTCTATGTAAGTATTAACACGTCAGAAACATCAATGTAAGCCCTAATGCAGGCCAACCTAAAGCACGCGTCTCTAAGACAGGCTCCTCTGTGACTGCACTGTGCTCTGCAGCTGGGCAGCCACAAGCCTGTGGTCACTGACCACTTAAAATGTGACAAGCGCAAAGTCTAAAACACAAGCTACTGAAACCTAGTATGAATGAATGCAAAGTATCTAATACTTTACAATATAATTTCTTATACTGATTCCATGAAAATAACATTCCATCAGCGTTAAGATACCTTGTGAGACTTTTAGCCTCAAAGTGAAATACTTTCTAACCTGACAGAAAAACCCTGGTGGCGGCAGAAGTGCAGTCGCCCCCTTTGCCCGTCTGAGGCTGTACGTTCCAACGTTAAACTGCACAAACCGTGCCCCAGAAAAAGGCTGGAGCTCTTTGCGGAACTGTTTCCTTTTTGTTCCTCCAAAGCTAAGCGTTTTTTGTCCTAATTTTCAAGCATGGATCTTAAAGAAATACAGACTTCCAGACTTTGATTCCAGGCCAGGTTCTTTCATCATGGAAGGCTGATTTATGAACTAATAAATAATGCTGGCGTGATACAGGTGAGACAGCACGCATTACAAAGGACTGCGTGTTAGGATGAGGGCAACACTCCTTCACCACTGTTTCCTGGCCTGCCTTGGAAAGGAACCAGCAGGCAGTTTAGATCCATAGCAAACAGGCCGGGCTGCATCTTTCTAGCCAGGTCTGGACAAGGCCGTCATCATTCCTTGCAGCCAAGGTGAACCCGGGCTGGCTTGGGGTCAGCAGAGCTCTGCTATCTGTAATTGGTGAAATGAACCACTCACAAGGAACTAGAGCACAGAAACCTGGGGCTTCCAATTGAGAGCCACAGAGCAATCTTTCATGTCTTTTCAATTTTTATTAAATAACTGGATTTACAGTGTGGCAGGAATACATTCCCCCAAACACTGACTTCTCCACTTACCTATCACCTATGAGAAATTTCTGCTTTTTGGAAAACTTGATATTTAAATGAAATTCCCCCTCATTCAGGGTCAGCTCTCCTGCTGCCCACAGCAAGAAGCTCCTCTTTCCTCTGTACTTCTACTAAACTCCGGTTAGTTTTTGTCTTAAATGTACAAGATCAAATGTTATGTCATTTTGGAAAAAGAAAAACTCACCTTTGGCTGACGTTTATTCCACGGCATTGAAGATTTTTTCACCAATACTGCCACAAAAAACCCTCCAGTATTCTGATGATGGGGTAATATCCTAAGGCTAAATATATATATATAATTCACACCTCTGAACTAATCAAAAATGCATTCTTTTACTATTAAGACAAATACCGCAAAGATGATACAAGAGAAAAATCATGTCTTCGACCCTCACTCATAGAATGGCCAATATGTAAACTTAAATTTTTTTTTTTTTTTTGAGTCAAGGTCTGGATCTGTTGCCTAGGCTGGAGTGCAGTGGTGTGATCTCAACCCACTGTAGCCTCCGCCTCCTGGGCTCAGGAGATCCTCCTGCCTCAGCCTCCCAAGGAGCTGGGACTACAGGCATGCAACACACTGCCTGGCCAGTTTTTGTATTTTTCTTTTTTTTTTTCTGTAGAGATGGGGTCTTGCCATGTCGTCCAGGCTGGTCTCAAACTTTTGAGCTCAAGTGATCCATCAGCCTTGGCCTCCCAAAGTGCTGGGGATTACAGGATTGGGCCACTGCACCTGGCCCACTTTGTAATCTTTAAAAAGTTCATGACGGCTGGGCACAGTGGCTCATGCCTGTAATCCCAGCACTTTGGGAGGCCGAGGTGGGCAGATAACCTGAGGTTGGGAGTTCAACACCAGCCTGGCCAACGTGGTGAAACCCTGTCTCTACTAATAAAAATACAAAAATTAGCCAGGCATGCACCTGTAATCCCAGCTACTTGGGAGGCTGAGGCACGAGAATTGCTTGAACCCAGGAGGCAGAGGTTGCAGTGAGCCGAGATCGAGCTACTACACTCCAGCCTGGATGACAGAGTGAGACTCTCTCTCAAAAAAAAAAAAAAAAAGTTCATGAAGTACCCTAAGCATTACCATTTAGATTCTAGCCAATTTCACTATTAATAAATGCTC
The DNA here is from genome assembly GCF_000001405.40 of Homo sapiens. Taxonomy (NCBI): domain Eukaryota; kingdom Metazoa; phylum Chordata; class Mammalia; order Primates; family Hominidae; genus Homo; species Homo sapiens. The sequence goes on from NC_000005.10 coordinate 6,610,765, forward strand.
AATGCCAGCAACAGGCACAAGAGCCATACTGGCTGGGAAGTTCACACACATGGGGTTGACCCTGGCATAACCCAAGCCTCACAGCAATGTCACCTGCTGCCTCCAACTCACCCCAACAAGACTCACCAGCTCACCAGGGATGGGGCTTAACCTTCCCCCCTCCCCACACCTGGAGGCCCCACCAGCTCACCATCGCTCCAGGTGCATGGCCTGCAGCTTTTCTGGGTCCTTCGGAGGGAACATGGTAGGTCGGATCTGGGTGTGTCTGCTGTGAGGAACAGCGTCCCAGTCTGTAAACCACTGCCCATCTTTCGTCATTACCTGCAGAACCACAGGGTACATTCCAGATTACTAGCACTATCCAATACCAACAAAAATCACAGGGCAGGAGTATCCATTCTCTCAAAGGTGACAAATGGTGATTCTCATTCACTCCAAAGATAGGAAGATTATTTGCCAAGACAAAACAAAACAATCTTTACAGAAAATCCCCAAATTATTAATACATAAATTCTGTTAAAAACAAAGATGAAATACATTTATTCTAAAAACCAGGACAAGCATTATAAAATAACATTTTCCATCTAGTTTTTTTCTTTTTAAACAAGCCTCAGGCTGTTTCTGGCCTAAAATTGTAATGAATTACTTCATATTGGAAACAAGGCTTGAATCCCGGCCCAATTTAAAAAAAAAAAAAAAAAGCAAAGCTACCCTTACAGGGATGAGAGTAAAAGAGTTTATTTCTGTACGTGGAGAAAAAAAAACTTTTCCACTGCCAGGAATAAACATGCCACTTGTCATGAAATGTGTCATGAAATAACACTCCGAAATTGATTCTAATTGGCATAACCAGATGTAGTATTTATTCAAGTTACTCACACGTGAATGCTTTGAAACTTGACTCTACTTCAGTGATGCTGCACCTACTCTTTAGAATGAAAGTTCTCGAGGAAAGGTTACCTTCCACTGTGTGATTCCAGGCATCCACTTCAGCCCTGGCAGTTCATTAGACACATCAGCAAGCTCCAAAGCACCTGTGCAGCAAAAGCATGGACGTCTTTTGTTTTTCAAAAAAGTATTAACACACTATGCTCAGTGAAAAAAACCAGACACAGATCACATATTATATGATTCCATGTACAGAAAATGTCCAGGGAAGGCAAACCCGTCGACAGAAAGTGGATGAGTGGCCGACGGGGTGGATGAGTGGCCGATGGGGCTCAGCTGGAATGGGGAGCAAGTGCTGTTGGGCAGGAAAGGTCTGCTAGGGTGACGGGAACGGCCTAAAGCTGGACTGTGGTAAGGCGCTGCCAACTGAGTAAACTTACTAAAAATCACTGAACCGTACACTTAAAATGAGCAAACATTAACAATATGTAAACGACAGCTCAATAAAGTTGTTCCAATGACAGGGCATTGAGGAGTCCTGCCACAGACGCGAGACTAACTCCGCAAGAAGACAACCAGAAGGCTGGGCTGCAGGACGCCTGCTCCGTCTCCCCATTCCAATGCACACCAGGGCGATGCTGCAGGTCTTCACGCAGGCATGTCTAACAAACATCCCAGAGCAATGCTGAAAATGAACTATGGGAATTTTTAAACCTCAAGTTCGTGGTCCCAGGAAGTTTCCTAAAATTGCCCATCGGGACACAGTCAGCCCAGTTTTAAAAACAATGCGATAAGAGCTGTGAAAACACACTGGCCTTAAGTGTCCATACCAGTGACACAATAAGAAGCTATAAGGTGAGGCCATTACAGGAAACCAGTGAGACCAGCTACTAGCACAGATACTGATGTGACAGCCTCTCAGCAGAGGAAAATTCAACAAATCTCCCAGAAAACATGAAAATGGGACAATTACAAAAACAAAGGAAAAGAATCTCCAAGGTGGAGGAATGGCAGTAAGAAACCTTTGAAGCAAGCATCGTACTGACTTCTGCCATCATTTCTGAATCCTCTTCCTTTTAAAAGCTAACAGTAAATGACAGTGCAGGCAAACATGCGGGCTTCTCCATCAAACACTGTCCAGGGGCTTCACAGATGAGCAGGGCAGGCAGCAGGTGTTATCTCCACACCCCAGCACCTGGGTTGGAAGCTGCCAATGCTACCCCATGTTGCCCCTTCTCCAGTAAAGTTGTTGAGCACTTTCAGGTGGGGAACGCACACCCCCTCCAGTCAAAATCACCAGCAACCACCCACTCTAAGGCTCAGCCAAGGTCTGCTCCTTCCTGCATAAAGCCATATCCATGCACACCGCCTCTGACAGAGAAAAGGGAGGAAGCATCTACAATACGGTCTGAAGCCACCCACATGCAAAAAGTTGGCTGTGACATCATACTGTACACAGGTCCATGCTGGAAACCCACCTGTCCAGTAAGAAAATGACTACAGAATAGGAGACTCACTGAATGAAGTAATTCATTTTTGACACTTGCTAACAGGAAAAACTACTATGACATATTGGAATGTTAGGTGAAAAAGCAGGGTATTTAAGATATACACAACACAATCAAAACTATTCAACACAGTGAAGACTAGAGGAAAAGTTGCAAAAAGCAATGCAGTTACTTGAAGGAAAAGAATCCATGTACTTTTTTTCTAAATATGAATGCCCTTATACTTAAAACCCACTGGCCAAACGGTGCTGGCTGTTCTTTGAAATCTCCTATGTGGAGGCAGAAGCCAGCCCCTGACCAAGAACTCCCTCCACCCCCAAGGTATCTCCCCTGGCATCTCAGAAAGCTAAAATGATTCCAAAATTTGAATAAAGAACCTGAGCATACTGTCTCCTTTCTTGTCTTGCAGTGAAGCTTGCCCTTAGAACAAAGCTCAACTGCATGCCATAGTCTAACACCTTCTGTGACCTGTGACAATGAGGAGATAAGCCTCATTTTAAAGGTAAGTATCTGAAAGCATATCATCTGCTCTATTGGTAATAAAGGTGCGATTTTGGCCTTGGTCTGCCTTGCTCCATTACCTTGTCAATTGGTTCAGAAGCTGGACAGGGAAAGAGGGTGTTATTTACTGGGCTTTCAAAAGAAAGCCTGCCAGGCCAGGCATGGTGGCTCACACCTGTAATCCCAGCACTTTGGGAGGCCGAGGTGGGAAGACTGCCTGAAGTCAGGAGTTTGAGACCAGCCTGGCCAACATGGTGAAACCCCGTCTCTACTAAAAATACAAAAATTGGCTGGGCGTGGTGGCACATGCCTGTAGTCCCAGCTACTCGGGAGGCTGAGGCAGGAGAATCACTTAACCCGGGAGATGGAGGTTGCAGTGAGCCGAGATGGCGCCACTGCACTCCAGCCTGGGCAACAGAGCGAGACTGTCTCGGAAAAAAAAAAAAAAAAAAAAAAAAAAACCCACAACACACACATATAGACAGACATAAAGCCAACTAGAGCCACAAATTTGGTGAAGTCTGAAAAGATCTGCAAGCGTTCACTCAGAAAACCAGCAGTAACATTCTAAATACAAGAAAAAGAACCAGCCAGCCAGTCTGAAAATCAGAAAGACCAATGAAAATCCACAATCAAGAAAGGTTTCAGACCGGATGAAGACGAACCCATCAGTACCCCAGGACAATCCCACATCTGCTCATCCCTCCTCACAATCCTGATCACCAGCATTCCCGTTTTCTTTTTCACCCTGCAGCTCTTCCTCACTCCCCCGTGCCTGGGTCACGCTTGCTCATTCTTAACTTTCGAACATGGTGCACTGTGTGTGAGGTTCTGTCCACTCTTCCCTTAGAGATCAGTGGGTTTTCAGGAGAATGATGGTTCCCCACTGCTGCTGGAAAGAGAGACCCATGGGAATGAGAACTAGAACTTGGATTCAACCTGCTTTCAGATGACAACCCCTCACGAAGCCACTCCTTCAAACGTTGGCACGTTCAGGAAATGGGTGAGGGTGGCAGAAGCATCCAGAGCTCCAGGCAAGTAACCCGGTCTGACAGCACAGCCAGCCCACAGAGCACACAGCATGTTCTCTGAGCGGGGACAATTTTGCGGTAATGAGACAGGCAAACAGCAAGTATCTCCAATGTGAGGAAAGAAAGCCCGGTGGACTCAGGCCAGCAAGTCCTGCCTGCAAAGAGTGACTCCAGCCACGAGTGAGGACAGGCTTGTGTGGACAAGAGCCTCTCTCACCTAAGAACTCAGGAGACCTGGCTTTTGGTCCCAGCCAAAAGCTTACAAGAGAAAAAGGAGCAAAATTAAACACCTAGAGTACTTAACTAGCCAACACAGACTTAGGAGAGTAGCAAATGCTTAAAGAATCTACAAACATTTGAAGCTAAGCAGCACAAGATGGGGCTGTGACCACTCACCCCAAGTCAAGAAAGCTGCTCACCGAGAAACCGGGGGAAGCTGTCTTTACAAAAGACAAAGAGCACCAGCCAAGAATGCAGTGAGTGCGCCCAGGAACTGGGGCCCACCCTCAAGTCTGAGTCGTAAATGGCAACTAGGCATGCAAATTAATAAATGCAGTCCATTTTCTTTCTCAGGGATCTGAAAGCAGACTGTGGCAAGGGAAACAGGAGGTGTCTGTGCTGCTCAAGCTGCCTGGAATCATGGTTTCCTAAATTCCTAGCTAATGAACACAAAAATCTGAGCAGGATTCAACAGTCCTAACAACTGACCCCAAATCACACTTGAAGGTGTAATTTCATTACAACTAAACTATTATGTGCCCCATACTCCCCCTCACACACCTTTTGGAATAAAGTATCACCAACACCATGGCAATTATGACCATGCAAGAAAACATCACCCAGAAATGACATCTTTACAGAGGTCTACATGAGCACAGGAAAATAAACACAACATTACATTCCAGCTTAAAGGACCGTGAAGGCCATCAACAACCGCAGGGCTGAGGGCACAACCCAGACCAGCCAGCCGCCAAGGGGAGCCTCACTGGAAGGACAGCAGCAGGTGGGCACTGCCCAGGAAAGGCCTCTCTCACTGACTATGCACCAACTGACTTCACACACGTGGGTGCAGGAAACATGCTAAGTTTGAAATTTCTCATTATTGGCTCTAAGGAAAATATGATGGGAAAAGTTAACATTCTGGCAAAACATAAAAGGAGAAATATTTTATATCAATACACTGTAGAAATACACTACTGTTTCAGAATATTCTGTACTATCTGTCAGTTCCTCAGTATAAAACTGTATGAGGTGACCTCACACCCATTAGGATGGCTACTAACAACAAAGAGCCCCAGATAATAAGTGTCCCTGAATGTGTAGAGAAATTGGAACCCTTGTGCACTGGGGGTAGAAATACAAAATGACGCAGCCACTGTGAAAAAAAGCATGGTGGGGTCCCCCCAAAATTAAACACAGAATTACTATATGATCATATGATCCAGCCATTCAACTTCTGAGTGTATATCCAAAGAATCGTAACCAGGATCTTGGAGAGGTATTTGTATACCATGCTCACAGCAGCATGGCTCACAACAGCCAAAAAGTGGAAGAAACCCAGATGTCCATCAACAGATGGATGGGTAAACAAAATGCGGTTTATATAAACAACAGAATAGTGTTCAGCCTTAATAAGCAATGCAATTTTGACACAGACAACAACACAAGTGAGCCTCAAGGACGCTGCAGTAAGTTAAATAAGCCAGTCACGAAAAGACAAATACAGTATGATTCCGCTTCTGTGAGGTCTAGAGTAGTCAAAGTCATACAGACAAAAAATAGAACGGTGGTGTGAGGGGCAGGGAAGAGAGAGATGGGAGCTACTGTTTAAAGGAGTTCAGAGTTTCAGTTTTGCAAGGTGAAGATTTCTGGAGATGGATGGTGGTGGTGATTAACAATGGGAATATACCTAACGGGACTGAACTGCAGGCTCAAAAATGATTAAGATGGTAAACCTCACGTTATGTGTATTGTACCATACACATATGAAAAGCCCCCTATGCTGTTAATAAAAGATCCATCAAGCGTGCTTACCTTCACTTTTTTCCAGTAAAGATGCTATGACTGCTTCATCCTCAATAGGGTTTAGTGAACACGTGGAATACACCATCCTTCCACCTTCAGCCAGCTGTTCAGCCCCGCGTGTTGCAATCCGCAGCTGTAAGCTAAGGGGAGATATCAGATGACTGCAAGGCCAAATGTATCCATGAAGTGCACATATTAGAAGCACCTCCTTATGTCACATATTCATTACAAGCTTTTATAACACAATTATACTTAAAAAAAACCTTCCAGGGATCTAAATGAAGTTAGAGTAAACTTATATAAAGTGTTTCATGTTAATAAAAAAAATGTATTATATAAATATTCTTACTGCTCTGTTAACCTTTCCCAATATGTCAACCAGCAGAGTATAAAGTTCAGTAACAACAGAATTCAATGTATTAGATGAAATTTCACTATTTAAAAAACCTCCATACTTCCTAAATATGTGGTTTTTCTATGAAAAATTGGTATCATACATTCCAGTCCTAACTCTTGTCTCTGTGTCACAAAACAGTAGACAGTATTTTATGGAGACGAGGCCTCCTGCTATAGTTGGTTGTGGTGGATGCTAATTAGTATTCTGTGGCTCAGGCACAGTACAGTCCTGCATGCAAGACCATGGCATTTGTCATGTCAAATGAAAAAAAGAATACACTGCTCTACAGACAGCATGATCAAAAGTATTTGGAAAAAGTACTTAAAAAATCCCTGTAAACAGAAAAACAATACAACACACCAAACATTAACAGACGTGATCATCGTGTTATGAGATTTCTCTTTAAGAATTTTCCAATTGTTCTTTAATGAATAGTTCCCCATCATAAAAAGCCAACCGAAAAATATTTCTAAGAGATCAAAATGTCTCTTAGCAAAACGATGATACAAAAGAACAAAAACAGAGAGAAAAGATTAGTAATGCATACATCAAGAGGTAAACGGTCATTTCATGGAAAAATACATATCTGAAGTGTTGCAAGAAATTTTTATAGAAGGCATTTTTAATAAACGTGTTATCTGAAATGTATACAATTTGCAGTTATTGCTCTTGAAAGGTTTTCAAATAACTTCTGATAAAACAGTTGAAGGTGGCCATTGACCATCCTCTGATGCTTACAGCTCTCTAATTAAAGATCGGATGCTCACTTGCATAACAATAAATCTCTGCTGATCTACTTGTCACACAGTGTTAGCAGTGATGAAGTTTTACTTACCCATGTAGCTGCAAGCTATTTAAGGTGGTCCACTTTTTCCAAACATCAATGTTTTTTCTCATAGTGCCGTCTCCACTGGAAAAAAGATATTTATGAGTGCAAAGCTCCCTACAGGTGGATGACTGCACTTTAACAGATATGTCACATACAAGCTAAGTTACAAAACAAGTGTTACAAATATCAGTTAGGAAACAATCTCCATTTTCACCAACTGCAATCTGCTTTCAGCTTTTGTTTTAGGGATTTTCTAATGTATTATAGTTTTAAATTATACTTCAATTTTCAAGCAGAAAATAATGGATTTGAACAGTAAACTCCATTCACTAAGGAGATATTAATGTGCTTCCATTTGGAAAAAACACTAGCAAGACTAATTTGCAGACCTAGGACACAGAACCTAAAATACTATTGAAAATCTCAGTTAATCAACAATGACACTTTAATCAGAATTACATGAATAATGACTAATAAGAAATTTTCCACAGTTAAGCTAATATATTAGCTAAATTTTTCCTACAATCACAGGTAAACATTTCTGACTTTCTACTTTTATTTAATGGAAGTTATTTTCATGTTTTTCAGAACCTAAAATACTATTGAAAAACTCAGTTAATCAACAATGGCATTTTAATCAGAATTATATGAATAATGACTAATAAATTTTCCATAGTAATTTCAATTAAGCTAATATAATAGCTAAATTTTTCTTACTAATAGCTAAATTTTTCTTACAATCACCGTTAAATTTCTGACTTTCTACTTTTATTTAATGGAAGTTATTTTCATGTTTTTGTTAATGGAAGCTCTTTCCATGTATATTTTATAGTAAAGACTGGATTTGTTACTTTCTGTGTCTAATTTTATCTGCCCTGTTTTCCCAGAAGGTAACGCCTGTTTTTGTTGGCTTTCTCTGTAAATGCTGATTTTCCTTGATGGTCTAGCCGCGTGTACACGAGGGACTAGGTCTGCAGGATGGAATTATCCCATGAGATGTAATCCCCACTTTGCAATGGCATTCCTGGCTGTACACTAGTTGTTTGCATGGTAGAAATCCCACCACAATTTCAGAAATTTCCCCAGCTTGCAACCTCTTGCTCATAAGGTCACTGCGTTCTCAGATCTCAGAATATGATACAAGGAACGAGTTATCTTTCTGATCAAAAAACAGGGGTAGGAAAACATGAGACCCCAAGGAATACTGAAAAATTGCAACCTAGAGGAAAAAAAAACTTTAGTTCATGATGTATTTTAAATTTTACTTTAAAGAGGGCTTTTTCCAGATTATTTTAACACTCAGCTATATTCAGAGCCACCAGCTGCAAGTTTCATACTGAGTTTTGCCATGAGCAGTAACTCTGCCACTTACTGAAACAAAATGGCATTCTTCCATAATGTGGTATCGTATCTAAAGCTTGCATTCTGTGCTAACAAGTTTTGTGGCAGCTTTTGAATTCTGGTCTTGACAAACTTATGTCATTCAGAAGTCATTATCACCTGGGATCATCATCCGTGCACCTCCTATGGGAACGGAACAGATGATGTCTTTAGTTTTGTTTCTTTCCTTTTAAAAAAACTTGTTACTCAGTTATACCATGAGTATTATTTTATATCTAAACTCTAAATATCTAAAATGTTGATGTATTATCTCAAGAAAGGTATAAAAACACAAGCAAAATGAATTTCTTAAGGGCTTGAACTCCGAAATTTCTTTCATTCAACTAAATAACATAAAATCCAATGTGATTACGTATTATTTTATGACAAAGTTTTTTATATACTGTACTCACTGGAAGAACTAATACAAAATAGTTGGGGTGCACAAATTGTTCCAAGCAATAACATCCTAAAACACACCACAATAAGAGTCTACGATTCTATTTTCCTCTTACGTATTTTCTCTGTTTTGTTTTGTTTTCTCTTTATCTTTCTGCAGGCTATTGCAACCACCCCTTTCTGTTCTTTATCCAGCATCTGCTGTGCTGCTTCTCATTAAGACGTATCTACGTGTCCATCTTTTGGTTTAGGCTCACGCTATCTTTCTCCGCACCCCAAGACTTATGTACAATTGTGTCATATTCATGCACAACTTCATTTTAGTCTCTATTTGACTTGATTTCTTTAGTGGATTTGGGCTTTTTGGCCAATAAGATAAATACCTGCAAGGGACATCACATAAAATTCGATCATAGAAGAGGATCTCTTTCCTGCCGTCCACATCTATCTGGAGCCTGGGTATGCTGGAGGCATCATGGTTGACCACCATGATGCAGGGGCTGCTCAGCCTCTTGGCTTGATGGACGAGCAGGTAGCAGCGCTTGTTGTCCACATCATTCGCAATAACAAATCCCTCTGAAGGCACAGAATTGCAGTGTCAGGTGAAATGGAGCCTAAGTGGAATCACATCCTGAAATATGCGACCTCCAAAGGTCAGCCAGTGAGAAGCAGCAATCCACCAAACTTAAGACCCACAGTCAAGGTTTTCCAGAATTACGTTAAGTGGTTCAAAAAAAGGAACCAGGTGGCTCTGGATGGATTTTATGGACACTCGAATTTTGAAAGCCTCAAAAGTCATCTATTCAACAATTATTCACTTTGTGCCAATTACCATGCCAAAAATGTCTTTTCTGTTATTAGTAACGATTAACTACAAAAAAAAAAGATGAGGAGAAAGGTGTAGAAACAACAAAATCACCTTACAAATGTTTCAAAATCCTGAACACAAGCCGGGACCCTGCTCTGACTGTGAGTCAGGCTCCTAGGGTGGGGCCCCAAGCACCTGAACACGGAAGCTCTTCCCGGGAGGCTCTGCAGGCTGGGAAGTCTACTGGGTGTACCTCTGCTCATCTCTGGTTCTTCTCACACCCCCAGCAAAAAGGCAAATATACCAACAACATGTATGATCAAAGCCACTCTTCACAACAGTATGAAATGCAAAACATCCACAATACAAAAAGGAGAACCTGCTGCTACTGGGACGCCAAGGCTCTTTACTGCCAATGTGGAGAAAACAACTAAAAACAGGGAAAAGTGAAGCAGGCTTTTTAGCCAAGGCATTATCTTTAAACAATGTAAAAAAGAGGATTTCAAAAAACAGACCTAACAAATATGCCTATTAAAACAGAACTAGAGAAGTTTGCCTGAACAAAGATAGGACGAGATGAAAGCTGACTCTAAAACATCACGATGGGTATTTGTTTCCACTTAAGAGAAAGGGGCGTGGTGTCACTATAACAGCTAACATTTCCTGAGCACCTCGCAAGCTACATACTGATTCGTCCCATTTCACATGGGATGTCTAACACTGTAAGTAACTTGCCGATTAGGATTTGAACCCAGGGAGTCTGATGGTAGCTTTTAACTACACACTACTACCCTTCATGTAAGGCAGTAAGTAATAATAATAATAATAATAGTAATAATAATGAACAAAGGTGGGGGAAAGGGGAAATTGTTACTAAAAATTCAAACAGTGAAATCTATCTTCTGTAAGTAGGCTTGATAAAGAAACACCATCTGCAGCCGGGCGTGGTGGCTCACACCTGTAATCCCAGCACTTTGGGAGGCCAAGGCGGGCGGATCACGAGGTCAGGAGATCGAGACCATCCTGGCTAACATGGTGAAACCCCGTCTCTACTAAAAATACAAAAAATTACCCGGGCATGGTGGCGGGCACCTGTAGTCCCAGCTACTCGAGAGGCTGAGGCAGGAGAATGGCGTGAACCCAGGAGGTGGAACTTGCAGTGAGCCAACATCACGCCACTGCACTCCAGCCTGGGCAACAGAGTGAGACTCCATCTCAAAAAAAAAAAAAAGAAATGCCATTCGTTTTTATAGAAAACACACATAATTCTAAAATAAAGCTCCCCCATGGTATGAGTGTGTTTGTTTGAGTACTACTGACGGTGGTAGGCAAGATGTCCAGTTCTACTTCCGGTAGACGGAAAACCCAACTGCTTGTCATAGGAGACTTTAGAGCCAAATTAGCAGGCAAAGTTAGAGTCTTTTCCTTGTCTACAATCTGCCAAAGTGGCATTCCTACCATTTTGAACACAAGTCCAATGCATACCTGGAAAGGGGACATTCATGTCGGCATGTAGCATTTCAATTAACTGTGTGGTCTTTGAGCCAGGTGCTGCACACATATCTAAGATCTATTAACAAAGCAAGAAACTGTTTCATGTTTTTAAAAAACCAAATATTCTACATTTAATTTAAAGCAATTCTAGTTTTTCAATTTCTAGTCCAAGATCTAAATATACTTCTTTACAGAGTCTATAGCATGACATAATTTACTTTTAGGGATTCTACACTGCCCCAAAATCACAGAATGATATAGGTACAGTCTCCAAAGAGGATGGGAGGAGAATGAAACTGTAAGCCAGAGAGACTAAATATAGAGATGAACAAGTAAGAATCATGAAAACATAATGCTAAGGAACAGAGCTACCTAGACTCAAATCTCAGCTCAGCCAGTTAACAGCTCCGTAACCTCAGTTCAAGTACTTCTCCTTGCTTCCTTTTCCTCATCTGGAAAAATGGAGATGGTGACAGTATCTGCCCTTAGAGGGTTGTGTGAATGATAAAGCCAACTAATTCACCTAAAAAACACAGAGCAAGGCCAGGCACAGTGGCTCACACCTGTAATCCCAGCACTTTGGAAGGCCAAGGCAGGCGGATCGCCTGAGGTCGGGAGTTCGAGACCAGCCTGACCAACATGGAGAAACCCCGTCTCTACTAAAAATACAAAATTAGCAGGGTGTGGTGGTGCGCACCTGTAATCCCGGCTACTTGGGAGACTGAGGCAGGAGAATTGCCTGAACTCAGGAGGCGGAGGTTGCAGTGAGCCAAGATCGCGCCACTGCACTCCAGCCTGGACAACAAGAGTGAAACTCCATCTCAAAAAAAAAAAAAAGAAAAGAAAAAAGAGCACAGAGTAATGCTTGCCATACAATGAGCTCTCAATACATGTTCACTATCATTTTCAACCTAATTTAGCCAATCACCATCACTGAAGACAATCCATATGGTAAACAAATCAGTAAAACTAAAGGGGAGAAAATTTTCTAAACCATAAAAATTAAGTAGGACAAAAAAGAAAAAAAAAAAAAAAAGAAACTAAGATACGTACATATCACTCTCTATCCAAAGTGAAAAGAAGAAAAAAAGGACTAATTATATTAAGAAAAAATGGTTTCATCAAAACAAACAGGCATGACACTGGTAACAAGCTGCCCGCCCCCACGTTTCTAGTTGCTATATGCTACCTTATGATGAGGCCGCACGTTGAGGAGCAGTGGTGGGATCATGCTAACAGCTTCTTGACGACTAATATTTCCCTTGAGGAAAAAAAAAAAATCAGCAACAATTAGGAAAAAAAAAAAAACCGCAGACAATTTCAATCTTTGGCATTGTTTCAAAGGCAACAGGAAAACAGCACATAATCTTATACAGAATGAGAGAACTCATACTATCACACAGAACACTAAATGAGATGGATCTGTACACTAGCGGACAAATGGTTGCTATACCATTCAAATATTAGAAATTCAGGTATAATACCAACTTCCATGAAAGAAAAGGGACTTGAAGCTTACAGAGCCCCAACTCCCCATAGCAGTAGAGCACAGAAGCTAGAGGGGCAGCTCTCAAAGACAGAAATGCTATTAAATATTTAAACAAATACCTTCAACAGACAGCATCAACTTAGGACAGAAAGTGACTGTCAAATGGTTTTTCCTTCTTGCCTAAAATTCTATTTCTTAGTCCTCCACTATTTTCAGACATAGCCCATGCCCACTTTCTATTTCTCATAACTACCTTTCAAAGAGATGAAGACATCAACCACTGCTTCCATCTTTCCATCTTTAGACCTTCAATATCTAAAATTCCTCACCACACTCCCTGCCCTCTGTCTTCTCTAGTCGGCCAGGACATCTGTTACAAGGCAGAACTATTCAGGTGCAGACAAAATCCTCCTGCCCTGCCCAGCACTAGCCTCAACCACACCTCTACTTTAATCGCCTTGAAGCTGAGGCTTCTGCTCCAACACAACCCTACAAAAGCTGGGACTTCTGGAAATGAACAGCCACCCAGGCATCCATCACTCACCTTAAACTCAGGCATGTGACTGTCAAGAGCCTTAAATACAGGCTTTTACACTGATGGCTGCTAATTTTCACCTCATGGGTTTCTGGCCAGCATGAGTCTGTGGTGATTCACTCACTAGGCACACTGATTCCAAGCTTTTGAGTTATACGTGTGATCCTGATATGCCTGCCTTCTGTATCCATCCAAGGTTTTGATTAAAGCATTAAGTAAGATGGGGACATCCCGGCAGACAGTAACCAGATTCATGACCACCCTGTGTAGATGTTTTGTGGCCAGCTTTCCATAACCCAGAGGTTATTGCCATTCATCTCAAGAGCTCTCATCACGCTGACTCCTAATCAAAAACCTATACTAGTTCCCTACAACATTTGCTACCCACCCTAAACTCCCATCTCCTCCATCTTCCAAACATGCCAAAACCTGGCTCTTCCAACCTATCCATGTGTATCACACCCCACAAACCCCACGCTCTCTTCCAAGTGCAAACCTGAGCTGTTCTCTAGCAGCTTACTGATCTCTATTTGGCCTTCCATCTAGATTGAAAGTTGAGCAAGAGAATCCTTTCGTGCACTGGTCTCAAGTACGAAATGGGGTTATGTGGCAGCACTTAGTTCCTGGTTCTTGTTACTATTCAGGAAGGAAAAGCCAGGCAGACACAAGCCCAGTTTAGTCGGTTACTTAGATGACAGAAGGCCAAAGTGAAAAAGAACCATAATCTGGTGACACACAGATTTACTAGAAGGTAGTAGTTTAGAAAATAGGAAGGACGAAACCTCTGATTTTAAATGTGAGACTAAGAATTCCAAAAAAAATACCCAAACTTTATGGGCATTCATTGAATTATTTAGTACATAAGCAAATAGCTGTTTTGCTGGGGATGCTCTGATGCTAAAGGTAAAAAGCTCAGCACCTTAACTGCACTCAAGGAATGTGGGTGGCTACGGAGAATGTGAAGACAGATGCCGTCCTGTGAGGACCAAAGCTGTGCTTAGGGGTTTTGTGGTGCTTAGGTGTTTTGTGGTTACCAAGAGCAATGTGTGGTAAGAAAAAAAAAAAACACAGTAAAAAGTAAAATCAAAAGCTTCATTTTTAGTAAAATAAATCAATTTTAAAAAACAGAACCAAAAACCTATTCCCTACCAAGATGGCCTTAAAAACATACTACTTTTTATGTACAACAGGCATCTGAAATGTGTACCTAAGAAGGAAATGAGAGTGCAGTGCTCACCCCAACCCTATAGCCATCCAAATACACAAGCAAGAGGAAACAAGAAATTAACTAGCTGGCATCGATATCCTTACTAAATTTCATGACTAGATAAACCAAACAAGGCAACGGATATACAAATAATCAGAAATCACAGGTGGTGCACACACTGCAGTTGTCTTTACTGTGTGTGATGTCCACCTACTGCTTCTAGTGACAAGAACCTAAAAACAGAACTACACTACATCTATGCATTTACAGCTTTAAGGAAACTAGCAAGTCTAAAGAAATCAACTTACAGATTCTGTTTCACTAACTAGAAACTGATGAAACTTTTCCAAGTGTGGCGATTTTCTCAAGATTTTTCGACTTAAATTTGTGTGCCAGGCAAGTTCTTCAGGATACCTGACCAAAAAGAAAGCAAAACATTTATGGATTATAAATACTAAAGTCGTCTGTTGACAACTTTGTGCTTCTATCAGTCGCATGCCAAATGAGACTTCGAATGTTGTTCTCCCTGCTCCTATTCACAATCCTCTACGGACAGTCAGCAACACTCAGAGATGTCGCTGTAGGCTTAAGGAACATGGCTCTAGCTACACCGTGGCCCAATCAGAAACAGGAGAGCCATGGGGGTTACAAGATTATGCATATTACTGTAAAATTATAATGATGAAACGCTCGAGATCAGATGAAAAAGCGGACACTCCTCTGCTCTTCACCATTATAAGGTAACAATGGTAAGGTCATCAGAAAAAAAAGATACAAGATGACTTACTTAATGTGCAGATCACACAGAATCAAAATAATGCAGTGTCAGAGTGTCCCACAAATACCTGATTAGTTTTTTAAAAAATATATTTTTCATTATTTCTAACACCAGTTCAATAATGCACTAAAATATTTTACATACCAAAAAAATCCTACCTTGGAAACCACTAATGCATTAACTTGAGCTCCTAGGCTGTTACCTATATATAACTAAGAATAAAGCATTTCCTGCCATCATATCTGTGAATATATTTGAACTTTCTATAAATGATGACATCAATGTTATTTTTATTTTTTTTATTTTTTTTAATTAGGGGAGAAATGGGGGATACTAAAAACACTGCCTTTTTTTTTTTGAGACAGTCTCACTGTCACCTAGGCTGGAGTGTAGTGGTGTAATCTCAGCTCACTGTGACTTCTGCCTCCTGGATTCAAGTAATTCTCATGCCTCAGTCAGCCACCTGAGTAGCTGGGATTACAGACGTGTATTTTCAGTAGAGATGTGGTTTTGCCGTGTTGGCCAGCTTGGTCTCGAACTCCTGGCCTCGAGTGATCCGGCCGCATCAGTCTCCCAAAGTGTTGGGATTACAGGCATGAGCCACTGTACCCCACCCAGGATGTGCTTTGAAACTTGGCCTGCACCTATACAGGCATCTGCACCGTACAAATGAGCACACTGATGTCATGCAGCACCATGCTCAATCCAATGCCAAACCAAGTGTACCACGTCACACGGCCATAAATCTTAGTGTAGTTTCAGCAATTCTCACTAAACCTGAGATGCAGTAATACACTCAATTTAACAATGCAGGCTCACAATGTTTCCATGCGTCAAATTGTAGCTAGAGTGAAAACCATGAAAATAAAACTGGAATGTCTGGAAAACACAAACACATTTGACTGCTTTTAAACTCTGATTTTTTGATGGAAACAAACTCAGGACTTAAAAGCCCGACACTGCTCAAGTCAAAATATTACAAAATATACCTGAAAAGCATTTTCTACCAAATAATGAAGACGAAACTGGCTGAATCTGTCCACGGCCACCCTCCAAAGGTCCCCAGCGCTTTGATTCTATCTCATATAGCCCAGTTCCCTCCTCGACATTTAATGTGTTCAAAAATATAAAGCCAAAAGAAAATCATATTCATAAGGCAATTTTAAAAAGAATTGTTTTAAATAATCTTTTGGACTCATTAGAGGCGAAATAGTAGGTTACATGCAAATTTGGCATTTGCTATAGTATTGGGCAAATATCTGCTGTGCCACTGTAACCTCTACTTGCAAACAGCCAAATGCCAGCTCATATAGTATCTGGTCTTCCTGAACTTGTCTGTCTCAAAGCTAGTACGATCATGTAAGTTATTGCCTTACCAAATCACTAAGACATCAATATGAACACCACATGCCATTTAGACTTATTGTAAAGAGCTGAATTTTCATTTTCAAATATAGATAAGCAGTCTAGATATACTTTGAACAAATATAGCCTTATATGTCTTTTTCGTCAAATTTCTGATAGTCAAAATGTAAACGTACTATTACAAGATTAAAATTCTACAGTATTTATAATTGTGAAGGCTGTTGATCTCATGTAAAGAAACATTTAGGAACTCTGAAATATTTAAATACAAACAGAAACTAACAGATAAATGTTTATTTCCTCTGGGTACAGAGAACAGCCTGGGCAACAAAGCGAGGCCCTGTTTCTACAAGAAATGTTTTTAAATTATGTTTCTTATACAGCTTTAGGAACAGCATCATCTTTTTATGAACCAAAAAATGTTTATTAAATCTTTGTAGATTTTAACATCAAACAAAATGAGAGGTATATTTAATTTTTAGTTACTTACTTCAAATTTAGCTTGTGTCTTTTAAGAAAAAATCCTATTTGGGCTTTTTAGAGGATAAGTTAAAAGGACCACTGTCATCTTTGCATATTAAAAATTCTCAAGTGGTAAGGACTCTGTAAATATATACAACATCTATGACAAACCATCCTCAATCTAGACATTAAAAAGCACGTAACAGGCGAGGTGCAGTGGCTCATGCCTGTAACACCAGCACTTTGGGAGACCAAGGTGGGCGGATCACTTGAGGTCAGGAGTTCAAGACTAGCCTGTCCAACATGGCAAAACCCCAACTGTACAAAAAATAGAAAAAATAGCTGGGTATGGTGATGGGGGCATGTAATCCCAGCTACCTGGGACGCTGAGGTGGGAGGATCACCTGAGCCCAGGAGGTGGAGGTTGCAGTGAGCTGAGATCATGCCACTGCACTCCAACCTGGGCAACAGAGACCTTGTCTCAAAAAAAAATATAAGTAAACAGCACATAAATAGAATGATAATAAGGTGCACTCTGAACAATTGGTTGTCAAAACAATGCTTCTATAAGAATGCTTTAGGATAATTTCTCATTGTTCTGAGTCTATGGAAAGTAAGAAAAAAATGAAACTGGCCCAAGCTATGGTCCTATACATAACTTTCCTTCTAGAAAATGTAATTTCAAAAAACGTTTTCCTAAATTATATTTCACTATGTACCAGAGGATTGGGAAGAATATTACATGATCTATTCCTGCATCTTGAGCAATACAGAAAATTACCAGAAGTCCTGGAAAGCTTCTGCTTTACTTGCTTGCTGAGAGATTTAGTACCCTAAAACTGACAGATGAATTTGAATAAATAAATGTTTAGAGAATACAGCTGCCAAGAAACTGGCATTGGCCAGGAATGGTGGCTCATGTCTGTAATCCCAGCACTTTGGGAAACCAAGGCAGGAAGATTGCTTGAGCCCTGGAATGCAAGACCAGCCTGGGCAACAAGGTGAAACTCCATCTCTACAAAAAAATAAAAAAAATTAGCCAGGCGTGGTGGCATGCACCTGTAGTCCGAGCTACTCAGGAGGCTGAGGTGGGAGGATCACTTGAGCCTAGGAGGTCAAGGCTGCAGTGAACCGTCATGACATCACTGCACTCCAGCCTGGGTGACAGAGTGAGACCCTGTCTCAAAATAAAATATAGAGAAACCATCATTGATAATGGAAAAAGCCAAATATTAGAAACCCAGATCTACAATGTTTTGTTCATACCCTTCAGCTGTGTGTTCAGAAAATTAAAGCAAACAAAAACATAGCTGGCTGTTGGCAGAGAGCAATTCACCTTCATTCTTCAACTACAGACAACCTGCAGATTCTAAGAGTTTGGTAATTACCTTGTCATATACCCAGACACATTGTTAAACAAGGTGGAAAAGCAGCTATGAAATGTTAAAAGGGCTGATCAAATCCAAGTGTAACTGTAGTTTGCAGAGAATAATAAAAAACTAGCAAGCCTTATTGACATCGTATGGTTTCTCCTAGTTTGTTGGAGCCTGCAGAAGAAAATGCCCACATGGAGGTGCCTTAAGAGCACACCTCTTCCCTATAGACACATGCTGAAACGTTCCTCCTGGACAGGAACTTCTTCATCTTAAAAGCATTTCTTATCCCGTCTCTGCGCTTCTAAACACAAGGTTTTAGAAACAAATGTTTCCAGGTGATTGTGTGAAGCAGCACATACATGCATCACTGCTAAAAATACAAACATGCCCGAGGAGAATCGTAATCCTGTCTTCTTAAAATATTTTAGATGGTTTGGCTCTGTGTTCCCACCCCAATTTCACCTTGAATTGTAATATTCCCCACGTGTCAAGGGCAGGACGAGGTGGAGATAATTAAATCCCCGGGCCGTTTCCCTCATGTTGTTCTCACAACAGTGAGTTCGTTCTCAGGGGGAGATCTGATGGTTTATTAGGGGCTTCTTCCTTTGCTCAGCACTCATTCTCTCTCCTGCCACCCTGTGCAGAGAGATCTTCCGCCATGATTTTAAGCTTCCTGAGGCCTCCCCGGCGATGTGGAAATGTGAGTCAATTAAGCCTATTTCCTTTATCTATACATTACTCAGGTATGTCCTTATAACAGTGTGAAAATGGACTACTACAGTATCAGACCTCTACTTCAAGTACAACACAATCAGTGTCGTCAATCAAATCTTCAAACCAAACGACTTGAGCAAAGTCTACAACCTAGTTACCAGGAGGAAGAAAAGCTTGATCTCGTGAAGGTTACCTCATCTCAGCAATGCCATAACTAGAGGCTGAAAAACATCTACCTTTTCCACTGATCTCACTACAGTGGACAATTAGTGACCACTAACAGCAACGTAGCACCCGTATCATTTTCCTATACTGTACCCTTCAAGCTTTTAAAAATCTAAGATGTGGCATATCTATTCTTTTTTCCCTTTTTGAGACATGGTCTCGCTCTGTGGCCCAGGCTGGAGTGCAGTGGCATGATCTTGGCTTACTGCAACCTCCACCTCCTGGGTTCAAGCGATTCTCATGCCTCAGCCTCCCTAGTGTCTGGGATTACAGGCGTGTGCCACCATGCCTGTCTAATTTTTGTATTTTTAGTAGAGATAGGGTTTCACGATGTTGGTCATATTTATTCCTATATCCCAGCAACACATTCCATGATGGTGATATTCGGTCTTGATACTGGTTGAATACTGACTTAATGTTTGGCCAGTCAGCATTCATTGTGAATGTATATGCTTATCTGTGATAGGGACAATGAAAATCCAAATAGCCAATGAAAGAAAAACAAGCAAATCTGTACCCCATGATTAATGAAAATCTGACCTTGATTTGCGAACACTAAAGGTTATCCAAAAAGGAAAGATAACACTACGTACTGGAATAGTCAAAACCTCAAAAGTTGATGCAAAACGCTTAATTTGGCAGGGCGCAGTGGCTCACGCCTGTAATCCCAGCACTTTGGGAGGCCGAGGTGGGCGGATCATGAGGTCAGGAGATGAGACCATCCTGGCTAGCAAGGTAAAAACCCGTCTCCACTAAAAATACAAAAAAATTGGCCGGGCGTGGTGGCGGGCACCTGTAGTCCCAGCTACTCGGGAGGCTGAGACAAGAGAATGGCGTGAACCAGGGAGGTGGAGCTTGCAGTGAGCCAAGATGGTGCCACTGCTCTCCAGCCTGGGCGACAGAGTGAGACTCCGTCTCCAAACAAACAAACAGACAAACAAAAAACGGCTTAATTCACCTTTTCGTGCATTACTTTTCTGAGAACTCAATACCTCAAAGTTAATAATAACGACTTTCCCACTTATGTAAGTTAACTGAAGGACTGGCGCCTCCGGAGTTCTCCAAGCATCTTTACAAGATGCTATCAGCACAAGGGATCACCTTCATACAACTGAGACTAGAACCGAGCCATGAGGAATAGGTAACCCAGAAGGCACCTCCAGGACAGGTCAAGAAAGAGGTAGCTCCCAGAGTAGTAGCACGCTTGGGTGCTGAGACTCGGAAATGCTACATTGGCTGGTGCAGTCTGTACTGCGAAGTACCAGGAGACAACCTGACAGCAGACAGTGGTAACCTGTCTGTAATGGAAAACACTAAGAGACTACCTACCAGGAGACTGTTGTCAAGCTAAGTCTGTCCTTTTTCTGAAGGCAAAGCAGCCACTCTGCAACAGTTTTGATGTGAGAAAACAAGGGCTGTAAAAGGGAGCTGGCGGAAGTGGTGACATAAAGGAAGAGGCTGGATGTACTAGGAAGAGCTGGCTGAAATCAGTGACTCATAAAGCTGCAAATCGCAAATCGCATGAAAACTTGCGTAGCAATATAATGTTGATAAAAGCACCAGGTACTAGAACATTAGGATGTTTGCAAAGTATACCCAAGCTCTTTAACAGCAAATGCAGTACCAAGAAATATAATTCAAGTGATAGAGATTAATATCCCAAATAAATATTCGGCATGAAGCACTGTGGTACCTACCAAC
The DNA here is from genome assembly GCF_000001405.40 of Homo sapiens. Classification (NCBI taxonomy): domain Eukaryota; kingdom Metazoa; phylum Chordata; class Mammalia; order Primates; family Hominidae; genus Homo; species Homo sapiens. The sequence goes on from NC_000005.10 coordinate 6,631,877, forward strand.
TCAGTGGCTGTGGAACTTCAACTTTCTGACCGTCCACCTCCAGGTCCTCCAATTCCTTAAAATATTTGTTCTTTAAGCAATGGAGAATCTCTTTTGCGTGGCTATTGAAAAATAAGGAAGTTTCAAACTGATCTAAAAAACTAAGTTAATACATTGTATCTTCTTAAATTTAAGACTGCAAGTGTTTTAAAACTAAAACCAACTTTTGCATGGAGAGTAAACATTCTTTAGTCACTACTTTTACACTGTATGCCTTCAAAATTTAAGCAATCCACACTGTTTGAGCCCTAAGAGCAACACTGCATTCCTTCTCTCCTAAGCATATCCTACCGTTAAGTTTTACTTGCGACTCATTTAGAAAGATGTAACTACAAAGATGGAGGGGGGGCGCGGAGGAGGGGAGAACCAAGGGGTTTTATGCATTCTCTATAAATTCTCTTACGTTCCAAAAGGTAAGACCCTCAGCTTCCCTCCTGGAAGATTCCCCAGGAGCCGAATCTTCCTCAGATCTCATTTTCATTTCGTCTTCTAACCTTGCGCCTGCAATACCTCCGTGACCATTTCATTGGACCCTGTGCTCCCCACCTCAATGCTTCCTGAATCCAAACCGCTGAAACGCCACGGTTCTCTGGCACTGTAACACTTGTCGAAGAAAACACCGTCGCCTTTAACCTCCAGCATCCTGGCCCCAACTCCCAAAAAATCAGGCACTGCCTCCCTACCTTTTGTAACCAGTAATTCTTAAAGTGGCCGGGAGCGGCTCCCTGAGAGCGTCCATGAACTGGCCCCACTCGCCCTCGGGCACGATCTTGAGCTCCTGGTAGTAGTGCTCGAACAGCTTGTTCTCCTTGACGATCTCGGGGTAGCCTCCTTCCCAGCCCTGAGGAAGGAAAGAGACGTCTACCCCGAGGCCCAAGGAGCCGCCCCCTCGCCGCCGCCTCGCAGGCCTCGGGGTCCGGGAAGCCCAGGAGGAGCCCCTGGCCCGCCCGCCGGGTCCCGGCTCCTACCGCCTCGCCGCGCTTTCCACCACCCTCGGCGCCATCCTCCGCGTCCTCCGGCCGCTGCTGTTGCTGGAGCCGCCGACCCCGCGACCGCCGCCCCATAGCCCACGCGGCCGCGCACGCAGCACGCAGAAACCGGCCCGCCACGGCCAGAACTCTAGCCCTACACCTCCCGGGACTTCCGGCCGGAAACCAAGGCCCCACGTGTCCGGGCCTGGTCCTTTCGGGGACCTTTGGGGACCGTCCAGGAATAAGCCCAAAGCGCACAACCCGTCTTTCAGAAAAGCGGCGTGACAGGGAAAACAGCGAACAGCTCTAAGGGGAAAAAAATGCTCCAGGAAGCAGCCACAAAGGCGTCTCCGCGCGAAGCGCCCAGGTTTCCCACGCGGGCTCAAGGAGCTCCGCGGACAGCCTGAAGCCGCGCGTGCGCAGAGCGGCGCGGGGTTACTGCGGCCCCGGCGTGGGTGGGGCGCTTGCAGGTCCCTCCCCGCGCAAGTGCTCGCCCCGCCCCCGGGGCCGCACCCACAGCCCCGGCTACCCCGGAGAAGCCTGACTTGAGAACCCTTTCTGCAGAGTCCCGGCAGTGCGGGACTCCGGTAGCCGCCCCTCCGGTAGCCGCCCCTCCTGCCCCCGCGCCGCCGCCCTATATGTTGCCCGCCGCGGCCTCTGGGGCATGGAGCACGCTGCCCAGCCCTGGCGATGGCAACGGCGACGGGGGTGGCGGAGGAGCGCCTGCTGGCCGCGCTCGCCTACCTGCAGTGCGCCGTGGGCTGCGCGGTCTTCGCGCGCAATCGTCAGACGAACTCAGTGTACGGCCGCCACGCGCTGCCCAGCCACAGGCTCCGAGTGCCGGCGCGGGCCGCCTGGGTGGTGCAGGAGCTGCCCTCGCTGGCCCTGCCGCTCTACCAGTACGCCAGCGAGTCCGCCCCGCGTCTCCGCAGCGCGCCCAACTGCATCCTCCTGGCCATGTTCCTCGTCCACTACGGGCATCGGTAACGTCCCCGGCCCCCGGCCCCCTACCCTACTCCCGGCCCGGCGTCCTCTCCGACCCTCCCCTCACTGCCCGGTGCCCTCTCCCCGAAGCCTCCCCCACCCAGATGCCCTCTCCCTGCCAGATCCCCCGGGGCGTCCCCCATCTGCACGGGTGCCCTTCCCCGAGTCCCCCGGCCCCGGGAGTTTGGAAACCAGAAGGGATTCGTCTGGAAAGGGCGGGAAACAAAGGACTGGAAGGGAGTGATGGAAAAAAACATGATGAAACTGATCTGGAAAGAGCCACTCAGTGGTCCTAGGTTTGGTTTCCTTAGCCGGGCGCGGTGGCGCCTGTCTGTGATCCCAGTTACTCGGGAGTCTGAGATGGAAGAATCGCTTGAACCCGAGAGGCGGAGGTTACAGTGAGCCGAGATCTCGCCACTGCCCTCCAGCCTGGGTGACAGAGCGAGACTCTGTCTCAAAATTAAATATATAAAAATAAAGAGTTAAAAAGTAAAAATGTAAAATAAAAATGAAGACTAGATTTTGTTCCCTTAGATCACGACTGTGGGGGCGGGGGGGAGGGGGTTGGCCTAGAGTCTAATGCTGATGGTCGGTCTTGAGGGCCACTGGTTTCTACTCCTTTCTGCCGGTTCCCCTTTTGGTATCTTTGGTGATGGTGGAGCTGTTTTCTCCCAGCCAAGTGATCAGCTGCAACTGGAAACCTGCTGTCCTAAAACTGCCTAGCAGTTTCTCCTTATAGGCTTGATCACTTTCAGAGACTTTCATGTCCACCTTATGCAAGGGACCCCAGGATTGTGGGGGTGGAAAGCCAGCAACCTTAAACCTTAAACAAACGAAGTCTTAAAGATGACTTCTAAATCTTTCAAGGTTTTTGTTTTTTTGAATATTTGAAAACTGGCTGTGTCTGAAATCTTCAAGCCTTCTAATAAGTTGGGGTTCTCTCCAGGTCGTATCTTTTGGCTTTTACACAGCCAAAGCAAACGACAGGTCGAAAGTTCAAAATTAAATTTTAAACGTTTTCATTCAGGCTCTGGAAAGCTTCACAGTTAAAAAGGATGTCTCTACACCCAAGGAAGTTGAACTCACTGGCTGTGTGACTATGGGCAGTTTACCCAACCTTTCTGATTTGGGGTCCCACCTTAAAACACTCACTTCCCAGAGAGACAGGAAGAACTCAGTGTGTGTTTATAAGCCTCTCTTCTTTCTCCTGGTGTCATGCATTCCAGCGAAGAGAAAGTACACAGCTCCACTACTTGGAACCAGTGTTGTACCCAGCACAGTTTTTGGTACCTGAGTTCCCTGAAAACCAGCACCTTACCCTGTAACTGGTGCAGTCTGTGTCCTCAGTGTGCTTTGATGACTTGCACTTTAAACAAGGGCAAGTCAACATTCATCAGAGGCTTAGTGAGTACTGTGTGCCTGAAACTCTTTACCATTGCTTTATTTTTTTTTTGGAATGGGATCAACCATTGCTACAATTTGAATATTAGTCAGACTTTGCTGTTTGTATATACTTTTCCATAAATATACCAGAAGCTGTATGTCTGTTTCTTTATGGCTAAAAGCAATCTCAGGTCAGAGTATTCGGTGCTATCCTAGTCCCATCAGTCATGACCCTGGATGAGTTACTAAGCTGCCCCGCAGCAAGGTTTCCCCACCTGTAGAATGGGCATGGTGATGGAACCCCCCTGTGGGATCACATGAATTTAGAGCAAAGGCAACTCCCTAAAATGCTTGCATGGTGCTGGCGCATCTGCGTGCTCAGTACACAATACCTAGCACTATTTTGCATTGCTGTGAATGCACATCCAGACATGTACTCTGTGTGTCATTCATGTGCACTGCTGCCAGCCTCATGTGCCAGCAAAACTGTGGTGTTGGAAATCAAGGGAACACTTGACAAAGTTTTGCCTGACATCCCAAGTGGAAGCTTTTTAACTTGAGACATCATGTTTCATTGTACCTACATTCACTCAAGCAGAAAAATGAATGCAGCCTCCCAAAGGGCCAGAGTCACCTTGAATGATAGAACTTGAACAGCTCATTCATACAGAGTAGAACACGGAGGCACAGCATGCTGCTGTCTTCCCTGAGGCTGTTGGATAAGGAGCTGCTGGGATGAAAGCCCACTTCCTATACTAATAGTTTAAAAGCTGCTCCAAGAGGATTGGCTGGGTCAGGTATAGTTTTTTTTTTAAATTGCTAGGCTATTTTTTTTTTGAGTTGTACATGTTATTGTGTACATAGTCTATGTGGTTTGGGGACATTTACATTTTCCAAATAGAAAAGATAAACATTTTCCATTCTACCCAAGCAACTAATTTATTAAACAGTCACTTGATCTAAGTCATGAGCACTTGGAAGAGAACCAGAGTGGAAACAGCATTTAGCACTGAACACAAACCATCCCAGCAGCCCCTGGAAGCGTCCTGGAGCCCTTTATTTGCACAGGGCCCTGCAGAGAACGGAGAACACCACACCCGGTGAGAGGAGGCTGTGGGTACAAGGATGACTCTTATGAAAGGCAGGAGAAAAGTGAGCCTGAGGAGGCGCTGGCCAGGCAGAGCCAGTACCACCTTACACAACCTGACAGGTGTGCACACAGGCCCTGTGCTGACCTGTGAGGTTTCGCTGGAGTGAGGTTGGGCCCTGCCTTGGGGAACTAGAGCCTCTTTTGGGAGTGGCAAGGACCAGAGCCAGGTCCAGGGACTTTCCACAGTCCATGAGGCCTGAAGGCAGCAGCAGAGCTACAGCTCTTCCCAGAGCAACTGACTGTTCTGGGAACAATGAGTACAGGACAGTCAGGTCAAGGAGGGAGGAAAGGTGAAGGAAGGGATAGAGGGAATGGTGCGCTTTCATGTATTTATTCAGCAAACACTTAAGGAAGACTTACGTGCCAGTGAGGATTTCTGGACCTGGCGTTGTGCTGGGGATATAGTGACAAGACATTCCCTTTGAGTTGAGGAGTAAAAGACAGGTTATGGAGAATCTATGGGGTCTTTTGGACACAAACACCAGGGAGGGAAGGACAGGCTGCCTGGAAGGGGACAGGGCTGGGGTGGGGGGATAGCCATGACGCAGGACGAGCTGTGGTCCTGACCAGTTCCCCCAGGAGGGCAAAGGACATTTTCAGGAACATCTTTAGGGCTCACGGTAGCGACAAGGATTGCCTGCCTCCTATCTGTGCTGAAGCCTCCTTCTGATCCCAGGGCGCTTGGGTTCTTGGGTGCAGGGGCGGCAGCGTCTCACTGGGGCCCTAGTCATGTAGAGCATGGAGTGGCGTCTGGCATGGTGGCAGCCCCTGGAGGCAGGTGCCTTCCCCAGCCTCCTGGCAGGCCTCCCTAGGGCCTTCCGAAGCCTGTGCCTACTCCTATCACCTTTGCCCTCTGCTCTGTGATTACAGTGACGCCCCGCTGCATTTACCCTGTTCCCTGGCCCTCTATTTTGTCTCCCTGGGCTGGTGCTGTAACCCAGGTCCTCATCATCTGTGTTGGTTCTTGCTGGGCTTCTTCACTCTTCCCCACTGGTCTTTCTCTACCCTCGTTTGTAAATCCTGCTTTGCTAGACACAGCAAAAGTCTCCCGGAGTCAAGGGCATTAGCTCTGAACTGTGTCGGAGTCGCTGGGGGGCTTTGCAGACTGTGCCTGACCTCATGCTCTTTCTCTCCACCCACGCAGCTTTGTTCAGTATTCCCTGAACCCAGGCTGCTTTGCTCATGGATTTTCCTTCCCCACTATCAGCAGTGAATTAGTCAGGGGATTGTCTCTGCATTGCACATTCATTTAACAAATAACTCCGAGGAGCCTGAGCAGGAGGTGCCGCTTGCCACGGGAGTCCTCAGTGACTGCCTTTGTTAGGACTGGTGGCCAAATGGTGCCCAGAGTGCACAGTCAGATGCCCAGAGGCCTCCTCTTTCTGACACCTGTCCCAGGTTTGTACTCAGCCAGGTCCATGACCTTGTGGGACTTTGCTTCTGTCTTTATCTCTGACGATGGTGCCTCAAAACATTGCACCTACTTTGATTCCTTGTATCTCTCGTGTAATCCTATTAATGGGCTCCTGTGGGGAGCCTAGCCCAGCTTCACTTTTAAATGTGCGGTGGGTAATGTTAAAACACAGCAGGGAACTTTGAGGGTGAAGTGTGTTAAAAGATAAACTCAGGTGCATTAAAATTGTAGTTTTTTTAGGCTGGGCGCAGTGGCTCATGCCTGTAATCCCAGCACGCTGGGAGGCCGAGGAAGGTGGATCACACGAGGTCAGGAGATCAAGACCGTCCTGACCAACATGCTGAAACCCTGTCTCTACTAAAAATACAAAATTTAGCTGGGTGTGGTGGCGCATGCCTGTAATCCCAGCTACTTGGGAGGCTGAGGCAGGAGAATCGCTTGAACCCAGAGGTGGAGGTGCAGTCCAGCCTGGGCAACAAGCACTAAACTCCATCTTAAAAAGAAGTCATAGCGTTTTTTGGAGCAGACCAATTCATGAATCAGCACCAAACCACAAGCAGTATGAGCTCCACCTAGAAGGTGTGTGGGAAAGCCATTTTGTAAGACGTGTTTGCACAAGCAAGACAAAGGAAGCATTTGATTGGTCAGAGTGGAAAGTTCCGGAGGTTAGTGGGTGGTTTCTCCTTGGAACAATCTCTCATTAGAAGTCAATTGGCAGTTTCTGATTGCTTTAAGTTTCCTTCCACTGTTGGGTTTCCATGTGCTTATGTAAGACACAAGACACCATCTCAGCCTGATGGCCTTCTAATTAATTTGTTTTAATAAGGGCATACTGAATCCTTGGCCCTTGCCTCATAGATTGGAATAATCTGAGAAAAGAAAAACTTCTATTCAAAAGTGTAGGATGATGAAAAGTGAAATAATGATAGCCAAGCACTTATTTTAAGCATGCTTTGTTGGCAGCTGTGCAATTTGGCCATCATTTCAAAAGTCTTTTACAGAAGGAAAGGCTAGGTGAAAGGAACAGACCCAAATCTAGGAAGTGCCATAGATTTCAATGGTCTCACGTTGTTAGGGGAAAAAAGCAATAAAGTCGATCATTAAAATTAACCACTCTCAGTTTTAAACATTTAAAAATTATTAAATCCACCATGACCTAAATTACTCCCATATAACCAAATTCTCTATTTCATTGTTCCCAAACTTGGGGGTACAACATTATAGGTTGTCCTGAAAGATGACGTCCAGACGCTTTGAGAGTCAAATCATTTGCTGAATAAATGCCTTGTTGTTATAAGTAAACCAAGGGATTATTATTCCAGTTTGTTGGGAAAATATTTCAAGACATACTTCTTTAGTTCCCTGTGTGAATTAAACAGGCATAGAACTTGCTTGCAAGACGACAAAACCCAAACATCTTACTTTAAACGCTTTAAAGAATAGTCATTCCAAGTAGTTGCTTGCATTTTCATCCTCTGGAATGCATACTGTGCTATATTTTGAGTCTTTCCCCTTTGGAGCAGGTCCCATCGAGCATATGAGTATGAACAGTTATTTACCAGTTACTTGGGTTTATACTGTATGGGTAATTCTGCCCGTTTGAATAGCTGGAGAAATCACTCAAGTGCTGCTTAGGAGCAGACGTTTGAGAAGCTCAGAGTTCTCAGTGCCCTTGTGTGGGTGCCACCCCACAGCCCTCGCGGACAGTAAGAATGGACATGGAGGCAGCCCCGATGATTTTGTTCTTTTCAATAATCCATTTTTCTTCCTGGGTGCTTATAGGGCACTTTCTTTTTCCTTAGATGGATAATCTGTGTTTGCTTGTTTATTAATTTCGCCTGATTTTCTCCAAGCCTTTTTAGGAAATTGAATTTAGCCCAGGAAATTGAATTTCTCCGTGTCTCTCATTCTGTCTGTTCTGAATGTTAGGTGCCAGGACTTAAGATACTTGTCAATATTGTATGTGAACAAACTTACAGGTGAAATACATGCTTGTTGTAGAAAACTTAGAAAATAATTCAAGGAAAGAAAGAAAAGTTGCCTATAATTTCATCTTAGAGATAAAACTGACGATATTGTGGTATTATCTTTTTCCCATATCTTTCATTGCTTTTAATAAGTTTTTTTCTAAGCAGTAGAGATACACACATACACATACAACATCTTGTAACCTACTTTTAGCAGTTGGTAAGTATTTCTTCTGACTTAATAGAAACACTTAATGAAAATGACTGACAGTGAGGATTTCATATGCTTGGGCCAGACATTCCCATGTCTCAACGGGTCCTCATGGTGTGGTGGCTGGAGCACCTGGGAAAAGGGACATTGCCAGCCAGCCCTGCCTCTGTGATGTTCTCTGGCCATGTCACCATATTCCTGTGAGCTTCCACGTTCTGATCTGTAAAATAGGGATAATAGTCACAGTTTTGCAGTGTAAAAAAAGGGCATTTAGTATAGGATTAGGAATTATTAGAAACACTTTGATAAGGAACTATAAGATGCACTTTTATATTATATCTAAGCTTGTAAACTTAACCAAAAGGCAACTGCAAATCGTCCTGGCCATTAAAGCACCAAATAAATTCTGGCACATTAATACTCTCAGTTCAGCTCCATCATCAAACATGTCTCCCATTCCTGGTGGCCTCACAGACACCAAGGTTTGCAGTTTTCATGGGTTATAAAAACAACTTGATGAAAAGCAAGTCTTATTCTTTTTTTTTTTTTCAATTGAGATGGGGTCTCCCAGTGTTGCCTGGGCTGGTCTCGGAACTCCTGGGCTCAAACAGTCCTCCTTCCTTGGCCTCCCAAAGTGGTGGGATTACCACCACACCAGGCCAAAGCCTTGTTCTTTGCCTGGAAAGAAATAAGATAAAATAGGAAAATTATAACATGACAGAGAACAAAGTGTCAGATTTAATCTTACATTTACTCTGATTAATCAGCAAACAGAATCTCTGTGTAGCTTCCCAGACCTGACTGTTTTGTATTCGTTAGCTTGTAATCAGAACAGAAAACAGATATATGACACATTACTCAACATCCTTTTTAATCCAAGTGCTTCATAGTTTCTCTTAAAAATGGTTTCCATCTTAAGGGACTGTCACCTTCTTGTTCAATCCTTTATTTTCTCAAAGAGAGGGAATAGTTGTTTCCCATTGTTCCTCTATGGAAGGGTGATTTTGGGTGCGAATGGGATGGTGTAGGAGAAGGGGCTGTGAGTGCCCATGCCTGTCCTAACTGGGGTAGTCTGGGCCGCAGACTGATGTGCTGTGAGTTCCATGAGTAATTTATGTCCAGGCAGGTGCACCCACCTTCCTTGCTATCTGAAATTGGCCCCATGGCCCTAAGTAGGACCCTGTCATTTATGCCTGGGGTCCGCTGCACTCTCTCAAGTGCTGTCGTCCCTCTAGAGTCTAAACAAAGACTCAGGTAAAAGCCATGCCCAGACACCTTCTTCCCGACCCCACCCCACGCGAGTTCCAAATTGGCCACAGTCAAAGGAAAATCTTCACCGACAACAATGGATTTCCAAGGAAGTAAACTGAGTAAAGCTAAAGGGAATGGCCCGCAAGAAGAAAAGCCTTCCAGGAGATGCTGAGAGGGGCAGAGCGCTTCCTTGGAGCGGAGTGCTAGGTCCAAGTCAGAGCTCTCTAGAGGGAGGGAAGTCAGGAAGAAGATCTCACCTTCTCCTAGCAACTGGAGGCAGAGGCAGCACTCCCCTCCTCTCCCCTGTCCACCACTCTGTTGACTTCAGCGGTTTTATGACAGGCCTATAGGCATCAGGGTTACTGGTGTCCCCTTCCAGGGCAGGAATCAGAGAACACCAGAAGAGACTGGTGTCGATCTTTGTAAGGCTCGGTTTCCAGTCCTTGCAGTTCTCAGACATTCACATGAGACAAAAAAGAGGGACAAATCTTATCCTGAGGTTCTTTGTGAATGTCTTATCCAGGGCATGTGCTAGAGCAGAAGTCATTCAAAAATGCAGCTACGCAGAAGCACGTCCTCACTCCCAGAGCACAGCCAAACCTAGACCGCAGCAGCTGCAGCCATGTAGCACCAGTGCCCTGAGCAAGTTGATGTCAAGTTGATGTCTCCAAAATATAACACACTTGTGCTAATTCAGACTAATTGTCAGCAGGCTTTTCTGGAAAGAGCCAGGTAGTGCATATCTTAGGCTTTGTGGGCCAAGATACTGGGTAGGTATTTACGATGAGAGAAAACACATTTTCACAAAAGTTTCAGTGGTAAATTCAAAATATATTATCTTAGTGCATTTTTTGTAATATATGTCTAATGAGAAGAATAGAATTCTTTTCTTGGTGAGGGATAACATTTCACTTATTGGGATTCAAAGTTAGTGTTTCCTATTATCAACATCTATTGTAAATGTTCCTCTCAGTGTTGATCTGTCATGAGATTTTACGTATTTTATCTCTATAAATGGAAGCGTTGACATCAGTCCACATGTATATGATTTTAATTGAGCATGATCATCACTTGGAAGGCACTCATGGAATCCTGTTAGATTCTTCTCTTGATCTTTGCCTTTCCATATGGTATTACATTACAGATTCATATCTTCCTATGGAAGATTAGATGGCAACTCTTCCACTGCACAGCTAAATGGATTTTGAAATATGGAAATCCAGGTTCACACACTGTATTTAAACTTAGAATTTATATCCACTGCAAACTCATGTGAGCATGGAGAGCTCACTTCTTTTAATTTTAATAGCATGGAAAGTACAGAACGCAGTTTGATATGACTTGTGATTGGAACAATGGCAGTTGTCATCAAAATGACTTTAACACAGTATGAGTTTTGCACAAGTGCTGTTTTGCCTTGCAGCTTTAGGTTGAATTTATTATCAAGTCTGCAGTAAAAGCTACTTAAGCCCTTCAGAACTCAATAATGGTGGTGAGGGCAGTTCTTGCTCAGAAAAGTTTCAGTCTCAGCTCTGAGCTCAAAATAATGTGATGAAACTTTATTAAGCCATCAAACTGGTGTATTTATGTGGGACAAATCGGCATAGTCAGCTTATTTGTGACAAAAAGTTAGAGAACTGATGATAGTTGAGTCCATGAGAGGGATTGTCATTCACTGTTGACACTATGGGCTTAATCACACACAACAGATTTTCTGCAAAAGACCTGCTGATACAAGGAATAGCATGAAACACCTTACATTTTTACAAGTTTGTAAGTTTGTAATTTGTTTTTTTTTTGTCCCATACATTTTTATCACCATCATTTGCAACAGCTTAGCAGATTCCACTTTGGATTCTACTAAATTCGTGTTTTCTCAACATCTTTGAAAATATTCTCACCGGTAGTTGTTCTGCACAGACTATCTAAAGAGCCTAACCCTTCATTCACTTCAGCCTTGATGTGAACTCCTCAAATAAACAACTGAGCCATATCAGTAACATCCATAGACTCACCCAGAGCCGACAAAGACTGCTCATCATCTGCCTTGCTTTTTCTTTTTTAATTATTATTTTGAGACAGGATCTCACTCTGTCACCCAAGCTGGAGTGCAGTGGCATGATCCTCAGCTTATTGCAGCCTCCACCTCCCAGGCTCTGATGATCCTCCCACCTCAGTCTCCCAAGTAGCTGGGACTACAGGCATGTACCACCACACCCAGCTAATTTTCATATTTTTTGTAGAGAGGGGGTTTCGCCATGTTGCCCAGGCTAGTCACAGCCATCTACCTGCCTTGGCCTCCCGAAGTGCTGGGATTACAGGCATGAGCCACTGCATCTGGTCCTGCCTTGCTTAAATAGACTGTTGAGGGTGCTCCCAGTGTCCTTAACTCCTCTAGCAAGTGTTCTCCCCAAAAGGCTAATTGTGAGAAACAAGTGTGTATTCTCTGGACACGCCTCTTTGGTTGCTGCTGTTGATTAACTCACCGTTGATGCACAGCTTTCCTTGCTTCACTAACCAATGAGCCGCCCGATAACCTACTTTGGTTGCAGCCTCATTTTCCTTTGTTTTGTGAAGAAATCCTGCTGCCTTGGCCTCTGTGCCTTAAATGTTCTAGTTTTTCTGACCAGTGCTTTTCTGTGAGTTGGGAATAGGCTGGTGAGTGCAGAGTCTGATAATATTATCCTCTATTATATTCTTTTGACACAGTTCTAGTGTCATTGCCAGCTGACGTTTTTCAGGTCAGAATTCAACCCACAACTTAGAAGAAAATTGGGAGAAATGGATCAAGGTTCGCTGGATGTGATTCTGATATGCCAGAGGGAACGTCCACCACATACGCAGAATGTTTCCTGGGAGTTGCTTCTCTCACACTGCATTTGTCCATTGTTTAAATGGGTGACATCCAATGCAGAAGTGTCTTAAGCCATTTTCAATTCTGTGTATTTCAACCTTGCTAATATTTTCCCTTCCTCTTTTTCACCTTGCCTTCCTGTTATCCAGTATTGAATTTAGGATGGATTTTTTTCAGGTCCAGAGGCCCGACCTCTTATGAACTGAGTCCTTTCTATTTTAATAGACATCTTGCTAAACCAAATCCAGGCCTTACATTCCCCTTTTATGTCTTGCTCTTTTTTTCTGTATTTCCTCAAACTTAGAATTTGAACACTTTCTCACCTCTATCCTGCAGTTTGCCTAGTGGGAAATAACTTGAGGCCGTAACTCTCAGGGAAGTTTTCTCTCAACTTTCTCATACCGGTGTCCCTTTTGCTCTTTGCCGCATTGAGAATCTCCTAAGCTGACTTCAGAAGTGGGCTGCTTGCTCTTGGTACTTCTCAGCTTGGTACACTGAGGGGTAGAGTGAGAGCCACTCTGTCTTCTGCCATTAATTCTGTCCATCCGGGTCTAACACAAGGCCTCCTGTTCTGGTTGACAAATGGGCCGAGGCAGGAAGGATGTCTGATCACAAGACAAGATTGCCTCCTGTTTTTAAGGGAGCCTATGACAGTCCAAGAAGCCCACACGTACCTCTGTCAAAACCAAATTCTGCTTGTTCCACAGGAAATGTTGGTATGCAAGCACTTGCAGTGTGCCTACATCCCAAATGCCAGCCCATGGTACCCATTGTCTGCCCGGATCTGAATCATGATTCCAAGACGCAGAGAGAAATTGCTGGGATTCGTTGTTCTTATTCATTGCTTGGCAACACTGCAGCTTCCAGGAGAATACCCACCTCACTGATGACACAACATCTGAATGCACACTTACTGGCCAACACGTGCTTTGCTGTAAATCAGTATGAAGTCTTCCTAGGGGTCCTGGCCTGAATGAGATGAGAACCTTGGAGGCTGCTTTTGACTCATGTGAATGTCTTCCCCAGGAGTTAAGTGGGAGTGCTGGGGAGAGAGTGGCTTGAGGATGCACAGCCAGCATGACACTACTATTATGTGATTACTGTCGACGTTCATAACCATAACTAATGACTAATTATGACTTTACCCTGGCGCACATGGTCAGAATGGAAACAAATAACAAGCTTTACAGTTTTTCCTGCTCTATTAAGGTATAATTTACAAATAATAAAATTCACCCATTTTAAGTCTGTAATTTGGGCTGGTCGCGGTGGCTCAGGCCTGTAATCCCAACACTTTGGGAGGTAGAGGCAGGTGGATCACCTGAGGTCGGGAGTTCGAGAACAGCCTGACCAACATGGAGAAACCCCGTCTCTACTAAAAATACAAAATTAGCCGGGTGTGGTAACACATGCCTGTAATCCCAGCTACTCGGGAGGCTGAGGCAGGAGAATCGCTTCAACCCGGGAGGCGGAGGTTGCGGTGAGCCGAGATCACGCCACTGCACTCCAGCCTGGACCACAAGAGCGAAACTCCATCTCAAAAAAAAAAAAAAAAGTCTGTAGCTTGATGAATTTTGGTGATTGCATATAGTTGTGTAATCATCACCGCAAATCAAGAGGTAGAACAGCTGTATTCCTCTAAAAAACTCCCTTTGTGTCATTGTGGCCAGTCTCCACCCTGACTCTATTTTTGCCTTGTCTGGATTTCGTAAGTCTAAATTCAGTTTCACAATCTATTTTTTTTTATTTTCTTTATTATTATACTTGAAGTTCTAGGGTATATGTGCAGAACGTGCAGGTTTGTTACATAGGTATACACATGCCATGGTGGTTTGCTGCACCCATTAACCCGTGATCTGCATTAGGTATTTCTCCTAATGCTATCCTTCCCCCGATCCCCCACCCCACAACAGGCCCCAGTGTGTGATGTTCCCCTCCCTGCGTCCATGTGTTCTCATTGTTCAACTCCCACTTATGAGTGAAGACATGCAGTATTTTGTTTTCTGTTCTTGTGATAGTTTGCTGAGAATGACAGTTTCTAGCATCATCCATGTCCCTGCAAAGGATATGAACTCATCCTTTTTTATGGATGCATAGTATTCCATGGTGTATATGTGCCACATTTTCTTTATCCAGACTATCATTGATGGGCATTTGTGTTGGTTCCAAGGCTTTGCTATTGTGAACAGTACCACAATAAACATACGTGTACATGTGTCTTTATGGTAGAATGATTTATAATCCTTTGGGTATATACCCAGTAACGGGATTGCTGGGGCAAATGGTATTTCTAGTTCTAGATCCTTGAGGAATTTGGTTGGTAGGCTATTAATTACTGCCTCAATTTCAGAATTTGTTATTGGTGTATTCAGGGATTCGACTTCTTCCTGGTTTAATCTTGGGAGGGCGTATGTGTCCAGGAATTTATTTATTTATTCTAGATTTTTCTAGTTTATTTGCATAGAGGTGTTTATAGTATTCTCTGATGGTAGTTTGTATTTCTGTGGGACCGGTGGTGATATCCTCTTTATCATTTTTTATTGCATCTATTTGATTCTTCTCTCTTTTCTTCTTTATTAGTCTGGCTAGCAGTCTATCTATTTTGTTGATCTTTTCAAAAAACCAGCTCCTAGATTCATTGATTTTTTTGAAGGGTTTTTCATGTCTGTCTCTCCTTCAGTTCTGCTCTGATCTTAGTTATTTCTTATCTTCTGTTAGCTTTTGAATTTGTTTGTTCTTGCTTCTCTAGTTCTTTTAATTGTGGGTTAGGGTGTCGATTTTAGATCTTTCCTGCTTTCTCTTGCGGGCATTTAGTGCTATAAATTTCCCTCTACACACTGCTTTAAATGTGTCCCAAAGATTCTGGTATGTTGTATCTTTGTTCTTATTGGTTTTAAAGAACATCTTTATTTCTGCTTTCATTTTGTTATTTATCCAGTAGTCATTCAGGAGCAGGTTGTTCAGTTTCCATGTAGTTGTGTGGTTTTGAGTGAGTTTCTTAATCTTGAGTTCTAATTTGATTGCACTGTGATATAAGAGACTGTTTGTTATGATTTCCATTCTTTTGCATTTGTTGAGGAGTGTTTTACTTCCAACCATGTGGTCAATTTTAGAATAAGTGTGATGTGGTGCTGAGAAGAGTGTATATTCTGTTGATTTGGGGTGGAGAGTTCTGTAGATGTCTACTAGGTCCACTTGATCCAGAGCTGAGTTCAAGTCCTGGATATCCTTGTTAATTTTCTGTCTCATTGATCTGTCTAATATTGACAGTGGGGTGTTAAAGTCTCCCACTATTATTGTGTGGGAGTCTAAGTCTCTTTGTAGGTCTTTAAGAACTTGCTTTATGAATCTGGGTGCTCCTGTATTGGGTGCATATATATCTAGGATAGTTACCTCTGCTTGTTGCATTGATCTCTTTACCATTATGCCCTTCTTCGTCTCTTTTGACCTTTTTGGTTTAAAATCTGTTTTCTCAGAGACTAGGATTGCAACCCCTGCTTTTTGCTTTCCATTTGCTTGGTAAATATTCCTCTATCCCTTTATTTTGAGCCTATGTGTGTCTTTGCACGTGAGATGGGTCTCCTGAATACAGCACACCGATGGGTCTTGTCTCTTTATCCAGTTTGCCAGTCTGTGTCTTTTAATTGGGGCATTTAGCCTGTTTACATTTAAGGTTAGTATTGTTATCTGTGAATCTGATCCTTTCATTATGATGCTAGCTGGTTATTTTGCCTGTTAGTTTATGCAGTTTCTTCATAGTGTCAATGATCTTTACAATTTGGTATATTTTTGCAGTGGCTGGTACCGGTTGTTCCTTTCCATGTTTAGTGCTTCCTTCAGGAGCTCTTGTAAGGCAGTCCTGATGGTGACAAAATCTCTCAGCATTTGCTTGTCTGTAAAGGATTTTATTTCTCCTTCACTTATGAAGCTTAGTTTGGCTGGATATGAAATTCCAGATATGAAAGAAAAGAAAATTCTTTTCTTTCAGAATGTTGAATATTGGCCCCCACTCTCTTCTGGCTTGTAGGGTTTCTGCCAAGAGATCTGCTGTTAGTCTGATGGGCTTCCCTTTATGGGTAACCAGCCCTTTCTCTCTGGCTGCCCTTAACATTTTTTCCTTCATTTCAACCTTGGTGAATCTGACAATTATGTGTCTTGGGGTTGCTCTCCTCGAGGAGTATCTTTGTGGTGTTCTCTGTATTTCCTGAATTTGAATGTTGGCCTGCCTTGCTAGGTTGGGGAAGTTCTCCTGGATAATATCCTGAAGAGTGTTTTCCAACTTGGTTCCATTCTCCCCGTCACTTTCAGGTACAAGAGTCAAACGTAGATTTGGTCTTTTCACATAGTACCATATTTCTTGGAGGCTTTGTTTCTTTTCACTCTAAGTCTTCTCGCTTTATTTCATTGAGTTGATCTTCAATGACTGATATCCTTTTGCCACTTGATTGATTTGGCTATTGATACTTGTGTATGCTTCACGAAGTTCTTGTGCTGTGTTTTTCAGCTGCATCATGTCTTCACCTGTTCTTCTCTAAGCAGGTTATTCTAGTTAGCAATTCCTCTAACCTTTTTTCCAGGTTCTTATCTTCCTTGCATTGGGTTAGAACATGCTCCTTTGGCTCAGAGGAGTTTGTTATTACCCGCCTTCTGAAGCCTACTTCTGTCAATTTGTCAAACTAATTCTCTATCCAGTTTTGTTCCCTTGCTGGCAAGGAGTTGTGATCCTTTGGAGGAGAAGAGGCATTCTGGCTTTTTGAATTTTCAGCCTTTTTGCACTGGTTTTTCCCCATCTTTGTGGATTTATCTGCCTTTGGTCTTTGATGTTGGCGATATCGATACTATTTTTTTTCGGTTTGTTAGTTTTCCTTCTAACAGGCCCCTCTGCTGCAGGTCTGCCTGAGTTTGCTGGAGGTCCGCTCCAGACCCTGTTTGCCTGGGTATCACCAGTGGAGGCTGCAGAACAACAAACATTGCTGCCTGTTCCTACCTCTGGAAGCTTCATCCCAGAGGGGCACCCGCCAGATGCCAGCCAGAGCTCTCCAGTATGAGGTGTCTGTCGGCCCCTACTGGGAGGAGTCTTCCAGTGTGGATACACAGGGGGTCAGGGACCCACTTGAGGAGGTTGTCCCTTATCAGAGCTCGAACTGTGTGCTGGGAGAACCGCTGCTCTCTTCAGAGCTGTCAGGCAGAGACGTTTAAGTCTGCTGAAGCTGCGCCCAGAGCCGCCCCCTCCCCCAGGTGCTCTGTCCCAGGGAGCTGCGGTTGGCTCTGCCCAGTTCGAACTTCCTGGGGCTTTGTTTACACTATGAGGGTAAAACCGTCTACTTAAGCCTCAGCAGTGGTGGATGCCCCTCCCCCCACCAAGCTCTAGCATCCCAGGTCAACCTCAAACTGCTCTGGAGCAGCGAGAATTTCAAGCCAGTGGATCTTAGCTTTCTGGGCTCCATCGGCATGGGACCCACTGAGCCAGGCACTGGAGAGAATGGTCTGCTGGTTGCGAAGACTATGAGAAAAGCGCAGTGTCTGGGCCAGAATGCACCGTTCCTCCTGGTACAGTCTCTCATGGCTTCCCTTGGCTAGGAAAGGGAAATCCCTTGACCCCTTGCACTTCCTGGGTGAGGCGATGCCCCACCCTGCTTCGGCTCGCCCTCCGTGGGCTGCACCCACTGTCCAACCAGTCCCAGTGAGATAAGCCAGTTACCTCAGTTGGAAATGCAGGAATCACCCACCTTCTGTGTCGATCTCGCTGGGAGCTGCAAGACCGGAGCTGTTCCTATTCAGCCATCTTGCCCGCCCACCCTTCACAATCTATTAATATATAGAGAGCAGTAATATTGCCCAAAAAGGGAAAGTTAATCTTTGTGGTTAATCCTCTCCCCTGAGTCTCATTTTGCCTTTTCTAGAATTTCATAAGTCTAAATTGGATTTATTTCATTGGTAACAGTGCTATTCATGTTGTCTTTCTTTCTTCTCGGGTCAGTTTTGGTCATCTGTGTCTTTCAAGGACTTTGTCTATTTCATCAAGTTGTTAAATTTATTGGTATAAGGTTGTTCATAATAGTTCCTTATTATCTGAGTGGATCACGTGAGCCCAGGAGTTCAAGACCAGACTAGAGATCAGACATAGAGAGACCCTGTCTCTACAAAAAAAAGTTTTTAAATTAACCAGGTGTGGTGGTGTGTGCCTGAGGTCCCAGCTACTCAGGAAGCTGAGGCAGGAGGATCACTTGAGCCTAGGATGTTGAGGCTGCAGTGAGCCATGATTGCCCCACTGCACTCTAGCCTGAGTGACAGAGCAAGACCCTGTCTTGAAAAAAAAAAAAAAAGAGTTCCTTATTATCCTCTTAAGGTCTGTAGGATATGTAGTGATGTCCCCTCTTTCAATGTGTTATACACTTATATTAAAAAGAAAATTCAAACAGAGAATAACATTTTGCATTCTCTTTATAATTTTCTAATTTCTTGTCCTTTTATTTTAACTCCTTAAACCTTTAGTAAAATGCACCTAAGCCAGTGTGGTACAACAGAACGTGATCTTTCTTTTTTTTTTTTTAATTATACTTTAAGTTTTAGGGTACATGTGCACATTGTGCAGGTTAGTTACATATGTATACATGTGCCATGCTGGTGTGCTGCACCCACTAACTCGTCATCTAGCATTAGGTATATCTCCCAATGCTATCCCTCCCCCCTCCCCCCCACCCCACAACAGTCCCCAGAGTGTGATGTTCCCCTTCCTGTGTCCATGTGATCTCATTGTTCAATTCCCACCTATGAGTGAGAATATGCGGTGTTTGGTTTTTTGTTCTTGTGATAGTTTACTGAGAATGAACATGATCTTTCAATTGCCCCGATTTACATTTAAGCTCAGCCACTCACTAGCTTGTGGCCTTGAGCAACTTACTTTACCACTCTGAGTCTTAATTTTATCCTCTATCAAATGTGGATAAGAGTGCCTCTGCCTGGTTAGCTGAGCTGGGGGCAAGGAGTTGCTGGGGGAATTGGGGGTGGGGCTAGCAGGTGAAAGTGCTCAGTGAATGGAAGCCATTGCAATGGTGATGGATGATGTGATGATGTGTTCCAAATCTTATTACTTAGACTAGGACTAGTTAATGGTTTTAGGATAGTGGAAATCTTGAGAGCCTCTTGAAGCCCCTAGTTTTCTCAAATTCAGTGTATTCTGTTTTATATTGCATGTAAGTAGAATCTGGAGTTTGTACACTGTGGTAAACATGATTGAAACGTGGTAATGCTTTATTGAAAAATCTGCTTTTTGGCTGGATACAGTGGCTCACGCCTATAATCCCAACATTTTGGGACAACAAGGCAGGAAGATCACTTGAGGTCGAAGTTTGAGACCAGCCTGAGCAACAGATTGAGACTTGGTCTCTACAAAATAATAATAATAATAATAATAAGTGTGGTGGCACATGCTTGTAGTCCCAGCTACTCGAGAGGCTGGGACAGGAAGATCGCTTAAGCCCTGGAGCTCAAGGCCGCAGTGAGCCATGATCAAGCCACTGTACTGCAGCCTGGGCAACACAGCAAGAACCTGTCTCAAAAAATAAAATTAAAATCAAAATCCACTTTTAGCTTAGATATAATAAATTAGTATAAATGTTACTGAGGATGACATTTGTACAAGAAAGTAAGATTTAAAACCCAAATCATTTAAGATAGGATTACAGAAATGATTATCTTTAATTTTTTAAAAAATTGTGCCTGTTTCTTGTTTCCTAAGGTGCTTAATTTACCCATTTCTGATGCGAGGAGGAAAGCCTATGCCACTGTTGGCGTGTACAATGGCGATTATGTTCTGTACCTGTAACGGCTATTTGCAAAGCAGATACTTGAGCCATTGTGCAGTGTATGCTGATGACTGGGTAACAGATCCCCGTTTTCTAATAGGTGAGTGTCCACAGCAGTGAACTCCGCCTTGTTCACATCATTGCTTTTATATTGATGTCCCAGTGGTTTCTAATGAGAAAGTCCAAGCTTCCTGTGAGAACAAAGACAACAGAGAAAGCAGCAGCACCCCGGAGTCCCATGGGAGAGCCCAGCTGTCTCAGCACAGCTGGGGGCAGAGAGGTGACGCAGGTGCTGGGCACCTTCCCCCGCACGGGCAGGCACTGAAGCACAGGTGCCTGGTCAGGCCAAGAACCCAAAAATAGCAGTGGGCTGTAGCAGAATGAGCAGGGACTAAAGATTGAGACCCTTTGGCCACTCATTGACCACATAATCTCCTGCGGTTCCTTCCATGACATGAGGAAAACCCAGACTGGGTTAGCTTCCTACAGTGCAGCTTCTGTGATTCTATGAACTTGAATCAACTTTTAGGTCTATGAAGTTGTTGAATTTTTTTATTTGTATCAGTTAATGTGAATTAATGTACATTTTCAACCTCTAATTATAACTTTTTAAGTTCTAAGCAAAAATGAAAATAAAACAGCCATCAAAAATATTTGCAAGAGCATTAAAAATTAACACTCTGGCTGGGTGCAGTGGCTCACACTGTAATCCTAGCACTTTGGGAGGCTGAGGTGGGCAGATGACTTGAATCCAGGAGTTCAAGACCAGCCTGGGCAACATGGCGAAACTCCAGCTCTACAAAAAATACAAAAACGTAGCTGGGCATGGTGACACGCACCATGGTCCCAGCTTACTCAGAGGCACTGAGGTGGGAGGATCACCTGAGGCCAGGAGATCAAGGCTGCAGTAAGCCATGATTGTGCCACTGCGTTCCAGCCTGGGTGACAGAGTGAGACTCTGTCTCAAAAAAAAAAAAAAAAAAAACTCAGGGATCTTATATATAAGAAAGGTTCTTCTATATATTTGTTTAGTCTATCCTAGCATTTAGATATTAAACCATACTGAGGTGTTGCTTACAATGGTAGCATGCTAAAAGTCTGAAGTCAGTCTGTCAGATTTGCAAACTACCCTGCAGTGCTTCACCTTAAGCTACATAAAGTGACCTTACATTGCATTGTGCTTTTTCTCCATGTGTATTAATTTATAATCATAGAAATAAACTAACACTTGGATAGTACTTTGTTGCTGAGAGATCCCTTTCACATTTCTCAGCCATGTTTTTTGTTGGTGAATTAGAATTTTATTCCAAGGTTTCATCATACCTGAGGATCGTTACAGTGAGACACCTGTCCCTCCTCTACAAAAGGAGGGTTGGCTGAGAAGGCGTTTCAAGATCCTTTTCTAGCTCCAGAGTCTGTGCCTCCATGAAATGCTAGACTAAATTCTTTGGTACTAAACTGTTGTACACTACCCCCAAATATCTTCTTGGTTTACCTGCTTTTTGACTACTTTATTTTCTTCTGCCCTACCTGTCAAGAGGAAGAACAGGCTTTTGAGTTCCTGTGCAGATCACACGATTTATGCCTCCCCATGTTCTCTGAGGCAGAAAGGATGTCCCTAAGATGTGAAAGGTCAGAAGAGTTACACAGCTGGCCCAAGACATCTAGACGCAGTGAATGGCAGAGCGGTGATTTCCACCACCTCACCAAGCTGAGCTTCCGCAAGTGGTAACAAGGAATAAGAGGAAGGGGAATTTCTTTCTTTTTTTCTTTTTAACTAAAGATACAGATTTTAAATGTTTGCCAGAGAGTCTCATGGGACTCACCTCTATGGTGAACAACAACAGAAGAACCCTCCTGTTTAAAGTAGCTCCGCAGATGGTTCGCATCACGTAGAGGTGACTGTGAAGCTGGTCAGAGATTCCAAACACCAATCAATTGTAGACAGACCTCTTGACTTCTCTACAATTAAACAGAAGGATTTGAAAAGGAAAAAATATGCCAAGTGGAAGACAATCTAGGTTACCTTTTGTGTGTTATATTTATTGCCTAGAGTTTATTGTTTTTGTGAGGAAACAGACGTGAAATTACATAAATAAGTAATTATGCCTACTGTAGTTACCATGAAGTAATAAGCAAATAATAATAATATATTTTTTTTTTTGAGATGGAGTTTCTCTATCGCCCAGGCTGGAGTGCAGAGGTGCAATCTCGGCTCACTGCAACCTCTGCCTCCTGAGTTCAAGAGATTCTCCTGCCTCAGCCTCCCGAGTAGCTGGGACTATAGGTGCATGCCACTATGCCCAACTAATTTTTTTTATTTTTTTTAGTAAAGACAGGGTTTCATCATGTTGGCCAGACTGGTCTTGGACTCCTGACCTCAGGTGATTCACCCGCCTCAGCCTCCCAAAGTGGTGGGATTACAGGTGTGAGCCACCATGCCCAGCAAATTTCTAACAAAAGGTTTTTCAAAACAGCAAAAGTGGTTAATCTAAAATATTTTATAGAAAGATTTTAAGTTTTTTTTTTGTTTGTTTGTTTGTTTTTTCTTGAGGCAGCCTGTCATCCAGGCTGGAGTGCAGTGGCGTGATCTTGGCTCATGGCAACGTGTGCCTCCCAGGCTCAAGCAATTCTTGTGCCTCAACCTCAGAGTAGCTGGGATTACAGGCTTGCGCCATCTTACCTGGTTAATTTTTGTATTTTCAGTAGAGATGGGGTTTCACCATGTTGGCCAGGCTGGTCTTGAACCCCTGGCCTGAAGTGATCCACCCACCTTGGCCTCCCAAAGTGCTGGGATTATAGGTGTGAGCCACTATGCCCAGCCAGATTTTAAGATCTTATAAATGGAATTAAATATTTAGCTTAGATGAACACAAGTACTAGTTTTCTTCCAATCTAAGCAATAAAGGGAGCTTGTCTCCTGGAAGAAACATAAAGTAACCATGTTATTTAGACAACATGATTCCTTTCTAGAATCTCATATTGGAAGCCAAATTACCTAGGGGTGAAATACTAAAATCCCAAAAAGGTAGCAAATCAACTATAAATGTATGGATCCAATAAATGACTTACAAAACGTATTATAAAACTTGGTATGAACTGCTTTGCTTAGGAAAAAAAAATAAAAGCTGATTACAGTGGCAAAATCAGAAGGAAGAAATCTTGAAACCCTTGCTATAGACCAGAAGGTTTTCCATGTCCTTTTTCTAACTGTGAAAAAGTATTCAATGTCACTGGTGATGACTCAGATAATAATGATGCCCCACGTGTACATTGATTTAATATTGAACTGAATGCCAGCACTAAGCAGCATCTGTCTTTCCCATTTTAAAAAAGTATATCAGAACCATCAAGTTAACCTCTTTTTATCAATATTTCTTTTATAAAACACTGTTTTGGCCTTTTGCCTTTTCTTGATGGAATTAATTGATGTGATACTAACAACTCTCCTTTAAGTGATGAAAAATCCCTGCGGATTCGTAAGAATAGGAGAGAAAACTGGGGATACCGTGGGATTCTGGGGAGAACCATGCAGGCGGCCACGGGAGACTCTTGTCAAGAACCGAGGAGGAAGGACTGACCGAGCAATGCTGATTGATGAGCCTGCAGGAATTCTGCTGTGGGGGAAACATAGATGCGCATTAATTTGTTTAAATGAGGTTGTAAATAAGAGAAGACCAGAGATCTACTCCTAGGAACTGCCACCCTTCAAGGGGTGACGTACAGCCAGTGGTGACAGAGCAGCACAGGAGCATCACCCCTCCTGGTTCATGTGGTGGAGATGGCAGCATTGCCTCATGCAGATTTTGTGAGAAATAAGTGGGATGCGTCTGTCTGGTGGGCTGACTCCCTGATGCTCCCTGGAAAGGAGCCGTGTGCCCAAGTCAGATTTCTGTCCATACTTGTCATCCTGAAGATGTAGATTGTGATGAACAGGTCAAAGTATTTTGAGTACATTAGATGATGTATTTGTATTATTAGGAAAACAAAGCCCTGCTTGGCATACCTGACAACAGTCCTTAATGGTTTTTACTACCAGTTATGGCTAATATGTTACACTAACAATGGTAATCTGAAGGGTTGCAATAATACTGTTCAGTCAGGCTGGGGCTCGTAGTGAAATTTTACGGTTTATTAGCCATAATCATCTTGCAATTTTTTTCCTTTA
Organism: Homo sapiens; assembly: GCF_000001405.40. Lineage (NCBI taxonomy): Eukaryota > Metazoa > Chordata > Mammalia > Primates > Hominidae > Homo > Homo sapiens. Next base: position 6,656,077 of record NC_000005.10, read on the forward strand.
GGTTTTGGCTTGTGGTTAACGGGCATGTTGATAAACATCCATTCAGATCATATCCTAAGGAATCTCAGAAAACCAGGAGATACTGGATACAAAATACCAAGGGGTACGTACAGAAAGTGAAGAATTTCTGTGAAAGTTGCTTGCCATGGTTCCTGGCTATTTTAGTGTTGCCAGCTCTAAGAAGTAGTAGCGTAGTAGTTATTAGCTACAAGTTTTCAGTGTAAGTCATCATTATTAATAACAAGTGCTATTGTTATTGTCTTATTAGAATAACAAAAGACCCAAATCTAGCTAACTGAACAGTTATTAAACAAAGCAGAAACTCCAGTTATATCTGTGCTTGGGAAGAGAGGATGAGGAAGAATTTATGATTGACGAGGAGTGTCTGACACTTTTGTTTCTAGCAGTATAATGGAATAGATACTTTGACCCTCCTCTGAAAACAGTTTAAAACATTGGAATATTTTGAAAATCTTCTTAAACGCATCAGTATACTATCAAGAAAGGAACTAATCATCAGAGGACAAGATCTAGGTGAATGTTGGAATCTGGAGCGTGTCTTTTGAGAATTTGTGATGAGGCGCCGACCACCATGCTGGTTTATAACCCAGATTCGCACTACTTGTATAGTATGAAAAATCTCAAGCCATAAATTAATTTCCGTGGCCTGGGGTAGTGGTGGACTCTCCTGGCCAGCAAAAGCCCAGATCCCCAAGGGGATGTGCATTCAACCTGAGTCTCAAAGAACCCAATGTGCCACGTTCCACAGAGTAAGAGGCACGGTCACAAGGTACAGAACCCACAAGGAAGTACAGCACCATGAGGGAGAGCGTAATTCAACATGAAAGATTTCAGATGTTAGAATTAATGGAAACATTATAAAGTGAGTACTTGAAATGCTTTTTAAAAGGAGTAGATTACAATTAGGAGTAAGAAGCAATGTACCATAAAAGGACTAGAAACCAATAGAGCTTCAGAAAAAATTTTTTAAAGTACATAAATCTAAAACTTTAATGGAGAAAGGGCGTGACATCACTTAGTTTGAAATTCTTCCACTTATGTTCCTAGAAACCATATGAGAATAGCAACAAAAACAAACAATGCTACAAACCTCAAATTACTTAAACTGTGACCCTGAGAACCTGGAATCAGCAAAGCCAGCTCCAGACGTGATGGTAGTGTGATAGAAGTGGCAGAGAAGAGAAAACATGACAGAGTCCTAGACAGGCTGCTGATCACCTATTCAGCCCCTGGGTGGATTGGGGAAGAATCCTCTCTTTGGTGTTGGGCTTATGAGCAAACTGCACCCTCATGGGGTCATCCCAAGGAGCCGCTTCCTCTGGCAGGTACAGTGGCTGGGAGAGCACAGTGTAAGCTGGATGGTGGCCCCCTCGCTTCCTGCCCAGCACCCTTGCATGGGGAACAGCATGATTCCAAATTAATCGGCAAGTGTTCATCCCCTGAAGGAGAGGGCCCTGTCCTGAGGAGGAGCTGCCATGAGCCAGACTAAGAAGGGACAGGGCACAGTCCTGGGGAAGGCAGAATGAAAAGGTGCAGAAGATACCAGAAGCCACAGACTGGCAGATTTGAGAAACACCACTTCCAAAAGAAAGGGCATCCCCAGAGACGGCAGGATCCCATGGGAGGGCCCTCCTGGGCCAGGCTGGTTACGGAAAGGCCTGCGGTGCCTTATACAGAGGGTCCTGTCCACTGTTCCACAGTAGTTGAGATGCCACAAAAACTTTTCAGCCCCTGTCCCTCCATTTCCTGCTCTCAGTGTCTGATCCTTGTTCTAATCCAACATATTCAAACCTGAACAACAAAAAAGGTACAATCCCCAAATCTGTGCAGTCATAACATTAGGACAGCAAAAAAGCAGCAAAACTTACCTGAGCAGAAACGTGTTTCACAAAGCAGGGGAAAATTGTAATCAAAATTCCAACATGAATTTTAAAATGTGAATGGAGGCCAAGCGTGGTGGCTGACGCCTGTAATCCCAGCATGTTGAGAGGCCGAGGTGGGCAGATCACATGAGGTCCAGAGTTCGAGACCAACCTGGCCAACATGGTAAAACCCCATCCCTACTAAAAACACAAAAATTAGCTGGGCGTGGTGGCACGTGCCTGTAATCCCAGCTACTTGGGAGGCTGAGACACGAGAATCACTTGAGTCTGGGAGGCAGAGGGTGCAGTTAGCTGAGATCATGCCACTGTATTCCAGCCTGGACGACAGAGTGAGACTCTGTCTAAAAAAAATAAAAAAAATAAAATGTGAATGGAGCAGTTGCAGAGTCTATACCCATCAGCTAAAGAACACCTGCGACGAACCCGCAATCTACAAACTTATTACCTGTCGCAGTAAAGGGAGACCTCTCCCTGTGATGTTTCCCCACAGCATGTAGCCGCCTTCCTGAAGCTAGTAATCAACCCAGCTTCCTGACGGCCTGTGGCCATCAATGGCATCTCTGTGAACAGACAGGCCAAAGGAAATGCAGAAGCTTGGCTGTAACTCTCAGGCAGCAGGAGGTGACACCAGACATCGGTGCAGATGACATGGGACACATGAGACTTAGGGAAGAAAATGCTTCTAAAATTCTTAATTTCTCCTCTCCAAGTACTAACCAGGCTCAGCCTTGCTTAGCTTCCAAGATCAGACAAGATCAAAATTCTTTATTTCTAATCATTTAAAAAAAAAAACAAACCACAGAAGCATGTTAGAAGATAGAAATGGAAAAGCAAAGAATATGAAACCTAGACTGGGTGCAGTGGCTCACACCTGTAATCCCAGCACTTTGGGAGGCTGAGGCAGGAGGATCACTTGAGGCCAGGAGTTCGAGACCAGCCTAGGCAACATAGCCAGACTCCCATCTCCACAAAAAAATTGAAAGAAAATTAGCCAGGCATGGTGGTGCACACCTGTAGTCCCAGCCACTCAGGAAGCTGAGGTGGGAGGATCACTTGAACCCAGGAGTTTGTGGCTGCAGTGAGCCTCGATCATACCACTGCACTCCAGAGGGAGACCCTGTCTCAAAAAAAAAAATCTTTTTTTTTTTTTTGAGACGGGGTCTCGCTCTGTCACCCAGGCTGGAGTGCAGTGGCGCGATCTCGGCTCACTGCAAGCTCTGCCTCTCGGGTTCACGCCATTCTCTTGCCTCAGCCCCCCGAGTAGCTGGGACTACAGGCGCCCGCCACCACGCCTGGCTAATTTTTTGTATTTTTACTAGAGATGGGGTTTCACCGTGTTAGCCAGGATGGTCTCGATCTCCTGACCTCGTGATCCGCCCACCTTGGCCTCCCAAAGTGCTGGGATTACAGGCGTGAGCCACCGTGCCCGGCCAAAAAAGATCATTCTTATTGTGAATGATGTTTTGGTGATAGCTGGAGAAGGTAGGGAAAATATATCCATCCTAGGCACATTGAAGTCCATGAAGAAGAAATCCAAAGCATTGGAACAGAATATATTTTAAAAACTAATTCAAGAAAGCTTTTGTGAAGTAAAACAAGACACAAGAGCGTCTGCCGTTTGCAGGTACGCACCCTATACCGGAGGAAGTGGACAGGAAACAGTGACGATCATCTGCACGTGCCATGAGTGGCTTGTAAGGGAAAGTTCGTTAGATTCTTCAGGGCAGCGTTCCGTGCCAGGGTCTTAGAGGCAGCAACACGAGAGGCCCAAGGAACGTGGAAGCCAAAATATTATCCTAGCTTTGGAGTCCCTCATGTAAAATCTGTCAGGTTTTGAAGACTCAGGTGTAGGGAGTCTGAGTGCTGTGCCCCATGAAGACTCCACCATGGTCGGCTTTGTGACCAGCTCCCTTCGCTGCAGACTCTTAATTTTGCAGGGCGTTTTCATGTGACACATTGATGGTTTCTAATACACAGGTGTGCCGTCTACATCCAGTGACTCCGTGAGGTCTTTCAGAAACGCTTCGCAGGACTCTGTTAATCATGGTGCCATAACTGGTTAGGGTCAAAGGAGCAAGTGACAAAATGAACAAATAAAGAGATAAAGAGAGGTGCACAGGTGTGACGTCCATAGTCAGTACATACAGGCTGAACTAGGGCTTAGGACAAGTGCTGTGGGCTGTGTGTGACAACCAGTTTGTGGTTTTGTAATGTGGCATCTGTAAGCAGCCTGTGTCTCAAGAGGACATTTTTTAGCAGATTGGCATCTGCAGGTTTTCCAGTCTAATTCCATGCTTACCAGTCCACCCATACGGTTCCACCACACCGTGTGTCCCACACCAGACACTTAAGAGAGAAGGTTCACTGAGCAGGCGGCATGCAGGAAGGCATCGTGGCCCCAGCCCTGCCCACAGGCTGTCTGCCCTTTGGGTGACTGGCATCTGCAGGGTATGGTACAAAGGTCCTTCCACGTCTGGGATTCACCTGCCCAGGGCTCTGATGAAATACAGATCATGATTAACGTAATCTTGTAGAAAGTTGAAGCAGTTACAGAAATGGGTGAATAAGAAAGTGAAAGTGACTAAGCTCCATGGCCCAGAAGGAACAGCGCTGTGAATGCTTTGGGTCCATTCTTGCAGGTGCTTCTGCAGGTGCACATGCCCACACATGGCGAATGACATTCTATTTATTGGGCATTAAGTTTGATATTTTTATGTTTTATATTGTCATTAAAAAGTTCACTTGTCAATGAATATTGATATTTGTATTAGTCTGTTTTCACTCTGCTATAAAGAACTACCTGAGACTGGGTAATTTATGAAGAGAAAATGTTTAATTGACTCACAGTTCCGCATGGCTGGGGAGGACTCAGGAAACTTACAATCATGGCAGAAGGCAAAGGGGAAGTAAAGACCTTCACATGGTGGCAGGAGAGAGAGCGAGTGAAGGGGGATCTGCCTCACTCTTTCAAACCATTACATGTCATGAGAATTCACTATCACAAGAAACCGCCTGCATGATCCAGTCACCTCCCACTGGGTCCCTTCCTTGTCCTGTGGGGATCACACTTCAAGATGAGATTGGGTGGGGACACAGAATCAAACCATATCAGTATTATTTTACAATTCTGAATTATTTCAAGCTTACAGAAAAGTAGTAGAGAGTTCATTATTGCAAACGTCTACATACCCCACCTTCCTTAAGAAAAAGAAAAGCACTGTGCTGTCTCGGGCTCAGCAAAACCATTTTCTTTCTTTTTAAAAAAATAGACCATCTCAGGCTGGGTGTCATGGCTCACACCTGTAATCCCAGCACTTTGGGAGGCCAAGAGAGGTGGGTCACCTGAGGTCAGGAATTCCACACCAGCCTAGCCAGCATAGTGAAACCCCATCCCTACTAAAAATACAAAACTCCAAAAAAAAAAAAAAAAGGTAGCCAAAAGCCCTCATGCATGCATGTAAGTTGCAGTGTGCTCAGAGATGTAGTCTCTACCCTATGCTGCAGTATTTGCTGAAATTGGTCTTATGACTTAGGGCGTAATAGGTTTGTCTTTTTTTTTTTTTTTTTTTTGAGACAGAGTCTAGGTCTGTCACCCAGGCTGGAGTGCAATGGCACGATCTCGGCTCATTGCAACCTCTGCCTCCTGGGTTCAAGCGATTCTCATGCGTCAGCCTCCCGAGTAGCTGGGACTACAGGTGTGTGCCATCACACCTGGCTGATTTTTGTATTTTCAGTATAGACAAGGTTTCACCATGTTGGCCAGGCTGGTCTCCAACTCCTGACCTCACATGATCCACCTGCCTCAGCCTCCCAAAGTTCTGGGATTAGAGGCGTGAGCCACTGCGCCCAGCCTAATTTTTTTTTAAAAAAAGCTCTGTCCTTACATGCCTTCAGAATTTTCTCAGCTCTGCAGACATAGTGTCCAGTTGGAACCTGGGGCAGATCACACCAGGCCTCTCTAAACACACTTGAGTAACCACAAAGCTACAGCCTGAGGGTGAGTCCCAAGTCCAAGGAGGGGCCTTCTGCCCTCCCTCTCTGCTGGGACCCTTCTCCCCACCCCTCATCTGGTCTTTGGAGTGTGCCAGCCATTGCTGTCTGCCTCAGGGCCTTTGCTGCATCTCTTCTCCTGCCTGGAGCACTCCTGAGAGCACCTCCAGCACCTGCCAGGCTGGCCCTCACCTGCAAGCCTTGAATCGACCCTCACCTTCCCTGTGGCCTGTTGCCAGCCACTCTGTGATAGTGACCTCCTCCACCCCATCCCAGCTCCGGGGCCCCCTCACTCTGCCCTGCCCCTCGCTACTCCTCCCCCTCCATGAGCTGTGTGCTCTCCTTGTTCATGACACTGGAGTTCATGGTTCTAGATGTGGGGAGGGTGTCTGTCCAAGTGCCTGGGCAGGGCATGGCCCATAATACGGACTCAGTGCATTTGTGAAGATGTGACGAATGAATGAATCTGTGCTTGAAAATGAATATCTTTGTCCCTCATTGCTCTAGGGTTCTATCTAGGTCCATTTTACATGGTTTACTCTGTATTCTCTGCTTGCATGATCCATCAGCAGGTGCACTGGTTTATTGGTGTCTTCCACTGTAACTGTATGTGTGTGTATTCACATAGACAGGTATTGATATACATATGTAGTTGATGATCAGAAGTTGTGATATGAATTAGTAAACCATGTAACGCTGGATATGTCTTACTGATTAACATTCTGTAAGGATAATATTTTTCCGTTCTTGAATTTATGTTCTCCAGGTAAGTATTCACTAGCATCTCTGAAGTCCGTATTTCATTTTGTAGTAAATGCACTACTTTGGTCTGTGTTTTCTTCTAGGAGGCTTATTTGAATACGTAACTGCAGCCAACTATTTTGGAGAAATCATGGAGTGGTGTGGCTATGCCCTGGCCAGCTGGTCTGTCCAAGGCGCGGCTTTTGCTTTCTTCACGTTTTGTTTTTTATCTGGTAGAGCAAAAGAGCATCATGAGTAAGTTTTAAAACACTTTTACCATTTGTAATTTGTTCTTTGACTATATTATTACCATTTTTCAGGCTAGATTTTTGAAGTGTTAATTTAAATCGCTGAATTCCAGTTTATTCTGTGCTTTGGCCAAACAAGTACAAAACCAAATAGCTGTAGAATCACCCAGCTCTAGGGAATAATCAGGTCCACATCAGCACAGTTGTTCTCTATACCACGTCCTTAGCCTCTCTGAATTGACAGTGCTGAATTCAGTGGTCAAGTTAGACACCAAGCAGGGGATTCAGGGCTCTGAATGGGAAATACTGATTAAAACAGATCCCTGACTGAGCAATAGCCAATGGCCAGCTTGCGAATGCTGCAGGTTGAGGAAGTCCTGAAGAGGTAGGTGAATCTCAGAGCCCAGCGACACTGGCAGAACTCATACACACAAGAGCTCTCCAGCTATGTGGTGGCTTAGGCCATGGCTCTGAACCTGGGGTCCTTAATGGGCTACAGAAGCTCTGCATGCCCCCTAAAATGACATCATTTTCCAGAGACCGGGTCCTTGGCTTTTATCTGATCCCCCAAAAGGCTTGCGAGCCATTTGACCAACACACTCATAAAGAAATCAAAGGGACTGGGCGCGGTGGCTCATGCCTGTAATCCCAGCACTTTGGGAGGCCAAGGCCGGTGGATCACTTGAGGTCAGGAGTTCAAGACTCACCTGGCCAACATGGTGAAATCCCGTCTCTACTAAAAATACAAAAATTAGTCAGGCGTGGTGGCGGGCGCCTGTAATCCCAGCTACTCGGGAGGCTGAGGTACGAGAATCCCTTGAACCTGGGAGGTGGAGGCTGCAGTGAGCCGATATCGCACCACTGCACTCCAGCCTGGTTGAGAGAGTGAGACTCAGTCTCAAAAAAAAAAGAAAAAAGGAAAAGAAATTGAAGGATGTCAAGGCTGAAGTGAATTTAGAGAACATCTTTCTAATCCAATGGATGAGGAAACTGAGGTTCAGGGAGCAGAGTCTGAGGCCAGCCAGGAGCCCCATCTCATTGACGGGAAGAGATCTCAGGAGCAACGTGGGATCTTTACCTGCCCTGACATTGGCGCGTGTCCCTGACAATAAATGATGGAGACTGGGCTTAGCAAGCGGCCAGCCTGGTATGCACATTTACTATGTCCCCTGAGCCACCCACTTCATCCACTCAAAACATCTAATCGAAATCTCCAATGCTGCTGATGCTACGAGGTGCAAAAATGTATAACTCTGTCCTACTTCATGGAGTTTATCATCTTTTTTGGGACTAAGGACAGAGAGAAAAAGCTAAAAGAAGAATAGATTGATATGGTATAGTGGGAAGAGTACCTAGGTGTACTTCCCAGCCTCACCACGAGTTTGCAGATGCAAAGGATGATTATTGGAGATAAGAAGAAGAAAGGTCATATCTGAAGTATCTCTTTGTCTAATTTTTTTTTTAAGACAGCATCTCACTCTGTCACCCAGGCTGGAGTGCAGTGGCACAATCTCAGCTCACTGCCACCTCTGCCTCCCAGGCTCAGGTGATCTTCCCACCTCAGCCTTCCAAGTAGCTGGGATTACAGGCATGCACCACCAGGCCTGGCTAATTTTTTATATTTTTTGTAGAGTTGTGGTCTCACTATATTGCCCAAGCTGGTCTTAAACTCCTGGACTCAAGTAATCCTCACACCTCAGCCTCCTGAAGTGCTAGGATTCGAGGCGTGAGCCAACGTGGCTGGCCTCTTTGTCTAATACTTGAAGAAGTGATAGCATAAATGTGAGCTCTAAGAGCAGCGCCCCGCATTCTTCGAGACACTCCATCGTGCCAGTGGCCTGGTATTTTCACGCATAGACAGTGAGGAGAGAGCGAGATCAGAGAGCCACGACCTACCTAAATCCCAGAGCTGCTGAGAAAAACAGAGGGGTCTGCGGAAAGTTGAGTGAGTGCCGAAGGCAGAGAGGGTTTGAGAAGGAGGCTCAATGCCAGGCATGGCAGAAAACACTGTGGGCCAGGAATGGGCCTTCTGTGCTGAGAACTGTGTCTGCCAGAAGGTCATATGAGAGTCCTAAGCCCTGGCACCTGTGAAAGCGACCTTACTGGAGAACGTTATCAGTTGAGATGAGAAGGGGAAACGTGGATAGACGTACACCAGGTGATCACACAGAGTGGGAAGGCCATGCGAAGATGGACACAGAGGCGGGGGCGATGCAGCCATGAACCCAGGAACACGTGGTGCCACCAGAGCTGGGGGAAATGGGACTGGAACCTTCCCTGAACCTTCAGAGGGAGCGTAGCCCTGCTGCCACCTTGATTTCCAACTCCTGGCATCCAGAACTGGGAGAGAATCAGTGGCCGTTATTATAAGCCACCCAGTGTGTGGTTAACTTTGTTCTAGCAGCCACAGGGAACTGATACGCCAGCCTTCCAGCCATTTAAAATTGACTGGGAAAGTAAGGGCAGGAGTATGATTGGTGAACCCCTCTGTTTTCTCCTCCGCCAGATGACTTTGTTGTCACCGGTTTGGTTGAAATACAACGTTATCTCTCTAAATATACATTCTACAATCTGACTTCCTCCCCTCTGCGCCCGCTGCTCCCAGCACTGCACCTGGCCTGGGCCTCACTTCCCGGTGAAGATGCCATCCTTTTATATTCCTAATATTTGATGTGAAGAAGTGAGTAATGGCTCATTTCTCATTAAAAGAAACAAATGAGATAACACTGACGTTTAAAAAAACACGGATCAGAGTAAGATTGAACATGGGCACACCAAGTCAGTGGCAAAGATGTTTTCTCAAATGAAATCAGGAAACAGGAAAGCCCCTCTCAGTATTTGAATATGAAACATATAGAAATGGAAAATAAATAATTCAGTTATCTAAATGAAAGTCTTTGCTAATGAAAACCCAAAGATAGTCTTTGCAGAAGAGTTCATGAGTTGAAAGAGCTCTTTGTCATTCATTTGCTGTTTAAATTGGTGTCAGTGTGAAACCAGTTTTAAGCCCTGAAGAATTAATCAATTCAGTTTTGCAGAAGTATGTTCAGAAATGTAGGACTTACAAGCTGAGAATAAAATAAAAACTCCTTTTTAAAAAATATTTTCATAAACCCAACTAATTAAGCCATCAAATAAAAGTATTCCAAAAGAAAACATGCCAAGGATCTATTCCTTGCACTCCATTTATAATGTTCTTTTTTTTTTTGAGACAGTCTCGCTCTGTCGCCCAGGCTGGAGTGCAGTGGCGCGATCTCGGCTCACTGCAAGCTCTGCCTCCCAGGTTCACGCCATTCTCCTGCCTCAGCCTCCTGAGTAGCTGGGACTACAGGTGCCCGCCACCATGCCCGGCTAATTTTTTTGTATTTTTAGTAGAGACGGGGTTTCACCGTGTCAGCCAGGATGGTCTTGATCTCCTGACCTCGTGATTTGCCCGCCTCAGCCTCCCAAAGCACTGGAATTACAGGCGTCAGCCACCGCGCCTGACTGGATTATAACGTTCTAAAAACAAAATTGTATTCAATGAAATCTTTCTATAATAATCAGTATTTAAATTCATAAATGATTGCATTGATAGTTAATGCATTGATTTCTAGGTCAGAAACAGTCAACTGTGCTGGGTTGCTAACAAATATTCTCTTAAAGGGCAAAATTTAAAGGTATTCTAAGGAGTAAGAAAAATTTAATCATTTAAAAATAAATATTTTATTTCTATATAATGGTTTCTGTGAAATACACTTAACCTCTTCAGCCAACATCCCTTCATTGTGTGAGAACACCCTGACCTCACACATGTTCTTTCTGATGTCACGGAGCCCAGCCTTGCTGCCCAGCCTGGTGGGGGGGCGCGTTTTCTCGGCATCCTGCGGCAGTCCTGTGTTTCCCATCTCCCACCTGCCCTCTCGTGTTTGCCCATTTCAGGCTCTCCTGCTGTCATGTACTCTGCCCTTGCCTTTTCGGGCCAGGGTGCCCATCTTCCCACGGGCAGTTTCTGGGAGAGAGGCGCTCACCTGCTATGTCACTGTGCGGCGGCCAGTGCCGCTGGCCCATGGGGAAGCTCTTCAGCACTTGCAAGTGCTGGATGGCCTGGATCCCAGCAGGCCTGTGAACACCTTCAGCCTCTAACCAGCGAACATGTTTGCAATGCACTTTCGCAGGTTTGACACCAGCTGTTAGGCTTGGCCACGTTGTGTGTTGGGCACTCGTGGGTCCATGCGCCACCACTGAGCCACGTAGCTGGAAAGGCTGCAGTCTCGAGGCCTCATGCCAGGGGAAGTGACGCTTGATCCGGAAGTCCTGACCGACTTCTTAGAATTGTTCTTATTACATGCCTTTTTGGGGACACAGAACATACAAAAGTAAACGTGGCCGCCCAGTATGTTCGAATTCTCTATTTGTGGATTCCGGTGTTAAACTTAACTAAGACCAGCAGGGTTTTGCCAACTCCCTCTCAGTTTCTCGTCCTCATATGTTTCTACCACATTAACAATGAGCTAATTGCTTTCTATCATGATTTTTAGTCTGTTGTTTAATCTTTCTGTGTGTGTTTATAGAAACTCCCTTTCTCCATCTTGTCAAATTATTTCTAATTTTTACTCCATGCACTTAGTTGCCACCTTTCCCAACTGGCTATTATCCCCAAAACAAATGAGCACGCCTGCATTGATACAATTTATATCAAAACGGAAAATAATGTTTGTTTCGAGCACAAGGCTGAATGGTGGACAATGCCATATTGCATTTCCCCAGATTTCACCGAATCCTTACTAAGAGCGTTCATGAGCCTCCTGGTATGCAGCTGGGTGCCCACTCTACACACCCTGGGCTAGGCCAGTAGTTCCCAACTGCAGGCTGGAGAAAACTGCTGGAGTCACCAGCAGGTATTCAGGAAGCACCTACTTGGTCCTGCCCCTCCTCCAGCCTGCATGCTTTCCCCGGGGGCTGAAAAGACAGCTCCGCAATGTGCTGATCAGTATTTTCATCAAATGTCAGTAATTTTCCTTCCAGATAGAAAGGTGAATTCTATGGGCTACTTCTTCTGAATCACACTTTATGATTAGATATATTTAATTCTTCATGATAATAGGCAAAATTAAACTATAAGTATGAAATGCCAAAGTTTTTGTTACTACATTTAAAAAACTGAGTACTCTTTTGTAATGAAAAATATTGTCACTTTTGTTAGCATTGGTTAAATGTCTAAGCGACAGAATTATTTCCTTTTTTAATTTTTTTTTCTTAGGTGGTACCTCCGGAAATTTGAAGAGTATCCAAAGTTCAGAAAAATTATAATTCCATTTTTGTTTTAAGTGCGTTTTTCATGAAATTATCTTCAACTTGAAGCTTTCCAATGGCGCTTCTCTATGGACTTTGTAAATAAGTTATATCTTTGTAATTTTCCTGCTACTTTATCATTTTCAAGATGTCCTCTAGGAATTTTTTTTCTAGTAATTTTGCAATCTACCTAATAAGTACCTAAATACGCTGAAATGGAGGTTGAATATCCTACTGTGTAACAGGTCAGAATTTCAAGCTCTGGGTAATAACTGCTGATATTTTTTCTAATTTCAAATTTACCTCTTTTGGCTATGTCTTGCCAAGTGTGTATGAGACTAGACTTTACAACTGTCTTTGATGGCATTTTCAGAACAATAAATGTCACAATCCCTTCTATAGCCCCCTACAGTGATCTCTTCAAGGTCAACTGCAGTGTTGCTTCCCTCCCCCTATAGGGCTGGAATCTGTCTAGGAGCCCTCTCTCGGAGGCCACAGAGGCTGGGGGTAGCCATTGTGCAGTCATGGCCCGGGGGAAACTTGCCAACCTTCGTGTCAGGTGCTGTGTGTAAGTGGAGAACTTGGGGATAGAGGAGGAAGCTCCTCGTGGCCCTTCCAAGGTGAGGCAAAGGCATCTGGACTTGTTCCAGCCCAGCCCACCGGGTGACATCACCGGGCAGGGAGGGGTGCTGGTGGTGGTTCATACGGAGTAAGCTGCTCTGCCTGTGTGAGTGGCTCCTGGGCCCTAAACAGGCACCTTTAGGCCATGGGTCACTCACCGTGAGCCATCAATGTGCTCTGGTCTGACATGGTTTCTCTCTGTCTTCTAGTCTAGACCTAGTTTTTTTGTTCTGTTCCCCACGTATGGATATAGTAGAGATTGTTGTCTGTGAAATTTCTCTTTTGTAGATTTTGAGTTTTCCCTTGTAGTGTAAAGAATGATCACTTTCTGTAACAATAACAAGACCACTTTTTAAGATTTATCCTGTTTGTTCTTTGTTGATTGAAACATAATAATTGTTAAAATTCTCTACAGCCTTCTTTTTCTTCCATAGCTAATCTTCCTTCTAATAGTTTTTGCTTTCTGTTTTGCTGTTGTTGCTTTGCAAAGCTTTCCCCTCATAGCCTGTACCTGTTATCAATATAAAATAATCTTCCTGTTGAATGCTTCATGACTTGAATTCTACTTTGATAAAAACATTGCCATACTGCTTTTTATCTTGATGAATTCATCTGGCATTGCTTTGCCTTATCATCTCATCTGGAGTTTTTAAATGCCATTTGTTTCAGTTGTCTTTAACAACATAATAAATAGACTTTGCCATTTAACAAGGTAGCTCAAATTCTTTTACTAATTGTTACATCGAAACATTCTTTCATCATATTTCCTGTTTTTATTTGGTTTTTTCAACTTCTTCTGTTTACTATCTACAGTGATTTGGAAAGGAGATTTCCTTTAAAACAAACAAGCTTATTGGGAATGGCTTTTATGATTTTTAAAGTAGCCTTGAGAGCTTCCAGTTAAATCTGATGAGCTGAACATACACCTTTCCTTCTCCCCTCTCTATTCTGACCCCAGTTGAAATCACCTCAAAGGAATTTAGGTGGGGGAGTGGCCCCATAAAGAGAGTGAGAGAGAGTCACCACTGCAGATGGACCACAGCACGGGTGGAGATGGGCCTGATGTGGCAGAGCAGAGAGGCCATGACAGTGCACACCCTGCGGAGACCCTGGGTCCTCACATCTGGGCTGACAGAAGGCAGAGGGAAATGAGCATCTCAAAGTGAGACCAACTAAACATGGCGCCTGCAGCAGAAAGCAGTGTCCTCTGCACCCCCACTCTCCAGGGAGAGCACAGAGAGCCCAGAAATGAGCCATGTGCCCATTGCCGGGGAAGAGAAGGTAGGCTGAGGAGGTGGCCTTTCCTAACACAAAAATTAACTAAGTGGGGAAAACCAGAGAACTAGGTGTTGGCATCCCAGGAAAAAAATAAAGTCTCCACATTTTGGCCTATAGGGATCCTGCCCCATAATGGCTGGTTACCTCCTGCCTCAAGCTGCAGGGAAGCCAGGGGGTGGCATGGCCATGGCTTCTCCCTCAGAGAGGCCTCTGTGCACGACTTCAGTCACCCAACACTGACAGAACTTGGAACCCAAAAGCCCATTTCTCTCCTTCCGTCCAGACCCTGTCTGCTGTTATCTGTAGGAAGACCACAGCCAACTGCTATCATGACCAAAGCTAAAATCCAATGAGGCAGAGAACAATAGTTGTACCCATCTCCTCCTTAGTCTCCAAGGCCAGCGGTGCATGCATTTGTGCATTCAACAACATTTGCCAAGCACTTACTGTATATCAAGCACAGCAGTGGGTGCTGAGGACGGATGGGTAGAAAAAACAGTCCTGGCCCAGGTGGAGTGACAGGTAAGAAACAAGTAAGTAGCTAAAATAATGTTAGGTAGAAAAAAATAACAAGAATAAAAGCAAGGAAAAGGGAAGGGACCCTCACTTGTGTCTGATACAGCCATAATCTTCTCTATCGGCCATTGCTGTAACCAAAGCTTAACCACCTTTCTTAAGATATTGATCAACCAGATCATTGCAAATACTGCTAATTGATTCCTTTTTATGGCTGAGTAGTATTCCATTGTATATATATATATACCACTTGTTGACTGATGGGCATTTGGGTTGGTTCCACGATTTTGCAGTTGTGAATTGTGCTGCTATAAACATGTGCGTGCAAGTATCTTTTTTTGAATAATGACTTCTTTTCCTCTGGGTAGATACCCAGTAATGGGATTGCTGGATCAAATGGTAGTTCTACTTTTAGTTCTAAGGAATTTCCACACTGTTTTCCATGGTGGCTCTAATAGTTTACATTCCCACCAGCAGTGTGGAAGTGTTCCATGATTGCCGCATGCATGCCAACATCTACTGTTTTTTGATTTTTTTGGTTATGGCCGTTCTTGCAGGAGTAAGGGGGTATCGCACTGTAGTTTTTATTTGCATTTCCCTGATCATTAGTGATGTTGAGCATTTTTTCATACTTTGTTGGCCATTTGTATATCTTCTTTTGAGAATTGTCTATTCATGTCCTTAACCCACTTTTTGATGGGATTGTTTGTTTTTTTCTTACTGATTTGTTTGAGTTTGTTGTAGATTCTGGATATTAGTCCTTTGTCTGATGTATAGATTGTGAAGATTTTCTCCCACTCTGTGCGTTGTCTGTTTACTCTGCTGACTGTTGCTTTTACCATGCAAAAGCTCTTTAGTTTAATTAAGTCCCATCTATTTATCTTTGTTTTTATTGTTGGAAACTATTATTCTAAGTTAAGTAACTCAGGAATGGAAAACCAAACAACCTATGTTCTCATTGATATGTGGGAGCTAAGCTATGAGGACACAAAGGCATAAGAATGGTACAATGGACTTTGGGGACTTGGGGGGAAGGGTAAGGGGGGGTGAGGAATAAAAGACAACATATATGGTATAGTATATACTACTCAGGAGATGGGTGCACCAGGATCTCACAAATCACCACTAAAGAATTTACTCATGTAACCAAATACCACCTGTACCCCCAATAACTTATGGGAAAAAAAGATATTCATCGACCTATTCCAGGTCCTCTCTCCACCACTGAGCCTCGTGGGGACATAAAGAGCTGCCTGCCCTCCCCTGTTCCCCTTGCCTTTTTGCAGCAGGATTCCTGAAAATGTTGACTTACAGATACGTTTTTGAGATATGAACGTTTGTTATTTCCTGGTGCTTAGGGAAGAAAATAATTGATGTTGTGAGTTGGGCGGGACTTTAGGGACTATGCTGAACAATCCACTGACCACTGCAGGCTCCCATTTATGATCTTGGGCCAACAGCCACCAGCCTCTGTTCATGCAGTCTCACTGAGGGCAGTTACTTCTTTGGAGTGGCATGCCTCTGAGCAGATAATTCCAATAATCAATGTCAAACTAGATATTGAAACAGCCCAAGTGTCCTGGTAAAGCTAGCTGTTGATACTCCTGACTGTTGCATTATTTTGTTTTTTGTTTTGTTTTGTTTTGAGACGGAGTCTTGCTCTGTCACCCAGGCTGGAGTGCAATGGTGCGATCTTGGCTCACTGCAAGCTGTGCCTCCCGGGTTCAAACAATTCTTCTGCCTCAGCCTCCCGAGTAGCTGGGATTACAGGTGCATGCCACCATGCCCAGCTAATTTTGTATTTTTAGTAGAGACAGGGTTTCACCATGTTGTCCAGGCTGGTCTTGAACTCCTGACCTCAAGTGATCCACCCACCTTGGCCTCCCAAGGTGCTGGGATTACAGGCACAAGCCACAGCTCCCGGCCCAACTGTTGCATTATTATTTGCAAATGTTGGCTATCCCTGCTGTTGTCTATATATCAATTTTGTCTACCCAACACAGCTGTAAACTTCTCAAGGTGAGGAGTGAGCCATCACTCTTTGCACCTCTTGCTGTGATTGACATGGTATACCTTAAGATATATGTTAATTCCTATGTCTTAATAAATATTGGCTTATGGAGAATTTGTTGGAGCAAGTACAGACCCTATGTTTAACTTCTTTTATTCAACAGAATTAAAAAACTAGCTAGTTCTCTCAATAAAATAATACTTTCTTTTCTTTCTTAAAATCTAGCTGATCTGGTCTAAAATACACATGTGGGAGGCGGGATTGTAGAAATATCTCAAATTAATTAGCGTCTAGCTCTTTGTAAGGTAATTGACAGTCTGAGTTAGTTGCTTCCCCCACTGCAAAGCAGCAAAATCTGCTCTCAAAGGCTTCACGTAGCCGGGAAAACTCCGTTCCCAATTCAGATCCTCTGGGGAGGGCATCAATTATTTCCTATTGTTTTTAGCACCGATTGTTCTGTCTAATTTGAAAGGATCCAAAAAAGGAAATGATACTTGGCATTAGTATCATTCTCCATCACTCTTGAAAGATATATGAAGGGAATGTTGGCGCAATCAGTCTAGAAACATATTTCTCCCATAACAATAAGCCAGTTCTTTTTGCTTTGAATCAGAAATAGCTCCATCAGGCCCATGAAGGAAAGGGAAACAAAACTGAGTGCCAAGCATATGATAACATGCTCAGCATCATATGACATTAGGGGATTGCAAATTGAAACAACAGTACCACCACACACCTATCAGAATGGCCAAAATCCAGAAGACTGACATCACCAATGCTAGTGAGAATGTGGAGCAACAGGAACTCTCATTCACGGCTGGTGGGGATGCAAAGTGGTGGAGCCACTTGGGAAGACAGTCTGGCAGATTCCTAAAAAGGTAAACATACTCTTACTAAACAATCTAGTAGATTTGCTCCTAGGTGTTTACCCAAAGGAGTTGAAAACATGTCCACACAGAAAACCTGCACATGAATGTTTATAGCAGCTTTACTCAAAATTGCCAAAAATTGGAAGCAACCAAGATGTCCTTCAATAGGTGGGCGGATAAAGAAATTGTATCCAATTCTATTTCTATGAGGAAAATCTATTCATACAATAGAATACTAGTGTCAGAGATTTTTTTTTAACAAAGAGCTATCAAGCCATGAAAAGATAAGGAAGAACTTTAATGCATATTGGTAAGTGAAAAAAGCCAGTTTGCAAAGGCTAGATACTATATGATCCCAACTGTATAACATTCTGAAAAAGGCACAACTATGGAGACAATAAAAAGAACAGAGTTTTGGATGAAGGGAGGGATGAACAGGCAGAATACAAACAAATTTTAGGGCAGTGAAACTATTATTATGATACTTTATGGATATAGAATATTATGCATTTTTCAAAACACATAGAATATACAACATGAAGAATGAATGCTAATGTAAACTCTGGATTTTTATTAATAATATTATTTAATTAAAATGATTTATTTTACTTATTTTCATTATTATCTAAAATGTTATTTAATTATTAAATTTAGATGCTACTTAATTTTTGCTTTATTATTATTATGTTAATATCATCAACTGTAACTAGTGTACAACACTAATGCAAGATGTTAATAGGGGAAATCGTGTTGGAGAGAGAGATATGTGAGAACTCTGTACTTTCTTTTCAATGTTTCTGTAAACATAAAGCTGCTCTAAAAAATTAAATCTATTAAAAAAAAAACTGAGTGGAAAAAGAGCGTTTTGCTCATTGGATGGACTTTTTGTCCTCCATGTGATGGAGTCAGCTGGCTGGGCGTAAACTTGCAGAAGGTGGGAGAAGGCTCTGCCAGCCTCGCCCCTGAGGTTTCCATCCTCCCGTGCTCTGATTCCTGGGGTTATGCTCTGTTGCCTCTGGTGAGAGGTGGTCAGTAACTCCATGAGCTGCTTCTGGTGCCTTTGTGCTAGACAGATTTTGCAAAGGCAGGTGTGTCAACCACAACCAGAGGCCAATTTCCCTGGAGTCAGATTTCAGACCACATGCTCCTCTCCTCCTCACAATGTAGTCTCCTCCCCAGGCTGAGCCCTGCCAGAGGGGAGAGTTAGGACTGGTGGGAAGGGCTTGCCCCCTTGGCTGCAGGAAGCTCAGGTGGCACCTTGGGGACAATCCTAAAAAGATGCTCTTCTTCCAGATGCCTCACATCTACCTGTCAGAAAATTGTCACACTGTTCTGATGTTTCAGAAAACTCACTTTCATCTGCTAGAAAACTGTCTAGATAAATATAAGCCTGTGATGTCTGTACCTCTGATGACGTCCCGTAGACATGGTGTCCTCCTCCACCTATTGTCGGAAGGTGGCCCATCTGACCTCGTGGTGGCCAGTTCCCTCCATCCACTAGGACAGGCAGGCCGCTGGGAAGCGTCCTTCTCCACACCCACAGGCCCTGTCCTTGGGAGCCAGGAGACATCTCAGATGACGTACAGAATCCCTTCGTGCGGGCTCATCACGAGCCCTTTGTTCCTTAGAGTAATAGCAAACAAATGTGCTGTTGTTCCTCATTTCCATGTATTTCCATCAGTTAATTGGAAATGGTTCTGCCTGAATAGGAAATTTTTCTATCTTGGGCTTCTTGAATAGAGAAGCTCTGGGGCACAATCCTAAATCTTCAGAGGACAGAGAGCCCACATGCCACCATTCCAGTACTGAATAGCAGCTTGGGTCCTGAGAATTTCCGGTACCCACATTTTAGAGACTTTTTGTCTACCAAAAGTAACAGTTTCATTCAGGACAAGAGGTTATTCAAAAATACATAATTAATGGCCTCTACTGAGGTCTTACATTGTGTAGAGAATAATGCATTGGGAAATGCTAAACTACCTAGTGAACAGCAAGTATGGGGGCAGGGAGGAGGAACAGGCTTCCCTCTTGATTAAATGAAAAATAAAATAATGATGCTTTCATTTTTATTAGACAATATGTCATATACAAAACCCCAATTTTTCTCTTACTAATAGAGAAACCCCATCTTGCTCTTGGAGAGGACTGACTCTCTAGGTCCACTCTAAGCCTGTCCTCCTTCCTATCTCAGCATTTGCTCCACCAGCTCTCATTCAGCACAGAGTCTGGGGCACTGGTGCCATGAAGATGAATACGAGAGAGATCTTAGCCTTAAGGGGCTCATGGCCTGATAAGTGCATAAACAAAAAAATAATTTTTAATACAACACGGTAGGTGCTATGATACAAATTAGGTACAATACACATGTAAGCAGAGAGGGAAATGTCTGATTCTACATGGGGGTTCCAAAGAAATCAGGTGACACTTGAGATGGTCATGGTAGAGTAGGTAATTAGGCAGATATGAGCAGGGCAGCATAGGGCCCCAAAGAACATCAGGTGACTGTCAGGTTACTGTTGGGTGATTGTTGACAGCCAGGGAGCTGGCAATAGGGAGGGGAAATTTTCCTAACAAACAGGAGACATCTTGAGCTTGTGGGCAACAACTTCCCAAGAAAAACTTAAAATGGTGAAGTTTGATCTTCCTCTGGGACATGTCTAAGCATGCACAGTAAGGGGCAAAATGGCAGCATTTGACCCGTATATGACCTTCCTCTGGGGGTGCTAGACCAGTAAGGGAAAATTGTCCTAAGACAGCATGCACATAGCTTCAACCACCAAATGACACACGTGGTCCCTCATACACTAGCAAGTCACTGTGCACTTGGCAATTAGCCAACAGCCCACCCAAAGGGAAAGATGAGGGGAGAAGATTGGGAGAAACTGGGAAATTATAAATAAGAGCCCTGAGCCAACAATCAGGCAAAGCATTCAAATGTTTTGTTGTCCGCTTCGTCCCTTCCAAGTGTACTTCACTTTGCTTCAATAAACTGTCATGTCTGCTTTACATCTACCTCTGTCTCTCGGCTGAATTCTTTCTCCCAAGACAAGGATCAAGGACGAGGGGAGCCCATCCTGACTTGCCACCAGTTAACAGTCATGGCAGAAATAATCCAGAAATAGCTCTAATTATTGCTGATCATTTAATTCTCTTCCTGGACACTCAGGAGGATCACATTTACCCTTATACCCGAGTAGAGCCATGAAACTAATTCTCACCAAGGTGGATATGTGGGCAAATGTGATGTGTGACACTTCCAAGATATCCCATGAAATGTCTCTTACATGCAGTTCTTTCTCCTCCTGTGGCAAATGTGAAGCTACATGTTGGGGACTGCAGTATCCCAAGATGCAAAGAGCCTGGATCTCTGAGTCACTCCACTGCCTGGAGAAGGATGACTCAACTGGAACATCCTCATTAGACAACAGGTGGGTGAGAAATAAACTTTTGTTAAGTCACTAAAATTTGGAGGTCGTTTGCAACAACTGGCATGATTTATTTAATACTATGGAAATTGGTGTTCTGAAGTGGGTTGCTGCAGTAACAAAAATATCTGGCCATTTTCTTAGCAGTTGAACAAGAGGTGGGGTGGAAACAGCATGCTGGGTGACTGGACATCTATGTTACATAGTGACAAGACATCTGGCAAATGGTCATGTGCAGAAACTTGGAAGGCTGACTCCATCACTATAGGCTCATGGCAGTTATTGGATAATGGAATGTTAGAAATGTGTACAAATTGGAATTTATTCTCTTTGGAAAGGCAAGAAATACAAGAAAGAGATGAGCACAGATGTAATTGGCTATTTTGAAAACAGAAAACCAAAGGTAACAAGAGGCCAGAAATTTAGGGCCTTATAGGGTTGTAAGAGGTAACTGCTTTTGGTCCCGACAGTGAAACATGAAAATAAAAAATTATTTGAGCTGACAAAGATCTAGTGAACTTTCTAAGCTAATTAAAGTAACTCAGGGCAAATATGTGAGTAAGGGTATAGACTTCCCACTCAAGCCCAGTGACATGAAAGAAGCTGCCATTCCACTGAGTGGGAGGAACACCGTGGAGAAGAGGTGGGAACCAAAGGAGATTAGAGAACAATGTCCAGGAAAGGTCTTTAAATGTGGTTACTGATGTATGAAATTGACTGGAAGCAAATAGATCAGAAGTCACTAAGATTTTGAGACAACTGCACTGCCAAAAAATACCATAACCCTGGACCAAAAAGTTCTTTGACTATTGGAGACTTAAAAAACAATCTTTGAGTACCCAGTCTTTCCTGAACAGAAAGTGACTTCCAAAAGCTGCACTGCCCCAAGCCAAACACATTGGCCAACATCTATTCTTAGGTGACTGTGGATAATAATGTGGAAAGAAGAGCCCCCAGAGGGTGAATTCTGAAGACACAAGAACAGGATCTAATCAGAATTTTCCCAGCATTAAGAACAGGGAAACATCACCATGCAACATCTACAGGACTCAAGTACAACTGTGGGCTAGAGATGGACATGAGATTTCCATTCCAAAGGGAAGAATTACACACAGTTCTGTTCTTGAACCATCACTGTCTATCGGAAAGCAGGGTGGCAGATAGCACATCACTCAGATCATAGGCGCTCAGACCAACAGGAGCAGGAGCAGTTCAGTTTCTGGTGGAGAGTCCTGAATGGCTCAGGTATCCTGGGCTCCAACTACATACCATGACTGGGTGGGCACCTCTGCTCTCTCCCTTGGGCAGAGGGGGAGCAAGTTTTATCATATGGGAAGAGAAGCAAAACAATTGGTGACCAGAATGGTGGATAACTCTGCCTTCATTAAACTGTTCATTTTCCTCCCAGGCTCCAGAAGACCACATTCCCCAATCCTGTTGCATATGGATGAAGCCATGTGATTGACTTTGAGCAATGTCATATGGGTATTACAGCTGCTGGCGCCTTGCTAGGGCAAACAGGCAGGAAGATTGGTCCTCTTTGCTTTCTCTCTTTCTTCTGGAAAGAGACACTTTTCTCCTCTGGCCTTTGGACATCAGACTCCAGGTTCTCCAGCTTTTGGACTCTGAACCTGGCACCAGCAGCCTGCTGGGAGCTCTTAGGGCTCAATGGGGACTGCACTGTCAGCCTCCCTGGTTCTGAGTCTTTGGACTTGGACTGAGCCACTGGCTTCTCTGGTTTTTCAGCTTGTAGTTGGACTATCATGGGACTTTGACTCTGTGATTATGTGAGCCAGTTCCCCCTAAAAAAAATCCCTTTTCATATATCCTGCTGGCTCTATCTCTCTGGGGGAACCCTGACTAAAATAGCCACTGAGACTTGGGAGTTATTATAGCTTCTAACATTACTTGCATGAATAGCATAGTATTGAATAATGATTGTGAGTTCACAAAGTAGACAAGGGGGAAGGAAGAAAAGTATTTCAGGTAAGAAAGGACAACAATGCTCAAACATATTTATTAGAGGGGGTTCAGGATAGTTTCTGGATGGCTGCAGGACTTGGTGATTCCAAAGGCCATGTGCAAAAGAGGAGGAAAGGACAGCAGGACCACATAATAAGGAGTCCTTATGTCCCGATGGCAAGTTGAAGATGTTATTCTGCAAGTGATATGGAAGCATGGATGTTAGGCCAGAAATACTATGACATAATGTTGTATTTAAAAATACTTCCCAGAACCCAAATGAAGAGGCATTCTAAAATACCTAACCAGTGTTCTTCAACTATGTCAAGGTCATGAAAGACAAGAAAAGAATGAGGAACTATCACAGCCTGGAGAGGACTAGGGAGACAAGACAGCTAAACAAAATGTGGGATCCTGTATCATACCCTGGGGTAGAAAAATGACATTAATGGAAAAGCTGTCAAAACTTCAATAAGATCTGCAATTTAGTTAAAAGGGCAGTACCCTTGTCGATTTCCTGATTTGATAATTGCCCTAGGGATTTATGGGAACTCTGTACTATTTTGAAACTTTTCTCTGATCATCTAAAACTATTACAAAATAAAAATAAAACAATAAAAAAATAAAATGCAAAGCATGGGATCCAACTGAAAATCTAAATAGCTATCAGGGAACTCCACCAAAAGACCCCCGGCAAGAGATGAGGAGAAGGACCTGGTAAGACGAATAGGGAGATGAAGGTGACCAAGAGGATCCTAGCCATCAAGGGACCACACAGGTTGTTAGGGCAAAGCCTCCAACTCCAGGGCACCCAGATGTCCACGCACACATAGAGGGCATGAGTCAGACTCAAGCAAGTGGCAGGGGTGACTTGACACTCAGGCTCAGAGATTGGGCTGGTGCTTCTCCCATCCTTTATGTGTTCAGTCCAGAATCATCCTTGGAGCTGAGCCATGGCTAAATCCAGAGATGGAGAGGTAAGTACTTACAGTGAGGTAAGTAGGAAAAAAGAGGCTGTCTCTGCCCACAAAAAGATTGAGATGGTCAACACTCAGAATTCTGAACACCTGGAACCTGGTTCTATGAAGCTGTCATGCGCTGGGGAGCCTGAGGGAGACAGATGCACAAGCTTGAGTACAGGACACTTTATGAGCAGCTGGAGTTTTGATCCCAAACCTGTGTGCATAGGGCCCAGCATCGTGTCGCTTTCTTTCCCTCAGCTCATCCCTGCTTCATTCATTCAGAAATTATTCACAAGCCCCCTCTGTGTCTGGGTCTGTGCTAGGTTCTGAGAATCTCAGAGTGAGCTGAGCAGACATACCTCTGTGTTGACGGATCTTGGAGTCCAAGGGGGAAGACAGTACTGTTACTGAACTACTAGGTATACAACTAAAGACCCTGCAATGCTGCCACGTATTTATTCTGTCAGTCTTTCTCCAAGCACTCTCCAAAGGACCAGTGTCCATTCAGTAGGACAAATGTGCAGTGGAGAAAAGGAAATTCTCAGAATTTGGAGAATTGCTAGATGATGGCTCTGAATTGATGCTAATTTGTGGGAATAATGATAACAGTGAGCTTCACTAGTGAAAGGGAAGGCTTATGTTGTTTAAATGATAAATGGAGTTTTTGCCTAAGCTCCACAGTGGGTCCAGTTGGCCATGGGTCCACTTTGCTGTTATTTTCCAGTGCCTGCCAAGATTAGGTGGAATACATGCCATCAGAAATGGAAAGACTACACACGTTGCTTCTCTGATGCTTGGAATAAGAGCTAGTATGGGAGGAAACAGCAGGTAGAATTCCTGGAACTTTTCCTTCCTTCTAGGACAATAAACCCAAAGTAATACCATATTCCTGAGTAGACTGCAGAGATTGGCATGACCCTCAAAGATATAAGAATGGTGGCACTGGCAGTATTTCTGCAGTAAACTTTGACCAGGTTACTCTCTTTGAGTAACTTGAAAGACTATTACGTCCCCATTTAGCTTACCTATTCAGCTTTTTCAGAAGGTATGGGCTGTGGATTACCATAAATTTAATTAGGCAGTGAATCCAAAAGCAGCTGCTCTTCCACGTTTATTGGAAAATATTATCACAGCTCCTGGTATTTGATAGGCAGCTATTGATCTGACAAATGCTTTCAATTTCTTTTCCAATTTGCAAGTACTGTATGCAAAGGGGTTTGCGCTTACCCAGCAGGGCCAACAATACACCTTCACAGTCCCGCCTCAGAGTCGTGTTCACCTTTTTTCACTCTGCCATAACCTAGGCTGTGGGGAACTTGATTACTCTGACATCCTGGAAAATGTTATACCAACCCTCTATATGGCTGGAATTATGCAGGTTGAATTCGATGATCAGGAAGGAACTTTCGATACTATATTAGCTCAGGCTGCAATAACAAAATCACACACTGGGTAGCTGACACAACTGAAATGTATTTTCTCACAGTTCTGGAGGCTGGGGGTCCAAGATCAAGGTTCCAGCAGGGTTGGTTTCTGGTGAGGTCTCTCTTCCTGGCCTGTGTATGGCACCTTCTCACTGCATCCTCACCATAGCCTTTCCTCTGTGTGCTCAGAGAAAGAGTGGGGTCTGGTGTCTTCTCCTCTTCCTGAAGGACACCAGTCCTATTAGATGAGGGCCCCACCTTCATGGCCTTGTTTAACCCTGAGGGCCTCCTTAATGCTTCCATCTGTAAATACAGTTACACTGGGTGCAGGGCTTCAATATAGGAACTTGGGCACACAGTTCCATCCATAACAGAGTTGGTGTGTGTGGTGGTGTGTGACTATATCTGTGGTGTATGTGTTTGTGTGTCACTATATGTGTGTGTATATGTGTGGTTTGTGTATGTATGTGTGTACATGTGCTGTGTATCTGTGTACCTGTGCAGTGTGTGCATCTGTATGTGTGGTGTGTATGTGGTATGTGTGTGTGGTGTGTGTGTGTGTGTGTGTATGTGTGTGTATGTGGTATGTATGTCTGTGTGGTGTATCTGTGTGGGGTGTGTGTGTATCTGTGCGTGGTGTGTGTGTATGTGCAGTGTGTATCGTGTGTGTGTGTGGGGGGTGTGTGTGTGTGTAGTCAACAAAAGCTGGCTACTACCACAGTGGGGAAATAAGCTTGTTTAACTTTCAACATGAAAAGTCCAAAATCAAGTAGCAAGTGGGTGGGAGCTACTGAAAGCCTAGAAGCCAAATTCAAGGGGTTGCTCAAATCCCTCACAGGAGCAGGGCAGCCTCAGAGGAGCAGGGGCCAAGCAGTGGAGCTACAGGGGTGCAGCTAGAGGAGTAGGGCAAGAAGGGTCAGGTTAGGGGTGGGGGTACAGGGATGGGGCTAGAGGAGTGGTGCTAGATGAGTGGGCTAGAGGATGGGGCCAGAGTGGCTGGAGCTAGAGGGGTGGGTTTGGGGTGGGGTTAGACAAGTGAGGCTAGAAGTGTGGGGTTAGAGCAGTGGGACTACAGAGGTGGAGCTAGAGCGGTGGGGCCAGAGGGGCGGGGCTAGAGGGGCGGGGCTAGAGAGGTGGAGATAGAAGGGCGGGACTAGAGGAATTGGGCTAGAGGGTCGGGGCTAGAGGGGTGACGCTAGGGCTCAGACTCCAGGACAGACAGAAGTGACGGGGATCGACAGGCTCTGGGAAGTCTCGTGCCTCGTCTGCCTCCCATGGCTGGCTCTGCTGCGCTGCTGGTGATTTGTGAAAGTGAAGATTTTACTTTGAAGTGCAAAAGCTGTTCCATTTGTTGGTCATAAAGACATTTTTAGGCAAGTAAGTAAATAATTAATGAAATGTTTTGTTTTAATTTTTTAAGAGAATGATTCTATGCCTTACATTTGTATAAAGCAGTGAAAAACAACACCCTATCCCCCCCTTAAGAACCAATTCAAATAAAATACAAATGTTTATGCAGTTCACATTTTTATTCATAATGAAAATGCTTTATTAAGTCACATGGGAATAAAACGTAGATTCTTACAGATTAGATGACTTATTCAATGAATACAAGAGCATCATTGTCAAAATAAGCCGTGCAATGTTCCTTGTCTAGGGCAAATGAAAAGTTACTGCAGAAAAGCAGGTTTCCAATTTTTTGCCCTGTTGTGTTGCACAGCGTGTCATACACTATCCAGTGTGTGCTGTGTTCAGAAGTCGACACCCAGCACTGTCTTGAATGTTATGAGTCTATATTTCAACAAATAAAACTTACTAGAAATTAAGACAAATAAATTTTATACTCTAGTCAAAACTTAGTAATTTATTCTGTAATGTACATAGTAATATAGCTTTTCTGTAACTGGCACAGAATAGCTTCACATTTCATACTTGATGTTGGTAATAAGTAATTATTTTATTTGAGATAAGTTGGTACACTGTGTTCTTTCCTTTCCTTCTACCTTTTGGACACAGAGCAGATGTCACTGGAGCTTTTGGCTTGGACTGTGGCTAGCTCCAGGCTGCCCACCTTGGGTTTGTCATTAACCCTGCACAGCGGTAAGCTTGCCTTGAGGCCTCAGTTCAGTGCACTCGATAAATGGTTATTTGCACCATATGCTGGGCACGTGTGGCCTAAGCACAGAAAGGCTCTGTGCGCTTGCGGAGAGCGGCCAGGCAGGCAGGCAGGTCCTGTGGCTCCTCATAGGTGGAGGTAGATGTGTGGGATGTGAGGTACCCACTCACAGCGGGTCTCACTTGCTTCTCTTGATTCTGCCTCGATTCACTCTCACAGAGGAGATTTATCCCCAGGTATTAGATCCCCTCTACAATAACAACAGCAGGATATTAATTTTCCCTGCAAAATGACACTATTCTGTAAAACAAGTAGTAATCAGATGTTTCATATGCATAGACAATGTAAAGTTAAATGTGATATATTAATACTGTTGTATATCAATAAGTTTCTATAAATAATCAAATCATAACATGTAGCTAAGTAACATTAATTACACATTAGTGATTTGATTTCATCTCAGATTCTTGAGACATAAGAAAAACAAAAATGACAGAAATTTCCCAATTGACTTCATTCAATTGATTGATACAGAAAGTCAACCAGATACCTCTATCAAAAAGCTTATACTTTATATGGGTGTGTTCATCTATTCCTAATGCAGGTGTTTTGATACCTGTATTATATTTTAAATATGTACATGTATCAGTCAGAGTTTTCCAGAGAGATAGAACCGATAGAATGGATAGATGGATAGATAAATATATTTATTTTAAGCATTACCTCACTGAGCTGTGGGGGCTGGCAAGTCTGGAATCTACAGGCCAGCAGGCTAGAAACCCAGGCGGGAGATGGTGCTGCCATCCTGAGGCAGAATTTCTTCTCTGGGAAACTTCAGTTTTTGCTCCTGTGACCTTCAACTGATTGGATGAGGCCCACCACATTATCCGGGGTAATCTCCTTTACTGACATCTACAGAATACCTTCACAGCAACACCTACATTAGTGTTTGACCAAACAAAGAGGCACTGTGTCCTAGCCAAGTTGACACCTAAAATTTACCATCACAGTAACCTTTACAAGTTAGCGTCCTACCCTTTTCAGAAGACTTGGAACTGGAAAATATCACGACATACACAAAAAATTACTAATTTCAATGGAGAGTAATTCATAGAAAGGGTTTAAGACCCTCCTGGTTTGAGGCCAGCCTGGCCAACATGGTGAAATGCCGTCTCTACTAAAAATACAATAATTAGCCGGGCGTGGTGGCTCGCGCTTGTAATACCAGCTACTCAGGAGGCTGAGGCAGGAGAATCACTTGAACCGGGGAGGCGGAGGTTGCAGTGAGCCGAGATTGTGCCACTGCACTCCAGCCTGGGCGACAGAGCAAGACTCCATCTCAAAAAGACCCTCTGGGGCAGGCAGAGACATAGACACTGTGCAGAGGCTGTTGCAGGTGGTCCTGGGGAAGCAGATGTGCTTCTTCCCGCAGAGCAGACAGTGTGGGATGCACAGCCGGTGCCTGCTCCACTGTGTTCAGAGCATGACTCCAGGGCCAGGTGAACCCCCAGGGCCAGGTGAACCCCACGGGTTCTTGGGTTTCCACCTGTGCCATGTGTTGGGGTGGGATAGGAGAGAAGCTAGAAGCTGACAGTTCAGATGCTCATGTTCCTGTCTCCAGGCCCCTGTGCCTGTGCTGCCCCTCCTTTCAAGGTGGATTCACTCCATCTTTGTGCATGCCACTCCTGCTGTGGGCCCTGGAGATGCGAGGATGAGGAAACTGTGGGTTCTACTCCAACAGAGCCCACAGTCTGAAGGGGGTGGCTGCCAGGAAAACCTTGACTGAGGGTGGAGGGGTGATTGTGGAGATACATTAGCCTGGAGGGAGGGCATTGGCAGCTCTGAGGTTGGCTTTCGGGGAGGAAGGAATGACCTTCCCACACTCCAGGAAAGTCAGGGAAGGCTTCTGGGAGGAGGTGACCCTTGGGCAATTTTGAGAATCCTTCAACAACTCCATAAATAAAGATCAAACCACACATGTCTCAAGGCTATTTGTGACAGTTTTGAACTGTTGCAAGTAGTCTCAGGAAAGACAAGTACTGATCCTGAAGACTTTTTCTATAGCATAGATTATAAAAACATGAATTTCTAACCCTGGCTGCTCACCCTTCTCCCCATTCTTGTGTTTCTGACGGGGTCATCAGAAATTATCTCCTGGGGTACCATAAAAACCTCTCCAAAACAAACACATTTAATATGTAGTGTGATAAAGCAGCTTAAAGTTGAGCATGTTAGAGGAAAGTCACTAAAACTCAAACAGGTAACAATGGCATTTCCCATTTCCTAAAGGGATGAAATTCCCATCGCAAGTGTGAAGCAGGTCAGATGGCTGCCATGTGTGCCTTTGAAAAATCAGTCAAGATGTGTTCAGGAACCAGAAAACTGACTAACCCAACAGGAGTATTTTTGAGTGTACATTTACTGTCTGAGCCCTTATATCTGAAGGAAATTAACTGCCTCACCACCACGCTACAGTTATTTATGGAACCACTTGCTGGGTAGGCAGTGGAAGCCCCTATTGATGGGCAACTCCTAGATGAGAAAGCCAATGAGCCAGTACCCACAAAAACAAATGTGCAATTAGAATCCAATTCATGCACGTGTGAACCTCATGGGGCACAGTGCTGGGAGGGACGGGGGGCCAAAGAAGGCCTCTCCAAGAAGGTGACATCATAGCAAAGGTGAGGCAGGGCAGGTGAGAAAGGTGGGAAGGAGCCAATCCCTCCAGGGCTTCCAGACAGGAAATAATAGCCTGGTGCTCCAGGCAGGAGGAGCCTGGCCTTCTGGAGGCATTGACAGTGCTCCAAAGTTGAGGGTGGGAGAGGAAGCCACACCAGATCAGCGGGACCACTGTAAGGGGTCTGGGTCAAGCTAGATGGAAATGAAGGGAGGACTCGGTACAGTTTTAACCCATAAGTTTTTCTTACTTTCCTGGTACATATTTGCTATTATGTTTGGCAGAGTTGGGCACCTGGAATGTTCTCTTGGTCAAGTAATTTTGATGAGAGTTCCTTTCTGTCCTCAAGGTCAGCCAGATATGCTCCCTCTTCCCATTATCCCCAACAGGTCTGCTGAACAAGTGCACTCAACTGCCTGGGTGCAAGTTTTCCCATGACATCAAATGTCTAGCTTGTGAGGGCTGCACTGTCTTGCAGGTGCTTCTATTTCTTGCTCTCAGCAGTACTGTAGCGGGGCCTGTATCTTGATAGAGGCAAGGAAACCTGCGTCCTGGGGCTCAGTGGTTCTTGACACTGGCTTTCCGGTAGGATCACCATGGACACTAGAATGTTTCTGTAAAGGCCGGGGCCCCCACTCAAACCTGCCTTTCTGGGCTGTCCTGGCCCCAACTGCCTTGTTCAGGTTTTCAGGCATCCAAAGAGAAGAGTCAAGGTCAACCAACATTTATGCCGGCAGATGATCAGATTTCTCTTAGGAGAGTAGACATTTTCTTTTCTTTCCTGTAAGTCCCGAATTATAAGCTGAAAGTTGTTCCCTGCTGCTCACACACAGCCCCTCTGAAAAGCAGAAAAACTTTCTGAGGTTTGAGCGAGGTGTTTTAACACCATGGACAGCGCCCCTGGTTCTTCGACCCGGATGCGCTTCCTAATAAAACGGCATTCCAGGTTCTAGAAAGCATTTCGGTAAAACAGGCTCAGAAACACCAGATTCAAGAGAATAACCATTATATGTGAATACATTTAAAAATAGATCACACACTCTAACAACTGAAATGTACAGAAAAGATGAAAGTGCATCCGTTAACGTTTAAATGCCCATTTCTACTGATGGCATTCATCTGCACGCTCGCACAGCGGAGCAGCTAACCTTTAGGACAGCGCCCGGGGCAGAGCCAGCTCGGAGCCAGCGCTGCACAGCTGTGAGGGGCCGGCTTTAGGCTCACACCGCCTGTATCTGAAACGCTGGGACGGGTATTTAACCCCCTGAACCTCGTTCCTCTTGCCTGTGAAATGTGGATGCTCCAGCGGGAGTTTCTGAAGATTGGCAGCTTGGCATGTAAAGGCCTTAGCAGAAAGCTGCCCTTGGTTTTAGGACCACTTAAATACCCAATCAGGTTTCCCTTCACCACTTTCATTAAAGCTTTTTAAAAAATATGATGCTTCTTCAATGGAGCTATTTCCTCCTTCTCCCCACACCCAAAATACAAACAAAAACACACCCACCCGCACACATTCGCACATGCACTCACACATTCACAAGCATTCACACACACTCATATCTATGCTCAATATCACTCACACTCAGTCACACCCACCTGCACACTCTCATACTCCCGACGCACATATTCATGCATACGTGTACACACACATTCACTCACGCACCCTCACACACGCACAGCAGGCTCAGATGAATAGGAGATGTCCCTCCAGCTCTCCCACATCTCAGGGATTACGCTCAGAGCTCCTGGCACTGACGTTTGGAAAATCTGAGAGACCTCTGCCTCTAGACCACATTATTATATTATTCATTTTATATTTCTTCTATATTTTTGAGTTTTATGTTTTTTATTAGAAAAAAACATTTTATTAGCTGGGGGAGGGGGGAGAGAGAGAGAGAGAGAGATTTAAATACTTCTCCTGACTTCAAATCTCTCACCTCTGAGATAGCTGCTGGTTTGTTTATGTAGTTATTCCCAACTGTGGTCAACTGAAAAATAGCCCCAAATATGTCATTGTCCTAATCTCTGGCACCTGTGATTGTGACCTTACATGGCAAAAGAAATTTTGCAGCTATGATTAAATTAAGGACCTCGAGATTGGGGATTACTTTGGATTTTCCAGGAGGACCCGGTGTCGTCTCAAGGGTCCTTTAAGAGGGAGGCAGGCAGGTTGGAGAGGAGAAGGCCACGTGATGCTGGACGCAGAGGACTAAGTGATGTGCTGTGAAGAGGGAGGAACAGGCCACAAGCCAAGGAATACAGGCCACACTGGAAGCTAAAAAAGGCAAGGAAAGGGACCCTCTCTTTAGAACCTTCAGAAGAAAGCAGCCCTACCAACACCTTCACTTTAGCCCAGTGAAACTCATTCTGGACTTCTGACCTCCAGAACTATAATGTAATAAATTTATGTGGTTTTAAGTCACTAAGTTTGAGGTAATTTTTTACAGCAGCAATAGAAAATTAATACACCAAATGTTCTCTATACTCTGTGTGTGTGTGTGTGTGTGTGTGTGTGTGTGTGTGTGTGTGTACTTCACTTTTTTGGCCAAATGAAATTATATAAAGTATGTATTTTTAAAAACTTGATCAGGAGGCTGAGGCAGGAGAATGGCATGAACCCGGGAGGCGGTGCTTGCAGTGAGCCAAGATCGCGCAACTGCACTCCAGCCTGGGCGACGGAGCAAGACTCCATGTAAAAAAAAAAGATTGATATCAATAATTCCTATAACATTATCTTTTTTAAAAGTTTTATGGTAATCCTTTGTATGGGTGAACATATTGTATTTAGTCTATTATCAACATATGCATACTTATTATCTTTGCATTTCCACTACTAGAAATGATCAATGAATACTCATATCCATGTCGCTTTGGCCACATATGGCTGTGTTTCTGTAGGATAGACCCTCAGCGGTAGAAGGATGTCTAGGTTTCATAGACACTGTCGAATGCACTTCACACACAAGATGCTACCCACATCTTAGCAACAATAGATAACATCAACCTTTGCCCACTTTTTTCTACTGGAAATGTTCATTTTTTTCTTATTGATTTGATATAGATCTTTATATATTAAATATATTGCTTATATGTTGGATAAGTTGCAAATATTTTCTCTCTTTGTGTTTGTCTTTTAACTTTTTCCTTTCAGCAAGAAAATGTGCTCAGTTTTTATGTCTTAGAAGTAGGAAAGGCTTTTTTAAACCCAAAAGTCTATCAGAAAAAGATTGCCTAATAAATACCCTCTTATAATTACATCTAAACTTTGTAGTTTCACTTTAAAATATCTAATCTTTAATACATCTGAAATTTGGGTGTGCATTGGGAAATAGATATACAACTTTATTTTTTTTTTCTTAAAGAAAAGCCAATCATTTGTATTTTCCTCAGGTATTTGAAATACTACCTCTTTTCATCTACTAGGATCCACAGCTATCTGGGTCTGTTTTAGTGTTCTCTGTGTGCTTATTAATTTACTATATATGAAGCCAGGCACGGTGGCTCACGACTTGGTAGGCTGAGGCAGGTGGCTCACCTAAGGTCAGGAGTTCGAGACCAGACTGTCCAACACGGTGAAACCCCATCTCTACTAAAAATACAAATTAGCTGGGCATGGTGGCACATGCCTGTAATCCCAGCTACTCAGGAGGCTAGGGTGGAGAATCGCTTGAACCTGGGAGGTGGAGGTTGCAGTGAGCTGAGATTGTGCCATTGCACTCCAGCCTGGGCGATAAGAGAAAAACTCCATCTCAATATAATCATGATGACAATAATAATAATTTACTAGATATAAGATCCTGGGAATACAACATTCTTACAGTATTTTTGGATCTCTAGAAGGTAAACTCTTCCCTAATTATTTTTTTTTATTTTTAAAACTTTTTGACTCTTTTAATACACTTATTCTATTATTTTATGTTTTTAGTTTATTTCACTTTAATTTTTAGTCAATGGAAGCAGCCAAAACAACCCATAACAGACTCTGCCAATGTGTACTGAATACTCAAGTTTTCAGCAGAATGAGTTACATGAAAATGTGCTCCTACTGGCTGAGACAAAGCAAAAGCCAGCACTGAGAAAGACAAAGTTGTAGACAAGGCTGGGAGCGAGCACAAGACTGTTAGAATACAAAGAACAAAATTATTCTCAAAAGAGAAGATTTGGAATGTAAAATAAAATAACAGTGCAATTAAATAACTGCATATGAGATGCCAGATTCTGTTAAACATGTGGAGAAGTGGCAAAGAGAAGACAATTAAAATCATTGTGGAGTATGTGTGTGTGCGTGCAGGTATACAACGGGCAATTGGGTGGATTGGGGCACTAGGTGGTAAATTTTTAAAAGCATTTAAATGTTAACTCTGAAAATTAAGGAAGACACTTATATTTAAAAATCACCAATATAACCATTTCTAGAATTAAAAGCCAAGATGTATAACTTCAAAGTAGTAGAGAATATAAAGTGCCTCCTCAACACGCAAAATAATTAATTACAAGACAAAGGTTGAAACAATAAGGAAGTGGAAGATAAATCCAAAGAACAAGATAATAGAAGCAAGCAAAAATGTATCAATAAGATTTTTAAAAAATAGATGGTACAAATATCCATGTAAGAAAGAAAACTTTCAGAAAGTTCCCTAAGACAAAGCACAAGCAAGTGGCTGGGAGCAGTGGCTCATGCCTGTAATCCCAGCATTTTGGGAGGCTGAGGCAGGAGGATTGCTTGAGTCCAGGAGTTTGAGACTGGTCTGGGTAACATGGCAAGACCCATCTCTACAAAAGCAAACAAACAAAGAAACACCACACACACACACACACACACACACACACACACACACACAGGCAAGTGCCATTTATGAGTCATGCCTACAAAAAACTGATACTAACAGGCTGGAAGTTGAAGGGACAGAGGTCTACAATTTTGTTCTTTTAATTCACGATTCTCTTGGCTAATCTTAGCATTTTGCATTTCTATATGCATTTTAGAATCAGCTTGCTAATTTCCACAATAATAATGTGGGAATTTTACTTAGGACTGCATTTAACCCATAGATCAATTTGAGGGAATTGTGGCGCCTGTAATCCCAGGTACTCAGGAGGCTGAGGCAGGAGAATCACTTGAACTCAGGAGGCAGAGGTTGCAGTGACCCGAGATCATGTCACTGAACTCCAGCCTGGGCAACAGATTGCAATATTGGGTTTTCCAATCCATGGAGATGACATATTCCTCCATTTATGTAAATATTATTTAATTTCTCTAAAGAGTTTTGCAGTTTTCAGTGTAAAAGTCCTATACATCTTTTCATAATCTATTTGTAGGTATTTTATTTTATGATATTGTAAATAATATATTTTTAAAAATCCATTTTCTACTTATTTATTGTTAGTATGCAGAAATACAATTGATTGTTTTGTGTACTGACTTTGTATTCTGTACCCTTGCTAAATTTGCTTATTGATTTGAATACTGTGTAGACTTCTTTGGATTATCTATGTACACAATTATGTTATCAGCAAATAATGAGTTTTATTTATTTCTTTATAATTCTTTTGCCTTTATTTATTCATTTTTCTTGGCTTATCCCACTGGATAGGACCTCCAATACAAGGGTGAATAGAAGTGTGATAATTGATATCTGTGTCTCATTTCCAATTTCATGAGAAAAAGTTTTCATATTTTATCATTAACAGGTTTACTTTGGTTTTTTTGCTAATTTTTAAATTAAATTACAGACGTACCATGCTATTTCTGATTTCCATTAGTTTTTTGTGTTTTCTTTTTAATCACAAATAGGTGTTAAATCTTATTTTTAAAACTTTTCTGTATCTACATAGATGATCATATATTTTTCTCCTTTTTATGTTAATGTAGAAATTACATAGATTGACTTTCAAATATTAAACCCACCTTATATTGTCATAAATTCACATTAGACCTGATGTATCATCATTTTTATATATCGCTAGATTTAGCTTATATTTTATTTAGGATTTTTGCATCGATAGTCCTAAAAGAGATTGGCCCATAATTTTCCTTTCTTGTAACATACTTGACAGATTTTGGTTCAAGGTTACACTGGCTTCAAATGTGACTTGGAAGCTGCCTCTTCTTCTTCATTCTCTGAAAGAGTTTGTGTAAGATTGATGGCTGTAGGATGTACAGTAATTTCCCTTTCTCTATTCCTGATGTTGGTTATATATAGTCTTCCTTTTTTCTTTTTCTTGATCAATTTTATTGTATGTGTGTATTCATTTTCAAAGAATGAGCATTTTTTGCTTTATTGATTATCTGTATTGTACATTTGCCTTCTATTTCATTGATTGCTGCCCTTGTTTTTTATTGCATTCTTTCTTCTATTTTTATTTATTTATTTTATATTTTTTGAGACAGAGTCTTGCACTGTCGCCTGGGCTGGAGTGCAGTGGCTTGATCTGGGCTCACTGCAATCTCCGCCCCCCAGTTTCAAGCAATTCTCGTGCCTCAGCCTCCCGAGCAGCTGGGATTACAGGCGCCCACCACCATGCCTAAGTAATTTTTTTTGTATTTTTAGTAGAGACGGGGTTTCACCATGTTGGCCAGGCTGGTCTCCAACTCCTAACCTTGTGATTCGCCCGCCTTGGACTCCCAAAGTGCTGAGATTACAGGCATGTGCCATCACGCCCAGCCTCTTCTATTTTTAAAAATTTGTTATTCTTTTTCCAGTTTCTTGAGGTTATGATAAAAACTAAGATTGACTTTTGGTCATTTTTTTTTTCATTGTAATATATGAATTTCAGGTTGTGCATTTTTATTTTAAGAATGGCTGTTTTAGTCCATTCTCACACTGCTATGAAGAAATATTTGAGACTGAGTAATTTATAAAGAAAAAAAGTTTAATTGACTCACAGTTCTGCATGGCTGGGGAGGCCTCAGGAAACTTACAATCATGGCAGAAAGCCCCTCTTCATAGGGCAGCAGGAGAGAGAAATGAGTACCAGCAGGGGAAATACCAGAAGCTTATAAAACCATCAGATCTCATGAGACTCCCTCACTATCATGAGAACAGTACGGGGGAAACCACCCCCATGATTCAATTACCTCTCACTAGGTGCTTCCCACAACACATGAGGATTGTGGGAACTACAACTCAAGAGGAGATTTGGGTGGGGACACAACCAAACCTTATCAATGGCTTAAAATCTTTGCCAGGTTTTCATATGTCATATTGTCTTTATCACTCAGTTCCAAATATTCTCTAATATTCTTTCTGATATCTTCTTTCACCCATAGGTTATTAGAACTGTATAGCTTAATTTTCAAACTAGTAGGGATTTTCCAGTTTCTTTTTTCCCAAGCTAACTTTCTGAGAAAATTATCTTCATTATTTAAATTTTTTGAAATTTTGGGAGCTTGATTTACTGACCAGCTATAATCAATTCTGGTAAATGTTTCACATGCAATTAAAAAGAATGTGTATACTATGGATTTAGAGTGCAGTATTCTATAAATGATAATTAGGCCAACCTTGCTAATTGTGTTATTCAAATTATCTGCTTTGAAATAAATGTGTTAAAATCTACCATTATGGTTGTGAATTTATTCACTTGTTCTTCATATTTTGTTAGTTTTGCTCTACATATATTTTGAAGTTCTGTTATTAGATTGATGCAGATTAAAATTTATGATATCTTCCTAGTGAACTGACCCCATTATCATTTTCAAATGTTTATCTTTAGTAACACTTCTTGCCTTAAAGTCAACTCTGTCTGATATTAGTATAAATATACTAGCTTTCTATGCCTGTAATCCCAGCACTTTGGGAGGCCAAGGTGGGTAGATCACTTGATTCCAGGAGTTCTACACCAGGATGGACAACATGGCAAAACCCCTTTTCTACGAAAAATACAAAAAATTAGTGGAGTGTAGTGGTGCATGCCTGTGGTCCAGCTACTTGAGAGGCTGAGGGTGGAGGATTGCATGAGCCTGGGAGGCAGAGGTTGTAGTGACCTGAGATTGCACCACTGCACTCCAGCCTGGATGACACAGTGAGAACTTGTCTCAAAAAAAAAAAAAAAAAAAAAAAAAAAATATATATATATATATATATATATATATATATATGTACATTTATACTAGCTTTGGTTTGGTTTTCCTGGCTTACCTTTTCTCATCATTTTACATTCAATCTTTTTGTGTCCTGATATTTAAATTATTATCTCTTGGAAGCAGCATATAGCTGGTTTTAATAGCCTCAACTGACGATCTTAAATCTTTTTCTTGGAGCATTTAGACCATTTATGTTTAACATAATTACTGATATAGTTATGTTTATATCTACCATGTTACTATTTTCTTTCTGTTTGATTCACCTGCTTTGTGTTCCTTTTTCATCCTTTCATGACTTCTTTTACATTAATCAAATATTTGTATCATTTTATTTTCCCTAAGGTAACATGCCAGCTGCTATATAAACTTGAAATCGCTGATGAAATAGACATTTTGTTGTAAAGGTGCAAATAATTCAAATGGATTTTTTAAGAACTAGAACACCAGAAAGGGCTCTTGAAAATTTAAAATTTATCAAAAATCTGTCTTCAATGTTGGGATGGCCAGATAATTCTTACAAATAATCATGATGATACCTTTAAAAACAAATGCCATGATTTAAACTACAGGAGTATCACAGAAGTGAAACTTTTAATATTACTGTATATTGTCTAGCAGTATAGTCTAGTAATAATATAGCATGCCTAAACAGATTTTATTGCTTGAATGTGAATGTGATTTAACATAAATGAACCCTCTCTATAATTCGTGAATGAATAAAAAGGTCAGGAGAGAAAGGCTAGGATATTTTGATAAATATAAAAAAGGTACTTGAGAGTATTTCTTTCTGAATTTTAAAAAGCTTCTAGAACTAGGGATAGAATATCATTTTCTTAATAACATAGTAACCCACTGGAACCAGCAAC
Source organism: Homo sapiens (assembly GCF_000001405.40). Taxonomy (NCBI): domain Eukaryota; kingdom Metazoa; phylum Chordata; class Mammalia; order Primates; family Hominidae; genus Homo; species Homo sapiens. Next base: position 6,695,047 of record NC_000005.10, read on the forward strand.
TAAAGAATATTTAATAATTAAAGAATATAATTATTTTCATTAAAATCAAGAACAACAGAAAATGCCTACTATTACTCATATGGTTCATCATTGATTTGCATTTGCATTGTCTAATGATTTTAGATAATGCAATAAGATAAGAAAAATATGAAGCTGCATACTGCAAAGTAGGAAATGATACTATCTGTCTTTACAGATGATTTGATTGTCTATCTGAAAAATCCAAGGGAATCAATTGATTAACACTACTTTAATTGATAACAAACTCTAATTGGATGGTTGGTTAGCAATCCAAGACACAGAAATCAATATTTTTCCAACATAGCAGCAATAACTTGAAAAGCTAAAAAAACTACATATTTTCATTTAAAAATATGTAAATACTAGCAATAAACTTAAAAAATGCGCAGAGTCACTGCAAAGTAATTAACGCTTTACTTCAAGACATAAAATTTTTGAATAAGACAGCATTCTTCTGGATTGGAGACGTGTATTCTTTTTTTTGAATTATAGAACCACAAAATTTACGTAATAAAATATGATTTGAAGCCTCTCTCATGCTCACGCTCATCGGCAACTTCACATACTTTTAGTTGTACATTTACATCTAAACACAAACATATAGCTTTCATAAAAATAGAATCATACTGAATATGCTATTCCCCAGGTTGCTTTCCATTCAAGAACACATTTAGGAGTTCTTTTTACGGTAGTATAGTTATATCTCATTTTTAACTCCTACATAGGATTTCATAGTATGGATATGCATGATTTATTTACATATTTCCTTTCTAATGGATTGTTTATAATCTTTTAATTTATTAAAGCTATTTACATATTATAGATATCAAACCTATGTCTATTTATTTTTTGAATTTATTTTGTGTTTTAACTTTAAATTTTTAATTTCAACAGCTTTAAGAATCCAAGTGGTTTGGGGTTACATGGATGAATTGTATAGTGGTGAAGTCTGAGATTTTATTGTACCCATCACCCAAGTAGTGTATGTTGTACCTTATAGGTAGTTTTCTATCCCTCACGCTTACCCACCCTCCCCACTTCTGAGTCTTCAACATCCACTATACCACTCTGTATGCCTTTGCATACCCATAGCTCAGCTTCCACTTATAAGTGAGAACATGTGATATTTGGTTTTCCATTCCATTCCTGAGTTACTTCACATTGGATAATGGCCTGTAGTTCAATCCAAGTTGTTGAAAAAGACATTATTTCATTTTTTTACAGCTAAGTAGTATTTCATGAGATATATATATATGGTTATATATATGATATATATGGTTATATATATGATATATATATCGTGTATATATATGGTGTATATATACATATATTTTCTATATCCATTCATTGTATGATGGGCACTTAGGTTGATTCCACATCTTTGCAATTGTGAATTGTGCTTTGATAAACATACATGTCCAGTTGTCTTTTTGATTTAATGACTTCTTTTCCTTCGGGTAGATACACAATAGAGGGATTGCTGGGTTGAATGGTAGATTTACTTTTAGTTCTTTGAGAAATCTCCAAACTGTTTTCCATAGAGAATGTGTTAATTTACATCCCCACTAGCAATGTATGAATGTTCACTTTTCATCACATCCATTCCAACATCTATTGTTTTTTGACTTTTTAATAATGGCCATTCTGGTTGGGGTAAGGTGGTATCTCACTCTAGTTTGAATTTGTATTTCCCTGATGATTAGTGATGTTGAGCATTTTTTCATATATTTGTTGGCTGCATGAATGTCTTCTTTTGAGAATTGTCTACTCATGGCACTTGTTCACTTCTTAATAAGATTATATTTTTTCTTGCTGATTTGTTTGAGTTCTTGTAGATTCTGGATATTAGTTCTTTGTCAGAGCCATACGTTGCAAATATTTTCTCCCATTGTGTAGGTTGTCTGTTTGCTTTGTTATTTCTTTTGTTGTGGAGAAGCTTTTTAGTTTAATTACATCCCATTTATTTATTTTTGTTTTTGTTGCATTTGCTTTTGGGATCTTAGTCTTAAATTCTTTGCCCAGGCCAATGTCCAGAAGAATTTTTTCTAGGTTTTCTTCTAGAATTTTTTTATGGTTTCAGGTCTTAGATTTAAGTCTTCAATCCTTTTAGAGTTAATTTTTGTATATGGTGAGAGACAGAGATCCAGCTTCATTCTTCTACATGTGGCTATCCGATTTTCCCGGCATCATTTATTGAATAGGGTGTCCTTTCACCGGTTTATGTTTTTGTGTGCTTTGTCAAAGATCAATTGATTGTAAGTATCTGGCTTTATTTATGGTTCTTTATTCTGTTCCATGGGTCTATGTATCTACTTTTATACCAATAACATGCTGTTTTGGTTACTACAGCCCTTGTTGTATAATTTGAACTCAGGTAATATGACGCCTCCAAATTTGCTCTTTTCATTTAGCATTGTTTTGGATATTCAGGCTCTTTTTTAGTTTCATGTGAATTTTAGGATTGTTTTTCTAATTCTATGAAAAATGATGTTGGTATATTAATAGGAATTGCATGGAATCTGTAGATTGCTTTGGGCGGTATGGCCATTTTCACAATATTGATTTTTCTAATCTATAAGCATGCGATGTACTTCTATTTATTTGTACCATCTATTATTTCTTTTAGCAGTATTTTGTAGTTCTCCTTGTAGACATATTTCACCTTTGTGGTTAAGTATATTCCTAGCTTTTTTGTGGTTATTGTAAAAGGAATTGAGTTCTTAATTTCATTCTCAGCTTGGTCATTGTTGTTGTATAGCATTGCTATGGATTTCCCTACACTGATTTTATAACCTGAGAGTTTACTGAGTTTATTTATGAGATCTAGGAGTCTTTAGGGTTTTCTAGGTATATAATTATATCACCAACAAACAGATAGTTTTGATTTCCTCTTTTCCAATCGGAATGTCTTTTTGTTTCTTTCTTTTGCCTGATTGCTCTGGCTAGGACTTCCTGTATTAATTCTTCTATGTATTTAGCACAAGTTGATAAATTCCATTTATAGAATCTAAAAATGTAATATAATACATTTAAATTTATAGAACTCCGTTGGGGTTTTGTTCTTGAACTTACCAAAATTGTCCTGATTTATCTAGAACAATACATTTGCTTGAATATACAAGATTTTTTCAGTAAAATAACATTTAATTTTGGAGGAGAAGTATCCTCTTACTAGATAGTAAACATCAATTTACAGTCTAATAAGCAAAACAATATTTTTTTCGTCAACAAATAAATAGACCAATCACTGGAACTCAATAGAAACTTTAGAAATGTACTCAAGTTTCTGTAAGAATTTATGATATCATAATCTCAATAACTGGAGAAATAGTATATTGGAATGCATTATCATTTAGAAAAAAATAAATTTCCTATCTTATGTCTTACACAAAATAAATTCAAAATGCATTAAAGTTTTGTTTTGCTTTTTTTCCTCTAGAGACAAGGTCTCGCTCTATTGCCCAGGCTGGAGTACAGCAGTGTGATCATAGTTCACTGCAGTCTCAAACTCCTCAAGCAATCTCCCACTTCAGCCTCTGGAACAGCTGGAACTACAAGTGCATGCCACCACATCTGGCTAATTTTTTAATTTTTATTTTGTAAAGACGCAGTCTCGCTATGTTGCCCAGGCTGGTCTTGAACTCCTGGACTCAAGTGATCCTCCTGCCTCAGCCTCCCAAAGTGCTGAGATTACAGGCATGAGCCACTGCACCTAGCCTGAATTAACGCTTTAAATGTGAAATGTAAAGGCAGATGGTGAATATATGTATTTGATTGGGTAAGGAAATTCTAAGCATGACTCACAGTCAGAAAAAGTACTCTATGAATATTTTTCCCCTTCACAGTGGTTGGTCATTATTCCTAAAATATTATACTAACCCACTGAACCACTGCTTTATGTCTCATGATCCACTAGTTGGAAATTTTTTTGTCTTCACATCTTTCTTGCATAAAAAACTTACATATTTAGAAGATTTATCCAGTAATGGGCTTTACATTTACCATAAATATCATTTTTTTCTCCCATGAAATTATAGGTCACATTTTAGACATCAGGAGACTTTCAGTCCTAAGAAGTTACAATTTGAAATTAAACTTATCTAGTTTTTAAAAACTTCTAAGCTAGCAGGATATAAATAATGTGCTAGTGTTGGCAATAACTGTTCATAGCTGTTTCAAAAATTTGAATTCTGGAAATGAATTCCCTCAGCAGCATGTTTTGTTTGCTTCAGGCATTTTGCAAATACAATACTTTCAGAACACAGCTTTCTATCTCCCCCATGAAGTAATTTGAGAACCACCTTTATGGTTTGTCATTTTATTGTTTAGACTTGAAATGGATTCATCTGTCTTACTAGTTAAGCCTTTAACTAATAATATAATTACAGCATTTATGCATGTATTTCTTATGACACTCCAATCTTCACAAACTCCTCCTTAGGAATTAGTGTAAAAGAAAGAGGTGAAATTTCTCCCATCTCCCTCCAATAGCTGTGTGCCTTCTGGCAAACACATGCTATGATCTGTGTCTCTAAAATATGCTGAGTGCTTTGTCCTGAAAAGAGTCCGCTTCTCTGGAAAAAAAAGTTAGCCAAGATCCCTCTCTAACTTTATGATGAAAAGTATCATTCCAGTTGAGAAGCACAAGTCCCATTCAAAAGGAATGGAAGTGAATTTTACAAAGATTATGTGATTGACCTGAAGAGGAAGACAAAGCAAATTGAATATATCTTCTTGTACCATACGTGACAATTTCTTTGAAGGTTTTAGGGCCATGAATATGACTTTCCTAATAAAGCAACCCTTTTCAATTTTTTTTTTTTCCTTTTGAGATAAGGTCTCACTCTGTCACCCAGGCTGGAGTGCAGTGGTGCAAACGCAGCTCACTGCAGCCTTCATCTCCCAGGCTCAGGCCATCCTCCCCAGTAGCTGGGATTACAGGTGCACACTACCGTGCCTGGCTAATTTTTAAAAATGTTTTGTAGAGACAGGGTTTTGCTATATTGCCCAGGCTGTCTCAACTTCCTGGCCTCAAGTGATCCTCCCGCTTCGGCCTCTCAAAGTGCTGGAATGAGCCACCACACCTAGCCAATCATCTTTTAATTTTTACTTAGTAACTGCTTACATTTTCAAGCAAATGTGAAAACCTAAGTCTTTTGTGCTCTACGTTGATCTCTTCCTGAATGTGGTTTGGCTCAGAGCTCAGCATGCTTGGCATTGACTCGGTTACTCCTTAAATATTTACCAGTCGTCAATACTTTTCTTGTCCTCCGCCTTACTCTTTTGCTGTTTGAAGCACTTGGAAGTGAATAATGTCTCTCTCAGTTTAGTTTGAGACTTTTGTGGAGCATTTCTGCCCTGTGATGCTGGGGATGCCTGTTGCAATGCCTGTTGCATTGCCCCTCCTGGGAAGCACAAAGGAGTGGAGAGGCAGGGGGGTGAATTCACACCACGCCAGCATGTGTTCACTGGGGGCTTCCTGTCTGCAGGCCACGGAGCTGGGTCCAGTGAAGGGCTCAGATTCCGGGGGGGTGGCAACGCTTCTGCTGGGACAAAGCCTCTAGTCCACCGGGGATGCTGAGCAAAAGGGTGAAAATTAAAAAGTGGAAGAGCTAACGTAATTCAAGGCAATAAGAAAAGCCCTATTATTCATTTTCACAATCACCACAGTAATTTTCACAATTGTTACAAATTTCTCTCTCCTACGTTCATTACTTTAAGGTTGATGCGGCCAGGAAAGCTTTACAGAGGTCTTGGTTGGATCTGGGTCTGGAAGGCTGGCACTGCGCCGGGAGAGGCAAAGGTGATGTTAGGGGAGTGTCCAGGAAACACTGCACCCTGAGGCACAGGTCAGAGACAAGGTAGCCCGAGGCTTGCACAGGGGCTATGGGCAAACCAGCTCTGGTAGCTTCCAGGCTTCAGCAAGTGGGTGAGTGGCTAAAAATCAGGCTGGTATGAAGATGAGGGTCTAGGATTAGGGAGGGTCAGCGGCTTTGTTTTTATTCAGTCAACAACTATGCATTGGACACAGCTGTCTGCCAGGCCCTTTGCTGAGCTTTTCCATACAAGAGTGGACAGAGTTGGCATCGTCACTGTCCCCAGGTACAGGCAGCTAACACAGGGACATAAGTGAGTAAACCTGCAATGAACTGACCATGTGTCAAAGGACCAGAGACACAAGAGAGGGCCTCCTCGAGGACAGCTGAGCCAGATTCCAGGGTTGACGGAAAGTTGGGGGCGGGGGGCTTGAGCGGCTCACGGACAGCTTTCCCAGACAGAGAGGGCAGTGCTCAGGCTCTGCAGCGTGGAAGCAGGCTGCAGCCGAGGGTCTGAAGGGGTTTGGGGTGGCCGGGGTAAGAGTGCCAGCAAGGTGGTGACAACACTAGAACCTAGAGGAGTAGAGAGTGGAATCATGACAAAAGGAACCCAATGGAGGTGTCCAGGCGGGGGCTGGGCCACTGACGGTAAGGTAGAGGCTGTGGAAAATGCCCCTGAATGAGAAACTGTTTGTGCAATGCACATGACAATTTGTGTCAATGGTGCATCTTTTCCGCTGTTTCCAGTCTCTAGAAACTCTTTTATTACAGAACAATTGAGAAGAACACAAAGGCAGCCTCCCTCCGAGGTGACTCACATTCTACCCGCTGCTCACTCTGTCAGTAACACTGACGTTTTTTTACACAGAATATTGAACACTTGCCCTGAAAATCTTGCCTTTGTGCCTGCTTTCAGGTACAGGAGTAACGCTGGGGCCGTGAGGGAGTCTGACCGTCAGTCCTGATTCTGGGCCCGTGACAGGAAGCGCCACGGGTCTGGGTTCCTGCCATCCATCGCTGGCCATGCACCCTGCACCCACCACACGGGAAGAACCACAGGTAGAGTCATTGAATAACTGAATATTCAACGCACAAGGAGATGTGTGTTGAAGAACCAAGAGGGAGCTGGCCACAAAGACAGGGCAAAATTTTTGACAGTGTTGAAATGTTTTTTTTCCTCTTGATTCTGGACATCCTGAAGTCACAATATCCAATGCTCTTTCAGCATTTTTATGATAAAAAGCAATCACCTTATTAGTGGCTGTGTTTAAAGCTAGCCAGACTGAGGCGGTAAACAGCACTGCATTTATTCGTGTAGGCGCTACGAACCTGAGCACCAACTGGGACCTCCATGCGTGGACTGGGCCATAGTGAGAGAGAGGCATGGGGCATAGTGCATGGGAGAGGTGTCCTTGGTCCAAGGATGAGTGAGATGGTATTAGAACCTCCCATTCCTGCTGCATCAAGACATCAAAAAAAGAAGAAAAATAGAGCCTCCCATTTATTCTCAAGTGTTCTGTCTGTCCTCTTAGTCAGAGGCTCACACATCCCACCCTCACCACGTGGCTTGCAGGGCTCCCTGGCATTGCGTTGGCCAATGGTATGGAATTTGGCATGACATTGCTATACCCAGCAGAATCTTGAGGGCAAATGTGTAGTTTCGCCATGTCTCACCTTCCTTTGCCATTGACTGAGATGGGTTGCTACTCCAGCCTGGGTGCCCAAACACGGAAGACAAGATGTGGGGTACTGCCTGGGAGGACAGCCACCACCAATGTGTGCCATGTCGTTCCTATGAAACGCTGAGGTCCTGGGGATGTCTGTTACTGCAGCATAAATGAGCAAGAGCTAACTAATAAAGAGATTAACATTTAAACATTAAAAAAACATGGAGTGGGCCAAACAAAGCACGCCCTGGGCCAGCATGCTCTTTGACACATGATGATTACTTCCCAGCTTCCAGAGAGGCGCATGGGATCTTCCGCAATGCTAGGCAGGCTGCCCCTTTCCTTTTCTTTTTCCTTTCCTTTTTCCTTTCCTTTCCTTTCCTTCCCCTCCTCCTCCCTCCCTCTCCCCTTCCCCTCTCACTCCCCTTCCCCTTCCCCCCCTCCTTCCTCCCCTCCCCGTCCCCTCTCTTTTTCCAGACAGGGCCTTATTCTGTTGCCCAGGCTGGAGTGCAGTGGCGCCATCATAACTCACCGCAGCCTTGACCTCCTGGGCCCAAATGATTCTCCCACTGCAGCCTCCTGAGCCTGGGATCATAGGCGTGCACCATCACACCTGACAATTTTTTTTTTCTTTTTTTAATAGAGACGGGGTCTTCCTATGTTGTCCAGGCTGGTCTCCAACTCCTGGGAAACATAGGAAGACCCCATCTCTATTAAAAAAAAAAAAAAAAAAAAGAAAGAAGAGGCCGGGCGCAGTGGCTCACGCCTGTAATCCCAGCACTTTGGGAGGCTGAGGTGGGCAGATTACCTGGGGTCAGGAGTTTTGAGACCAGCCTGGCCAGCATGGTGAAACCCCGTCTCTACTAAAAATACAAAAAAAATTAGTCAGGAGTGGTGGTATGCACCTGTAATCCCAGCTACTCAGGAGGCTGAGGCAGGAAAATCACTTGAACCCGGGAGGCAGGGTTGCAGTGAGCTGAGATTGCGCCACTGCACTCCAGCCTGGGTGACAGAGTGCGACTCTGTCTCAAAACAAACAAACAAACAAAAAAAATAAAAAAAGAAAAAAGTGACCCCCCATCTCAGCCTCTGTGCCTGGCCTAAGACAGGTTGCCAAGATCACTACCAGTATGCGCTGTCCTTTCTCAAGGTGTCTTCAAGGAGAAGTAAGTACACTGTGGACAGCCCCCTGGCAGTAACACATCTCCTGCAAGCCTCTTTGTGTAGGAGGATTTGTTCTCCTGGCCCCTCCTTCCAATACCAACATCTTGAACTACAATTGTAAACCAGAGTCCGGACCCAGGGTTGAGGTCCTCAAATACTCCTATGGAAGAGACCACGTTTTCCCAGCTGCATGGAGGCATTTCACAGCTAAAACCACTCTTCCAATTCAAAGAAGTAAATGAATAGACAACAGCTGTGAATAATGTCTTCTGTGTTTTTCCCTAAACATTGGTTTTGTGGTCATGTCTTCGCTGGTGTTGAAACACTTTTTCACAACCAATGATTATGTATGTGATTAAAACCTCGGAAATGGATTGCCTCGGTCATTCACTCGTTTTCAAGGATGCCACCACCATGTTTAGAATGTGGCTGTCCCATGCTTCTCCCCACCCTTGCCCCTGGCCTTTGTGCTTCTGTGCCCTTTGTGATTTTAGCCATCATCCGTGTAATGGCTAAAATTCAGAAGAAAACGGCTAAAATTCAGAAGGAAAGTAAAATTACAAGCAGCATTTTTCTCAACAAACAGCCCACTGGTGACCTCGTGAGGGCACCAGCCATCGCCTATGCCTGTCCTTCTGGTGGCACAGAATTCACTGGAAAGGTCTCGGCCAGCCAGGCTCTGTGTCCAGCCTCTGTCTGTGTCTCTAAGGGGGGCCTGCACCTCCCGGGCTGCCTGGCAGGGCCTGTGAGGCCTCACTGTCATGAGAAAAGAATCCACAGGTCTGTAAACTTGCTATTTTTAGGCCTCAGTGGACTTGCGCCAGTTTCCTGAGTGTAGTAATTACCCAGATATTTTATTGAATAGGGCCTTGAAAACTTACAACACACACCTCAAACCTACTCAGAAATTTAAAGAGGTTTAAAATGCCATGCAGCGAATTCTCAAAGACAAATGACAAGCCCACGTCTCCATCCACCTCCCCCCACACCCTCAGGCTGCTCTTACCCTGCTTCTCTGCGCTTTCCACACCCGTCCCCGCCCGGGTGAGCTCACCCCATGCAGCTCTGCTACATGCCAGCCAGGCAGGGCTTGCTCCGTGACGGCCCTTTCCAGACTGGCTTCTCTTCTAAATGCAAGCCTCTGTGTCCAACTGTCTCCTGGGGATGTACGAGGGACATCTCCAACCTAGCATTTCCTAAAGAGGGATGCTTCCTGCTCCACCCAGTGTCCCCCATCTCAGGAAATAAGACTTTCATCCATGGCTGAGGCCACCGACCCGAACGGATGCTTTGTTCACTCTTTGCCTCCCTCCCCACTAGCTCCCCATGGCTGGCTCTACTTCAAAATCCATGCTGCATCCAAATCAACGCTGCTCCCCATTCAACCCCTTACCTCCAGAATCTCCTGCGGGACTGCCATAGCCTCCTGAGCCCCTGTCCCAGTGGGTCCACTGCCCAGTACTGTTCCACACGGCATGTAATCTTCTAGAGTATGTCAATTTGACCTTGATTGCCTGACTCACCAATCTCCAAGTCTTCACCTTCTTACCATGGGGGAAGGAGAGCCTGGCCTGCGAAGAAGGCGCACAAGTCTGTGGGTGGTTTCCTTTCCGAGGCCCACGAGGTTGCACTTCCCTCTGGTTGTTAAGTGTGATGTATAGAAGATAATGACTCAAGTGCCTGGATTAGCAATTGTGGGGACTAGCAATGCCCCCAGCCTACCCTCAAAGTCCAGGCTTGAACAATAGAACAAAACAGACACCCAGAGGGTTTGGCAGGGAATAGAGAATGATTAGAGAGATAGAAAAATTAATTAGTTCATTACAGCTGGGAGCAGGAGAGCCATTCTCTTCCATTAATGGGAAAGTTGGAGCCTGAACCAAGAGCAGAAAGCATGGAGCAGAAGCCATGGACTGATTCTTCCTTCAGTTAGAGGAAGCAACAGGAGAAGCAGAAGACTGAAAGAAAACTCCAGCTTCTTCAAGAAACACGGAGAAGGAACAGTGGACGGGTAGGATGCACAGAATAGGTACACGGCGCTGGTCCCTCTTGTAAGCATCTCATGGACATGCCTGCTTTTCATCTTCACGTAATTCCAGGCATGAGTTACAGAAATTTTCCCCATTCTGAGGCCAGTAAGTTTAATCAGTTTGCCTGAGGCCACATAGCTAGGAAATGGCAGAATGATGGCAAAGTCAGGCAAATTCGTTCCACAGTCCCTGTTCTTAACAAAAACAGAAATCTAAATTTGAGAATGGGCTGTATGCCCTGTTGAAAGACTCTTAAAAGAGAGAGAAAATCCAGCAAACTTACCCTGAGATGGATGGTCTGGGTTTCTTCCCATTTCCTAGAACTGCTTACCCGTGTGGAGCCATGCTTACTAACCCGCTGCCCTTGATGCCAGTGAGGCTTGGTGCTGGGCTGCCAATGACCTCAGTTATGGGGCACGGCAAACTTGGTGACTTTAGCTGCAGGCAGAGTCTGGGGTGGCGGTGCCTGCAGTCTGGTGTGCTGTAATGTAAACACCCAGGAAGGCTTCTGGTTGTTGCTTTAGGCCTAAGGCAGGGAGCCGGGAGAAATAGAGAAGGGAAGGGGTCTTCATTAGATGAGAAAGGAATATTGAAAAGTGAGGATTTTTCTGTTTCACTTTCATTTTATTTGACCTTTTACATTGTAAATTATATTCATTTAAAAAATAAAGAAAAAGAAACATTTCTCCAATAAATGGAATGCAGGACACATGTTAATACGGGCAGTGAATGTTAAGCTACACAGCGATTTTAAAATGAATGCACCATCTTCCTTGCTCAGGCAGTGGCTCCTGCGGTCACCATCTAAGGCAACCTGTTCCGACCTCCCTGGTGGAAACCTGGAAGCTCTCTGAACTTTCCTCTCTCCTTCTTCCACGTTGAATCAATTACTGAGCCCCCAAAGATTTTACCTCCGAAACATGTTGTGGCAAAGTCAGTGTGCTGTGTTTGCCAGACCCAGTTCCTTTTTGTTCTGGGCTCTCAGCTGGACTATATAGTCCAGCCTCCCTCAAGTTAGATGGGGCCACATGTCTGAGTTCTGGCCACCAAAATATGCATGTGAGTGATGTGCTGGCCACCCCCCAGACCTGGACCCTAAACCTCCTGCAGGATGCTCCATCCTATTTCTTCCCCTCACCCCTTTGCTGGCCCTCTGCAGAGAACTAGCTGAAAACTCCAGGGCCCAAGGGAATGGCAGAACTTCTGCCTGAAAGAGCCAGGATTCCTGAATGACTGTGTGGAGCAGAGTTCTCCTTCCCCATACCCCAGGCCCCATGCAGGCCCACAGTGGACTGGGAAGTGAATAAGAAATAAACTCTTAACATGTGATGCCACTCTGATTTGAGATCGCTTCTTATAGCAACTACAATAACTGACCCTAATTTATTTTCTCCTAAATAATCCTTTGCATACCTAATACTGTGCCCATTACTGATTTTCTATTTCTCTCAAAAGGCCATCCCCCCAACCTTTACCTCCATCTTCAATCTTGGCCTCTCATAATTCCATCTGTTAAGACAAAGTGAACTTTTCTTAAAACGCATGTTAGACCATACCCCTCTTTGGGGTACATCTTTTAATGGTACCCCCAAAAGTGCTGACCATGGCACACCCTTCCTGTGCCTGGCTTTGGCCAACAGCCTCACATTGGATTTCTGCTGCCATGCTTGGCCCCTGGCCACTGAGAGCCCTGGGGAATTTCTGTCCTCAGGGCTGTGTCTCCAGACATTTCTCATCCTGGAATGTCCTTCCTCTGTTAGGCTAATACTCTGCATCTTCTAGGATCAGTCCAGCAACACCTCTAGGTTCCCTTGCCCTGTCTCCCACTAGTACCCTGCACATGTGTGTACATCACACACATCTCCGTTTATTGAGCTGAGAGCTTCTTTGGGCCCTCACTCAGAGACGGAATTTGTCACCTGTATGTGCTTGACGCTGGGGCCCAGCAACTACCCCTAGTCGTGACAATCCAAAGCGTCTCCAGACGTGGCCACATGTGCCCTGGGAGACACAGTCAGCTCTGGTTGACAATCCTGCTCTAGAGTGGTTGGAAAGAAGAGGCATTTCTTGTGGGTTGTATTCTCTTGGTGGGGCTACTCTATTCAAGGTCAAAAACTAGATTTCGTCAGAACATTCAAGCCTCTGTAGCAGGCCAAAAAGTGTCCTCCCAAAATTCACGTTCACCCAGAATCTCAGAACAAGACCTTGTTTGGAAACAGGGTCTTTGCAGGCTCTCAGAAACAGACTCGTATGGACTGAATTCAGAAGAGATTGCAGGTGGCAGACACTGGCAGGACATGAGACCCACTTCCTGCTTCTTTACTAACAGACCCAGTTTTTTTCAACATGGTCATAAGTCAAGCACAAACAATGGCTCACGATTGGTTTAGGTCATTCATGATCATTCTGTGTCTCATCATGTGTCTTAATTTCTCAGACTCTCTCGCAGTTGGGGTGGCCTTATAACTAGCTCTAATCAACAAGATTTGAGGACAAATCTAACGTGAGGTTTCTTGGAAAAAGTTTGCTTTTCTGATACAAAGGGTCACAGACAGCAGACACTGTCCTTCTTCCCCCACCTCCTTCCTGTGGACATGAGGGATGGACCCAGAGCAGCCTTTAGGTGAAGGCCAGGGGAATGTCAGACAGGTCAGCTCGGACATCCTGGGACACTGGGCCACCATGCCAATGGCCCTTTCTTGCTGGATTTCTTATTACGGGAGCAAAATAACTTTCTTGTTTTATTTAAGCCTCTGTAGTAGGTTGCAAAGTGGTCTTCCCAAAATTCTGGGTGAATTTTGGGAGGAGACTATGCAACCTCCTAGTGTCCACCCAGAATGTCAGAACAAGACCTTATTTGGAAATAGGGTCTTTGGAGGTATAATCAGTTAAGAATCTTCAGATGAAATCATCCTGGATTTAGAGTGGGCCCCAAATCCAATGACTGATGTCCTTACAAGAAGAGAAGGCATAGAGAGATACACAGGGGAGGATGTCATGTGATAACAGAAGTAGAGGTTAGCATAATTCATCCCCCATTCTCCCCCTTCCAGTGCCCCACACCGCTTGCAATATGATGCAGCTCCTTCCATCAAGAGGTGGAGGCTTCTTTCCCACTCCTTGACTTGTCAAGGCCTTGCCACTTGCTTTGTCTCACAGAATGGTAAGGAAGTGATGGCATGCCGGTTCTGAGCCTCATGCATGTCTGCTTGCACTCCTGAAACTCTGTTCAGCCACCTGAGAACAAGCCTGAGTCAGCCTGTTGGATAACAAGAGACTGATGGTCCTTGTCAACTCTGTCAACTCCAGTGCCCCAGCTGCCAGCCAGGCTACTCTAGCCCAGCCAGCCTTCAGCTGATTGGCCAGCTGAGTGGAGCAAGATCAGCTGTGTTTGACCCAGAGCAGCAAAACCACCTAGTTGATTTGTAGACTTGTGAGCAATACCAAACACTTATTTTAAGCCACTAAGCTTGGGGTGGCTTCTTACCCAGCAGTAGCTAATACCTACACACTTTCAGTTATTTGGCACCTGTGAGCAATTGAATTTGGGAACCCTGTTTTAGGTAGAGGTTTTCAGAGTTCACTGTGTTTTAGAATTACTCAGAAAATTTACTTAAAATAGAGATTCCTGGGCTTGCTCCTAGAGAGTTTCAGTAAATTGGGTGAGCTCTAGGTATCTGCATTTTGACCAGCATTGCTAATTCTGGCATGGGTAGTCCATGGAATACACTTTGTAAACCATTTTTTTCATGGGAACAAATCACTAAAATCATGGTGTAATCTCTAATATTATTCCTCCTCCAATATCCGAAGAGAGAGAGGAGAGGGTTTCAGCCCAAAACGGGAATGGGCTGCACTTATCTGTAGAAATTGATAAAGAGAAAGATCTCCCTTGCCCAGCGTCTCAAAAACTGCATTTTACATTCAGTATTGTTTCTTGATTGCATTAAGAAATACACTGCAGCCGGGCACGGTGGCTCATGCCTGTAATCCCAGCACTTTGGGAGGCTGAGGTGGGTGGATCACTGGAGGTCAGGGGTTCAAGGCTAGCCTGGCCAACACAGTGAAACCCCATCTCTACTAAAAATACAAACATTAGCCGGATGCGGTGGCACACACCTGTAACCCCAGCTACTCAGGAGGCTGAGGCATGAGAATCACTTAAACTCTGGAGGCGGAAGTTGCAGTGAGCCAGGATTGCGTTACTGCACTCTAGCCCGGGTGACAGAGTGAGACTCTCTCTCTCTTTCTCTCTCTACACATATACATATATATACACATATGTATATATATGTATATGTGTATATATACATATATATACACTGCTTTTAATTTACATAAAAATATTTATGATCATATATAAATAACAAAACCTTGGTTTTAATTACAAAATGTTGTTTGGTGGCTGGTGGATCAAATCAACGAGGATTAGCTAGAGGCAAACTGCAAAGACAGAGTATGAGGCAATCAAGAAAAACTTAAAATACCTAAACAATGACAACCTGTGTAACAGATCCTGGAAGCTGGACAAGGGCAACTGCCCGTGTCCATTCCCGCTGGGCCAATCAATCAGCTGCCAGTCATTCTGCCAATGTTCACCAAGGACTGATGTGTCAGACAATCCTTGAGCTGATACACAGCAGGGACAAGCCATTCCTATCCTCTCTTCACGGAGCATGCATTCTAATGGGGCGGGGGACACAAATGATAAATGAGATAAAATACATATGACGTGGTATAGTGTCCCCCAAAAAGATATGATCAAGTCCCAACCCTGGGTGCCTGCGAATATGACCTTATTTGGAAACTCTTTGCAGATGTAATCAGGTTAGGAGGAAGACACTAGGGTGCCCTAATCCAATGCCACTGGTGTCTTTCTGAGAAGAGACATGGACACAGGGAAAATGCCATGCGATGATGATGACAGAGAGTGGAGCGCTGCATCCACAAATCAAGGACACAGGGAAACGTCATGCGATGACGTGTCAGAGAGTGGGGTGATGCACCAACAAGCCAAGGAATGCCACGGTTTGCCAGCAACACCAGAAGCTGAGAGGAGAGCATGGGGCACACTCCCTTACAGCCTTCAGAGGATACACGGCCTTGCTGACAACTTGATTTTGGACGTTCAGCCTCTAGGACTGTGAGAGCATGCGTTTGTTGTTTTAAGCCACCCAGTTTGTGACATTTTGTTACTCAGCTCCAGGAAACTAAGGGAGAAAAAGCAAATGGGGAAGGGAAACGGGATGCTGAGGGTTATGTTTGCAGTTTAGACTAAAGAGCCACTTGGACGTCCTCACTAAGATGGGGAGGAGGGAACGCATGTCAGGCAGATGGAACAGCAAGTGCAAAGGCCCTGAGGCAGGAGTGTGCCAGGGGTGCTTCTGGCTGGTATTGTTTGGGCTAGGGAAAGCGCTGGGAGGTGAGGGCAGGGGAAGAGGGGAAGGACCAGGGGATAAGGGACTTGCAGGTCATAGCAAGGTTGTTCCATTTTGCTGAATGAGAAAGCCACTGGAGGGTTTTGAGCAGAGGAGTGGCATGGACTGAATTTTTTAAAATGTCAACTTTAAATTCTGGGATACACGTGCAAGACGTGCAGGTTTGTTACATAGGTAAATGTGTGCCATGGTGGTTTGCTGCACTTGTGAACCCATCACCTAGGCATTAAGCCCTGCATGCATTAGCTATTTATCCTGATGCTCTCCCTTCCCCTAACCCCCAACAGGTCCCGGTGTGTGTTGTTCCCCTCCCTGTGTCGATGCATTCTCATTGCTCAGCTCCCCCTTATTACTGAGAACATGCGGTGTTTGGTTTTCTGTTCCTGTGTTAGTTTGCTGAGGATAGTGGCTTCCACCTCCATTCATGTCCCCACAAAGGTCATGATCTCATTCCTTTTTACGGCTGCATAGTATTCTAAGAGTGGCATGAGATGATTTTTAAAATAGTAACATCTTTTTTGTTTTTTAAAAAGGATCACACGAGCAGCTGTGCAGAATGTGGGAAACCAGCTAGAAGGCACTGCTTTAAAATGGACGGGTGGCGGGGAAAGAGGGGTGGAGGGAGGAGGAGGGGTAGCAGTTGGGTTCTGGTTGTTTCGGGCAGTGGAGCCAAGAGGATGTGTTCATTGTGGACAGAGAGAGGAGCCAGGCATGACCAAGGATTTTGGACTGAGCCATTGGAAGCAAACAGCTCCAGAATAACGGCCGTTTGACTTGTGTGTGATTTTCTGTAGTTTACTGAATGCACGTTCTAATCCTTGGTCATGATTTCCACGTGTACAATATGAAGGTATTTGAAAACGTCTGAAACATTCATTTTCATTACTAACCACCACCACTTGCCCCAAAGCCTTTGTATGCAACACACGGACCTTTCCTGTTGGGGCGATGTTTGAAGGGTCAAGTGCTTAGTAATGTCTACTCATCTGTGCTGGAGACGAGGGGGTAGCATTTACAACACGCCTGTACGAAGGCCAGGTCCCGTTCTACTTAAAAGGCTTGGAGCCCGGGCGCCACTGGGCTAAGGCAGCTTCAGGGCCCTGGCCCGGGAGTGCATTTGCGGGGACTCCGCCTGAAGACAGGGCGGCAGCCGCGGGGCCTCACGTCGCCCAGGCTCGCGGGGCACCGCGATGATCAACGACACTGGCGTTTGCTTTGGACCTCACAGGATGTGTGGTTGGCGCTGTATTCCAAACAGTGCCACTGTCAACCCGGCTTCCATCGCGCTCGGGACACCGGGATGGCAAACGGCAGGCTGTGGATGGCGGGCGGTTTCCCACTGACTCCTGCCCGCTCGGTGCAGCTGGAAAAACCGAAGCCGGGGGCCGGACGCGCCGCCCACCAGCCGTTCCTCGGCTAGCACTGCCCATTTTGCCCAGGGAATTAACTTGGAAGTTTTCACTTCACTTTTCGCATAGAAAATCATTTTAAAAAGCAAACCAAACGCCTGTAAGCAGACCCGCTAGGGAGCAGGACTCTGCCGCGTGTCCTTCCCGGCTCCGGAGCGGCGGAGCCAGCCACCCGGCACGGCACGCTGGCCGCTCACCCCGCGAGGTGCAGGGAGCACGTGGGCCGACGCGCGGACCCCAGAGAGCGCAGCGTGACCTGCTGCACGGACCCTCGGATGAGAGACCTGGGGCGGGATCTGCGACCGGGGCCCGCCCTTACGTCAGGAGGGAGGGCCGGCCGGCGGGGGAAGCGCCTGCGGTGGCGTCCGCTGCCCCCGCCCGGCTGCTCGGAAACTTCCACCGGCGGCGGTGACGGCCACGCTGCCCTGCGCACGCGCAGCGCGGCTCAGGCGGCAGCCCGGTGACACCGGCCCTAGCGCGCATGTCTGCACGCCGGGGTCTGCGCGCCGCGGCGGGCCGAGGGCGGCGTGCGGGCCTTCCAGCCGCTGCCTATTCCACCCAACGCCGGCCTAGTCAGTAATGGCTCAACGCCACCGCCTCTCCCTCCAGCCCCTCCCAGTCGCGTAGCTTCTGACGCCGTCCTCACCCCGCCCGCGGCCGACGGGGCCCCAACGCGCAGGCGCGGTAACCACGGCGGCAGTGTCTAGTGAGGATTTGAAATCGGTCGCGCGTGCGCACCGGCGACACGGCCCGGCGACCGAGGCCGCGCTTCCTCCTGCCGCCCCCGTCCCCGCCCCCTCCCCCGCCCCTCATTGGAGCGGACGCGGCGGCGGCCCCCTCCTTCCCCCGCGCTGTCGCCGCCGAGAGTGTCTTTTCACCGCCGCCGCCGCCGCCGCCGCAGGAGCGCCGAGCCAGCGGCGCGAGCGTGACTGAGGGCTAGCCGCACGGGCGGCGGCGCCTCCCGCGGGTCCTTCAGCCGCTCGGCGCCTGGGCCCGCCCCCTCGGCCCCGCCGCCCGCCCTTCTCCGATGGCCTCTCCCCGCGGCCCGAGTGGAACGCCGCCGCCGCCGCGGCCCCCGCGCCCGCCCCGCGCCGCGTGAAGCGGGAGCCCGGAGACCGCAGCCGCCCGCTGGGACGCGCCAAGCGCCGGAGCCGCCCGCCGCGGCCTGCCGGGGCCCATCACCGCCGCCGCCGCCCCACGCCGGAGCCCGACGGGAGCGCGGCTAGAGCAGGAGGCCGGGGCTCGGCCCGCCCGCCGCCGCCGCCGCCGCCGCCGCCACCGGCCCAGGCCCGTCCGTCCGTCCGTGCGCGCGCGGCCGGGCCTCGGGGCGCGGCGGGGGCGGGGCCGCGTCGGGGCGGGCGGGCGCGCGGGCCCCGCGGGGGCGGCGCGTGGATGGATCCGCGCGTGGCCTGGATCCAGCCCGAGCAGAAGGGGCCGGCCAATGCCCTGTGGATGCAGATCTGGGAGACCTCGCAGGGCGTGGGCCGCGGCGGCTCGGGCTTCGCGTCCTATTTCTGCCTCAACTCGCCGGCGCTGGACACGGCGGCCGCGGCGGGGGCGGCCGGGCGGGGCAGTGGCGGCCTGGGCCCCGCGCTGCCCGCCGCGTCGCCCCCGCCGCCCGGCCCCACCGCGCCCGCCGCGCTGCCCCCCGCGCTGCTGACGGCGCTGGGGCCCGCGGCCGAGGGCGCGCGGCGCTTGCACAAGTCGCCGTCGCTGTCGTCCTCGTCGTCGTCCTCCTCGTCCAACGCGGAGTCGGGCACCGAGAGCCCCGGCTGCTCGTCGTCGTCCTCCAGCAGCGCCTCGCTGGGCCGGCCGGGCGGCGGCCGCGGCGGCGCCTTCTTCAACTTCGCCGACGGCGCGCCCAGCGCCCCTGGCACAGCCAACGGGCACCCCGGGCCGCGCGGCCCCGCGCCCGCCGGCTCCCCGTCGCAGCACCAGTTCCACCCGGGTCGCCGGAAACGCGAGAACAAGGCCAGCACCTACGGCCTCAACTACCTGCTGTCCGGCAGCCGCGCGGCCGCTCTCAGCGGAGGGGGCGGCCCCGGGGCCCAGGCGCCGCGGCCCGGCACCCCGTGGAAGAGCCGCGCGTACAGCCCGGGCATCCAGGGGTGAGTGCGCGGGGAGGCCGCGGGGGCGGGGGCGGGGCCCATGGTCCTGGCCGGCGCCCGCGGTGCAGACACCCGTCCCAGGCGCCCGGGCTTTTGGAGGATGGATGTTGAAGGCTAAGGCCAAGGCCCGACTCTGCACTGAAAGTTTTTTTTTTAAACATCAGACTCATTTATCGTGGAGTGACTTGCCCAGATCCTACAAGTAACAGTCCAAGAAAAGGGGCTGCTGGGTAGGACCTGCAGGTATTTGTCTTTTTTACTCTTGAGATTGGAACGGGAAATCGACTCTCTACCCCTCCACCCCGCCTCCGGGCAAGTGAGGAACCCCTTGTCAAAGTGGGGCGTAGATAAGTGTGGAGTTTCACGTAAGTTAAGTTGCAGAATAATTTAGCATTGCCAGGAACTCGAATCACGTCGAAGGTAAATATTAACCTTTTTAATTTCATTTTTTAAAAAAATTTAACTGTCAACTTAGAGGTGATTCATTTTTTGGGGGGTGTTGTGTCCTTTAATTTTGTGCTGCAATTACCATAAGCATCGCCTATGGTTTATAAACATTGGCTTAATTCAAAGAAAAAACCAGATTTGTCATATATGTCTATTCTTTGGAAGGTGCCATTTTTATTTTAAATATTTCTACATCCGCCTAGAGGGAATTAGAGGCTCTACTTAAATTTAGTGCACTTACAGACGGCAAGGAATGAAACGAAAGGTGGTGTGTGTTTCGGGGTTGGAATTGTCCCAGGTGAGGCTGTTCAGGTGTGATGCTGTTGACGCAGCCCCTTTGCCATTTTGGGCTTTTCTGAGCGTCTGGAAGCAATTTATGTGTAGGTTGTATGTCAGTATTTTAAGACTTAAATGATAATTTTTCCTTGCACAATTTTTCCCCCCAATTTAAAAAACAATTAAGGATTTGCTGGGGTATGAGGGTTGTTGCATGCAGTAGAGTCCTACAAATAACCACAATTGCTAGGTGTTGGGAGTTCTTATAGTAAACTTTTGCTTGTAACTCTTTTTCTCATTTGAAGTATGTTGGGAAACACGAGTTGATACTTCTTTAAAGCGTGTGATACACTGTAATAGCTGCATGTTCTGTAACTTATTTCACCTGGCTTGGGCTACAAGCGATACCTTCTAAATTTCCCGAAGTGTAAACATGCAGTGCAGACGCCGGCAGGAGCGCAGACTCCTCTTCTCTCCCTCCAGTTCTTACCTGTAGAACTTTCTGAGAGCAGGTGGTTGGGAGCAGTTTCTTCTTGATGAATAGCAATATATACCTAAGGGCTCGCTTGGGGAGGACCTTTAGGTTTCCAGCCTGTTATGTAACTGGAATGGACTCCGTTTCTCTTAGCACTAGAAAAAACAGGAAGACACGTGGTCTCTGCCAGTCTTGGGTTGTACCTCTGCTCTTAGAAAGTGGTAGCGCATCAGGTCCCATGCACCTCACTTGGGCTCCCCGAGCTGTTTCCTCCAGGTAACTCTAGTCAGGCTCAGTAGGTGGTGTTGCTTTTGTTAGTGAATGAGCCCACTAGGATCAGGTGCTGTGCTAGGATCTGGGGATCTGGGGCAGGGACGGCATGGGAGACACAGTCTCATGATCTTGACCCACCCTGAAACCTGCCTGCAAGTGCCCCCTGCCTAGAGCACAAGAGTACCCTGCTCAGTTGTGCAGGTCCCCTCTCACGCTCTTCGTCACCCACGTCCAGTCTCTCATCACATGCTGTTCGTTTGGCCCTTTTAATCTCTCCACACCTCATCCTCCCTCATGCAGGCTCTTGTTACTTCTGTGGAGATTGCTCAAGCAGCCGGAGGTGCCTTTGATGCACTCTGGTCCTGCTTGAGTCCTTTCCCATCACAGGTAATGGGGCAATCTTCTCTGCCAGCAGGTCTGGTCAGATTCCCCTTCACCCTGTGATGTCACCTCCCCCATCTCCAATCCCCCACATTAAAGACTAAAGCCTAAAACTCAGCAACACCTCCAGGGCTCTGCTGCTCAGATGCCCCTAGGTCCTGGCTCCTGGCCCCACCCCTTGCCAACCCGTTAGAACCTAGCTGTAAGGCAGTATGGTGTAGGGCATGAGAGGGCTCTGAAGCCCACCAGGAGGTCTGGTTTGATACTGCAGTCATGCTCTTGGAACTTTCCTTTTCCCCTTTGCTGGAGACCTCTCCTTGCCTGTCTCTGGGTGGTGTGTACCATGCCTCCAGTATGGCCTTGGGTGCATCCGCTTCCTGCCGTCTCTGCCCAAAGGGGCCTGTGAGGACCACCTGCTCTGTGCCCAGAAGGGCACGGTGACCTCTGCTTGGGCTGCTATTCCAGCTACTCTTTCAGAAGCAAACCTAAGCTGTGGTAGAGTTGGGCCTGTGGCTAGAGGAGGTAAGGTCCCCCCTGTGATCATTTCCACATGGCCTGTTGGTCCTATATAAACTAACCTTTTTGTATCAATAAATAGTTCTGTCTAGAACTTGCTTCTGGCCATCAGCTTACCCAGAGTGTTGAGAAAGGCCACCAAAAAGTCTTTCGGTTGTGGCTTAGCTAAGGAAATAACTGAGTTTTAAAGGCTCACCTGGGCTGGCCAATAGTAAAGGACCTTGTTGCTGAGAAGCTGCTTGGGGTTGTGATATAGTCCCAGGACATGCACTTCTGAAAATGCAGTGTGTATTCCTCATGGGAGGATGAGCCTGCTGTGGAGCATTGGCTGAACCCAGTTGGGTCTTTGCCTGGTAGCCCATGTGGCAACCCTCACTGTTTGTCCTTTTCTGGGGAGGAGTTTTCTGCCCTTGGACACTTTGCCTGGTGGCTTGGCCTTGTGAGACTGCCAGTCTGCCTTCTGCTTCAAGTAGGATGAAGAAAAAGCAGGTGAAAGAGGACAGGGATTGGTGCAAGAACCTTCAGAGGAGAGGAGGTGAAATGCTTCTTTTGGCTCTGGTTCTTGAATCATTGTTTGATTGAAATCTCAAGCCTTTGTTTTGGGAGTGGTGTGCTTAGCGTGAGCTGTGCTATCTACCTGGGCTTCTGACCTAGAGATGTTGGGCAGGTGTTTGGACAGGCCCTGGGCCCTTTGCATCCCAGCCTCTGGCTGCTGTCACTTGCAAGTGCTCTCATCCCCTGACCCAGCAGGGCTTTGGGCTGTTGTTACTTTGTCATGGTCGTTCTAGCAGCTTTGGAAACCTCTTCAGGTTAAGAGTCTTGCATAAGTGAGAGTGGGAGCATGGCCCTCAGATATTTGGCCACATCCTTACTGGTGTGTTACAGAGACCCAGGAAGAATGTAGTTGAACGAGGACACATGCAGGTGTCCCGGGCCCTGAACAGCTTCTATTCAGAGTTTGGCCTTTCGAAGGCTGTGCCATCTCAGGTGTGCCTGCAGTGTGCAGCAGGTGTATGCAGCTTCCTCTTTGCAGGTTTCTTGGTATTTAATCTCATCCTTTAATATCTTCTATTAACTCAAAGGAAATTCTGTTCTTAGTTTGAAGTCTGAGAGAGACCGACGACTGTCGGCATAGGACATGGTCAGCCATGCCCCGCAAGGCGTCTGGTGAGAGTCGTTTCCAACTTGGTGCATGTTTTTCTCAATTCTTTCTTGCGAAGGAGTCACAGCTTGGAGGCGCAACCAGGATCCCCCCTCTCCCTCTAGCCTGACCTCACTGACATAAAGTAGAGCAGGTGTGACCTGTCCGGAACATCCTTGTGATGCTCAGCAGGGCCTGCTGCAGAGCACGGGAGGCATCACTCTAGGGGCCTTTCCCTCCCATACTTTCCTGTGAGTGTCCAGGATGCATGAGAGAGGTTGTTGTGAGACCTGCCTTAAAGGGTGGCGGTGGCACGTGTGGACCTTGCTTTCTGAGTTTCACTCTCCGAGTCCCAGAGGTATAAGCTTGTGAAGAGAAGCGTGTATGTATGATCACACTAAGCAGATACTTGCTCCTGCACTGTTGGAGGAGGAAGAGGAGTTAATTTCATCAATTAACTCTTCCAACACTCCTTCCATTTAGTAATAGCATCACTTGTTCCTGTCTTTTGTTCCATGGCCAAGCTCCACAAGGTGAAATTGAAAATCGAGTGCAAGACACTGGCTGTGCTGGAGTTGAGGAAAGTTTTGCTGGAGACCTGCTTGCACCATATGTCTGGTCACTGATAGATGAGGACTGGCCAGGTCAGGACAGCTGACACTTGGAGAAGGGGCTGCCCAGGAGGGCATGACAGACTCTGGAAAAGGAGGGTCGGAGTATTAAACTGGCTGGGAATGAGAGGCCTCCAATCTTTTCGCAGGAAAAAAAAAAAAAGGCTTAATGCTCGTGCTGTGGAAGTCAGAATGGAGCAAAGTGGGTTCTGTCTGTCTTGCTGCTGTGAGCGTGTGATGGAACAACAGTGTCATTTGCTTTTTCTCAGAAATATTTAATGCATGTTTGTGACATAATTTTTCAAAGTAATTTTAAGTAAATATTTTAAAGTAAAAAGTTCTAAGATTTGTGTCTCAAGGTAAAGTCTCAAACGTTCTTTGGTCACTATTTAATATGAGATTTTGTCCTCATTTTAAATGGATTCATGTAAGCGTCCTGTGGAAGAAGAGTTAATAGTTATCCTTGGAAAATAAGAACTTTTTATGCCTCAGTTAGGTCATATGGTTTAGGATCTGATTTTGTAGTTGTGGAGTAAAGGTTAAGAAAAAAAAACAGCAAACCTTGATATTCAAATTCAGAAACTTGATTTTTGAGGATGCAACCAGAATTTGGACTAAAGGTACAGAGGGGTGGCAGAGTCAGACCACCCAGACTTGCAGAAGATTGAAGAAGCCGCAGTGCTGCCATGAAGAGGCCCTTTCTAGGAGGTGTGGCTGGCTTGTCAGTGCTTTGTCTTCTCTGCAGTGAATTGGATGGCAAGCCTCGCCCTCTTCGAAAGCTGCCACTCTGAACCTGCCTTGAGAAGCACCTCAGGGAGGGCAGGCAGGTGGTCTCAGTCAGCGCTGACAGGTGTCCAAGTTACCTGACCTGTTGGGAACATGTGCCTGAGTGAGGTGGCCAGGATGCCTTTTCTCCCAACACTGGGGATGCACACTCGTCAGCATCCTATTTTTGAGATTTCTATGTTGTGGTAGTTCTCTGTTGCTGTGTAGCAAATTAACATAAACTCAGAGGCTTAGAAGAACACTCACTTATGGTCTTAAGGATTTTGTGTGTCAGATCAGGGATGGCGGGGCTGGGTTCTCTGCTTAGGCTTTTGCAAGGCTGAAGTCAAGGTGTTGGCCAGCTGTGTTCTCAGCTGGCACTCAGGGTCCTCTTACCAGCACATTCCTGTTATTGTCAGAATTCAGTTCCTTGCAGGATGGAAGTCCTTGATTGCTTGCTAGCTGCCAGCAGGGGAATTGGGTAGGGCGCTGTCAGCTTCTTAAGGCCACCTGCATTCCATCTGCAAAGCAAGGTACTTTGAATTTCTCTGATGTTTTCCGCCAGCTGGAGGAAGCCCCCTGTTTCTATGGGCTTGTGTTATTGAGTCAGGCTCCTGCAGATAACCTGCCTACCTGAAGGTCATGTAGTAGTACAACATGATCATGGTGTGATAACCTCATCAGAGCCACAGGTTCCAAGGAGTAGGGTGTAGGACCTTGAGGGGAGGAGGTTCTTCTGTGGGTAGACTTCCCCTGGCATAGAATCCGTTGATGAGCAGGTTGTGGTTCTTCTTGTCCAACACTTTTCCCCTGACTGGACTCCAGCCCATCGCAATGACTCTTGCAGATTGCCAGTTCCGTCCTCTGGCTTGGTGGTTACTACTGAACTCAGGCAGCCACTATAACCAGGAGAACCTTTCTGTGCTGCACTCAGATGAACATTCTTTAAAATATGTCATTTAAGAAAAGTTTGCAGGACTACTCGGGAGGCAGAGGCAGGAGAATCCTTTGAACTGGAGAGTTGGAGGTTGCAGTGAGCCGAGATCGCACCACAGCACTCTAGCCTGGTGACAGAGCGAGACTCTGTCTCAAAATAAATAAATAAATAAATAAATAAATAAATAAATAAATAAATAAAAGTTTGCAGGAAAGCCGTGTGAATATATGAAAATACAGTGATTGAAAAGTCCTGTTCACGAGGTGTCCTGCATTGGCTAGTTTAGGAAAGGGGTCTTTCCTATGCAGGTGGGGGTTGATGACTTACCCAAGAGTCACCTCTGGAACCCAGTTCTCTTAAGTTGATAGCAGTCTATCTTTGCTTTGCAGAAGATGTGGGGAACACTTGTCCTGCAAGCCCAGGTTCGTAGCAATGTTGGCTTCCCCAGAACCTTGGCTTCAGAGCACTGTGCCTCCTTTAGGAGGCACAAGAAAACTCCCACACGGTTCTTCCCTCTGTCCCTTCCTGAGCCCCCTGAGTGTTTGGCTCTTGTGGAGTTGCTGCTATTACTAAGTTGATCCCACTGCCCTCCTGAGTCTCCTCAGGGAAGGAGGGGCTGTATTGTAGCCCGCATTCTTAGTGCCAAGCACACGGTAGCCACTAAGTAAGTATCTCCCAAGAAAGAAGAGCAGGAGGAGGATCTGCCAACTCAGGAGAGCAGGTGGGGGATGGCAAGTCTTCGGAGTATTCATAAACCAAATGCTAAGGGAAACTTTTGTTGTTTGTCTTAGAATTTTAAAAAATAAAGTCTGTTGCAGTTTATCTGCTTTCCTTCCTGGAGAGTGGCTAAACTAGTGTTCTGTTTTACAATGTAGAATGCAAAAGCAGAAAACATTCAAGAAAATTCTATACTGTATTTGAAAAACATCACCATTTAGTTTTAACTGCTCTTTGTTTCTTATTATAAAAATTAATACCTAACTATGAAAAGTTAGAAAGCCTGGAGAAGTATGGAGGTGAGTTGTCCACCATTGGGCCACTAGAGAGTGCCCTATGAGCCTGTCCCTGGTGTCCTGGACTCTGGTGGTGTGCACTGCATTTGCTGGCAGTGAGCCAGGGGGTGGGCCACATCTGGGCCCGGGCGGGGTGGATCTCTGCAGAAGTTTATCCATCTCTTGGCTGACAGGGTGGGCGAGATGGGAGCAGCTCTGAGGGTCCCTGTTGGCAGAGAATGTCTTTGATTATCAACAACATGCCTTTTTGTTGTGGGCTTGTGATCCTTTTCTTTCCTAAATCAGCTGCCGTGCATAACCAGTTAGGCTCTCCTGTGGCTTCAGATTGGAGTTAGTTTCCCAAGTGCTAGGATGTGGGTGTTAGGTGATTTCTGTCTTTCCGTTTGAAAGAGATTTCAGATCATTGTAACATTTCTGGAATCCTGTCGATCTGAAGGAATGGCTAGGATGTAGTAGTTTAAGGGAAATGAAAAGTCGAATGTATTTTGATGTTTCTGCATCAGACCTGCTCGGTGGAGTCCATTTCTCAGCTTCGGGAGCCACGTGCTTGGCTCTTGAGAGCCTAGCTCCATCAGCCCATGTCACACACTCACAGGTCTGGCTTTAGCTGGTTTCGCCATGGTTTCTAACTTGAGCCTCAGTTTCCCCCCCTGTGAAGCAGAGCCTGTGGCACCCACCTCAGAGAGTACATGAAAGACTTGGAAGCACTCTGTGAGTTGTCATGCGAGAGATTAAAAAGGCCACCGCTGCCCTTTTCTCCTCTCTTTAAGGAAATTGAAACCAAAAATTAAGTCCTTCTTGCCAGCTGGACAGGAAAAGCCTTTTTCTTGGTTTTTGAAAATACAACTTCCACTTTCAGACCAAAGTGAAAACTGCTAAAGACTGAATATTCTGAGTCTTGGGAGTGGGGGGCTAGAGGGGTGTTGTGAATTGAAAGATACCTTTCTATTTTTAAAACATTTTAACAATGCCTTAATGATGAATAATGTCTGTTCTAGTTTTGCATTTGTTAGTTTTTTTTTTTTTTTTTTTTTAACTGTTCTGAAGGTACATCAGCACTGTTCTACAGCTTTAAATAAGAATCTCATCTCCCCAGAGGCAAGGGTACTCTTGATGTATTTGCTCAGGGCTGTATGTGCTGCTCCGTGTAACTCATTTAAAGTTGGTTAAGGTTTTTTTATTTCTTGCACATAGTAGAAGGAGTGGATGAAGTGTTTTCTGAACTCTTTGCAGCTTCTAACATAGTGTTCTGTGTATAGTGAAGGAAAACAAAATTAAGGGCCAGGGAACATTAAGTAGGCAACTAGAACAGCACTGTCCAGTAGAACTTCCTGTGGAGATGGAATAATTCTATTTTTGCACTAATACAGTAGCCACTGGCCATATGTGACTTTTGAGCACTTGAAATGTGACAAATGCAACTGAGGAGCTGAATTTTAATTTTATTTACTTTTAATTAAAATTTAAATGGCCATGTATTTAGACAGCTCTGAACTGCAGTAACTTTAGGCTCTATTTGAAACAGTGTTTGATTCAGTAACTGTTGCTGAAATAAATTGAAACTCATACAACAGTAAAAGCTGTGTTACTCAGCAAGTTATCACTGTGAAAGCTCTAGAAATTGTTTGAGTTTCCAATGCAAATCCTTTTCAAAAAGCCGCTGTTTTAATAGCACATGAAGCATAAAATAGGTTCATAGCAGAGCGCAGCACAGAGCAACATGGAGCAACTGTTATGACCTGGAGTGTCTCCAGTCCAGCATGCAGGTGATAGGTCTCAGCATTTTTGCACGCAGGTTAATGATGGTGCAGACGGTCACTTCCTTCTCTCAACAGTCTTCCTGGTCACGAGCACCATTGTGGCTCGTGTGTGGGGCTCTTTTGGCTTAGCTCTCTGCACGAGTTTGCTCCTTTAGTTCCCAGAGCTGACCCTTGAAATGAGTGATATTACTCCTGTTTTGTAGACAGAAAACTGAAGCCTTGACAGTCTGACGTGACCTGGCAAGAGGTGCTGCAGTTGGAAATGTGAATTCACGGCTGACATCTGGGCACTTTACTCCTAACAGTGTTCAGTGAACAAGACGTCGCTAACATGCGGGGGATGGAACCTAGCAACTCATTCTACAAACATGGTTCAAATATGTTGGTGCAGGGCCTTTTGCTTTGTTTTCCTAAAGAGATTAGATTCAGATGTGGTGGGGTGCTTTGACAGCCACCGCAGGACAAAGTTGATAGCTGTGGGGTTGCGGAGTGTTGAGGATTTCATAGGGAAGCCAGTCCTGCGCAGTAGTACGCTCAGGTTCGTGCTTTCTTGAGGTGTTCCAGAACTGGCCTGGAGGGAGGCTGCAGTGTGGAAGCGGGATTTCTGTCACCTGGAGTATTCTTAGAAGTTGCATTCTATGAAGAGTGGAGCATCTGATGAGCTGTTTACTCGCTGTTTCATCTGACGGCAGTTGAAAGACAAGGCAGGACTGGCAGCGCAGCTGCCTCAGTCAGCACTGCTGCACTGGGGGCTTGACCTGCAGTCTCGCAATCCTGGACTATAACTCATTTTGAAGAGAGAAAAATTAAGCATTAAGTGATTCAAGCGTCTTGCCCAAGGCGCTACTAGAAAATAAAGGCACTGGTGCCCAGATGCAGGTCTGCATGGTATGCAAGCCTGGGCTTCTTCCCACCTCCCCCACAGAGAGGGCACTGGTATGTTGGAGTGAAGAGCCACGCAAGACCTCTGTGAATGGGCAGAGATGGGCCAGTGACGCAACACAGTAAAGTGTATTTTGGTTATAGGCATCGTCTCTAAACTTATGTAAAACATTATTAAAAAATGGAAGGACAACGATGAAATGATGGCCAAAAATATAGAAAAGGATACCTTGCATGTCCTGTGAAATGCAAAGGAATTCTAAAGTGTCATTATGAGTTACCTCATGGAAGAAAGCAAAAGGTGAATCTATCTAGAGTTTGTGGTTCTGACTCACAAGAGACTGATGTTCATGCTGAAGGACGAGTGTGACAGGTGGAAGGATAGAGCACCGAGACCACACTCTAAAGGGTAGGAATCTATGGGAACTATTCAGGGAGATGAAAGCATGGAATGAACTGAAGCTTGCAGACTCGTTGAGTAAAAAGCGCGTTTTAGGATTGGTTTTAGAATAAAATAACAAGGCCTGTGGTTGGGGAAGATGACTTGCTGTTCACAGAGCCTCCCTTAATAGGTGGGGACCTCAGCTTTTCCTCTGCTGCCATCAGGTGAGTGGTGTACAGTCCTAGCCACAGTAGTAATCACCACTGGCCTGACTGAGCCCTCACCCTTTATACAGTGTCTCCTGCCACCCTCCTGGGAGAGGCTGTTCTCGGCACAGCTGGCCTGGGGTCACACAGCTGGTAGGTGTAAAGCAGGCATTGGAGTCCAGGTAGTCTCACTCCGTAGCCTGTCTCTTTAGCCACTGGAAATGTAGAGCAAAGCGAGAATTGTCCAAAGAGATAAGCTAATAAAGAGGAAAACAGGCTGGGTGCAATGGCTCACGCCTGTAATCCCAGCACTTTGGGAGGCCAAGGAGGGCGGATCACAAGTTCAGGAGATCGAGACCATCCTGGCTAACACAGTAAAACCCCATCTCTACTAAAAATACAAAAAATTATCCGGGCGTGATGGCACGCACCTGTAGTCCCAGCTACTTGGGAGGCTGAGGCAGGAGAATCTCTTGAATCCAGGAGGCGGAGGTTGCAGTGAGCCGAGATCACACTACTGCACTCCAGCCTGCGTGACAGAGCGAGACTCCGTCTCAAAAAAAGAAAAAAAAAAGAAAACAATTATGCTGAGTTCCAGAGAAGTGATGTCTGTCTTCTCAGGAGAGATGCCGATGCTGTCTGAGGGCCTGCCCAGTCTCCACATGATTCAGAGACTCCAGAGATGGACAGCTAGTGCCCTGATTTTCCCAAGAGGATTCTGAGGGTGACTTCTGTCAACCAAACAGGAGGACCTGGTGCTGTCATCACCAGTTGTAGAGAGGCTGCGGACCACCTGCTGTGTGTGCCATCTTACACTGCCATTTGCTGATTGCTTCAAAGCTAGAGGTTGTTTCTAAGAGTGCTTCGTGCTAACTAACTAAAACATAATGACATTGTTTTTGTAAAACTGATCCGTGGTTTGTTTTTTAAAGCAGAAAGCTCTAAAGTCACTCAGTCCCACCACCCAGAAGCACAAGCAGGTGGCTGCCACTGTAGGACCTCTCTCTCTAGGCTCGTGTAGATGGACACATGGATTGGTCAGTAGAAATACTTTTATTAAAAGTCTTATCTTTACATAAATTTGCCAAATTATTAATTTTGCTTGAAAGGGAAAGGTGTCCAACTTCAGTTGGAAATACTAGTTTCTAAGAGATACTGCTGAGACTAAGAGCATAAAACATGATGAAAACCTTAAGTGGCTAAGTGCAGCAACGTCAGAGTAAAAGCTTTGATGAAGTCTTGGTTTGCTTGGGCTGTGTAGGTTGGAGGCTCAGCCTTTGTTTCTCCCTCCTCTGGTGCCCAGTGGTGGTGTTTGTGTCCGTGAATTTTCAACCTCTGTAGTTTGTTTGTAGTTATGACCACTGTTGCACCGAACCCTTACCGAGGGCCAGGCCCTGTGCTAAGCACTTGCCAGTGTGGATTTATTAAGTCTTCATGACAGCACCATGTAGGGGGAGCTGCGTCCCTGTGTTGTACTTGGGACGCGATCTGACCTCAGGCACTTCAGGCTCCTGAAGGGTCTGCAGTCTCGTCTCTGCCTGGGAAACCACGATTTGCAGCATATTCCACAGACCTCATGCTCATCATCAGGAGGCTTCCCGGGACTGCTGCCTGAGATTTCTAAGTTCCTAATGTGGTTCATGCTTCTGGTGAGTTTCTTTGAGGCGACGCCCCCTGCGTTGCCTCTGGTCAGCTCAGTCCTGTGGTCCTGCAGGGCATCCTACAGTGTCCTCTGTCTGTGACTTGTGCCGTGCCACCTTGACCTGGCATCCACTGTCCTCTACCGCGTTTGCAGATAGGAGCCACTGTTGGTGCCTTTTTGTCGTGTGTGTTGAATGGTCAGGGTCCCAAATAGCTGATTGGGAGCACTCTCCTTGAATCTGCCATGTGCCTGGGTCTCAGGTGACTGGGCCCCTCCTTGCTTCAGAACCCACGTGCGTTGCCTGTCCTCTCTGGCTTGGAGGGTTGTGTGGAATCAGAGGTGAGACCCAGTCCCCAGGGATGGGCAGTTGCCTTTGATTGCCCAGCTGTCCTCAGCGCCCTCCCTCCTGCGCCCAACTGCTGTCTCAGTTGCTTGCTTGAGGATCCGGATATAGACTGAGGTCGGCCTTAGCGTGGCGGGGGGTTTTCTCTTGAGTCTTGGATACTTTGTTACCGGTCCCATCTTCCTGTGGGTGGGAGTGTCTGTCTTGCTTGGCCCAGCCTCCCAGAGACCTTAGCTCTCTTAGTACATGGGCTCTGCCTACCTTGATCCCCAGCTCACCACCCTAGTGCAGTTGCTTCTTCGCTCTTGTTCCACTCCTTGTCGCCATCCACCCTGTGCTTTCTCGATGTGTCCTTACTCGGTGTTTCTGTGGAGCAGGGCATCCTGGGCTTCCTTTCTGATCCCTGGCTCCTGTGATCTTCCGTGCTGGGCTCCCTCTTCCCTTCCCTTTTCCACTGTGTTGCCCTCACACAGCTGGCATGCCATGGATGTCGCTCACCCAAGCCCTTCCTAATGTTGCTCACCAAAACCCCTCCCACCTTGCCCCTGGGACCTTCTCCCCTTCCAGGCTGCATGCAGGCCGAGGGCCTGGCGTCTCAGCAGGAGGCAGTGGGGCCTTTGCTGGCACCTGGGCTCTGCATCCTGACCTTCTGAGGGCTTGGTCCTTTAGGTCCATCTTGAATCTCCTCCAGGCTTCGGACTCTCTGCTCTGTAGCTGGCCCATGGAGACGGGTACACTCAGGCCTGGTCTTAGACTCCGCTGCTTGGGCTGTGCTGGTGCCTTTGGTGCCCTCTTAGTCCATCCCACCTGGGGGCCCTGTCCTGCTGTCCATTGTGCCAGAGTGCTGTCCCCTTGTCTTTCCGTAACTGGCTGCTCGTTACCTTTCCCATCTCAGCCTCAGTACCAGCCACTTGGTATCAGGGAGGCTCTCCCTGACCAACCTAAAGTTCACAGCCGTGGTTGCCAGTTTAAATTTCTGCATAGCAACTTTTTGGTTTATTTTGGCTACTTATCTTCCCCATCATGCCCCCTGTCCCTCCCATATAAACTCAGTGAGAGTAGGGGCCACATCTCATCATCCTGCCCACAGCTCTGCTGTCTGTATCAGCCAGGGTATGCTGTGCAGAGGCTCACGGTAAATAGCTGCAGACCACGAATCCCATCTGCTTGCTGTGCTTTAATATTGGCTTACATCTTTGGATCCAGTGAGTTCTTTTCTCTGTCTCCCTCTCTCTCACTCGCTCATACTTACTTTGTGTAATTGGTGATTTCCAGCCTTTTGTATAGTCCTTTCTCGAATAGTTGTTTTCTGTCATCTTGGCGGGGGCCTCAAGGGGTTGACTGTACGGAGGGCAGGGGCTGCAGAGCTGCAGCTGCTGCCTGGGGTCTCACGGCGCCCGTGAGGTGTAGGCAGGTGCTTTGCCTCTGAGCTGTCTGTAGAATGGGGTGACGGCGGTTTCATCAGACTCAGTGAAGCATGTCATACAGTGAGTGTCTGGTCACAGCAGGAAGATGGTGAATGTCAGCTAATGAGTATTCATCACCAATGAATAGTAACAGTTTTTTTTACTAAGGCTATGTAATGTAGCCTCAGAATTCCACTCAGCACAGCCCCCTGGCAGCGGTGCCTCTGAGAGCTGGCATGATGGAGAGAGCCTGGTTGGCCTTACTGGTGTGGTTGGGGCACTTGGGAGAACGCCTTCCTCACAAAGCTCATCTGGAGGGTTTTCGGACTTGTAGGATAGCTTTTTCAGGGGCCTTGCCTTTGGCAGGGCAGGGACGTGTACTGCTGCAGTCTAGGGTATGGGATAACTTTCTAAACCAGACCCAGAACTTCATGGCCGCAGGGGCCTTTTAGCCATGCGGGGCTAGGAGCTGACACAGCGTCAGCAGCATGAGGGCCTGTGGTGCTGGGCGGCAGAGCCCAGAGGGAGCCCCTGCTGGTGTGACTTTAGTGTAAAGGCTGGGGGATACCAGATTCTTACAGAAGACTTAAGACGGGCACAGTGATGTCTGCTCTTTGACCCTTGCAGTATGAATTAGTAAAACTGAAATTATTACATTTCCTTTATTAGGATTATAAAAGCAATGATGACTTATTGAAGAAAATTTGGAAAATACAGAAACTACCTATAATTTTTCCATTGTTAACATTTGAGCATATTTCTTGTCACTTTTAATGGTGCTTTAAATATGTAGCAAATGTATCATTTCGTATTTTAAAAAAATGCTAGGTAAGCATTTCCTCCTGTCCTTAAAAAGCTCTTTTAAACAACTTTAAAATATTGTATAGATAGATGTACACAATTTTCTGAATAATTGGAGTTATATTTACATCTTTTCACTCTTTAGGAAAGGACTGGCCTGTTTCTGTGTTGGGTTCCTTCCTGAGTGTGGCTTCCAGCTCAGTGGCTCAGACTTCAAGATGAAGACTTCAGTCCTGGTTGTGTATGGTCTTGGGCCAGTTACCATATGTCTAATGAATACTTAGTTTTGTCATCTACAAAATGAAAATAGTAATATTTGCCTCAAAGACTATTATTTGGGAGGATCTAGTGCAAATGTTAGTAATGTGGATATTGTGTAGTGTCCCAGGATATTAATGTTTTTAGCCTCTTGGCTTTTATTCTGTATTGTTGCCCCAAAAGATGATGCTCACTTATCTTTCATCCAGTGTAAGGATATCTGGAAAGACAACAGAAAGTATAGCTGTTTTCATTTCAAAAGTGATCAGCTGCTTGAGCTAGCAAGCAAGGCTTGCACTAGCTTCCAGGCGCAGTCACGCAGTTTCACAGCAGGCGCGGTTCCCTCGGAGCACCCAGAGCTGCCCTGCGGTAGTCAGCAGTTGTGCTGTGGCTGCACTGCCAGGCTGGGTGGCAGGTGGATCGGAGCCAGCAGATGTGGCTCAGGAAGTGCCTTCTTGGCCTCTCCTTAATCTCTTTCAGAGTCTGTGGGCCCTTGATTGCACTGTGGGTTGTTTCAGACTCCAGTATTAGGAGACTGAACCCCTTGGTGGTTTTTTTGTGTGTGTGTGCTGAGCTGGGTTGAGGACATGTTAAGCAGGTGGGGTGCCTCCCCTGGGTTTGCTCCGGGTGGTACCTGTGGTGTGGGGTGGTTCTGAGTAGTTCTGGCCCCACTGCTGGAGTATCTGCCCACTCAGTTTGTGAGATGGCAGGGCTTCATCCTGGTCTGGTGCCTCATTTTCTTCTTTAGCAGTGGGCTTAGAACCAATGCAGATTCCCAAGTTAAGTATTTTTTCTGTAGCTTAATTATTACAGGCTTCTGGTACCTAAGCCCTTTCTTACTTTCTGTTCTGAGGGGAAGAGAAGATAATGTTGTTTCTCCGCCCCCCCCCGGAGTGGCCCCAGGACCTTGCATGGCATTTGCAGCATTTGCAGCGTGCTTGGGTTTGCTTTACTAGGGTGAAAGTGTTGCACCCCCCAGCACCCACAAAGGCACCTCTGCTCACACTCCGGTGAGGTTCTGACTGGCCCTGGGACATCACCTGCTCCAGGATCCTATGTGGCTCATCCCAGGAGAGATGTGGGAGGGAAGGGGAAAAAAGGCTTACATTTGCTGAGTGGAATTCATGTAGATCTGAGTTCCGCATTGATTCCTAAGCTGCAGAGCCCTTATGCCTTGGCTGTTTTGTGAATGTTAGTCGGTCTTAACCTTTTTCACCGAGTTAGCATTGGCTGTCTCAGGAGGCTCACAGCTCCTGCTCCTCCTCCAGGGGAGTGCGCCCTCCTCCTCTGTCGGTAGCTGTCAGGTGCCCCTTTCCTCTGCAGCAGACTGTCCTGGGTCCTTGCC
Organism: Homo sapiens; assembly: GCF_000001405.40. Taxonomy (NCBI): domain Eukaryota; kingdom Metazoa; phylum Chordata; class Mammalia; order Primates; family Hominidae; genus Homo; species Homo sapiens. Next base: position 6,730,560 of record NC_000005.10, read on the forward strand.
TGGCCTTCCCCTTACACGTGAGCCTGCAGCTTCATTCACAGCCCCTGTGTAGAAAGATAGGCACATCGATAGGTCCCTCCCTGCCCAGAGTGGGCGGAACTGAGGCAGGCACTAAAAGCAGCTGACTGGCAGCCCTAGAAACATGAAGGGTTTCATTTATAGTTTCAGTCCTTTTCCTTCTTTCGAGCCTTAATTTAAAAAAAAAAAAAAAAAAAGCCTTGAAGTCCTGCTTCTGAGTTTTCTAATTTGTGCAGGTATTAGTTGCCTTGTAACATAATCAAAAATAAATAAAAATGATTTATAATTAGCTTATTAACTGTATCAGTAAATGGATACTTTAAAGAGGATCATTGATCCCTCAAAATAGAAGCAATGCAGTCATTCCCTCATTATGCTTTACTTGTGATTTGCTTACAACCCACTCTTCCTAGTTAAAGTTAAATATTAATCCAGACCCTATCAGTGCGATGTAGTAGTGTCTGAATCAGTTGTTGTTTTGGTGTAATCGTATCAAAGCATGTTATAAAATCTACAAAATTGCAGGGTTAACTCCAAATATTTTCACTAAGGTATTGTTTTTTTGGGCAAAAATGCATAGTGAACATTGTGGAGCTGAAGTGAGGGAACTTCGATTTCTGAGAAACCACTAGTTTTAAGGGTTTTGAAGGAAGAGTTGGAGGAGGAGAGGAAGAGAATAAATTCACAGTTAATGAGTTTCCAGTATTTTCTGTCGCATTTTACGTTGTAATGGAAAAGACTGGGAACTGAACTCACATGCAGTTTGTCAAATCACTTTTTCCCTAGAATTCAGGATTGATGAGATTAACGGGGTGTTAAAGGTAAACTGAGGCACATAATTAACATGGACAGAACTGTAGACCTGAGTGTTGAGAGTTGGGAAATTTCAGTGAGTTGGGAAGACTGGAAGCACCTGTTCTTCAGAGTGCAGGTCCTCATATTCAGTGGGTTTAAGGTGCTGAAACTTTTTTTTTTTTTTTGAGATGGGGTCTTGCACTGTTGCCCAGACTAGAGTGCAGTGGTGTAATCACCACTCACTGTAGCTTCGAATCCTGGGCTGTCAGCCTATCCTCCCACATCAGCCTCCTGACTAGCTGGACTGCAGGCCTGGGCCAAAACTCCTGGCTTGAAACTTCTTGTAACCAGATTGGAGGAGGAGGGCATGTTCATTTTCGTGACGTTTCCTTTCCCTTAAACATCCAGTGAAATCTGACCTTTGACCATCACTTTGCTTAAAAGAAGCTACTGGATTTAAAGTCTAGGAGAATGTCCTAGACAAGCCCATAGTATGTTCCTGTATGTTCCCCACCCAGAGACCTGCGTTATGAAGTGTTTGGTGTGCTTCTTCCAGCCCCACTGTTCTTTCTAAAGTGTTTTATTTTACATACGCTGTCCTGGCTTCTGGGCTATGACCTTTGCCTTTTTTGCCCTTTAGTTCCTTTGCCCTTTACCTACTGCAGTGCAGCTGCCTGTCCTTGGGTTGACTACAAAGAAGTCACCTTTGAACAACTTAGAAATTGTGACTTTTGGGGAAGGCAGGGCAGAGCCTTGGGGCTGAGATGGGGGAGGAGCCAGCTCTGCCCTGGGAGAGATACAAAGCGCCTGCCTGGGTGAGGCAGTGCACGGGTGGGCTTGCTTCACCTCTTTGGCCCCAGCTTCAAAACCAGCCAGTCCTCCCTGGCTTTGGCTTTAATTCACATTTACAAGCTTGAAAACCAGTTAATCCCATTAGCTCAGCTTCTAAAGCTGAAAATCGTCCCCTAAATGGGTCACCTGTTGTCATCAATAGCTTTATTAGCTATGGAATAATATAGTTTTGTTCTCTAACTGTAGGATCCTTCTTTTGCTCTTAAAATAGCTCAGTAAGTTGGGTCTCATAAATACATACAGCAAGCATATACCAGATACTAAAATACAAAAACATTGCTGATCTTGCTTTTCAGTACTAAAAGCAGAAAATCGGGAATTTACTAAATTGAGAAGTCAGTCATTACCTTTCGATGGGTTTGGACTCTTGCAAGGCAGTGATTGTAAACGAGAGTGATCTTTTGTTGTTTTTCAATGAACTTTATTCTCTAATTTTTAGTAAAGCACACTAGGAAATAATGCTTCAGAATTCTGTTTTCGAGTAGTTTCCTGACTAAAATAAAAATTCACTAAAAAAAACCTCTGCTGTCACCATTTCCTTTTTTCTTAAGATAACTAGGAAATGAATCATTAAGAGTTTGCTCCGTGGCAATGGATCGGGAAGCTGACCCTGCTCTCTGTGGGGCTGGAGCCTTGCTAATGTCCCAGGATTTCACTTCACAGAGACAAGCATCAGAGGCTTGCTTCATTTATAGATCCTACTTCTTTTCTACACCACAGCCAACTCAAAATGGTGACAGAATCTAAGACGAGGCTAGAAGTCACCACGGAGCAGTTGGAAGCTCTGCTTCCGGTTCTGGGGGCAGTGTTCCTGGCGTTGTGTCCTTTGGCCCCACCTCAGTTTGTCCGTTTAGCTCCTCAGCTGAGAATGAGATGTGTATCATATAGGAGTTTCCTGGGCCACTCACAGCCCCAAGCTGGAGAGTGCCAGCCTAATGTGTCAGGAGTAGGGGGTGAGGCCAGAGGGCTGTGTGCCAACTCCTCCCTAAGAAGCCTCCTGGGAAAGCCCTCCCAGGCACTTCCCAGGTCTCACTGGCCGCCTGAGGCTGCAGGGGAGGATGGTCAGGCCGCCTCTTGGCTGGCACTGCTTCCCGGCGTGCCGCCAGCCTTTCTCATGGGGAGGGGAATGATGGCATGCCTGGGGGGCAGCAGGGCCCCAGGGCTGCCTAGGGCTCTCACTGTGTCCTCCTGGTTCTGAGATGCCACCTTTGTGATCCACTGTAGAGGGATTTATTCTATTATGATCAATGCATAGAAATTTCTTCGATTTGGAGACTGAACACTAGTGAGCAGAACTGAAATTGAGCTTTAAAAGATATTGATGACGGGTCTGTGGATAGGAGACTTTAGTGTGGTTTTTATGCAGACGTCCTGCCAGCTGTAAATTCCCTGGAGGTTTGGTATGTGAGAACATAAGACTAAACTTATTTCTATTTTGTTGAGGAGAAATGATTAAAACTTTTCATTGATGTACTTCTGTGGCAGACTTTTTGGAGAATTGAACCAGCGGGCATATTCAGTATTTGAAGTCATAGATGAGTAAAGGAGGTATGTTGTAGTTTGCGCTGGCGGCGTGGCCTGTGGTCGGCAGGGCTTATCTGTGAAGGTATGTGCACAGCTTCCTAAGGCAGTGAAAAGTCCTGGCAGTGTTAGTATTGAATGAGATAATCCAAAAAATGTAAAAATGTTTACATTTTTAAAGGGATAGTTGGCGATTTAAATGGTTTCTGCTAACAAATCAAATTATTCATTGCAGAGGTAAAATATTTTCAGAATGTTAATTTTAGATGTCGTAGAGAGTGTACATCAGCAATGACAAGGTCAGCAAAATATCTTAGCAAAACTTGATTGATTGATTCCATGCACAGGCAAGCGCTGTTCTGGGCACCGGAGACGGAGCAGTGCGCTGTTGCGTCCATCCACAGATGGCCTCCAGAGTCATGCGGTTGCAGGGAGGCCGAAGGGCCAGGGAGGCCGCTGGGTGGGCACGGCTGGGCGGTGCCCTCACGTGGGTTTTGTTGGGCTACTCTTACTGTGCACTTTTTCTCAGTTTGGTCAGTGTTCCGCCTTGCTGCCTGGCCCCCAACCCTCGCCCTCTGAGGGCCTCACAAAGAGCCAAGCAGAAGGCAGGCTGGGGGCTTTTCAGGCCAGCCCAGAGGATGTAATGATGATGGTTGGCACTGTCCCACGGCCGCCACCAGTCTCACACTGCCTCGTGGGCAGTCCTGGAGTCGTGCGGCACCTTGCTGGTCCCTGCTCTCCTTGAAGAAGGGCCAGTGGGGCACTTCGCCAGAGCCTTCTTGTCTGACTCCGTCATCCAAGAGGCATGGATGGCCGGGCCCCCGGCAGTTTCCATTCTATTCTGAGAAGGCAAAACAAAATTATTCCTGTCTCTTATTATCTAATATTTGTTACAGCAGTTGCTCACTTTTAGGTGCATTTTATTACAGATTTCAGACAGGTGTGGTTATTAGTGCAGCTTACTGTTTGGACACAATGCCAAGGTCAGGAGGACAGTGTTCCCCTGAGCACCACTTCTGCTAGGAGCATGGGCAGGCCATGCCTCGCCATTAATCTCTCCTGATTTAGGGGAGGAATACCAGGCCACCCCCTCTTCTCCCTGTGCAAGGGAACAGACATTTGACAAAAACGGATGCCATGTTACGCTGATTTTGTGTGTCTAAGGCAGACTGCAGCAGGTGTTATCTCCGTGCTCTTCCTTTCCTGGAGTGTTGAGCATCTCTTGATAGTAGGGGATGCCCCTGAGGGTGGTGAATGTGGCTGCACAGGTCCTGAAAGCTATTTGATGTTGCCGTTACTTCAGGTAGAACTTAAAGTTGACAGTACATTCTACTCTGCAGGTGGAAATGTGGAGTGCCATTTTGACAAATTGGAATGCCCTGTTTACAATATGCTTTAATGAGTTAAATCTGGGGGATGTGGATAGAATTTTAGTATCCTAGCTTTGGCATTCTTCCATGACTTTGGGCCAATTATTTAATAATTCCAAGCCTGCATCTTTGTTAGAATCTCTAAATTTCTCTACTCCTGTTATTATCCTCAGAACAGGACTGTGAGGTGCAGTAGGCCACATGGTGTAGTGGTTTAGGTGGACAGACTTGCCAGTGCTGTTCTCATGGATAGCCTAGGACTGTCCCTAGCTCTCTGCAGTGACAGTGATAGTGACTGGTGAAGGTGAAGGGATCCACCCAGACGTTCTTCCTGATGGAGAGAGGCTGGCCTGTGGCTCTTCCCTGGGGTGGATGTTAACCTGCTAACGTGACATATCTAGTCCTGCTTACATTACTAAGTGGTAGGAAATTTTAGGTAACACCTCAGACTTTAAAGTGGCCTACTGAGCTGGTAGAAAAGTGTGTAGTTGGTGCTCAGTAATTGTTGAAAAGATAGAAGCTTTACTTCAAAGCTCTTGTAGTTTGATCAGTTTGGAAAAAATATTTTAATGTTGGGCTCTGTTAACAGCTGGACTGGTGGCTGTCTGAATTGGGACCATGCTTGGGGTGAGGTTTTTTCTTACTTTTTTTTTTTTTTTTGGTGAGACAGAGTCTTGCTCTGTCGCCCAGGCTGGAGTACAGTGGTGCAATCTCGGCCCACTGCAGCCTCTGCCTCCTGGGTTCAAGCGATTCTCCTGCCTCAGTTTTCTGAGTAGCTGGGACTACAAGCATGTGCCACCACGCCTGGCTAATTTTTTTCTATTTTTAGCAGAGATGGGGTTTCACCATTTTAGTCAGGATGGTCTTGATCTCCTGAACTTGTGATCCATCCACCTCAGCCTCCCAAAGTGCTGGGATTACAGGCGTGAGCCACCGCATCTGGCCACATATTTTTTTAAATTAAATGTGATACATAAAATTAGGCTGCAGGCATGGCCTGATTTGCAGGTGCTTCATGAGCAAGCGTGCACAGCATTTATTTGCTGCTCCTGGAGTCTCTCGTGTGTGCTTGTAGCCTAGCCTTAAGCCCTCTGTGGACGGCTTGGAATGCGTACTCCAAATGACTCTTTTGGCGGGGTGGGAAGTGGCAATACTTTAGGTGACTGACAGTTGAAATTAACCTTACACAAGAGCCAAACTGTAGGCTGATGCAGGGCCACTCACCTTTGTACTCACCCCTGGCAGGTCCTGTAAGAGGTGCTACTTGCTTCCACTTTGCCAGCTGTTCGTTGGCCCTGTTTTGTCTTCTGCTGTTTGCCTTATTTATGAAACAGAATGGAAACAGGCGAGTTTGATTTGTTATAATTCCTAGGAGTCATAGAATGGAAGCAGGTGAGTTTGATTTGTTATAATTCCTAGGATTGGATAATTTGCCTTCCCCTCTCTCCATCTTTAATTAATCCCTTAAAGGAAAAGAGGACGACAGCACTTTTCCTGCAGTCATCTGTGTAGGCCTCAGCCTTAACTCATGACATAGGCTGGTGCCACTGGCCACAGGGCTGACCTCAGCTCTTGGAGCCCATGGGGTGACAGGAGATCAGCACCTTTGAGGTGGCGGCGTGAGGCGTCTTCCAGGCCTTGCTCATGGTGCTTGAAAACACTGCTTTAGAGCTTTGTTAAGAGAGAGAGGCCCTACTTACTCCTGTCCCACAGGCATTTGGGTGTTGACCTCCTTGTTGGCCTCTTAAGGAGAGAATACTTGAGTATTGAATTCGATCAGCTTTTCTGCCTCCAGGGACCCTGTTTCTCTCTGCTGAGACTGTGGCGGATGAAACCAGGATTTAGTGGATGGTCACCAGGTAGCTTGGGCAGACCTGGGCCGCGGGGCCCCTGAGGACTCATACGTCTTTTTCCTGTTCACATGTTCCTTCCCCACACCTTGGCCCATTCTCAGTCCCTCCCATGCTCCTTAGCGTGAGGCACTCAGGGAGGTGCCCATGGGGCCTTGGGGCCTGTGCTGGAGCTGGTTCCCAGCCTCAGAAGTGTGCCTAACTGTGCCACATTCATTGGAAAGCTGCTTTCACACTTCCTGGATGGAATTCTCTCATTTTTTCAATATAAAGTCACTGAGATGATTTTTTTGGAGAAGTCTTTAAAGGCCAGTTATACATTTATTGATACTTGGTATTGACAAAGTTCAGTTGTTTAGTGTTGCTAAGTCATACTGTGTAAGTTTGTTGAGCACAGAGTTTTCATTTTATACTTTCAGAGGAGAAATGAAACTGAATTTCGTGGCCAGAAATATGTTTGAGCGTCATCCTGATGTAAGAACAGAACAGAAAATGTGGTGACATTTCATTGTAACTCTAGTATGTTTTCTTTTTTGTCCATTAGACTACATGAGGAAATAATTGACTTTTATAACTTCATGTCCCCTTGTCCTGAAGAAGCAGCTATGAGAAGAGAGGTGGTGAAACGGATCGAAACTGTGGTGAAAGACCTTTGGCCGACGGCTGATGTGAGTATGTTCTTTGGAGTTCTGTGTCGCACGTCACGTGCGAGTAAATTTAAATACCCTGTGATGATGATGTGTCGGCTAGATCCACACAGACCTTTTCTCGTTGGCCCGAGGCAGCAGTTCTCCAAGTGTGCTTTGAGAAGGCCTCCGTTGCCTGGAATGCATGGCCCCCGGCGCACCTGCACCTGCTGTCTTAGACACCTGCGGTGGCCGCACATCTTCGTGATGCTGGCGCGCACTCAAGTGCGAAGACCATCGGCTGAGGGATTTGTTGGGTTTTTTTTTTTTTTTTTTGGAAGGGGGAGAATGGTGTGATTGTTTCTCTTAAGTTCACCTTAAAATTTAGAAATTTCACCCTGTCACCCACCCCTGCTTCCCCACCACCACACATAGTAGCATATAATGTGCTCATTTTTGTAAAACTTGGAAGTGTTCCCTCATCACACACCACTCTTGCAGTGAAGGAACAAGTGTTTTTTGACATGTGGAGTGGGGCCTTCTGGAATGCTTGGTGCAGGTGGCGTGAAGCCTGCCCCTGGCCGGCTCTATTCAGCAGCCTTCCCTACTGCTGACTGGGCTCAGTGGACCAGCAGGGCTGGCCGTGCCCCAGCTGTGAGGGGCATGTGTGCTCTTGGTGGGCAAGGGCAACCCAGTTTTCTGCGCCTCTTTTAAAATGATACAGATTTTTGGCTTTAAACTTCAGAGTCCTAGGACAAAGCCCTGCCCCAGTGCCTTAGCTGTGGGTTTAAGAAGAGGTTGAAGGGTTTGAAGCTAGCTCTGAAAAGTCCTCAGCTTTGAAGGGTTATAGGGTGAGGACAAAACTTGTTTCACCTCTTAATTTTGAGTTTTTAAACATTCCTTTTTTGGGCATGTCTTTAACTTAAAGGGAATTTTCTGGTTGATTGTTATACGGTCCCCTCCATCAGTTTCCAAGGTAGTTTTATTTTTTACCCAAGGGTATAGTGAGGGCTTTCTTTTAGTAAGAAATAATGGTAGTGTGACTGCTTGGTTTGTGGTATACATTTTAAGGCAACCACTCTTTCTTTCAGGTACAGATATTTGGCAGCTTTAGTACAGGTCTTTATCTTCCAACTAGGTGAGTACCAGACTGCATGGCATGGGCTAGTGGGGGGCTGGGATGGTGTCTATGCAATATTAAGGGCTACAAATAGATTCTTTGTAATTGAGTCTAAGGCGAGAAATGCCAGCTAAAGGAAAAGACTGTGGTTACAGAGGGAAATTGGCAGAAAGATTTAATTTAGTGTTATGATGAATTCATTGCTTTGCATTTTTCCTCTCACACTTAATTTGTTGGGGTGCAAAAATGCTTCATGCTGGAAATATGAAGAAGACAGGTGGGAGGACTGTGGGAAGTAAACGCAATAGAAGACATTCTGCTGATATTTTAGGACATGTGTTTGAAAAATTGATCTTATGTTTTGATGAAGATTCAAGCAAAATTCTCTTTAAATAGTATTTTCTAAGTATTTTTACCTGATAGGAAAATGTCAAACAAGTTTGCATTCTAAAATACAAACTAGTATTTTCTCATTAAGGATTCTTGATAGCCAAATAAATTTCCTGTGCACTGTCTCATTAAAAGCTTACCTTCTATTAACCCACTGCTAGTTAGCATTTGGAGGCCGAAGAGGCTATAATCTCAGGATTTGGGGGTTGACATTAGCAGGGCCAGTGGGTAATTGAACAGGTTTGGGTATCCAGGAATCTCTGGGTCCGCAGGAGTGATCCAGCGTAGGCAGTGCCGGAGTAGGTGCTGGGAGAGCGGGGCCTCAGCCTGGTTTGGGGGCAGGCATTTTCATTTGAATCCCCTCACATACCTAGTGCTGTTGGGAGAATGATTTAACCTTCTTGCTTTCCATCTTATGCTACAAATATGGAAGTCTTCCCTTAAGTTCAGCGAGGACTTGCTGTAGTTCATGAACTGCACTTCACCTCCTTAGGGGCCATAGGCTAGTGGGATTGTGTCTTGGCCTTTGTGGGAGACACAGGCACATGTGCCTTGGTGCTTATCCTCCCCACACGAGTGTGTAGGCTGTGGCGAGGGGAGCAGTGGCTGACGTGCGTTTTCTTCTGTCAGCGACATAGACCTGGTGGTCTTCGGGAAATGGGAGCGTCCTCCTTTACAGCTGCTGGAGCAAGCCCTGCGGAAGCACAACGTGGCTGAGCCGTGTTCCATCAAAGTCCTTGACAAGGCTACGGTGAGTGCCTGGCTTTGGCCCCTCTGACCGGGCAGGAGCCTTGTCACATCCCAGGTGGTCACAGGATACGCCTGCGTCACGAGCTTGTGGTATTTTACACAGTTATTGGCTACAGTTTTGAAGATTAATCTGCTTCTGGTATAGACATGTGTTTTATGTTTTTGTTTCATAGTCGTGATCACCAACTGAGAACATGTTTAGTGACAGTCTGAACTTTTGGGACTTGTGAGCCCATTAAACTGTTCTTGGAATGAAAATATATGATTGTGTCTACTTGTGTTAGGATGAATAGGAAAGGAGAGTCATCTGAAACCGGACACTGACATTCAGGTGCTGCCCATTATGGAGAGTGTGGCTCAATGATTAAACCATGGTTTTTATGATTACCATTTGCTATGTTATGTTAAAGAGGAACAACTTAGCTGTTCCTTTCGTGGTTCCAAAAAATATACATATATGAAAAGCCTTTTATCTTTGGGGGAAGTTTGAAGATGAGACTGTTTCTGGTGTGTACTTGCTAAGGTTTATGTCAGTTCAAGATTATAAGCCCCCCAGGGACTATGAGGTACTTGCCTGTTGTATGACAGTTCTTAGCTCACCTGTGCGACCGGCTAGCATTTCATTTTTAAATTTGTGTGTCAACTTGTGTGTGATTCACATCCTTATAGTGTTTAGCAGAATGTAAGTTAAGGCAGGAGCTTCCTCCTGCCTGTGTGGTGATAGGGGAGGGGGCATTCACATGTTTCTCATTGTCAGGTGCTTTTGATTGAGGCTGGGGGCAAGTTTTAAAACATGATATATGCACTGAAAAGTGCACATGTACCAGGTGCACCTCTTGGTGAGAGTTAACGAAGTGCACATGCTCATGTCACTGTCATGTGGACCAGAGCGAGCAGGCAGCACCAGAGGTTCCCTCCAGGCCCAGGTTCCAGAAGGGGCTGTTGGCTCTTCTCATTAGCACGAGACAAGCCCTGGCCGGCCACTTTCTCAAATGCTTACGGGCCTTATTGCACTTAGCTCTCCCAGCCACTCTCATCAGCAGATGCTGTTGCTGTTCACATTTTACAGGTGAGGAAACTGAGATGCGGAGAGGTGAGGTCATTAGCCCAAGGTGGGTCAGCGGCATAGTCCAGGCCGCTGTTGTCTGCTGCTCCTCTGTGTGTGCCAAGGGGCAGCGGGGAGGTGGGTGGGAATCCTGACCAGGCGACCACCTTTGGAGTAGAGGAACTAAGGCGCGGCTGTCCTGAGGCCACACAGTAGGTTGAGCAGTTACAGTAACTGCTTAGTCCCAGTGACCTCGTTACTGTCGCATATTGGCTACTAAGTATCTTTTCCTCTGTTACCTGAGGGCCAGTGTAGACTGTAGGGAGAGCCTGGAGCCTGCCACTGCTCATTTCTGGGGAGCACTGTGCAGCCGGCCAGTCATGGGCACAAGAGACCCAGGGCGAGGGCTGAGTTTAAGGTGAAATCTTGTCTATTTGGAACAACAACCCAAAACTGTGTTACAGTGTTAACTCCTCACCTCCAGGATTTGGGGTTCCTGCCGTGAGTGAGTGTGTGCAAGAGTAGGGCAGGAGAGTGCCAGGAGTGATTGTGGGAAGGAGTCTATGAGATGGAAAGGAAGCTGCTTCCTAAACTGTGGGTGTCAGGGAGGCATAGCCATTGAGTGTTGGCTTCTTCCAAAGCAGTTTCTGATGAGTTCTTTGGGAAAGTATTTCTTTCTCTGCCTTCTTAAGAACATACTGGCCTCAGGGCTTACCCTGCCTGGTGGTCGCAGTGGTGTCCAGGTGACTCTGGCCCCACTGGCATGTCCTCACACGCTGAGTCCTTGGTTGGTTGCCCTCAAGTGTAGACATTAAAGCCCAGAATAGGTGTGTACTGAATGCACTGTCCCTACGTTGCCTATCACTGGCATTTGAACTTTTCGTTAGACACTGATTGTTTTGGTTAAAGGAATTCCTTTTTTTAATCCTTCAAGGCTGAAGGAAACAAAACATTGCCTTTTCTTCTGGAAGAATTCAGTTTTACTGGTGGGGTGGAGGGTGGGGCATGAGTGTGGTCTGGACAGTTGCTCAGGCAGATTTTGAATGCCATTCGGTGACAGTTCTTGTTGGTGAGAATATTTCTAAAATAGCCTTTTATTTGCTGAATTTTTTAGGGGAAAAATTTTTTTAGTAAAGTTGTCTTAAAGAGTGAAAACCCAAAGTAGAGAAACAATATCAGTATAACATACAATTTAAAAAATGGCTTCGAAGTTACATTAAATGATTTCAAAAATTCTGCCAAATAAAAGTCTGGGGCCAAGCACCTCTCTCCATCCCAGCACATAGGGTGGGCGTGGCAGAGACTAACTCCTGTTCCCTGTTGGCTCCCTCCCCTCACGTCTCTTTGATGCTTGGTCACCTCTGGTGCTGATCCAGGGCTACAGGGGCTGGGCAGAATGTGGGTCCTGCTGTGAGGGGCTGGGGCCTGGGAGTCGTCCTGGGTTCAGGGACTACTGATGCTGACAGTGTTCTCTGACCCCCTTTCATTACTAAGAAAAAACACCAAACCTCTGTACAGCTTTGGCAGCATTTTGATGCCTGGCTGTGGAGAGTCCTGCATGTTAAAGCAGTTTTTAAAATGAAATCTTTACAGGTACCAATAATAAAGCTCACAGATCAGGAGACTGAAGTGAAAGTTGACATCAGCTTTAACATGGAGACGGGCGTCCGGGCAGCGGAGTTCATCAAGAATTACATGAAGGTACTGTGCTTGGTGACCCAGCGCGGCGAGAGTGCAGGACTGGAGTGCTTGTGCTTGGTGGCATCCTACGATGTTTACAGCTGTCAGCTGCACACACAAGTCTTTCGTAACACAGACTACACTTACATTATTTCTCCTACAATATTATTTCTAGAGATACTTTGAAATTACATAGCTGTTTTTAAAATTTGCTTTTCCTGAGTAACCATTTTATAAAGTTGACAATTATTTTAGAGAGCTTTGTTAAAATGTTCTTTCTAGTTATTACAGACTTTGCTTCTAGCTCAGTGTGCCTCATTCGCAGGTTTTACCCAGGTGGAAGTTGATAAATCATGAGGTGCCTTAAATATACTCACTTTGGGAGGTCTCAGTGCCTGAGGATGGGCAGAGAGACTTGGTTGAGCTGACATGTTTGGGACTCTGACCATGTGCCTGGTCTTAAACGGGTGGTCATGACCTCCTGTTACAGTAGAGGCCGTGCAGTCCTTAGCAGGGGCAGACGCACCTCCGGGTGGTCGTGACCTCCTGTTGCAGTAGAGGCTGTTGCAATCCTTAGCAGGGGCAAATCCACCCCTGCAATCTGGTCCCATCTTGTTCCATTTTCAAGGGCCTTGCTCTTCAGGTTCCCCCTTCCCCCTTGTCATCTGGTCTGAGGGAGCATGTCCACCCCAAGCGCAACACGAACAGCAGCAGCCAGGCTTTCCCTCCCTCCTGCCATCTCCTGCCGCTCTGCCTTCCTTGCCAGCCTCACTCTGCTCTCCTGCTCCGGAGGCCCCCACTGTCCTCATGGCCTGTGTAGCAAGCACATAAACACTCCAGTGAACGCGCTGGTCTCTTCCTGAGTTCCTTTGTGCCTGTGGACTCGTCATGGTAGGGGTGCACCCCTGCTGAGTCGTAACCCAGGGAGAGCTCCACAGTCTCGATTTTCACAAGCCCCTCAGGAAATTAATTCTTAGCGTCCCCCAACCAAAGTTTGAGACTTAATGACTGAGAGCCTTCAGATGGGCAAGAGGATCGAGGAAACTTTCCTTTCTGTCTTGTGTGATTTGCTATGTGAAATCTCTTTGAAAGTATGGTAATTACTCAGTAAATCTTTTTCTTTTGGAATTTACAGAAATATTCATTGCTGCCTTACTTGATTTTAGTATTGAAACAGTTCCTTCTGCAGAGGGACCTGAATGAAGTTTTTACAGGTGGAATTAGCTCATACAGCCTAATTTTAATGGCCATTAGCTTTCTACAGGTATGTATGCTTTCTTGAGACTGTTTCTGTTGAGACATGTGTAAGAGTAGACTCTTCCAACCAGTTGCCTAGTGGGTTCCAGCAGCCTTTGCTCTCCTTTTACTGTATTGTTTCAATTTGGTAGAGGCTGATTTCTGATTCTTACAATCAAACCCTCTTGATTAATGCACCTTTCTGGATGCTCATTTTGTACTGGGTGTAACTGTTGGTGCAGGGGTGCCCGTCTGGTTCTGTGAGTCCAGTGCACATCAGTCCAAGCTCAGGGAATTCTCTGTATTCAGAAATGTCCATTTCATGGTAAACAATAAACATTTCTTGGTGCTTGTCTGTGATTTATATTGAAAAAAATTTGTCTCAGAATAAAGTTGAGTACCACATATGAGAAAAGGATTTACAAGAGAGCTTTCTCAGACTGATGAAACATCATTATTTTGTCTTAAATTATATGTGGTCCTTATTTTGCTGAGTAACATGGAAAATCTATCAATAGAAAACCTACGTGTTTTAAAAAGTATTGTTAAATGCTGTGATGTATTGATAAACTGTAATTATACTTTTTAAACATATAAAATCATCTCTAATTGGAACAGTAATTATTCCGTTTATATTTTCTTGAGTGAAGAATTCTGTCCTTTACAAAATCTTGCCTATATAATTTAGCCGCACGGCTGTATTTCTCCAGTGTTTACCATTAATTTGGTCTTTGTGATTGTGCTGAGATTACCGAATCTGTCCATGATTTGGTAATGTTCTCACTGTCATGAATGCTATGATAGTAGAATCACTGGGTAACTACCTGTGATGATCGCAGCTTCCTTGGTCTGTCTCTGCCAAGATGCTTTAAAAGTAGTGAAAATGGAATTCCATGTCTGTTTTCTTACAGTTCTAGTCACACTGTCCTGTCTTCACTTTCCCCTCTGAGATGTGGCCCTTATATATAGCCTTTCTTCCATAGTTTTTGGACATTATTTTGAATTAAACATGGGCCTCTGTTCTTTACTGATATACTCCTGACTTGCACTATTTTCATGGCCTTGTAGTAACAACAGCTACTTAATACTTTGATCATGCATGTGCCATGTGCCAGGCCTGGGTCCAGGGCCTCCTCCACCCCCTCAGGGGGTCCTTTCAGTGATCCTGTGACCCCACAGGAGGCCACCACAGCATGAGTGGGATTCCTGTGTTCACTGCCACATCCCTGTGCCTTGTCCAGTGCCCAGAGCTTGTCCTGCCTCAGCGGTGTGACTGTGGCAGCATCTGAGTTTCTTGACTAAGTGAGGGGAGGAGGCCCACCCTGGCACCGGCCAGGCTCTTGGATATGTGATTTTGGCTAAAAGACAAGGAATAAGGAAGGGAATAAAGGTCAGGCCAGAATCGGAATCCTCCTCTTGTGTGGTGGAAATATGCAGAGAACTCCGGAATTCTTCTGAACCCTAAAAACATTTGTATGCTTTCTAGCTGCAGCTCCTCCTGGCACTCTGTGTTATAAATAGTTTCAAGCACCGTGCTTCTCTGAGGGCTTTCTCTCATGTGCCCTCGTCCATCCCTTTCGAGTTGGCACTGTCCGATAGAATTCTGTGATGGTGATGGCCACTTCTGCATGGTCCGGCAAGGGGCAGGGCGCCACATGTGGCTACTGAGTATTGCAGTGTGGCTGGTGAGAGCAACAAGCTGGATTTTTAATTAATTTGTTTTAATTCATTTAAATAGACATGTGGGCAATGCAGGTCTGGACAGCTGAGAATTATGACCCTCAGGAGGTGTGGTGGACAGTGGTTTACTTCCGAACAAGCCCAGTGCCTGCTTTTGAAGACGATATGGCACTGAACTGAGAGTGGTGCTCATCTGTGTGACAAGCAGGATGGAAGCTTGCTATAAATATTGTGATATAATGCTAATGACCTTTACACAGCTAAAATCAATCCTTTCACTTTTCCGGTTTTATGTGATACTGCCATACTAGTCAGTCTAACACTGACCCCTGTTGGTTGTGCTTCAGCATAACGAAATTAGGATGACGAGAATCTGAAATTACATCTACCATCCAGGTGACTAAGTTATGCAGAATATAGTCCAACTTATTTGCCCATATTTGGTTAATCAGATATCTGTGTTTGCAGGAAGTTTGCTGTATGGATTACCAATTTCAAAAATCAAACTACACTAAAATTCAGATGAGTCCGTTGTGTTCCTTTTGAACACTCCTCGTTGAAGAGGCTGCTGTTCAGGCTTCCTCGTGGTGCTGGTGAGTGAGCGAGTGCCACTCACTGGTATTGCCTTGAAGAGGCTGCTGGACAGCAGACTTCGTCGCGTGCTATTTTCTTTAGAACATGCCATGAATCCATACAAATTGTGGGTGCATTGCTTTTACAGTTGCATCCAAGAATTGATGCCCGGAGAGCTGATGAAAACCTTGGAATGCTTCTTGTAGAATTTTTTGAACTCTATGGGAGAAATTTTAATTACTTGAAAACCGGTATTAGAATCAAAGAAGGAGGTGCCTATATCGCCAAAGAGGAGATCATGAAAGCCATGACCAGCGGGTACAGACCGTCGATGCTGTGCATTGAGGACCCCCTGCTGCCAGGTAAGGGCGCCCTGATCTCCACTGCTGAGAGCTGGGCCAGCCTCGGGGACGTGCTGGTGACAGGGCCTGTGTTGGGGCTCTGAGAGCCCCGGGCAGTTCATTTGCTCTTGATGCAGGTTTCTCTTATACTAACCAGTTAATAATCACACTTTGAGAAATCCTTATTTAATGCTTCTAATTAACTTTTGTCTTTCTAACTGTTTACATTCTATAATAAAGAAGAATTAAGGAAAATCTTTTCTTTTTCTGATTATTGAAGTATAACATATCCACCCTAAACCATTTGTTTCTCTGAAGTATGTAATATAGAAAAACCATGGATGCCATAATCCCCTTTTATTTGGACATGTATTTCTCCACTTTTTCCCTATATGGATATTAATGTTTATTATTGTTATCTTGTTGAACACATCCCACAACGCAAACACGTTTGTCACTTGGCTTTTGACTTAACGCTTACCCTTGACCCTTTCCTATGTGTGTAGGTTGTGTTTTGTCGTGAGGATTGCCGCATTGAAGAGTCTAAGGCTGGGCTAGAGGTTTCCCGGTTTTATTCCCATTGGCGTATTCAGGGGTATTTATGTCCTCATTCCTTTGGTGACAGTCTTTTAAAATCTTTGCCAATCTGATAAAACCATGTGTTAACGCTTTTAAATTTATATTTCTTTAATGATTAGTGGGGTTAAACACATTGCTATTTATGAATTCCACAAATTTTGATTGAGCGTCTGTTAGGTGAGATACCATTCTTACTGTTGGTGATAAAATCGTTGGCGGACGGGTGACAGAACAGGTGGTGGAGAGCCCAGCTCCAGGCGCGTGTCCCTGGGCCTTCTCCTCTGTGTGGCTCTGTGTGCTGTCCGCCCGGTTGCTGGCTGCCCTCCTCTGCTGTGTGCAAGGCCTGTGTGTGTCGGGGAAGCCTTTCTTGTCACACATGTCATACTTTTTCCAATTTGTTTTTTGCATTTGTATTTTTTTATTCAGCTCCTATACATTTAAAAAAACACCTCAGATTTAATGGTTGTTTTTGTTTTATGGCTTCTGGGATGTGAGCTTTATTTATTTCCTAAAGATCGTCTCAAGGAAAACACATTGGCTGATGTGTTTTGTTGTTGTTTATAGATGGCATGATTTGTGCAGGCTCTTGAGTGGTTTTCTTGGTAGCACGGTATGGCAGTGTATCATCCATTTTTGTCCGTTGGATGAGTCACATTGGAGACATTGGCATTGTCTTCAAGTGTCTGCTGAAATGTACTCAAAAAACAAAGACCCACATAATCGTTGAGTTATAATATAAATCTAGAAAAGATAAAACTCCAGTACTTAGAACATATATCCTTTAAAAGAAATCCACACTTAACCTGATTGTGAAGAATGAGTTGTTTGTAGATTAAAATTAGAAACAGTGCTTTTCTTATGAAAATTAAGCTTCTCCTGACTGGCTTCCTTGGTGACTGCTGTGACAGATTCCTTTGATTTGCTGTCCCAGTTTTCCACACGTGAGAATTCACATTCCATTCTAAAGGATTTACTTCCTGTAGGTTCCATTAGCGTTGACTGAGTTGTGATGCACTTGGGGTGAGCTGCCCTTCTACCTGCCCTGTTGGGGCACTGTGAGGCCTCCTGATTGTCAGATCAGCGATCACAGTGGGTCGGTGCTGCTGGTCTGCACAATGGTAGTCTTTGGCTTCCTCATGTTTCTGCCACCTGGAGAGGTGGCTTTTTGTGGGCTGTCACTCCGTCTGTGAATGGCAGCCGCCTCCGTGAGGTGGGCCATGAGCACAGGGGCACTGATG
This sequence comes from Homo sapiens, assembly GCF_000001405.40. Lineage (NCBI taxonomy): Eukaryota > Metazoa > Chordata > Mammalia > Primates > Hominidae > Homo > Homo sapiens. The sequence goes on from NC_000005.10 coordinate 6,748,224, forward strand.
ATGCAGACCAGTCCTCTCGGCACTCACAGACTGTGCCCTGTGCATGGTGATTGACAGGGCCTTTGCCAGTGCCAAGTGCCACCCGTGCCCATTGTGTTCGCCTGTCTGGGCTTTGCTGGTAGGGTCTGGAAGAGTTTCAGTGGTGAGGGCCTGCTTCAGAGTCACTTGTATGAGAAGATCCAAAACATGTGGACGATGGTGTGCATGTGGGGAGGGTCTGACATAGCCTTTTTGCTGCAGGGAATGACGTTGGCCGGAGCTCCTATGGCGCCATGCAGGTGAAGCAGGTCTTCGATTATGCCTACATAGTGCTCAGCCATGCTGTGTCACCGCTGGCCAGGTCCTATCCAAACAGAGACGCCGAAAGGTAATGGGTTGTGTGTCTGCGTCTGGGCTCAGCGTGCCTGTGGGATGGTACTTATCCCTTTCCTGTGTCATTTACCTCCATGAAATTTATGAAGGGATGTTCTGCCGTATTTCAGTAGAATCTAGATATGTTGGTGAAGGAAGGCCTTCTAGGAATATGGGATGGCTGTGTGGGATTCATCCATGGTTGAGAGTTGAAAATTTCTTTCTTGGAGATTTGACATTTTCTTCAGGGTCTTTTGTTTTGGGGAGGTGATTTCTGGCTTTTAAAATTCAGTCCCTACCATCTTCTCTTATGTACACTCGTCCCTTGTTCTACATTTTGGGGCATTTTTACAGTCCCAAAATGTAGTCAGAAGTATTTACTTCTCACCCAGATCATTCTGTGGTAGTGGAAAGGGTGGTATTTGAAGGGGTGGGAGATGAGATAGGAATGGGAAGGAAGAGTAACGTGGTCGTCAAGAGTGGAATTCGAAACAGTTTGATAGATCTGTTCTGTGGTGGATGATGGAATAAACAGGTTTCGAGGCCTGGCTCAGCAGCCGCTGCAGGTGCTGGTGGTGCTGGAGCTCTGTGTGTTCCTGAGCCGCTGTCTGCTCGGTGTTTTCAGGCGGAGCTCTGGGCCCCATGTAGGGCACTCGTCTCGGTACCGTCTCCATTCTCGTCCGTGCAGTGGGAAGTGAAATGTCAGCACTGTATGATCATCGTGGGTGGGAAGGCCCCGCTCCCCTACTTGGAGCTGCATTTCACAGTGGTCTTCTGTAGGTAGATGTACTGCGATCCCAGGGTATGCTTGAGCTGAATCATTAAAAGTCAGAGATATTTGTCAACGTATTTTAGCTCCTTTCCTACTGTCCTTCACCTAGCGAGATGATCTGTTAGGGGTATAAGGTAGCTGTTCGAGAGGGGTTCTCAGCTCCCTGACACCTGTTGTACTCTGTTGATCTCCAACAATGTCCCTTTGCAGTACTTTAGGAAGAATCATCAAAGTAACTCAGGAGGTGATTGACTACCGGAGGTGGATCAAAGAGAAGTGGGGCAGCAAAGCCCACCCGTCGCCAGGCATGGGTGAGAGATTAATTCATTTGTGTTCATCCTAACCACTGGCTGGCATGTTCATGCAGAAGTGTCTCTATTCCTTTGTGGTAAATTGGTCAAATTAAGAAAATAGCTAGTTTTTCTGATGAGCATTAATTAAGAAGACAATAAGATCTAGAGCAGCACTGTCCAGTAGAAGCAATATAATGCATGCCACACATAGAATTTCAAAGTTTCTAGGCTGTGTCAAATGTGAAAAGAAACAGGTGAAATAATTTTGATAGATTTTATTCCACTCAAGTCAAAATATTAACATTTCAACATGTAATCAACATAAAAATAATTAAGATATTTTATAGCTGTTTCTTGTACTGTCTGAAATCCGGTGTGTATTTATTCGTACTTATAGTACATCCTAATTAGGATGCTAAATTTTCGTAAAAAATACTTGATCTATATTTAGATTTTAGAAAGTTCACAGTTGAAGATGATTTGCATACCCAAGTTATTACAAACATGTTTAATGTTTTCCAACAACTAATTGAATGTAATTTTTAAAATTAAATTAGGCAAAACCTAATGTTGGGTTTGTTAGTCACATTAGCAGCGTTCCCGGCTCAGCAGAGCCCGTGACTGATGCTGCCGGGGCGGCTCCACGCCGCAGTTCTCAGGAGTTATTAACCAAGGCTTTTTCCCTCCACAGACAGCAGGATCAAGATCAAAGAGCGAATAGCCACATGCAATGGGGAGCAGACGCAGAACCGAGAGCCCGAGTCTCCCTATGGCCAGCGCTTGACTTTGTCGCTGTCCAGCCCCCAGCTCCTGTCTTCAGGCTCCTCGGCCTCTTCTGTGTCTTCACTTTCTGGGAGTGACGTTGTAAGTGCCCTCCCCTCCTCCGTGTGTCTGTTGGACAGTTTGTGTCTCTGGTAAATGTCCATAGCCGCGAGCTTAAAATCTCCCCCTTGGTTTTGCTCAGGTTTTGTTTCCTTGTATGTGTGTGGAGGTGGGTGGGGGGCAGCCCCGTGATGTGGGCACCAGGCTTCCTTTCCCCTGCCGTGAACCTTCAGAACCTGTCTGTGCGACTCATGCGGCTGTCGAGGGCAGTAATCCTCTAAATGGTTGAACTACAGTGGACTTCCTTGAGTAGTTTTTAAAAATTTATTTGAAGATTAAAAAAAAAATTAAATCCAAGTATCTCTTCTGTATTTCCTTTAACATTCTTTTTCAGTTGTGATGAAATTACTTGAAGGAAGCCTGGGTAGGTTTGGGCTGCCTGTTCAGAAGTTAGACTTAATTTGAATAACCTTTCATAGCCAGCCTGGATGCAGGCGTTTCTTTTCATAGCTTTAAGGAAGTAGTAGTGCACCTTTGTGGTACAGCTGTCCTTTTTGTTTTTTGTACCGGGTTCAAGGATTCAGACACACCGCCCTGCACAACGCCCAGTGTTTACCAGTTCAGTCTGCAAGCGCCAGCTCCTCTCATGGCCGGCTTACCCACCGCCTTGCCAATGCCCAGTGGCAAACCTCAGCCCACCACTTCCAGAACACTGATCATGACAACCAACAATCAGGTACGTGGCCCTCTGGCACCCTTCCCGCTGGTGGCCCCTGGGAACAGCATCCGAGCTGTGATATGCACTAGAGGAGATTGATGGTCCTTTGAATTAGAAGAGTAACTTTTTGAGTATTTGGCCATTGGTGTGTTGTTCTAGGAAATCCTCTCTTTTTTGTGGTGTTGAGGTCCCCCATGTATAGTTTCAGCAGCGAGGACACTGTGGTTCTTGAGTGCTGCCGTGGCTTTTCACGGGGGCCAGGTTGACTGCCTTCCTGCAAGTTTCCTCACTGCCCCAGCATGAGACTGCTGTCGAGGGTCATCTTGAGAGAGCGACTCAGTCACGACCCACTTAGCTGGGCGCCAAGCCGTGCCAGACACTTGTCCCTACTTCCTCTCAGAATCTCAATGAAAGTTTTAATGTGAACTTATTAGACTTTTTTCATGTTTGAAATTAGGCATAATTTCTAAGGCTTTTTCTGTTGGAATATACTGTTTTTAAAATTTAGATAAAATTAGAAATCTAAAGGATAATTTTATAAATACTAAATTTTGTATCTACTTGCGATTATACATCACTTGAATATGTGTGGGTATAAAACCCAACATGTTAATTGACTTAAAACCATTTTCTGAAATGTGGGGTATAATTTGAGCATAAAGCTATGTAGGTACATGCAAAAGTGTTTTGACTCATTTCTTGGAGTTTTGCACTCTGCTCTGGGGAAGACATTCTCACAGGATCCACCGTGATTCTGGCGGAGCTTCTGGGATGCTGGCTCTGTAATGACCCACAGAGCTGATGAGCAGAGCCATGGCCCAGCCGGACACCGTAACGTGTCTAATTGCAGCATAAGTGTAAAATTCAGGGGCAATTATTTACACTCTTAAAATGAATTATACCACAGATAAACTTGGTCGCCTTTTTATGGTCATCACAGTGGCCCTGACGTCCTGGCCATGTGTCACAAAGGTGTTTGTTTTAACCACCCACAAGCCTTGGGGCCCTTGAGAGCCCAGTGCGGCTGCTGAGCTACAGAGCCACACTCTGCGGCTGCTTGTGTGGTTCGAGTGTGAAGTCCAGGGACGCTGAGGGTTTATAGGTTTTTATCTAAGAAGACTCTTGGCCACAGTCAATCTCCAGAGGTTGTTGGGGTAAATGCACGGGATGCCAAGATGCAACCAGGTCAGTATTGCAAGTCTGAGAAAAGGGGTTCTCGTTAGCGCACTTCTGCTGCTGACAGTAACGGGTGATGCTGACATAGAAGCAGCCTGGGACCTGGACAGCAGGCAAGGAAGGAACTGCCAGCCGTCCCACGGCCTCTCAGGCCACCAGTTGGGCCAGCCTTGGGCTGTGACCCCTGAGTTCAGCGTGTGAGTAGGGGGTTCACCACGGGGGTGACGGTTGTTCTTCTGATGACTCTAATGTCTTGATCGTTTGATCTTCAATGAGTTTCAAACTTTATGACTTGGATTACTGGGCATACTTTATATGCCAGTTGCTGTTTTAGAATACGAAGTATTTCCAATTCAAAGCACAATATTGTTAGGTAATAGTAAAACAGACTGCTCTATGGAGCCCACATGCAACTGTGCCATTTATCAGCTGCCCTTTGGTGGTGCTGAGCTTAGAAGCCGGATGGTTTTCCTCTGATTGCTTTGGTACCCATGGCCGTCTCTCATTTTGTTCCTAGACCAGGTTTACTATACCTCCACCGACCCTAGGGGTTGCTCCTGTTCCTTGCAGACAAGCTGGTGTAGAAGGAACTGCGTCTTTGAAAGCCGTCCACCACATGTCTTCCCCGGCCATTCCCTCAGCGTCCCCCAACCCGCTCTCGAGCCCTCATCTGTATCATAAGGTATAGCTCTGTCCTGGTGCATTCACCTACCTGTTCAAGCTGCCATGTGAGAGGCGGTGCTAAATGTTTTCTCCTCCAGAGAGAATTCCAGAGAGATCATTTGAAAACGGAATTTGCTTTGTTGTCATTCAGCCTGTTTGCTTGTCTTTCCAAACAAAACTTAAAAAAGTTAAATTATTTTAAGATGTAATATATAGTTTAATTGGTTGCCACAAACATCTCTTAATTCCTCTGTTGAACTGATTAGCATAAAACTGAAGTTTGAAATAAGGCTCAAAATGAAGACTTTTCCCATTTACATAATTCATTTATATGCTAAATACCTTGGTTTTCAAGAAGCAAATGATAAAACCAAGAGCAGATCTTGCCATGATGTCCCGTGTATGCTGCTGTCATTCCCACGTTGCCTGATCCCCGCCTGGGGCAGGAGCAAGCGTCAGGGCTGGCAGAGCTGTGTGCTGGGCCTCAGCAGGGCCCTGGCATGCGTGCCCTTGTGGCTCCTCTCAAGTCCAGCTGTGTGCATGGAGGAAACAGGTCACGTTAAGTCTCTATATTCTTGAAGTACCTGAATGATTGGGAGAGCCATGGCGAGGATCTTCCAGGTCAGCCCCCGTCGTGTGTGATGTTCCTTGGGCTCTGCGGATGCTCGGTGCTTTCATCGGTGTCCACACCTCTTTATTCCGCTCCTCCTTTGCTTGTCTAATCCTATTTTGCCAGTAAGTTTTTTATTCTTGAGGCTTTGTTGGCCCTGTGTTGTATGATGATTGTTTTTAGGAGTTAAGTAATAGAACATTTCCTCTTGGATTTATCCATCCCCGATAGACACATTCAGGGTGAAAGAACAACTTCGCACACCGGCCTCTTCTTTGCATTTTGGCTTTGCTTTCCCAGTCTCCTCCTGCTGTTTTTCTTGCTCTGAGACTTTCCTGAAGCCGGCGTGTGTTCCCTCTCAGTCTGCTTGGCCGCGACTTTGCAGTGCAGGGAATGTGCTTTGGGTGTAGCCCAAGCACAGGCTGCTGCATGCTGGGATCGACAGGCTGCTGAGGGCGAGAGCGCCAGGTCCTGGCACGTGTGACTTGCTTGGTTCTTTCTAGAAGGTCACAGCTGGGGGAAGAACATGACAGGGACCTTCTTACTTCTGTTTTTTTGGAGACAGAATCTCACTCCATCACCCAGGCTGGAGTGCAGTGGTGTGATCTCAGCTCACTGCAACCTCCGCCTCCCGGGTTCAAGCAATTCTTGTGCCTCAGCTTCTTGAGTAGCTGGAATTACAGGTGTGTGCCACCACACCCAGCCAATTTTTGTATTTTTAGTAGAGACGGGGTTTCACCATGTTGGTCAGGCTGGTCTCAAGCTCCTGACCTCAAGTGACATGCCTGCCTCGGCCTCCCAAAGTGGTGGAATTACAGGTGCAAGCCATTGGCACCTGGCTAGGGACCTTCTTATTTCTATGGATAAGTGGAACAAGTTAGAAGTGAGGTTCTGCTGAATTTGTGTGGTTTGATCCTGGTACATGGTTCTTGCCTTTAGTCATTCACGGAATGGGAAGAATGCTTTTCTCTCAGATGGAGGAGTTGGGAAGTCCCAGAGGGCAGGTGTCCATCCCTGCTCTCTATGTAACATCACGTCGGTGCTTAGTGTGGTCACTGCCCGAGGACGTGGGCATTGTGCCTGCTGTCTGGCTCCAACACTGCTGTCTCTCTCTTTCTCCAGCAGCACAACGGCATGAAACTGTCCATGAAGGGCTCTCACGGCCACACCCAAGGCGGCGGCTACAGCTCTGTGGGTAGCGGAGGTGTGCGGCCCCCTGTGGGCAACAGGGGACACCACCAGTATAACCGCACCGGCTGGAGGAGGAAAAAACACACACACACACGGGACAGTCTGCCCGTGAGCCTCAGCAGATAATGGCTCCTGGCTGCGTCAGCCTCCCCCACCCCTCTGCAGACTGCCCCGCGGCCTCGGCCACCGGCAGGGGAACCGAGACCAGCACCCCGCACGTCAGCCGGGCTCGCGGCACGCCCGCCGCTGATCACTCTGCATGTTTCTTCGTGTGGTGGTCGCGTCCATCTTCAAGAACAGCTCGTTGTGCTCATCTGTGAAGCCTTATTAAACGTGGACGTTGTTTTCTGCCTTCCCAGGATTCTTCCTTCAGTGCTGAGGCAGGTCGGGCTCAGGAACTGCAGGGACGTGAACATGCGCTTGCGGTTTGAGGTAGCCGTGTCTGTTCCTTCGCGGTTTGCTATTTTCATTTCCTGTTCGTCAAAGCAGCAGAGGAGATCAAACCCCGTTCGTGTGTCTTTCCTCCACGGATAAGCTTGGGAGGTCATTGTTTTACTGCCCTCACATTTTGTTTGAAATTTCAGAACTGTTTTTCTATGTAAATATTGAAAACTTATGATTTGTGCAATAACTCAGATATTTTTTATTTAATTTCCTATTTTCACATAAGTTATATTTAAGGGAGGAGGGAATTTTTTTTAAACAAGCTTAGGTCCTTTCCCGAGCTGCATTTTCTAAGTTGGGTCATCGTGTCGGCTGGTTGTCTGACGAGCATCGTTACAAACACCATGATGAGGGGTTTGGGGTTTTATTTTGATGTCTTTTCTTTTGGTCGGAAGTGAGTGAAGGAGCCAGGTCGCCCTGAAGGTTTTCCAAAGGGCTTGGCTCCAGAGCCACCTGGCAGACTGCCCGTGGCCCTGCTGTCGGGCCCCAGGCCGTTGTCCTGCTCTGACCACAGAGTTTTAATGTTTTGGTTTTCACTTCTTTTAAACTGGACAACAAATCCAGCATTTCAAGTGCCAGAAGTATAACTTTCTAAGGAGAGAAGGGTTGTCACATTATAAAATCTTTAGGAAAATGTGAACTGGAAAACGCTTCGGTCAGTTTTAGTGACATAGCCTGTGATGATGGGTCTGGTGACTATTATTGCGGACCGTGGTACCCAGTTTTAGGAATGTGGAGAAAGGAATTCTGTTGATTCCGTTGAGGAATCTGTAGCGTATGCATTCGTTCTGTTAAGAGCAAATCTAGGAGAAGTGCTTCAGCTGCCCAGTGCGCCGTGGGGAGTGTTTTAACGGATCGTGTCGCAGGAGAGCACAGCCCAGCGTTGGGGCCGGGACCGCTGGCGCCCGACGTCGGAAGCATACAGGTATACTATGCAAGTGTATTCTGCCACAACAACCACTGTCTTTGTTACCTTTTTTTGAACAAGAATATATCCATCCTGCCTAACCCTGAGTTTTTGGAGCACCACAGTTGTCCTGGGAGTTGGTTGCATCTTGTAGGCCATCTGACTTCCTGTTTTTAAAACGGGGGTCTGGTCTTGCTAAACACTACAGGTAGGTTGGTCTTTGAAGTCCACTAGTGGAGAATGTCAAGACAAGATACTTATTACCATGACATCTGATGCATGTGCAGCAGTGGGGAGTTCTAGATTGATCTCTGAATGTGATCGACGCCCAGCAAGGACAAGCTTTAAAATGTCTGCGGTCTGCCCTTTTGAAGCAGGACTGGCTCACTCTGTCATTGGGAGCTGTCAGCTGCGACTGCAGGTTCTCTAGGAGGCATTCCAGAATAGAGTAGCACACTGTGTCTGCAGTTCTCGATGACCGAAAGTTATCAAAAATATTTAAAATATTTAAATTGTGAACCTATTGATAAAGAATATTTATAAAAACTGATCTGTAGGCCTGTACTAATCTCTACGCATTAGCAATATTGACTGTAAACCCACATTAAGGAAACCACTACGGGTCTGGCAGTGCGTGTCCCGTGGGGTGTGCATTTTAAAACTCGATTCATAGACACAGGTACCATGTTCCATTTCCGTCATGGTGAAGCAAATGAATTGGCCTGGCTACCACTGTGGTCGCGTGCTACAGGTTTGACAAAAAGATATCATGTTTCGATTTTTTTGTGTGTGGACAACAATATGGAAGCTAAAATTGACATATTTTTATGTAAAGTTTTTCTATTCTTTGATTTTTAATAAACTTTGGAAACCAGTTTTGTGTTTGTGTCCAAGTGTATGCTTTCAAGGGCAAGAGTGGCTTCTACATTTTCCGTATTGAATTTCTAAATTAGGGCAGTGCTTTAGCCATTTATTCTAAATAAGATTCAAGAGAAGGCAGATGATTCCAGTCCTATAAAGCAAGTTGCAGCAGGGAGATTATGTTGTCACTGGTCCATTGAAGTAGGAGGAGGTAAAAATACAAAAATTAGCCGGGTGTGGTGGCTCACACCTATAATCCTAGCTATTCGGGAGGGTGAGGCGTGAGAATTGCTCAAACCCGGGAGGCAGAGGTTGCAGTGAGCTGAGACCGTGCTACTGCACTCCAGCCTGAGCAACAGAGCAAGACCCTGTCTCAAAAACAAACAAAAAAAAGTGGGTGGAGGTTCTAGACTTTGCATAAGGCCTATGTAACAGTAACAGAAACCTGTCCTCTGTCCTCACATTCTGATGCTAACAGGAATTCAGTAAAACTGTTTAAATGATTCTTATATGAAGTTTCTGGTAAGCTGCTATGTGATACTATGTACTTAGACCGCCCAGGGGCAACATTTTAGTTTCTTCATTTCTTTTAGGTCAGCATTGCGTCACTTGCAAACAAGACATTACAAACCAAACAATCATAATGTGGCTTAAAATTTAACTGACGTTTGGGATTTATTTATTTATTTATTTTGAGACAGAGTCTTGCTCTGTTGCCCAGGCTGGAGTATAGTGGCACAATCTTGTCTCACTGCAGGCTCTGCCTCCCAGGTTCAAGCGATTCTCCTGCCTCAGCCTGCCGAGTAGCTGGGATTAGAGGTACCCACCCCATGCCCGGCTGATTTTTGTATTTTTAGTAGAGGTGGGGTGTCACCATGTCGGCCAGGCTGGTCTCGAACTCCTGACTTCAGGTGATCTGCCCACCTTTGCCTCCCAAAGTGCTGGAATTACAGGCGTGAGCCACCGTGCCCTGCCGACGTTTGGAATTTATGAGGAAAGGTACAAGAATTCTTCTAGGCCAGTAAGTGACAGAACTGCATGTCCCAGCCTGTGCAGCCCCTTGAGTGCATGTTCTAGAGCCATCAGCTCTAGAGTCCTTCCGGTTGTCAAGGTGGGTGTTGTGGGTAAAACACACATTCCTTCCACCTGGAGAACAGAGCAGCCCTATCCTCATGGCACCTGGTTCCTAAGAGTGTGCAGAAGCCGCTGACAGCACCATATGGTGGTGCTGGGGGGAAGACGACAGGCAGCTGGGTGGGACTCCAAAGCCTCTCCAGGGGCAGAGCCCTGTGCAGCTTCTGCATGAGCTGCGGTGGGCAGGGTGGGGCTGGCAGGAGTTGAGCAGGGCCTCCGAGGGAACTGGAGGGCTTACAGCTAGGGGCATCTGGAGGAGGAACCCAGGACAGTGCTGAGGTGCAGGGCACTGGAGGCAGGAGACGTGGCTGAGTTAGCCTCTGTGTTGGAGGCAGGACTGATGGGTATCCGGGGGGAGGCACTCTTGACCTGCCCTGGATTTCCCTGTGAGTTGTGATGCTTCCTACTCAGCTACTGATACCTGCAGGAGAGCTGCCTTTAGGAGGCTTCCAGGAGCAGCCTCTGGAGCAGCTGTGTTACCAGGGAGCCTGAGGCCCCACAGAGGCACCTGAGGTGTCAAATGGGTCCCGCTCTCCTCGGAAGCTGGGAGTACTGGAAGGTAAGGGCTTTCTGAGGGCACAGTGAACCTGTCCAGGCCACTACGTGAACATCAGCAAGCCCACCATGTAGTCTCGGGACCCCATGCGCTGGATCTCGTGGTAACAGGTAACCCCCTCGTGACCAGCTTCCGTGTGTTCCTTTTGATTTGCCCAGGGTCTCGAGTGCCACCTCTCTACCCTGTGAGATACGCAGAGGACCCTGTAAATGCCGTGCCCCGCATGCCTCGGCCTGGGCGTGAGCCGTACGCGGGGGAGGTGGTGACGTTTGTAATCCAGACGTCGTTTCGTTGCGACTGGGTCACCTGTGATGCCCTAAGCCCTGAGAACTTTTCAGGTGTGTGTCATTATCCTCCTGCTGTTGATAACTTTTGAGGTTCTTGCCAATCCTTAGGTGACTTTGACTACCTTTGGTCAAAGGTAACTGCCTAGAATGGACAGTGGCTCCCGTTCAACAGACACACATCCCAGACACCACGCTGGGGGCTACGCCTGTTGTTTAAGAATGGCCGGAAAATATGTTGCCTGCATTGTGTCTCCAGGACCCGTGTGGGAGGGTTAACTTGGGAGGGGCGGGGTCCCACTAGCCCTAGATTGCAAGGGTAAACTGCCTGGTGTCCTTCATGGTGAGTCTTACTCCATGACTTGATCCTAGAGAAGGACCAGCTAAGGACTTCAGAGGTCTTGGAGTGAGTTCCAGGCAAGGGCAAGAAACCAAGGCTTTTCATGGGGTTCTTAGGTAAAGGACGGGGGTATGGACCAGTCACACTGGGAGGTTGAGTCCTGTCTCCTGGGAAGCCACGTGGCTGTGGGGTGAGCTTGCCCAGGGTTCCTTCCCGCCAGTGTGGATATGGCGCCCTCTGCCCAGGCCTCTGAGACGGAACGCTTGGAGCTCGGCCAATGCTTAGGTCATCATAGGTGCCGTGGGGTCAGTCACACTTGGTTGAGAGGTATGTGACTCGAGGCAGATTCCTGTCATTCCTGCTTGTATTTCATCAAGTCCTGAGTGAGGTTTGTGGGAATGGGTGCAGGTGGCTATGGCCAAATCCAGGTCTCAACAGACAGCAAACCTCCACACATCCTGCCATGTCACTGTTGGAATTTTCAAGCTGGGTGGAATCTTAAGGACCAGCTAGAGCAGCTCAGCCCCGAAAATGAGAAAGTGAAGTCCTGTGACGTGACGGGCTTCTAAAGGTCACGTGGCACATCCGCCAGGCCCCCGAGAGGGCGCTGGGTCTCGCTCCCACACCACTGCTCTTTGTAAAGTCCTGTGGCCCCTTTTTGTTGTCTGACAACATCTAGAGAAATTGCTGTGAGTTTAGGTGGAACACTGGTGCTTACATTATGATTGAGCCCCACCAGGTTCTGAAGATGTGTCTTGTGCCTGTGGCTCACGTCATGGGGAGCCTTTCAGGGACACAGTGGCATCACCAGCCAGGCCCTGTGTGTTGAAATGGTTATGGTGGAACTACGTGGGCTCATGAAACGTGAGAGGCTTCCTGTTGGACTTTTTGTGGCCAGTGTTTATAGGATCCTGCCAGCAGAGAGCCTGGGCCTAGGGCCCAAAGGCTGGAGTTAGGAGCTGGGGTGCGCAGAGCCCTGGAAGGGTTTGGCAGGCCAGGGGAGAAGGGAGTAACAGTCTCGCTCTGTGCTTCAGGCTTTTCCTTGCTGGTTCAAGTGTCCGCTAAAAGCAGCTAACGTAATCAGTACAGCTCCTCTATTTTGGGAAATCAAACCCCAAATCTTTAATTTGATTTACAAAGCTTTCCAGGATATTGCCTTTGCCTCCCTTTCCAATCGTGCCACTCGGGAGTTATTTCTGTTAGAAAATAGATATTTCCCTCTCAGTGTCCCCAAATGTGAAAGAAAAGTCATTGTCATCAGTAGTCTTGGGTAGAAGAGAGGGCAGCCGTCACTGGAAGGGGACCAGTGAGCAGGCTGTTCACAGAGCAAAAGGGAGGGTGGATCTCCATGGACAGTCACCGGCTTCAAGTCTTGCTTCTGCTGCTTCCTGGCTGTGTGTCCTTGGGCACGTCACTTGACTCCTGTGCTCCAGTTTCCTCATCTTCCCAATGGGCCGTTGTACAGACTAAACGAGTAAATGAACATGAAGCACCTGGAGCCATGCCAGGCCCGATGTGAGCACTTGGGCCGCATGGACTCATGTTATTAGACCTGGTAGGCCCGGCGCAGGGAACCAAGCCTGTCAATTTAAAGGGGAGTGGCGGGAGGAACTCATTTTTAATGACAGGCAAAAAGGGAAAATATTGTAATACATGGCTTCCTATTTTCCTTTCCCCTTTTTCTTGCCTTTGAATTTATAATGTTGCTTATTTGGTATTTAAGATTCTTGCTCTGGAGCTTTGAACATTTTGAAAGAAAAAGTGTCGTTTAATAAATGCTGTCATTTGACATTCTGGTTACTATTTTAGGGCAGCATGGTAGGTAGACACTGCTAGTTACTTACCCAATATCTATTTTCCTTTTTTTCTTCCAGGATTGCCAGATTTAGAAAATGAAAACGCAAAACTCCAAGTTAAATTTGAATTTAAGTAGACAATGAATACTTTTTTGGTATGTGTTCCAAATATTGCATGGGCAATTTAACTGGGTGTCCTGTATTTTATCTGGCTCAACTTTGTTTAGACAGCAGGGTGCACAGCTGAAAAGATAACTTTTATAACATCTTTGCAGCTAGGGGTGGTCACAACAGAGTGCTTTCCTTTGGAATGAAACTTTTCTAGGAGCAAGTACTTTGCTTCCCTCCTTGGATTCTGGCTGGAATTCAAATGCAATGCCTGGTGACACAGCAGCCATGTTGTAACCATGAAGTGGCTAGCTGTGTAGTAAGGCTGACAGAGCAGGAAGCCAGAAAGGACCCAGAGTCCTGAGGCTTTGGTCCTTCTTTCTATGTTCATATATAACATTTGCATGAAGAAGACACCCACATCTGTTTATGCCACTGATATTCAGGGCTCTCAGCTGAATACAGTTTTAACTGATATATACAGGAAACACATACTTCAAACAAAATCTCATGTGAAACTCCATATGGGTTGAAGTTCTGGTTAAAGCAGTCTGGTAGGGAGGAAAAAGGGGACATAGCTTCATTGCTTGAATGTCTGTTCCACTCCTTCTCCCTTCTCCCGGATTTTGGGGGATGCCCTGTGGAGCCCCTCACTTTCCATGGAACACATCTTTAAGCCAGGAAACCACCAACTCTTCCCCACTCTTAGTTGCATTTTTCTCAACTCTTTAGGACAGGGGTTGAGGAGGGTGTCCTGCGGATTGCACAAATGCCTGCTGGACTGATCAGAGCCCTGGATCCTATACCTGGAGTTGGGAGCTTCCCCCAGGGCCCTGCAGCTCCCACCCTGGTTGCTGTGCACCGCGGAATGGGCCCGTCAGGAAACAGGAAGGCAGCCTGCTCCACTCAGGTCATTTGTCTGCCTCCTAATCCAGCTAAGGCACAGGCTGGAGACCTCAGTTAGGGAAGTCCCTTCCCTGCCCCCTTGGGAACACTGGCCCCACCTGGGTGCTGGTTTCACCACTTTGTTACCAAAGTCTGTCACAGACAGGCATTGGGTGAACTTACAGCTCAGCCTGCAGACGTAGCCCCAGGGCAGCATGGCTGGACTGAGCTGTGCACAGACGCCTGCTGCGTGCTGTGCCTCCCCTGCGGGTGGAAGTCTTGGCCCCTGGACCCGGCATTCGAGGCCTTCCGAGACATTCTGCCCTTGGAATGCTTGCCTCTCAATTGATCTGTCCTGAGTGGCTTGTTATTATTTTTTAATATTCAATCGGTCATGTATCAGTAGTTATGCAAAATGTGGCAAAAATGAATGACTGAAGAAAAATGAAATGGAAAAAGAAAAAATCTGAAAATACACAAAAGCGCACACTGTTTTGCCATTGGATTCAACAGACCTGAAACTATCCTTGCAGGAGCCCCTCGGTGCCCACCTGTAGGCCACGCTCACCAGCTGCACCAGAGCTGTGCTTCCAGCACCCAAAAGCTCCCTCCCTGAGCTGCACCCAGGCCTGCTCCCCACTCTCCTCACCAGCTGCACCCGTATCTCCCACGGCCCACCCAGGGTACTATCGATCCTTTAGTCCTCTTCTGCCAGTGTACCCCATGGCCCGGGACAACCCCTAGTATGCAATGGCTCTTTCTTGTGGGCAATGCATGGAGGCACACATCAGGGCCCTGCTTTTAAGAAGGAAGTACTGAGACCTGGGTGCCGCCTCTTCTAGGAGCCATGGATGCCGGGGCTTACCCCCAGAGACTGTGAATTGAATGGTTAGGAGGGAGCCTGCACACACCGGAGAGCTCTGAGCACCAGGCGAGTCTCCCATGTGGCCAGGTTGGGAGCCATCGCTGTTCATGTGGCCAGGGCTGCCTTGCCAGAGGAACTCATCTTACTTTGCCACCATGAAAATGTAACTGTTTATCATGTCATGACCTCCCTTGCTACAGTCGCTCTCGTCTTTTGTGTTCTATTTAATTTTTTAAAATGCTGGTGGCCCAGTCACTAAATTTTTTTTTTTTTTTTACCACCACTCATGGGCAGGACCTGTTACGTGAGACATGCACCAAAGCACGGAGAGGGACAGCCACGATCCTGCCCGGAACGGGTCTTCAGAACTGGGCAGAGCATGGCTCCTTTTGATGGGGGCCCCAGAACTCCTTTTCAAAGGCAATGGCAGGACGGGATCCACAGTGGGTGGCCCTTTGATAAGGAGGCATCCTCCAGCCAGAGTTGACACCACGTGGACAAGGTCTCAATGCTGCTTAACACTGTTTTGGGTGCAGAACAAAGAGCGGTTGGAACATTTCTCGTCTAGTCTCCCCCTCTGTACGTGTCCTGTGTTTCTAGCTTGTTCAAAGTGGTCAAAGACCCAAGGCTGGTCTGGCACAGAAGGGGTCGTGCCTACATGTAGGGAGGCGCTGACCCTTCTGTCTCCCCTTGTATGTCCCCAGGGACAGGACAGCCCCCTGCCTGTTGTCCCCAGTGTCCTCTGTGAATGGGGACCAGCTGTCTTTCAGGTAACTCCCTCCTCCTCCACCTCTGTCCACTCGCTCCGGTAGCCACCCCTTCCACGTGCAGTACGGCTCTGCATCCCTGAGAGCCTCGATGACTCCTCTCCTCTGCCTCTTCTCTAGTGTTGGGTCCTATATCTGTCAGTTAATTACGTATTCATTATAAGAACATATTTCTCTTGGGTCAATATTTAACTTTTCAAATTTATCTTCTTTACTCAATAAATTGTGACCATGGGTGTCTGTTCCTCGTGGGCTCAACACTGCCAGGCATGTAGAAATTGCTTGATGCAGTTTCACTGGCTTGTGGACAGGCAGTTATGCTTCTCTGTGCTTCTGTGATTCCATGCTAAAGAAAGTCAGTAGCAAGCAAATAGCAGAGCTTTAGTGGGTAAGGACAGTATTTTACCTTGAAAAAGGCAGCAGGAAAGAGAGTTAAGACTCAAGTTTCCTTTATTAAGGAAAATTGAAATCTAGGTACCTACAGATGCTCTTTGACTTATATGATATGGTTAGGTCTCGATAAACCCACTGTAAGTCAAAAATGCTTTTAATACACCTAACCTACCGAATGTCTATGTTACATATGCGTAGAGCACTTATATTTGCATCCAGTTGGGCAAAATCATCTAACACAAGCTGATTTTATTAATATTAAAATTGATGTAATATATGTACATATTTTAGTACATGTGATAGTTTAATATGTTCATATAATTTGTATAGGTCAAATCAGAGTAATCAGGAGATCTATCACCTTAAATATTTCTTTATGCTAAAAACATTGGAATTATTCTATCTATTTTGAAACATACAATAGATTGTTATAAACTTTAGTGTCCCTACTGATCTAGAACTACCATGTGATCCAGAAATCTCACTATTGGGCATATATCCAAAAGAAAAAATTATTGAAGAGACATCTGCACTCCATGTTTTTTGCAGCACTATTGACAAGAGCCAAGATGTGGAATCAATCTAAGTGCCCATCAGTGGATGAATGGATAAAGAAAATGTGGTGTAAATACACAGTGGAACACTCTTCAGCCATTTGAAACACAGATAGAACTGGAGGCCATTATGTTAAGTGAAACAAGCCAAACAGAAAGGTAAATACTGCATGTTCTCGGATGTGGGAGCTGAAGTGGATCTTCTGAAGATAGAGAATGGACTGGTGTTACCAGGGGCTGGGAAGGATTGGGAGTAGGGGGATGAAGAGAGGTTGATTAATGGGTACACAATCTCACATAATGTATTGTATGCTTTACTGAAATAAAAACAGAATGGTTGTATGGGTACTCTAAGTATGGTTTCTCCTAAACACATACGGCTTCCACACCATCATAAAATTGAAAAATCATTAAGTCAAGCACTGTCTAATATAACTTAATACAATGCTAAGGTCCTTCATTTAATTGTAACATAAGTCACTCAAGTGTTGCCATCCTGGATGATTTTCTTGGATTTTTTTTTTTTTTTTTTTTTTTTAAGACAAGGTCTTCTTGCTCTGGAGTGCAGTGGTGTGATCACAGCTCATGGCAGCCTCATACTCGTAGGCTCAAGCAATCTTCTCATCTCAGCCTCCAGAGTAGCTGGGACTACTGGCATGTTCCACCATGCCCAGTTAATTATTATTATTGTTTTTTGTAGAGACGGGGTTTTGCCATGTTGTCCAGGGTAGTCTCGAACTCTTGGGCTCAAGCGATCCTCCCTCCTCAGCCTCCCAAAGTGCCGTGTGCCACCATACCCAGCCCCTCTTTGGTTTTTTAAAAGTGCCTGCTAGCTCATCAGCACAGGAGCAAGGCGACTTGGAGCCACAATGAGACAGATGATTGCCAGTGTTGTTTCATTTCAGTTCTTAAGTTCCTGCATGGGGTGCTTACTGATGAGTCTGTCTCTCCTCTCAGGTAAGCCAGGCCTCCATCCACTCCTGCACAGCAGGGAACGCTGCACGGTGGCCCAGGGTTCGTGGTGGGCACGCCGTACCCCTCACCCCCTCCACGTGGAGTCTGGCTGAGGGCTCCCTCCCGCATGCCAGGCCTGGCATGTCGGTGCAGGCCCTTGCATTTCTGGCTGTGCTGCGCAGTCTCACCCTTGAGAAGAAGGGGGCGCTGTTGCCTCAGCCTTGCAGAGTTTCTCTGTGGTCAAACCACCCTGCCAGCCTCCCTGCTGCAGCCGGCAGCACGTCACTCCATGCGGGAGGGGAGCCCCACCTAAGGTAGGCTGTGAATTAATATTTTTTAAAGCCCCAGGTATTCAGGTTTAAAAAAGGCCCAGGGACATGAGGCTGCAATTTTTTGCTCTATTGAAGAAAAGAAAAATCTGTAGAATTTTAACAGTGACAATGAGGTTGAAGCTACTACAGATGCTGCACCTTGGGGGTCTTGGGGTCCCTCCTGCTCCCCAGGGGAGTCCATCAGTTCCCACAGAGGGTCTGCTAGAATTGCTGAAATCAGACTCGCAGCCACCCAGCAAACCTGCACCAAGTTCTGGGGCCAATTCTGGTGTGGGCAGGGGATTGGTGGCCGCTTTGTCGTTAGGGTCCCCGATGTCGGACATGAGCTTGATGAGTGGAGGAGCCGGGCCCCATGAGGATGCTGGTCTGTTCTTCCCCAGAATCTGCCTATGGCTCAGCCTCAGAACCTCAGGAATGGAAACAGGAGCAGAGAGCTGTCTATGCGGGGAGGTCCTGGGTCCAGTTTCCATCTCACTCCCCGATGGGCTTGTGAACTGAGGCGGTGGCATTCTCTGCCTGGCCCTTTTGTCTGGTTGGAGAATGAGACCTACTGCCTGGAGCGGTGGGGCCTGGATGCAGGCCTTGGCGCAGGGCGCTTTGCAAACTGCCTGGTGCTTTGCAGATGCCTCTCACCGCAACCTTCCCCTCCAAGCCTGCAGCCTTTAGGACTTCCTGCTCCTCTGCTGCTCCCTCCCTCCCTCTCCCCTCGCTGGCACTCTCTGTCTGGCTGCCCAGGGCACTGACTCACTGGAGTGCCCCTGGCTCACCGCCAGCAGACATTTCCCTGTCACCGCCAAGGGCTGAGGAGGTGGCTGAGGCTCTGGCCCCGGAGCCTGGAGGCCAGGGCAGCTGCAGAGGAGCAGCTGGGTGCCATGCGGGCCTCTGGGAAATGTCCCAGACACCTGCCTTGGAAGCCCCAGGGGCAAAACAGCCACTGAACTCTACAGGAGCCCCACCCTGAGGCCACTTCTCCCTCAGGGAACCAGTGCGCTGTGTGGGGTGGAGCGAGTGAGGTCGGGAAGCTGGGGCCATGTCCGGTGACAAGGAGGATCCCTCCCGGACATGGGCGAGGCTGGGAGTGGGCAGCCAACTAGCCAGCCATGGGTCCTGGGAGCTGGCTTATTTTGGTTGTTAGGTTTATGGCCATATTAAGAGAACAGCAGTTTTGGCAAATGCCCTACAAGTAGACACTCAAAACCTACATTGGTAGAGAATAAATATTTCTTATTTTATCAGTGCAAAAGAACACAAAACTGTCTTTTCTCTCTCTCCACTCTTTTTTTTTTTTTTTTTTTTTTGAGACGAAGTCTTGCCCTGTCGCCCAGGCTGGATTGCAGTTTGCAATGGCACGATCTCGGCTCACTGCATCCTCTGCCTCCCGGGTTCAATCGATTCTCCTGCCTCAGCCTCCCGAGTAGCTGGGATTACAGACGTGCACCACCACTTCTGGTTAATTTTTTGTATCTTTAGACAAAGTTTCACCATGTCAGCCAGACTGATCTCGAACTCCTGACCTCATGATCTGCCCACCTTGGCCTCCCAAAGTGCTGGGATTACAGGCGTGATCCACCACTCCGGGCCCTCTCTCTCCACTCTTTAAAATAATCCTTGTCTCCTTTTTGCTGTGATTTCACGTCCTGCAGGTGGGAGGTACCAGCAGGTCTGGACAGGCGGGACTTGCCTTGTGTCTTCCAGTCTGGACTGGCTCCATGGCTACCCTTCCCACAAGGCCTCCGCATTGGTGCTGGGGAACGAGGCAGCAACTTGATCCTCAAGTTGCTCTGATTTGTCCTTACACAGTAGCCCTCTTCTCTAGCAGGCATGTCAGGGTGGTCAGGAGACAGGAGGCGGGGGCTGGGGAGGGGTTAGGCCTCAGCCCGCATGGGGGGTGTCCTCTGCAGGGAGGTGAGCAGCTTAGCATCTGCCAGCACCAATCATTCTGTGGGCTTCAGGCTGTAGCGGGGCTCTAGTTGCCTGCTTCCTGGCCCTGGAATGACTTGGGTACGGGGAGTGTTGGCTGGATGTGCAAGAGTCAGATAATGGAGGTGGGTGGGAGATAGGGCTGAGATGTTTTGTCCCCTCCACATATGTTGAAATGTGGCCACCAATGCTGGAGGTGGGCCTGCTGGGAGGTGTTTGGCTCATGAGGGCTGATGCCTCCTCAGTGGTTGCTGCTGTCCTCGTGGTAATGAGTTCTCACTACGAGTTCACGCAAGTTCTGGTTGTTTAAAGAGCCTGGCACCTCCTCCCTCTCTCGGGCTCCTTCTCTCGCCAGGTGAGGCACCTGCTCCCCCTTTGCCTCCTGCCATGAGTGGAAGCTTCCCAAGTCCTCACCAGATGCAAATGTTGGTGCCATGCTTCCTGTACAGCCTGCAGAACTGTGAGCCAAAGAAACCGCTTTTCTTTATAAATTACCCAGTTTCAGGTATTTCCTTGCAGCAACATGAAAGACTAATACAGTGGGGCCCACCAAGCTGCCTCGTAGCCGGAGGGAATCTCTTTGGCCAACAGTTGGCCTTGAGAATGTCAAACAGACATGCAGAATCTAAGAAAACACAGAACGGGCAGACAGAGAGTGGGCTTTTCCTTCATGTTGGGTATTAGAAAAGGGGAGATTCCCATTCCTGAGGCTGTGTCAGGGTGTGGGGGGTGTGGCCTGCCCTGGCCTGAGGTGTGCTCCTTTTAAGACTTCCCACCCATTGGTCAAAGCGTCCACCCTGAATGGACCAGGTTGCTGGTGGACACTGATCCCTGTGGCCAGGGCCTCCGAGCATTTGGTGTTCAGCTCATCGGGGACTCTGTGGACACCAGAGGGCAGAATGGGGTCTGTCTGCCCAAAAGCCCCGTGGGGAGTGAGCGTGAATTACCCCAGAGTCTGTGTAGGGAAGCCTCCTGGAGCCTGGTGCTTTCTCCTTTACAGTGGCTTTCAGTTTGTGGATTTTTCTGAAGTTATTGGCCTTGGAGCTTGCGTCAAGTTTCCCGAAGACCACTCCCAGTGTTGGTGATTTTCTCAGGAGGACTCACAGCCCTCATCACGTGGTGCTATCCTCACAGCATGGTTCATTACTACGAAAGGACACAGAGCAAGCCAGCAGGGGAAAGTCACGTGGGGCAGAGTCCGGGGATCTGGGCGCAAGTTCCCAAGAGCCTGTCCTGGTGCAGCTACACAGGACAAGGTTATTTTCTCCAGTGTCAGGTTATGACAACACTTGTGAACTGTCAGCTACAGGATACTCTTAGGGACTCAGCGCCCAGGGTTTTTACTAGGGCGTAGCATGTACCCAAATTCTAGGCTCCCTGAGGGAAAGCAGGTGTTCAGTGGAAAGCACACTTGTTAAAAGTGGCTGAGGCACAGGGAGCCACCCTTACCATCTGGGGACGCTGGGGATCCTGCAGCCCACTGTGCAGGGATGGGGGTGCCGTGCTGCATCCCAGGGCTGAGGAGGATTGTTTGGCTGGGGGGCTCTGTCAGTAGAATGCAGAGGGGAGGGTCCCTCCTGATGTTCCCAGGAGTGAAGGCAGCTCTTCATAGTGAGTCTAGTGTTGGGCCCTGCACTAACACAAGCAGGTGCCCGGCAGGCGTTTGCCGAGGGAGGGGAAGAATGAAGCAATGTATGGTGGGGTTTCTAGAACCCTCCCTGGGGATGGCTTCTCCGTGGAGGGTAGTGAATCCCACAGCCCCACAAGGCCCTCAGCTGGGGTGAGTTTCAGGCCACAGCGGCTCACTGGCCCTGTGACCTGATGTGAGGGCCACCAGGGCAGGGCTTTTAGATGCTTCCCCTGTGCTGTGTTCTCGGAGGCCTGAACACAGAGGCTCACTAAATACTTGCTTGTTGAGAAAGGCCAATCCCTAAACAAACCACTGTGATGGGGGCTTAGCAGATGCCAGTTGACTTAGCTTGTCCCCACTGTCCTTGGAGCCTGAGG
Organism: Homo sapiens; assembly: GCF_000001405.40. Taxonomy (NCBI): domain Eukaryota; kingdom Metazoa; phylum Chordata; class Mammalia; order Primates; family Hominidae; genus Homo; species Homo sapiens. The sequence continues at coordinate 6,769,927 of NC_000005.10, forward strand.
CAAAAGGAGCTTCCCCTCATGCACCAGAGACCCTTCCCTTCTGTGGGAAGAGGAAAGGGTTACCTGGGAGACTCTGTCCTGTTCTGGCACAGGAAGGGGGAAAGGACATGGCTAGCAAGCTTGGCGGGGGCCACTGCATGTGGCTTGGGCTGCTGCCCATAGGCAGGATGTCCTCTGTGGCCAGGGGCTGGCTGATTTCCGCCTTGTGTTTTTGCCTCTTTGCTCTTCTGGGAGGAGGAAGCTGGATCTGGGAGTGGGGCAAGGGGAGGCTGGCGGCTGCAGGAGGGATGCCTGAAACCCAGCCTTCCTTGGTCCGTGGCCTGAGGTGAGGCCACACAGGGTGGTGATGGCCTGCCCTTGCTGGAGCACGTGCAGCTTCTGCGTCATGAGCTTGGAGACCAGGGCCACGCTCTGTGTTGTCATCTGTGCTGCTTCCCTGTCCCCAGGGCTACTTAGCCCCTTCGGGAACTGCCCCTTCCTGCAGGGGTGACAGGGATCCCTCCCTGAGGCAGAACTCCACCCCCGAAGCCCATGTGGCCCTTCCCTGGCATGTGCTCCCTTGCCAAGGGAGCTACCATGGAAGGTGTCTCATGGGTTCCTGGGGGCTGCCTCTGAGCTGTGCCGGCTGTTCTCCACATGAGGGCCCTGGCAGACGGACCACTGGGCTGGAATCCATGCTCTGCACCCTGGGCTGGGCTGTTCTGTCCAGAGGAAGGGGCTCCCCCTCCCACTTCTCACAAAGGGACCCTGTGGACGAGCAGGGGCAGGGGAGCCTGGCACAGCCCAGGCGGGGCAGGCTCTTCTCCCTGTAGTGCCCAGATTATGACGAGTGACCCGGTTCCTGGGCTGCTGTTACGTGTGCGGGGCTCTGAGCTGCTTCTGCAGGTTCTGCTGCAACCACAGTATTAGGGTGCAAGGAACATGGGGTGAGGGCCTTGGAGCTGCCGGGGCTCTTGGAGCTTTGTCCTTAGCGCTTGCCAGCTTTGGAGAACTTGCCTGCAGTTCCCAGTGTGGCTGAGAGTACAGACTTGAAGGACACACAGAGAAAGGGCAAGGTCGAGCTTGGCCTTTGCATCTGGATGGTGGCCAGGCTGTTGGCCACACCCTGGGGGTAGTTTATGTGACAGCTGTTGCCTCCACTGGTTGGGGCAGGACTGCTGGGTGGTAGTACTGTGGAGAGCTCACGTTGGCTTCACTGCAAGGCCCGCAGTTGCCCCTCATGTCTGTTTCTCTACTTGTCCATCTGGAAACTCTACCCAAGCTCCAAGACTCAGCCCAAAGTCTCCTCCTCTGTGAAACCACCCTGCCCGTAGCCTGACTCTCCAGGGAGAATTAATTACTTTTAGAAGAAACACACACTCATTCCACCTTCCGAGGACAGCATCTTGCTCTAGTGACTCAGTCTGGGAAAGACAAAAACTGTGATTTGATGGAGTGATTGTTGGTGCTCTTGGCAGTGTGTGTGTGTGTGTGTGTGCACGTGGAGGTTGTGTGTATACATGTGTATGTATGCATGTGTGTACCAGCACACACACAGGAAAGTGCATGGGTAGGCTTAGTAATCTAGAACCTCTTAAGCATCACCCAGGGCTTGTGATGGGGCCTGTTGATTTATCGTCTTATCATGATGTTTTTACCTGAAACTATTTTCAGCTCGATTTCTGTTTGACAGGGTACCGAGTGAGACCCAGCTGACCTGGAAAATGACAGGGACACTTTTTATCCTTCCAACTTAACCTTTCCGTCCTGACTTAACCTTTCCCTCTTTGACACAAATGAAGAAATTAGGGCTCTTGACTGCTACTGATTTAAGGGGATTACAGAGGCACTGCCAGCGAGCATGAGCACAAGAGTTTAGCGCCTCTCGGCAGCTGAGAGAGGATGCTGCATACTTGGGGCCTGGGACCTCCGAGAAGACCTTCTTCAGCCGAAAGCACACCTTATTCTTGTCCCAGTTGAAGGCTTCCCAACGGTCTTCATGTGGCACTTGCTGTGTGCCAGGCCCCACTCTGGGCACTTGGTTTATTTAATTCTAACCATGGTCCTAGGTGATGGGCGCTGGTATGACTGTGGGAAAGGGACAAGGTGGGAGATGTGAACGAACTTCCGGAGCCCTCCCTCGGGCAGCCTAGCTCCCCGCCTCCTCCAACACCTTCTGTTGCTTTTCCAGCACAGCCAGTACTGGGCTCTTGGGTTCGAGCACGGGGCGGGGTGAAGGGTGCTGGGAGGTCACATTCTTGCTTCCCAGCACTGAAGACTGGAAGAATGAATGGCACAGATGAACAAGGCCGTCCTGCATCCGCCGCTCACTAGAGGCTTCACAGCTGCGTAGGGACACAGGACATCTGTACAATAAATACCAATGGTATTAGTGCCCTAGGGCTGCAGGAACAAAGCACCACAGACTGGGGGTGCTGGAACAGCAGAAACTCAGGCTCTCCCATTTCTGGATGCCGGAAGTCCAAAATCTAGTGTCGGCAGGGCTGTGTCCTCTCTGAGGTTTCCAGGGGAGGAGGCTTCCTTGCTTCTCTGGCTTCTGGTGGTGGCTGGCAATGCTCGGCATTCCTTGGCTTATGGACGCAGCACTGAAATTGCAGCCCTTATCTTCATGTGGCCTTCCTTGTGGCGCTCTGTGTCCAAATGTCCCTCTCCTCTAAGGACACCAGTCATCGGATTAGGCCAGCTCTAATCCGGTGTGCCTCATCTTGATTTAACTAACTACATCTGCAAAGACACTATTTCCAGATTACGTCACGTTCCGAGGTTCCTGGTGGACGTGAATTTTTGGAAGACGCTGTCCAACCTGGGACACCAGCCAGCCCCTCTCTGGCTCCCTCAGTCCCTCCACCCTTCGGAAGTGGTAAATGGTGGCTTGCTAACAGCGCCTGTAGCAGCCACCTCCTGGTGATGGCAAAGGAAGGGCCCTCTCAGTCATAGGGGCCAATGGCGAGGAGGACCTGGGACGTGGTGCACTGAGCATTTTCCCTTCTCAGCAGCTCACTCCTTTGTGTGTCTGTGATGCGAAGGCTGTGACATCAGTCAGCCTCATGGAGAACTGGAACAACGGGCTCTGTGTCTTTGGAGAACGCGTCAAGACCAGGGCCTCTTCCCCTGCTCCCATGGTTCCCAGCGTTCTTGTCTCCTGAGAGAGGATGTAGTGGGTGTCATGTTCAGCATCGCAACTGGCCTCCGTGGAAACCAGGGTGGAGCTCAGACGGGTGTGGGGGGAGCATGTGACTGAGCTCCTTCCCACTCTCTCTCCGGCACACACGGAGTCAGTGTAGGGAGGTGATGGGTAAGGGCTTGAGTTTTGGGGTTGCACAGCTTGTGGGGACCCCACCTCATTTCCTAGCTAGGCAGACCTGGCCCAGTGTCTGACCTTTCCCATCTGTAAATTAGGGGTGCAAATAGCATCCACCTCCGGGGTGTGGTGAAGGTGGAGCCAGTACCCAGCCAGTCCAGCTCTTTTTTGTTAGGATTGCCCCACTGCGGCCACACCCTTCCATCTGCCCGCTCCTGTTCCCGCAGGTAGACTCAGCCTGTGGGATTCTGGCCTGGCTTCCCGGCAGCAAGCAGGAGCTTCAGATGCTCATTCCCGCCGCGGTCGGCTGTGGCGGCGACTCATACCCGTTTCCGCTCGAATGATGCCAGCTGTCCTGCTGCGCCACCTTCCTCTGTCCTCGCATCCGCTGATGGGATTTCCGGTCGCTTCCACTTTGTGGCTCTTTTGAAGAATGCCGCTAGGAACATTCACACGCAGGTTTTTGGTGTGGACGTATGTTTGTATTTCTCCTGGGCACACCCGGGATGGAGCTGCTGGGTGGCATGGAATTCCACCTGTGACTTACTGAAGAGCTGCCAGGCAGTTTCCCAGAGGGGCTTCATCGCTCTGCCTCCCCCCGCCGCTCCTCACCCCGCCGCTCCTCACCCCCCGCCGCTCCCCCACACACCCCCCGCCGCTCCACACACCCCCCGCCGCTCCCTCACACCCCCCGCCGCTCCCTCACACCCCCCGCCGCTCCCACACACACACCCCGCCGCTCCCTCACAGCCCCCGCCGCTCCCTCACACCCCCCGCCGCTCCCTCACAGCCCCCGCCGCTCCCACACACACACCCCGCCGCTCCCTCACAGCCCCCGCCGCTCCCCCCCACACCCCCCGCCGCTCCCTCACATCCCCCGCCGCTCCCTCACACCCCCCGCCGCTCCCTCACACCCCCCGCCGCTCCCACACACACCCCCCGCCGCTCCCACACACACCCCCCGCCGCTCCCACACACACCCCCCGCCGCTCCCACACACACCCCCCGCCGCTCCCACACACACCCCCCGCCGCTCCCACACACACCCCCCGCCGCTCCCACACACACCCCCGCCGCTCCCACACACCCCCCGCCGCTCCCTCACACCCCCCGCCGCTCCCCCACACACCCCCCGCCGCTCCCCCACACACCCCGCCGCTCCCACACACACCCCCCGCCGCTCCCACACACACCCCCCGCCGCTCCCCCACACACCCCCCGCCGCTGGTCACGGGTCCACCCTTCAACTGCAGCCATCCCAGGGGGTGTGAAGTGGATCTCACTGTGGTTTTTATTTTCATTTCCCTGATACAGAATCCACAGAGACATAAACAGACGAGTGGTTCTGAGGGGTGGGTGGGGTGGGGCGTGAGGCAGGGAGAAGAGGGAGAAGGTTCTGGAATTAGATGGTGGTGATGGTCACACAAGGTGGTGAATTGAACATACTAAAAACCACTGACTTGTACCTTTTAAACTGGTGAATTTTATCCCAATGAAAAAAAAACACCTTGTTCCTCCTTTGAGACCCAGCTCTCGCGCCCACTCCTCCAAGAGCCCGGGGTGTCTCTGCACCTCATTCATATCACTGGTGTGACTTTTGTATCTTGTGCTGTGATGTGGACAGCAGACCCTTCTCCCTTGTATGTTTAACACGCGTGTTGTGGTGTGGTGTGGTGTTGGCTGCTCAGGACACACCCTGTCGTCCACCGCACTCGGGGAGTTTCCTGCGTGACACTGGGGTCAGCAGCGTGGTTGGAATCTGGTGATGGAGCTGGTCCCTGCCCACAGCCCCCGCCACATCAGTGGCTTTTCCCGCAGCTCCCCACAAAAGGATGTGCCGCCTAGCAGAGATGAGAATCAGGTTTTCTTGTAAGAAAGAGTTGCTGAAGGAAAGCCGGTCACGTGCAGTGATGTTGTGAAAGAAAGTGATGACAAGCTAAAAAAAGAAGGACACTGAGAAAACATTATTATCAGCAGAGTTTATCTGGGCCAGATTTGGGGACCCCAACCCCAGGATGCTACCTCAGGAGTGTTCTGAGTTGCAGCGATTACAAGCAGATTTTTTAAGGACAAAATGAGGAGATGTGGCAAGGTGGTCCCAGCCCCTTCACCTAGAGGGGCCCTTGTTGACAGAGGTGAGCTGATGAATGATCAGTTGAAGACTCCCGTGCTTCTGGGAATAGTCATTGTGAGCATGTGGTCAGCCCGGTTGCTAGAATTCTTCCCATGAGCAGGTGGGGTCCAGGAACTTCAGGGGCTGACTGTGGCCTCATGCCCAGTACCTTTAGCCATTTTAATTTACCAAACCTCATTGTCCCATTCTCTTTTCAGGTTCTTGGCCATAAAATATGGCTTTTGGAAAAATAAAGCTGAGACTTGGAGTTCACGGTGGGGGCTCCCCCATCTGTGAACAGAAGCAGAAGTTTGGAACTGCCTTCTTTACTGCTCGAGAGGGAAAACTTGAGTGAAAACCAGGATGCTGGCGAATGTTGAGTAGCTAAGCTGCACAGGAAATACCACTTGATGACCTGCGATCTGGGGAAGCCGCGCCAGGGCTCTGCGAAGCTGCGGACGAGGGAGGCGTCAGTGTGGGGGCTGCAGCTCAGCTCCGGGGGGGACGCGCCTTTCTCCACGGGACCTGGGGCTCAGGTGCTCACGAGGCTGGGGCGCTGCAGGCCACCCGCAGGGGAAACTGAGGCCCTCCATTTTGTGGGGCTGGAAGACCTTTCCTTCCAAAAGCAGGTGTAGGCGGGAGCACCTGTGCAGTCCCTCTGTTCAGATCCTCACCCACTTTTAAATCAGGTAATTGCTTTTCTTGTTATTGCATTGAGTTCCTTATGTATTTTAGATATTACCCCCAAGAACATTTATTTTAAACACTAGCTAAAGCTCTCGTAAGAACTGATGTCTTATAAGGTAAAATACTGGTTTAAGAAAGAAGTTGATAAAGGGACAGCACCAGACAAAGAGTGGCAGCACCAACAACCAGTGCGAGGGCTCCGTTCAGAAGGATCTGGATGGTCGCCTGGACGTGCTGCCGTGTCATGTCTTAGGTGGTTAGTCAATCCACATGATGGTTTTAAGTCAAATTCCCAGCTTTGGGACCAACCCTATCCCCCACGGCAATCCAAGAAACCCGATCCAGGACTCTTTCCACTGGGAGTTGTCAGAACTGTGTCTTCATCCAAGACAATTGGTTTCCCATACTCATACTTAGAGGGAACCCTGGCCCCTTTAAGGTGGGGCTCCCTCAACTTGGGACTCGTTACTCCTCAGTTCAGCTCCCCTGCCATTGCTGGCCTCCTTGACAGAGTTCAGAGGATGCGGCTCCATCCTTCTCCCTCTGTCCCAGCTTCTTGTATGTGAAAACAAACCAGGGAGGCTGGAGGCCCTGAGTACATTTTTTTGAATTCTGGGCAGCAGCGTCGGTGGCCTCGGTGGTGCACTGTGTTCAGGTGGTTAGCGGTCATGCTGATCTGTGGTGATAGTGCTTGTTGGCACCACAGTGAGAGTTCATGCTCTCGCGTGTTTCAGAGATGGTGGGAGGTGCCCACAGGCAGGTGAGGAAACATCCTCCCTGGAGAAAAAGGCAGCAGGAGAGCATCAGGAAGCTGGCAGAGCTGTCTGCTTCCACTAATCTTTACTATTGAGAGGCCCTGGCTCATTATACAAATTGGGCACACGGCAACAGTGCTGGGATCAAAGGCAGTTGTATTCTGTCATCCCATGGCATCGCCGGGTACCCTTCATTTTACTCCTGAGGCTGTAACTTGGACAAAGCGCTTTCTGCTGCTTTGGATGAAAAATTCTTTTCCTCCACAGGAAACAGCAGATGAAATGCACAGTGTGAAGGACAAGGATTCTGCTGAGAGAATTGCTCCGAGGGTTGCTCAAGTGATCATGGGAAATAATGCATCAAACCATTCTTTAGGTATTTTTTTAAATTAGGAGGTAAAAAATCTGTGCTGTTTGCCAAAATGATTCTTACACAGACAAGCTAGGAAAATTGCTCTGAAACATGACACAGACTCCTGATTTGGCCCAACTAGGGTGTGAAGGATGAAATCCATCCTGAGCCCTTCATCCCTCTGCTTTCTCTGGTGCAGATGCAGCTCAGGTGTGCCTTTTCTTCGCCTGTGCCCATCCACCTGAGATGGACCATAACCATAAAAGTCAGAAGGCACTGACCCTTCAGGACGTGACAGGGTTAAAAGATGCTGGAGGGAAAGTCTGTCATTGACTTTTATTCACTTCCTTTCTCCATTCTGCCATTTGGAAGAAGGTAAGCAACTTAACACTATTTTAGACCATATGTTGTAAACTAGCAGGAAAATGCCTTTGAGCTGATGATGGTGGCCCGAACACAGTGAACCTGTCTTAAATCCCTGCTTTAAACCCTTAAGGGTGTCACTTACAAGAGATACTATTTGAAGTCTTCCCATGCATGTGTAGGGTGGGGGGAGTACCAACAGCTCATCGAATGGGCTCCATTTGAAAGATCTGGATGGTTGCCTTTATTTGTAACTAGTTTCTTTTCTTTTTTTTTTTTTCCTTGAGATGGAGTCTTGCTCTATCACTGGGCTGGAGTGCAGTGGCGCAATCTCAGCTCACTGCAACCTCTGCCTCCCAGGTTCAAGCGATTCTCCTGCCTCAGCTTCCCGAGTAGCTGGGACTACAGGCATGTGCCACCACACCCAGCTAATTTATGTTTTATTTTTTAGTAGAGACAGGGTTTCACCATGTTGGCCAGGATGGTCACGATCTCCTGACCTCATGATCTGCCTGCCTCGGCCTCCCAAAGTGCTGGGATTACAGGCGTGAGCCACCGCGCCCGGCCGTAACTAGTTTCTTAGATGACAGCTCAGTCCACAGGATTGAGTTAAGTCAGCTTCCCAACTTTGGGGCTGATCCTGTCCTCATGGCAACCTAAGAAAGTCCACCAAGGATGTTGTCCATTGGAAGTTGTCAAGACTTTGTCCTCATCCAAGACAATTAGCTTCCCATACTTATATAGAGGGACCCCGTCCCTATCCCCAAAGTGGCTTCACACTCCTTAACTCAGCTGCCTGCCTGGAACAGAAGGAGAGTTGCTGGCCTCACTGACAGAGCATGGGGCTGGTTGACAATTCTAAAAGCCTGGCCTGTTCCTCTGATTGGCTACTCAGATAGGAGAACCAGAGCAGTAGCCCAGGCTGATAATCAGGAACCTGGGGCCCTGGAGTTACCTGCTGCTCCTGGTGTCTGCTAGAGCTCCCTAGACATCTTTTTAGATGGAGGTCTGTGGCTCAGTGTGCCATCACGCTGTCCTGTTGGCTGCAGTCTCAAGCTGGGACAGAATGATCAGACTGAATGCTTGTGTCTTCCCCAAACTTGTATGTTGAAACCTAATCCCCAATATCAGTGTGTTTGGAAGTGGAGCCTTTGGGAGGTGGTTAGCTCATGAGGGTGGAGCCCTTATGAATGGGATTAGTGTTTTTGTTGTTGTTGTTGTTTTTGAGATGGAGTATCACTCTGTCACCAGGCTGGAGTGCAATGGCGCGATCTCGGCTCACTGCAACTTCCGCCTCCCAGGTTCAAGTGAATCTCCTGCCTCAGCCTTCCGAGTAGCTGGGACTACAGGCACGTGCCACCATGCCCAGCTAATTTTTGTATTTTTAGTAGAGATGGGGTTTCACCATGTTGGCCAGGATGGTCTTGATCTCTTGACCTCATGATCTGCCCGCCTCAGCCTCCTAGAGTGCTGAGATTACAGGCGTGAGCCCCCGTGCCTGGCCTTGAATGGGATTAGTGTTTTAAAGAGGCCTGAGAGAGACTCCTGGCCACTTTTGCCTTATGAGGACACAGTGGAAAGGTCCCATCCCTGAACCAGGAAATGGGCACTTACCAGACACTGAATCTGCCTGCAGCTTGACCTTGAACTTCCCAGCCTCCAGAACTCTGAGGAATAAATTTCTGTTATGTGATAAGCCATTCAGTCTGTGGTATTTTGTTATACCAGCCCAAACGGACTAAGACACAGAACATAGCCTGTGCCTCTTCCAGTTTCTTCAGGATCCTTCTGGGCTCAGAGAATGGAGCTAAGAGGAAGATTCTACCATTAGGGCTGGTCTTCACCTGTCTCTTAAGACTGATGGGCTCCCCATTTGAATGACATTGATCAACCCGACATTAACCCATTGGGTATGGCTGGGGCAGCTCCTCTTATCTGTGAGGTGGGAACCAGGTTGGTAATGTTGCATCCTGTTAGCCAGGTTCCTAGTTCAGTTTAGCTGTTGTGCAGGTCAAGGACTCTTAAGGATTGAATTGCATCCCTTCAAAAGATATTGAAGTCCTAACCCCCAGAATCGGTGACTGTGACCTTATTTGGAAATGGGTCTTTGCAGACACAATCAAGTTAAGATGAGGTCATATTGGATTAAAGTGGTGTGTAATTCAATAGATGATCTCTTTAATGAAAAGGGAAATTTGTACTGAGAAACACAGAGGGAAATGCTATGTGAAGATGGAGGCAGAGATTGGAGTGATTTGGAGCAATGTGTATGTCTGCAAGCCAAGGAACACCAAGTATTGCCAGCCATCACCAGAGCTGGAGGAGGGGCCTGGAACAGATTCCCACTAGAGCCCCCAAAAGGATCCAACCCTGCTGACACTTTGACTTTGGAGTTGTGGCCTTCAGAACTGTGAGAGAATTAATTTGTGTTGTTTTGAGCCACTCAGAGTGTGGTATTTTGTTATAGAAGTCCTTGGATACTAATAAAGACATTAATAGCCAGATCGGAGGCACCCCCTCCAAGGCCTGAGAGAAGGTTGTTTTATGGAACCCTGGTTTAGTAGCTGGGACCACAGATGCGTGCCACCATGCCTGGCTATTTTTTTAAATTTTTTGTACAGATGGCATCTTGCTGTGTTGCCCAGGATTCTGGCTAGGGACTGTGGTTGCAGGTGCTGGGGCTAATGAAAATGGGCAAGAGCAGAATAGCACAGTAACATCTATTCTCTAAATCGACAATCTTTTCCAGACTACGGTTTAAGAATCTGTGCCCGATGAAGCTGAAGGGGGCCTCAGAACTGGTCTCGTGGTCCTCCTCTCAGCTCTGAGGTACTTGTGGCTTGTGGCAGAGCCGCTATGGACGTCGCTGACCTAGTGGTCAGTGCATACATCTGCAGAAAGGTCACTCTACATTCAAGTGAACCAATAGAGTGTCTAGAAATCTCAATTCATGGTGTGTGGGGGCAAGATGCCCATTCTGACCCTTTAAGGGGGCATCAACATTTCAGAGGGTGGTAGGAGTGGTGATGAGTCCTCCTTAGGGTGAAAGTTCACCCCTTTGGGCTACTAGAGGGCAGTCATTGGTATAATTTCTCTATTTTAAGCATTCTGATGTTTGATTACAACTTACCCATGGAAGGCTGAGTTTGTAGTTACTGAACCTTTCCAAGGCTGGGTAGCGTGCCTTCTCTCCCGAATGCTATGGAGTTCTACAGTGTGCCAGCATCTGTTTCTGTAGCTCCTTCTTTCATCACTGATGGACGTTTAGATTGTTTCCAGTTTCTACTACCACAAACAGTGCTTCAGTGACCATCCTTAGCTGTGGCTTCTTGTGTATGTGTGAGGATTTCTTCAGAATCAGGTCTCCACCTTGGACACTGTCCATATATTGGGCCAGATAATTATTTAGTGTTGGGGGTGCTGTCCTGTGCACTGTAGAACGCTTAGCAGCACTTAGCAGCATCCCTGGCCTCCACCCACTAGGTGTCAGTAGTGTGCACTACTTATCACCACCAAAAATGTCCCCACATGGTGTCAAATATCCACTGGGGGAAACATTGGCCTTCCCGCCTGTTCAGAACCATTGGGATAGATGAAAAATGTGAGGCGGTGTTTTTTTTGTTGTTGTTTTTTGTTTTGTTTCGTTTTGTTTTAAGACAGGGTCTCGTTCTGTCATCTAGACTGGATCACAGTGGCATGATCACAGCTCACTGCAGCCTCAACCTCCTGGGCTCAAGTGATCTGCCCACTTCAGCCTCCCCAGTAGCTGGGACCACAGGCGTATGCCACCATGCCCGGCTATTCTTTTTTTATTTTTTATAGAATGGCATCTTTGCTATGTTGCCCAGGCTGGTCTCAAACTCCTGGCCTCAAACAATCCTCCTGCCTCAGCCTCCCAAAGTGCTGCGATTACAGGCATGAGCCACTGTGCCTGGCCAAGAGTGAGATTTATGAATCAAAAGGTGCTATGATTTGAATATTCATCCTCTCCCAAATTCCTGTTGAAATTTAGTTTCCACAATGGCAGTATTAAGAGGTGGGACCTTTAAGAGATGATTGGAATAATTCATTCATGGATTAATGGATTAATGAACTAATAGATTATCATGGAGTTATAAGAAGAAGAGAACTTGAGCTTGTACTCCCAGCCCCTCGCCATGTGGTCTCCTGGGCCAACTCAGGACTCTGCAGAGAGTTCTCCATCAGCAAGAAAGCTCCTCACCAGATGTGGCCCCTTGACCTTGAATTCTTCAGCCTTCATAACTGCAAGAAATAAATTTATTTTCTTATAAATAGCCCAGTTTCAGGTATTCTGTCATAAGTAACAGAAAAGGGACTAAGACAAAGGGAATGCATGTTGAGTGTAATACACATGCTGAACAGTCATACAGGGGCTGGGCACATTCCACACTCCTGGAGGCAATGTCTAATAGACATTCGACACCATCACCATACTTACAAGCCATGCTGATGGCTGAGACAGGGCGAATCATTTAGTTTTGGGTTTGATTTTCTTAATTATTACCTAAACGTCTTCTCATGTTTATTAGTCATTAGAATTTCATTTATTATGAGTTACCTATTCAGTGTCTTTGTCTGTTTGTCTATTCTTCTTCTTATTGATGTTCAGAGAAAATATCCAAAATATTTGACAACCATGAGGGCACTGGATCTTCAAATGTCCAAACACCTGCCCCCATAGGATGGACACCAGCTGTTTACACCAACACAGGAGTCCTGGGTGCGGTGAAAGAACATCTGCCATGTGGATTTGTTGCTGTTCTTAATTTACTATGGAAATTAGCCTCTTGCCTGTGATAGAAATCACACGTATTATCTCTGAGTAGTCCCATGTCTTAAAGCTTTGTTTGTTATTTAAATTTCAAAGTAGACAAATTGAGATGTCTTCTCTTCCTTTATACATTTTATTTTATTTTATTTTTATTTATTTTATTTTATTTTCAGATGGAGTTTCGCTCTTGTTGCCCAGGCTGGAGTGCCATGGCAAGATCTAGGCTCACTGCAACCTCTGCCTCCCGAGTTCAACCAATTCTCCTGCCTCAGCCTCCCAAGTAGCTGAGATTACAGGCATGCACCACCACGCCTGGCTAATTTTTTTCGTATTTTTAATAGAGACAGGGTTTCACCATGTTGGTCAGGCTGGTCTCGAACTCCTGACCTCAAGTGATCCACCTACCTTGGCCTCCAAAGTACTGGGATTACAGGCGTGAGCCACCACACCCAGCCTATACCATATTTAGAATGTCTTTTCTACCTTAACATTCTCTTTTATGTTTTTTCCCTTATTGGCATTTTTTTTTTTTTTTGTATTTAGGACTTTAATTGAGGTGAAACATATTTTCTGATGAATGCTGTACTGGTAGGGATTTAACTTGCCAATGCCAAACTTCCAATGCCAAAACCATAGTAGCGGGTCAATTTAACAATCGTTATTTATTCTTGAATGAACAAATAAATGAGTTTCTAGGCTTTATCTCTCCACGGATGGTGTCGCCCCTTCCTGAATTGGCACGTCCCTGTACCTTTTAGGAAGTCTGGTAGGGTGCACAACCATCCCTCTTCATTCTTTTCCTTTAAAGGTTCTGACTATTGTTACATAGTTCCTCTTCCATATTACTCTGAGACTCAGCTTGTCTAGTTCCATTAAAATCTTTGCACTGCTGAATCTTTTCATTTTTGAATACAATAAATCCCACAACATAGTCAGGTCTTTTAAATGAGTTTGTCAGTAAGGTTTTATAGTTTTCTCTGTAATCTTGAACATTTCTTGTTAAGTTTCTTTCTCGGTTTATTATAGTTTTTTTATTATATATGAGATTTTTCTATGCATTTCTAATTGGTTCTTTCGGATGCATAGGAAAGTTAATGGTTTTAAAGATATTGATCTTGGCTGGGTGCTGTGGCTCACACCTGTAATCCCAGTGCTTTGGGAGGTCGAGGCGGGTGGATTGTCTGAGGTCAGGAGTTCGAGACCAGCCTGACCAACATGGTGAAACCCTGTCTCTACTAAAAATACAAAATTAGCCGGGCATGGTGGCAGGTGCCTGTAATCCCAGCTACTTGGGAGGCAGGAGAATTGCTTGAACCCAGGAGGCAGAGGTTGCAGTGAGCCGAGATCACGCCATTGCACTCCAGCCTGGGCAACAGAGTGAGACTGTCTTAAAAAAACAAAAAACAAAAAACAGAAATATGTATATATCTTGTCTAGCACACTGTTCATAGCCAGTGTTTAAAATATGACACCTTGTTTAAGTGCTATTTTCTAAAGACAGTTGTGTAGATTTTTAAGAGGCAGTCGCAGTGGTTCATTTTATATGTTAACCTGACTGGGGCAACGAATGCCCAGATAGCTGGTAAGACAGTATTCTGGATGTGTCTGCAAGGGTATTTCTGGAAGAGATTAGCATTGCAATCTGTAGCCAAATGAAGATTCCCTTCCCCCATGTGGGCAGGCATTGTGCAATTCACAGAGGGCCCAAGTAGAAAAAAAGGCTGAGAAAGGGGGAGTTCATTCTCTGCTGGAGCTGGAACATCCATCTTCTCCTGCCCTCTGGTATCAGACCTCCTGGCTCCCTCCCTTTCCCCTACCTCACTTCTCAGGCCTTTGGACTCAGAGACTGAATCACATCACCAGCTTTCCTGGTTCCCTGGCTTGTAGATGGCAGACAGTCTGACTTCTGGGCCCCCAGAATCACATGAGCCAATTCCCATAAAAAATTTTTCTCTCTCTCAAACTCTCTTCCTCCTATGTATGTAATATATCCTATTGATTCTGTTTCTCTGGAGAATCCTGATTAATACACGGTCTGAACTCAGAACATCACGCGTGTCCATACAGTGAAGAGTGTTGCACAAAGTGGCAGAGTGAATGGCACAAGCAGCCAGAAATTGCTTGTCCCTGGGAAAGAGCTGGAATGAAATGCTCCCCCAGGCTGGCCAACTGTGCTGTGGCTACCTGGGCCTCAGGGGAGGAGGGAGCAGTGGAGAGAACCAGGGCCCTGTGAGCAGGGAGGTCCAGGTTTCCTCCAAAAGAGGAATGTGGAGGCAGAATGGAGATCACATTGGGGCTGTTGCTTCCAGCTCTTCTGGAATCTGGAAGCACTCAAGTTGGTGGCTGTGTCTGGCTAAGGTTTCAGATGAGCTAAGAAGCGGAAGACAGTCCACTGTTGCCAGTCCCTTTAGAGAAGGAGGGAGCCAGGCTGAGAGGGCAAATCTACTGACCCAGGACAGCTGGAAGCTAGGGAGGGACGAGCTCCCGTGCATCGCAATAGATGCAATGGACGTGACGTGCAATCATCGGAGTCAGGGTTTAAGGCTGGGCTGCTCCACCTCTTCTGAGTGCTAAGAATCCCCTGGAATGTTTTCTAAAAACGTGGTTTCACTCGTTTGATCCTAAAGATTATGATGCTGGAGTCTGGGGGCAAAGCTCAGAGCTCTTTATTTTTAACAAGCATCCCAGGTAACTCAAAAGTAGCAAATACTGGTTTAATGTGCATTATCTTTGACCATTTGCAAGTGGGTTCTTAAGTTAACATAGTAAATTGAAAGATGAGACAGGTGCGACACATTATTCAGGGAAACCCTTCTGTTTCAAAGAATGACTGCTTGGCCCATCTGACTTGTGGTGGTAAAGGCAGGAAGATGAAATAAAGCACCCAGTGTGTGCAGTGTTTAGCATGAATGAAGTTAGAAGGAATGAAATCTACGTACAATTTGCCTACATAGCAGCTGCATGAAAGTGAGCTGGCTTGTGATACGGCAGCTTAGAAATAGGGCAGCTTAGAAAACCAGATTGGTGGGGGCAAGCAGGTGAAGGGAGGCCGGGGGTCCCCCATGACCTATACTTCCTTTTCCCTTTGCAAGCCCTAACCTGCTGCTCCTCCAACCCTTGACCAAGGGAGAGGATGGGCTCCCTGGGGAGGGCTGAATGAGGGTGGAGCATGATGTGTGTGTGTGTGTGTGTGTGTTGGGTGGATGTGTATATGTGAGGTATGTTGTGTGCGTGGTGTGTATTGTGTTTGTAGTGTGTTTATGTGTGCTGTGTGCTCTATATTGTGTGCATGAGCATGTGTGCATGTGTGTAGTATGGTGTGTATTGTGTATATGTGTGTGTTACGTATGGTTTGTATTGTGTATGTAGTTGTTTATGTGTGGTGCGTGCTATGTATTGTGTGTATCAGCATATGTGCATGTGTGTAGTATGGTGTGTATGTATGTGTGTGGTGTGTATTGTATATGCAGGGTGTGAATGTGTGTGTGGCATATTGTGTGTGTATGTATGTAATGTGTGTGTGTGTTGTGTGTGTATGTGTAGTGTCTGGTGTGTATTGTGTGTATAATGTGCGTGTAGTGGGCTGTGTGTGTGTGTGTTGTGTATGTAGTGTGTAAGGTGTATGTGAGTGTGCTTGTGGCATGTATTGTGAGTGTGTGTCTCTAATGTGAGGTTTGAAGGGCCTCACAGTTATGCCCACAAAGGTCACTTGGTCTTTCCTGGAGACGCCTCATGGGAGTTTTCACTGTGGCTTCCTGCCACTTGCTGTGGTCTTAAAAAAAGTAAAGAGAGTTACAAATCATTCCTTGTTTGCAGCATAAATTGCAGATGATAATTCAAATTCCTGCATCAGGTGGAAAGTAGCAGATTTAAAACACTGCAAAGAAGGGGCTGAGCAGTGAGACGGATGCTTTGGAACAATCGAGAAAGTAAGAGCCAGCTGTAAGGTTGCCTGCAGCCATGGAGCAATGAAGTGTCAAGGTCAAAGATCCCCCCAGGTCACGCAGTCCTGCCACTCTCCCTCCCTCTATGGCCCTGCGCACTTCCAGTGGCATAGCTAGGGTGGATGAAGGGGACACCTCTGACCACATCTCTCTGCCCTCTGACTCAAGTCCTTCCTGCTATAATGAAATCCCCCATGCTCCCTGAGTTTGGCATCTACTTAATCAAAGAATGTGGAGACTTAGTTCTCAGGAGGGCCGCTACTGAGTGGGTATGCCACTGGTCAAGAGGGTAACAGGAGACAGAAGACCCAGGAGGAGACTTTGGCCTAAATGGATCAGCAACACCACAGAGCATCCACTCCCCCAGAGCATCACCCGGAAGGACCATCCGTTCGGAGACATCCTGGGAGAACAAGAGGTTTCTTGTCTGACTCTAAAATTTATTTTATCAGTGTATCTAGGATTGGGCTGAGTTTAAACAGAAAACCTTTAAATAAGCACTATATGCCTGCTAGACATATTAATGCAATAAAAGAACCCTGTGTCTTGCTAAACTAAATTCTCAAAAGTTAACATTAAAAAATGATTCACGGCCAGGTGTGGTGGCTTACGCCTGTAACCCCAGCACTCTGGGAGGCCGAGGTGGGCGGATCACTTGATCCCAGGAGTTTCAGACCAGCCTGGGTAACATGACAAAACCCTGTCTCTACTAAAACTACAAAAATTAGCTGGACATGGTGGCACATGCCTGTGGTTCCAGCTACTTGGAAGGCTGGGGTGGGAGGATCACGTGAGCCTGGGAGGTCAAGGCTGCAGTGAGCTGTGATTGCGCCATTGCACTCCAGCCTGGGCAACAGAACAAGACTCTATCTCAACAAAACAAAACAACAGAACAAAACAAAACAAAAAAACCAAAACACACACACACACACACACACAGAAAGCGATTCACTTATTTTTTTCAATATAGACCACTTTTTAAACTTTTTACTTTGAAAAAAATAATGAATTCACAGGAAGTTGTGGAAAAGCACCCTGTGCCGTTTACTCAGTTTTCGTGATGATTACATTTTACATAACTACACTGCAATGTCAAAACCAGGAAACTAACATTGATACAGTGTGTGTATGGTTTTATGCCATTTTTTTTCTTAAAATTGTTTTTTCTTTTTAATTATCATGGATATACAAAGAAATGACATGCCATTTCATCACATGTAAATTTGTGGACGTTTTAACTTAGAGCAGGGGTCCACAGACTGTTGCCTGAGTGCCATATCCAGCTGGCCTCTGGCTTTTGAGAATAAAGATAAAGTCTCGGAACACAGCCACGCTCATTCATTTGCATATTGTTCGTGGCTGCTTTTCACTCCGGTGGTGGAGCTGAGTAGTTGTGTTGCTCGCAAAGCCTCAGATATTTCCCTTTTGACCCTTTATAGGAAAAGCTTGCTGATCCATGATTTAGAGAATCATTGGAATTTTTTTAATCTAAAAAAATCCTTGGGGTCCCTATAGTCTAGCCCTTTTATTTGATAGAGGAGGAAGCTAAGCTCAGGGCAGACAGAGGACATGTCCCAGGTCACACGCCAGTCAGCACCAAGTAAATCTATGGCCAGGGTCTCCTGACCTCCCTGCTGTTCTGGTCTCAGCAGGGCACTCAACTGGCCACTGGACCATTAAGCTGGATTTTATATTTTGAGCATGTTTGGGAGTTGGGCAGTTGGGTAAAGTAGTCCTCAACACAAATATTTCTTCTAAATTTCTTTTGTAGCTTGAATTCCACTGGGCAATCTGTTTGCTTATTTTCTTATTTGACTAAAAGAAAACGTGTGTCACAACATTAAAAATGGTGAAATGAGGCCATAGACCAGGGCTGCAACCTCAGTGTCCTCAGGCAGCCGATGTAAATGAGCGAAGCAGGAGAGGAACCTGCCCAGGGGCTGCAGGGCAGGGTGGGGACTGTGGCAAAGGGCATGCCCGAGGTGACCCAGCTCCAGTTCATTGTTCCTACATGTGAATGCAAGGCAAGAGTGGCCAGATTGGATTTTCAAGTGACCTTTTCTAATATTTAAATGTTAGCAACTACTTAAAAAATCCACAGACCCTGAGCAGTTCAACCTTGGCCCCAGGTTTCCCATTTACCACAGTTTACTCTTGGTTTGGCCTCAGGGATCTTATGAATTTGAGCCATCAGAATCAAGGGGTTGACTGAGAGGACAGGGATGGTGAAGATCCCCATCGCCACTCCAGTTCAATCTCTGGTGGAGGAAGGGTCATCTTCACAGGTGCGCCATGGCCCAGCGTTTCTACACGTGCTCACCTACCACTAGGTGAGCTCCCAAGGAAGCCGATGGCTCAGGCTGTACTGACCTCTCCCAGGGAAACAGTTGCTTCCCTGAGACCTTCTTACTAAATACACTTCCTACATACAAGAGCTGTCATACCCTCAGGTATGTAGGCGTGACCAACACTTAGTGTTCTCAGTAGGGGAACACTTGGTAGTACCAAAGACATTTTTGGTTGTCACAACTGGGGGCCTGCTGCCGGCATCCAGGGTGGAACCTGGGAATGCTGCTAAACACCCTACAATGTACAGCACAGCCCCCACCCCCAACAAAATACAATTTTTCTCTGGCCCCCAAACTCAATGGTGCCCAAGTTGAGAGACCTTGATCTAGAGCAATGAACCCGACATTTGTAGTTATCCAAGATGAGGTGCTCCAAAAAATCACGGGCCAGTGTTCAGTGAACATCGAACGTGGTTGGTGGGCTCTAGATATTCAGCCGAATTCAGGATTTCCTAACCTCCTGCTGCGGGTGATGCGTTCAGAGCCCATCAGGAAAGGTTGGTAGAGCGGAGAAACCTGGCCCAGAGGGATTCCGCACTGATACGGGCGCACAGGAGGCCGCACGGAGGAGGGAGTGGCGCCCCTAGAGGGAGCCTCAGGATGTAGCTCCTGAACCCCTTTAGAATTTTAATTCTCTAAATGAAAATGCCTATTATTTTTGAAAGGATTTGCTTAAACTTCTTATCTGAAAACAGTTACATTGCAGGGATCAATTTGTTGAAAGTGAAAGCAAAAAATCCAACACAAAGAGTAAACTGCCTCTTATCTATGTGTGAGCAGAATGCTGGAGGGGGGATTTGACTCTCCTGGCCTCAGTAGCGGCCCTTCTGAGAACTGTATGCCCAGTTCTGCCTGTCTGCAGGATTTCATCACACTGTGTGCAAGAAACCAAAGTGGGAGGAGAAGAGACATTTCGGTTCAGCCCATTTTTCCATTCTCACTAAGTTTGTAGTGTAAGAAATAATTGTAAATTTTTCTTTGACTTATATACTGCCAGTGAGACAAGGAAGTCATTTGAGGAAAATGTAATGGAAAAAGGAATTTCATCCATTTCCTCAAGAAAATCACTGTGTGTGTGCGTACATGCAGGTGCCTGCACTGATTACAGAAAATGTGTGAAAGAAAAAAAATCTTTCCATTGGAGCTTCAAATAAGCCAAATATTAACTGTTCACTTACTGGCTACTAACAACAGTTTTGGGGTTTTTCAAGGACGGCTGTCTGTTTGGAGGAGTAACTTTAATCAGTACAGCTGACCACGATATCAGCCATTAATTTCCAACATTAGCTTAAATCCTGTTTCTGATTATAAATATAATGTACATGTTCATTATAGCACACTTGGAACATACAGAACAATTATAAAGCAGAGTATCAAAACTACCTGGAATCCTGACATTGACAGATAAACCACTGTTAAGCATTGGTATATTTTAGGGCATGGCTTAGTAAACTATGGCCTGTTGGCCAAATCTGACCTGTTGCCTGTTTTTATAAAGTGTTCCTGGAACTCAGCTGTGTTCATTACTTTTTGTATGCTGTTTTCAAGATACAATGTCAGAGAGACCATGTGGTTGCAAAGCTTAACATATGTACTATCTGGCCTTTTATAGAAAAACGTTTGCCAGTCTCTGCTTAGGGAAGTCTTTATCATGTGTGCGTGTGTGTGCGCGTGTGTGTTTGCATGTGTGTGTGTGGGGGGCACATATGATAGACCCATTAAGTTGATAGGTTCGGTAATCATAGTGAGGAATCTCTAGGAAGAACAAGTTTCAAGTTTTCTGGGGACATAATGAATGGTTTTGGTTATGCTGAGTGTGGGAGAGCTGGGTGTGTGTTCCCAGGGGAAGCAGGAGCATGGTCTGAGCTGGGGCAGAGGTCCAGGGCTACAGCCTCGCTTGGTAATAGTGGAAGCTGTGGACACAGGGGGACAAATGTTCAGGGAGAAAGAAAAAGATCAAAGTTGGCTATGGGGAATATGGTGTGGTGAGCTGTTCGTATGCAGGAGAGGGACGATGAGAGAGGGAGAAGGCAAGGAGCCTCGCATCCCTTGTGGAGGATGGCGCCCAGCAGTGACAAAGGCTTCAAAGAGGAGGACTGAGCTAGTGGGTGTGAAAGGGCCCCTGGACTTGAAAATCATCAGGTAGTTATAACTCCTGCGCTCACGCACAACAGAAACACAGAAACGTTCACCAGAGTGGGGTGGGGAGGGAGTACAGGGGAGCCAGTGTGTTTTGGAAGGTAATGGGTATTTCATGGGATTAAAAGATGGGCTAACAATTTTGTACTCATTTGTTATGCAGCCCTAGGGAACTAACGAAGTCTCCAAAGTAGGCATTTTTCATTTTAGACTTTGTTAGTTATTTGTGTATTTCTGTGATTGCATTTCAACACTGGCATTCTTCACCCGTGAGGACCATCTTCAGGCAGGCCTTCCTTGTTGCTGGCCCCTCGTCAGTCCACTCACTCTTATTCTCAGCAATGGCTATTTCCAGCCTTCTCCCTGGACCTCTGCAACCACAACCCCATCTCCTCTCCCTGCTCTGATAACTCTGCTGCAAAGAGAGGAGCAGCAATCAAAATAAAATCCCTGCAGCTCCAGGGCCAAACGCACCAGCCGCCGGGTGTGGTGCCTCATCCCTCCCCTCCCTTAGGGGAAGTGCTGGTCTCACCTGCAGCTGCTTCTCGCGTCCCCACAGCCTCATTCATCCCCTCCTCTGGATCCTTCCCGGGAGCACACACACGTGCTGTCATGTCTTTTATTGCAAAACCAACAACCCTCCCTGGCCCCTGCACCCCTGTCTAGATTGTGCCTATGTTTCCTGCCGCTCTCACAGCAGCGAGGTGTTCACGCCTCACTGCCCCACTTCTCTCCTTCTCTCTGCAGCCCTGGCCACGCTTTCCCATCACCTCCTCCAGGTGGGTGCAGCAGCAGAAGGAAAGGCTGCTTGAAGTTGGTTCAAAAGAAAAGAGGAGGGGAGGAATGAATTTCTGGCGTTGAGACCTAGTAACTGTTTTCAAGGACATAGGATGGTTGCTGGAGGGGAGAAGGAGTATCAACAGAAGTCTATTTGGAATTTCTTTTTTTTGTGTGGGAAGATGCACGTAAAATAAAATTTTCCATTTTAATTATTTTTTAGGTGTACAAATTTATTAGCAATAACGACCTTCATAATATTGTGTACCCATCATTAGTATTTCCAAAACTTTTTAATCATCCCAAATGGAAATTCTGAACTCATTAAATAATCCCTTTCAGCTGCCTCTCCCCAGTCCCTGGAAACCTCTAATCTACTTTCAATCTCGGAATTCGCCTATTCTAGATATCTCAGGGACATGGAACTGCAGGAAACGTGCATGGATCAGGTGCAACCTGCTCCATCTGCTTGTTCTTCTATGAGGTAAGGGTCGTCCACCTACATAAAACAGAGAGAGGCTCTCTGAAAGCAAAGATGATTATCTGGGAAGAGAGCATTGCAATGGGAATATGCACATTTTAGTAAACTATGCCTGTATTCAGGGAGAGAAAGGAAGGCAAAGGTTTTTTGAGGGAAAAAAATGAAGAGGATTACTTCTTTTGATATAATTATGCTTGGCTACAAAGATCAACAGCAAGGGTGATAGCAGTCTGAGGTTGGACAGGCAGCTGCTGGACAGATGTCCTTGCAGAAGTGTTTTTTTTGTTTGTTTGTTTGTTTTTGCATAAGGTTGCAATGGTCTTTGAGCAAGGTTGTGATTTTTTGGGGGTTTTTGTTTTTTTGTTTGTTTGTTATCAGGCATATGGTTTTAGAACCCGCTGTTCATGGCTTCCCTGGCTCTATTTGTGAGAGTTTTCTTAACATCAGTGACTCTGTTTGGATTCTGAGAACTTTCACAGGACAGATGCTTTCCCAGTGGATGGGCTTGCAGATTTGGGGGTCAGTTGTTTCCGAGAAGGGGATGAGCTGCCCCTTTGCTCCCTTGCCTGAGCCGTCTTCTCTCACTCTGCATTTCCAGTACCGTGGCTGGGATCTTCCATCTTTATCCATCTGACTCCAGCAGCTTTTTCTCAGTTCCAAACTGGCCGGGGGTAAAAGTGAGTGTGATGAGCTCTCACAAACCCCAACAATTTAGTGCTTCACACCTGGCGGGTCCTCACTGAAAGATGGCTGAAAAAAGGAAAGGGTGAATGAGCAAAACACAGCTGTATTTTATTTAGTTTTCCATCTTTTATGATTTTAATGAAAGACTATCTAGAAAGCAGCAGAGTAGTTAATAACACACGTGGTCTCTGGAATCCGAAACACCTGTATCCAAACCCAGATGCTCTCTCTAACCTGTGAGATTGCTCAATGGGGCCGAGCCTTTAGTCTCTAGATGGTAAAATATTAGCAAATGGCTTGCACGTGTGATGTGCAAGGACTAAACAAGGCGTGCCTGTAAAGTGCTGAGTGTTCTGTAACTGGTAGGCACTTACTTTGTGTCACCTGCCCGCCTCCAAGGAATCTCATTTCCTAACTTGACAGCTGCCTCCCGGATCCTGCTTGGACAGATCCCACTAGGGAGGTCCACACCTGTGAGAGCGGCAAATGCATTGTTGTCGAGCTCTTCCTATAGGTAGAGGAAACCGAAGATGGGGCATAATGACTTCCTGGGAGTGGCGGGAAAGGCCCAGACGCTACCTGACATTATTTGTGGCTGCAGTTGAAGATCTGGGTGTGCACCTCCAGCCTGTGCATCGGGACTCATGGCGCAGCTGAGTCAAAGCCGTGCCTCTGCTGCCAGAACGGAGATCTTGACTAAATTTATCCTGAATTTCTTGCTGTGCCAGATCCATTCTGACTTTGAACTTTAAGAAAACAGCTCCTTGGGTTATGCAACTGGCACCACTGAATGTGAGCTGGGAGGAAGTGACAGGAAATCTTGTAAAGAGAACGGAAGAGCATTTCTCCCCAGCTCCGAGGCAGGTGGTGTTGGCAACTGCAGGCAAGGTGGGGGGAGTGGGTGGTGCGGCCCCCTCACCCTCACTGAGCCTCTCTTTGGGCTTCTCCTCCTCCCACATCCCCTCTGTGCTGAACAAAACTCACCACTCCTGGGCCCATTGCTTCAGGCTTTGCAAGGGGTCTGGCGGAGTAATCTGAAACAAATTTAAGCAAGATATGGGTGCTGTAATGATTTGATGCAGTCATTAGACTCACCTGGGGAGCTGGTAGAACTATTGATGTGGAGCCTCATTTCCAGAGATTATAAATTAATTAGGCTGGGGGTGAGCCTGGGTATCAATATGTTTTAAAGCTCTCCAGGAGGTTTTGCCGTGCAGCCAGGGCTGAGCTCCATTGATTGGAGGCATTGTCTTCCAGACGATATTTGCAACAGCGGAAGCTTGGGAGCCTCATTTCCAGATCTGTAAACTGAGGGGCTTGGCGTATATGATTTCCAAGATCTTCTAGTCCCAAAAAGGGTCATGATTCTGGTATTCCAGTGCCTTGAGCCAAGTGTCTTCCCATTGCCTGTGGGTTTCCTAATGGTGTTTGAGGCCACAAAAGCTTCCCCAAAATGGCATTATAATTTTGGCTGTGTTACATTAGCATCCTCCTACAGGGAGATTTATAAATTCCTATTGAGCTCATTTACTGATTGTTTTCCATGGGCCTATTTATCAAATGTACAGCCCCATGAATTTTCACATGCTAAATGCATCCATGTAACTAACCACCAGCTAGAGCAAGACACAGGATATTGCCAGACCTCAGAACACCTCTTTGGAGTTCTTTTCAGTCACTATCCCCTGCCCCTCAGAATAATGTTTACCCTGACCCCTCTGATATGGTTTGGTTGTGTCCCCACCCAAATCTCATCTTATATTTCCTATAATCCTCACATGTCATGGGAGGGACCTGGTGGGAGGTAATTGAATTATGGGGGCAGTTCCCCCATGCTATTCTTGTGATAATGAGTAAGTTCTCACAAGATCTGATGATTTTCTTTTTTTGAGATGGAGTCTCTCTCTGTCACCCAGGCTGGAGTGCAGTGGCAAGATCTCGGCTTACTGTAACCTCTGCCTCCCAGGTTCAAGCGATTCTTGTGCCTCAGCCTCCCGAGTAGCTGGGACTACAGGCGTGCACCATGACACCCGGCTAATTTTTGTACTTTTAGTAGAGGTGGAGCTTCACCACGTTGGCCAGGCTGGTCTCGAACTCTTGACCTCAAGTGATCGGCCCACCTCGACCTCCCAAAGTGCTGGGATTATAGGCATGAGCCACTGCACCCGGTTGATCTGATAGTTTTGTAAGAAGCTTTTCCTGCTTTTGCTTGGCACTTCTCCTTGCTGTCGCCCTGTGAAGAAGGATGTGTTTGTTTCTCCTTCCACCATGATTGTGAATTTCCTGAGGCCTCCTCAGCCCTGTAGAACTGTGAGTCAATTAAACCTCTTTGCTTTATAAATTACCCAGTCTTGGGTATGTCCTTATAGCAGCCTGAGAGTGGACTAATATACCCTGTCACTATAGATTGGCTTTGCTTGGTTTTGAACTTGACATACATGGCATCACACAGCATCTGCTCTTTTTTTTTTTTTTTTTTTTGAGATGGAGTCTCACTCTGTTGTCCAGGCTGGAGTGCAGTGGTGCGATCTCGGCTCACTGCAAGCTCTGCCTCCTGGGTTCACACCATTCTCCTGCCTCAGCCTCCTGAGTAGCTGGGACCACAGGCGCCCACCACCACGCCCAGCTAATTTTTTTTTTGTATTTTTAGTAGAGACAGGGTTTCACCGTGTTAGCCAGGATGGTCTCGATCTCCTGACCTCGTGATCTGCCTGCCTCGGCCTCCCAAAGTGCTGGGATTACAGGTGTGAGCCACCGCGCCCGGCCAGCATCTGCTCTTTTCTGTGTGGCTTCCTTCACTTAGCTATGCCGCTGAAACTAATTCATGTTGTTGCAGCCATCAGGAGTTCATTCTTTTTCGTTGCTGTGTGCTATGGACTGAATATTTGTGTTCCTCTCTAATTCATGTCTTGAAGCCTAAATCCTCATGTGATAGTATCAGGAGGTCATGAGAACAGAGCCTTTATGAATGGGATTAGTGCACTTACAAGGGGATGAAGAGACCAGAGCTCTCTCTCTCTTTGCCATGTGAGGATACAAGAAGATGGCCACCTCCAAACCAGGTGAGAAGCCCTCCTCAGACATGAATCTGCTGGCACCTTGATCTTGGACTTCCCAGCCTCCAGAACTGAGAAATAAATATTTGTTATATAATCTGTCCAGCCTATGATATTCTGCTATAGCAGCCTGAACTGACGTAGATACTGTGTCATACTCCATTGCACGGGAGATGTATCCTTTCTCTTGTTGATACACATTTGGATTGTTTCCAGTTTGGGGGTATTTTAAAGCTGCTAGGAAATTCTTGTTCTCATTTCTAATTTTTAGCAAGTAATATTAACTTGAATTTGTTTCATCAGACCTTTAAAATGCAGGTTTGAACATTTAGGAATATTGTACAGGGAATGGATCCACGAGACATCTGCTTGTTTTTGATGCAGTGTGAAGAATGCATGATCATTGCATTCACATTGAGTTGAGCTGGATGGTTGTAAAGATATGCTTGGCCACTACTGAATTACCTAAAAATTAATTCGTACCAGGCAGGAGCAACTGTGGCATTGCCAAGTCTCATTCCCAGCCCTCATGTCCTAGAAGATGAATGGGATGGAGCCAGAAGTGATGTGTAACATGGGATGGAAGCAGAAGATAGATTCCACTGCTAAAAACTGCATGGATTATGGGTGTGTATTCCATAATACACAAAGGTGACTCCACAGACTCTCAATTGTGCTTGTTGCTCAGGCCAAATCCTGCCTTTTGAAAAAATAGCATGCGTGTTTACAGATAAATTTTGAAAGCCCGTAGTTAAAGCTAATGACTGTATTATTTTCTAGATTTCTCCGGGCTTGTGGCTGTGTTGGGAAAAGTGGATGGGCCTTGACTCCATAAGCTAAGCTGAGTTACTTGTTTAACACAGGAAATGTGTGGAACATTGTTAGAAGCAAGAGCAGAGCTAAATTTTCTTCTGCTCCCCACACTTCTCATTGCTTCCATTACCACCCATTGAATGGGCAATGCTGTACCCCATGGTGTTGGCTTCTGATGATCTCGATCTACGACCCTTCCTCTTCGCTTAGATTTTAATTCTGAGATTGCCTGTATCTTGATCTGAGTAATAGCTCTCCAGTTCAAGGAGAGGGTATTGGAGTGGATTCCCTCAGCGTTGAGTTCATTGGGAACCATCCAAGGAGCAGCCACCAATAATCTCACTGTGCCTCCCAAGAGCATGGTTCTGTTGAGCACCTGCCAGGGATGGCATGGGGATGGCTAGGGCTGGGCATGGTCTAGCACACTCTTTATTCTTCTTTCTAACCCTTTCGCAGTTGAGAGCATCTTGAGGTTATCTGGCCCAACCCCGATAGCTCTGCATTTCATCTCTACTTGCACACCCACTGTGACAGAAAATTCTCCACTCAGCAAGGAGTAAATTGCATTTTTTTAGATGTCTAATTGCATTTCAAATAACAAGCTTCCGTTCTGCCTTCTGTATCCACACAGAGAGCCTTGTCCCTTTTCATGAGTTCCTTTTTGGACATTTTCAGCCAATTAAAAAAAATCTCACTTTCATTTTCTAAATTGTCTCCTATTCAAGTTTATCTTTCCCTGCTCTTTCTATTCCTTCATGGTAGGATTTCTAGACTCAACCTTCTGGGTAGCCCTTTCCTGGATGGATTACGAGTTTTTCAAAATAACTCTGTTAATGAATGTATAGTCTTCTAACCATATCACGCACACAATACACACACAAACACCTTTCACTTACTGCACAGTGCACATATAACACACATACAGTGCAACACAGACATATACCACATATACACCAAAGAATACACACACTACACACACCACGTAATACACTACAATACAATGAAACACAATGCCACATGTGCCACACAATACACACACACCACACATACATACACAACACACAGATATACACAAATATGCACAGACATCCCTCACACACACCAAATGCATATTACACACACTCACATACATAATAACACAGATCACCTAGAAATAAACACAATCACGTTATACATACACACCCCAAATACACTCCACACACCTTCCTTCCCTCAGTCCTTCTTTGTTTGCATCTCTTCAAATAATTGCAAACTCTCCTATCAAAAAATTGCAAGGCCCGTGAGAACATTAAAGATAATATATAACTGCATTGTGATGGGTAAAATAAATTTATGATGTTGGAATCCTATTTGTTCAGCATTCTAGCCATGAAATTGAAGGATGTCACACATTTTTCCCTTACTAAACCTGTAAATGAATCATCTAAAGATAATAAGTCATTTTTATGGAGTAAGACTGCATAGTGTTGCTTCACTTAAATTTAAAGATGATGTGAGACATAATGAATTTCCAGTTGTGAACACAGGTGCAGACACTCATCACAGTTTGAAAAAAATAAGTTCTTAATGGGATTCATGATATTCAGGTTATCTTACTAACTTCTCCAACTTCTTCCCTTTTTATTTACATTTTATTGTAAAATAAATCATAGACACAGAAAAATCCCACTCATAATAAATGTATAGCTTAGCGAATTATTTCAAGATGGAAGCCCTTGCAATGATAACTCATATCAAGAAATAGATCTTTGCCATTTTCCCCAAAGAATCTCCATATATATTGTCCATATTGCTAGTTTGAGTTTTTATAAAAAATCATGAATGAGTGTTGAATTCTGTCTAATGTTTTGCATTAACATGAAAGCATGATTTTTCCCCAGTTTTTTTCCTGATGATGTCATGAATTAGACTGATTGCCTTTAAAAGCAAAACTGTTCTTCCAGTCCTGAAATAAACCCTATTTCTTCATAATATGGTATCTTTTGTATATATCACTGAACTTACTATGCTAATATTTTAAAATAATTTTTGAGTATATGTTCTGAGAGAGATTCATCCATAAAAGTTGGGAAATATTTCCTCTCCTTATAGTCTTTTAATAGTCTAATATATTACTTGTTATTTGTTCCTGTGAAATGAAAAATCCACCTGTGCCTGGGTTTTTTTGTGTGGAAATATTAATAATAAATTCAATAATAATCTACTGAAAAAACTGAATAATAAATTAATTATTGTAAATTATATAATAATTTCTTTAATATATATCAGACTATTCACATTTTCTATTCTTCTGTTAGAATTGGTAAATTGTATTTGAGGAATTTATTGATGTAATCCAGATAGCCACATCTTCTGGAGTAAATTTGTTCATAATATTCTTCTATCTTGTTAATGTTTGTAGGATCTGTAGTTATAGTTCATTTTTTCTTTCTTATTAGGTAGTTAGTGTTTTATTCTTGTTCAATTTTCCTAAAGATTTATCATTTCAAAGCATAACTTTTGACCTTGTTGATTTTTAAAGATTTTTAAAAAAATTTACTGAAATTCTGCTCTGTTCTTTGTTTGTAATTTTCTTCCTTTTGCTTTAATAAAGCATATAAGGTTACAAATTTCCCATCTTCTGTTTCCATGATTTCCCCTCCTACTCCCCATCCCCTTCCTTCTCCTTTTTTTGATGGAGTCTTGCTCTTTCGCCCAGGCTGGAATGCACTGATGCGATCACGGTTCACTGCAGCCTCCGCCTCCAAGGTTCAAGCAACTCTTCTGCCTCAGCCTCCTGAGTAGCTGGGATTACAGGCATCTGCCACCATGCCCGGCTAATTTTTGTATTTT
This sequence comes from Homo sapiens, assembly GCF_000001405.40. Lineage (NCBI taxonomy): Eukaryota > Metazoa > Chordata > Mammalia > Primates > Hominidae > Homo > Homo sapiens. The sequence goes on from NC_000005.10 coordinate 6,799,364, forward strand.
TAGTAGAGACGGGGTTTTGGTGTTTCACTATGTTGGCCAGGCTGGTCTTGAACTCCTGACCTCAAGTGATCTGCCCGTCTTGCCCTCCCAAAGTGCTGGGATTACAGGCATGAGCCACCATGCCTGGCTTGTTATCTGCTTCTAAGATTTCTTTTGAGAAGTCAGCTATTAATTTTTTTCTTTTTTTTCTCATTCCAAAGAAATGTGTTGTTTGTTTGGCTGATTTTAATATTTTCTTCTTGTCCTTGATTTTTAGAAAGCTGACATCGATGATGTATCTAGGTGTGATTTTCTTTATATTTATCTTGCTTGAAGTTTGCTGAATTTCTTGAATGTGTGGGTTGATGTCTTTCATCAGTTTGGAATGTTTTTAGTCATTATCTCTTTGAATATTGCTTCTCATTCTCTCTCCTCCCTGGTAATGCAATTATATATTGTTTAGACATTTTGAATATATCCCTTATTTCTCTTAATTTCTTAAAATCATTTTTTTCTTTTTAGTTTCTTTCCTTCAGTTTGGGTATTTTTCTATTGCATTGCTTTCCAGTTCACCAGTTTTATGTCCAATCTACTGTTAAAACTATTCATTGCATTCTTAATTTTGGATATTATGATTTTAGTTCTATAGTTTATTTAAAAAATAATTCTAATTCTTAATTGCAAATTGCCATTATTCTATTTATATTGCCTCTCATTTCCTCTATTTTCTTGAATATATTAATCATAATTATTTTAAAATAATTGTCTATTGTATCTAGAATTTGGGTCACTTGTGAACCTAATTCTGTTGTTTGCTTTTAAAAACATTAAAGCACATTGAGCCTATGGTCTTATCTTTTCACAGATCTAATAATTTCTTGTAAGCTGAATATTTTGTATAAAAGACTGTAGAGGTTCCAATGATGTTCTTTTCCACATGAAAGTGTTTTGTGTCTCCTCTCTAAGGCAGAGGAGGTTGATTCCCAAGGGCCAACCATTAGGGATTGGTGTAGTTTTGATCAGACTCAACCTACCTCTGTTCTCAGGGCTTTATCTGAGAGCTTGGAAAGTCTTTGCATCCTGAGTTCTGAATGATTGTGGGTGATTCAGCTTGGCCTTAGAGAAATTTAAGCTCAGCACTCACACTCCTGACCTCGTCACCTTCAGAATTTGGCAAAGGTCTTGATGGAGAGAATGCTTGGGTTGGATGCCCTACCCGCTAATTTTGTCCTTGACAAACACTAAAGTCTTTGCTTTGTTTTCTGTCTCCAGCAGCAGCAGCCTCTTGCCAGGGGCTGAGCCTTGATACCCACATTTGTCTGGTGCCCCCAAAAGAGTGGCTGCAGATCCTGGTGTCAATTCACAGGCTTTCATCTTGTGCTGGATTTCTTTTCAGGTTCCTTCCCTGGGAAGTTTTTTGTTTCCTAGTCACAAATATTGACAGAAATTTTACTTTGCCTTTCAGGAACTTTTAGCCTAGCTCTTTAGGCCTCCACTCCCCTGACTACTCAGCTAAAAAAAAAAAAAAAATCAAATGTCTTGTGGGTAAAATCAGCTATGCATTGCAGGGCCCTCACCTGAGATATGATTTGTCACCCTAGCCCTATGGCACCACTGAAAGCTTTTCTGGTTTTCCTTCCTCTAGCGGCGTCTTCTACCTGACCTAAATCTGATCACTGGGCTTCTATTTAACAGTACAGGAAGATGTTTCCAGGGAAAAACAGATGCCAACCATCATCTCCCTCTTACTGGCTTTTCTCTCTGAAAGTTTAGTTTATTTATTCTTTGTTGATTCCACATCTCTCCAATGCTTCGAAAATGATTTTTTATTCTTTTGTTTCTTAGTTCCTGAGATCAGGGGCATTGGCTGTTACCTACTACTTAGAAGTGGAAGTTTGGGGCACATGTTTTGACTTTCTTTTTCATAGTTTGTTGACTTGATTTGACATCAGTACACTCTGTACCCTATGGCAGGGAACCCCAAACCCCAGGCCAAGGACCAGTCTGGTATGGTCAGTGGTCTGTTAGGACCTGGGCCACACAGCAGGAGGTGAGAGGCAGGTGAGTAAGCGAAGCTTCGTCTGTCTTTATGGCCACTCCCCATTGGTCACATTCCCGCCTGAGCTCCTCCTGTCTGATCAGCAGCAGCATTGGATTCTCACAGGAGCTCGAACCCTATTGTGAACTGTGCATGCCGGGGATCTAGGCTGTGGACTCCTTATGAAAATCTAATGCCTGATGATCTGTCACTGCCTCCTATCACCCCCAGATGGGACCATCTAGTTGCAGAAAAACAAGCTCAGGGTTCCCACTGAATTCTACATTATGGTGAGTTGTCTAATTATTTCATTATATATTAAATGTAATAATAATATAAATAAAGTGCACAATAAATGTAATGTACTTGAATCATCCCGAAACCATCACCCCTGACCACAGTCCATGGAAAATTATCTTCCACGAAACTGGTCCCTGGTGCCAAAAAGGCTGGTGACTGCTGCCCTATGGAATCACTCGGGATTTAAAACTTTTACTTGTAAATGTTAAACGTTTTGCATCAGAGGCATCTTCAGTGGCCACAGGCTGGAACGTTTCCTCCTTAAGCTGAGTAGTCCTTAAAACAATGGAACCTGTGTAACTAACTTCATTGCAATTATAATGGAATTCTCAAACTTTGGGACACTTATAGCACAAATTTGGGGCATGATTTCTTAAAGATTCTCCATGCCATTGTAAAGTAATGGTGTGGCTAAAGTATCCCATCAGGGTCATGTCCTCATGTCCTTTGATTACTACAACTCCTGGCATTTAGGAGTTTTTTTTTTTCTTTTTTTTTTTTTAAGGCATGAAGGTGAAGGAGGGCTTCAACTGGGAGTTTTGAGCTTTTGGTGTGTGTAACTTACTAAGATTGGTGAGGGATTAAGTATTAGGCTAGGGAAGGAAGAGAGGGAGTCAGATGCAAGTCTTCCCAAGCTTTCTATGTTGATCCAATCAGTTTTCTTTTCCTTTAAGTTTTTTTCTCTCTTCAGGTGGATCATTGAGGCACCAGCATATGCCACTTTTGATTCTGGGTTCCACTGATAGACTGGATAAAGAAAATGTGGTACATATACACCATGGAATACTATGCAACCATAAAAAAGAATGAGATCATGTCCTTTGTAAGGACATGGTTGGAGCTGGAGGCCATTATCCTTAGCAAACTAACGCAGGAACAGAAAACCAAATACTGCATCTTCTCACTTATAAGTGGGAGCTAAATGATGAGAACACATGGACACATGGCAGGAACAACACACACTGGGGTCTAGCAGAGGAGGGCAGAGGGTGGGAGGAGGGAGAGGATCAGGACAAATAACTAATGGGAACTAGGCTTAATACCTAGGTAAGGAAATAATCTGTACAACAAACCCCCATGACATAAGTTTACCTACGTAACAAACCTGCACTTGTACCCCTGAACTTAACAGTTAAAAAAATTTAAAAAGGGTTTTTCTGTTTCAATTATACGTCAAGAAGAGCTGCTCTCATTACCTGTGTCACAGGCAAATGAAAGCTTTGTTTGATTACTTAAGTAATCCAGGAGAACATGTAACTCATCATTTTCAGGAAGGTGGTCAGTGAAGAGAAGAGGAAGAGAGTAGAAGCTTCTTTTAGGATGGAGGAGAAGAAGACAGTTGGAGTGGGACAAGTCCCATTTGATGGTGTGTGGTCGCTACAGCAGGTACAGTGAAGTGGCTCCTGTTTTGGAAATGAGGGAAGCTCCGATTCCCCTGAGAGAGTAGAAAAAGGTCAGGATGGGTGCTAATGGGATGCACTAGGTGGAGGGCAGCTGGGAAGCTACCTCTGTGCTTGCACAGTCTCCTCAGATGGGAATTATTTCTCTACTTCTGTCATATTTGTCTTGGTGTAACTGAACCCGCATCTTAAAATTCCCTGATTACCTCAGTTGGAAGTGAGTTCTCCTACATTTGCGCTCCTGAAACACGTGAGAATATTAGTTGTTCTGAATGAGCTGTTACTGTACTCACGGGTGGTACAGTTTAGAGAGGGTGACGTGTTTGTTATGAGTATGGGCTCTGGACCTAGCCTCCCTAGGCCCAAATCTCCGTTATCTGCTTTCACTCACTGGACCTAGGGCAAGTTAACTTTTCTCATCTGCAAAATGGACTAGATCTTGAAAGCAATGTCAGTGCATTTTGTGAGGATAAAACAAGTCACTGCATTTATTTGATTAATGTGTACAAAGCACTTTGAGTACACTGAGTACTCACTAATGCTAGCTGCTACATTTCCTACTAGTGTAATTGAACGAATACACACACTTAGAGTATATTACACTTTAAATAAACGTTATCGTATGTACTTGATTGTCACTATTTGGTGATAGAGACCCTGTCTTCCTTGCAGTGAAGGGCACCATAGTGGCTAAACTTAGAGTTACTTTAGAAAAACCAGGTGTTAGGGTGCCCCCAAGAGCATTGCCAGTGTGAGGGAACAGTATCAAAGAGGACTTCACAGATGACAGTTAAGGTTTCAGGTCCACATAGGTCTTAACTATAAATTGTGACAGCGTAAGGGCTGAAGGTCTGAGAGTGTGTGTGCTCACTAAGAGGCTAGGGGTTTCAAGTTTCCTGAAATAACTGCAAGAACTGCGCAACACAGAGAGAACCTACAGGGAAAGAAAGGAAGGGGCCGGGAGCTTGGACTCACAGTAAGGTCCTGGGATGGGGATTGAAAACCAAAAGCAACTGTGATGACACTCTGCTGCAGCTGGTGGGCAAAGCTGGGAAGAGCCGGAACCCTGGCTTCCTGTTCCACCTCCATAGGACCCATCCCTGCTGCTCCATGCCCTCTCTGAGGATCCACCAGTGCAAATGGTCATCTCAGCCTCCTAAGAGTCAGCCCTCTTGTGAATCCTCCTGCAGATACAAACAAGGCTGGGATGTTGCTTGCCCTTCAGTTGGGGGTTGTCTCAGGCAGAGGCCCTAAGGGATGGTGGTGACACCAGGCCAGACGGGAGAGCCTGGCTGTTTGCCTGAGAGTTCCAGCTTTGCCCCCAACAGCCATGAGACAGCTGTTCTCATGCCAAGAAAATGAATTTATACAGTGAAGTAAATCAAATTGTAAAGAACAATGTGATTAGAGAAAAAAAATCGTTTGTTATCTTGCAGTCCCCGGACATGATATATTCGTGGCCCAGGACCTTTTAAACAAAGAAATAATAAGAAACCATTTAGAAAAACAAATAAACTGGCAAATGTTTGTGAAATATTTATAAGATGCAGAGCCATTTTACATGCAAGAATTTATTAGCTAATTTTTTTTGTCTTGTGAAGGACTATTTTTGGAGACAATGAAATTGTTCTGGAAAAATACTTAAATTGGTAAGGATTAAAAACACACAAGAAAGCCAAGACTTTAATTACTATTATGATTTAGTTATATTTTTTGGGGAAAAATTATGCAAATCTATTTGTACTTTTAATCTTTTGTCAACATTTTCCCTATATTCATAAGTTATCCAACTTATCAAACAGAAAAAAGTCAGATGTATGAGGGGAAGAGATCTGGCTCAGCTAAAATTACTTGGTCTCTAACTCTGTGATGATGTGAGACCTTAGGAATCTCAGACTTGCTGTATTAGTGAGTAAGTAAAAATCCTGGGTTTTAGAACATTTAAAGGAAATGGTGTTTATTCTCCCTTATTCGTCTCACTTGGCAGTGGAATTATTGCAATTTCAGGGCAATGTACTTGAACAGTGATGTTGGCAAAAGGGAGTAAGAGTAGACAGGATAGTGAATGATTAGAAACCATTTTGCAGAGGGAGCAGTTGAAGGAATGGGGTTCTTTACACAGAGAGCAGAATACTGAGTGGGAAGCCATAGGCCAGCCCTCCAATGTATGATGGTTTCAATGTCCTCCTTCTTTCTCTGTCCTCTTCCCAGGAGGGGCGCTTGACCAGATGGGTGAGAGAGTGCAGAGCTTTGTGCATAGCAGTGCAGACAAGTCGTGCAATAGGGTGTGGTCAAAACGACCAAGAAACAGGATTGCGTGTCATGTGGGTGCTTCAGCTTGAGGAATCTGGAAATCCTAAAACATCCTTCAATTTTCCAGAGGACTTGAGATGTCTGTCCTTTTTGAGATGGACAGGTTCCCCTGAGAGCTGTCTCACGGTGGTCTACAAAGGGGGCACAGCAAGATGGACTTGGGAGTTTCTGTAGCTCTGCCGGCCAAACTCCAGCCAGGGGGAAGCCCATGGAAACTTGCTGGCAGTCCCAGCCTCTTAGAGTGATCCCCTGGGAGCCTCCCAGACTTTTTAAAGGGCGAGTTTGAGGAGAAGAAAGACATGTCGCTCCAAATTAGGCCACCAGTTTCTCTGCTAGTTCACTGCAACACTTTGTACATTTCCAGGTCATCTCTTACATACGCTGGAGATGTGTGATGGAGCTTGATGCTAATTAGCAGGCTAGATCTGTGATGTTTTTATTAAGTTGGGTCACAAAGTGTTCAATGCCTCTCTCTCTAGAATGATGATGCACTCATCAACCTGTCCTAAGTTCTGCGGCTTTAGCCAAAATTCTTAAAGAATAGGAAAAGTCCCACTTCACACCGTGTTCCATCAGGCTTTAACTGGTCACTGTACTGCTTGGTACAACACTCTGTTCATTTGTGTGAGTAAATAGAAGTAAGAGTCATTGAACTCAAGGAGATATAGCACTCTATTGAGGCTTGAGTCTTAGCAGGTGGTACCTTGGCAGAGAAGTGATTTCATTCTTAGAACTTTTAAAGGAAGTTTCTGGGAGAGTCACCTCTTGGGTGGAGGTTGGGTTTGATCTCAAGGACTTTGTGTTTGAGTTTATAGGACTCTGCCTAAGCAAACATAGAGCTGTCTAGCCTAAGTGGTGTTCTTTGATGCACACTGGGACTTTCTTGATCGGTTATTAAATGTAATTCATTGTTATAAATGTGCCCTTGACAAAAATGGATGTTCTTTAACTTTTGAATATAGAACTCTGTATCCATCCATTAGGGAAAGCTTGTCAATTGTATTGTTCAACTATTCTTGCTGAATTTTTTGTCTGATTGATGTATCAATAATTGTCATAGTAATCCAATATGATGGTGAATTTATCAAACTTCTTTCTGCAGTTTTAACACTTTTTGCTACATCTTGTGAGTGTTTTCTTAGGTCCGTACATTTGACAAAATTTCTTTTTGTCATTTCAATAAACTGAGTCTTTTCAAATTAATGTAATGATAATCTCTATCCCTAACTCTTCATTTTGTCTTAGTATCTCTTTTGTCTAGTATTGATGCAGCTGTATTAGCTTTCTTTCTGTTGGTAGCCATTTATGTCTTTTATTTCTTGAAACATTGAACCATATAAAATTGGCAATATCCATCCTTTTTTGTCCCACAAAAATGGCAATTTCGTATGGCTGAACCAATGCTGTCAAACTGCTTTTGCATGCCCCTATGCTTTAAGTGGGTCTCTTGTATACAATATGTAAACCCTTCTTTTGATCTTTGTCTTTTAACTATGACTTTAGCCCATTTACATTTACTGTAACTACTGGTATAATGGGATCCATTCTACCATACTAATTTATTATTTTTGTTTGCTTACCTTTCTACATTTTAAAAAATTGCTATTTTTTATTTATTCGATAATAAGATAGAACTTTTGTGTGCCCTCATATTCACTGGTGTCATCTTCCCTACAAACATTGCCATCCTATTAATATTTTCTATCTTAGGGATGGTGGCTTATGGAACTTTCTGTGATGATGGAAATGTTCTATAGCTATGCTGGTCAATATAGTAGCCACGAAGGGCTATTAAACCCTTGAAATGTGGCTAGTGTGACAAAGGAACACATTTTATAATTTTATTTAATTTTAATTAACTCAAATTTAAATTTAAATAGCCACATGAGGCTAGTAACTACCATATTGGATAGTGAAGATCTATCTTATTAATTCTGTATATTTTGGGCATATTTATCTCTTCCTTGTCCTAACGACTAAAGATAACAAACTTTGCCAATATATTTGATTACATTTATTTCACATCATTATTGTCGCTTGCAACATCTCAGATTTGCTTCTTCAATTTAAGCACTTCATCTACAAACTTTTGTCAATGTGGGCCTCTGGGTGACAATATTTGTAAGGTCTTATAAGTCTGGTGATCATCTTATTTAATGATGTTTTGGCCAGATCTAACAATCTAGGCTATTTAATATTTTGCAAACACCAATCCAGTTTTTATTTTTGCATCCATTCTTCCTATTGAAAAGTCTGGTTTTACCCAAACTTGACCTATTGTATATAATGTTCTTCACTTCTGGCCTCTAAAATTTTTCCTTTTGTATTTTCGATTTTAAAATTTTATTAAAATGTGTTTAACTTATCACTCCTCTCTGGTACTGTATGAGATTTTTAAATATAAAATTCTAGAACATTTATATCTTATGTCTTCAAATAGTTATGAGTCCCTTTTAATTTTCCTCTTTTCCTCCTGCAACTCCTTTTATTTGGATTTAGTGCGTGTATTTCATTCCTCCATGTTGTTTTCATTTTTTTTGTATTTACCAATTACAAAAGTTTTAATTTTTTTCTTCTTCCTGGGATTGACATTTTTCCAATGCTCTGGTCTTCCAGTTTGCTATTTTGCTCCTCAGCTGCTTCCATTTGATATTTATCCTATTCATTTCATTTTTTAGTCAACTATAACCTTTTTTATACCAAATGTTTGACTGCTTTCTATGGCTTTCTTTTTGATTCATATTGCTAATATATCCCCTTATCTGTTTTCAAATGTTTATTAGTCTAATTATGAATTCTTGGTTGAATATTTCTGCTTCTGATGGAGGCTGTAATCTAGTAGGTTTTTCTTTTTAAAGTGTTATGCCCATCAACAATCTTTCTTTTTTCTTTCTTTTTTTTATTTTATTTTTTGTCCTGAGAGTGCCTTCCCTTCTGGGATATTGGCTACTCTGTCAGCCATGCACATTGAGGAAGGCCTGACTCCACCACCTCAGCCCCAGTGAGCTCAAAGGATGGGGTGGATGAACTTTGTAGCAGAGACTTGGCACCAGAAAACACAGTCATGGTTAGTCCCCACCCTACAAAACCACTCCTCAGCTTGGAGCTTCACCCACTACCCTGCTGGGAACAGCAGCATTAGGGAGAAACACAGTTAGATTGGAATTCACCAGCCCCGGGGAAGATGCACGAGCTACCGCCTGAAGTGATCACTCTCCACTTAACTCTTTTCAGCTCCTCATAAGCACACAAAATCTGGACCTCTCTGATGTGCCTTCTGTGGCCGTCTGGACCAGGGGCCACAGTTGCCACGGTTTTGGGTGCAGACATGATCTGAGTGAAGAAAATGACTGAAAATTGCAAGTTGAGCTCCGGCTGCTCTTGCCCCAGGCCGAATCCACCTCTCCATGAGTTTAAAATAGCATTGCCCCCTACCTCCATTTCAGGGGGCTTTACCTCCAGAGTTCACCAGCTTAATTTTGGCCAAGGAAGCTGGGCATCATGCTCGTTCAGCATTTGTTGGAATCAGAATCCTCTATTCTATACAAATAATATATTTAAAAATTATCTAATGAGAGATTCACTTGTTTGCCTATAAATAAGTACTACAAAGCCTTTATTCTCAAACAGGTAAACATATTGAACATCAGTCTAAATCTAGGCTTAATTCAAAATTTATAATAACTTGGATGGAGTTGGAGATGTTTTACCATGTGTCGTTTCTTTTCAACAAAATTGTTCAACAAAATGAAAAAATATTTCATTTCAACAAAATGAAAAAATGTTTTCAACAAAAATGTTTATTTTCAACAAAACTAAAATGGCATATTGGCTGTGGTCCTTCCCAAGGTGATTTAGATGAGATAGTATGAAACGTTTTCCTTTCAGATAAAATTAATGGGAAAATGACTCCCCCTAGGACTCTGACAATAAGGACCTAGAAGTCATTTTGAAATGCAATTAGACAGTTTGGATGTGGTTTTAGCTCCCGGCTGCCATTAGTGAGAGCTTAATTTTGGTCTCATGCAAATAATGCTGTGTCTATGAGAGAATCGCCAAACATGAACTTTGCAGGGCAAGAAGCAGGGATGTATTTCTATTTCTAAATTTAAGCCTTGAGACAGTTAACTCAAGGAAATGATGAAGCGTGTATAAAAGACGACTTCAGAGACTTGTGAAGAGATCGCCATTAAGAGAATTTATCACTTACTGAAGATTATCGTTTTTAAATTTTGAAAGATTTAAAAACACAAAGAAGAATCCCAGAAACATACATATTCATGATTTAACAAATGTTAACATTTGGGCACTTTTCCTTTATGTTATTTTTTTAAATATATTTTTCTGTACTTAATGCTTTTTAAAAAATAGACACATAGAAAATTACAAAAGTAATCATGATCATGCATTTGGTGAATATTCTTTAGCACTGCTAAAAGGGATGAAATAATGGAAGCACACGGAGGCCTAGAAATCTGTCCTTCATTTGTGATGGATGTGTGTCCATCTGCTCATATCGAGACTGGGTCCATCTCAGTGGCCACCTAAGAACAGAAAATGCACAACCTGGAAAGATTTTAACATAGAATCATATAATCCTAGTTTTGGAAGGGCTTTTAGGCCACCTAGTCTGATACCGTGATTTACAGATGAGGAGCCTGAAACTGAGAGATGAAATAACGCTAACAAGGGCTTATCGTTCAAGTAACACATATTTGTTCCCTGGATGTCATCCACTGAATAAATGGAAAATTATAGCTATGGGTCAGGAAAAAGCTCTGAGAAATGAGGACTGCCTGAGCATTTGTATCATAAATGGGTACTTGGAGCTAATTTATTTCCTAAATAACAACAATGAAACTGCTCTGCTGCAGGCCTGCAAATGCACGCGCCAGAGTCTGGAATGATTGTTGGCTGATGCCTCTCAACATTCTCTGCATGGAAATTTCGTGGAGTCAGACACAGATTATGAACAGTTGACAACTTCGCGTCCAGCACAAAGGAAGCGGCATGGGATAGTTGATTTGTTAGGGCACACACTTGGTTACAAAAAGTTTTGTTTTGTTTTAAACTGTGGGACTCTCAGATTCTTAAATGTGCCATATGCAATGTTTCTCAAACTCAATTAGGGCACCCTTTCTCAGAATATGTTACAGAACAATGTCCCATAGAACACAGGGTAGGAAACTCTTGCCTAAAGGTAAGAAAATGTCAGGATGGGAACAGTGCAGGTTAAAAGAAAATTCTTACATCTCTGCTGCAAAACAGACCCCGTTTTAGAATGTTTTATGTGCACTCTATGGAGCATTGACTGTTCTGCAGAATGTTGTAAGGTAGATTCTGTTGTGGCCTCCAGTTACGGGTGAAGAAGCTGGACATGGAGGTAGTAAGGAACTCGTCAGTGGTGGCTGCTGCTAAGTGGCAGGTCAGGCTCAGTCTTGGAGCCCAAGCTGCTGCGTGCTGCCCTCTGTGTGTGGCCATTGTTTCCCAGCCCTGGCTCTCTGTTTCCATCTGTTCCTGCACCTTCACTCTGAGCTCTGGATTCTTGGCCTCATTTTCATCCCTCCAATGACCTGTGCAGCCTCCACCTCTGGGTCTTTGCACATGCTGTTCCCTCTTCCCTTCTTTTCCAGTTAATACCTACTCACCCTGAGACGTCAGCTCAATGTCACATTCTCAGAACCCTTTTCTGGACCTGTCACACTATGCTTCTCTGTTGCCCAGGATCACGTCCCTTCCCACAGGCCTTGGCATAGGCAGATGAGGATGCCCCTCCTCTCCAGCAAAGGCAGGGCCAGACCGGGCTTGCTGTTGATGTCTGTGTATGGTGCCCAGCAGAAGGCGGGGGCTCAACTCATACAGCAAAGATGAGGGTCCCTTCCCACTGGCTAGCCACTCATATTCACAAGAGTGGAAAAGACTGGACCACTCCCTAGTTGGCTGATGATGTGCTTGCTCTGTATCTTAGAAGAGTTAAAGCATAGTTAGTATTGACTATGGTTTGTGGTCTCAAAGTCCGTCTCTCCGAAATGGAAAATACCCACAAATTTCAAATGTCTCTGCTTTTAAATAACAAAAGTCATGTCTCAAAGTACTAGTGAAAGCATTACCTCTTTTGGACCCTTACTGTCAGTGGTATTTTTGTATGTGTATTTTGATTATCTGGCTCTTATATACTAAGAAGGAAAACAAACACCACACCTCTCTTATTAATGCAGCTGACACATTTACCTCCCTCTATTAACAACTTTTAAAAGTGGCATTCTGAACAGAATGAAAGGGTCGTCATTAATCTCAGGCTCTAGTTACCATTAGGTTATCTTTCTCTAGGGATCCAGTTACTGACCCAGCACCTCTCTGAGCTTAGGACATAATTATTGCTGACTCCCTACCTGCAGTGCTTGTGAGCAGCAATAAGAAAAGATGATGGGAAAGCAGTTTGCAAATGCCAGATATTACATGAATGCTAAATTATTAATTGCTACTGCTCACCTCGCCCCTTGTGAACTCTCTCTGACAATGGTAATTTTAAGATGGGAGTTTTTCTTACTATGCTTTATGAAAATCTCAAACTCAAACTCAAAATCCAACTTACAGATATCTTTTGCATTTGAAAAGTGTTTTTATAGGATAGGGCTAGGTTTTTATTTTTTGCTCCCATGTCTTAGCTGGAACAACAGGGTTCTCAAGTTTCCACGTTCTGTGTCAGCTGTCAAACCTTTTGTTTGTCATTTCTGCAAAGACTCTCTCTGTCTCTCATTGCTAGTCACTGACCAATCCTCAAAGCTGAACAGAAAGTACATTCATGATTTGTGCCGGTCTGATGTCTGCACCTACCACCATGTGCACAGATCCAGGACTCCAAGCTGGGGCCTGCCAAGAGGAGCCTGGACCTGGGGAAGTGGAGGTACCATCTTGTGAAACAGCACCTCTGGTGGAGGAGGGGGCTCCACGTCCAGCCTTGCTGATGTTCTCCGTGTCTTGGAGATGAGAAGCCTCAGTTAGATGAGGACCTGGGTCAGTAACTGGATCCCTAGATAAAGGTAGCCCAATAGTAACTACAGCCGGAGATAAATGATGACCCTTTCATTCTGTTCAGAATGCCACTTTTAAAAGTTGTTAATAGAGGGGTTGGGCATGGTGGCTCACGCCTGTAATCCCAGCACTTTGGGAGGCTGAGGTGGGAGGATCACCTGAGGTCAGGAGTTTGAGACCAGCCTGGCCAACATGGAGAAACCCTGTCTCTACTAAAAAGAGAAAAATCAGCCAGGCATGGTGATGCACACCTGTAATCCCAGCTACTCGGGAGGCTGAGGCACGAGAATAGCTTGAACCCCACGAAGCGGAGGTTGCAGTGAGCTGAGATTGCGCCACTGCACTCCAGCCTGGGTGACAGAGTGAGACTCTACCTCAAAAAAAAAAATTGTTGCTAGAGGGAGGTAAATGTTTCGGTGTTAATGAGAGAGGGACAGTGTTTGTTTTCCTTCTTACTATATAAGCATCCACAGGTGTCGTGGGGCAGGAATCACTGGCTCAGGGTATCAGCGAGAACTCATGTTAATCCCAGCCTGTTTACTCCTGCTCTTGGCTTCAGCCAAGCCCTGGACTCAGGTGTTTCTGTTCAAGATGAGACGTGGTCTTCTCCTGCCATCTTTAGATGGTTCCTCCTGAGGACCTGGATCCTAGCACCACCCTTGGAAAAATGGTGACTTTCTGGCAGCAAGGCCAGCTGGTGCATTGTGAGTGAGGGAAGCCCATTCACACCAGAATTTCTGTCTAGCAATGAGATCAAGCCAAAGAGCCTTGAAACTGCAAGAAGCTTTGGCTCTAGGCCACAAGACTTTTGCAATCAGTGTTGAGCCTATTCAGGCTTCAGTCTGCAAAAGGCAAGGAAGCAGAATAGCTCAATGTCAGATAAGGCTGCTGTTTGGTTAAGGTCCCGGGTTTTTGGCTGTAAGTGAAGTTGATAAGTATTTTATAAGGCGTGGGAGGGCCTGCTTGAAATGAGGTGTGCAAGGCATTGAGATGTGCCCCAAACAGGAAATGTGCTCCACAGATTATGGTTATTTCCAGGGGACTTCTGTTTGATCTCTTTTGGCCAGGTTTTGTGCCTGATGATTATATACCTGGAATCTTGGCAGCTACCTGCCTGGCTCCTGGCCAAGCATGAGGACTTTGCCTGCACACAAATTATCCATGGAGTGAGACAGTTATGAGCAAGAATCCTGATTTTCCCATTAGCAGCTGGGCGACCTCAGGCGTGCTACTTAACCTCTCTGAACACTCATATCTCTAAAATGGAATTCACATGTCCAGCAGGTTTTGTCAAGGTTAATAATAAAGCTTTGGAAAAGCCTGGTGTGGTGTATGCCTCACAATTGGGAGCTACTGCTGGTATGCTAAACATACGTCGGCAGAAATTGGCTGCAGGTCCTCAGAACCTGTGCTCTGGCCTGATCTGTTGCAATCATGGTGGGTTGGGGCCTGTGTTAGTCCTTAGACTAGCATCCAGATATTGGAGGGTTTTCACCTTCTCTGAGGTTTAGGCCATGAAATAAAATCAGATTTTCATGTTTGTCTGAGCAAAGTGGTTGGCTGGTGTCTGCCCAGCTGCTCTGCAGGTGGACGCAGTGATGGAAGCAGGACTCAGAGGTCTATTTGGGCTTCAATGCTTAGCCTCGGTCTCTCATTCGGCTTTACTGATGACAATGCTGCAATTTTCAGCCCCTTCTGAGTCTTGGGTGAATTTCTCAATTAGGTTCGAAGCTGTGAGATCAAGGTATGGTTAATTAGCATTTTCCAGTAATTTCAGGGAAATCATAGGAGGATTCATATTATTGGAGAGGAATCTATTTTCTGTTATTTAAGGATCACGATGAGCCATTTTCTTGTAACTAACTAGAAGATTATAGACTCTAGCATGTGTGTAAGTGTATGGATAGACTCTAACATATGTATATGTATATATGTGGGGTGGTATGTCTATATATATATGCTGTGTGTGTATATGTATGTGTGTATATATAATACATATCTATGCAAATGGTCCTACTGAAAATTTGCCAATGGTACAACCAAATTCAGAAAAACAATATGAATAGTAATTAACAGCTTGTTAAATTTGAAATGCTTTTAAATTTATCTCACCTGTTCAAGTAATAAAGTGACATGGTTCTACTCTGACATTTTCAGTCTTGATTAAACATTGTATGTGCCTAATGTCATGTATGTCATTGTCACGTATGTGCCTCATGTCCTCCTGCTCCTCCTCTGTCCCCAGGCACAGGTGTGCTGGAGCCAGCTGTGACCTCTGTTCCTAACTTCACGCTCGCGAACATTAAGTCAGTCACTTAAAATCGGCCATGGGGAGAGCCTTCACACCATGGCAATCGGCAAAAGCAGCAAAATAGATCCCTCTTATCCCCAGGGGAGTCTACTGTGAAAACTCACCTGCCCACCCCTGTTTCTAGCTTCCAGTATCTGGAAAGCCCAATTTCCATATGAAGGCTGCCACATTAATGTGTAAAACCTTGAAATCTCTTCGAGAAAAGTGGTTGTGATCAGCAAGTGTCATTAGGTGTACCTGGGAGCCTTGGCTGAGCGCCAGGGGAAGCTTCTCTGTTTCCTGCGCCAGCACTGGCATGCCATGCCTGGCGATACCGGGAACCCAGACATAGGTCTAATCTTGTGTTTCACAGCTGGTCTTCAGCCCAAATGGCAATGCAAAGAAAACATACTTTAATGCCTCATGAGAAGAGTTTTGCAAATAAGACTGACATAGCCTTAGATAGAGGGTCAGGCACAGGATCTGTCCAAGCACCTTCCCGTCTCATTAGGTGGTGGATCTGCAGGTGTAGACACAAGCTGTCTGCTAAGTATACTACAAATGGAGCCTCCTCTAAGGGGGCTGATCTGGGATGCAGGGACATTGTGGGAAGTGAATTTACACAGATACAGACACTTCTGCCTTTCTTTGACACCGGAATGTGGTAGTAAAATGCATTACTTTGTTTAGGAAAGAATCCCCTAATGAGTCTATAACACCTTTTATGATGCCCCATTGACTACATTACCGTTGCTTGCAGGGTTTTTTCTTCTTCTTTTTTATGGGTTTATTGAGTTATAATGTTCATACCATACAATTCATTCACTTTAAATGTACAGTGATATTTAGTAATAGAAACTTGTTCAACCATCACCACCATCAAGTTTCAGAACATTTTCATCATGCCAAAAAGTTCCTTCTCACTCATTTGCAGCCAGTCCTGCTCCCGCGGGCCACTGTAGCTACAGACAACGACTCATCTTTCTGTCTATAAGTTTTAATCTTTTCTAGAAATTTTGATATAAATAGGGTCATGCAATTTTACTATTTGGTGGCTGGCTTCTTCCACTTAGCATAATGCAGTGAGGTTCAAATGTGTTGCTGCCTGTATTTGCAGTTTGCCTCTTTTATGCTGCGTAGTACTCCATGGCACAAATATACTACATTTTGCTAATTTTCCTGTTGATAGAGATTTGGATGCTTTCCCGCTTGGGGCTGTCATGGATGTTGTTGTTATGAACATTTTTATAAAAGTCTTTTTGTAGACATATGTTTTCTTTCTCTAGGGTAGCTAGGAGTGGAATGGCTGGGTTGTGTGGTAAGTATATGTTTAACCTTTTAAGAAACTGCCAAATTGTTTTTCAAAGTGTCTGCCCCATTTTACATCCCCTCAGGCATGAGAAAAAGGGATCTAAGTTCTCCTTATCCTGAACTTGGTATTCTTTTTTTTTTTTTTTTTTTTGAGATGGAGTCTCTTTCTGTCATCTAGCCCGGAGTGTAGGCTGGAGTGCAGTGGTGCTATCTTGGTTCACAGCAATCTCTGCCTCCCAAGTTCAAGTGATTCTCCTGCTTCAGTCCCCTGAGTAGCTGGGACTACAGGCACATGCCACCATGTACTACTGATTTTTGCATTTATAGTAGAGATGGGGTTTTACCATGTTGGCCAGGCTGGTCTTGAACCCCTGACCTCAAGTCATCCACCTGCCTCGGCCTCCCAAAGTGCTGGGATTACAGGCATGAGCCACCGCGCCCGGCCTTTTTAGTCTTTTTGAGTATAGTCTTTCTAGTGGGTATGGTGAACCCCAAATATCTGAGACAGTTCAAGTTATTTCCAGTTTCCCCTGTAATTTTTTTCTTTGGCCTATAGGATAATATACTAATATATCTTGTCTTAAAATCTATTTTGCTTGATATTACTATAGCCTCTCCAGCTTTCTTATGGCCACTGTTCTCACAATATACATGTTTTTTTTTTAAATCCTTTTACTTTCAACCTATTTGCACCTTTAAATGTAACTTGAATCTCTCATAGACAGTATTTCAATTAGGTCTTACTTGTCTTTCTGACAATCTCTGTATTTTATTTGGTGCATTTAACCCATTGACGTAGTTGCACTTTTGTCTACCATTTTGCTATTTTTTTTTTTTCTGTACGTCTTGTTTTTGGTCCTTTACTGCCTTCTTTTATGTTAAGCAAATAGGTTTACTGAACCATTTTAATTTCTTTCTTAAATTTTTCCTTGTTGCTGCTATTGAGCTCCAGGTATTCCAGCCATGTCTAGTCCATTGCTTGGCCTCTTCTGGCTTCCATTGGGTTAAATTGAGATGCTTTTCAAAGTTTTCTCCCCTAAAGGGTTTTCTCTCCCCTTCTCCCTCTTGTACATCTACAAAGTTTGACCATGTCTGTTGCCACGGGGCCAAGCTGAGAGAGGGTGTCAGCTCACAAGATGGCCTGAGCTCCAAGGGTGACAGAGCACACATCTCTGCGGGGCTCTTTTTCAGTCTTAAACAACCTCGCACCTTTCTTGGCTCCAGCAATACCAGGGAATAGTCCTGTTTTTTAGGGGTCCAGGTGGCTTCTCACAGCCCCCTTGCATGGATGATCCCCAGTGGATGCAGTAGCTTCTTGAGCTGAAAGCTCCTTCTGAGAATGGGGAGTCTCAACTCGCTTTGCTGCCTCTGGGTGGCTGGGATCCTAGCTCGTTTTCTAGCTCTCTGTGGTGCCCTCTGATGACACATCGGGACAGGTTTCTTGCTGTGCCAGATTTGGCTTCACTGGTGTCTGTGCCCTCCCATCCAGTTACGCCTCTTCTCACCTCCGTGCTGTCCTCAGCTCGCCTGGGCATTGCTGAGTATGTTTGTAGGGTCTACCACTCACGGACCTCCAGACATAGGTGAGAATCAGTTCTTTTTCTTAATTTTTTTAAATTTTATTATTAAATTTTTTTTTATTATACTTTAAGTTCTAAGGTGCATGTAACGTGCAGGTTTGTTACATATGTATACATGTGCCATGTTGGTGTGCTGCATCCATTAACTCATCATTTACATTAGGTGTATCTCCTAATGCTATCCCTCCTCCCTCCCTCCACCCCAGGACAGGCCTCAATGTGTGATGTTCCCCTTCCTGTGTCCAGGTGTTCTCATTGTTCAGTTCCTACCTATGAGAGAGAGCATGCGGTGTTTGGTTTTCTGTCCTTGTGATAGTTTGCTCAGAATGATGGTTTCCAGCTTCATCTATGTCCCTACAAAGGACATGAACTCATCCTTTTTTATGGCTGCATAGTATTCCATGGTGTGTCTATGTGCCACATTTTCTTAATCCAGTCTGTCATTGATGGACATTTGGGTTGGTTCCAAGTCTTTGCAATTGTGAATAGTGCCGCAATAAACATACGTGCGCATGTGTCTTTATAGCAGCATGATTTATCATCCTTTGGGTATATACCCAGTAATGGGATGGCTGGGTCAAATGGTATTTCTAGTTCTAGATCCTTGAGGAATTGCCACACTGTCTTCTGAGAATCAGTTCTTTATTTCCAAATCCATGTCTATCCTCCTGAGCTATTTGTGTGTATGTGTGTGCATTATTTGTGTGTTTGTACATCATGCAAAGTAATGAGATGTTTAGAGGCAATGGCAAAAAGGAACAAACTGTCTTGCTTATTTTATTCCCCCCAAGTCTCTTCTTCCCCCTTCCAGCCTGTTTTTATGTATAATCTTCTGGTGGGGTTGGGAAGTGTGGACAGTGAAGGGAAAGCACCTTGCAAATTCTTGTCAATTTTCTCTAACTAGGAGGGTCTCATGCTTGTGTCAGTGCCACAAGCTGAAGGCCACCAAGAGGATATCTAAAGGTTAACAAGCTGGGTTTATTACTCATTTTGACAAGAAAGAACACACATGGTGAAGAACAATAAGGCGTCTCAGTAGGAGAAGGAGGTATAGGATTTGGGCTTTGGTTGGGTGATTGGGAGAGGGTGTAAGGCAGCAGGTGTTTGCTGTGGATTGGTTGCTGTCAGAAAGCAGGGAAGATCCTATGATTGCGTCTCCCCCATGTGTCTTAGTCTCATCTGTAGGGAGGGCAAGCTGCGGTGAAGATAAGCCTGCAGGGGATAAGAAGCAGCTGTCACTCACTCTAATCAGGAGGTGGTACAGCGACCTTGTTTTTGTCTGTGCTTAGACAAAATTATAAAGCTCCTTGGTTTGTCTCACTTACTCCTGCTCTGAGTAAGCTCACCGGGGGAGCTGTTCTGTGAGAATGTTTATGTCCAAGAGAAAAATAACCTGACCCCCCTGTGAGCGTCAGGGTCTGCTTTGATTTCTTCCTTCCTCACCTGGCGACCTCCTTACTGAACCCAGTGGTTTCTCATATGTTTGTCCTTGACTCTGTGTGTGCACATGTGATTGTGTGCATACATGTGTGTCTATGGGGCAGAAAGGGGAAAGGAAAGTAGAACTCATTTCAGGCCTCATGTAAACAACCAGAAGGTAAAACTTCGCATCTCACCCCGCTCCACTTGTATTTGATCGCTGTTTAATGGCAGGCGGCTCTGGACAGAGCTAATTTTCCTCTGAGTCAACCTCACAAATCTTGTTTTCTTTATTCTCTCATCACCTCCCTCCCTCTTCTGCCTGATGTTGCCGGCCCCCTTGTGGAATAATCTCAACAGCATGGGCTATTTTGCTGTTTTGCTGCGTCTCTATTTAGGGGCACTGATTTGTTCCAAAGTTACTTGAAGAATCATCTGTGATGGGTGGTCCCATAAGGGCGTGGCTCATCAGTTTTTCTGGAAGCAATTGAAAGCCCAGAAATGTATTAGGGCTCAAGCATTGCAATAAAGCCCAGAACTGAAATTCCTGTGTGGGAACTGCAGGATTATATGAGAAATAAAACAAAACAAACCAACAAAAAACCCAAAGACAAAACAAACAAACAAAAGAATGGGGAAAAAAAGGTGATATGAGGAAGGATCACTGGGAGGTGCTGTTTCTCCACTGAGGCTAACGGGGTTGAGCAGTGGGCTCTGAGCTTTGTTTAACTTCTCTCCTCTGTATTCCGAAGTGTGCTGCGTGGCTTGCGGTCTGTGAAGAATTGTCGCAGCTCTTGCCTGGCAGCTTATCACTGTCGGTTATGCTTCTTTCCAGTCACACCTTGCTCCAAATGACTTAGCTGATGTCTTCCTCTCAGAAGTGTACCTGACTAATCCTTTTCTTCTATGATTTAATTTGGAAGGGAGCTGCTTTTTTCCCCTTCCTTTTTGCATTTATTCAGGTACTATGACAGCTTACAGTTGACGAAGATTGCATTTTCTGATGGAGAGTGGTATAAGCGAGCTTGAAATTTTGGGTTAGACCTATTCCTCCCTTAAGAATGTCAAACTTAAAATATTTTTCAAATATACTGTGTGACAGAAACATTTATTGCTCAGTGAAAATCCATGTGACACCCACATTTCCCAGAGCCTTGGGGTTAGGCAGGGCCATGTAGCAAGCTCTGGAGAGTGGTCCTCAGCATGACCGTTGGGCTTCTAAAGCATTTAAGAGAAGAGGCATGGCCCTTCAGTTCTCCCTTCACTGATGCAGTGCCCTGGAAACCATGCAATCCAAATGGTGCAGCCATAAGGAGCAATTCACCTGGGCCTCCAAGTCGCTGCTTGAAGCTGAGAGTCCTTAGATAGTGGCTGAAACCACAGAAGACTTGTGGGGTGAGTGGGTGGGGGGTCAAATGGAGCTTTATGCAAAGCCACTGAGATCTGAGGGTTGGTTTGTTACTGCAGCATAACACATTCTGATTAATACAAAAATATTTAAATGCTAGAAACTACTGCATCTGCAATAACTAAGAAATAAACTAATGCATTACTAACAGAGATAATTAACAATTTAATAGCATTTAAAAAGTTGGAATCTTGATGCTTAGGAAATAGAATTTGTGGAGTTTCTGTGAAGGGGCTTTTTGAGAGAATGAAGGGCTAGCAGTCAGTGACATTGTTTGACTTCACATCAAATGTCTTCCTTTTCGTTACCTTCATACAGGCTCTGAGCATAATTGGAGTCATTTAAACATTTTTACTCATAAATAGAAAAATTTTTATTTTTTGGAAAGAATGGCAAAAAGGAAAAGGGAGGCATTTGCCATGAAAGTGTGAGAAAATGATTGCGTTAGGTGGAAGTACCTGGGCTGTGAGCAGCGATGCATGAAAGAGAAAGGAAAAGCTCTGTGTATTCACGATTCTAAGAGCCTAGAGGAAAAGCTCTG
Organism: Homo sapiens; assembly: GCF_000001405.40. Lineage (NCBI taxonomy): Eukaryota > Metazoa > Chordata > Mammalia > Primates > Hominidae > Homo > Homo sapiens. The sequence goes on from NC_000005.10 coordinate 6,820,978, forward strand.
TTGCTGATTCTTCCAAGAGCCTAGAGAGGTTGAACTTTAAATCAGACAGTTCCTAAGTGTGGCCTCTAGAGGTCGCCACCATCCCACGACAGCTTGGTGGTTGAGCGGTGGGTGATAAACGAGGAAGACTGTAGGGGCGCCTGTTCGCGTGTAAAGACTATAAGAAACTTCATTTGTTTTTGCATTCTGGAAATAATGTTCATATGCAGCAGTTTTAAAAATCGATGTTAGAGAATGCAGTTAAAATTCTCTCCTAAATTTAGTTATTTCTTAATAAAATCCAAATGTTTGCAGAAGTACATGTTAAACAAAACAGGAGGTGACTGTGTGATTTAAAAAATAATTCCCGTTAGGATTTCTTTAAATGTTAACCATTCTACTTCATTTCATCAATTTAGAATAATTTATTTATGGCAACATTTTAGAAGTAGACTTAATAAAGAAAAGTGTACCAGGATAGTTTAATCTGATTTAACTCAATATTAAGTTTCCTGAACTCTATAGACTATACACAGTCATATATAACCAGAACTATTCCTTGGGTGACTTCCCAGAGGCACATTTTGTTAATAGTCTTTTGGGCGATTTTCTTGCTCATCATGAAACCATAGTAGGTGCTAAAGTACTTCCTCGTTAATTTTTTGTTTTTCAAAATTTTCTGTAAAAATCATGGAGTTAAATAGAATATGCATACACACATTATTTATTTTAAAAGTATTTTGCTTTTTCCAAACAGTGGGAAACATTCAAAGTGTGTTTCTGGGGTAATAGCAGCTTTTTAGAAAGTTTTTAAGAACCTGAGAACTAAAGAGATGATGTTTTAGCATTTATTCACTTTGTCCCTCAAAGCACGGCAGAATTATTTAGAGCTGCTTGTTTGCCTCTTTTTAGACATCTCGTTAGGATTCAGACTGTTTCTTGCACAGGGGAGATCTCAGCCTGAGGAAAACATGATGTAGAATGCATTGGGAAGATTCCAGTAAGATCAAGGGGAGGGGGCTTGGAGATGGAAAATGGGCCAGGACTTTCCGCTGTGCCCCACTTCTGCCTTGCAACCCTGTCGTCAACACGGGGATGGTGACCACTATAAGCACAGCTGCATTTGCTTCAAGACATAAAATGCAGACTTCCCTGCTTGGTGTGAAGGTGCCACAGGCAAGCAGACTGACACAGGCTCTGGAGGGAAATCGTGCATCCTGTCTGTTGCACGCGAGGATGCGATGGCCACAGTGATGCTCCAACCCACGTCTGTTAAGTGGGAGCAGAGCCAGGAGCTGGGCGATGGAACCCATGGTTTCTGAAACAGGAGAGTTGCTGCTTCACAGCGTGGAGGTGCACAGTCCAGCCTCTCACAGTTGCCTTGGCTAGCAGCAGAGCAAGGGAGGATCAGGTGGATAGTGTGGTGATTACAAATGCAGCTCGATGCTTTCAGTTGTGGCACCAAATACATTCTAATATTTAAAAGGACCTGTGAATTGTAAGAGCTGGAAAACTAATCGAAGATGGACAGTGCACCCTGGTGACAGACTCATTCCCCTAGTCTGGTGTTGAGGACATACTATGCTGTTAGTGCTTACCATGTAGGAGGTCAACACACTGAAGGAAACTCAGCCACTTTCTCATTCATAACTGCACAATAATGGCCTCCATTATGCTTTTTGGAGGACCCCTTTTTTGGACCACAGCTAATCGGGCTTCCATCTGTCACCCAGGTGTCCCTTGGCCAGAGTCATTGCCCTCGAGGTTTCCCTCAGTGTGGCTGGCTCAGCTGGCTGCCTGCGTGGGCAGCTCCTATCACCTCTGCCAATTCTCCAGCTTGCTTTCTTCTGACTTTCTCAGTCACTGCTGAAAGTGGGTTTGCAAAGCAGTTTCTTCTTCCCCCACAGCGCCCTGTCCCACCAGGCTGGTATGAAACCCCGGCTGCCTTCCCTAGAAATCCCAGCAAACCAAACCAAACCTCTGTGAGGATCCCTGACGAGGCCCCGGTGAGGGAGGACCCGAGGCAGGACACACTCCACCGCCCGGCCGCTCCTCCTGTGCAGGCCCCTCACCCTCTACGCGCTGCTCCGAGTCCAAGGCTCCCAGTCAGCCGCCTCTGGGTGCCTTAGACCACCGAGGGTCCAGAGTGGGGGACCTGGGAACCTTTCCCCCGACTCTGCTCTGCCGATGTTTTCCGCCCACACGGCGGCAGCACCACTGTGTCCCCTGGGGAGACCTGCTGTTGTTCCGGCTTCCCCTCCCACAGGGCTGACCCGTGCACCTCTTCCATTTGCCTCTCCAGCCAGGGGTGGCTGTCGCTTTCTGCTGTTGCTCACCCTCCCTGTTTGCTGCTCGGCCCCCTCCGTCACGGGTGACCAATCCCCTGCACGGAGTTCTCTCTGTTGTTCAAGTGGCCCAGTTGTTTCCCTGGCCAGATCCTCAAGGACACAGTTGTCTCCTTCCTCCGCTGACTCTTTCATTTTCTTCTATTCCATTTTGTCCACGAATATTCCTCTGTCTTCCAGAAGTAGGTGATTCTGACACCTAAGCCTCGTGGCTGTTCCCATTCCTCTGAGGAATGCAGTCCTGACAGCATCCTTATCCCCCCGGGGATCAGTGCTTCCTGAGTCGTAGAGAACTGTTTCTGTACCTTGTTGTGAATAACTAGACAACATTTTGTCTTACCTAATCAAAATGTCCCCCAAAATCCTTAGGTTCTTTTAAAATGAATACATTTTTACACTTTGGGTTACAATCTGAAGATTAACACCAGTGCAATATATGATTAGTTTAGAAGCCTCCCTTTCTAGTACATGAAAAAAAAAAAAGCAATGAGTTTTATGATCAAAGTTAAAGAATTAGCCTCTATATACCTTGAGAGGTGTCAGTCAAGCACATTTGATCTGCATTGATTCTGGTTTTGTTTTCAGGCATTCTAGAGTTTCCATTTATTGGACATCCTATGTCTATTTTTTGTTTATCTTATACATCTAAATCTTTTTCTTCTGATAGGAAATGTTTCCTGCATTCTGGGTGATTTTATGCAGCTTGTCTGAGGAAGTGCTAATTCTGTTAACTCCCCAGTGTTGATTCTCCGTTTTATTCTGTGCACTGTGGGCTTACCTCCTGGGTGGTATCACTCTGTGCTGCGACTTCTCGGCATAAACAGAGCTCTTTTTCTTGCTCTGATCCCGCCCCGGCTCTTCTTTGATCTTCTGTTTCATGGAGCTCACCTGAACGTCTCCAGCCTCAGCAGCTTCCGATGGCCCTGCAAGTTGATGTTCCTGAGCTCCTATACAATTCCGGGTATATTTCTGTGTTTTTAAGGACTTTAAAATAAACATATACGCCACCTACTGTATGATTCCAACTACATGACATTCCGGAAAAGGCAAAACTATGGAGATGGAAAAAAGACATCAGTGGTTGCCAGGACCTGGGGGGAGGGAGGGATGAACGGGCAGAGCCCTGAAGAATTTCAGGACAGTGAAAATGTATGATACTGTAATCATGTGTATCCATGTCATTCTGCACTTGTCCAAACCACAGCATGCACAATTCCAATCGTGAATCCTGGTGTAAACTATGGATCTAGGTGATTAGGATGCATCAGTACAGGTCCACCAGCTGTCATGACTGAACCGCTCTGGTGCAGGGTGCTGATAGTGGGGGAGGCCGGATGGGTGTGGGGTACGAGTATATAACTCTCTGTACCTTCTGCCCAATTGTGCTGTGAACCTAGAACTGTTCTAAAAAATAAAATCTATTAAAATATGTACATATGCATGCAACAATTCTCTATGCAATTAAAAATAATATAGGGACTTTAGAATAAACCATAAATGCCATTTACTCCTTTAAGTGACCCCTGACAGTTTCCTCCCTAGAAGGAGCCACTATTAACAATCATGCCTGTATCTCTCTAGATCCTTTTCTGTGCCTTCACATGTACTTACACGCACACTCACACGCACTTACTAATGCCCTCACACACACAGACACATGAACACATCCATACACACTCACACACACAACTGTAAAATGTAAACAGGATTCTACTTTACATGTTCCCTTCATGATTTTTCTAACAATCTTCAAAACCTTAACATGTCAGAACATACTATCAGAATTCATTCTTTTTCACTGGTTCATCATGTTACTCGTTTCCCTCTTGGGTTGTTTTCATCTTCTTGAGTAGTTGGCGATTCTTAAACATATACCCTGAATATCAATCTTTAGCCTATGGTATATGTTGCAAATATTTTCTCTTATTTTTCTAATTTTCCCTTTTTTTATGGTGTTCTTTGGTCACAGGCATGTTTTAAATGTTCATGTAGTGTTTCCTTTGACTTCTGAATTTTGTGAGCTAGAATTTACAAAATTCTATATTTACAAAATATTCTATATTTACAAAATTCTAGCTCAGAGAATCCTTCCCCATTATAAGATTATGAAGCTATTTTGATATTTTCTTCCATTCTTTCAAAATCATTTAGAATTTACTTTTGGCCATGGTATATCTAATTTTATATTTCTCCTTAATGGATGGCCAGTTACTTGAAAACCATTGAATACATGGAGGAAAGCATTTTTCCACACTGATTAAAAAATGCCACCTTAGTGATATGTCTAGATTTTCTGTTTAGTTCTATTGATTTGTCCTTTCCTCCATAAACACATTATGTAAATTTCTATAACAAGACAATATGTTTTGATATCTGGCCTATTTCCCTTAATTGTGTGTTTTAAATCAGAATTTATTAGTTTTTTTTTTTTTGCATTTATTTACTCTGCCAGATGAATGTGGGAATCAGTGTGTCAGGTTCTAAAAACATACTGTTGTAATTTTGGTCAGGATTGCATCGAATATGCAGATCAAGTTTGGGAACCTTGGGAACCTCCACAGGTGTTTGGATACAGATCTTGCACATTTCTTGTCAGCTGCATGTCTAGGCTTTCTGTTCCTCTCGTTACTGTGACTGGGATCTTTTTTCCCCTATTGCACTTTCTACTTGCTGTGACTAGTACATATATAGAAAATTGAGTCAGTGTAATTCATGTGAGTGGCGTAACAGTCTTAAAGTTTCAGTGCTTTAACACCTGTATTTCTTGCTGATGGACAAGTTGCTGTAAGCTGGGCCACTTTCATCTCAGTAATGCCTTAGCATGCCGGTTCTTTCCACTGCAACCGTGCCGAGTGGAGAATTTCTGGACTCTCTTCCTTAACATTGCTGACTGCACTCTGGCCCTCCCTTTCTGAATGCATCTCTTTCTTGTGATGGTTTTCCAAGTGGAGCTTTCACAGCGCATGCTACTAACCTCTGCTCTTCTCCAGAATGACAAAAGCCTCTGGCGTGTGACCTATGCTCCAAGAAATAAAAGGCAAAAGTTTCACTAAATATTTTGCTGCAAGAAAGTGTTGATCCAATTTTCCAGTCTTAAATATCATTTGTCTTACCTCCTGACACCCAGCTGCTAGAATAATACTATGTAGTTTAGGTTTTATTATTTTTTAAAAAATCAAATACCTTGTTTCCAGTCACTAAGTTCTTATTAGGGTAACTAACACAGGCTGATGTCACAAACAACCCACAGATCTCATCATTGAAGTGATTTCTTTCTCACATCATAGGCCTCTAATGGACTTGCTCTGATTTTGAAGGTGTTTTCTCTTTGTCTTTTCTAGGAAGTTGGGGATGAGAGAGGGGAAGGAGTAGCATCTTGTTCCGTCGGCCTCCTTGATCTAAGCCTTTGTTGTGAATTCGTTTTTACCACATTTAAAGTGTGATGCCCAGAATGGAACTCGGGGCTGCTGGCACCCCCATCCATCTTTGGAGGCCCTGGACATAATCGATGGGGCAGGCAGAAGACCTGCAGCTCCAAGCCTGCTAGTCGGTGAGCCTGGAATTGCTATGCTCTTAGGATCATGTGTTCCCACTGTGAATGCTTTTGGCGGCTTTTCCCACTGGCCACTTGGTCATATCCATACCCAGACTGAACCAGCTCTGACCCCAGGCCCTCCCCACCATGCCCATCCTACCAGGGTGCCCCCGGCTGAGGCTGCCTCTTGAGGCCACACCCTCCACCTGTATAACCCCAGCTTTGGAGCCTGCGGATCCTGCCTGAGCTGCTCTCACCCTTTGGAAACCAAGGATTGAGCATTGTTCCCTGAGTGTATTTCTGGTTATGACTTTCTCTTTTCTCCACAGAAAGGCATCTCTCTGCAGGTATTGGGTTTTCTCTGAGCTCAGCTGCTGCTCTTGGCCTTCTTTCTCCAGTTTCTGTCCTCCTCTACCAGCCTTGAGACTGCAGTGTGGAGATATGTCGCCTCTGTTTTGTCTGGGCTGCTTCTGTCTGGGATGATGGAATCCTCACTAAATGGGAAATGTTTATGGAGGAGGAGGGAGATGGGGAAGTCATTCCCTCCTGTTAACATTTCGGCTTAAGTTAGCTTATTCATATGAATGACACAAAGTCGTAATTGCTCCTAATCAAATCTGTGCACACAGTAAAGCCTCTTTTATGCAATGAGTGTTTACTTAATTGAATGTTACATATAAATGAAGGTTACTCCTTCAAGTGACAAACGTGAGGGATTTCAATGGAAAATTCTGAAAATGAGCCCCTGAAGGAGGGAAGATGGGAGATGAAAGATGCTGGAAGAGAACAGAATGGGGCCAAGACGCTCCAGGAGAGCACCGGGGGAATCCCAGTTGCTCTTGGGTTTCACTTCCAAGGGCAAAACGATGATGACAAATTGCTTTCTGAGAATCCATCCCTCTTGCAGGGACTTTCAGCCAGAGACTTGTCCATAATGGGCTCTGCATCATGTCAGAGCCCTAAACCATAATTAAACACCATTGCATTTATTAGAGTCCTCATGATGTTACCTTAGATTCTTCCCCACAAGGGCAAACCCCCTAGTGTTGATGTCAATGTTCTATGGGATTCTCCTGGTGTTAGATGATTACAGTATCACGGAAACGTGAGGCTGCATCTGCTAAGTAACGTTTCACTCCTGTGTATCACAGAGGTTCTTCTCTAAGCCCCACCCACAGGAGAGCCAGACCTCTGCATCACAGATCACATGGAGAAACTGAAACAAATGCTGACTCTCGGGAGGTGATGATAGGACTCGTTTCCTTATCATTTTTTCAGAGCCCCAGAAGTTTACAATGATAAAAACAAGAGCATTTCATGAAACAGCATGCAAAAGCCCATGCATGCTGTCTATTTTTATATAAATCAGCAGAAGATAAAGAGCTTGTCTTGATTCATGCTGTTCCTCCAGGGAATGTTTTGCAAAAAGGCAAAAAAAAAAAAAAATCAGGGAGAAGAGCGAAGCCTATAAATACAATTGGAAAGGAAAATAAAAACAACTCACTAAACGTTGAGTTTGACGAAAACATAACAAAACCAAGGAACATTTTTATGTTTTTTTCCTTTCAGTTTTACTTTTGATCATGTTTCTTCCTGAGGTTTTATGAATATATACATCAAGTGGGAGAGATAAAAACCCCAAATAACTGTAGAATGATGAGAATGTAGGAAAGAGAATGTAGGCCCTTTTATTCCATGTTATTTTTCTCAGAAAAATGACAGTTCAACCTTTCCCCTTCTGATTGTCACTGGAAAGCAGTTTTCATCTGAAATGAAATGAGTGAGGATCATGAGTTTGCCTGTATGTCTTATATGAAGCCAGCGCTGTAGTGTCCTCACTTACAAACCCGTGTTTCAAGTTTACCCCTCAATTCCTGAAAGTCTGAAATTTTAGAGGGACAAAGGAAAATTAAGAATTAAGCTAAAAAGAGTTAAATTGTGGTTAACAAACATTTCTGTAAAAGGGGCGGAAAGTAAATATTTTCTGCACCGTGGGCCACAATTCAACCCAGCTCTGCCATCGTAGCCCAAAAGCAGCAAGAGACGAGATGCAAGCAGAGGGGGCAGCTGTGTTCTAATACACTTCATGCATATGCACATGTCAATTTCACATAATTTTCACATGTCACAAAATGTTAACATTCTTTTGATTTTTTTTTTCAACCATTTAACAGTGTAAGAATGATTCTTAGCTCATGGGTTCTATAAAAACAGGTGACAGCTGGATTTGACCCATGGGCCATACTTTACTGACCTTTGTACTAAATCATGCTCTCGACCCAATTTACCTTTAAAGTTGTTCTGATGAACATATTTCAACATTCAAAAATGGTATGTGGATTCATCTGTTTTACTGAATACTTTTACTTTTGATTACTGATCTCTGTCTTGGTTAAAGATGCCAAAAACTTAGGCATGACTCATCAGGTGTTCTACCGTGACCTTGGCTCCCAGGCCAGGGAGGATGGCATAAATAGGGTCAGATGGCATGTTGTCGTGGAAACCATAATGATAGCAGCTACTAATGAAGCAGAACTGACTGTGTGTCTGGAACTGTTTGAAGGGCTTTAGAACACTAGCCCAGCTAGTCAACACGATGAACCTAGGAGAAAGGTGCTAACATTCTCATTGTGGACATAGAGAAACTGAGGCACAGGAGGCTGACTGACCTACTCAAGATGATGTACAGTCCAAGTGAGAGCATCTGCTCCCACACTCGGTTGGGCCAATCCAGGCACCACACTGACTCATTCCACTACAGAAAGGAGAGTTCTCCCCTGCCAACGACTCATCCTGAGAGAGCAGAGCAATGAAGTGAAACTGGGATGAAAATCATGAGCAATGAAATGAAATGAAACTTGTAGAGCTGCTTAATTTAAGAGTAAACAAATTCTGCCTTAAATGCCAAGGCTCCTGGCAAGTGACAGAAACCCAACATTGACTAACTGAAGCTCGCCTAAGTGGGACGACCAAGGTGAGTGTCCCAAGAGCTGAGCCCAGAGACTAAAGCACTGTCCTCAGGATGCCCCCTCCATCCCTTGCCACCTCATGTCTCTGCCATCTCCATTCTGCTTTTCAGGTCAGTCTCATTGTTCCTCACTACAATGAAACAATGTTCAGGTGGTAAAAGTTGCTTCTGACAGCCCTACCCTAGAAGCTGGTAGGTCAAATCATGAGAGTAAGCTCGCCTTCCCATCCAACTCCAGGGAAAAGTCCAGGGAGCTGCTCCAGTGACCTCCCAGTGGTGGTCAAATGCCCTCCGAGAGTGAGTGCTATGGGTGCTCTGGTGCTATTTCCTCAGCCTGTTATGAACTCAACACAATACCAGGGAGAGGTAACTGCCAGTCCCACGGACAAATGGATTAGGAAGAGAATTCCCCAAAGAAGGGACCCAGGCACGCTAGAGCCAGAGAGGATGGGCTCCTCAGTTGGTGTGACTGAACTCCAGGGAGCCCAGAGTAAGAAAGGACCCTTGGCACCCTCCAGGAGACCCCAGATAAGCCCATAACAAAACTTCATTATATTTCAGCTCATTAAACTGGCTCAAAGAGAACCAAAATGACAGCAAATGGGTTTTTCCCTAGCATTAGAATCATTGTATGAAGTGGTTCTGGCTAAGCTCTAGCGCACAGGTTTTCAGGTAGACTTTCCATAATCAGATACATGTACACACGGACACTCGCATGTGCACACGGGCATGCACACACATGCATGCACCATGCACACACACACATGCACGCACACACAGACACACATGCATGCACCATGCACGCATGCATGCACACACAGACACACACCTGCATGCACCATGCACACATGCATGCACACACACACATGCATGCACCATGCACACACATGCACGCACAGACACACACATGCACGCATCATGCACACACAAGCACGCACACACACACTCACACATGCACGCACCATGCACACACGCATGCACACATACACACGTGCACGCACCATGCACACACATGCACACACACACACAGACACTCATGTACGCACCATGTGCACACACACGCATGCACATGCAGGCACACTCACACATGCATGCACCATGCATGCACACATGCACACGCACACACAGACACATTCTTACACATGCATGCACCATGCAAACACACATGCACGCACACACAGGCACACTCTCACACGTGCACGCACCATGCACACACACATGCACGCACATACAGGCACACTCTCACACGTGCACACACCATGCACACACAGGCACACTCTCACACTTGCATGCACCATGCACACACACATGCATGCACATACAGGAACACTCTCACATGCACCACCATGCACACACACATGCATGCACACACAGGCACATTCATGCACACACAGCTTGCACAGTGTCTGAGTCATAACAAAATAGGCTATGTCTTGAAATCTCAGTGGCTTAATACAGCAACAATTGCTTCCTCACTTGCATAGACAGAAGACTCTGGGAGCTTCCATCTTGTGACTCCATACACTCAACACATAATTCCTTGATCTCCAAGGCAAGAAAATTATGCCCACTGTCTTTGAACTTCCATTTGCCAGCAAGGGCAGGTTTACACACCTCCCCCCAACCCCATAACATGACAAAATGGTAAAATGATATGCACACACCTCAGACGATGAAACACCCTTTGCCATCATTTTGTTCTCTTTGAGCCAGTTTTCAATGAGCTGAAATGCAATTAAATATTGTTGCAGGCTCATTCTGGGTCTCCTGGAGGATGCCAAGGTCCCTGGCCCTCTCAGATCTCCTGGAGGTCAGTCACACCCTCGAACTCCCCATCATAATCACCCTTATTTCTAACTAAGTATGTGATGGTTAATTTCATGTGTCAACTTAGTTGGGTCCCAGTGCCCAGATATTTGGTCAAACATGGCTGTGGATGTTTCTGTGTTTGGTGTTTTTTGAATGAGGTAAACATTTAAACAGGTGCACTCTGAGTAAATCAGATTCCCTCCCTAATGTGGGTGAGCCTCATCCCACCAGCTGAAGGCTGGAATAGGACAAAGACGGAGGTCCCCCAAGCACGAAGGAATTCTGCCAGCAGGTGGCCTTTGGACTCCAGCTGCAACTCTTTCTGGAGTACCTCCAGCCTGGCAGTCTACTCTACCAGATTTTGGACTCATCAAATCTCCAACAAATTCCTTACAATCTCTCTGTCTCCCTATATATAAATATATGTGCACGTGTGTGTGTGTGTGTGTGTGTGTGTGTCTGTGTGTAAGAAGAGAGACAAGAAAGAAAGCCTTTATTGTCAGAGGAGAAGTAAGAGCAGGTGGACTCAAAGATCTCAAGCTGTGGTTAGTAACTTCCTAGTATTCAAGACCATGAAAATGAACAACATTTCTTTTCTTCTCGTACAGCCATCTCACCTTCACAAGTTGAATGCCCTCATGGACCACTGAGTGAATCCAGCGTATCACCCTAGTCTACACTTTGGGTACCATTTTTATCTTTGTTTTTTGATGGGTTGTTTGTTTGTTGGTTGGTTGGTTGGTTTTTGCCATTTCACACTAAACAACACTGTCTATTGTTTTACCCTGGGCTTTAAAAAAAGGCTTGACACAAAATGCCTTTCCTTTCCCTTTAGTCTCTCCCTACACCACATTTCTCTGTTTGCCTTCCCATAAAAATGACTTTTATTGATTTAGTATATGCACCTGCAAGGCACTAAGAAAGGAAAGGTCCACTCTATTGTAAGAATTGGCACAAAAATCAACCCCAAACTAACCTTGGTCTTATCTAGGAAGTGAAATAGCCAAGAATCCTCTAAAATTAAGGCGATTCCAGACTATAAGGGTGAACGCAGAAGCAAATGCTGTCAAGAAATGCAGCGTTTCTTACCTCAGTCATTAATGACCCACTAGCATAGCATGGTGGACAGGTATTGATTGCAACCTTCCACACAGTTTTGATTCCTATCCTGTCTCACCATGACTCAGTTTTCCTATCTATGACATAAAAATAAAAAGAGAGAAATTATCTCAAAGTTTCTGCAAAGATTAGTGTGAGCAATGACAAACACTCAATCTCTGGAAAATGCCTTAAATCACTAATAGAAAATTCATGAACAAACGTTACCTCTAAGAGAATGAGTATCACAGCTAAAGAGAACCTTCCTTTTCCTTGCAGCCATTCTCTTCAAAATAAGGAGCCTGATGTTTCACAAAACCATCTGTTGCCCTCTTCTGTTATTACAGCTGAATGCTTCAGAAATCATTCTGCACCACTAAAAATAAAATCCACGTAGAACCTGAAAGAACCAATGCCAATTACTGGAGCCAAATTCAGGTTGTATTTTTAAAAGTGTCTATGAAACCATCTATAAATAGAAAGCCTTTCCTGTTATTTTTAATTACTTCATTTTAATGGAAACAGACTCCAGTTGGTGAGGATGTGGTTAGGATGCCATGGCACAGGGCCTGCCCTTCCGGACAGAAGGCTGACTCCAGCCAAAGGAAGCCAGGGGGTGGCTCAAAGCAGTCAAAGCATCTTCAGTGCTTACTCTTGGTTGTTGATCCCAAAGCCTCCTTAGAAACCTCCTAGCGTGTCTCAAACCCTTTCAAACATGTGTATATTTCTATAAGTCCAATGACAAGTTGATTTTCTTATATTTAAGGTAAATGTGGACCACAGAGAGTTTCTCTGTGAGCTGGAAGAGGAAACATTCCTGAGTCAAATGCTAGGGCAGTGCCACAGCTCCAGGGTCTGCTGGCAGAGGGGTGTGTCTCAGACAGGCATCTCTGAGAGGCAGTGTGCCAGTCCAGTCCCCCAGAGCCAGGGAGCCTCCCACCCCATGCCGCCTCACAGGGCAGGAAGAGGGCACATTACTGCCTCACACTGGCTTAGGGAGGACAGGGAACAAGGAGACAGCCCAGGGGACTCTGGCAGTGGCCCTCATCCCCAGACCTGGATGGGAACCTAAGAGTCTGGGCAAGTCCTAGCTGGTGGCTCTGGTCTGCCTGTGTGCCACCATGTGCCACCATGAGCCACAGGAAATAAGCAGCACATCAGATGGGAAGAGTGAGGCCCTAAGAAATCTATTCTGCTTCTTGTGGCAAAAGCTGAGCCTTCATGCCCCCGGCCTCAAACAGCTCCATCTCCTGCTGCAAAAGTGTGCCCCGGAGCTACAGCCTGACTGGCCAGGCAGATATTAGAGTTCCTTGTCTCAGATTTCCTGTCTGGGTCACTAACCTGAAGGCCATGACAGACCAGGTAATACTCATCCACCAGTATGAGGGTGTCACTCTGCCAGTTACCTACTGTATGGCCTTGGGTGTGTTCCTTAGCCCCTTTGTGCCCCTCGCTTTCCTCAGCCATAAGAGAGGGGAGATAACTGCAGCTGTTCATAGGGCAGTTGTGAGGATTGAGTAAGTTAAGTCAGTAAGGACCCTGGGGTCATTCCTGGCACATAGTAAGCCCTATAGAAGTTTTTGGCAATTAGATCATTACATGTACAAGTTAACGTAATTGTGAATATCATGGATCCATAGGATGGACTGATTGTGTGTTAACAGGAATTTCTTCTAATCAATTATGTTCTGTCTCTGACAACAGCGGTGAAATGTGAAATGTGAAAGTGTAGGTGTGTGTACTCCTGCTCATGAAGGACAAGTTAGATAACTTGCAAGTATTATGATGCACCTTATTTGTTCCCAGGATGATGATTTTGTCATGTTCCTGTCTCTGTCTCATGGGAAGCAGGTAACGGGGCCATCCATTTGCATGTGTAAAATAAAACAAACCTATAAAAGCAAAACGTGGCGACAAACCACAAGTGCTTCTATCCTCATGGTTTCCACGGTGCCTGTCAATGAGCACTCATCATGGCCCTCTCCTGGCCTTCCCACTGAGTGAGAGCTCATTTGACAGGCAAGACAGCATCTCCAGGCCCTCTCCTGCCACTTGAAGGAGGCCTCTCAATCTCTCTGGCCACTAGCACCCCAACTCACAATGAGGATTTTAACAAGATGAACCCTATATCCCCACCTTGACTTCTAAATTGTATATTGCAGAGAGAGTGCTGGAAAAAAAAAAGAAATGAAATGAAGTGAAAAAAATGAAAGAAAAGAGAAAGGATTTGCTAACCCATGACATTTATGTCTAGAGGACTCACAAATGAAAATTTGAGAAAAAGACATGGTTATTTCTCAGCAAGTAGAGTTTCTTAAACATCATGTGCCAACCCCTCCTTCGAGGGTTGCTTGTATCTTCTTGGGTGTCGGTGATTCTGGTGCCCACGTTTCATGATGCTGACACAATTCATTTTATTATCAGTAGGAGAAGAGCAGTTACTCAGGACAGCCATGCTAGCCTGGACTAATTTGGATAAATTGTCCCACGCCAGAAATAAACAGGCCATCAACCCCAAATGTCAAGCATGACACAAGGAAGTTGGAAGGACCCACCAAACTCAAGGATTCTCCTAGCACACAAACTGAGGAAGAACAATACATAGGACTCCAAGACTGGAGATGTTCCTTCAGTATGCTATCTTTTGTATTCATGCTGGGGTGCAGACGGGGAATTAGAAGCAAAGCACTGTAGAGTCCCTTTTGGAATATTGACCAATAATTTTATAAAATGTACAATTTTATTCAAAATTAATCATAGGTCATTGGAGTGGATCTCATATGAGTGGCTTGGTGCTGTCCTCCCAGTAATGAATGAGTTCTCATTCTTAATTCATTCAAGAGCTGGTTGTTTAAAAGAGCCTGGTATTTCTCTTGCTCCCTCTCTTGCCATGTGACACGCCAGCTTCCCCTTTGCCTTCTGCCCTGAGTAAAAGCTTCCACACCAGAAGACGAACAGATGTTTGTGCCCGGCTTGTACAGCCTGCAGAACCGTGAGCCAAATAAACCTCTTTTCTCTATAAATTACCCAGTCTCAGGTATTCCTTTATAGCAATGCAAAATGGACTAACGCACCTGTCTACACCACTTAGTTCAATTTATTAATTATATTTTGGGGGTTGTTTAATCAGCATATGTTGGCCTTTGCATGTCAGCAATTGAATGAAGGTGATATTTAGTTGGTTTTGAGTCTTTGCAAGCGAAGACCTGGCATAAGTCACTTAAGACATCTTATTTCTATTTAGATCAGATTTCCCAAATCTGTGACACATATATAGATTATATATAATATATGATATATAATATTATATAATATATATTTTATTTATATATTATATATAATATATAATATATATTTTATTTATATATATTATATATAATATTTTATAAATAAATATTATATATAATATATATAAATTGAAAATAGCCTTCTGAGGCTTGCTGTATTCTGCCTGGACTATTTCAAGATTCCTCAAGAGGGAGATGAAGGTGGTTCCATGTCCCTGTGTGATGCGGATGCTGCAGGATGTGGCCCCTCATTCTGGGAGCTCCTGGAACTCTCTGAACTTCTTACCCAGGCTGTTCTGGTGCTAGAAAATTTTTCTTTAAAGATAAGTTGAAAAATCTTGTTTGCAAACTGTCAAAGCCCCAGAGGCACCACTTTCTCTGAACATCCTCATCTGTAGCTAACATTTCTCTTGTGACAATACACCAGGTCTAAAATTCAATTTCCTGGTATTCTGACGTAAGAGCATGATGACGCAGGTACCATTAGACAAGGCCTAGGAAGTTTTGGCCAGGAGCAATTCTTTGTGTGATGGGTTGAAAAGAAAAGCCTCATGTAGATGATATTTAAGTATATGGAGCTATTGAGTTATCCTTTCCAAAAAGTGATACTGTTGAGAATACTTTTATTGAAGAATTAAAAAATTCCATGGCTATGACTTCCTTAAATTTTTAATCACTTATATAGCTATATTTGTGTTGTAATTTGAAGGAGATTGGGCCATGACCACTGGACAATGTCCAGGATACCCCTTGGCCATCTTGACCTGACCCTGGTCTTTAAATACTGAAAACCTTGGCATACTGCCATGCTTCCCAGCTCTTTGCCCTACTTGCCTACCAAGGGAAGCCTCTAGATACAGAAAACATGGACTGAAGAAGGACTCAGCGTTTCTCAGAGGCAGCAGTGCAGAGAAGAAAGGATGTGAAGCAAAAGGCAAATGACTCTAGAGAGGGGGTGAGTGTGTGTGTGGTGTTTGGACAAAGTTGAGGACAACGTGGCCCATGGCAATGAGTGGCTGGTGTGTCTCTGCCTTGTGCTGGGTGGGTCTGGCTGTGTGGCACTTGGTGTGGCAGGTGACTGAGGACTTTTGCACCCACCTTCGCAGCGTGGCCTGAGGAGTGTGCCTGGAGCTGGCTGGAGTCAGGGAGGCTGGGGATTGCTTATGGAAACCCAGGGGGCCTGGGCCCTAAGGCAGCAGTGCTCACTCACCTCCATCTCCCCCAGATTGGCAGCTGCTATGGGGGCTGGGGTGCTGCAAACACAGCTGGACCCAAAGTCTGAGTGTAAAAGACAACAGTGCACTTTCATGGCTGTGGCCAGACAGAGCAACTGCTCCTGGTAAACCATCAGAGAAATATAGATATATTCTGACAAAAATAAGAATCATCCTCTTCTCTCAGTTCCACACCCAGTGCTAACCAATATTAATGGTTATATTTATATTTGTATAACTGTTATTTTTTGGGGGTGACCTTTTCTTTTCAGTGTGGACAGTAATTATATGCTGCATTTCTACAGTTCTGGGAAGTGTGCCATGTTCGCTTTATCTGATTTACCTGCCTTAGGTCACCATCTCTGGAATGAGCCACGGAGGGTGAAGATGGGATGGGATGGATAAATGGGCTGGAGATCAGCAGGCCAAGAAGGGTCTGTAGCCCATCAAAATTGAGAGGGAAATCTGGCTCCCGCAGTGTCCTCCAGCGCCCTCTGCTGACAAAACTCAGCACCGCACCAGCGGGTGAAGGAGGAACGTTTGCAGGACCCAGAGCCAGGATCACAAACAGGCATTGAAGGGTGAATTTGTGGCTATAAGACAATATTTTAGTCAACACCACAGAGTGTAAGAGTGAGCATTCAGTAAGCAGTAAAGAAGACCAAAATCCTTGCCCCCCAAGGGCTTGCATTCTTGCCAGAGGAGACATGTCAACTCAACAAATAAGTGCAATGCACAGATGTGGGTGGTGATGACTGCTAAGGTGGGAAATGAAACAAAGGAAGTGGTTGGGAGTGCATGGAAAGTTTCAGTGTAGACTCCGTGGGGGCAGGGAAAGACTCCTGGACATATAGGCCTGACAGCAGTGAGGGAGAAGCACGTACCAAGGCCCTGTGGTGGGAGCATTCCTGGTGTTACAAAGGTAAGCAAGAGAGCCAGAGTGACTGGGGTGTAGTGAACATGGGAGAGATGAGGTCACAGAGGTAGCAGGCCTGAAGAGTGTGTGCATGTGTGTGTGAATATGTGCATGTATGTGCATGTATGACAATGTGTGTATGCATGTGTGCACATTTACGTAAATGCATGTAAATGTGTGTACAAGCAGTTGTGCAGGTGTGTGAGTGGAGGCATGTGTATGCATATGTGCACCTGTGTGAGTGTATGCGTGTGTGTGCACATGTGAACATGGCTACGTGCACATGGATGTGAACACAAGCATTTATGCATTATAAATATAGTTTATAATGCATAGCTTATACTGCAGCATGGCAAGCATAGTTGTATTATAAACAATGCAACTATGAGAACATGTGCACGTGTGTGCAGTGTGTCCATAGGCATATTTCTGCATGCATATGTATATGTTTGCGTTGTCAACAGGACTTAAGAATCCTTGTAGACCATTAGAGGAACACTAACTTTTACTGTGAGGAAAACAGAAGCCACTGGAAGTTTTTCAGCAGAGGAGTGGTAGAATTATCTCCATATTTTAACAGGATCTCTGCAGCTGCTGTGGTGGGAGACTTGGCTGTCATGGGTCAGGGCTGGGAGCAGGGGCTCCTGGAAGGAGGTGGGGGACAATAGTGGCTTGGCCCATGGTGGAAGCAGTGGAGATGCTGAGAAGCAGGCAGGCTCTGGATGTGTATTAAAGATAACACCAGCTGGATTTGCTGAGGATATGAATGGAGATAGTGATTGGTCTGAAAGTTTCTAACTGCGGGATTGTTTGAGCTGGTTATTTTTTAAAGGGGCAGGAAAGCGGCTCTTCCAGCAACTGCAGGATAAGATAAGAAAGAGGTAGTGAAATCACTTTTAGGAATCGCTCAGCTCATCTGTTATCTTCTGGAAGAGGGCAAGGCACCACCAGGGCCACTAACTGGTGAGGGAGGGCTCCCCCGGGCGATTGTGCTCATCCCGGCTGCTCCCTCTTGAACTTGGCCATGTGACCTAAGGATTCCAGATGAACATTGACATTTGATTTCATGTGCACCATCTTACAGTAGAATTTCTTACTGGCAGGCTAAACTGATCCCTGCACAAGAGAGATTATGTGTCTCCCTATCAACTTGAAAAATAAACTCAGGAAATTCAAGAACTCTGAATTGTCAGAAAATAGCTCTGCCCTTCCACCAGACCCACGAGGAACATGCTGAAGACCACATGAGTGATGTCGACAGAAGCATTTGTCCTTTTCCTGACTCTTTCAAATCATTTGGTGAGAGGTGTTTCGTTTCTGTTCAGACGCAAGCTTCTTCCCGGAGTGGAGGCTTAGAGGCAGGCTCTGTGGCATGCACTCCCCGACTCTACATGGTGCATTTTGACTGAAGTGAATACCCTGAGAAGGTTTTGCAGAAAAATCAAGGAGATAAATGAAAGGTTTCCCTCAGTGGTGAATGTGCAGAGGCTCCCTAAAATGCAGGTATGTGAGCCATAAACCTCTTTGCCCTATGTAAATACCCAGCCATCTTCTTTCCTGTTCTGTTGTGAGCCCTCTGAATCAATATGTGAGCATTCAGAACTATGATGTCGCTTGAAGGCCAGGGTTTCAGAAGTTGTCCAGCGTAGGAGAAAATGCAATTCACTTTCAGGATGCTGTGTGAGGGCAGGAAGGATCCTCAAGCTCTTCGCCCTTTGCTCAGCGCTGTTAAACACTCTCAGAATTAGGACTTGCTCTTAACCACATGTAAATGTAAATTACTTTCCAGACCAAATACAAACCACCCTTTATCATCTTCAGTTTTGAATTCTTTGTGCCTCTCTACACAAGCATTAGCAGAGATAATTGAAAATTTGCAGCATTTAAATCTATGTTTTAAAAAATGATTCAGGAAGCTTTTCGACATCTTTAGACTATTACAGTGTCATTTATTCCTGCCAAGAGGTCTACCAAGCAGTTTTGACCCAAATGTAGTATCTCTAAGTATCTGCTTCCTCTGGCCTCCCAGTAGACACAAGTGACTTCACTCTTGTCGCGGATGTGTCTGGCAGTGGCTTGGGTCCCCTTGATGATAATAAGAAGCGTCCCTTGTGTGAGGGCCCCTGGGACTTTTCTGGAGAAGCAGCAGCTTTAGCTCAGCCCCACAAATTATGGCTGTCACCAGCGGCTGTGCCCAGAGGATGAAATACATTTAGGCAATGGAGGAGCCCCTCCTGAATGTGCTGAATCTCTCTGTCTTCGGCACAGTTCACCTTGAGAGAGAGTCAGGCTGGCTTTGGGAATGGATTTAGAGAGGAGTACTTTGACTCTCCTGCCTAATGAAGATTTGCTGTGTTAAGGCTCTAAATCATTGAAGCCAAGAACTACTAATAATTAGAGCTGATAAAAGCATTAAGGAAACCTTTAATCCCCTGGTCCTGGGAGCTGGAGGTTTGCACAGCCTGTCATTTATGCACTGAAACGACTAGTCTTAATGGGGTTAGCATGTCTGAGATTGGTAATTATTACAGGCACTGCTTGCTGAGCCTCCATGAGGCATGCTTCAGCCCTGAAAGATCTTCTGGGGTGTTGTTTTATGACTTTCCCCGACTGCTTTTGGCTGGCTGAAAATGAATCCAAACACTGCTGCAAAATTGCTCTTCAGGAAGACTTTTCTGAAAATTTGCCCACAAGTGTTTATTTCTTTTAGGCATAAGGAATCAGAATTAGTGGTAAATATCGGAGTATAATTCTTAGATACTGTCACTGTTAAATCTATTCTTTATTTGTAGATTTTTATTTTCCTCCCTTTCAAATAATTGCATTGATTATATTACACAATAATATCAGCCTTTGAAAAATATTTTTCATTACCAAAAATTTGCCTGACCTGGATTGTGAAGTCATTTTTTTTCATAAAGAAGGTTTGATGAACATGTTCATTAATCTACACTATGTTTATTGGGCAAATTTATAGTTAAACCTGTATCTTCAATGCTCGAATAATGTCTTAGTCCTTTTGTGTTGCAATAAAGTGATACATGAGGCTGGGATATATATATATATAGATATATATCTATCTATCTCCATATATATATATAGATATATATATGGAGATATATTTGGATATATATATATATATATGGTTTATTTGGCTCATGATTCTGCTGACTGGAAAACTGAGTCTCTGGTGAGGCCTCAGGCTGCTACCACTCATGGTTAAAGGCAAAGGGGAGATGGCGTATACAGAGATCACATGGCAAGAAAGGGAGCAAGAGGGAGAGAGTGGAGGTGCCAGGCTCTTTTTAACAACCACTCTTTTGGGAACTAATAGAGCAAGAAGTCACTCATTACTGCGAGAACAGCACCAACACATTCAGGAGAAATCTGCCCCCGATCCAAATACCTCTCATTAGGCTCTGCCTCCAACACTGGGAATCAAATTTCAACATGAGGGTTAGAGGGGGCAACATTCAAACCACAGCTACTAAGCACTTGTTTGGCTTGCATTTGTTGTGTATTCTTAAAGACAGGAAAAATAAAAGGGCTGGTCACTGGCAGAGGAATTCAGAACATGTTAATATCTACAGGACTTGGGCAAAAGCAGTGAGTAGAAGTGGCAATACACTTTAATAAATGTGCCTTCGAGAATCGCTTGAACCCAGGAAGTGGAGGTTGCAGGGAGCCGAGATCACGCCACTGCACTCCAGTCTGGGCAACAGTGTGAGACTCCATCTCAAAAAAATAAAAAAATAGTGCCTGGAAGGATGTTCTTCATTAACATTGGCTGTGACTTTAGCATGGGGATCATTGACATGGTGACATTTTTCTATAGTTCCAAGGATGCCACCTTCAAGCGTGATTGGACTAAGATTATGAGAACCCCCTCACTGGGGTCTCTGACCTCCACCCCTTTCCATTACTCTAGCATCTCACAACTGAGGGCTTCAGTCAGAGAAACTCTTCCCCACTCTTTTTCCATGTTATTTACAGCCTTGTTCACCAAGATTGCCCTATAAAAATTGGTCCTGCTGGTCGTTGGTGTTTTTACATGGAAATTCAAGTGTTATAATTCTAATGGAATTATTGTAAACGATGGTTCTTATGTTTTATTTAGGCACTTCACCAAATGACCTCAGCAGAGTGGGAAAGTCTCACGTAGGTGACTTGCTATGCCCAGTAGCCTGCGTGTCTCTCCACAGATACTGACTTCCCTGTAACTTTACTATTTTGGGGTTACTTATGTTTAACAACCAAAACATCCTGTCAAGTTTTAGTAAATCGGGTGAGATATCTAAATTATGTTAATAATTTTTTAACACTTTTCATTTTGAAATAGTTTAAGTCTTAAAAGAAGTTGCAAAAATGATACAGAAAGTTCCTACATGTCATTTCCCCATCTTTTCCCTATAATCTTCCTTAGCCATAGTACACTGTCAAAACTAGGCCATTGATATTGGCACAACCCTATTAGCTCAGTTGAAGACCTAAATCAGATTTCACCATAAGTCTGTGTTTTTAAATGGTATTATTGGCTGAGTTTGTCTCTTACTTGCAGCCTAAAGCATTCATAACTGAAATATCATGCAACTGTAGGTATATAAGCACACAGACACATCATTTTTTATTTTCTGATTGGATTTTCAGTAGACAGACACTTGGGAATGTTAACTTTAAAAGTATTTAATAGACATTTCTCTCCTACCACTAGAGCTCACAAATGACTTGTTTTGAGAAAGTATATGTTATTATCACAGAACAGGATGATTTCTTTTAGAAATCTCTCCCATGGGTTAGGGGTTCATCTTCACTCCCATCTTCTTTTTTCAATGTAAGTGATTGTCTCTGAATAATCATGTTTGAGTTTCTGTCCTTGCCAAGCCTGAGGCTCACTAGATTCTGTACCCCTTCAGGGTATGAATCTCACTAAATTCATCTTTCTAGTCTCTGTATGTAGTAGGGTCTGTTATACTCTAGGTGCTCAATAAGCTCAATACATGTGTGTTAAGTGAGCAAGTGAATAAATGACCAGATGCAGATGGAATGTGGCATGTTGTTCAGCCTGTGATGTGGATAAATGGGTGGGTTAAAAAAATGGTAATTTTGTTGATGCCACTCTACTAAAACTCACTTTTAGATTTCAGAATGTCTGTTCTGGTAAGGCATTCATTATTTTAGTGAATACGGCTGCACTGGGACAGAGTTGGCCAGTCGTACCCCTGGCTGGTGTTGGACATGGGCCATCTATTCAGTTGTCCCTGGGGTGATTCTTAGAGGCAATGGGGGAGGTTTCTTACCTTGACCCATTTCTTCCACCTAACTGTGCCTCAAGACACACCAGAGAGGGTCATGCCCTAAGTCAGACACCTATGAGAGGATGAGACACCTATGAGAGTATGTTTCCAGACTGACTCACTTTTAGGTCCTTTCAAGCAGCAGCAGCAGGAGACTGAAAGCTGCTCTTCTCAAGACCTGGCCTTCACATGTACCTTGTGGGGATGGGGCGGTCTCTGTGTATAGGAAGGTCTAGAGCTATTGTGAACCTGGACCAGGGCTAGCAGGGCTAGCTGTGGGCAGCTCAAGGGCTGCAAGGGGGCTTGAGAACAGTCAGTGTGGAGAGAGGCTAAAAAGGAAGAGGACGGACGGGGTGATGGTCTGTCTGGCCAGGCCAGCTGGAATGGCACTGAGCAACTTGCTCCACATGTTGGTCCTTTCCTTGCAGCATTCCACTTTTGGCATCAAGCACTGTACCAGTTAGGGATTAGCTTCAGCTGCTGAAAACAGAAAACTCGAAATGACAGTGCTTGAACAAGATTTCTATTTCATGTGTAAGTCCTGGCCAGCACTGGCTCTTCATCACAGCAGGGATCTTGTCGAGCTGCCAAGCACGGCCCTCATCTTCCCAGCCCCGGTGTACCCTCGGCCATCCTGTCCATGCTGCTAGCGGACGGATGGAGCAAGAGGTTGAGGAAGGCACAAATGTGCATGCCAACTTTCCTACAGAATGCCCTGAGAAGCCGTCTCTGCACACTTCTCTGACATCCCATGGGCTGGAACTTAGTCACATAGAGCACACCTATCTACAAGGGGAACTGGAAAATGCAGTTTCTATTCTGGAGAATAGAAACTCCTATCAAAATGCCCAGTTCCATTCTGATAGGAAAAAGAAGAAAACAGATATTAAGGAGATATTCGTAGTCTCTGCCTAAAGGTTAACCCTGAAGTATCATTTACATACCTGAGAGCACATTGTTCAAAATTGTCAGTCATTGTTATCTAAATTCAGTGGCAAGAACTGTCCATGGTCCAAGATCTTGTCCTTCTTGTAAGCTAAAATGTTAGCTTGTCAGAGTTTCATGGATGCTAGTGGAAGACATGAAACTCCTGGGTCAGAAGAAAAGGACAGTTCATTGCTCATGGCAATGGCAATGGTCAGAGTATCAGCATCTGATTCCCACAAGATGATCCTAAGGAGGGCACAGTGACACTTTCACATGCAGCAGGTTTTGTTACAGGAGACCAACCCTGAACACAGGGAAGCCAAATCTTCTAACAATGCCTGTCTTTGCTGAGGAGGGAGACATGACCTCAGTTCTCCAAGGCTGATCACTGTCCTTGACAATGACCCAGAGGAATGGCAGACACTGCCTTGCAGACACACCAGGGCCCATGGAAAGCTGTTCCACATTCCGTAATTACGTTCCTCCAATCACATTGTTCCCTAGTGTCTCTGTTTTCATTATAGATCTGTCAGATCACATATCATGCGACATCCAGGTAGCTAAAATACTGTAAGTGAGGGACTTAGCAAGGGAGTCAGGCTGAAAAAGGTTTTCCTTTCCCCCTAGTCTCTTAATTCCTTTTGGTTCTTGGTTTTTCCCTCATTACAAGGCAGATGCTGAATGGCCAGGACTCAAAGCTTCTTCCTCATAGGAGAGAGGCCTCAGTCAGCTGAAAGGAGGAAGCCAGACACTTATCTGATGCTGTAAAATACATGCTTATGGTGCTCTTTGGACAACTGTGGGTTTGCCTTTGGGAAACAACAGTTTCTATTATTTGCAACTCTGTCAATGTCACCTCTTTATATTTTATTAAACTCATTGAAAAATTCATATGTCAGATCATTCGGTTAAAACATTTAAAGGCCTAGTATCTCATCATATGGGGGTTTGGCACCAATTAATCTTACAGGAAATTTGGTTTCCCATCCGTCCTTGTCCTCCCACTTCAGGGTCCACCTGCTGGTGGCCTGGGTTTCTCCAGAGGCAGGTCCTCCCAGCATCCACATTCCCTCTTCTGGAACACTGGGGACAAAGGCTGGAGAGCCCACCAATAGCACTACCATGACCTCCTGGCATAAGGAGACAGATGACTGCGGCTTATGCCTTCAACACTGGCTCTTTCTGAGTACGTTTTACACTTGCTGGTGGGGGCCACACTAGGAAAAAATTTCCCTTTGCATTTTCCTTCCATTCACAAAGAGTCAGCCCCCAGCATCAAGACGGAGCAGCTGTCCAAAATTAGATGCTACTGCTCTCATTTGTTGGTTAAAAATAGCTGTTCTGCACCTTTTATGCCATCACCAGGGGCTGTTTTCAGCCAATGTTTATGACAGAGAAAGACATTTGCTAATTCGCTGCTTATTCAAGGAGAATAGAACTTATTTGTTGTTCCCCTGCAAATAGACAACTGGGGATGTTAGCAGCAATTTACTTGCATTTTCTTAGGATTTGCAGGGTGGTTTTGTGATAGGAAAATGGCTAGTGAGGAGAGAGGAAAGAAGGGCACACATTGAACCTAATATTTTAAAAGAAGCAATGAAACTGGGCCCAGCCAGCGAGGCAGCCTACGGTGCTGGACACATCTGATAAAAGGGGAATCACCAAACTTGCCATTTCAATGGAGTGAAGCCCAAAGGAGCCGGAGCGCCTCGAAGGTTTGCAGTCCTCCCTCCCCTCTAACCCCCGAGGCCTTGGGTTCGTCCGGAGCGCCTGGAAGGTTTGCAGTCCCCCCTCCCCGCCACCCCCGAGGCCTTGGGTTCGTCCGGAGCTTCTAGAAGGTTTGCAGTCCCCCCTCCCCCCAAGCCCCGAGGCCTTGGGTTCGTCCGGAGCGTCTAGAAGGGTCCCCCCTCCCCTCCACCCCCGAAGCCTTGGGTCCCCAGAGCGCGCCCAGGGCTTTTTTTTTTTTTTTTTGAGACGGAGTCTCGCTCTGTCGCCCAGGCTTGAGTGCCCTGGCGCAACCCCGGCTCACTGCAAGCTCCGCCTTCCGTGTTCACTCCATTCTCTGTGGCCCAGGCTGGAGTGCAGTGGCGCAATCTCGGCTCACTGCAAGCTCCGCCTTCCGTGTTCACTCCATTCTCTGTCGCCCAGGCTGGAGTGCAGTGGCGCAACCTCGGCTCACTGCAAGCTCCGCCTTCCGGGTTCCCGCCATTCTCCTGCCTCAGCCTCCAGAGTAGCTGGGACTACAGGCGCCCGCCACCACGCCCGGCTAATTTTTTGTATTTTTAGTAGAGACGGGGTTTCACCGTGGTCTCGATCTCGTGACCTCTTGATCCGCCCGCCTCGGCCTCCCAAAGTGCTGGGATTACAGGCGTGAGCCACCGCGCCCGGCGCAGGGCGTGCCCAGGGCTTCTGATGCCAGAGCCCAGGAATGAGCTTTTGCCTTTTGGATTCAGGGCTTCCCTGTACTCTCACAGAGTCAGAATGGCCGTATGTTTACATGTGAAGCCCTGGGGCTCCCTGGCCCCTTCCTGGGCCGTTCTCCACCTTTTCTCTTCTCACCCTTTGCTGTTCCCTGAGTCATGCAATCCATAGTGAAGAGGCCAGAGGCCCGGATGGGGAAGTGCCGGGGGCAGCCGTGGCAGCTTCATCACAGAGGTGCGATCTTTTTATCTCTGGTAATAGTGGCATGAAACTATTTTAGGGGCAGTGCCAGTCTCCGGGAATTTTAAAGTTCAATTTTCTGGGAACAGAGTCTGAAGGCATTTATCTCCAAGGCAGCGTTAACACTGAACTTTAAAAGGCCAAGCATGGAGGAAAGCCTTTTTAACACATGGCTTTTGGATCTCAGGGTGGGCCGCAAAGGCAGCCAGCCAGAGACCAAGATTGCACCTGTCCCAAGACTGGGTATAAAAACAGAACGGTGGACACAACTCCAAGAGAAGGTTTTGGCCAAATGTCTTGAATCATAGAAGATTTGACTGTAAACCTACTCCACAGTTTCTATTCAGTGGATGGTTTTGCTGAACTGAGCTAAGATAGAATTGGATATTGAAGAGCTAAAGTGTTTTGATTTTTAAAATTTTTTATAATTTCAACTTTTATTTTAGATTCAGGGGATACATGTGCAGGTTTGTTACGTGGGTGTATTGCGTGATGCTGAGGTTTGGTGTATGAAGGATCCTATCATCCAGGTACTGAGTATAAGTACCCAAGATTTAGTTTTCCAACCTTTGCTCCTTCCAATAGTCCACAGTGTCTACTGTCCCCCTCTTTATGTCCATGGGTACTCAATGTTTAGCTCCCACTTGTAAGTGAGGACATGTGGTATGTGATTTTCTATTTCTATGTTAATTCACTTAGGATAATGGCCTCCAGCTGTATCCATGTTTCTGCAAAGGATATGATTTCATTCCTTTTTATGGCTGTGTATAATGCCATGCTGTGTATGTACCACATTTTCTTTATCCAGTCCATTGCTGATGGACACCTGGGTTGATTCCATGTCTTTGCTACTGGGAGTAGTGCTGCGATGAACACAGAAGTGCCTGTGTCTTTTTGGAAGAACGATTTATTTTCTTTGGGTATATACCCAGCAATGGGATTGCTGGGTTGAATGATAGTTCTGTTCTTAGCTCTTTGAGAAATCTCCACACTGCTTTCCACAATGGTTGAACTAATTTGCATTCCCACCAACAGAGTATAAGCGTTTCCTTTCTCCGCAGCCTTGCCAGCATCTGTTGTTTTTTGACTTCTTAATAATAGCCATGCTGACAGGTGAGAGATGGTATCTCATTGTGGTTTTGATTTGCATTTCTCTGATGATTTGTGATGTTGAGCTCTTTCTCACATTTGTTGGCTGTTTGTAGGTCTTCTTTTGAGAGCTTCTTTGGAGGTTCTAGCAGGGGAGCGCAGCTACTCGTATACCCTTGACTGAAGACCAGTCCTCCTCTATCGGGTATGGTCGTCCTCTTCGACCGAGCACACAGCTTCAGGAGGGACGCACATGGAGCAGTGAGGGAGGAAGGGGACACCCGCCTAGCCAGCCAGATCAGCCGAACCAACCCTGGCAATCAATGGGGTGACAGATGTCGCAGCCAGATCGCCCTCACATCCAGGTCTCCTTTTGAGAAGTGCTTGTTCATGTCTAAAGTGTGTTTCAAAGTTCAATGAGACATAGACCCAGTAATGCGGACATGAACATATTTGTCCTGCTTGAGAATGTGTCTCAGGACATGGGGATCTTCTCTTTGAGGAGCTGTTCTGCCGATTCTGGGCCCCCTCATTTTGGCTGGAAGGGAAGGAAGGGCCCTGTGCCCGCTGATGAACTGCACTTCTGTCTTCATCTCTTGCCAAGACTTGCTCAGCAAAAACGTGCAGTGGGGGAAGAGCAGGAGTCTAGGTGCGTAGGCACAGCCAAGGGTCTCCTGGATCAAGGGCGGGCTGGGTTCCTGCAGTGTGACCTGTGCAGTCACTTAGGGCTCCTGTTCAAAGGGCCCAAGCCACATTTAGTCTTTGCTAACTTGAAATTCTTCATAATTTTTGAATAAGAGGCTCCAATTTTCATTTTGCATGGAGACCCGAAAGTTATGTGGCTTGTCCTGGTTACAAGAATAATGAGGAGAAAAGCCAAGGGGAGGGGGAATAGGGGCAAATAGGAGTGGAGTTGAAAAAACGGAATGTTTAAGACAGAAGATCATATATTTTAGGATACTTTGCAGACAGCAAGAGAGGAGAGTGAGAGAGAAATGACGATGGTTCTTCATCATAAAGAAAAAATAAAAGACTAATTGTGTCATGTGGCCTCCAAGATACTTGGAGTAAAAGATGTGTTGGTTCCAGGTAAATCTTAGCTCCAGGTGCTGCATGGACAGCTTCAGTGTTTGCATTGTCTGGAGTTAAAATAAACATGAGTTTGCCTGCATGGTCATCTCCATTTTCAGCAGAAGTCAATTAGGAAATGATTTTCTTCAAACCATATTGACTTTTTTTTTTCAGAAAGATTTGATTCCTAAATGACAGGGTGACTAAAGATCAAATCATTTTTCCATTACATTTAATGCGGGAGGTTTCCATTTTTTAGGCCTCCCTGCAAAAGAGTTTCAATTGCATTTCCGTTTGTTCTCCAAAGGCAGTTTTACAGTTCTCTGATTTACGCTAAGGTCAAGAGAAGGTTTGCAAGCTGCCACAGAACATAAATTACAGAACCTCCTGACAAAATGGTGGGTCAGAAAAGTAACGTGGAATACATTAGTGAAGGGTAGATTAACATGCCTTTAAGTGCTAATTTATTTCTCAAATGTGCAGCTTGAAGTCTTTCTCTCCTATCACTAGGCTCAAGGCTGAGTGTCTTCCATATTGATCAGGAGCCTCTGCAGCAGGCACACGCAGGACGCTGTGCTGTGCTGTGCATGGTGAGAAGTGTGACTCACTGCTGGTGAGAATTATTCAGCAGACAAAATGAACTGGGAGGAAGTGAGTGATCTTTACCTCTTAGGCGAAAGGATGCAATTATCAAGGAAACCAATGCACAGAGCACAAAGCACCAATCATGTATTTGGCTCTCCTTGGTGTGTTTCGTGGTGCATGGTGAGGGGTGCACAGATCTCCAGGGTTTGCAGTCCTGCTGGGAGAGGAGAGTCACAGACATAAGTCATTCAGTGGCAACCCATGGCTGATGGCTTGCAGGAGGAAGCCAAGCCACTGCTTGAGGGAGAAAGGCATTGTGTGTGAGATTCTTCTAGAAGGTGGGTCTTCAGTAGACCTTGAGGGAAGAGGCTCGTGGGGGTGTTTGGCAAGGATGGGGGAGGCCTGTGGGGGAGGGGCGCCTAGAGCAAAGGACAGATGATGGTGTGAGTCACTCTGGGGAGTGGCGTAAGTAAGGCAAGTAACCCCGAGAACTGTGTTTCCTACGAAGGCAGTGGGCACAGGGTTGGGAGTCAGAGTGGGGACAGACTGTGGGTGGGGTCAGGGTCTCCTTCTTTCTACACTGCTCAAAGTGATCCCCCACCGGGAGGGGGGTTGCAGTGCTGAATCCCCACAGCCATTGCTGACCATGATTTCAGGAACAAAGAAGCAATGTGCATCCCCCTTAGCAGCCCTCATCTGAGCTTCCTGGGTCCAAGGCATGAAGCCCAGGATTAGATATGGAGAGAGGACTAAAACTCCACTGAACTCATGAAACTGGTGATCCGGTTAGAAAGAGAATCACATGCAGAGTGTTAAGGCTAAATATCAAAAAACTGCAGAGGAAGGAGGCATCACTGTGACCTGGAGTTAAGTCAGAACAGATGTGGTGGAAGGGTCAAGGTCCAGAGGAGTCTCAAGCAGGCACACGCCTCGGCTCCTTCATTCATTTACTCAGCAAAGAATGTGGCCACCACGGACCCTGCTGGGTGCTGGGTGGACAGCAATGATGGACAAAGATGTGGAGCCAAGACAGACCACAAATATATAAAAAACAAATCATTAAAGTAATTTCAGATGCCAATAAAGAAAATAGACCAGCGCGGCAGGATAAGAAGGATGAGGTATGGGGAGGAGAGTCTGATTGGATCATCCTGGGAGGTATCTCTGAGAAGCAGCGTTTTCAAGGATACTTGGATGATGGAGATGGGGTCAGGGTGGGAAGAGAGTTCTCCCAGGAGAGAAGGGTGTGTGGACAGAAACACACATGGCATGTGTAGGAGGTGAGGAGGTTTGCTGAGCTCCCAGCACTGTTCTAAGAGTTTCACCTGCATCAATTCATAATCACCCTAAGAGAGAGCAGGGATGTGTTTCAGATTAGGAATGCGAGGCTTGGAGAGACTTCACCGCTGCTCCAAGGTCACAGTTGGAAGGGAACGGGGCTGGACCTGGAACAGCAGTCCCTCTGACTCCAGGGCTGACTTGCTATGTGTTTTCTCAACATAATCCTCCAAACAGCCTCATTGATCAGCCAAGTGGGGCTGGGGAAGTGGAGCTCTGTGCCCAAGCTGGGCCCCAAGTGCCAAGAGCAAATAGAAGAGCTGGGAAAAGAAGCAACATGTCAGCTGTATTTCTGCGGTACGCCATTCAGCTGTGGGGCTTTGCAGAGCAGCCTCCTGCACTCATACTGGATGAGGAAGACCAGGAAAGATGATGCACCCTAGGCTGGAAAATGCCAAGCCCCTTAGGGAGTAACACAGCAAACACTCTTAGTGTATTTTTTCTCAGTGGTTTAATGGAAATACCAGTTTTAGGAAACTAATGAATAAAGAGGATCTGAATTTTACTTATAATGAAAATGCAAGGCAAGATTATCTTTTAATGAGAAACTCACTTATTTGGGATTTCCCACTGAAGAGCACCAAGACAGGATATTTCTAATTTTTTCAATTATGCAAACTTTAGAAATTAAAATCCAGAATCCGTGAAACAGATCTCTGGATATTTGTTAAAACATTTTTGAGCTTTGTTTGAAGTAGTCCATGAGACCCATGAGATCCATATTCTTAATTCTGGTTCAATGTCATATGTCCATTTTGGGTCTGTACATAATTGATTCTCTAGGCTGTGCATATCTTTGTACCATCCTTGATGCTACAGACTTCAGGGAGCACTGCAGAGTTTCAGTGTGAGTTCTCACATACAGAGGCTTCCTTTCTCCTCTCTGTATTCTTTCCTCTTGCCTCTAGTAAAGACAAGGTTAGAAGAAGGGTAGAGGTCTCTTTAGAAGCTTGGCTGCTGTCTGTGGCCTGGGGCCTCAGCAGGAAAAGCAGAGAAATCAAGAAGGGACTGTCTATTCTACTTTAAGTGACGTCCACAGTGCATTTAGAATTTTAGGAGTGTAATTTCTTATTCCTGCATGCTCCTTCTTAGTAGCTGGGGCCTATTTTAAAGTTAAGAGAATGAGGAACACAGAGGGCTCCTCCTCATTTGTCGTCATCTGAATTCAGACACTGAGAACATACAGGGGGCAGTGAAGTGTTTCTTCTGTTGTTGGTTTGCCTTAAATTAAGAGATAGCCCCAAATAAGCAGGCCATACCTTCTGCAGAGCTATGGAAGGCCTCGTGTCCATCCCTCCATGCTACTTTCCCTCCTCAACCCCCACCAAAAAAAGATGTGTTCCTGTGGAGCCTGTGAATGTGACTTTATTTAGAAAAGGACTCTTTGAAGATACAATTAAGAACCTAGAGAAGAGGGGATCAGCCTGGATTATCTGGGCAAGTGTTCTCATCCTGGGTTGTTACTTCTTTTCCTGTGTAGAAGTAAAATACCGATTTGCACAAGGTGTATGTTTGAGGGGCACAGAGGTGGAAGTGGGTTCAGAGTCAGGCCCAGGTGAGTGTAGGTGGAAGTCCTGGGGGCTTTGCTTCTTTGCCAAGGTTGATCCTCTGCAATCCTTTCTCATTGGCCCACTCATTAATTCAGCAGATCATTAGTCCAAAGCCAGTGCCATCCAATTATAGCCAGCTCCCCAGGTGAGCTAAGTTCTTCTGCTCTCCAAAGCTTGAGAATGGCTGGCTGCTGTTTGTCCCAATCTTAAAATGGCTTCTACTGGCCACTTTGAGCTGGTTGTGGACACAGGCTGTGCAGAAGGTGCTGGGGATGCTACCGCCACCTGCTCCCCAGCCCTCTTTTAGTGCGAAGTGGGAATGCTAAACCTGTGTTTCCCTAAATCCCTTGCATTTAGGGTCTGGATATAACTTAGGTTTCGCCCTGTGAATCCTTGAGCTTAGACTCAGTCCCGATGGGGAGGGGTGGGCATGCTCTCTGTTTTTTCATTGCAGAGGTGGTGTGGAGCTGGCAGCTGCTGTGGGAGCTTCTGGAGTCAATGGGTGGCTGCTGCACCCTGCAGCTCCCTCACCATTGCAGGATGGAGCTCTCTTGGTGACCTGGTTTCCCTATGGCTTTGAGCGTTTTTCTTGTGTGTTCATCCTGGAATTTGTTTCTTTACTGATATGGTTTGGCTGTGTCCCCACCTAAATCTCATCTTGAATTCCCATGTGTTGTGGAAGGGACCCAGTGGGAGGTAATTGAATCATGAGGGCAGGTCTTTCTCATGCTGTTCTTGTGCTAGTGAATAAGTCTCACGAGATCTGATGGTTTTATTTTATTTTATTTTATTTTTATTTTTGAGATGAAGTCTCACTCTGTCGCCCAGGCTGGAGTGCAGTGGTACGGTCTCATCTCACTGCAACCTCCACCTCCTGGGTTCAAGCCATTCTCCTGCCTCAGCCTCCCGAGTACTTGGACTAAAGGTGTGCACCACCACGCCCAGCTAATTTTTGTATTTTTAGTAGAGATGGGGTTTCACCATGTTGGCCAGGATGGTCTTCACCTCTTGACTTCGTGATTCTCCCTCCTCAGACTCCCAAAGTACTGGGATTACAGGGGTGAGCCACTGTGCCCAGCTGATCTGATGGTTTTATAAGGGAGAGTTTCCCTGCACAGTTTTTTTGCCTGCTGCCATCCATGTAAGATGTGACTTGCTTCTTCTTGCCTTCTGCCATGATGGTGAGGCCTCCCCAGCCACATGGAACTGTAAGTCCATTAAACCTCTTTCTTTTGTAAATTGCCTGGTCTCGGGTATGTCTTTCTCAGCAGCATGAAAACAGACTAACACATTTACCCTTCCCAAGTGATTCTGTGAGCACTGAATAATTTATAAAAATTCCCTTTTGCTTAACAAGGCTATAGTGGGTTGAATGCTACTTTCCCTCCTCAACCCCCACCAAAAAAAGATGTGTTCATGTGGAGCCTGTGAATGTGACTTTATTTAGAAAAGGAGTCTTTGAAGATGTAATTAAGAACCTAGAGAAGAGGAGATCAGCTTGGATTATCTGGGTGGGCCCTAAATTCAGTGACAATGTCCTTATAGGAAGAGGAGAAGGCTGGGCGCGGTGGCTCACGCTTCTAATCCCAGCACTTTGGGAGGCCGAGGTGGGCGGATCATGAGGTCAGGAGATCGAGACCATCCTGGCCAGCATGGTGAAACCCTGTCTCTACTAAAAATACATAAATTAACCTGGGATGGTGGTGGGCGCCTGTAATCCCAGCTACTTGGGAGGTTGAGGCAGGAGAATTGCTTGAACCCAGGGGGTGGAGGTTGCAGTGAGCCAAGAGGGTGCCACTGCACTCCAGCCTGGTGACACAGTGAGACTCCATCTCAAAGAAAAAAAAAAGGAGAAGACCACGTGAATGAAGGCAGAGATTAGAGTGATGCGGCCACAAGCCAAGGAGCTTGTGAAGGCCAGGAGCCGCTAGAAGCTGGGAGAGCCAGGAAGCATCCTCCCCTAGAGCCTTTGGAGGGAATGTGGCCCTGTGAACACCTTGCCTTTGGACTTCTGGGCTCTAGAGCTGTGAGATAACAGTTTCTGTTGTTTTAGACACACAGTGTGTGGTTATTTGTAGAGAAGCCTCAGGAAGCAAACACATCTAGCTAGAGAGGATTCTGTTCTCTGCAGTGGAGGCTTGACTTACTCACTCAAGTTTTCTCTCACAGTTGCAACTAGCACAAGGCTGGAGCATTCATAAACTCAACTGAAGGCTTGGAGAGGACATAAAACTATAACACTGTGAAACCTTAGCTCTGGCTTCTCAATATCACTGGCCCTGGGAGCCATTGGCCAAACTCATCGCAGGGTCATCACCAATGATCCATCTCTTCATCTGCTTCCACCATTGGCTATTGCAGAAACCAACTGACCTCAGATGGAAGTGCCCGGACACAGCACTCTTCCTCTTTTTTTTCTTTTTTCAGACGGAGTCTCGTTCTGTCACCCAGGCTGGAGTGCAGTGGCGCAATCCCAGCTCACTGCAAGCTCCGCCTCCCAGGTTCACGCCATTCTCCTGCTTAGCCTCCCGAGTAGCTGGGACTACAGGCACCCACCATCACGCCCGGCTAACTTTTTTGTATTTTTAGTAGAGATGGGGTTTCACTGTGTTAGTCAGGATGGTCTCGATCTCCTGACCTCGTGATCCGCCCGCCTCGGCCTCCCAAAGTGCTGGGATTACAGGTGTGAGCCACCATGCCCGGCCAGCACCCTTCCTCTTACAGACAGCATGCTTTCTTCCTCTGCCAGCCAAAGGCAGCAAACAGAACTCAAATATTTAACATCAAACAATGTCTGCAGAAATGTCCTAGTCCATTTTTATATAGGGTGACTTATTGACTATGCCTCTTCCTTCCAGAACAAGCTCTGGCATTGGCCACTACAATGGTATTCCATTCTGGCTGCTATAACAGAATTCCATAAACTGGGTGGCTTAAAGAACAAACATTTATTTCCCACAATTCTGAAGGCTAGGAACACCAAAATCAAGGCCTGGGAGATCCAATGTTTAATGGAGGCCCAATTCCTTGTTTGCACGTGAGCATCTCATTGTGTCTTCACATTACAGAGAGCAGAGAGGGAGAAAGCAAGCTCTCTCATGTCTTTTTGTAAGGGCACTAATCCCATTCATGAGGGCTCCAACACTCATGACCTAATCATCTGCCAGATGCTCCACCTCCTACCATCCCCTTGGGGACTGGGCTTCAACATACATATTTTTTTGGTGGAGGGTGAGTGGGACACAAACATTTAGCTAATAGCAATGATTTAAGCAAAAAGGCCCACTGGGGTTTTCCTGGACTAAGAAATAAACAACAACCTCCCCCACCCCCAGCCTACCCCCAAACAAAGAGCTCAGTATTTCCTCCCAAGATAAATACTGTTGCTTCCCTAAAAGGATAGGCAGTTTAAAAGAATGTTTTCCACACTCCAAGTGCATCATTGCTGCTTGGGTTCTTCAAGGTTGCAGGAAGATAAGACCCTGCTGGGCGCCGTGGCTCATGCCTGTAATCCAAGCACTTTGGGAGGCTGACATGGGTGGATCACCTGAGGTCAGGAGTTTGAGAGCAGCCTGACCAACATGGTGAAACCCCATCTCTACTAAAAATACAAAAAAAAAATTAGTCGGGCAGTGGTGGCAGGTGCCTGTAACCCCAGCCACTCGGGAGACTGGGGCAGGAGAATTGCTTGAACCCAGGAGGCAGAGGTTGCAGTGAGCCATGGCCTGGGTGACAAGAGTGAGACTCCATCTCAAAAAAAAAAAAAAAAAGATAAGACCCCGATGATGTTTCTTCTCCTTGTGTTCCCCGACGCAGTCTCTAGCCCACACCCTGGTTTGAGCTCTCAGCAGATCCTCCCACAGTCTCTGCTTCCATTTCTTTGTCCATGTTCTTCAAGTCTTTTGTCTGAAGTCCCTTTGTGCAGCAAGAGAATAAATGGTCCTAATATTGCTAATCTTTGAACAAAGAAATTTCCAAAAAGATCCTCATAGGATGCATTGCTCAGACCCATGGGAGTATAGGCCATCAAGTCCTTAGTCTTTTCTCAGCTATTCATCCTTCACAGCAGATGTGTGGTCTTACGTGGTTCCTCTCTTTTTTGAGCCAAGTATATGCACAGCCCAAACAGGCTACATCAGCTTAAATGCACTGGAGGAAGTTCCAGCTCTTCCCACTGATATGATCTGCTTTATCAGTTTGTCAATATGCCAGCTGGTGGAATTGCTGCTGATGGCAGCATAAAACATCTCGAGGCAGACACCAGCTGTTGGCAGGACAGCAGCAATGGCCGAGAGGATACCAGGCTCCTGCCGGGCTCCAGCACTCTGTCTTGCTTGACTTACATTTTGTTTGCGTTAGTAACTGATATAAACCCCAGCTGATCAGGGCTCAAAGGGCTTCAGGGGATGTAGTTGTGTATGGAGACAGAACTGCTTAGCAGAGGTGAGCCGATCACTTTATTGGCAGTGGCAACCCAAGAAAGCAATGGTAATTCCAATTGGCATTTCAGGCATGGAGATGCTGGGGGCTGAGTGTAGAAATGATTAATGAAGGTGGCAGGGGGTGGGGGGGCGGGTGTCCTTGCTTTCTTTAGACTTAATCCTTCTGCTGTGGTCAAGCCCATTCTGGCCACCAAAATAAGATTCTCAAATAAAAAAATAATTAAAAGTTATATAGGAATTCCGGGAATGGCAGAATTTAAGTTCTTGTTGTGGTGAACTATGGCTGTGAGACCAAACGAACTGCATCTGCATATAGCGATAATGTGGCGTGAGATGGAGGAAGGATCCCAATGCCTGCAGGTGTCAGGATGTGGATGTGCACAGCCCATCCTCAGAGCCTACCTAGATGGAGCCTCCTACCCTAATAGTATCAATGCAGCAGGTGTTTATTGTAAGAGCCAAACTGTGTACTAAACATTCTGGGCATTTTATGTTTTAATCCACTTGGTGCTCGGTCATTATGAGCGGTATCTACATTTAGCACTGTATTTTGTAGATTCCACACCTGAGACGTGGAGAGGTTGCTTACTTGTCCGGTGGTGCAGGGCAAGGAGCAGAGCTGACATTCAATCAGTTGGTCTGACTGCAGAGTCCACGTCTCAACCGTGAAGATCGTGGCTCAGAATTGCTGTGGACAGTTCCAAGCTGTGTTGGGGACATTTGTTCAAGTTCAGCCTGAAGCGTCGTTCAGAAGCTGAACTCACCTGTCATGCTTCCAAACCCACTGGTTGTTTAATTGATCTTAAAGTTTTCAAGGTCTGAGACAAAACAAATTCTCTGGTCCCTGGTTAATGGCAAGAGGAGAGAAACGTGATCAGAACGCCTTTGTCTCAGGTGGAAATGGGGGCCCACCATGAGGCATGCACTTCTTTTTCCCACGGAAAGCTAAGATGATACAAATGTTCCATCAGCGAAAAGTTCAACAAACAAAGAGACAGCATAGCAGGGTGGGGCAATGGGCTTTGCAGCCGGAATGGGACCACACGGGCTGGCTCTTGCGATGGTTGTTAAACAAGTTGATATTTGTAACACCCATAAGAGACAGGTCCATAGTTAGTGCTATAGTAAATCATGATATACATGAAAATGGTTACACAGTCCTGTTAGTGGACTTGAGATTGAGTTCTGACTTTCCTCTCCAATGATAAAATTTGTTTTTGTTAGAAATTTATCCAGTCAAACAATATTAACCATCGAGTTACTCATAGAGCCGGGAAGATTTAAAAATGCATAGATGAGCGAGACCTGCCAGAATCACATTGCATTTTGGATCTGGGACTACGTAGCCAACTTCTCAAATTCCCCTGGCCTCCCAGTGTCCTGGGCCCTGGTCGTTGCTCATGGAACAGCCTGATCTTGGCCACCACGACAGCTGCCACTGCTCTTCTGTAGGCCCTGCCCCTTCCTTGGCCTCCGCCAGGGTGGGCGTGTGCATCACCTTCCTGTCCTGGGGCAGTGCTGGCTCCAACTGCCACTTCCTGACCCTGAGGAAGTCCTGGACACAGGACCTGATACTTGCAGCAGCTGCCAGGAGGGGACCAGTAGCACAGCTTAGCATGTGGAAGCTATGGTCCATGGGACATACTCTACCAGTGTGAGACAGGAGAGGGGGAGTGCACACCACACTTCCTCTCTCCTCCTGGCTCCAGGGGACTGTCCCGAGGCACCGGCTCTGTCCCTCCGTGTGGCAAAGTGCAGCGAGGTCCTGTGCCCTGTTCTCTGTGAAACAGCGGCAGCACAGCCCTGCACCATCTTGGACTGGCTTTCCCTCTCTCCCTGCCTCTCCTCCCTTCTCCTTCTTCTCTCCACCCTGGAATCGCAGCTCCTCAGATCCAGTAGCCCTTTAGTTTGGCCTCAGGTTCTGTTTTCTGGGAAACCTGGCCTGAGACCTGTCTTGAACTGCAATATTCTCCTTTCCGTTTTTGACGGATGCGTTCGATCCGTCCAAACCCTTCAGTCCCCTGTGGACAGGTCCTCCCTCTTCATCGTCCAGCCTGGTCCAGACGGTCAGCTTTATTTTTAGGGGCTCCGGTATCCACGCCTGCTGCCACTGCCTGACTCAAGTTTCCTCCCATCTGTCATAGGCGTCTGCCCGGACCTCCTGCCTTTACCAGCTTACTCATTGTTGTAATGTCTTCCCACTAGCCTGATGCATTTTTCATCCCCTTACAATTCCTTAATCCAAGCCTTGCAGAATGAGCTCAGGGAATGTCATTGGGATCTGGCATGACCTGGCCTTGACCTGTCTCTTCCCAGTTGCCACCCATTTGCTTCTACACGTTGCAGTCATTTATTCAACATCTCCTGAGCATCTTCTAGGTGCAGGCCCTGTGGGAGACACTTACAACATCAAGGTCAGCATAAAAGGCAGTCTCTCAGTTTCCTGTGCTGCCATAACTAATTAGCATGATCTTGGTGGCTTAAAACAATAGAAACTTGTTCTTTCACAGCTCTGGAGTCTAGAAGTTGGTTCCTTCCAGAAGTTCTGAGTGAGAATCTGTCCCAGGCCCCTCTCTCAACTCCTGGTGGCTGCCGGCCGTCCTCCACAGTCCCTGGTTTTTGGCTGCGTCCCTCCAATTTCTGCCTCTGTGTTCATGTGGGCTTTCCCCTGTGTCTCTGTGTTGAATCTCCTCTTCTTTTTCTTATAAGGACACAGGTCATTTAGGGTGAACCCTAAATCCAGGATGATCTCATCCCAATATCCTTAATTTAATTACATCTGCAAAGACCCTATATCTAAATAAGGTCATATCGTTAGATATGGGGTTTAGGACTTGGAACTATCTTTTCTGGGGGTGCCATTCAACTCGTTACAGGCAGAAGATGATTTTTCATTCTCATGCAACTTCCTGGGGTTGGCATTTAGGAGCGTTAGAGGTTAGCTGTGCTGCCTTCGTTCATCCTGCATGCTCCTCCCTCCCAGAAGAGTATTTCCTTCTCCGTCTCCTCCTCCTTCCAGGCACAAGTTAAAGGCTGAGTTTCCACGGAGGCTGACTGGGCGGCCTCCTTCCAAGCTGCTTCTACCCCTCACCTTGTGTACCCTGAGTGTGCGCTGGAGTCATCTGTCTAGAGTTTCCCTCCCTTTCTGGGTTGTGACCTGCTGGAGGACCAGGGATGTCTGTGGTACAGCGTCATTTGGGTGATGTTTACTCTGAAGAAAATGGAGACTCCTTCCTGGAAGATGACTCTTTTTGGAGTTCTTTCATTACAGATTTTTTTTTTAGCCTAATAACGTAGTTTAGACATTGGTTGAAAACAGTTGCATGAATGACACTTATTATGTGTCTTAACCCTTGAAGATTTCCATGAAAGATAAAGACATAATAGTCACTGTTACTAAGTAATGTATCATGCTTCCTTTTTAGAGTTAATATCTTTGCTCTTAAATACTGTTTACTCAATTTTGTAGACCAAAAAGCCTTGAATGTAATGCATTTTAAATGTTTCTTTATCTTATTTGGCTTAACAATGTTGATGAAGAAAGCCCCCAAAGGGAATATAGATGAAAGTAAATTCTGGTTCGTGCTTCTCACTGCCCCATTTCTATTTATTTAAAGTAACCATCAGCAGGTGAAATGACCCACAAGTTATCATGCTGTGAAAACATAAGCAGCAGATTACCCCATTTTTTATACTGAAAGCAGTCTTGTGAGCTACACCTATTGCTACAACTTTTACTAAAGCATTTATTGCTTATTTCATGGATTGCTAACTCCTTGGCATTGGTTGGGATGGCTGTGAGGATTTATGGATAAGTCTTCATGGGTCTCTCTCTGGAGAAAAAACCAAATGTCTCTCTCCCTCAGTTGAACACAGGACGTTGGGCACTGTGCTCAGTCTGTCACCAAGGCAGGCAGGAGGGAAGCATGGACCCATGACCACTCTTTCTAGAAGAAATTAAAGAGGAAATATATCTGGCATATTATCTTTTCTTAAATGGATATTTTCCTTCAGTGGTAACTAAATGCACATAATACAACATTCTAAAAATATAAATTGGTCAATATACTGAAAAATGTCTTCTTCCCTTCCTGTCTGCCAGCTGCTGAGTTCATATCCCCAGAGGCAATCTGTTATTCGCTTTTGTCTGTTACATCCTTCTGGAGACATTCCACCTCTTATAGCTAAATCGGTGACACAGCATACACACTGTTCTGAACCTTGCTTCCTTCCCTGACAATATGTTTTGGAGCTTATTCTATATAAGTTCTATTTCAGTATAGAACTGCAACATTCTCTTTTACAGTGGCATACGTTTCTTACCAGTAATGTTCTGATATTTATTTAACAATTATATTACTGAAGATCATTTGATATTTGAATCTTTTGCTCATACAAACAAGTGCTGCCCTGAATATTCTTATAGATACACTGCTGTACATATGTATGAGTATGTCTGTAGGATATGTTCTTAGAAACTGATTTGCTAGGTCAATGTTTATGTGCACTTAAAATTTTGAATTCCACTGTCCAATCATTCTTTGAATAATTTTCCCCAGTTAATATTCTCGCCAGAAAAATGTGGCAATGCCTGTCTCCCCACATGCTCACCAGCACAATGCATTACCCACGTGTGCAAGTTTTGTGATCTGATAGGTAAAAAATTTTATGTCACTGGAGTTTTAATTTGCAGCTGTTTTATGTGTGCAGTTTCTTCATTCATTCGTGTATTCATTCTGCTGTAATTAGTTGAGCACTGACTGTGCTCTGGGCTCCGCTCCAGGTGCTAGTGATGCAATCCTGAACAGAGCAAACCCCAAATCTCCTATTCTCATCCAGCTTACACTCAGAGGAGATAGGGAAAGGAAAAGCAAATAGGTGAAATAGACAGCCTATATGATGGTGATAAGTTCTCCTAAGAAAAATAAACCAGGGAAGGGGGTTAAAGAGTGCAGGTGGAGGGTTGTATTTTCCATGGGGGAGAAGGAGGCCTCCTGGAGTAGTTGATGTTTGCACAGAGTGAAGAAGACCAGGGTGAAGAAGAGACCACAAAGGAATCTAGGGAGGAGATCCACAAAGACAGAGCAGCAAGCGCACAGGCAGTGAAGAGTCATATTCTAAGGGACTTGCTCAGCATTCATGCTGCTCATCAATAGTGCATAACAAACAACCTGAAACTGAGAGGTTAAGCAGCAATTATTTTCATATGCTTGTGGATTCTGTGGGCCAGGAATTTGGATAGGCCTTAGTGGGGATGCTCTTCTAGCATCTTGATGTTTGGGGCCTCAGCTGAGAAGACTTGAATCTTGGAATCTGGGAATCCGGGTGACTTGAAGGCAGGCACTGGAATCATCCAGAGGCTTTGTTGATCACATGCTGGCACCCGGGCTGGGATGATTCGAAGGCTGGGCTCAGCTGGGACGGTTAAGCAGGGCACCTACCTGTGGTCTCTCCATGACACTGGATCACTCCTTGCAGGCTGGCTAGCTTCTGACAAAAAACATTCTGATGGAAAATGTTCCTAGATTGACACAGGAACATGCCCAGGGGTGTGGCATAGACTCTACCTCTTTTATCAGGGAAATGACAAGGTCATATTATTGGGAGATGCGTTAGGGTTTACCTGAAAAACGGAACCTATTGTATACACACACACACACACACACACACACAAAACTGTTAAACTTATATATATGTATATATGAGATAGGAATTTACTTATTTATTTTAAGGAATTGACCAACAGGATTGTGGGGGCTGGCAAGTTCAAAACCTGCAAGGCAGGCTGGAGCCCCAGGGAAGAGTTGATGCTGCAATTCCAATCTGAAGCAGTCTGGAGGCAGAATTCCTTCTCCATTAGGTGACCTCAGTCTTTGCTCTTAAGGCTTTTAACTGATGGAATGAGGCTCCCTCACATTATGGAAAGCAGTCTGCTAATCCAAAGTTTGTTGATTTCAATGTTGATGTCTAAAAAATACTTTCATGGCAACATTTAGACTGGCACTTGACCAAATATTTGGGTGCTGTGGCCTAACCAAGTGAACACTTAAAACGAACCATCACAGGGGAGTATTGTTGCTGTCATCTTTGGGAAATGTCATCCTCCACATTATGTTTGAAAGAGAACAAGGGAACTGGGAATGTTGGAGTAGGGGAGTGAGGAGGAGCAGGAGGAGGTCAGAGAGGCCACAGGGCGCTGATGTGTTGGGGCCTTTATGCCACTGGGCTCTGGCTTTGATTCTGCAAAAGGAAACCAATGTAAGGTTACGTTCTTAGAAGGGTCACTCAGGGTGCCCTGTAAAGGACCGTAGAAGGGAACAGCATGGAAGCAGGGAGCTCAGTTAGGAATTGCAGTAATCCAAACAAGAGGTTGATATGGTCCTTTTAGAAGATGAAGCTGAGAAGGTCTTGGACATGTTAGGGAGGAGAAAGTAAGGGAGGAGTCCAGAATGATTCCATGTTTTGAGTGAGAAATGGAAAAATGGATTTGAGAATATTTTTATATGTTTCATTTGTATTTCTTGTTCCATAAACTCTCTTGTATCTGTTCCCCATTTTTTTCTATTGCATTTTTGACCCTTTCCTTAAAGATTTGTTAGAGCTCATCATGTGTTGAGAAGATAAGCTCTTGTGAAATAAATTGCAAAGGTTTTTTTCTAGCTACTTGTTCTATAATTTGGATTTTTTTTTGTCACTTAGAATTTATATTTTTGCTTCCTGCAGTCTAATTTGTTTGTCTGTTATATCTCCTGGGATCAAGCTTTCTTATTTTTTGATGGGAATGAACAAAGTGTGAGGCCGACTTCTTTGCATAAAAATATTTTCTTCTTCCAGTAGGCTTGGAAAACAACATTTGTGTAAGCCAGGATTTAGGAGTGATAAAGGTTTGCAATTAACACATTTATAAACACAGT
Organism: Homo sapiens; assembly: GCF_000001405.40. Classification (NCBI taxonomy): domain Eukaryota; kingdom Metazoa; phylum Chordata; class Mammalia; order Primates; family Hominidae; genus Homo; species Homo sapiens. The sequence goes on from NC_000005.10 coordinate 6,864,000, forward strand.
TTAAACCGCTGTCTTCACTGTTTGTTTTCCCAAAGCCCCATTTACAGGACAGTTGTATCTTAAAGGACCTTAATTGAATTTTGATTCTTTGCTTTCCTCTTTACTACCACGTCTGATAGTGATTTTGGCAGAGAAATGAAGTAGGCAAAAGAGAGGTTGAATAACAGAGAAGAGAATCTAGAAATGCTTAGTTAGTTATTGAATAATTGAGTTGAAATAGTTTTTCTCTTTTCATATTATGAATTTTAGTGCTCTAACCTTTCACTGGCATAATAATTTGGTTGAACTGTAGTCAATTATACTTAACATAAACCTCCCAATAATAAGTATTTATGAAATCAGTTTTATAAAACAAACACATTATTCTTGGTAGTACATGCTTTCCAGGAACACGTCTTGCACAAAATCCTTTACCTTCACAGAACCAAATATTATTTACATATTGATTGTCTCTCTCTGTGTGTTTGAATATAATAAAAACAGATTGTACTTTATCAGTTTAATAAGAAACTCAACTTTTTATTCTCAATATGTTAAGTTTGGAATTCTCGTTAACAACGTTTAAGGCACATGATCACAAATCTTTGAAATTGGGTAATGCTTCTTGCATCTCATGAAGAGTGTTCTAATGAGATAATCCAGCTTGGGTTTTGATGAATAACAGATACGGCACGTATGCATATCATATTCTTTGTACTTGTAGTTCTTAACACTAGACTCACACTCTATCTTGGTCATACTCCAGGGTAAGTGGACCCTTCCTATTTTTTCCACTTTAGGGCCAGCAGTGCAGCTGCTCAGAATCTGTTCCTATTCCTTTCTAGACTGAACTCCTCCCACACGATTCCCGGTTTCTTTCTTTTTGAAATGGGCCGTTGTTCATTCATTTAATAAGGGTGTATTAACCAATTACTGGTACTCAGTTAGTACCATGAGTCATACAAGTAAACGTAAAATATGAATTTCTCTCTTTTTGAGGAGATTTGAGGCTATTCAAACAAAACCACTATCAACAATGCATGACCAATGGCAACTTCTCTTTTGCGGAAGAGTGTATAGAAGAGAGAGATGAATATGGCTTGGAATCTGGGAAAACGTTGGAGGAAAATGGAACTTAGTTGTGGCCTTGCAACTTCTATAAGACCTGGAAGAAGCAGGGAGTTTGGGGAAGGACCATGTTAAGGCAGATGATCATCAGTTCACTATTCTAGAACTTTATGGCGCTACCACACTTTGACTACTATCTGTGAATTTTGCTAAATTTGTAATTATGCCTGGATATGAAAGCAACATACAAAGAACTCTGAACCCAGAAGACAGATTGTTGATGTCTACTATTCAGCAACTTAGGTTTTTGGAAACAGAAATTGTGTCTTTTTCCATAAAGAATGGAATGTGTTGAGGGAAGCTTCTGTAAACCCAATCCCTCCTTCTCTCCTCAATCCACCCCATTTGTGGTAGTGTCTTAGAAGCACTGGGGGGCCTCGTCTTCTTATCTCCAGTTAATGGGTGTGTTTGTGGCATGTAGGTGTCAGCAGATGCAGATGAAGGGTGCTGGTGTAAGAGAATCACATCCTGGCTGGGTCAAGCTGGCCCAGGTCCCAATGCATAGAAATAAAGACCCAGTCCCATCACTGAGCAAGGCTTTAGCCCCTAAATTTTGACTGACTTAGCTCCAAGACCAGACAGGAAGGAAACTTCAAGGTCCCTTGAACTCTTTTATCTGAGAGCATAGTTCTCCTGAGTTGGCTGCCTTCCTCATTTTCTGGGTAATGCCCTAACCCCCTAAACTATACATTCATAGTTGTGCCAAGAATAAGGCATCTGTATCTCCCCAAGTCACACCACTCCAAATGCTTCTCCAAATAGGACGAAGGGCTAAAGAGAAGAAACAGATGTTTACACTTCTTTACTCCATGCCTGTTGCAGATCGAGTTGTGTTCCCCAAAAGTATATGTTAAAGTCCTAACCCTCAGAACCTGTGAGCGTGGCCTATTTGGAAATGGGGTCTTTGCAGATGTAACCAAGTGAAGGTGAGGCCATACTACATAGGAGTGAGCCCTAATGCCATGACTGGTGTCTTATAAAAAGAGGGAAATTTGGACACAGAGACACAGGGGAGAAGGCTGTATGAAGATGCAAGTAGATCCTGCAGTGATGCAGCCACAAGCCCTGGAACACTGGGGATTGCCAGCTATGCCAGGACCCAAGGAAGAGGTGAGGAAGGACCTTCCTAGACCCTTCAGAGGCAGCACTGCCCTGCTGACACTGCCATTTTGGACTTCTGGCCTCCAGATTGCAGGAGAATGAAATTCTATTTTTAAAAGCACCTAGATTGTTGAACTCTGAGTTTGTTCTGGCAGCCCTGGGCAACGAAGACTGGGTGTGATGGTTAAGTTCAGGTGTGAGTTTGACTGGGTTAAAGGATACCCAGATAGCGGGTAGGGTGTTATTCCTGGGTGTGTCTGTGGGGTGCTTCTGGAAGAGGCTGGCATTTGAATCAGTGGACTGAGGAAGGAAGATCTGCCCTCACCCTGTGTGGGCGGGCACCATCCAACCGACTGAGGGCCTGGATAGACCAGGAGTGGGTAGCCATAGAGGAAAACTGCCCTGCATATGCTTTTTTTTTTTTTTTTACTATTTGGATTGGTGCAGAGAACTGGAGAGCAAGAAGCAATGGGGAAGAAACCCATTTCTGAAGCCCTTGTGCCCTGAGAGCAGGCAATTAACAGGCAGCTTTGGTGTGAGGAGCACTGCAGAAGCACAGCCCGGGTGCCAGGATGGCACGAGAGACACCACCCATGTCTCGAATGTGACACGTCCCAGAGGAGGGAACAGCGAGCCTGGGCTGCAGGTTGCACTGGCAGGAGTCCTGCAATGGAAGAAAGCATGTACTGGATACTGGGTGATAAGAGAGTATTCATTATTTATTGCTGTATAACCAACTACTGCAAAACTTAGCAATTTAAGGCCACAGATATTTCTTATCTCACAGTTTCTATGGGTCAGGAACCCAGGGGTTACTCTTGATTGTAGAACACAACTTAGCTAAGCAGTTGAGCTCAGGGTGTCCCACAGGTTCCAAGCAAGGTGTCAGCAGGGGTTGCTGGCATCTCAAGGCCCCCCAGGGGATGACTCTTCCGAGCTCATTGGTGTGGTGGTTGGCAAGATTTATTTCCTTGTGGGCATTAGTCAGAAGCCATCCTCAGGTTCTTGCCACCTGGGCCTCTTTGAAGAGCAGCTTACCATGTGGCAGCAGGATTCATGGAAGTGAGCTGCAGGATTCATGGAAGCGAGCTGAAGGAAGGGTCAGAGCGAGCTGAGCCTTGGAGGGGCGTCTCACCATGACTGCCTATTCTGTATTTCAAAGGCAAGTCTCTAGGTCCAGCCTTGAGACCCTCACAGGGAGGGGCTTACACCAGGGCATGAATACAGGAGCAGGGGTCATCAAGGCCTTCTCAGAAGCCCCCAGCCCCCGGGCGTGATCCAGGCACAGGCCTGAAGAGAAAACATGGGACGTTCATGGAATCGTAGCCAGGAGTGCAGGGGAGAGGCAGGGGCCTGCAGAGAAGGGAGCCGGGGACCCCGGGCAGTGAGCCGGGCAGAATCACCGGGAACGACTGGGATGGAAGCTCACTTTGGGTTCACTTTTGTCTAGAACCACAAAGACACCAGCAGGCCTTCCCTCCCGCTTCTCCTGATGGCCTGGCACTTAGGAAGGACTGGCGTGTGTGTGTGTCTGTGTGCATGTGTGTAAGAATGTAAGTACATGTATATATGGGTACTTGTGTGAGTAGTATGTGAATTTGTGTAAGCATGTATGTGTGCATGTGTATGAGTGTGAGTGTACATGCATGTGTGAGTGTCTACGTGTGTGAGCGTGTGCATGTGAGTGATGTATATGCATGCGTGTGTGCACATGTATGAATGTGTGTGTGCACGTGTATGGATGTGCGTGTGTGCACATGTATGGGTGTGTATGGGTGTGTGTGCACATGTATGAATGTGTGTGTGTGTGTGTGTGTGTGTGGCTGCTCTCTGGCTCTGCTTGGATTGAAAAGTGCTGATAAGTTCATCATCCTTTCAGTGCTCAAGTAGCTTAAACAGAATCTAGCACAAAGGGCTGTGTGTTTTTTTTTTTTTTAAAGCTTTATTTTGTTGTACAGAAAAATTGGAAACCAAATTGTGGATGCACTGCAGGCAGCAGTGGTGTCGGGAGAACATCTTGGCTCCAGAAGGCTGCGTGCTGGAAACGTACCTCTCTACACCCATGCTTGATCTCTGCTGCTGCCTGGGCCAGCAGCTAATCCCGCCTGGCCAGCAGCCGCCTCTTCTGCCCAGCCCCTCTGACCTTGGCTGGACAGCTGAGGTGGCCACCTGGGGGCCTGCTCCACTTTGAGGCTCTGCTCTTTGTCTGGCAGTGAGGCTGGCACTGCGTTTTCGCATGAGCTGAGCTGACCCAGTTCTGCTGACGGATCACCAGCCAATCCTGGGCTGTTTATTTCCCCTCCTGCATCAACCAGGCAGCCCGCTGTCCTCTTATTTTTGTCTGGCAGTGCAAGAGAGGCTGCCATGAGTGTGCTAAGTTTCTGATTTCTGTGATCATAGCAAGATTGTCCTAAATTAGACACAAGGTATGTGTGCCCACACACTTTGTTGCTATTGTTGCTGTATTTATGTTGTCGATTACGAGCCTGCCAGTTGCCTGCTCATAGCCCGTGGGTGCAGGGGTCAGATGGCTCTCTGCCCCGCCCCGGAGCTTCTTAGAACAAATGGGATAAACCCACTGTTTCTTAGAGAACTCACAGTCTCTATTGACCTGGGCACTATTTTACTTCCCTTGACTCTAGCTAAGTGGCTCAAATAAGAAGAAAATAACTTAAAATGGAAGATTGGACTCTTGTGCTCATGAAGGGTTGAACTGCTCATTGTCAAGAAGAGGTTCGTCTTTGAGCCTTCAACTCAGTGTGGGCGGCCCCCAGGTCCAGGCTCAGCATCACAGGGGAGGGCACAGTGCGGTGATGCCCTCATCACAGTGGAGGTGTCTTGGGGACACTTTGTCCCCCAGGCTGCCGGCCTTCACCACTGGACTGCAGCTAGGTGATCTGGGTGGACAAATGGGTTAGACCTTCTGTTGATACGGCAGAAACTAAAGCTTTTGAGAGACAGAAATTACGATGGTATATAAGGCAGAAATGAAATTTACTTTTAAAATATACAAATTGCACAAAAGTTTCAAAACGAGGAGGAAAAATGTTTACAAAGACCCTACTGAGCTTTTGTTTGTTCTTTTCTCAGTGAGTGTGTGAATATGTGTGACTGTGCATGTGTGTGAATGTATGTGTGAGTGTATGAGTGCACGTGAGTGCATGAAAGTGTGTGTGCATGAGTGCATGAAAGTGTGTGTGCATGTGTGCATGTGTGTACATGTTTATTCATGTGTAACTGTGAGTGCATGTGAGTGTGTGAGAGCATGGGTGTGAGAGTGTGTGCATGTGTGTACATGTTTATTATGTGACTGTGGGTGAGTGTATGAAAGTATGTGTGTGCATGCATGAGTGTGTGTACATGTTTATTCATGTATGACTGCGAGTGGAAGAGCATATGTGTGAGACAGCATGGGTGTGAGTGTGTGCACATGTGTGTACATGCTTAGTATGTGACTGTGTGTGAGTGTGAGTGCTTGAGAGAGTGTGTGAATGGGTGTGAGTGTGTGCACGTGTGAGTATCCAAGTGTGGGTAGCTGTGTATATGAGAGAGGGGTGAGTGTGTGTATTCGTGTATGTGCATATGTGTTTGAGTGTGTATGAGTACGTGAATGTGGCTAAGTGTGTATGTGAGAGTTGTGTGAGTGTGCAAGAGGGTGTGTGTGCATGTGTGTTTATGTGTAACTGTGTGTGAGTCCATGTAAGAGTGCGTGTGTGGGTGGGTGTGTATGAGTATGAAAGTGTGTATGAGTGCACAAATCCAGGAACATTAAATTTGAGTTTTATATTTTATATCGGTGGTCCCATCCCTAACCCTTTTGGTACCAGGGACTGGTTTTGTGGAAGACGATTTTTCCATAGACCGAGTGGGCTGGGGGATGGTTTTGGGATGATTCAAGCGTATTACATTTATTATGGACTTTATTTCTATTATGATTACATTGTAATATATAATGAAATAATTATACCACTCACCATCATGAAGAATCAGTGGGAGCCTTGAGCTTGTTTTCCTGCAACTAGATGGTCCCATCTGGGGGTGATGGAGACAGTGACCCTGAAGTGTGTTGCTTTATGTCCACTCAACTCTAATCTCATTTTGGTTGCTGTCACTGCAGACAACCCTGCTTCACAAAGATAGGACCTTGAAAATGGAAGCAGGCTTTTCAGTGCTTTTGTGGCAATCTCAGGATATTCTTTAACAATCCAGAATGTATGGAGATTTGAAGTTGTCTCAAACATACTTCCAAGGCCACATCATTTGCAATCTCAAGCAAAATGATGGTGATCCTCTTCCAGCACGGACAAAGTCAGTTCACCTGGCTGATTCATAAACGCGTCGCAGATCCATTCCTTCTCAGTTCGGGGGTATTTGGTGATTGGGAAGTAACGCTCAAGCTCTACTGAAAGCTGAGGTAGGTGATCATGCACCAGCTGGGGGAAAGAAGGCCCTGGCTCTGTCTCTTTCACAATCTCTGCTAATGTTTGAAACATGTCAGTAATGCCGGTGTTCACTTGTCGCCCCCATAATTCCAGTTTGGCTTTGAATGCAGCTGCTTAATCTACTGACTATCTGCCGACTTGAACACAGTTGCCGTTCTCCCCTGAAGTGACAGATTAAGTTTGTGGAGCAGGTTGAATGTGTCACACAAGTAAGCAACGTTTGCAGCCCATGCTGTGTCACTGAAATGTGCTGCCAGTGGTGACTGCTGTTTTAAAAGAAATCTCTGGAGGGGCTCTCATAACTCAAAAACTCTGGCCAGTGATCTACCTTTAGAAAGTCACCTCACTTCTGTGTATCAGAGAAGCCATCTCATCCTATCACACGCATGTCATTCTAAGCACACGTGTATCAGAGAAGACGTGTGTGCCCTGCATCCATCTCCTCACAGAGCTGCACGAACAGACATGATTTAAGGGCATGTACTTTAATGCGGTTGGTAACTTTACTTTAATTATATGCTGCAAAACTTTGTTAAGTGCAGGTGACATATTTTGACTATGCAGAATTTCTCTATGGATGACACTGCAGAGACTCACATTGAGAAGTGACCTCTTTGACCCAAGTAGTGAAACCAGAAAGCCATTCAGTCATGGCAGCCACTCTGTCTGTGCATACACTGACACAAAATGGCCAGTTCAGTTTCCTGATACATAATCATTTGAAGATTTGAGTCGTTCTGTAGCTGTGGTGTTTGTTGACAGCAAAAGTACACCTAACATGTCTTCATGCACATCCTCCTGAAGATATATCTCACAAAAACAAGCATTGTTGCCTTGCTGTCAACATTGGTAGACTTGTTAACCTGAATTGTGTACCAAAGTGACTCATTAATCTCCTCTGACAATTGTGCCTCAGTATCCCCTGATATTTCATCAATTACTCTGGTTACGGTGCTAGCCGAAAGAGGAACATGTGCCACCTTTCAAACTGCCACCTCTTCTAAAAGTTCACGACAGTTGTCCTTAGCAGCAGGCAGGATGAACTCTTCACCAATAGTAAAGGGCTTCTTAGCTTTAGTAATGCGGTTAGCCACCAAGAATGATGTTCTCAGTGCAGACACATTTGATGAAGGGGTGGCCTTCACTAATTGCTTCTGTTCTTCATGTTCATGTTTTTTCCTTTGAAAAACTCCAAAGGCATATCTTTTAATGCAGAGTGCTTGGTATCCATGTGGTGAAGCAATTTTAAAGGTTTCACGGCTTCATTGGAGAGTCACCACATAGTATACAGAGTGGGCTTGGAAAATGCGAATCACCTGTTGGAGTGAACCTGTAATTTAAATAGGACTCTTGGTCTTTTCTTCTAAATGCAGCTTGCTTTATGTTGTCAGTCTTAGGGTCTTCTGCTGTCTCATGATTGGGTCTTTCCCCCTTTTCAAATAAGCTTTCCAGTGACATTTGTTTTTTACTGATTTTGGCTAGGGTTAGCTTGTGGGCTTACCGAAACTGTTACTGAGACAATTGTACAGTACAGGAAAGAGGCGTGGACAGAAGTGGTAAATAAAATAATGGTAGGCCATGTGTGGATTAAAATAAATGTCAGATTCTGACTTAAAGCCTGCCATCGGATGCAACTGTACGATTGAAGTACATCAACTCACTGGCCACCAGAAAGCCTTCCACCAGATGCAGCTTAATTGTCGCTTGCCACTCTCTGATAGGGTTTTGATATGAGTCTGCAAGCAATTGATTTGTTAGGGTCTTTGTGCAATCAAACCTCTTGCTACTGTTAATCTGTATTTTCAGCCACTGCCCACACTAGCATTACTGTCTCAGCTCCACCTCAGAAGATCATCAGGCATAAGATTCTCATAAGGAGCATGCAACCTAGATCCCTTGCATGACCAGTTCACAAGAGGATTCACGCTTCTATGAGAATCTAATGTCACCACTGACCTGACAGGAGGCGGAGCTCAGGTGGTCGTGCAAGCGATAGGAAGCAGCTGTGAATACAGGTGAAGCTTCGCTGGCTCACCCGCTGCTCGCCTCCTTCTGTGTGGCCAAGTTCCTAACGGGCTATGAATCAGTACCGGTCTGTGGCCTTGGGGTTGAGGACCCCTGTTTCATATAACATTATTCATTTATTTTAAGTTTTTAATTAGCTATAATTTTTACCATGTAAACAATGGGAACATGAAACACAAAGAGGTAATTTAGTAGTCTTCTGGTTTCAAAATCCCAAGTGTTTACATTACTAGGCAATTGATTTTGTGTGTGTGTTTGTATTTGTATGCATGTCTATTAGTAGTATCGTTTTCTGCTGCATTTTAGAAAAGTGGTTGAAAGTTAATGATTACAAGGATGACCCATAGACTTGACATCATGTTTGTAGTCTAGCTTTCTTTTTCTTTTCCATAGTGAGTATATCAATGGTTTGGTAACTATTTTTCAATTTTTCGAATTCGGAATTAAACAAGTACTACCTTCATTGAAGTACAATGCTTTTTATTACGTGTTAGGTACAGCGTTGGCTGGTAGTTTTCTCTCTTTTCTTTGCAAATCAGATTTTAGAAAAATAAATTGATTTCTTAGAATCACTGGTTGTGGTGCATGCTAGTGGGGGGACCACTGCTAATGGAATATTGAGCACATTAGATAAAAGGTCATGTCCTTTCAGGAACATGGACAGAGCTAGAGGCCACTATAGAGGCAAAGTAATGTGAGGACAAAACACCAAGTGCCACATGTTCTCACTTACAAGTGGGAGCCAAATGATGAGAACACATGGACACAAGAGAGGAACAGCAGACACTGGGGCCAACCAGAGAGTGGAGGGTCGGAGGAGCGAGAGAAGCAGAAAAAAATAACTATTGGGTACTAGGCTTAGTATCTGGGTGATGAAATAATCTGTACATTGAACCCACGTGACACAAGTTTACCTGTATAACAAACCTGCACATGTACCCTGAACCTAAAATAAAAGTTAAACAAACAACTAAAGCATGTGTGATCACAGAGGTTTCAGTAAGCCCTGGATAATTTTAGAAAGTTCACAGCCAAATCCAACAAGTTCATTGCTCACCACCTTTTATAATATTTCTTCATTGTAGGACATTTGTAATTCCGTCTTGGTTTGGCTTCTTTCAGAAGGCTGGATCAGGGGAGCTGGGTCCTTTCTTTAATTTCTGCTGTTATTTGAGTATTTCTTTCTCTTTGGCCTTGACTATCTTTGACCCTTGGCCATTATGATAGTCTCTAGTCTCACTCATTTCTTTTTTAGATAAGCATTTTGTATTTTTAGCTGAGGTTGGAATGGGACTTTTTTCTAGTATATTTTGTAACAAGCTATTGGTAACACAAAGTTGTAGCATTTTATATTCATATTGAATTTGACGAACTTACTGTGCTTCTAGATTAGTTCCAATGGCTTTTAAAAATAAGTTCATTTTTTACCCCCTAGGAGTCCCCCTGTACTTCTAGGGGGAAAAAAAGATACTTTCACCTATTTTCCAGGTTTTCTTCTTCTTTCTGCTTTGTACCTTATAATATCTATGTTTAACTTCCAGAAACATGGTAAACATTAGAGAACTTATCAGTCATAATGCTCTGATTCTTGATTTCAGTGGGAAGGTTGCTTGAGTTTTAGATAAGATTTTTCTTATTGATTTAAGATAGCTGTCCTTTATCATTTGAGTATTTAAAAAAATCTGTTTTGCTAACAATTTTAATCTGTAATTGTTGTTGAATTATACCAAAGGCCTTTTAAGTGTCCATTAAAATATTTGTTTTCTGATTTGATCTTTTGAGGTGACAGGTTAATATTGTAGTAATAGATATCTTAATGTTAAATTGCATATTATATTTTGTTGAAATGTTCTTTAAATGCATTAATTCAATTTGTTGATAGTTTAGGATTTTTATATCTCTATTTACATGTATGCAACCTCTGTCAAATGACGGTATCAGATTGTGTTAGCTACTTAAAATGAATCAAAAAACTTCTTATATTCTCCTGCACATTCTATCAGTGTCATTAATGATCATTTCCTTGACTCTGTAAAAGAATTACCCGAAGACTTATAAACATATTTGTGGCTTTAAAATGTATATAATTTATATGTTTATATACAATATATATTTTACACATAAATAAATATTTTCTATGTTTATATTATATATTTATGACATATTTGAATACATATAAATATGCATTTATAATATATTTATATATTTATGATTTACATTAATATATTATAGTAATATGTTTATATAAATATATACTTAATATGTAAATGAATATCATAAATATATAAACATAAACATAAAAATATAAAATAGAATATTATATATAATACATAATATGTAAATAATATATAATTATATATTATATATAAGTATAAAAAATAAATAATACATATTCTGGAGTAGTTCTAGATTCAGAAATCTCAAAGATAAGATAGAGTGTGTTTACATACCCACACCCAATTCCTCCTGTGAACATCTTACATTAGAATGGTACATTTGTTACAACTAATAAACCAATGCTGGTACATTTCTATTAGCCAAACTCCATTCTTGATTCAGAGTTCCTCGGTATTTTCCTAACGTCGTTTTCTGTCCTAGGATCTGATCAGGAAGCTACATTGCTTTTGGGCACTGGGTCTCCTTAGAGTCCTCTTGGCTGTGGCAGTTACTCAGATTTCCCTTGTTTTTGTGACGTTGGCAGTTTTGAGGGACACTGGACAGGTGTTTCACTGAATGTCCCTCTACTGGGATTTGCCTGGAGTTTTTCTCATGCTTAGACTGGAGTCCTGTGTTTTGGGAAGGAGGACCACAGAGGTGAGGTGCAGTTTTCATTGCATCATATCAGAGGCATGTGAGTACCAGCATCATGATTCATCACTGCTGATGCTGGCCTCGTTCACCTGGCTGAGGTCCTGTTTGTCAGGTTTCTGCCGCACCTGCCCTTCCATTCTGTCCCCTTTACGAGGAAGTTGCTATGTGCAGCCCACGCTTAAGGCATGGCGAGATATGCTCCATCTCTTTGAGGACAGAGTATCTGCATAATTTATTTGGAATTCTTCTGCACGCATGGGATATTTGTCTCTTCTTCCCCATTTATTTATTTATTCAATTATTTATTTATTGCAGAATGTCTTCATGGATATCAATCTTATACTTTTGGCTATTATTCAAGACTAGTTTGTTTATTTTGTTGCTCAGTTTGTTCCAGTTCTAGCCACTGAGAGTGTCTTCGGTTGGCTCTTGTGTCCTTTTGACATTGTGAGATTAGCTTCTTTTTTTTTTCTTTTTCTTAGCATTTTCTTACTTTCTGGCATTATGAGATGCTCCAGGCTCATCACAGAATTAGCCATTTCTCTAAGGAGCCCTGGTTTCTTTTATTGCAGAATGGTATTAGAAATTAAGATCTGGGCTGACTTCTGGGTACCTAGGGGTTAACCCTGCTCCACGAGGAGCAGCTAAAAGATAAAAATAAAAAATAAATAAAAGAAATTAAGATCTGGCTGCTAGGTTTGTGGTCTTTTATGGAGGTAATTTTTTTTTTTTTTTTTTTTTGAGACAGCGTCTCACTCTGACACCTAGGCTGGAGTGCAGTGGTGCCATCTTGGCTAGCTGCAGCCTGCGCCTTCCAGGTTCAAGCTATTCTCATGCCTCAGCCTCCAGAGTAGCTGGGACTACAGGTGTGTGCCGCCTGGCCCAGTTAATTTTTATATTTTTTGGTAGAGACGGGATTCTCTATGTTGGCCAGGCTGGTCTTGAACTCCTGACCTCAAGTGATCTGCCCGTCTCAGCCTCCCAAAGTTCTGGGATTACAGGCGTGAGCCACTGCGCCCGGTCTATGGAGGTAATTTTTGATGACAAGTATTTTGAATCTTTTCTCAAGTTTGACAATTGAGATTTTTCTGGGAAATCAACTTTTCTGAGATTTTAAGTTTAATTGGCATATACTTGTACAAAGTATGTTTTATTATTTAAAAAATGTTATTTCTATATGATTTTAAGCAATTTTTGGATTATTTTAGCAATTCTATTTGATATCTTCTTTTAACTTATTAACATTCATTTTGATCTTTACTGTTACTTTCTTGGGGACCACATTTTTTCCACTTTTTATGTACATAATTTTTTTTTTTTTTTTTTGCGTAGATGCTTAGTTTTTATCCATGGTTTCTCTTTTAATAGTGAAATCCTTTAAAGAAATGAAATTTGCTTTTAAATAGAACTTTGGCCACATACCCTGGGATTTGACAGACTTCAGCCCTAATTAAAATGGCAGACTCTTTAGTTGCTTGTGAGGATGTTTTAAAAGATCTGGATAGAAGTGTTTTCATTGAAGCTGTTACCAATGCCTATTTTTTTCTGCTACCTTATAATAAATAATATATTTATTACTTATAAATAAAGTCATTTTAAAGCAATTCTGTATCTGTGGTGTCTGCAGGAGTAGAGTACATCCATGAATACATCTTTATGTGCTTTACGTTGTCCACAGCCTTGGTGTCAGTAATCTGTAATACTGAGAGTTTTAAGTCCTGCTCCATTTTCGTTTTTAATCAAATGTTCTTGTTATTTCAATCTCCTTTTCTGTGCAGATTTTGAGGAGACACTATTTGACTCTTGAAAATTTCATGATTATTTTCCTTGTCTTACAAATTATCCCTTAACTTGATGTAAATGGTCTTCATTGTCACATTTAATTCATTTTGTCTTGAATTCTACTTGGTCTGCTGTTAACAGTTCTCTGATTTCTTTTTTGTCATCTTCATCTTTTTGTTTTTAACTTGTGTACGTTGTTATTTTAGTCTGTCTTCTGTAAGCAGCTCATTGATTGACATTGCTTGTTAGCCCAGTTTGAGTGTCTCTGTCCTTTCTGTTAGGTAGAGGTTTGCCTGATTAAATATATTACTGCTGGGCTGGGCGCGGTGGCTCACGCCTGTAATCCCAGCACTTTGGGAGGCCTAGCAGGGGTGGATCACCTGAGGTCAGGAGTTTGAGACCAGCCTGGCCAACACAGTGAAACCCCGTCTCTAATAAAAATGCAAAAAATTATCTGGGCGTGGTGGCAGGAGCCTGTAATCCCAGCTACTCGGGAGGCTGAGGCAGGAGAATCACTTGAACCTGGGAGGCGGAGCTTGCAGCGAGCCAAGATCTCGAGCCATTGTACTCCAGCCTGAAGAACAAGAGCGAAACTCCGTTAAAAAAAAAAACATATATATTTTGCTGCTAAGGGCATGTTTAAACTGTCCTCAGATCTTCTTCCTCCTCCTCTTCCTCCCCCTCTTCCTTCTTCTTCTGTAGGGAGGTCCTCCCTCAAAGCAATATCCTGGATAGCGGCCATATTTTCAGTTCGAGCTCTCCAAGGAGAAGCCAAAAAATCACGTTCCCAGCCACCCTCAGGCAGGGATGCAGGCACGGAGCCAGCTCTGCCCATCATATGCACCCATGCTCTTTGGATCTTGAAGAGCACAGGGTGAGTGCCTGGTGGGCAGAGGGGACCTTATGAAGTCCATTCTCTGGGGTGAGGAGCAGCAGCTCTCTTGTTAGGCAGCAGGGGTGATGGAGGGTCTGGGTCGGAGGTGCAGGTACTCATCATCATGGGGCCCGTGTGTGATGGCACAGCATAGAGATCTTCATAGGGCACGACCCCTCGTGAAGACTGCAACATCCTTCCTGGCTGCCCAGTGCCCACACTGGACTCTTTTGCTGGATACCTATTATCTTCAGCAATTTCTTCCAACTTAAACTGGTCACTGTGGGGTCTCTCCTTACCCCAGCTGGCCAGCGTGGGGCGTCTTCTTAGGGCATGGGGTCTTTTCAATAAAACCCTGAATGATACCAGGAACAAGGAGCTAAGCTCTCAAAACCTGTAATGTCATAACATGTAGACTGTGCAGGGAAGGACAGGTCTCCCGTGCCAGGGATCTCACCAGATGCAACAGCACCAGCAGCACCAGGAACAATTGTGTGCATGCCACAGGGTGCCCAAGAGGTGGAGTCTAAGGGCCTTCCTTTCCTGGGTTTCCTGGGTTGCATCCTCGACTGCCTTTCTCAGTTAGTTCACAGAGGCTGTCTACTGATAACCCACCAGTCCCTGAACAACATTATACAAAAAGCCATGCAGTGAACCGAATGTCCACATCCCATCAAATTCCTAAGTTGAAATCCTCACCAGCAAGGGTATTGGGCAGGAGGGTTTTTGAAAGGTGGTTAGGTCATGAGGATAGCATCCTCATGAATGGAATTAGTGCCCTTATAGGAAGATACATGAGCACTCTGGAACTCTCTCCACCCTGTGAAGATACAAGAAGTAGGTAGACTGCAACCTGAAGAGGGCCCTCCGCAGAACCCACTGTGATCTCAGACTTTCAGCCTCCAGAACTGTGAACAATGAATTCCTGATGTTTATAAAACATTGAGACTATGGCCCTTTGTTATAACAGTCTGCAGTAAGACAGCTGGTGACACATTTACATCTCAAATTGAATATTCAAATCAGGTTATACTGCTCATTTAGGGTCTTCAGGCTTCAATGAGTTTATGATTTAGCCTGGTGAGCAAGGGGTCTCTCTACAAAGTGTCACAGCTGGCAGACTCCAGAGAGCATTTTCCTGGGACCATCACTGGGTGTGGTAGAGTAGGGGAGGCAGCTGTCTATTTCTGGTAGGTGCAAATGCCCTCATTTCCAGAACAAAATTCTTGGTCGTCTCTTTGGAACTGTCTATCTTGTTCTGGTACGGAGAGTGGAACATGTGGTATGTTTTTTGAGAGTATGATTTACAATCTGTTTCCATATTTGCTATAGGTAGAGGGAATTTTTCCCAGATGGAAAAATGTGGTTTGTGATGCTTTTGCAAGTTTTGCTTTCTTTGTTTTTCTCATCCCCAGCCTCTCACAAAGTCCCAGGCACCACTGTGTGAAGCTCGGTGGCCGCAACACATGCCCCACACTTAGTGCTTTAAACCCACACAAATGTATTATCTTACAGTTTTGTAGGTCAGCTGTCTGATATGGATCTCACTGGACTAAAATCCAGGTGTTGTCAGGGCTGTGTTCTTTTCTGGAAAAACCATTTCCTTGCCTTTTCCATCCACAGTTTTCCACCCACATCGCTCCACCTTCAAGGCCAGTAATGTTGGACTGAGTCCTTTTGAGCCACCATCTTCTGGGTCTCTCTCCAATTTTCTCATCCACTTTGACCCTTGAGATTACACTGACCCTTCCCAGATAATCCAGGATAATCTCCCCATCTCAAGGTCAACTGATTAGTAACCTTAATTTCATCTGCCTTTGCCAGGTAATCTAATGTGGTCACAAGTTCACATGTGGACATCTTTGAGGGTCAGTATTCTACCCAGCACATACTTAGTGGTTTATGCAGTTGTGGAACATAGTGGTTGTGCTGAATTTGGGAGGAGGTGTGTCAGTCACGGCTAGTGTATTACTTTGTTTTCATGCTGCTGATAAAGACATACCCGAGATTGGGCAATTTACAAAAGAAAGAGGTTTAATGGACTTACAGTTCCACATGGCGGTTGGGGGGCCTCATAATCATGGCAGAAGACAAGGAGGAGCAAGTCATGTCTTACGTGGATGGCGGCAGGCAAAGAGAGAGAGCTTGTGCAGAGAAACTCGTGATCACACGGTCCCGCAATAGGCTATCTGCAAGCTGAGGAGCAAGGAGAGCCAGTCCAAGTCTCAAAACTGAAGAGCCTGGAGTCTGATGTTTGAAGGCAGGAAGCATCTAGCATAGGAGAAAAATGTAGGCTGGGAGGCTAGGCTCATCTCTCCTTTTCATGTTTTTCTGCCTGCTTTATATTCACTGGAAGCTGATTAGATTGTGCCCACCAGGTTAAGGGTGGGTCTGCCTCTTTTGGCAGCACCCACACAGACACACCAGGATTAATACTTTGTATCCCTCAATCCAATCAAGTTGACACTCAGTATTAACCATCACAGTTAGCATGTCACCATACAAATGTAGAATTTCCTAATTCGACTTTCAAGTGGGACAAACAATTATTTGGTACTATGGAGTGCCAGTAACTGCAGTGCACTAAGCTGCTGCACAGAGGCTCCTAGCTATGGTGATTTTTGCTTGGGATTGAAATATGTGTAACAAGCTTCATCATGGACCTGAGTGAGATGGTTTCAGTATGGAAAGGTCAGAGGCTCCTGCACTTCTCTAGGACATGTGGACTTCACAGCTATCTCTTAAAATTTTTAAAATAATTTTAAACGTACAGAAAAGTTGCAAGATAATACAGAGAGTTCTTTTCTACCTGTCACCTAACTTTCCCTCTTGCATAACCATAAATAAGTATCAAAACTAAGAAGTTAACATTGGTACATTACTGTTAGCTAGCTGCAGGCTCTAATTGGAGACCACTGGTTTTCTACAAATGTCCTATCCTGTTCCAGGATTGCATCTGGTATCCACTTGGTACGTGGCTGCAATGTCTCCTCTCTCAGTCTGTGATAGACCCTTAGGTTTTCTTGTTTTTTATGTTCTTGACACTTTTGAAGTGTACTAGTCAGGTATTTTGCAAAATGTCCTTCAATTTGGGGTCATCTGATATTTTCCTATGATTAGATTTAGGTTATGCATTTTGGGAAATAATACCACATCCAATTTGTAATCTGGATTTTGTGAATAGGTAGACATTTAGTTCACTTTCATCCTGACTTCCCACAGGTAACATGCCTCCTTGTATTATCTCCCAGTCCTTTGCCCCTCTCAGGAACTAAGTGTTAGAAATCTTCCCAACTCTGATGACCCTTTCCTCCAATGCATTTCATCAACACATACACATGGCTTGGCTGTCACTTGAAACTGCTTCATGTATAAGACCATAGTCTCTGGATCTACTTTTCTTCAATAAATCCTGTTACTCTTATACTTCTGTGCTTTCACTTATTCTGAACTTGATGCGGTTTCCTCATTCTGATCTCTAGTTTTACACCTTTCCATTTTCTTCCTCCTGCATCCTTCCAAAGGTTGTTTTGAAGATAACATGAGATGATGAAGGGACAGCATGGCCTGGAGTCCAGGTGTGAGGCAGCACTGGGATACAAACCACTTTCTAGCTTTGCTCATCTCTTCTTCAGTCAGTCCCTTATTCATCTTTCATCCATGCTGTCATTGGCAAGGAATTGACCTTCTGTTGCCATTCTCATTTTCCCTTGGTGAATTCAGTCAATCCTTTTGCTCTCTGTTCGTATTATGCAAATATAAAAATAAAAATAATCCTGATAATGTGTCCTGCTGAAAGAAGAAAAAAACTATCTGATCTCACTGGGATCCAATGCAGTATGACTCTCCCTTATCCATTTTTAAACAAGTTCTAATTCTGAACACTTTCCCCTTGCTAAAGTCCCTAAACAGATCTCTTTGCTACACATCCCACCAGAATGTCAAATAGCATCTGTCCAGCTTGCTTGCAAAGTCCTCCTCTCCAGCTCCCAGTATACCAGGGTCTGTGCATAGTCTTCTTTCCTTTCTCCTCACTGTCTTAGAGGCAAGGTCTGTTCTTTTCTCTGAGGCTAACCCCTTTGCCACCTTTCTCTGGGCCTCCCTGTGGCAGCAATCAGTCTTTCTCTGTCCTTTGCAAGTCCTTTCTCTTAACAACAAGATACTAGTATCTTCTTTATTACAAAGAAATTCTGTAGTCTGCTATACTTACCTCCCTTCTTACTCACGTTCTCCAAAGCTTGAAATCATGCTCTGCCTCCAGGTCCTCACTTCTTATACTAAAATCTGGCTTTGTTTCCTCCACACTATTGGAATTCTTCAACTTAATTGAAACACATAATGAGTCTAACTCTGCTTGGGCTGCCCGTGACATCTGCCGTAACTAAGACATATCAAAGCCCACTCCTCTAGGCTTCCATGACAATCGGAGTAATGTCCCAACTCTCACTGTCATCCCTCCATCTCCTTTGTGAGTGCAGGTTGCATGGTGCATTAGTCTGTTCTCACACTGCTATAAAGAAATGCCTGAGAATGGGTAATATGTAAAGACCAGAGGTTTAATAGGCTAATGATTCTGCAGGCTGTACAGGAAGCATGATGCTGGCATCTGCTTGGCTTCTTGAGGCTATGGTCTGGAACTGACACCTACTCACTTCTAACCACCTTCCACTTGGTAAAGAAAGTCTACATTGTGAAGTCTAACATAAAGGAGGCAGGAGCATGTACTCTGCCCATGCTGAGAGACATGCAAAGATACAGGGAATGGGAAAGGATGTAAAACTCAAGCACATGGAGTGCATGAAGCACTGCAAATGACAACTCCACTAGCACAGGTGACATAGCATAAATCTCTGTCCCACCTGTCTTCCCGTCCAGATCCATCTCTCTCTGTTCTCAAGTTTCTTTTTCCATGCTAGATCCTACTTCACCAAACTACTGTCTGCATCCTGGACACCTGTGCTCTTCTCTCTGCACTTTACACATATGCTTTCCTGTGCCTAGAAAGACTTTCCCTCCACCCTGGACTTGGAAAGCTCTACTGGCCTTTCTAGATCCAGCATTGATATCTCTGCTTCCAAGACATCCTCACTTTCCAGGGTGGATTAGGCTCATTACTCCTGTTCCTACTACACCACTCTCACTGCTCTCTGCTCCATTTTTGGAATAAATTATTTATTATTCCTATTCAGACTTTTCCAGAAGATTACAAGCTACTTGACTTCAGGGTCTTCATTGTTGCTTCTTGCATAGAATCAAGTCAATTCTGTATGCTCAATAAATATTTGTTGAATATATAAGTGGATGTGTGTATGGGTGACTGTTTCTGAGCAGTCATTTCATTATCTAGTTCATGTACTAAAATGTTTGAACATTACATAATTATGTTAAAAACAGATTTAAAAATTTCACACACATTCAAAACCATTTAGAACAACAATTTTTCTCTGTCCAACTTTTGTGATCATCTTTGCTTCTTTTAATAGTTAAGCTAATTTAGACTTGAATATTGTTTTCCCTCATATTTTGGATCAATTAGATTTCTTTTCTTTCAACAACATATATTTTTTGGTGACAACTGCATAGCAGCTTTTTTTGTTTTTTATTTTGCCTCAGGCATAAAGCAACCATATTTCTCCCATAAAAGGTGAGCTCAAAATAGACCCCTTATTACCATCCCCAAATTAATTCAAATACCACCCAACTTTTACTTATTGTACTTCAGAACCTGTGTATGGATTATTCTAATGTTCTGAAAAATGAAGTGAATAAACTTTCTTAATATAAGCTCAGCTAGCAATAATTGAGTCACATAAAATGTGACCTGTCAAACTCTGAAATTTGTTTATGTCCAAATGAAGGACTTTAGGAATAGAAAATTCAAATATAGACCAAATACTTGGACTTTGAATTTGTCCAAAAATCTGAGCAACACTAGAAATCTGTTAATTCATGTTAAACTAGAAACTGAAATTTTTATTTGTCAAATACAAAAGAACTACATTATTACATTCTAGTTGTTGTTTGGCCTTAAATTTTATTTATTCAATACACATTTTGGTAGGATCAACTTCCTGTAAGGCACAAAGACCAAAATGATATCCTTTCTTGAATCCTCTTACTAGGACCCTTGGTTTCCCATACTGTGCATTCCCCCTCACCGCACTGAGTAATAAACAAAACTTGTTCAGCCACAGGTGTGTTCCTGGTGCCCCTTGACTGGAGGATATTGACAGCACTTAACAGAAGATCACAAATAATATTGACTGAAACCATAAGGTTTTATTGTCTCACTAAAATGTTGGGTGGTGGGCAGTCCAGACTGGTGTGACAGCACCTGGATGTCCTCAGAGACCAGTCTTCTGCTTGGCTGCTCTCAGCACGTGGCTTCCATCACCAAGTACAACTCATGGTCCAAGAGGCTGCGAGAGCTCCAGCCATCACACCTGCATCTTATGCAGCAGAAATGGGAATATAGAGAAGGTGAAAAAAAGGATGTCCCTCCCACTTGTATCAAACCCTTTTAAGAAGACTTCCCAGAAATTTCTGACAAATTTCACTTATATTTTATTGACTACAACTTAGTCACATGGCCACACCTTGTCAGAGGGCAGATGGGAAATGCAGTCTTTTGGCTGGGCACATTGCTGCCCCAAAGACAGTCAGGATTCTGTTACCAAGAGACAAAGAGAAAAGTGACAAGAGGTAGACAACGTCATCTCTGCTATAAAGTGCTTCTGCTTCTTTACAGGTCAAATAAAAATCATGTTTGATTAAAACTATACCTTGCTCCCATGGATCGAATGTCCACGGTTCCTAAAAGATTCTGGGAGCTGCGTGGTTTGCGTCTGCCCTCTGCAACTCTGGCCTTGGGTCAAAGTACTCCTGTTAGGCTGGTCTTTCTTGCCTCAGGACTTGGACACTCTGTTACCTGTGATGGAGGAAATCCCACTACATTTTTTCATCTCCATATATTCTATTCATCCTTCAGGGACCCGTCAAATCCTCTGGCTGTAAAATCCAACTGTTCATTAAGCAAATGAGCCTCTTTGGGGCTGGCACTGTTCTGGGCACTGGGGACAAAACATCCTTCTGACCATGGCACTTCTATGCTGGGAGGAAAGAGACATCCAATACATACATGAATACATTGTTCTGTAATGGGCCAAGTAGGATAAGTCCTGGAGGAAAAGTGAGGTTAGAGCTGCCAAGAATCTTTGGGATCTGAATGGAAAAAAAACGTATTCAGGACCCCTGGTGAGAGTGGACGGGCCTTGTGATTGGGGTTGAATTGCAATATAGTCCGGATTCCTCTTCAGCTCTGGACCCCACATCCTCCTCTCCCCTATCCTTTCTTATTTTTCCTGAATAGGAAAAGGGGTTAGAAGGCAATGGGATGGAGGTGAAATTTTAGATGGAATGTCCATGGAAAGTCTACAGAGAAAGTAACATTTGAGTGGGAGCCTCAAGGCGGGGAGAGAATGAGCCTTGCTGGTGGCTGGAAGAGCATTTTGGTGAATAGCTGTGCAAAGGCCCTGATGGGGGCACTTGATTGACTTATTCAGGAAACAGGAAGGAGGCCAGTGTGGCTGAAACAGAGAGTTTGAGAGGCAGGAGGTAGGAGATTAGTTCTGGGAGGTGATGGGGATCAAATCACACAGGGCCTTGGGGGCTGGTATGAGGCCTTCAAGTGAGATGTCCTTTGGGGAAGGTGTGTGTGACATTATCTGATCATATCGTATCTTTTGCTTTGTCTTTCTGTTTAGCATAGTTCTTGCCAGATGGAAATATTTGATACAGTCTGAATGAAACTTTGAGATTGATTTGCATTTTCTTAATTAGCGATGAAGAATTGATTTGATTATTCTAGAATAGAATATTTAAATCTTTTTTAATTTAAATTTTTTATTTCAATAGCTTCAGGGATGCAAGTGGTTTTTGGCTTCATGGATGAACTGTAAAGCAGTGAAGTCTGGGAGTTTAATGCACATGTCACCCAAGTAGTGTACATTGTACCCAATAGGTAGTTTTTTATCCCCCACTCCCCCAACCCCCTGAGTCTCCATTTTCTACTATACAACTCTGTACGCCCTTGTGTACTCATAGCTTAGCTCCCTCTTATAAGTGAGAACATGCAGTATTTGGTTTTCCATTCTTGAGTTACTCCACTTAGAATACTGGCCTCTAGTTCCATTCAAGTTGCTGGAAAAGACATGATTTTGTTCTTTTTTATGGCTGAGTAGTAAGAATACTTTTTAAATAAAAGATTTACTTTTTCTTTACTCAGACTTTGAATGTTTGAGACTACCTTGGCCACCAGATTGTGTTACCTGGAAGTTTGGTCCCAAGCAAGAAGCCACAGGGAGAGACAGCGAGGCAACTCTATGCACATGCAATGAACACTGAGACTGATATCACTGAGACTTTCAGAGGACAATGGACTCATTATGGATCTCACATCTTTCCTAGACTCTGTTCTTTGCTCTTGGGTCTTCTCTACTCAGACTACCTGCCCCCAAATGCTCCATCCTCACCAAAATATAAAGATTGAGAAGAAAGTGGGACAAAGGGTGTGGAATAAAAAATGTAAGATTGGCTATCACCCCAAGGTGATCAAATCTAATGTTGGCTTTGCTCCAGCGGATCTGTGACCAATTTTGTATCAGTCCCAGAGCACAGCGAGCCTGTTCAGGCTCTTGTAAGTGAGGACCTGTGGTTGAAGAGTAAAATTTTTGTGACTTTAATCCTTCTTTTCTCCAGACTGGAGGGTCATGATGGTACAGTGGGAATACCTTGGGCCTGGCTGCCAGGCCGACCTGCACAAAGATGGTTGTCCCTGTGGGAGGGGCACAGACATTGTGCAGGTTGCACACAAAAACAGAACTAGGGTCTCTGGCAGCGGAAATGAGTCATACAGAGAGCCGTTTAGAGGTTTCTCAATACAGTTCTTGGGCTTATTAAGGTTGAGTAATGGCAATTAGTGTGGAGGCAAATTGGAACAACAGTGACAGTGTTGATTATGAAGCAAATGAAGAAGCTCAAAAGGAAGGCATTTTCTTGGAGTGCCTCAAAGAATTCTGCCCTTTAATTATCTGCCCTCTCAGTGTAGAGAGAGTGAGATATCACTGGAAAACACTGGAGGGCCATTTGTGGTGACACAGAAGCCTCTCATACAGACAGGAAGCAAATGAATGGCAGGGGATGTGAGTTTGGATGGAAGGGCTGTCATGGGGATTCAGATTGGATTCTAGAGTCAGGTGCATTGTGGTCCTTGCCTGATGCAGGAGGTTTGGACTCAGATTTTTCTGAAGACAACATAAGCAGAGAAACAAGGTGTGAAGACAAGCTTGTTTGAGGATGTTGGCACCATGACAAAGTTATTTACTGTACCCCATCCCAGTGCCCAGATGAACAATATGAACATGATAGGGATGCAGTTCACATGTGTTCCATTTTAGAGTTTGCTTTAAAAATTTATATCCATGTCATAACCTTCTGATTAGGATTTGAGAGAACTGATTGTCAAAGTGAACTATATTTTTAGGAAAGTGTTATTTTATATTATTCTGATGCTATAAAAGCCAAGATTGCTAAACTGAAGGACTCTGTAACGTGAGAAGCATATCATATTCTAAGTATCCCTAAGGTGTCTCTCTTGACCTCAGCACTAACAGCTGGTAATGGCAGGGATTGCTGTTATTTCACATGTGACCCACGATGGTGAGACATACTCACCCACCCAGGGCGAGGGGGAAGAGGGGAGATTGCCACATATTTCCAGCTGGCATAGCAATTGTAGTATTAAGAAGGTGAAAGATTCATATCTAATCAAATAACCTCAGATAAGTGTGTCCTGGGCTGTTGTCCCTGTGGCTTTAACAAGTCACTTGGTGATGCACAAACTGAATGCAGCTGAACTCTGCCCAGGGCTGTGATGACTGCTTTTCATAGCTTTGAATTCTATTAAAAACCAGAATGAAAATGCTTCTTGTAAAATGCTTGTCTTTTAAAAACGTAAACAAGATGATATAATTTATCCAGAGTTGAGGAAATATATCCAGTTTAAATTTTATATACATTTAAAGGCAGCCTACATATAACATAGAAATGAGCTATCTATCTATCTATCTATCATCATCATCGTCATTGTCATCGTCATCATCATCATCATCACCTATTGTATTTGTTTTTGCTCTGTAAGTTACCACACACTTAGTGGTTTAAATCATCGCCTAATTATTCTCTCACAGTTCCCTAATTCAGAAGCCTGTGGAGGCTCAGCTGGGCTCTCTGCTCAGTGTCTCACAAGGCTGAAATCAAGGAGTCGGCCCAATAAGGCTCTTCCCTGGAGGCTTGGAGGATGAATCCCTTTCAAGTTTCTTCAGGTGGTTGACAAAACCCAGTTTCTCACAATTGTAAGACTAAAGCACCTGCGTCCTTGTTGTATGTTGGCCAGGGGTTGTTCTCAGCTGCTGGAGTTTCCCTCAGCTCCTGAAAGCTTCTGTCTTATCCCTGAATGTGGCCCTGTTCTAAAATACGGTGTATTAATAGAAAATTTGAGACTCAGTAAAGCCAACAGATTGTGAGATAATTGCCATTAAAAAATACAGTTTGTTGGTCACAGTCCCCAGAGGAGCAAGTTACACCACATCACAGGTGGCCACCAGGTGGGTCAGGAGGGAGAGGGAGCAGGAGAAATGTGGGCAAGAGCCTTGACTGTGGTTTTCATCAGGAGGGAACAGGTGAGGCAGGGCAGCATGCTCCAGATTGGTGAGTTTGAATAATTTCAGCAGGCTCTGAAGCGTAGGGGCTGTCTCTAGTTGTGGGACCAGTGCAATTTTCCCATAGAACTGAAGCTTTAGAAACTTACATTTGTTTTATCTGAGTTCCTTTCTCAGGAAACTAATAGGCCATCCAGATAGTACAATATCAGGAAACTGAAATTTCCCAGATCACTGTATCTGGACAGTAAGATGCACCTGCTGCCTGCTAAAAAAAACTCCTCTTTCTTATGCCTCCTTAATTCCCTGCTATGTAAACCCTTTAATCAGTTAGAGATTAATTTGAGATTGATGTTCTGTTTCTGGCTGACGTCACCAGCATTAAAGTCTTTCTTTCCTGGCAACACTTGTTGTCTCAGTGATTGGCTTTCTGTGTGGTGAGCAACTGGACCTAAGCTGAACCCCTAGTGTTTTGGCAGCAGTTGTCTGATACCTGGCCTTGGGATGATTAGGGCAGGGGTGCATAGTGGTCTTCTGTGAAAAAAGGGGGTGATTGAGGGTATGTGCTCTGGATCGGTTGATTTGCATTTAAAAGGCATATTTCAGGTGAGCTGTTTGCTATGTTTAGAACTGGTTAACCCTGGGAAGGGCAGTCTCTCCAGAGTCAGCAAGGCCCCAGATGTTAAAGCATTAGAATACAGAAAATAAAAGACATGATTAATACAGTCACCTCCATTTTCAAAGCCAGCAACCGTGCATGGAATTCTTCTCATGCCTTGATTCTCTCTGACTTCTCATTCTGCCCCCATCCAGAGAAAACTCTGTTGTTCAGGGCTCATGTGTTTAGACTAGACCCACCTGGATAACCTCCCTTCCAAGTAACTCAGAGTCAACCATTAAATAACCTTAATTACATCTGTAAATTTTCTTTTGCCATGTGCATGCTGTAGTCATGGGATGATATCCCATTGTATTCACAGTCCTGGAGATTAGGGTAGATTAAATTAAGGCATTGGCAGGCCATGTTGGGATTCCATATATATATATATATATATATATATATATATATATATATATATGGAAGATATGAAAGAATTATATATATAGGAAAATATGGAAAAATTATATATATATAAAAATATATATATAGTGTTTGATCATTGAAGAACATTTGAGGCTAGGCATGGCCCAGTGCTTTGGGATGCCAAGGTGGGCAGATAAAATCACTTGAGGCCAGGAGTTGGAGACCAGCCTGGCCAACATGGCAAAATCCCATCTCTACCAAAAATATAAAAATTGGCCAGCATGATGGCACACACCTGTAATCCCAGCTACTGAGGTGGCTGAGGTACGAGAATTGCTTGAACTGAGGAGGGGGATGGAGGTTACAGTGAGCTGAGATTGCACCACTGCACTCCAGCCTGGGTGACAGAGCAAGACCCTGCCCTGTCTCAAAAAAAATAAAAAATAAAAAAGAATATTTGAAAAAATATGAAAAACTACACAGAGGAAAATAAAAACCACTTATCATTTTGTCACTATTAATATGTTTCCTTTGAGTTTTTATCATCCATATTATTTTCACAGCTAGAATAAAAATGTATTCACAGTTATGTGCCCTTTTGAATTTCAAAAAATTTTCCATGTCATTGTACACTCCTTGTAATAATAATTGTCAGCATCTGTAAACATTTACAAATGAATAACTTAATATCGGGTATTTAAGTGATCTCAAAGCTTTGTTAATATTTATGATTATTCTGAAAGGAGGTTCCTAGAAATAGTATTACTAGCTAGGAAGCTGTAAACATTTATGTCTCTTGATTTATGCTCTCAAAACAGCAGAATCTGGTATCTTTCTCTTTGTCTTCTTGTTTCCTTCCTGTCTCCCTCTCTTCACTTTTTTTAGTATTTAAGTTTTCAAAAATAGAATATAAAGATAGAAAAGATATCCCAAATTCATCACTTTTTTTTCCTATGAACAAAGAAAAACTCATTCTTCATCATCTACTTCATTGTCTACACAAAGCCACTTGAGTGTGAAACCCATTCTACACCTGCTTGACTATTAATAAGCAACTGCCTTTTAGTATAGAATAATCAGAGATGGGACTCACTTAAATGATATGATTTCTGAAATCCCCACTAGTAGTCCAAGGAAAGATAGAAGCTGCTTTTCTTTCTAACATGCTTTTCCCTGGTTCCCAGGATCATGTGCCAACCCGGTACTTATAGGGAGGTTCCTTATGGAATCCCACAGGAGTCCAATCCTTGAGCACTTTTCTCGCTTTGGTTTCTGTGAACCCCTACCTGTCCATGGTATATTCTCTCATCTGTCTGCTTGTAATTTTCCCAGGGGACCATTGGGTGAATTAAGTAGCTATTATCCACATAGGTTAGTGGGTTTGTTTTAAATAGGTTTATTGTTTTGTTTGTCACATTCTACAGCATTGAATTGTAATGTAATCTTGTCCTACAGGCAGAGGCTCACCTAACATGAAAGGTTTTAATTTTTGCCATTTAAGCACTACTGTGGACTGGATTTCAGTAGATGGGCTCCTTAAATCAGATGATGCTAATTAGTCCACAGACTCCTAGGGTTAGAGAAGGTGGTAAAGGGGTCTCCTGAAAAATTTGATGGATATTTCCAATGAGTAACAGCCAAGTATAAAGAGGTCCCCAGAGAACCTCTGCCTGGACTGCATACTGGGACGAGTGTGCACTGGGGTCGAGTCTGGGGAAGTTCAGGTTGTTTGTCGGGCCGGGGAGGAGCCTGGCCTCTCCTGATCCTGGGTGGTAACCTGGGATTCAGTCTGGGAGGCAGGAGGCCCGCTGGCAGGACTCTTGCCTTGCTGAGAGTCCTTGTTTCCCCCTTTTTTCCTTTTCACCCAATAAATTCTGCCCTTCTTACCCTTAAAAGTGTCAAATCTTTCATGGTCGTGTGACAAGAACCCAGCTTTTAGTTGAACTGAGGAGAAAGTCCTAAAACATTACCACTTCAATTATTAACTGTATCCATGTGCCTGTTTCAGAAGCTTCCATGGTTCATTGCTGCTATTGGTCATCTCTACAAAAGGGAATGTCTGAATGGCAGACATACTTGGTAAATTCAAGACATTGCCTTTTCTCCCTAGCAGGAATTCAGCCTTGTTAATATTTAAGATTTATCAACAGTTCTCTTTAAGGTCCAAACCCTTACTTATGCTAAAATTGATCATTGTGCTAACATGAAAGGATTAATCAGCTGCAAATTTAATTAATCTAATGTGATTTTCTATAGCTTAGCCTGTTTCACATTGTTCACAGCCTAACATGGAAGCCGACTTTACCAAGGATCTTTGAGGTGGGTGCTGCACACTGGTTCAAGCACATGAGTATAGAAGGGTACCTCTCACTTACCCCTTGATGGATCTCAAAGTTTCAACTCAGTATTTGCTTCTCACCGTACAAAATTTTTATACTACTCTAAATTATGCTATAGTAAATTATGTTAGTTTGAAGTCTTATGGGATAAGAAATTAATACTTTGACAATAAGTGTTAGGTAGCTGGGGATGAAACTTGATTACTGCTAGCCTTTTTATTTTTATTTTTTGTAAAATGCAATTAGGCCTATAAGCAGATAGGCTTGCTTCTACACCCCTAAATTCTACTTATCTGCTCACCTAGTCACTGAGTTAGTCCTCCCCTAGAAGAAAGCCCCTCACAGCATGATCGAGAACAGAGTAGCTTGCGTGTTCTGTGCAGGTAGGTAGAATGTGCGGGGGAGAAGAAGGGACTGCTCAGGCATGCCCACTTTCTTCTCCCAAACCCACCAATGGGTGAAGCCATTTCAACTGCCCTGACTGGGATGAGTAAGGGATAGGACAAAGGGCTGGGAGTGACATTCCTATGTAGCTCCTTCTCTGCGCAAGACAATGAAAAGGACAAAAATGATCTTTCTGACGGCCTTCAGGACAGGATGAGTGAACCAGCCAGTTATTGTGCATTTTCCAGAAGGCAGATTTGGAAGCTTTTGTTTATAAACACAGCTTTCACTAAATGCTTAGTCTAGTCTGTGGATTCCCTAAGATCTCTGCATTTTCTCTTTCTCTCTCTGTTTCTCCTTTAGGCCTCACAGATATATTTTGTTCTGTACCGAGTCTACCAACACACGGTAGAGTGTATGAGTCAGGCTTTTCTGTGATAATGCTGTGTATCAAACAAGCCCAAATATCAGGGGCTTACAAGAGCAGGTCATTTTTTCTAGCTCCAAGTTTTGCACCTTGGCAGGGCTTGGCTGCATCAGGCTCCAGACTGTGTTGGGTTAAGGTTTCCTCTGTGTGTTTTCCCACTGTGGGACCGTGGGTACGTGGGACCTTTCTCATGGCAGAAGACAGAATCACAAGAGCTGAGTAAAGTCATTAGGTGGCATCTGAAGCTTCTGCTTGCATCATGCCTGCTTGTATTCAACCAGCCAGTGCAACACATGTGTTCGGGCCCAACATCATGGGGAGGGCAGGGTGATATTTGCTAAACAGCAATACAATCTACCAGACAAAAGATAAAGTGGGGCAGGCAAACATGGGAGTGGCCAGGACTGCATGTAGTGACCCATTTCTTTGGTTTGGTATCTTCTTTCTTGCTCTGGAGTCAGATAGAACTGGGTTTGAATCCTGACCACAGACCCATGAGTTGCACTAGGTGATTTGTGACTGAGAGAGGCAGGTTGAATAGCCAGATGAATTCCTGGGGCAAGAGTATTCCACAGGAAGAGAATGGTAGAGACCAAGGCAGCAGTGTATTTTGGATAATGGTGACCCAGCAGTTCAAGGAAGGAGCGACGTCTGAAGAAGTTGCCATGGAGGAGGGATGGTGTATTTACATATTTAGGTAGATAAGAGAAAATAAAGCTAGTTTATTGGCTCATGTGAAAGATTCCAGAAGAGAAGGAGAGGCTGAAGTTCAGAAGAGAGAAAGACCACAGGCAGATCTGAGGTACCGGCAGAGATGCCGTCATGAGCACAGATGGGCTTGTCTCCAAATCCCTTGGATGACCAGGGTGAAGATATTGGTTGGTGGGGAAACAAAAGAAATTGAATCACTCTTGTGGATGAACAAGAAGGGAAATTATCCAAGCATGGCGTAGTAGGGGCTGCATGTGTGTTCTGAAGAGAGGAAAAGACTGATGTGTCACAGCAGTCATGAAGAGAGAGCAGGTTAGGGGTAGAAGGAGGGTAGTGCCATTGAGATGAGAAAGATGACTTTGCTGTGACCTCAGTTCCCATATATCTGCATTTTCCCCATCAGCACTGAGCTTCTGTGGGCTAGAAGCTGGGGAAATAGGCGGAAGGCCCAGCAGGTGCCTGAGCAGAGGGCTAATGTGCTGGTTTAGACCAGTCCTGGCAATTAAGCCTCTGATCCCAGCGTCGGGGAAGGGATTAAGCCCAGATGTGGTTCATTCTAGTGTCCAGGAGGACAGCAGGAGATGCAGTGGGAAGGAAACTTTCAGAAGCAAACCCTGACTCTATTACCAACCCCCAGTGTGGAATAGCGCGGAAAACCATCTACAACCCACCACCCCCCAGCTTTTATCTTCTCTTGACTCACTCTTCATCAGGATGGGCTGCATAATTTTCAAGGCCTGGTGCAAAAATTAAAAGGCAGGGACCCTTGCTCACAAATGATGAATTTCAAGATGGTGACAGCAGAGTATTAAGCCAAGCCTGGGGCCTTCTAAGTGCAGGGCGGCCCTGTGGGACTACGGGAGTCATATGCCAGGAAGCCAGTTCTTAGCCCTTGGCTCTCAGCCCACATGCCTCCTGTGCGTTTTCTCCCCTCTCCATTTTTGAATACGCCACCTCCTCTCTCCTCATTGTTCCTGCTCACCTTCTACTGTAGAATCAAAATCCATTTCTAAGTCAGCTCTTCATGCTTCCCCAGGACTCTTTCAGTGTCCATCAGCGCACTTATCTTTCCATGCTTAGCATATATTCTACATAAGGTTGTTGAGTGAATGAGTGAACAAATAAATAAATGGTGAACTTTGAAGAGTCACGTCCAATGGAATAAACCAGAAGGAACTCTGTCCCCAGTACCCCTGTACGGGAATGAGAGTCTCCAGATTCCTCTCACACTGAAGAAAGTGTTATAAGAGTTCTGATGTGCTGCAATCACTTAATTCATGAACTTGTTAAGGCTCTGCCCCATAACAAAAGAGATCGGAAAATGCATGGTGTGAAAATTATGATTTACTCCTAAACCTTAAAAATGTACATGACTTAATATTTGCTTTAAAATTGGTCTTTGCTTTTTTCCCCAAAACTATTTGAGCCTGTTGATAAGAAAAGAAACATGAGCTGAGTCATTCGGATGGACACAAAACCTCAACATTATTAACAGGCAGGGGAAGGCAAGGACACTGCACACAGGTACACGGTAATATAGTTCTTATGTTTGAACATTGGACTTGACAAAGAACTTCTTTTTTTTGAGATAGGGTCTTGTTCTGTTGCCCAGGCTGGAGTGCAGTGGCGCCATCTGCCTCCTGGGTTCAAGAGATTCTACTGCCTCTGCCACCTGAGTAGCTGGGATTACAGGCATGTACCACAGGGCCTGGTGAATTTTTGTATTTATAGTAGAGATGGGGTTTTACCATGTTGCCCAGGCTGGTCTCGAACTCCGGAGCTCAAGTGATCCACTTGCTTTGGCCTCTCAAAGTGCTGAGATTACAGGCTTAAGCTACTGTGCCTGGCCAAATTAGGTGCAGAACTTCTTGAAGCTATAGCAGAGACAGGGGAGACACGGTTCTATAGGATTCTGGTGGTCGGATCATGTTCTGAGTGGTGCAGAAGACGGCACTGTAGATGTGTCATGGATGGACCCGGCATCCCAACCTGTCTAGAGAAGCCGCATCTCTCCACAAGGATCCTGGGGTCCCCAGCACAGGGGCTGACAAAGGGATCATTTTTCACCTGATGCTTCAGCCCCAGCTACTAACTGGAATTCATGAGAACGAGTCTGTCAAGGTAGGGGCTTCCTCCACTGAGGCCAGGTGGGTGCCACAGTCCAGGACCACCCAAAGAGTGCAGGGCCAAGTAAGGAGCCCAGGACCACCCAGGCCATGTTCACCAGGCACCCTGAACCCCAGGCTCCTGGCTTCCACTTGGAAAGACAGGGCCAGCCTTGGGGAGTTAGAGCAGGAGGGATTTGCCCTGAGCCTTGAGTAGAGCAGGTCTGCATCACCCTAGGGGGTCTTTCCCAGCTGGTGCTCTGGAAGCTCACCCAGGCCAATCTTTTCTCACTCATTCCAGGGAAGCCCATGTAGAAAGAGAAGGAACGGGGCTCGGCACAGGGAGGCACTGTTTAGTTTTACTTAAAAGCTGAGAGTATATTACCAACCTGTGGTCTAGTGAGGGCTTACGTTTGGGGAGATGAGCTCATGTCATCAGGAGTGCTGCTTCCTGACCTCCTAGCTCAGTGGGAAAACAGCTTAGAAAACCTTGTGGGATCAGGAGGAGCATGTCCTGGTGCATCCTTCTGTCTTTCTCACATTGGCTGTTGACAGTCACAATGGGCCTTTGACAGGAGCTGGGCAGTAGCTAATTAGGAGCTCAGAGGGGAGATGTTCTGTGTTGTGAATTGAAGGGTGTCCTAGGGCTGGAATTTTAGAAGTGTCAGTAATGGTGTTTTCATTGTTATGTAAATTAAACAGGCACACTCCCACCCTCCCAACAGAGGATCAGCCCACCTGACACACTTGACAGAGGTGAAGAAGTTGGGGAGAAAGGAGGTTCATAGGGTTGTGCATAGGCAAAAGGCAGAAGTGGCATTTCTGTGTGAGACACCCAGAAAAGGTAAAAATATTTTAATGTTATACATCCCAAGGACAGTTAAGTGATTTTCCTTCAAATACAGAGAATGATCTAAAACAAAGCTAAGCAAAATTGTACACAATTTGGAAGAGACACAAGCTTAATAATCCAATCTTTATGACTAAGGCAAAATAGAATAAACAATGAAAAATAGCAGGAACTTTTGAAATAGCAAGTTTATGGAAACTTTCTTTGATCATGTTGAAACACAACTGAAACTAAATATAAATTATATTTGTATATAATATATACATTATATTTTGATATGGTTTGGCTGTGTCCCCACTCAAAGCTCATCTCAAATTGTAATCCCCATAATCCCCACCTGTTGAGGGAGGGACCTGGTGGGAGGTGACTGGATCATGGGGGTGGTTTCCTCATGCTGTTCTTATAATAGTGAGTGAGTTCTCTCAAGCTCTGATGATTTTATAAATGTTTGACAGTTTCTCCTTCACATGCGCTCTCTCTCACCTGCCACCATGTAAAACATGCCTGCTTCCCCTTCCACCATGATTGTAAGTGTCCTGAGGCCTCCCAAGGACATTATTCACAGAACTAGAAAAAACTATTTTAAAATTCATATGGAACAAAAATGAGCCTGAATAGCTAAGGCAAT
Source organism: Homo sapiens (assembly GCF_000001405.40). Lineage (NCBI taxonomy): Eukaryota > Metazoa > Chordata > Mammalia > Primates > Hominidae > Homo > Homo sapiens. The sequence continues at coordinate 6,897,328 of NC_000005.10, forward strand.
CCTAGGCAAAAAAAAAAAACCAACCAAGGCTGGAGGCATCATGCTACCTGACTTCAAACTATACTACAGGGCTACAGTAACTGAAACAGCATGGTACTGGTACAAAAACAGACACATCAACCAATAGAACAGAATAGAGAGCCCAGAAAGAAGACTGCATGCCTATAACCAGCTGATCTTTGACAATGCTGACAAAAACAAACAATGGGGAAAGTACTCCCTATTTGATAAATGATGCTGGGATAACCATATGCAGAAGATTGAAAGCGGACTCCTTCTTTACATCGTATACACAGATCAACTCAAGATGGATTAAAGACTTAAATGTAAAATCTGAAACTATAAAAACCCTGAAGACAACCTAGGCAGTACCATTCAGGACATAGTCATGGGCAAAGCTTTCATAAGGAAGACTCTAAAAGCTATCATGACAAAAGCAAAAATTGACAAGTGGGATCTAATTATACTAAACAGCTTCTGCACAGTAAAATAAACTATCAACAGAGTAAACAGATAACCTACAGAATAGGAGAAAATATTAATATTTGCAAACTGTGCATCTGGCAAAGGTCTAATATCCAGCATCTATAAGGAACTTAGATACTTTTACAAGAAAAAATGAAACAACTCCATTAAAAAGTGGGCAAAGGACATGAACAAACACTTTTCAAAAGACATATATGCAGCCAACAAGCATATGAGAAAAAGCTCAATATTACTGATCATTAGAGAAATGCAAATCAAAACCACAATGAGACACCATCTTACACCAGTCAGAAAGGGTATTACTAAAAAGTCAAAAAATAACAGATGTTGGTGAGGTTGCAGAGAAAAGGGAACACTTATACACTGTTGGTGGGAGTGTAAATTAGTTCAACCATTGTGGAACGCAGTGTGGCGATTCTTCAGAGCTAAAAACAACTACCATTCGACCCAGCAATTCCATTACTGGATATATACTCCCCAAAATGTAAATCATTCTACCATAAAGACACATGGATGCGTATGTTCATCGCAGCACTATTCACAATAGCAAAGACATGGAATCAACCTGAATGCCCATTAATGGTAGACTGGATAAAGAAAATGTTGTACCTATACACCAGGGAATACTATGCAGCCATAAAAAAGAACAAGATCATGTCCTTTGCAGGAACATGGAGCTGGAGGCCACCATCTTTAGCAGTAACACAGGGACAGAAAACCAAATACTGAATGTTCTCACTTGTAAGTGGGAGCTAAATGATAAGAACTTATAAACACAAGGCTGGGTGTGGTGGCTCTCTTCTGTAATTCCAGAACTTTGGAAGGCTGAGCTGGGGGATCTCTTGAGGCTAGGAGTTCGAGGCCAGCCTGGCCAACATGGTGAACCCCCCAGCTTTACTAAAAATACAAAAATTAGCCGGGCATGGTGGCACATACCTGTGATACCAGCTATTCATGAGGCTGAGGCACGAGAATCACTTGAACCCTGGAGGCGGAGGTTGCAGTGAACCAGGATAGTGCCACTGCACTCCAGCATGGGTGAGGAAGCGAGACTTTATAAAAAAAAAAAAACTATGAACACAAAGAAGGAAACAGCAGACACTGGGGTCTAGTTGAGGGTGGAGGGTAGAAGGAGAAAGAGGATCAGAAAAAATAACCATTGAGTACTAGGCTTAGTACCCAGGTAATGAAACAATATGTACAACAAACCTCTGTGACACGAGTTTACCTATATAACAAACCTGCACATGGGCCACTGAGCCTAAAATAAAAGAAAGATACAAAAATACGTATTAATGTAGTATATTATATGTGTAATATATATTTTATTATAATATTAGATATTGTAATACTGTATTATGATGTGCAATACAATAAAAATAAATACCTTTAGGAAGTAAATGCCCCTGTAGATCTGAAGGACGCTTAGAAAGTCATGGGAGGTTCTAGACCTGCACGTGATCAGAGCATGCCAAGATAAACATCCTCGCAAAGTTTTTCTTTCCCTAAGACAAGCAGCACAGAGAACACTGAGGTCCACATTCCCGGCTTCCTGGTCGGCCTCCTACACTTACTGGCCTGATGACCTTCTGGCTCATTTTGTTGTGGGTGAAGTGGAGATTATAATGTTGCCAACCTAACAGGACTGGTATGAGGATCCAGTGAGTTAACACACACACGAGGCCTGCAGAGCCGTGCTTGGCATTCAGTCAGCTCTCGTGACTGTCAGCCTCAAGGCTACGTAAGCCAGTTCTGGGGATGCTGGCCACATGCTTAGAGACAAGGCTGTCCAAAGAAGCCACTTATTGAAATCCACCTCCGGTTTATAACCTTCTGGCTGGAAATACATTATTGCACTTGGATTTTGTGATATAACTTGAAATAAGCATTGACTGACTTCTTGTAACTGACCTGGATATGTTGTTGGCTAACATATTATGGAGAACTATTGTATGTGCTTTAGGAAGAAAAGCACTAGTTCATTTCAGTGAAATCAGGTTAAAAATAATTTAGGAAATAAAATATAGAGTATTGACCCGATTGCTTTTGGAATGTGAGGACTCAAGGCAGCAAGCTCTAGTTGCAATCAAGCCCAATTACAGGCTGTTTCTTTCCGATGCAGAGGCTTACGTCACTATTTTGAGGTTAGAGAATAAAATATCGATTGAACTGGAAATAGAATTCAAAGCAATTTAATAAGCTCAAATCCTGCTGCTGTTGTTTTCTTCATTTTATTCAAAAAATACTATATGCAGCTGGCCTTATAGCCGTCTGTTTGGGGCAGTTTGTCTGTGGAACAGCTAATTAAGGGGAAGAAGATTTGTCATCTTAAAGAATGCTGACAACTCTAACGACTCTCAGGGAAACAAAATCTTGTTAGAAAACTGTCTCTTTTGTTTTCATTGCTGCTTATTTGGTGTGTCTTTTTGATGGGCAAGGAGGATATTTGGCTATTCTCTGAAAGGGTGCACACCTTCCTCAGAAGGGAGCAACTCATTTCTAAGCATTTTAATTTGTCAATTTTTATTTTTCTTGCTCAGTACGCCATTCTATCTCTGTGGTCTAATAAAAATGCTTTTAATCGTGGTTGCAAATACACATATATGTATATATGTAACATAAAATTTGCCATGGTAATCATTTTTGGGTATAGAATTCAGTGGCATTAATTGCATTCACCATGTTCTACAACCATCACCATGATCTATTTGCAAAACCTTTTAATCACTCCAACTGTGGCCTATTTTTGTATTAGGAAGACTTGAGCATGATTCTGTGTATCGGGGACTCCTCTGGGTGTTTCTGGTGGAGGCGACCCCTGAGGAGAAGAGGCTGCCCTTGTCCCTGCGATGGCTGCAGGGCTGGAGTGCGGAGGGCCATTGCTGCTGGGCAGATGTCCTTGGATTTGAGCTCCATCGGTCAGGGGGTTTGGGATGAGCATGGGATAAGTAGTCATTTTTCTGCGATGTAAGGCCCTCATGGAACAGTGCCTTCCCTTTATCAATTTTTCAGAGAATCAAATCAACTTTGTAACCAGCGATAGCCTTTTCTCCATCACATGGCTCCTCCCTCCTCCCAACAATCAAACACAGAAAACAAAGCATGGCTCCTGCTTGTTGGTTTTGGCAGCCGGAGTGAGGGAGCTGAGTAACGAAGCCCCCTCTCTGTTTTATCGCTTACAGCTTCCGCAATCCTTTTAAGAGATCACATGGGAAACTCCGGCTTTTGAATTTCGTGTGTTCACAGTGGGTGACAAAGGGGAGGCTGAAAGAACAGACCTTGCTCTTTAAGGCCGATTATTTGCTTTTCATCCAAACGTGGTTAAATTATAACCTGGCCCATTCTTCATGGAGCTCTATGAAGTTTCTAACAGAAATTATAGGAGACCATCTGTTTTTTATTTCTTCAGTAAACAAACCTATTAAAAGTGCACTTCTCCCTCACAAGCCTGCAGAATTTGAAATGAACACTGAATAATTTAATGATTTAAAAATAATTTAACCTATTTGGTCCATTTGAATTTATTTAAAAACAAAAACAAGGCTTTAGTGACTTACTGGACAGAAATGATATTCAACTTTGAAAAGCTCATTAGGTGCTAATAAGAATTGAGTTATCATGTCTTCGTAGAAATCTTTTCCTCCTAGAATCAGCTAACGATTTAGAAATTTATAATATTAATATTTATTTATATTATTGATATAATATACTAATAATATATCACTTATAATAGTATAGGTAATATACTTAAGTAATAGTATACTTAATATAGTAATATACTTAAGGGTAATATGTACTTAAGTAATAGTATACTTAATATAATATAGGTTATATATTATAATTGATATATTAATATAATGCCATATATTAAGTATTCATTTATAAATATTAATATTTAGTGCTATTTGCTTAACTCAATCTTGGAAATTTTATTAAAATAGATTTTGTAAAAAAAAAAAAACACAAAAACCTAAGAAAGATGTTCTTCTCCTCTCAAGGAACTTATGTTTTAGGCTATACCCATCAATATGGGCAATATCTGCAACATCACACCAGGAAGAAACTTGTCGAACATGTACATGAGGCTACAGAAGGCCATATTCATAAGCTCTTATTGCTGTGGCACTCAATTTGAATAATGTGAAATGTCATGTGAACTTCAGAATTATGAACTATACACAGAGAAGAGATAGACATGAAGTTTCTGAGTTGTTTTGGCTTTTGTTGTTATTTTTGTGCCTTCCTATACCACTTGGAAAGGCTGAAAAGGGGCAGGGGTGTACAAAAGCTTACTCTAGGCTCAGGGATGTAGAGAAGGTCTTGAGAACACAGCAAGAGAAGAAGAGCAAAGAGGGCACGGTGCATGGGACTGGGTTGGCCTGGATGGGAAAGGAGAAGAGTGGGGCTACAGGTGGACACAGATTGTCACCTGGGCTGGTCCCCAGGGTGTGTCAGCCCCATGGTCCCCAGGTGTCTCCACACCACCCTGTGAACAGTGGCCACCTGGCTGGGCCCTTCTTGTGGCCGATCCTTCATCCTGACCTGTCTTGCCCATCACCTGGCTTAGGTGATGAAGAAATGGGAAGGGCTCAGGTAAGCGTAGGCCTCAGGCCCCAGGAGAGCAGAGACACCACAACTAGAAGCAGAAATTCTTCAAAGAATACAATTCTAGGAATTTTAAAAAATCAATGAGATTTTTATTATAGAAAAAACCAATTTTGGGTTTTCTTTAGCTCCCAGCTTAGTATTATTTTTATCACTCCAAATGTTAGTCAAAATAGAAATAATGCTGAATGGTGAGCTAAAGGACATGCCCATGATCGCCATCATAACATCAGCACTCAAGGCTCTGCAGGTGGTCATTGGCTGTGCAGGCCAATCTGCAGACTTAGTCAAATGCAGTGTTGTGGATGAAACGCAGCAACTGCTCCATCTGCTAACACAGCCAGCTGGCTGGCCCTGAGCACTTCTCCCTGCCTGTCTGTCGTAGGCAGCGATGGGGATGTTGCCAAGCTCATTGTCTAGGGCTTTTTATACCTCGGAGGAGCAGAGCTGGTGCCCTAGTGCATCCTGGTCCCCATGTCAGGGAGCTTGGTGGGATAAGCTGGTTCACACTGTCACTCAGCACACATCAATGGTGCAAAGTCACATACACACACACACACACACAGAGGCCTTGGATGGAGGCCTTTCTAGTTCCTCTAGAAGCAGGAGAGAATGTCAGCATGGGGTGCTGGAAAGTCTATTTGCATGGACCTCATTGGGCCTTTGGGGGAGCACACTAAAAGGCACATTGGAGATGAAGGTGACTTCCCAGGCTGAGATCCCAATCACAAGGACAGATAATGGTTGTTCTTTGACTTCCAGATGTGTCAGGGGTCAGTTGGGAAACCAGAGAGCTTGCAAGCATTATGGGAATAAATGTTGGGGGCTATAAGAAAGGGAAGATCTGGAAAGGGGCAGTCAGGCGTCTTAATTGAAGAAAACCACTGCAGCCTGCAGCCCTTGAACTAGAGTCCAAGCTTGTGGGAAAGTCCAAATCCATTTCTGGGGTGTGAGAAGAGAGGCCATGGAGACACAAGGACATCTCCAGCCACCCTACAGGCTGGATCTCAGTGCCTAGTGGGGGCTTGGGCCATTGTAGGCCAATGGTGATCAGGAAGACAAGCTGGCTGTGGAGCAGATGGCAACAGGGACCACTGGGATGGACGCGTACCTCTGAGTTATCTGTCACCCTTCCCCTGTCCTCACTGTCCAGAGGGATGGCCACTGCCTCACCTGGGCCCTTCAGCTGTTACGTGAGTGCCTCTTGTTAGCAAGCTTGAACCTGGAGCCATGCAGGGAAGGGGATTCAGGGAAACGCAGTCACCTCCTTAGATGGGGACAAAGGGGCTGAGGACAGCAGACAAGGAAGCACACAGGCACGATCAGGGACCTGGAGCACTGCTTCAGGTGGTCAAGTATAGGAAGCACTCCTTACATATGTGGAATATTCTTTCAGAACTGGGTTTGTATTTGAAGGAAGAGAGAGGTAGAGCGAGTCATGACAATGGGGTGGTGGAGAGACCAGTGGGCCTGAAGTCGCACTGTTTTGTGGCCTAACAAAGTCTAAGAGGGTCTTTTCCTGCTCCAATGTAGCCTCTGTGGCCAAAGATTGATCAGGTCTACCTTGGAAAGTAAAGGAGAGACCCGGCTTCTATCTGTGACACTTGGAGGTGATGTCACGGGGAAGAGCCATCTCTGAAGCCAAGAGAGGCCTGGCCACAGCATCAGGAGCCAGTATGGGGCAGTCAGCTGGGGACATGGGGTCTGGATGGAGTGCCATGGCTTGTGGCCTTTTGAAGACAAGACTGGAAGCTGGAGGTACAAGAGAACTGAACTTGGGCAGTGTTGGGCAGGATGAGAACAGCTGCCAACCAGACAGGAGATCACCTGGGCTTTCTAGAGCACAGGAGAGACTGGGAACTGGGGCTCCAACAGTTAGCCTAGTGGGCAGCGGTTTTGTGATTGGCCCCATTGTGCACTGATCACATCCCAGCTGGCATGGCCTGAGCGCCTCTGTCTTGTAGGAAAGGGCAGCGCGTGGCTGGGGTTCTCTGGGTCTCATCATGGTTTGCGGTATTGTGGGTTTTTAAAATATGAGATCGTTTAGAGATACACACTTAATCCTTCAAAGCACCAAAGTAAGAAACACTCAATGACTTTATTGATACCATTAGCATTCTCAGATTCCTTGCGTATGGCACATATTGTACCTGAGATGGAATTTTTTAGCCAGGTAGTCATAACACAGCATGTTTTTTTGGTTGGTTGTTTTCTTGTTTTTTTTTGAGACAAAGTCTTGCTCTGTCACCCGAACTGGAGTATAGTGATGTGATCTCAGCTCACTGCAAACTCCAAGCTATTCTCCTGCCTCGGCCTCCCAAGTAAATGGGATTACAGGCACGCACCGCCACACTCAGCTCATTTTTGTATTTTATTTAATAGAGACGGGGTTTCACCATGTTGGCCAGGCTGGTCTCGAACTCCTGACCTCAAGTGATCTACCCACCTTGGCCTCCCAAAGTGCTAGGATTACAGGCATGAGCTGCTGTGCCCAGCCAGCATTTTTGTTAACAAAAACTCTCAGAATTAACAAGACAGCCTCTTTCAGTTGCTACAGAAGACCACAATATTTGACTATAGAAGTCAAGTTGAAGTGAGCTGATTTGATGATGAACGTTTGAGCTTGCTTTTGCTTCTGGTGCATGTGTGTGGATTAAGGAGGGAATAGTTCTAGGGGGTGAGAATGTTTTAGAGGAGTTAATAATTAACAAGACATTATTCTCACAAACCTGAACACTTAATACTTTTGGGTAGAGTTACTAAGCCAAGGCTTGTCCGAAGTCTTTAAGAAAGAACATGGGGTAAAAATTAACAGGCAAGAATAGTTTCCTTTCTCCTAAAGGCTTATCAATTGCCAAAGAAAATATTTCAACGAAAAGACATTTCATAAATATAAAGCTAAAATTTCATAACTGAGAGTGATGATGTAATTGGTTTTGTTTCTCCAAACACAGACACTTTAATTCAATGGGAATTTAATAGTTTAGGGATTTAAAAACCATGAGATGGTTTCCAAACCCAATAGATTTATCTACCCTAATCCTCCCATTCTCCACCTGTCTCCAGTGGAATGTGGTCAAGACAGGCATCACAGGCTTGTGGGAACTGGGTCACCAGAGAGCCCTGAGGGATATGTTTTACCAGATGCTAAGCTGTGTTGGCTCGACTTCGGTTTAATTTCTTTGCCTAAGCCTTGCCTTCTGGCCAGGCGGGTGTCTCAATGGTACATCCTGGAAACTTGGTGGGTGGCGTGGCAACACTCTCAGTGGTTCACTGAGGGTGCAGGGGATGGTTTTGTCCCATCAGCACTGCACGGTGGCCCGTCACTGACTCTCAAGCAGGACACGTGTCCAGGTCCAAAGAACTTATCAGCAACGTTAGTTCTTTTCTGGAATGAGCCAAGAAACAAGTCCTAACTGTGATGCACTTTTTTTTTTTTTTTTTTTGGTCTGGACTGGATTTTGCACAGCATTTACCCTTGATCTCTGGGAAGGACAACCTTCTCCTCATGATACGCAAGAGACACAACCCAAGAATCACAGCCAAGGAAACTGGTTTCTTTAATGTCTCAAGGCAGCTGGGCAGGAGGGGCTCTTGGAGGAGGAATTGCAGCATCATGTCATCAGAATTCCATCAAGCCCTGTCCCGGAGGATGCTTCCTGTTGCAGCATTTCATAATAATCTGAAATCTAAATGGGAAGTTCAGCAACAGTAGTGACAGAGGGAGGAGAGAATCCCGTCATTAAAGGGAATTCCAAGCTTGCTGGCTGAGGCCGCAGTGCCCTCCGTCTTCTTGCTTCTTGCCCTCTGGGTGACAGGCAGACCTCATGTGGGAGTTGAGTAGTCATTACTCACTGGGGCCAGTCTCTTCTTGAACCCTACGTTCTCACGTCGGAACATGCTCCTGTTATTTTACAGTCTCACACTATCCACAGTGTAAACACTGTTTTGGGGGACGCATGTTCAGGTTCCATAGGTATCCCAGCCTAGGGGCCCACCATGGTGAGAGGAACACAGGGAGGAATATATTACTGTCCATTTTGAAATAACAACAATGACAACAGCAGCCACTACTGTAATAATAGCTGACGTCTGCTGAGGATTCCCACGAGCTGAGCACTTCACAAACATTGCCCCCATCCATCCTGATGACCACCCCATGAGGCCGGCACTTTTAGTGACCCTGTTGTAAGATGAGAAAACTGGAGGCAGAGAGCCAGGGGAATGCCTCCAGGCGCACACTGCCAGCAAGGTGTAGGGCGGGGTGTGGCTGCCAGGATTCAGTCAGTCCTCTGACACTCAAGCGGTTTCCATTTTTCTCTTTCTCATCAGGCACTTTGGAGGCTGGGGAACAGGCAGTAGATATGGAAAGGGAGGCCAGCTGCGGTGGCTCACGCCTGTAATCCCAGCACTTTGGGAGGCTGAGGCGAGCAGATCACTTGAGTTCAGGAGTTCGAGACCAGCCTCGCCAAATTGGTGAAACACCGTTTCTATTAAAAATTTTAAAAATTAGCCGGGTGTGGTGGTGCACAGCTGTAATCCTAGCTATTTGGGAGGCTGAGGCACGGGAATCACTTGAACCTGGGAGATGGGGATTGCAGTGAGCTGAGATGGTGTCACTGCACTCCAACCTAGGTGATGGAGTGAGACTCTGTCTCAAAAAAAAAAAAAAAAGATATGCTAAGGGACTTCACTGTAGAGCTTGCCATGCTTTGTTCTTATGGAGAATTTTTATTTCTTCCAGACCATTTCCATATTGTCCATATTTTTCTCTCCCCAGTTCAGTTAGGAGCCTTGTCTGCAACACAGGAGTTCCTTTAAAACTGGATGTCCCATACTCAGGAACAAACATTTTCCATTTGCACCAAATTTATCGCCTCTACTCTGCTGGTTCCCTTTCTTGTAGGAATTTACATGATTTTCACACCATATCACAAATACTTATTTTGAGGTCTGTCTGTCCTACTACTCCAATGGATGGGTGGGTTTGTGGCTGTGTCCCAGTGGGTGCGCACTGCATGTCCCTAAGTGAGTATTGAATTGAGCAGAGTCACCAGCTCGTTAGAGCCTCCCTGCTGTGTCAGGTCGTGTGTCCTCTGCCATGCGGAGAAAAAGACTTGAAGTATCTCTCGGCATAATCCAGATGTTTATGTAGTTGAGGTTTTACTATATTTGCACTCTTTTGTTCTGAAAATGTCAAAACGGAAGCAGTTTTGAATTATCTGTGAATCAAATTGAGTATCTGTGAATGTGAAAACTCTTAGCTCAGTTCTGGTAGTACGATCATCCCAGGAGCTGAGTCACTCTGTGTTTGGTTGGGAGGTTTGGAGGGTTGAAGAAGTTTGAAGAGGATCAAGTACATGCTTAACTGAGTTCTAGATGCTTAGACAGCTCCCAGTGATGCCATCCGTCTACCTGTTAGGTTAGGCAGAAGAATATTCTTTTAACAGCATCATGGGAGGCTAACCAGTGATATAAAGTGACTTTTCTTGAAAAGGCTGTAAGATCATCAGTTGTGGAGCCTGGGACAAGATGCAAAGACAGAGTGGATGAAAGTGAAGCAGCTGGCTTTCCCCACACAGCCACATCACGGTGGGGAGTTCAGGGGTCGGCTGGCAGAGCCATGGGGGAGGTGCTGCCTCACACCCACCTGCCAAGCCCTGGGCTCATATGCAATCGTCTGGTTTTCTCCAAGAGCAAAGTAATGGCCCATCTGATACAACGCTGGGCACTGCCAACCTCCTACTTGTTCCATGCTGGTCCGACAGACTCTTGGGGCCACAGAGACAAGAGTGTGGGTAGGAGACCACACTTCACAAGTTCTCTGCTAGATTATTCTGCACAGTTTCCATGGAGAAGCAGTTTCTGATTTCTGGGCTCACTTAAGCATGCGCTGGATCCTCTTAGTCTTCTTTTAGCCTCTAAACTTCCCAACAAAACACAGGAAAGCCATCATGCTGGGGACTCCCGAGGCACCTTTCTGTTTTGTAACTCAGGTTCCATTCACTCTTACACACTGCAGAGGCTCTCAGAGTGTGGTTGGGAAAAGCCTGGGTTTGGAGAAGCTCCAGGGGCCCGATGAGCTGAATATTGGATGTGTCAGCGTCTCTGCCTTGGTCCTTGTTAGAAACTTACCACCTGAGATCTTTCTGTCTTTTCCAGACAGAATTTAAAATTTTGTTAGCTTTCCCTTTCTTTTCTTTACTTTTGTTTCTTTCTTCTTTCTTAAATGACAAGCAGGAGGAAGTGATTTTGGAGGCTTGTGAAAAATGATTTTCAATCAAATTTGCCCCAAAACAGAAAAATGTTTGAAATGCATGGTGTTATAGAAAGTTTATATAAAAATAAAGAAAACACACTACTCATGGAACCAGGCACTGTCACTGATTAAAACTCGGTCTTAAGCAGAGAGTCTGGGTAGAGCAGAGAGAAAAGTCAAGCACATAGCCGTGCTCTCTGGGTGTGCCCATTTACCTGCAGTATTGTTGTAAATTGAAAATAAAATACTAGGCCAGCCATGGTGGCTCACGTCTGTAATCCCAGCACTCTGGGAGGCTGAGGAAGGAGGATCACTTGGGGTCAGGAGTTTGAGACCAGCCTGGCCAACATGGCGAAACTCTGTTTCTACTAAAAATACAAAACTTAGCTGGGCGTGCTGGTGGGTGCCTTTAATCCCAGCTACTCAGGAGGCTGAGGCATGAGAATCACTTGAACTCAGGAAGTAGAGGCTGCAGTGAGCCGAGATCACGCCACTGTGCTCCATGCTGGGAGACAGAGCAAGATCCTGTCTCAAAAACAAACAAACAAAATAAAATACTAACCCACATCCCTCCAATTGAATGGACCCTCTTGGCCAACGGGGGTCCCCGAAAAACTTGAAAACCTGAATTCCTGACCACGATGGGAAGGGAGGTCTGCCACATCTCATTACATGCCCTCCCTTTTGTAGTTTAGGCACAGAAGCCAACCAGCACTAATGTTAACATAGAGATGGTAAGACGGACGAACAGACTCTGTGGCAATCAGATGCCAAATTATAAACAAGCCTAAGTTTAGGCACAACAGCCAACCAGCACTAAGGTTAACATAGAGATGGTAAGAGGGACAGAACAGACTCTGTGCCAATCAGATACCAAATTATAAACAAGCCTAAGGCCATGCAAAGCCAGGGTTAAATCAAGCTGGCAGGCCATCAGTCTCACTACAGGGCATCCTTAGCTTAACTTAAAACATTCTTTTCCGCTGACTCTAAGTTTCTGATAGAGCCTGATTCCTTTAATCAATTGCAAATTAAAGAATCTCTGAATCTGCCTGTAACCTGTAAGCCCCTACTTCAAGATACCCCATCTTTTCAGGCTGAACCAATGTATACCTTCCATGTCATGGTTTATGCCTTTGTAACTCCTGCCTCCCTAAAAAGTGTAAAACCAAACTGTTACCCCACCACGTCAGGTGCACTTTTTCAGGACTCCTTGAGACTGTTTCTCCAGGCCATGGTCACTCATATTGGCTCAGAATGGACCTCTTTAAAAATTGTATAGAGTTTGGTTGTTCTGCTAACATTGTTTTCTGAATGATTAAGATGCAGAGATGCACCATGCCTTGCTGTGGGTTGAGACCAGGAAATCTGGATTAGTGTTGCTGGTTCCGTGCTGCCAGATGGAAGAGCCCTCTCCTGGCTCCATCCTCCGCAGCCTGCAGACTTTATCCCCGGCTCAACTCTCAGAAAGACTGTCAGTGGCCTCCTCCTCCCTAAAGGGTCCTGCTTGCTGCTTTGCCTGCTGTGCCTAAATCAGTTTAATATTTTAAAATTTATCTTGATCGACATTGCATTTAGAGCAGCAATTCTGAAATTTTTTTGGATCATGGGATATTTGGAAATCCCATGAAACCTATTATCTTTTCCCTGGGAGAAATGCACAGACTCATAAATCTGTGCTCATAAACGCTGATTGAGATGAGGACCCCTTCTCTGCTTCGGTGTCGTTTCTGAGACAGTACAGTAATGTGAAGATGCTACGGAAAGTCAGCATGAGACCAAGGTCGGAAGCTGGCTCCTCAAAGGCATTGAGCCTTGGGTCTTGGGTCTGGGCACCGGGCTAAGCTCACTGTTGCTCAGGGTTGATTCATTGCAGGGGCTTGCTGTGTTTCCTCCTAGTTGTCCTTGTTTGGAACTTGTCTGGTTTACCAGGCTTGTTAATATCAAACTTAGGGGAGCAGAGGTTGGGGTATCAGTTTCCTCCTTAGAGCCCTAAAGAGCCCCAGATTTTAAAATACAAATTCATTGACCAGTTCCTAGATAAATAACTCTGCCTACCGCAGGAGAAGATAATTTAATGCGAATGGGGAATGAAGAGAGTTGGAATTTGTGTAAACTATCTTCAGGAGAACTGGTTCCTCCTCACAGTGTATTTGTGTAACTAAGGCTATTACTTAAAGACTCTATGTAAGAGGCCAACAGGATGAAGATCTGCTTCTCTTCAATAACAGTGAAAATATCCTTGCTTTCCCAAAAGTGATGTAGGGGCACTTTTGTCAAATTACCAAGGTTAGTCAAGATGGGCTTGTTTGAAAATTATTACAATATTGCAGAAAACTCACCCAGCAAAGCAATCTCTGTGTAGTATGATTTCCTGGATTCTGGCAAGGCTGTGGCGTGTAGTATTCCGTTCACTGCTGCACCTCTGTCTGTATTGCATTCACATTCTTTCTGAATTGAGTAAAGAAAGATGAGCACATTCCTGGGGGAAGATTACCCTCTTTGAGTCTGGCATGTGGCATTTTTAGTTGGCTGTTTTGATGCAGCCGTTTTGTTCCAGAAACATTATGACTCAGATTAGAAAGTATCTCATTAAACTTCTACAGTCCTTAAACTATAAAGTGATATGTGAGCCCTAGAATCATCTTTCTGGAGAACTAGATTATTAACTTGATGTATGCTGGGAATGATATGGCCCTTGGTGTGGGTTGGGATGAGGAATGGGATAGGCTGTCTCTTATAGATCAACTGCATAAAACCAAAATTAAAATTTCCACCCTGGCTTGTCCTAGGCACAGCCATTGATCATCCTAAGTAATCTTTAAGAATTCGAAGCATGTTGGATGAGCAGTGTCTCTCATATTCAGATTTTGCCTGCAAAGTTACAATGGTCATAATTGTAACTTTCCTATCCTAAAAAAGCACATATTGTCTATATAATCTTTGTGATGGACAACTTTGCTACTATCTCTCCAGTGCCCTGGTTCTTCCTGGAACTGTTATGAAATTGAACAGCTTGTTAACTGTGTAAAATCCCTGATTCCAAGGAAGTGTATCATACTAGATCTCCTATCTTCCAGAAAGTGTTTTCTTCCATCCAAATATCTGTTACTCTCAGAACAACAGACACCGCCCAGGGCTCAGAAAGCTTGTTTCTAAAGATTTTGTGTTAAAAAGGGAAGAACGCAGGCATGATCAAATATGTGGCAAACTTTGTGGTGTCCCCAGATGGAATGTTGACGTTAAGGGGTAGAGCATCAGGAAAAAGCCACATTCATGTTTGGTATTGTTTCAAGCCAGATGCCCTTGGTTTAATTTATTTGTTAGACTCATCGAGCATCTGCTACCTGCCACATGTAATGCCAAGGTCTAGAGTTAAATAAGACACAGACTGTGCTTTTGAGAAATTTACCGACATGTGAAGGCATTGACAGGTTTGAAGACCATCATAATACCAAGAAGAACATGGAAAATGTCATGAGAGAGGAAGGGAGAGATGGGGAAATTTGCAGCAGTGGAGCACGTTCTGAATGGGGATGTGAGACCATGTCTCCCTAAAGGGTCACTTGAAGACAGACAGCTGGGACAGCGTAGGGTTTTCATAGACCGACTGTGGAGAGATGTTGCAGCCAGAAAGAACATTCTAGGGCCAACTCTGAGGGAAGGGAGTGTGGAGGTTCAGGAGGTAGTGGATGGCCTGTATTGGTTTCAGGCAAAGCCCTCTCCTCGGAGACCCTGGGAGAGAACCTAGAAGGATAAGCTGACAACGTGGTGACCATATGTCTTGTTTTCCCAAGATAGCCCTATTTACACCTGATCTCCCAACACTTCTATTATCACCATTGCTAATTCTTTCTCTCAAAAATATCTTGGTTCAGAGAGACAATGAATGATATAGATGGGCTGGTATTCTTTGTTAGTATTGTTAATACAGCAAATTTCTTCCATTCTAAAAGAACTATTTTCATTGTAACTACTAATTTAGTAGGATATGCATTTTTCTTGACTTTTTTATGTTAATGGAGCAGAGTAGGAAATTGTATGTGATATGGTTTGAAATGTCTAAAGAAGGACCAATATCCAAAAATCTCTCCTGCAGAAATGCCTGAAATTCAAGAATATAGTCGTACTAATAATGATAACCAGCATGGGTAGGTAATGAGATTTATACCAGGCACTATACAGTTTTTGCTAGTTTATTTAAATTATTTAATCTTGGCAACAACCCCAGAAGAAGTAGGGATGGTTTGTTATGTCCGTCTGTTAGGAGGAAAAACAGAGGCTCACAGGGCTAACTCAGGTCCTGAAGGGGTGGAGCTAGGGAGTAACAGGCGGAATGTGAACCCAGGCAGTCTTCTTAGCTAAAAGCCGTGCTTCAGCCCGGTGAGGAAAATCACACAATTTCTGGGAGTTTGGCTCTTAGGATATGTTAACCATGAAGGTTATGAAAATGATGGAGTCTTTCAATTTACAAAGCACTTTTATTTGTTTTCTTATTTACTCCAAACAGCAATGTATAGCAAATAGTTCCCCTACAGATACTCACAGATATTAAACACCTAATGAAGCTTCATAAATACCTAAGCTGCTGTTGAACTGGGTCCCAGTTCAGATCATTAGATTTCAAGCTTCTTTTCACACATAGTTCTACCTCAGTCTTTGCATTCTATGAGTAAATATGTTTAATGGATACTTACATGAGAGATGACCCCCGGCTCCTGGGGAAGTGGGTCAGGACTGGAAGGGGATGAGTCTGAGGAAGGAGGGCCAAGGGTCAAGGGAAGGTCAAGTGCAGAGGACTAGAGGTCTTCACTTCACTTACACTTCCCAGGGTTGTCCAGGATTGATCATGTGGGAGTCAATTCCGTGGGAGGCTTCTAATCCCTAGGCAGATGATTGGGATGGTGAAATATGCTAAGATCTCACTGTTAGGGAGGAAATCCAGGTGGTTCTCGTGTCTATATTACCATGATTTTAAAAGTGCAACAAAGCAAAACATAATAGTTCTACCTTTTACATCTTGCATTCCTAACGTTTTGGGGATAAGTTGAGTTTTAGAGACATTCACATGCACCATTGTGTTTTCTACTTAAAAGTTATACAATATTAAAATAATAACCGTCACGATCTCTTTATAATGAATGCCACGACTCTCCCTGTGATTCATCTGTTTTGTGGATGTTGGAGCGTCTCTCGGCTAAGGGAGTAATTTTTTCTTTCTATGTGGCAATTTCATGATCATCTCCCAGTCAAATGCATTTGGTTTTAAATCATCCCCTATTCTAGAATTATAAAGGTTCACAAAATTTTTAAAAGCAGTTTGATGTTAATATTACAAGAGACATGGGCTCCTTGGCTTCTTGGAGGTAAAAGGCACTGTAGAAGGACATGACCATCCACTCGGCGTGGCATCTATGAAGGCCGGGTGACAGAGGCTGTGGAGGGACAACAACACCCACTTGGCATGGTGTTTATGAAGGCCAGGTGACAGAGGCTGTGGAGGGACATTGACACCCACTGGGTGTGGCATCTACAAAGGCTGGGTGACAGAATTTTAAAGCTAAAATTCTCTGAGGAAAGGCAAAATAACTAAAATAAAATAAAATAAAATAAAATAAGAAGTCTCTGTTTTGAATTCTAACTTAGGTCAAGAAGGCAATTCAACTTCTGAACTGGGTCCATATTTTTGGAACAAGGTGCACTGATTTGACCTATTTGGGTCAACTTCTACGGAAACATCCGTAGAGGCTCAAGTAGAGACAATTCTGTTAGAATCTCTTTCTGCTTCTGACTCAGGCTGGAGTAATTATTTCCATACTTGGGAAGCAGTTGCCAGACCATTTTGCCCATAGTAATTTGTGAAAATTAAAATTAACTGATGACTAGTTCCAGTGAAATGCTAGTGCACCTACTCCCCATTCATTGCCACAGGCAGTGTAAATGGGTTAGGTCTTATGGAAGGAAACTGGGTGGTGTAACCAAAATCTGCCTGCAGATCCTCAGGGATTAATTAAAAAAATAGAGAAAAATAATTGTAAAAAGTGATATTTGAAATGCTGTTAAAATTGTGAAGGCAAAAATGTGGGAGTAGAAAATAAAATATAATAAATACATTTGGTAAGATATTAAACAATATGGAAAAGATAATTATGAAGTCTAAATAGTAGCATGTGGGAATACGTTTGATGATACAAGAGTAAATTATAAAAGGATACACAACTTTACTTCTGCTCTATTCATAGCTATAGGAAATTGAAAAGCAATTGATTGCAATTGCAGAATTACTCCATTAATGTCGTTACAATGATGTTTATGCCAATGACAACAGCAGTAGAGTAGGAAGTGATTCACGTGCACCTGAGATTAAGCCAAGGAAAGCCCAAAAGCCCACCCAGGAATCAGGCATAATCCCTAGAGAGCACACAGGGAAGGAAACCTCCAGGCATGGCCCTTTGCAAGGTTTTGATTTTTCAGTGCTTTGGTCTCTTGTAAATTTTTTCCTCTCATTTTAAAAGAAGAGTTGAAGAGAGAAATAAAGCTGTTGTTGATAGGAATATGCCAATTAGATATTCAGAAACTTGATAGAATGAAGCACACTTTTTATGTTCTTACTCTTTGGGTGACAAAACCTGGTCTATACAGACGCCCTGATGCAAACGCAGAGGCAGTCATCCACAGAGATGCCATCATGAATGCCCACTGCACAAAGATTACTAGGTGGATGTGTTTATGCTTACACAAATCAAATCAGTAGCCCTACATCTTAAATATATCGGTGTCACATCATCAACACTACTTTTATTTTTTGGCCATGAAAATCAATACTTACCTAATTTTCCAGGGGAGTTTTATTTATGTTAATTGTGGAAAAAGACTAGGTAATGATGCATGGGCATGGGCTTCTCAGATACCCATCTCAGGAGCCACAGCAAGAGAGAGGAAGAGATTGACAGAAAAGAAAGCCCAGCTGAAAACATAAAACAAAATCTATGAGAAACCTGAGAAGGCTGGTATCTGTGCTCCTCTTTAAGGAAGAAATAATGGTGGGGAGCAGAAGATTGCCAGGGAACCCACACGTGGAGGATGATCCCTTTTTACTCTTTTCCACGTGACTCTGAGTGAGAGTGTGAGGTTGGAGTTGCAATCTAGGCAGGCCAATCTGGTCTGGCTGGTAGATGCCCCCACCTTCAACTTGCAAGTTTAGGAGATACCCATGGCTAGGTGGGCAAAGCCCTGCCAATGAGGCAATCAGTCTGTTTTCCCAAGGAGCTGCGTGAGTTTCCATCTACTTCCAGGAAGGCAGATTTCCCACTATGATGGTGGGTTTGGGAAACAATCATGCCAGTTAAAGAGAAGGGTAATGTTCAAGGAATGATCTGGGAGGGGTAGAGAGAAAAATGCAATGAGAGGAAGTGGCAGGAGGGCTGCCCTTCTGTGTCTTGCATTCCAACTTTGCCTTGTGAAACATTGAGAAATGACAAGAGGGAATGGCTTGGACATGAATCCTGTCTGAGTGGAGGATGTTGGGACTGGAAGGTGCTTTGTGGGCTAGGTGCACCTTATACCTCAGTGGGGTCAGAAGTATGAGTGGTTCTCTGCCTTGAGAGCTGCTCCTGCTACCCTCAAGGTCTTGGTCCTTCTCCCGGTCAGTAGCTCTAGCTGAGACAGTGGACCATCCTGTGGCAGCAAAGAGGAGCTCACAGGGAAACATGATGAGCCACATGACAGGCAACCAATGAAGCAGCCTTTAGGAGGTCAGAAAAAACCATCCCAAACCTAAGAACATAAATTTAAAATAAATGTTATAATTATCTGCAAAAAGATAAGGGAGAATATTGGCAATACGAATTATGAACAAGTGTTCATAAGGAAGAATCAAGTGGATACATTGAATAATCAAAGCATAAGCATTAAAATAATAAGAAAAACTTCAATGGACTGATTCAGTGATCAAAGGGAGTCACTGCAGAACCAATAATGAGCTGGATGACTGGGAAACTGGGAAGGAGCCTTCAAAGTGATGAGAGCAACAAAAACAGAAGAGTACATCTGTCTACTAGGTGTCTTGGAAGAAAATAAAACAAAACATGGATGGGAGATCATATTGGAAGCACTAATAACCCAGTATTCCCAGATGCAAAGAAAAATACATCAGTATAGAACAGGGAAAAGTTGAAAGCATTCCACTTGAGAACTGGAAGAACACAAGGACACCCACTTTCACCACTTATATTCAACATAGTACTGGAAGTCCTAGCCAGAGCAATCAAGAAAGAGAAAGAAATAAAGGGCATCCAAATCTGTAAAGAGGAAGTCAAACTGTCACTGTGCACTGATGATATGATTGCATACCTAGAAAACCCTAGAGACTCATTCACAAAGCTCCTGGAATTAGCAAATGAATTCAGCAAAGTTTCAGAATACAAAATTAATATACACAAATCAGTAGCTCTGCAATACACCAACAGCAACCAGGCAGAGAATCAAAATCAAGAACTTAACCCTTTTCACAATATCTGAAAAAACAAACAAACAAACAAAAAACCCCAAAAACACCTTAGGACTATACCTAACCAAGGACATGAAAGACCTCTACAAGGAAAACCACAAAACAGTGCTGAAAGAAATCTCAAACAACACAAACAAATGGAAACACATCCCATGCTCATGGATGGGTAGAATAAATATTGTGAAAATGACCATACTGCCAAAAGTAATCTATAAATTCAATGCAGTTTCCAGCAAAATACCACCATTGTTCTTCACAGAATGATGTGATGTCTTTTTTAAGAAAAACAATCCTAAAATTCATATGGAACCAAAAAAGAGCCCACATAGGCAAAGCAAAAGTAAGCAAGAAGAACAAATCTAGAGGCATCACATTACCTGACTTTAAACTATATTATAAGGCCATAGTCACCAAAACAGCATGGTACTGGTGTAAACATAGGCGCATAGACCAATGAAACAGAACAGAGAACCCAGAAATAAAGTCAAATACTTACAGCCGACTTATCTTCGACAACACAAACAAAAACATAAAGTGGGGAAAGGATACTCTATTCAACAAATAAATGGTGCTGGGATAACTGGCAAGCCACATGTAGAAGAATGAAACTGGATCCTCATCTCTCACCTTATACAAAAATCAACTCAAGATGGATCAAAGACTTAAATCTAAGACCTGAAACCATAAAGATTCTAGGAAATAACATCTGAAAAACCCTTCTAGACGTTGGCTTAGGCAAAGACTTTATGACCGAGAACCCCAAAGCAAATGCAACAAAAGGGAAAGATGAATCGATGGGACTTAATTAAACTAAAAATCTTCTGCACAGCAAAAGAAATAATCAGCAGAGTTAACAGGCAACCCACAGAGTGGGAGAAAATCTTCACAATCTATACATCTGAAAAAAGAATAATATTCAGAGTCTACAAAGAACTCAAACAAATCAGCAAAAAAAAAAAAAAAAAAAAAAATCCCATCAAAAAGTGGGCCAAGGACACAAATAGACAATTCTCAGAGATGACCAACAAGCATATGGAAAAATTCTCAACATTACTAATTATCGGGGAAATGTAAATCAAAACCACAATGCGATACCACCTCACTCCTGCAAGAATGGCCATAACAAAAAAAAAAAAAAAAAAGATGTTGATGGGGATGGGGTGAAAAAGGAACACTTTTACTCTGCTGGTGGGAATGTAAACTCACATAACCACTATGCAAAACAGTGTGGAAATTCCTTAAAGAACTAAAAGTAGCTCTGTCATTTGATCCAGCAATCCCACTTCTAGGTACTTACCCGGAGGAAAAGAAGTCGTTATACGGAAAAGATACTTGCAAAGGCATGTTTATGGCAACACAATTTGCAATTGCAAAAATATGAAACCACCCTAAATTTCCATCAATCAACGAGTGTGTAAAGAAAATGTGGTATATAAATACCATGGAATACCACTCAGCCATAAAAAGGAATGAAATAATGGCATTTGCAGCAACTTGGGTGGAATTGGAAACTATCATTCTAAGTGAAGTAACTCAGGAATGGAAAAACGAGTATATGTTCTCACTCATAGATGGGAGCTAAGCTGTGAGGACGCAAAGGCATAAGAGTGATACATTGAACTTTGGGGACTTGGGGGAAAAAGTTGGGGGTGGGAAGGGATAAAAGACTACCCATTGGGTACAGTGTACACTGGGTGATGGGTGAACCGAAATCTCAGAAATCATCACTAAGTAACTTACTTATTCATGTAACCAAACACCACCTGTTTCCCCAAAACCTATTGAAGTAAAATATACAAAATTAAAAAAAGAAAAGTATATATCAGCATAAAAACTCATAGAGTAGCCAGTGACAAAGATAAATTAAAAACTCCAAAATAAAGTAACTGCAACGAAATACAACTTGCGCACAACCTTAGGCATATTAATGTAAAATTGTAATAAAAACAAAGGGATGATTATAAAATTTTTCAGAGAGAAAAAAATCAGATCATCTAGGAATAAATAAAAACCAGATCTAAAAATCTCATTAGCATCACTGAACGCAAGAAGAAAATGAATAAAGATCTTCAAGTGTTAAAGAAAAAGCTGTCATTTAAATTAATGATAGTAATATAAAAATTTTGCTGGACATATGAAGACTCATGCATTTTATTCCGTATAGATCCTATCTGTAAAACTTTTTAGAAGATCTATTCTAGCAGAAGGATAAATCTAGAAGAAAACAATGAAAAATAGAGGATACAGACAAGTAAAGTAACAGGTAAACGTTACTGTTGTGTAAATAAGCAATGGATGCAAGAATAAATAAATACCCTCTTGCCATTTGGAGCAAAATTCGAATAATACCAATATGTTAGTCGGGTAGGTGGGATGCGACATCTGGTGGGAGATGAGTGACTCTTTGGATCCATTTGTTTGTATAAGAAAAACCGTGGCTTTTGATGAGCTGCAGACATTTGTGTAGAGAAATAACGGAAAGTATGGCCTCAATTGTTTCACGATGAGCACCAGAAAAATAGAAAAGGGGTCTGTAACTTTCAAACCAGCAGAAGATAACTTTATTTAAAAAAAGCAAGGTTAGAAAGGAGAGGACAAGAAACAAAACAAGCATGGTAGGTGGAAAACACAAAATAAGATGGCTAAAATATGTCCTGATATAACAATAAGAACAAGACATTTAAGTGGGTTAAATACTTACGGTATTTAAGGTGCGTAGATTGAATTTTGAAAAAAATTTCAGTTTGTATTATAAGAAATCACAGTTTATTTTCAGATAGAGACAGAAGAGAAGAGAACAACAACAAAAAATATAGAAAGGTTCAGTAAAGGGATGCAAAGAATATACGTTAGAACTAAAAGCCAATGCAGCAACTTCAATATCAGACAGAGGCAAAATTTTAAGGTGAAACACCTTCGTGAAGAAAAGATAGAGATTTTGCATCTAGAGCTAAGAAACTACTCAAAACTGGTATTTGTTTCTGCTTGATGTAAATAATGAAGACAAAAAAATCATGAAGCTATGAAACCTCATAATGTGGTCTCAAAATATTTAAGAGCTGGCAGGGTTATATGGAGGAATAGAGAAATATACAATTGTCATTAGAACTAGCCCTTATTTTAACTTGGTAGATCAATATGATTTAGTAAGCTATACTAGAATCCCTCATCACCAAATTAAAAAAAAAAAAGAAAACAGCACAAGAAAAAAAGATTGGACTAGTAAAATTAAAACCTGAAAAGATTTAACATAGACAAAGCTCTGGCAAAATGAGCTTATTACTTGATGAAGTGATAAGAAAATGTACAAATAAAAAATGTGCTGATTGACTAAGGAGAAGTAATTTCCAATAATGCTGGTGGGCTATGGCAAAATTGGTAGTAAGGTTCTCCTGCACACCTGCTAGAAGTAAACACTGGCACAGCCACTTTGGAAAGCAATCTGGCAGTGCTTAGTGAAGCTGGGTATATAGATATACACAAAGTAACTCTTCTCCTTTTATAGTTACCAAGAAATCTGCTCAGACATCCAAGAAGACATGGACTCTGTAGCCAAGAATTGGAGGAGTCTTGGTGCTCAAAAGTAGGGGAATGGATAAACAGGGTGGAGTGTGTGTAGAGAATGTGATTACATGCAGAGATGTATTGCATAATCACCATGTAAATAAGTTAAAACCCAACAACACTACTATATATATAAATGAACATATAAGGATACATCTGTGGGAGGTAGCTTGGGAAAATATTTAATAAACAGCTATTATGTGTAGTACTGCAATAAACACGGGCATGTAAATACTATTTAGCCATACAAAAGAGTGAAGTTCTGTTATTTGCAGCGACATGGATGAGCTTGGAGGACGTTATGTTAAGTGAAATAAGCCAGGCACAGAAACGTAAACACTGCAGGTTCTCACTCATTTATGGAAACTTAAAAAGTTTATCTCATAGAAATAAAAAGCAGGATAGTGGTTTCCAGAGGCGGGGCTGCATATTGGGGAGTGGGGAAAGACAAAGATTAATTAATGGGTACGAAAGTCCAGCTAGACAGGAGGCATAAGTTCTATGGCATTATAGGTTGACTACAATTAAAAACAATTTATTGTATATTTTCAAATAGCTAGAAGAGCATATTTAATAAAATTTATTTATTTTACTTTTAAGTTCTGCGATACATGTGCAGAATGTGCAGGTTTGTTACATAGGTATACATGTGCCATGGTGGTTTGCTGCACTTATCAACCTGTCATCTAGAATTTAAGCCCCGCATGCATTAGGTATTTGTCCTAATACTCTCCCTTACTTGCCCCCGACCCCTGACAGGCCTCAGTATGTGATGTTCCCCTCTCTGTGTCCATGTGTTCTCATTGTTCAATTCCCACTTACGAGTGAGAAGATGAGGTGTTTGGGTTTCTGTTCCTGTGTTAGTTTGCTGAGAATGATGGCTGCCAGCTTCATCCATGTCCGTGTAAAGGACATGAACTCATTCTGTTTTATGGCTGTATAGTAGTCCATGGTGTATATGTGCCACCGTTTTTTTAAATCCAGTCTATCATTGATGGGCATTTGGGTTGGTTCCAAGTCCTTGCTCTTGTAAATAGTGCTGCAATAAACATATGTGTGGGTGTGTCTTTATAGTAGAATGATTTATAATCCTTTGGGTATATACTTAGTAATGGGATTGCTGGGTCAAATGGTATTTCTGGTTCTAGATCCTTGAGGAATCACCACACTGTCTTCCACAATGGTTGAACTAATTTACACTCCCACCAACAGTGTAAAAGAATTCCTATTTCCCCACAGCTTTGGCAGCATCTATTGTTTCCTCACTTTTTTATAATCGCCATTCCGACTGGCGTGAGATGATATCTCATTGTGGTTTTGATGTGTATTTCTCTAATGATCAGTGATGATGAGCTTTTTTCATGTTTTTTTTTGCCACATAAATGTCTTCTTTTGAGAAGTGTCTGTTCATATCCTTTGCCCACTTTTTGATGGGTTTGTTTTTTTTTTCTTGTAAACTTGTTTAAGTTCCTTTTAGATTCTGGATACAGACTTTTATCAGATGGGTAGCTTGCACAATTTTTCTCTGATTCTGTAGGTTGCTTGTTCATTCTGATGATAGTTTCTTTTTCTGTGCAGGAGCTCTTTAGTTTAATTGGATCCCATTTGAACTTTGGCTTTTGTTGCAATTGCTTTTGGTGTTTTAATCATGAAGTCTTTGCCCATGCCTATGTCCTGATGGCATAGACTAGGTTTTCTTCTGAGGTTTTATGGTTTTGGGTTTTATGTTTAAGTCTTTAATCCATCTTGAGTTAATTTTTGTATAAGGTGTAAGGAAGGGGTCCAGTTTCTGTTTTCTGCATATGGCTAGCCAGTTTTTCCAGCACCATTTATTAAATACGGAATCCTTTCCCCACTGCTTGTTTTTGTGAGTTTTACCGAAGATCAGATGGTTGTAGATGTGTGGTATTTTTTTCTGAGGTCTCTGTTCTGTTCAATTGGTCTATGTATCTGTTTTGGTACCAGTACCATGCTGTTTTGATTACTATAGCCTTGTAGTATTGTTTGAAGTCAGGTAGTGTGATGCCTCCAGCTTTGTTCTTTTTGCTTAGGATTGTTTTGGCTATATGGGCTCTTTTTTTGTTCCATATGAAATTTAAAGTAGTTTTTTTTCTAATGCTGTAAAGAAAGTCAAAGGTAGCTTGATGGGAATGGCATCAAATCTATAAATTACTTTGAGCAGTATGGCCATTTTCACGATACTGATTCTTCCTATCCATGAGTATGGCATGTTTTCCCATTTGTTTGTGTCGTCTCTTATTTCCTTGAGCAGTGATTTGTAGTTCTCCTTGAAGAGGTCCTTCACATCCCTTGTTAGGTGTATTCCTAGGTTTCTTAATCTCTTTGTAGCAATTGTGAATGGGAGTTCATTCATGATTTGGCTCTCTGCTTGTCTATTGTTTGTGTATAGGAATGTTTGCGATTTTTGCACATTGATTTTGTACCCTGAGACTTTGCTGCAGTTGCTTATCAGCTTAAGGAGTTTTTGTGCTGAGACAATGGGGTTTTCCAAATATCATGTCATCTGCAACAGAGACAGTTTGACTTCCTCAAACAGCATATTTTGAATGTTCCCAACACAAAGAAATGATAAATACTTGAAGTGCTGGAAATACAAATTACCCTGATTTGATCACCCTATACATTGTAAACATGTATCAGAATAATCACAATGTACTTATTACATGTGTGTAATTATCATGTGTCAATTAAAATAATAATAAAAGCAAAACAAAAAAAGATAAGAGGTCGAGCTCAGTTTCATTCTATGAATCCATGAATGTAACCTTGGAGATACTAAAATCTGCCTATTTCTTTGTCTTCCAGCCTGCAAACTTTTTCAGAGCACTTCAGTCTTCTATTGCTTCTATATCATTATTAGTTAATGTAACAACAGTAAGAATGGAAGACCCAAACACCTAGAAAAGAATCTTCAAATGGGATTGCAATCTTCTCTTACTTGAACAAGTTCTCTTCTCTTACTTTTAGCTCCTGGGGACTGATGCACACAGCTGTGGAAATGATAGTAAGGCTCTTTGTTAGAGCTCTTGTGGCTGCCTGGAGATGATGCTGCCTTGGCCATGGCCTGCTGTTATCCTCGGGGAGCTGGGACGTGGGCACAGGGGCATGCATTTCCCCCTCAGCACTAGCTCCAAGGGACAATGTGCAGCACTTGCTGGTATGTGACATGCTCCATTTCTTTTTCCCAGTTCTACTGAAAATTCTGCTTGAAAATGAGAATGAAACAAGTTTAGATGCCACACCCCACTTCTGCCCCAACTAAGTTTTTACATTTTGGGTGATTTTTAGCACAATGGCATATTCGTATGAAAATATGTTACGGATGCTTTCATGGAAGGCTAGCATTTCTGAAATAAATAGCTTTTCCTTTTTTTTAAAAAAACATAATGACAATATATAATCAGTAAACTTTAATTTATGCAAACCCAGAAGCAACTCATGTCATGACAGCCTATATTTTCCTGTCCAACCTGGAGGATATTGAATCTGTCTGTTGAAGCATGATTTTGCATTTCAGAGGAGGGTTTAATCCCAAAGGAATTCTGGTGCAACAAGGAGAATTTCTCAGACTTAAGTGAAAAGCCAGGCTCCTGTAAATGGCACCTCCTTTCAGATGATGGGGAGATCAGATGATGCTCACATTAACTCTTGGGCTCGAATCCTGGCTGGGCCACTTGTTGGCTGTGTGACATCAAGCAAGTTAATCACTGTTCTGTACTTGGATTTTCACATCTATAAAATGGAGATAATCATGGGACCTACTTCGTAGAGGTGTCGTGAGGATTGAATGAGTAGAAGTAAAGCATTTAGAACAATGCTTGGCATACAGTAAGCACTTAATTAGTATGACCTATTCTTTTTTAAAATTACTTTTATTATTATTTGCCAGGACATGTAGTCCATGTTTTGGTAGGCACAGGAGAACAGCACAATGATTTATGTGAAATGTGCTTTATTCCCATTTAGATGCGTTTATCAGGCGTTTGTTAATTTTGACTGCTTTCATTCTGAGTAGTTTTCCAATGTGTGAATGTTTATTATTCATCAATTGAAGGATATTTGAGTTGCTTTCAGTTTTGTCAATTATAAGTCAAGCCACTTTTATCAGGGTTCATACAGTGACTAACAGTGACCAAGAATGTCAATAAGTTTCTCTATGAAAAAAATCACCCCCAGGTGTTTGAATTTGGCCATGACATAAGCATTTCTTTGGTCGATTTTTCTGTGCTGATCACTGGCAGTAAAAACCCTCACCCACCCCCCAACCATGACCTTCAGCTCTGCCCTGACATCCATGCTGTATTCTCATCATCCAGTATTTTATGGGTCATTTAAGAAGTCATCCAGTTTGATGATCTTCTAGTTTATGTTAATCTAAATGTGAAATGAGGACAAAAAGGAAAGGAGTGAATTAAACTATATCATTACAATTCTGCAAGTTTCCAATTAATGGTGAATACTTTACTGTTATGATTTTTGTTCTCCTGCTTTACTTTCTGACCTTGCTAAAAATCAGTACCTGTGTGGGTTATAAAGTGACTTTCCCATTTTTATTTGTAATGGAGATTTTTAAAAATTCTTTAATATTCTTCACTTTTACAGAATACTGTTTTGTGAATATTTTAGTAAGAGGTTCCTTTTCAAACTTATTTTACAAAGAAATGCTTTAACTTTTTCATTAACATGAACAGACTTTCAGTGGCAAAAGCCAGCTATTGTGTATTAGAATTGCCAGTTTCTGTGTGTAGACTTAGAGATGTGAGCCTTGTTAAAAAGTGCAGTATCCAATGTTTCGGGTTTTTTTCTTACTTTTCACTGATGATCATTTTACTATACCTTATACATTGTTCTGTTTCTGTGGCCCAGTATTTGGGTCTTCTGTGCATTTGTGGTCTATATATTTTTAAAGACTTCATTTTTTAGAAAAGTTTTAGGTTCACAGCAAAATTGAGTGAAAGGTTCAGAGATTTCTCCCTGCCTCACACAGGCACAGCCTCCTCTGCTGGGGTCAACCCAATCCAGAATGGTATGTTTGTTACAATCGATCAACCTACACTGACCCAGTTATCTCAATTATCACCCTATACTAACTTAATTATCACCCAAAGTCCATAGTTTACATTAGGGTTTCCTTTCGTTTTTGCACATTCTATGGATTTGAACAAATGTATATGACATATATCCAGCATTATAATATCATACAGAATAGTTTCACTGCCATAAACATCCTCTGTGCTCTGCCTGTTTATCCCTCCCTCCCCTCAACCACTGGCAAGCACTGGTCTTTTTACTCTCTCCACTGTTTTGCCTTTTTCAGAAGGTCGTGTACTTGGAATCATACATTATGCCGCCTTTTTGGACTGGCTTCTTTTACTTAGCAGTATGCATTGAAGGCTCCTCCATATTCCTTCACGGCTTGATAGCTCATGCCTTTTTAGCCCTGAGTAACATTTTATTTTCTTGATGCACCACAGTTTACTTATCTACTCACCTACTGAAGGACAGCTTGGTGGCTTCTTCCAAGTTTTGTAAATTATGGATAAAGCTGCTATAAACATCTGTGTGCAGTTTTTGTGTGTGTGTGTGAACATAATGCCCTTGATATTTTTTAACATGTACTGAATGAACTTCTCAACTTATTCTAATCAGCAAAGAGGATGGGCCTGATAGGGTAGGGGAGAGCTGATGAAAGGGGCCCTCTGCTTTTTTTAACTCTCATCTTTTCACATGGTACAAACAAGCTTTGC
The DNA here is from genome assembly GCF_000001405.40 of Homo sapiens. Classification (NCBI taxonomy): domain Eukaryota; kingdom Metazoa; phylum Chordata; class Mammalia; order Primates; family Hominidae; genus Homo; species Homo sapiens. The sequence goes on from NC_000005.10 coordinate 6,926,519, forward strand.
TGGGATTCCTTTCACATTTGCTGAGATTCTCAGAGCAACCTAACTTCATTTGGAGGCATCCTTATATTTTACCCCAGAGGAGATATTGACCATCTGTACTCTTCCATTTTCTAAGAAATGTATGCAGTTCAAGCCAATTAAAAGGTTTATAGGAAGAATTTGGGCCACTGCCAGCATGCACAAGGCACATATATCCAAGGTGCACTGTGGATCTCAAGCTTATTTATCTTCTAAGAGGTGCAGTTTCTCCCTGGCATTGCTGGGAACAGAGAGACCGTGGGGCAGCCCTCCAAAAGATGCTGGTCTGTTCAGTGCACTCACTGAACTGGGCAGCCAAGGGGAACTGTTCTCTAACAAGTGGTATTCTCAGAGCTGGCTTTCCAGGGCTAGCTCAGACTCTGACAATATTTGTAGAATTTAATTTATTTAAGCTTGTTATTGAAAGAAACCAGCACAAATGCTTTGGAATCTCTTCTATTCACTGAGCAAACTTTATTTCTATTGTATTAGTCTGTTCTCACACTTCTAATAAAAACAAACCCAATACTGAGTAATTTATAAAGAAAAAGAGGTTTAGTGGACTCAAAATTCCACATGGGTGGGGAAGCCTCACAATTGTGGCTGAAGGCGAAGGAGAAGCACAGACATGTCTTACATGGCAGCAGGCAAGAGCATGTGCAGGGGAACTCCCCTTTATAAAGCCATCAGATCTTGTGAGACTTATTCACTAAGATGAGAACAGCAACAGGAAAACCCACTCCCATGATTCAATTACCTCTCACTGGGTCCCTCCCACAACAGGTGGGGATTATTACAATTCAAGATGAGATTCAGGTGAGGACACAGAGCCAAACCATATCACCTGTGTATCACTCGGGATTTTTTTTTTTTTTTTTTTTTTTTTTTTTCTGATAAAACACGGGGTATCCTAATGAGTCCATTTCATCTTTATACATTTCCTTTAGTGTGCCACTGAGGAAGAACCTCTGCCCTCGACCCTTCCCAAACGTTGTTTCTTAGGGTCTGCTTCTCTCAGCCTTTCAATGGAAATGAGCCTCTTAACCTGAAATTGCCTGCCTTAAAACTCTCTCCCAAGCCAGAAAAGCGTCCATTTCCTGGAAAGGTTGTCGTGCTACTTCAACTCCTTCACCAAACCCACCCCCCTGACAATCACTGGTATGTTTTCTTCCCCTATAGTTTTTTCTTTTATATCATATACATTGAGTGTCATATACATTGAGTTATGCAGTTAACAGTCTTTGGGATTTTGTTTCTTTCACTTATCAGAATGCATTTGAGATTCACCTCTGTGGTTGTATGTATCAGTGGTTCTTTCTTTTTTTAAAAAAAGAAGAGTGGTTCTCTTCTCTTTTAAAAGTTTCTGAGTAGCATTCCATTTTGTGAATGTACCAAAGTTTGTTTATCTGTTCACCAGCTGAAGGCCATTTGGGTAATTTCCAGTTCTGATGATTATGAATTAAGCCACTATAAAAAATCACATGCACGATTTGTTGTGAACATTAGTTTTCATTTTGCTTAGGTGAATACCTAGAAGTGGGATTGTTGAGTTATATGGTAAATGCATATTTAACTTTGTAACACATTGTCAAACGATTTTCTAAAGTAGTCACAAATTTTTGCATTTCCAACAGCTGTATATGAGAGCTCTAGTTGCTTCGTATGTCTCTAGTACTTTGCATGGTTAGTTTAAAATTTTTTTAAAAAAATCTTAGCTCTTCTAGGTGTAATGGTATCTCATGTGGTTTTAATTTGCTTTTCTCTAATGATAAATGATGTGAACATTTTTTCGTGTGCTTATTTTCCATCCACGTATCTTCTTTGGTAAAGTGTCTATACAAATCTTTTTCTGTTTTTTATTTGTATTGAGTTTTGAAAGTTTATGCCTTCTCTTTGCAAGTTCTTTATCAAATATGTTCTTAGAGAGTATTTTCTTCCCAGTTGCAGCTTGCTTTTAAACATTTTACTGAGTGTCCTTCAAAGAAAAGGAGATTTTACTTTCAATGCAGACCAATTGTTTGATTTGTTTCTTATATTGTTTATGTTTATGTGTTTGTCTAAGAAAGCTTTTTAAAATTTATTCTCGTTTTTAAAAATGTTTATTTTAGATTCTGGGGTACATGTGCAGGTTTGTTCTATAGGTAAATTTGTGTCATGGGGGTTTGTTGTACAGATTATTTCTTTATCCTGTTACTAAGCTTAGTACCTAATGATTATTTCTTCTGATCCTCTCCCTTTTCCCCAAGTAGGCCCCAATGTCTGTTTTCCCTTCTTTGTGTCCATGTGTTCTCATCATTTAGCTCCAACTTATAAGTGAGAACAAGTGGTATTTAGCTTTTTGTTCCTGCGTTAGTTTGCTAAGGAGAATGGCCTGCAGCTCCATCCATGTCCCTGCAAAGGGCATAATCTTATTGTTTTTTATGGCTGCATAGTATTCTATGGTGAATATGTACCACATTTTCTTTATCCAATCTGCCATTGATGGGCATTTTTGTTGATTCCATGTCATTGCTATTGTGAATAGTGCTGCAATGAACATATGCATGCATGTGTCTTTATGATGAAATAATTTATATTTCTTTGGGTGTATACCCAGTAATAGGATTGCTGGGTCAAATGGTAGTTCTGTGTTAGCTCTTTGAGGAATATTTCCTCAAAAGAAAACACTGCTTTCCACAATGGTTGAATTGATTTCCACCCATACCAACAGTGTATAAGTGTTCCCTTTTCTCTGCAACCTCACCACCATCTGTTATTTTTTGACTTTTTAAATATGGCCATTCTGGCTGGTGTGAGGTGGTATCTCACTGTGGTTTTGATTTGCATTTCTCTAAAGATTGGTGATATTGAGCTTTTTTCCTATGCTTGTTGGCTGCATGTATCTTTTCTTTTGAAAAGTGTCTGTTTATGTCCTTTGCCCACTTTCTAGTGTTTTTTTTTTTTTTGTAAATTTTAAATGTTTCTTATAGATGCTGGATATTAGACCTTTGTCAAGTGCATAGACTGCAAATATTTTCTTCTGTTTTGTGTGTTGTCTGTTTACTCTGTTGATAGTTTGTTTTGCTGTGCAGAAGTGCTTTAGGTTAATTAGATCCCATTTGTCAATTTTAGCTTTTGTTGAGATTACTTTTGGTGTCTTCATCGTGAAATCTTTGCCAGTTCCTTTGTCCAGAATAGTATTGCCTAGGTTGTCTTCCAGGGTTTTTATAGTTTTGGGTTTTATATTTAAGTCTTTAATCCACCTTGAGTTGATTTGTGTATACGGTGTAAGGAAGAGGTCCTGTTTCAATCTTTGGTATATGGCTAGCCAGTTATCCCAGCACCATTTATTGAATGGGCATCCTTTCCCCATTGCTTTGTTTTGTCAGGTTTGTTGAAGATCAGATAGTTGTAGGTGTATGGCCTTATTTCTGGCCTATCAATTTTATTCCATTGGTCTATGTGTCTGTTTTTGTACCAGTACCTTGCTTTTTTGGTTTCTATTGTTCTATAGTATAGTTTGAAGTGGGGTTGTGTGATGACTCTGGATTTGTTCTTTTTGCTTGGCATTGCCTTGGCTATTTGGGCTCTTTCTTGGCTTCATATACATTAGAAAACAGTTATTTCTAGTTCTTTGAAGTATGTCATGGGTAGTATGACCATTTTAATGATACTGATTCTTCGTATCCATGAGCATGGAATGCTTTTCCATTTGTGTCAACTCTGATCGCTTTGAGCAGTGTTTTGTAATTCTTATTGTGGAGAACTTTCATCTCCCTGGTTAGGTACATTCCTAGGTATTTTATTCTTTTTGTGGCTATTGTGAATGAGACTGTGTTCCTGATTTAGCTCTCAGCTTGACTGTTGTTGATGTATAGGAAGGCTAGTGATTTTTGTGCATTAATTTTGTATGTTGTTTATCAGCATAAGGAGCTTTTGGGCCAAGACTATGGGATTTCCTGGATATAGAATCATGTTATCTGCAAACAGGGATAGTTTGATTTCTCTCTTTCTATTTGGATGCCATTTATTTCTCCCTCTTGCCTGATTGCTCTGGTCAAGACTTCCAACACTGTGTTGAATAGGGGTGGTGAGGGAGGGCATTCTTTTTTTGTGCCGGTTGTCAAGGGGAATGCTTCCAGCTTTTGCCTATTCAGTATGATGTTGGCAGTGGGTTTGTCCTAAATAACTCTTGTTATTTTGAGATATGTTCCTTCAATGCCTAGTTTATTGACAGTTTTTTAACATGAAGGAATGCTGAATTTTATCAAAAGCCTTTTCTGCATCTCTTGAGATAATCATGTGGTTTTTGTCTTTAGTTCTGCTTATGTGATAAATCATATTTATTGATTTGTGTATGTTGAACCAACCTTGCATCCCAGGGATAAAGCCTACGTGGTCATGGTGGGTTAGCTTTTGGATGTGCTGCCAGATTTGGTTTGCAAGTATTTTGTTGAGAATTTTTGCATCAATGTTCATCAAGGATATTGGCCCAAAGTTTCTGTGTGTGTGTGTGTGTGTGTGTGTGTGTGTGTGTGTCTGCCAGGTTTTGGTATCAGGATGATGCTGGCTTCATAAACTGAGTTGGGGAGGAGTCCTGTGATGGTTAATACTGAGTGTCAACTTGATTGGATTGATCAACACAAAGTACTGATCCTGGATGTGTCTGTGAGGTTGTTGCCAAAGGAGATTAACATTTGAGTCAGTGGGCTGGGAAAGGCAGACCCACACTTAATCTGGGTGGGCACAATCTAATCAGCTGCCAGTGTGGCTAGAATATAAGCAGGCAGAAAAACGTGAAAAGAGAGAATGGCCTAGCCTTCCAGCCTACATCTTTCTCTCTTGCTGGATGCTTCCTGCCCTAGAACATCGGACTCCAAGTTCTTCAGTTTTGGAACTTGGACTGGCTCTCTTTTCTTCTCAGCCTGTAGACATCCTATTGTATGACCTGGCGATCATGTGAGTTAATATTTAATAAACCCCCCTTTGTATAAATATCTATTCCTTTAGTTCTGTCCTTTTAGAGAACCCTAATACAAATTTCTTCTCGAATTTTTGGAATAGTTTCTGTAGGAATGGTATTAGCTCTTCTTTATATATCTGGTGGAAGGTGGCTGTGAATCTACCTGGTTGTAGGTTTTTTCTTTGGTTGGTAGGCTATTTATTACTGATTCAATGTCAGAGTTCCTTATTGGTCTGTTCAGGGAATCCGTTTCTTCCTGCTTCAGTCTTGGGAGGGTGTATGTGTCCAGGAATTTATCCATTTCTCATAGATTTTCTACTTTGTTTGCATAGAGTTGTTTGTCATAGTCTCTGATGGTTATTTGTATTTCTTTGGGGTCAATGGTATCATCTACTTTGCCATTTCTAATTGTATTTATTTGAATCTTCTCTTCTTTATTAGTCTAGCTAGCAGCCAATTTATCTAACTTTTTGATGTGGGCATTTAGTGCTATTAATTTTCCTCTTAACACTGCCTTATTGTCTTAGGTGTGTCTCAAAGATTGTGGTATGTTGTATCTTTGTTCTCATTAGTTTCAAAGGACTTCTTGATTTCTACCTTAATTTCATTATTTACCTGAAAGTGATTCAGACGCAAGTTGTTTAATTTCTATGAATTGTATAAGAAATCTTTTCCTAAAGTCACAAATATTTTCTCTCCTGCATTTTCTTGTAAGAATTGTATAGTTTTAGGTTTAAATTTTGAGTTAGTGTTTATAAATGGAGCAACGCATAGGTCAGCTTTGTTTATTTATTTGCATATAGATGCCCAATTGTTCTAACACTGTTTGTTGCAGAGAGTATTCTTTCCTCATGAAATTATCCTTGCAACTTTGTTGAAAATCATTTGTTTATGTCTGTGTGGGCTCTGTCTTAGTACCCTCTATTCTTTTCCATTGATTTGTGTGTCTACCCTTTCATTAATACCACATTATCATGATCAAAGTAGCTTTATAGTAAGTCTTGAAATCAGGACATGGTGAGTTTTAAAAGTGGTTCTTCTTTATTTTTCAAAATTGTGTTTACCATTCTAGTTATTTTGTCTTTATGTATAAATTTTATAATCAACTTATGAATTTCAACAAAAATTCTGCTGCTGCATTTTTGATTGAGATTGCATTGAATCTAAAGATAAATTTGGGAAAGAACTGACAAGAAAATTGAACCTTCTAATCAATGAATATGGTGTATCTTTCCAGTTATTCAGGAACTTTTTCCTACTTTGGTGTTTTGTGGTTTTCAGCATAGAAATCTTGCAAATCTTCTGCTTATGTAAAACTCGTATTTCTTTTTTGGTGCTATGGGAAATGGTAGGTTTTTAGGTTTATCAATGTGTTTAATCTGTTTCTATGCCCATCATTGAATTCTTTTCCTTCATCCTAGGTTGACTTTACTACTTTAAATTTCCATCTTTGTCTCTCTGTAAATGTAATTAGAATCATATTGTGCACATTATTTCATAAACTTTCCCCTTATAATAAGCTTCATTTTCATAGCTGCCATCCCTTGAAAACATGCAACCATTTAGTTATGTAGAATTTTTAAGTTTTAACTATTAGTAAAGACAGTGAACATCTTTGTGTATATAATTCTTAAATAAAAGACTACTAATATCTTTTTAAAAAGTTTTCTGTTTCTTATTGAAAAACTTTTGATGGCAAATCACTTGAAGGGAAAATTTATTAGTAATATATTTAGTCATAAATTTGTAGTGTATGCAGAGTTCCAAAATGTTAAATGATATTAGAAGTCAGGTTGAAATATAAATTATCTATATACATGTTCAGTTCTACCATTTCTAAGTCCTGTTGACCAGATGAGATTGGCACAGTGTTTCTACTTGATTTTCCCAATTAATTTTTATACTCTGGGTATAGATGATGTGTATTGTCCATTATATGACTATCCTGCAATGCCTTTAGCTCTTCCCCTTTTGGTGGAGGTAATGATATTTGATTTGCTGCCATTACAGTCATTGCTCCAGCAAGCACCATTGTGCATATTCCTACATCCAGGTTTGAGGATTTTTCTCCAGTGTATTTTTTTTTTTTTTTGCCAGCCCCATCATTTGTAACTTCGTGTCATTTTGTTAGGAGTGTCTTGTGAACAGCATATGGCTATTTCTTTTAAATCAATCTGGCAGTCTGTCTTTCAGTAGGCAGCTTCAGTCCTGGTATGGGCTGTAGCAAGTACTGCTGCTGCTGTCCATCCCTTCTGCCCACGTGAGTTCTCCTGCATGCAGGTTCTGACATCTCTTTCTACAGTGGTGGAGTCAGCCCTCCTTTTTGCTTGGGGACATTCTCAGGTGCTGCAGAAACTTGCTGTGCCATGGACAAGTTTATTGTGAAATCAGGAGGTTTCATAGGGAGCCACACAGAGGCAACCATGGTGAGTCGGTGCATGAATGCCTCCCCAATCTGATGGGCGATGCTGCAGTTTGTTTCTCACGGTTTCAGAGGGACCCTCTGGGGACTGAGCCACAGGTGCCCCAAGTGCTAACCCGCTCATTGGTGCACCTTAATTAGGTTGATCACATTTCCCCTTTCTCACCATGCTTGTTGGAATCATCACTCAAATAAACTACCTGGGCCCAAGTTCTTGTCTCAGGTCTGCTTGGGAGTCCATACTAACATTGTTTGATTATAAGTATCAACTCTTTTTTGTGTTTTCTGTTAACCTTATTTTTAAAAAAATTCTTCCCGTTATTTCTGTCTTTTACTGGATCGATTTAGTTTTCTTTGGTTCATTCATTCTTCTGGCTTGGCAACTATAGATTACCTTTCTATTCCTTCAAAGGTTTCTTTAGCTTTTGAAGACATACACATCAATATAAAATTTCTAATACAGTCCAAATTTACTCTTATTTTATTTGTTTTATTAAGAAATACAATGACTTCAGTATGCTTTAACTTTCCCTCCTCTGATTTCTGAATTTTTCTTCCCTTCATATTCCTTTTAATTTTTGTCAATATTTTCTTATTATAATTTTTAAAATGCTTAAAGGTTAATTTGGTCAGTCAACTTATGTAATCAATTTCTATGCTTCTCATTGTTTCTTGAATACCATTAATTTGTCTTAGGTTTATTTTTATGCTTTTAAAATACATACTTTAATAGTTTTTAAATTATTATGTAGAAATAGCCAAGGCAGTGGTGGTAACCTTTCTTATTTTTGTAATTTGAAAATGTCTTCACTTTCCTTTCACTTTAGAATCATAGTTTCTTACCTGATATTACTTTTCACTGAGTTCTGTGAAGATATTATTTTTTTCTGGCATCTATTGTCATCTATTGTCATTGATGAAATATTAGCTTTCAAACTAATTGCTGGTTTCTTTGTAGTTAATCAGTATTTTCAGTCTGGTAACTTTCATTACTTTTAAAATACAAGTGATGTTTTATATTTGAATAATGGTGTTTGGAGGGATTCTGTATGCCTTTTTATTATTTTATACTTTTTGTGTCTGTGTCCTATATTATAAACACATTTCAAACACAGTTCCTAATTCTGTAATTTAAAAAATGTTGTCTGTTTATGCTTTTTACTGCATATTTTCTAATTAAAAAACTTTTTTTATGTCCAGAATTTTTAATTGACTTTTTCATAGCTATTATTCTTTTAGTTTCAGAATGTGTCTTTTTTTCATGAAATGCCATGTTTTGCTTTAATCTCTTGAGTATCAAAAATATCCTTATATTAAAGCCACTTTTTACATTTTAAAATTATTATTTTTGTCACTGGGGGTCTCTTAATTAGGGATTGTTCTCAGGGTCAGTGTTTCTCAGCTTTGATTTGTAGACTCACCTTGAGATTCATTCTCTCCCTTTCTCCAGGTTTTACCCGCTTCCTGCCCTCCTAACCTGCCCAGCTGTCTAGTCATGTTGTGGTAGCCTTCACCTTGTTTCCCCAGAACCCATTCCCAGGACCAGGTTTTATTCTGTTGCTTCCATGGTCATACTTGGGATATCTCCAATGTTGTCACAAAGCAGTCTGGAGTTGCCCAGGCTCAGATTCTACCTGCAAGCCTGGGTCAGCTTCCCCTTGCCTTCTTTGCTAAGTAGCTAATATCAGCCACAGCACACTTGTTCCTACTTTTACCTTTCCCTCATGGGAAGTGGGATCTGATTGAAATGAGTTCAAACTGGGAGCTTAGCTGTGATCCCTCCTAGCTGCTTCTATCTGCCTTCAGAGCCAGAACACAGCAGGTGCGAGGTCAGCCTCAGTTTCCCCTTTGTATTTCTTCCCTTTTCTGGCCACTGAAATGCTTATCTCACTTTTGCACTGTGATATCCCGCAAATTTTCTCAACTGCATTTTCTCTGTCATTCCTATGCATTTGGTGGTGATGGTGGCGATGAATGAGGGAGGGGATATTTGAAGTATGAACTCATCACACCATCCAGACTATAAGTTCATTCTTTCCCTTTCCAAAAGAGTTCTAATGTAAACTGAAACACTATTCTAAGGGTCTCAGATTTCAAGTGAGATAAATCAAAATTAATGAAAGAGTACAGCATCATCATGTAATCCTAAATTCCTGGTTTGAAAATGGTGTTTTGAAGGCAGTGGATTTTTTATGATCCCTAAAAGGATGAAGGGAAGTCTACAGGGAGAAATGTGGGTTCAGTATTCTAAGAAATTCATGGGTCTGGCTTACTTACCAAGGCACCAAATGGCTTCAGGGGAATTTATACTCTGATTAGTGTAAGACTTTAAAAGATAAATCTGTAACGGCTGCAGAGAAGCAGCAAAATTCATGGCTGGCCATCTGGCTTGGTTTTATTAACCTATTTGTTCCAACTGTGCTTATTGGCTTCTGCAGATAGGAAGGATGAAGATGAACTAGCTACAAGAAATTTTTAAAGGACTTCTGAGATTTATCTCCTTCTTTTCTTAAAATAATTTGTGAAAGACTGAACTGTTGTGTAAGGTGGTTATTCATTTAACAGGCATCATGTACCAGGTACTCTCTCGAACACCAAGCAGGGAACACCGAGGAAGGCTCGACTCTTGTGTCCAAGGGCCCTCTTGTTTTGATGCTAGTCATATCCCATGTTTTCTTGTTTTCAAATTCTTAACCATATGTTAGAAATTTTTAAGAGCTCAACGAAAATCTTGTACAGGCCATATATAGGGTTTTGTTTTTAATCTCTCCCTCCCTCCCTTCCTTCTTTCCTTTGTTAGATACAAGATGTATTCCTATTTATGGTTCCTTCTGTAATAAAAACATTTAGGAAAGAGGCTGCCTATCTGCAGGCAGGATTCTTAGGTCTAAGGGACCAGAAGGAGGGCATCATGGTCAATTTGGCATTTTCGTCCTGAGCTCTGAGTTAAGTAGGCTGGCAAGATGCTGCTTTGGAAGAAGAAATCAACTAGTTGTAGCAATAAGGAGAGAAAGAAGTGAAAGAAAGAAAGGAAGGAAAGGAGACCTTCCTGATAACTCCCACTGTTATCACATAACTTTAAAATTCTTCCCTTAATCAGTCCTTTGCGATCTGATATTTGACCTGAAAGAATACCGGTGAACACCTGTATCCCACTCTTAGCTGCAAGGGCAGGATTGGGTGTCCCGCAGGCAAAGAGCAGGGTGAATGAAAGGAGGTGGTCAGCATGGGTCTCACCAGTTTCACAAGGGATGTGAGGACAGGCACCAACAGCTGGGGATAGGGGAGCAGCCTGAAGGTATGGGGGCTGTGGAGCTGGAATGTGCTGGGGGAGCCAGGACATTGGGAGTTGGGACACTCATTCTCAAGGGATTTTCATTTCTTTAGGAAATGGGTGGTTTGGGATCTCAGTTTTAGCTGTCCTTCCTGCTTTCATTGTTAATCTCTTATTTACTGATGTGACCTAGAAGTACAGTGGCATCACCAGGCTTTATCTCTGGGACACTGAAAGCCAGGTTTGGGTTCCTTTTGGGATTTTTTTCAGCTGTTTTTTTTCTTCCCCCTAATGCTTTTCTTGAGAAGATGGACAAAGATAGAAAAAAAGGTCAGACAATGACAGAGAGAAGTCATTAATTCAACAAGCATTTAATTTGGCCTTAACCATCTGCTGGGGACATAATGGTGGAGAAGACATGAGATTCAAGGAAGGCAGAATGGGTAAACAAAGAAACCAGTACGTAAGGAAGGGAGTTGCAGATGGGGACGTGTGGTGTGCAGGATGTGGGAGACGAGTGTTTCCTTTGTCCCCACTGCCTCCAATGCTGTGCTGTGTTTATTTCCCAAGGTTATGAATTTGTGTAATAAAAATAGTGACTGCCGTCGATTTCACTGGTAATGTGTGCCCAGAACTGCACATGCATCTGCTCATTTACTCCTCACCATAATCTTATAAAGCAGGTGACATCATTTTCCCCACCAGGAAACTGAGATGTTAGCTAACCTGCTCAAGGTCATGTAGCTAATGAAGAACTGAGCAGGAATGCATATCCAAGCTTGTCTCTGTAGTCTGTGTTCCATGCAGAGATTAATTGCAAAAATGTGGCTCCCCCAAACAGGGCATGCAGGTCTTTTGGGGTGCTATAGTCTCAGTCAAGGTAGCTGTGTCTACATTTTAGGACTCTGAGGCACTGCTGGAAGGACCTGACAACCCCTGTCAGTTGCTGAGATCGAAGTGAATGGTATCAGTCTTCTTCCCTGTTCCCCACGCTTAACATTTTCTATGCACATGTGTATTATACAGTTGTTTTTGTCAGTCATTCTCTTGTTATGATGCTGGGCTAAGAGTAATTACAAGGAACAGCTCACAGTCCCTGAATCTTCAGAATGGCTGCTCCTTTGTGTGTGTGCCTGCTATGCTGGGCAGTAGTTTGCAGGAGCTCAGGGATCACCCACTTCTGCTCTGAATATGGACAGTTGAGGGGAGAGTATTGACTTTTATTTTTGGCATAGATCTCCACATGTATATACACTCTCTGGTGTGTGTATGTGTTTACTAAGTTTGAATCTGCTGCTGGCCTCAAATAACCCCCTTCTTGACTGTAATGAGGCCATATTTTGTTTTCTCTGTGAATAAATGAGATCCAAAATTAACCAACATCTGCAGAGCTTGAGCTGACACGATGCTGCCTCCTCCTCCCTTGTCTTTTCCAGAACAAAAAACAGTTTGCCATTTATTCTGTTCGTTCTACTTTTTGAAATATCCATAAAAATGCTTTTTCCTAGAGAGCGAATTTTATGCTTTGTGGTATCTTTTCCTCAAAAATTTTGATGATTTTCAGATGAGTGATTGAATTCAATCCAACTTAATGAGGACCCTGCTGGGTGCCAGACCTGGAGCATGGAGTCAGCACATGCTGTCCTGGGCACCTCCAGGCTGCAGGCTCCCAGGCCCTGCCTCTAACCTGGGCTTCCAGACCACGCAGTCCCCATGCTCCCATCTCTAGTCAAGCCAGTGACAAATCCCATAACCTCTCTGACATTCAGGTTTGCCCTCCATTGCCCAGCATTGCCCTGGCAAAAGCCAGGAGCAAATTGTTACTTTTTGCAGGAATGAGCTCATGAATTTTCTTTCCTAGGTATTTTGACTATTGGGTCAGAAAAATATAAATGATAGGTCAGCCAGTTTTGATGAGTTTACAGATAGCGTTATTTTACATAGATATACTTACATGTTGATTGTATTTAGGAGTTGAGTGCTTTATGATTATGTCAAATTAAGGTGTTAAGTTTCTTTATTATCTTAAAGAAGAAAGTCCCATTAATCTATCAGAAGGTACAGGCTTTGTCTTGGTACTAAATCTGAGGAAAAATTTGCATTATGATTGAAAATATTAAAAACTGTATTTAAAAAATTCAAGTGAGTTATGCTTTCAGAAACCTCAAGATATAAAGTAATATTAAATGGATATAAAAAGACATGAAAATCAGCATTTCCTCAAGATTTTAAATGAGCCTTTTCTGAAGTCTTTAAAGTGCACTTTAATTTTAAAGATCGTATCTATTAAGCTTCACAAGAAAGAAATGCATTCTGTGACAAAAGGTAGACTTTAAATTTTATAAATTTGTACTAAGTCAAGGTAGTCTTCTGCCATCTTTATTCTTTATACCAAATTAGTAAAGTGGTTTTTTTGTTTGTTTGTTTTTTTGAGACGGAGTCTTGCTCTGTCACCCAGGCTGGAGTGTAGTGGCGTGATCTCAGCTCACTGCAACCTCCGCCTCCTGGGTTCAAGCTGTTCTCTGCCTCAACTCCCGAGTAGCTGGGATTACAGGCACCCACCACCACACCCGGCTAATTGTTGTTTTTTTTGTAGAGACGGGGTTTCACCACCTTATCCGGGCTGGTCTTGAACTCCTGACCTCGTGATCGACTCGCCTCAGCCTCCCAAAGTGCTGGGATCACAGGCATGAGCCACTGTGCCTGGCTAGTAAAGTTTTATACACAGCATCACTGTTGCCCCACAAATCTCACAAAAGCAAGTTAGGGGTTTGTGATCTGAGTTATCCAGACTCTTTATTTCCTGTATGCATGAGTATATTGCATGCCTCACATACATCTTTTCAAGCTTGACTGATCATAAAGACAAACTGGAAGAACTCATCCCAGACCCACTGATTCAGAATCTGTGGGGGAGGACCCAGCAGGAGGCCCAGTGGATCTGATCTTCAAAAAAGTTCAGAAGCACAGTTTAAGGATGTTCTTGAGGAGCTGTAGATAGGCTATATCATGGCCATCTCACTACCTGGCTTAGTTCCAATTATAGATTAATCAATTTAACTAAAAGTTGATCAAAGGGATGGACAATAAAAACACTTAGGTCAATCGAGAGCAAACTGAATCCAGAAGTTTCAAATGACTCCTTCAAATGGTTCCTTCCAACCCTGACTTGAAACACCTGCCTGATACAATGGAAGATAAAATGTACAACAATGGCACAAGTTGTGGCATTAGTGTTGGATGCCATTAATGAGCATCTCTAAGCACTGCGGAAAACACATTACATATAGAATCTCTAATCCCCCCCACCCCCCGCCAAGAACTGTATATGTCTAATGAAATTGAAGCTATGATAGTTTGAATAACTTGTTACAATGATATACCCAGTATAAAGGGAAAGATGAGATAAGAACTTTTCTCGGGATAATTGCAACATCTACAATGCCTTGTCGTTTCTGACACAATAATAAAAATACCCCCAATAATGCCTGGCATTGATAGGTGCTTTATAATTTGCAGAGGAATTTTACAAACATCATCTCATTGAATATCTAGCCAGATGTGTCTTCGCCATTCTACAAAGACATCACAGCCATTCCAACACCCACTGACGCTTCACTAGCACTGTTATCCTCATCTGGAATCCTCCTCTCCTTTATTTATCCACATTGCCCTCATTCTCTCTAAGGTCTTGTCAAGTCCTGCGTCCTTCACTGAGCCTTCCTTACCCAGCTGCATCCCAGCATCATGGAGAAGTTACCTGCAGTTTAACACGCAATTTTACTGTGGTCTGTCCTGTGTATTTTGCTCTGATGGCTTTAATCCTATCATTTATTTCATATGATTGTGACCATCCCAGTGTCCCCAATGTTATTATGAGCTCTTTGAGGGTGGCTGTCATCCTCATGATGCGTCTGTGTCCATTGCAGCTGGCAAGGTTTGGTAGGTACGTACCTCTCATTTGGTCAGTGATTACCAATGGCAGTCTACAAAAATGGAGCTTCCCCACCTTCATGCTGGGAGGCACTCATAGATTCCCTCAGTCCCTGGATCTGCTGGATCCCAGGCCTGTTAGCTCTTGCTGTTAGCAGTCCCAACATGTATGTCAATGATCTGAACTGTATAATTTCCTCTGGCTACCATGAAATTTTAAAAAATGTTTAAAAGGCTTGGAAGCACTGTAGCAGCCAAATGACCAGATGTATTTTTGGCCTTTATTGAAATAAGCCATAGTTATATAGAGAAATTCAGAGGGTGCTTAGGATAATGATAAATGTATTTTAAAGAACTAGTCTCTTGTAAAAGTGCAAATTGTGCATGCCTGTTGAAGAGGTTGATATGAATAGCAAAACTAGAACATTCCATAATAAGTCAGACCAATCCTAGAAGTGCCTCATGGCTACATTTTCTATTAATGTAGCATTAGTTTCTAAGGAAACTTTGTAAATATGCTGTTATCTAAGCATGTTGTCAATATTGACCATGAATTTAGAAGGAATGTTTTATTTTATTAAAATCTTACTCAAATATCTAGAAAGGAAAACATGATGTACACACAAAGGAAGTGTTCAAAAGTGAGGAGTGTTGATCTTTGGCAGTTTTCACACTACATTTGGCCCTGGGAGCTGTATCCCAGGACTTAAGAGTCAACTTGGCTTAGAAGGCAGTGGTGCCAGGGGCAGGGCCAAAGTCAATGGCCGGGAGAACAGGCTGGCAGAGTCAACCTGCATGTGTGGTAGGCGCTAAGTGCTTTAATGTGTGAAATCTTTGTTCTTGCAATAACCCTGGCAGGCACATAGTAGCCTAATCCTGATTTTCTTAGCGGGAATGGTGTCAGGACTGAACAGATTCCAAAATCAAGTTCTGTAATCAAAGTGCAGAATAAGGAAAATCCAAATAACCTGCCCCAGACAAAGCATTCCTGTGTTTATGAACTCAGCTTTGAGCGTGGAAACTCATGGCTCTTGAGGTGGGAGGAAGGAGAACTAACAATTATGGCTCCATTTTTGTCAATGAATCTGGATGGCATCTTTTCAGTGGCCTCTTTCTCCTATCTGGACCAGGTTTGGATTTACCCAAAGTCCAGTATTTAAAGTATAAATATCTAGGAAAAATTCTCAACTGGTTTAATACCTAATATTTTATGCATCTCTAATTTCTCAAACTCCTTTTCCCAAATAAGATGGGCATCCTGGGGGATGAGGTGGAAGGATGGACAATGCTCTCTGAAACTCCTCTTAGAAGCTTCCCCTTGGAGACTCAGTGTAGGCTCAAGTAAGGGAATCTATCAAGCTGCCTGGTATTGAAAATGACAAGTATTTGTGGTACTCAGTGGGGATTGTAGAAGGGAGGGGCACCATCTTAGAAGGAATGGACTTGCCACAAGGAAGCTGGTGCTGTCTCTTCTGCATCAGTAGAGACTGTCTGGGATTGGTGGAAATTCATTTACATGGACAAAATTGGTGTCTTGCAGATTTTGAAGGATCCTGAATCTATTGTCATTTATGCAAAGTGGTTAACTTAGAGGTAGCCCTAGGTGGCCATAATTGGATGCTCTTCAGTAAGGATGGTATGGAGATTAGAGATGACCACACATTCTTTGCTACTCTTCCCTTTGAAAGATGGCATATATTGTTCCTCCTCTTGAATCTGGGCTGAACTCATGGCTTCCTTGACCAATGGAATGCAGTGGAAGTGATGTCTTGGGACAGCTAAAACCAGGTGACAAGAGACTATGTGGCCTCCATTTCCATTCTATGTGGCCATTCTATGTGGCCACCAATGATGGTGAACATTGGGGTGTTCACCAGCAACATCCTCCCTTTTGGGAGGCTCCCTCTTGGAATGTAGTCAGCATGCCTTGAGAAAGCTCAAGAAATCCAATGTGGAGGCTCAAATGGAATGGAACTGAGTTTCCTGTCTGATGGTCACCTGATGAGCACCTTGACATCCAGCACAGCTGAGCCCTTGGATAACTGCAGCTCAGCCAGCATCTTATTGCACTGCATGGGAGACTGCAAGTGAAGCCCCCCACAAGCTGAATGCTTTCTGGATTTCTCCCTTCCAGAGGCTGTAGTCCTGCCTCTGTTCCCAGAGGACCTTGGTCTTTCACTGCAGGCTGCCTTGAGCTGATGGTCTGCAGGCCTCTGTGTCCAGGTATTTCTCAGCGGCTTTCCCCATCACTGCAGCCTTCTGGCCACTCTTTCTGTCAGAATGGCCCCCTCTGCTGACAGTTTGTTTGGACTCTGAACTGCTGTTTCCTCTCACTGTGGAAATTATGCTTGGTTGACCAGGTAGCACCTTTCCTCACCATCTTTACACTCCCACTCAGCTCCACCCAGCTGAATGAGAGCCTCTCAGTCCTTTCTGCACTGGTAGGGCCTAGCTCCTGGGGGCTGCGGGTGAACCTCTGTTCTTAAATATCAGGCTGCAGTTTGTGCTGAATGCTGGCGGTAGGTCCCTGGCGATATCTAGCATTGAGTATTGTCACCTTGGTGACCCACATTACCTCATGGTTGCTAATCAATTCCATTACTCTTTCTGCCGTCCAAACAGAGGATGACCTTGTCAAAAGATCACTATTCTGTGCTTTAAGGCCACATTCTCAGAACTCATTTAATTGCCAGGAGGCACTTGTTGTCAGGGAGCCCTTGGAGCCATGTAATCCTGGCCCAGACAATTGAATAGCAGTATCCAGAGAACAGAGCGGGAATGCGTCTACACGATATTGTTTCACGACTTTTGCTCCAAGTCTCAGGACATCCTAGTGTGCTGAGTCATCACCCGCTGGACACAGCCCAGTGAATTTCAGAGACAGTTTCTACAATAATCGCTTATCCTGATAACTTTTGACTTTCTTGGGCCTCTCCAGTCACCCAATTGATGTCTCTTGTTTTTAGTGTTTCCTTTATTCCTTTTCCTCTGCCAAAAGGAAGAGGTCTCTCATATTGTGTCACCTCTTGGAAACTAATGAAATAACATTTGTGGAAGGTGCATGTGAAAACGTTTTCGCAAAATGTGAATGTCTTCACATTTAATTTGAGTTCTTTCATACCATATCAGCACGGAATCTCCCCAGTTCTCTGCATCAACAGTGACTGAGAAGAGCCAATATAGACACTGCCTGGACTGGTGAAGGCCAGAAATTTGAACTTACCAAATTCTTCTCCCACGTTTCCAGAGACAGAAGTGTCTCATGGCATTGCTACCCATGGAGGATAAGATGGCAGCTCTGGCCCATAAGCTCTCAGGGACCTGTGCTATTCAGCTCTCTCTTCCCCTCAGAAATGGGGACAATGGCTGCTTGATTCTGGCTTTAGGGCCAGGAGTAGAGGCTGTTTTTCATAGGCCCTCGCAGACTGATTTTTAATTTTTAATTATGGCTCTTGGAGCTTCCATATATATATATATATATTTTTTATTTTACTTTATTTTATTTTATTTATTTATTTTATTTATTTATTTATTTTATTATACTTTAAGTTCTAGGGTACATGTGCACAACGTGCAGGTTTGTTACATATGTATACATGTGCCACGTTGGCGTGCTGCACCCATTAACTTGTCATGTACATTAGGTATATCTCCTAATGCTATCCCTCCCCCCTCCCCCTACCCCACAACCTTTTTGATGAGGGTAGAGGGTGCGTTAAGATCCACCAGGACTGGCTGCTCCTGCCCTGGCCATCTGGGCATCCTCCAGGGAGCAGGTTGTCCCCTTTCTAGGTTACTAACGAGGCTACATGCTGATAAATTGCTGCTGACTTGCTGTATTGGACAGAGCATGATTTTGCACATTGGTTCATCCAGTTTTATAATGACAAGGAAGGGGAAACATAAGTACATTGACAATCCACTCAAATAATCACTCTCCCAGTGTGCCTGCCTGCTGCTGTCACAAAGAAGGAAGCTGACTTAGCTCCAAATTTTAAGCCAACAATGTTAATTCATTTCATATAAGATTTCAGACAAGAAAGAGGTTCCAGAGTAGTATTCCCTTCAGTTTTTCAGAATTCTCGTTTTTAGATTATAACTTACTTTAATGAGTTTAATCCAGTGTGCACATATGATATTCATGGATGTTCAGATTGTACCATAAGAAATCTATGATGATGTCCTTGTCTTTAGGCAGTTCCCAGGTTGTGGAGATAGGACATCAGGAGAATCTGTGAGAATGACAGGCAACCTTGTGAGGTAGTAAAGTGGTTCATCTGTATCGATTTGCTAAACTTTTTTCTCTTTGAGATCTATTTTCCCTCATGGAGCCCCCAATGAACAGGATCAAATATTCACAGGACTCATGGGTCTAGGTGAAGATTTTCCTCTAAGTGGGAAAATGTGAGATCCCTCTGATGTAGGGATCTAGGGATTGTAGGATAAGGGACTCAGAGGGCAAATTGCATGCAAGGACCCTCATCCAACAGCTCTTCTCCCCATGCCTCCTGCCCTCCCTCATCACTCTGGTATTTATCCACTCCAGGAGTTTAGGAGAAAGTGATATTTTGTGCTTATTTGAAAAATAAAGATAGTGTCCTTTCAAGAAATGCATCTTGTTTGAAATTAATTCCAGAAAGTAGCTGATTTGCATATTCCAAAGGCAGTGAGTAGATTAGACTATAAAATGTGTTTCTCTGGAAATTATTCTTTGGTTAGTGCAGTAGCTCCTATTTCTGGAGTTAACGCTTTTTAAACATTGAATTGTTTTATCTCAGGTTATCAGCTGGACAGTTTTGTCTTCAGTGTGGCAACTGAGTCATGCACCTCGGATCCCAGAGCTTACTCCAGTTTCCTACCTGGAGTACGTGCGTAACAGACCCGACTGTGGCTGGTGTTCAGGGAAACTATCCAAAGGTGCTATTTCTTTGTTTTAGAATATATTTATGATCAACATGATTGCATCTCCAGGGAGATGCAACTTAGCGATATTAAACTAATGTCTTGTAATCTATTAACTCAAGCAGAACACTGCAAAATGCCAGACCTCTGAATGGACTGTTTTTCTACTCTGCACAATTTATGAAGAATAATTATATTCTAAAGCCCTACATGAAGGTGGAATTTTTATTTTTCTCGCCTTAAAAGATGCATGTATGATTTTTTTGGGAGGCAGTCCCGGTGCAGCACAGCTCTGTTTGCAGGTGGCTTGTTCAGATATTTAAGGCTGGGTTAATCGTAAGGAATCTTATGATGTTAAAATGAATGGATATTTGAACTGAGAGGAAATCAGAATGAAAACTCTGAAATCAGGATGAAAGTGTTTTGAAATACTGAGAGGCAAAAAACTTAAAAATATCCTTAGCATTGAACAAGCAGTGTCAGCACTATAGGAAATAAGCAGTGTGTTATCAGCTCTTCTGCACATAGAAGATTAGAGCAAAGTTCATAACCCTATAAGTTCTTTGAAAAAAATTGCAGTATTTAGAGACCAAAATTACTGAATACCATGAAAAGCAATTTTTTGACACCTACTACGATTGAAATGAAGGTCAGCAAAACTCTCCAGATAATTGCTTAAGGTCACTGAAGTCTTAGCAAAAGCTGGGTCCCTGACTTAGCAGGGAGAAGAGCCTAGAGCTGGAGCTCATTTTCCCTGTAAAGACATTTGAACATGAAAATTAGTCATTAACAGAAAAAAGTTATTGCTTCAGATGGCCTAATCATGTTTCCACCTTCAGTGACCCAATGCATTTGGAGACTCAGGGAACAGGGGACTGCTATGTGAATGGGCTTTAATCAGATCTTCTTCCACCAGGGACCCACCCAGGCACATGCATATTGGCATGATGTCCCCACACAGTGCCTGGTTTGTCAGCAGAAATGGCAGATTATGCCCTGACTGTCTGGGTATTGGAGACAACAAAAATCCTCTGGATATATTGCCCCATCATCTTTCACCATTGAAATCCCCCAGGAAGAAGATGGCATGAAATCACTGTTAGGTTGAATTTTAAAAAACCACTCATCCTTATCTAAACAACCCAGCCTTAAATATCTGAACAACCCACCTGCAAACAGAGCTGTGCTGCACTGGGACTGCCTCCCCAAAAAATCATACATGCATCTTTTAAGGTGAGAAAAATAAAAACCCCACCTTCATGTAGGGCTTTAGAATATAATTTTTCTTCATAAATTGTGCAGAGTAGAAAAGCAGTCCTTTCAGAGGTCTGGCATTTTACAGTGTTCTGCTTGAGTTAATAGATTAAAAGACATTAGTTTAATATATATGACTTTTATTTAAAAAGATAAGACTACCTTTCAACTTTAATTTTAAACCTGGTGACAAATAATTCTTAGCTTACACTAAAAAAAGTAGAGGTCCCATGTACAGGTTGCAGTCATGGCCTGAGGAGCTGAAGGCGGTAGAGATTTGGGCCCCATCACAGCACTTGTGTTTCTGATGTCTTTGCTTACTTAGCGATTGAAATTTCTGCTACACTGATATGTCAGCTGATCTTGTTCCCAGGATTCACAGAACCTCTTTGCATTGGAAATAGTCTTTCTTGGCATTTCCTGGACAGTCAAGCATGATGTTACTTCTCTGAATGTCAATAACTCGTTGTTCCTATTGTCCTTCATCTTCTCATGCACCATGACCTTTGTCTCAGAATTTCTGGACCTGCTGGGTTGTTGGACCCTGTGCCATCCATTATGCTACTGACTCGGGTTTTAGCCAACCCCTCTGTTCTGGAAGCCACGTTAGTCCTTTGCTTGCTGGGTCAACACAGGCTTTGCCAATGTGGGGTGCCAGAGAGAGACTAGAGACAGAGGGGGAAGACGCAGCTCATTCTCTCTTTGGATTTCTTGCCTGTGATCTTTGACCCAGCACATTCCTTTGACCTCCCATAGAAAGAGTGGAATCTGGTTGGTGGTTTTCTTTTAATACCTGTCGAAGGAGCCTTATCACACCCTTCGCAGAGACAGCAGCGCCAGCCAGCAGGTGCCCTCTCTTGAGAAGTCCAGCCCCCAGGCCCATGGGGCCCCTCTGAGCTCACAGACACCCTCATGTGAGGTCTCAGGCTCAGCACCGTAGGTCCCTTCCTCTAAGCTTTCAAGTTTTTTTTAAATGCTTTAAGTTCTGGGTTACATGTGCAGAACGTGCAGGTTTGTTACACAGGTATACATGTGCCACGGTGGTTTGCTACACCCATCAACCTGTCACTACATTAGGTTTTTCTCCTAATGCTATCCCTCCCCTAGCCCCCCACCCCCCAACAGGCCCCGGTGTGTGATGTTCCCCTCCCTGTGACCATGTGTTCTCGTTGTTCAACTCCCACTTATGAGTGAGAACATGCACTGTTTGATTTTCTGTTCTTGTGTTAGTTTGCTGAGAATGATGGTTTCCAGCTTTCAAGTTTTAATGATTCCAGTGTTTTCCTGTTTTTCTCTCAGCCTTAGTGGTGACAGCTGTGATAATTTAGTGCTCCTATGGGACACCTTAGTGTTCTCTGTCTGTCTTTTTAGTTAACTAGTTAACAGTTCTTTCCACCTGGCTAATGGTTCTTTATACTAAATTTTTTGTTACATTAACTGGTATGATTCCTGGGCCCTGAGTAATATAGATGACATCACTAATGATGTTAAGCAAAAGTCCTCCATCAGCAATTTCATTGGCAACACGAATGTGATCTAAAGATTGTTTTAAAGGTGCCTAAAATTGTATTCCTAATCTCTTACAAAAGGACCAGAATATGGGTTTTAAACCACCAAAGTTATTCGTGACACATAGTTATGTCAGTCAAAACTCATGGTGGCAAGTGACACAAAATTTAGCTGAAGCAAAAAGGGGGGAATATTGGCTCATTGACTGAATGACATAGCAAAAACTGGGCCCTTGAGTTGTCATGGGAGGACAGCTTAGAGCTGGAGTTCATTGTCCTTGTAAAGACATTTGACTATGAAAATTAGTCATTGACAGAAAAAGCTATTGCTTCAGATGGTCTAATAATATTGCCAACTTTACTGACCTAATGTATTTGAGGGCCCAGAGGACAGGGGATAAGGCCTGCCTTCAAATAGAGCTGGGCCAAAGCACTGAATGTCCATCATAATATCTAAGCCTGGTTTTCTCCATTGCCTGCCTTGCTTTTCTCTCTTCTGGCTCCATTCTCAGGTAGGCTCTTCCTCGTGAGGTCAAGATTGCTCCCAATAGCTCCCAGCTTATTCTTATTTTCTCAGCAATCCCAGTGGAAAGATAGAATCTCTGCTTTCAACATCCACAGAAAAAGCCCTGGGGTGATTTCCGTGGCTCTGGGTGTGTGGTATCCATCCCTGGAGGTTGGAGCACACTACATTCTCATTGTCTGGGCTCATATGACCACATCTGCAGGGAAACAGAGAATCTGTTTCACCCAAAACAAAAGGACTAGAACATAGTTGCAATTTTCCCAAGGAAAATGTAAGTGCTGTGACCATGAGGCGGGGAAATGAATGCTGAGCTGCAAAACCCACAGATGCCCTCACCGTAGAGGCTCTGAACGAAGGAGAGAGAAGTGAGAAGGGTTGTCGTGGGGCCCTGCTCAGAGTACCCACTTCTGGAACGTGACTGGTTGAAAGTCTTCAGACACCATTCTTTGGACCCCTCTCCACTCATTTGGGCCACTCCCAGCCACTGACTAAGCGAGGCAGAATACTAGAATTGGGCCATTTCTGCCTGATGCAGGATTCCTCTGTTGGGCAATGTTAGTTCGGCCACATTGCCTGGGCAAGGCTCTTTCAGTACTGCCCCATAGTCTGAGGCTCTTTCTACCCAATCCTTCCTGCTCTCTCTTCTTTCACAGGTGTCAGGGCTGCATTGCAATCTGGAAGCTCTCTTCACTACTCCTGATCCCTCCCTGTTATCCTTCACGGCATCTCCCTGAATGATCCTTGCCTGTAGAATTATTTCCTGGTGTCTGCTTCTCAGAGGACCTGAACTGACACAGCATGCGTGAATCTTTTATAGCTCTGTCCTCCAAATGGCTGTAAATTGTGTGTGCTCTTTGATTTTGGCTGATGGTTTGGCGGAGGTATTTAATCTCTCTACTGATAATGATGTCTGATGAAAGAAGACAAAGACTGCTGCTCGAACCGTACATCTTGAGGAAAGAAGGTGGTCCTGAACAGTGCCCCAGCCACGTTCAGATGTTCAAGCTTCCCATCCATGGTGCAGGCCACAGACAGGCAGACACCTTCATTTTATTTTATGAACTGTAACAAGAGAAAGTGTTCACTGAATTGTCTTGGTCATTAACAGATTGGAGGCAGCCACAAACTTTATGAGAGTTCACTTGCTGAGTCACAGGGAGATATTAGTCAGCCTGAGCCTTTGATAGTGCCAGGCTCTATAGTGAAATGTTTAATGCTCTCCCATTTAATGGAAAATATACATTGTTGGTAACATCTGTGGGGCTGTTCAAGAAGCCAGAAACCGCAAGAGTTCCTGGCCTGACCCTCACTGGCAGGTGCAATGATTCTCAGATCTTTGTTATTTTCTGGTTATCGTTACCCGGTTAGCCAAAATATGTGTTTTTATGAAAAATCGTGATAAATACTGTATTCCTTACTGGTGGCATTTTTCTTCTCAAAAATACATTAATCAAGGCTTTAGGCAGCAAACTGGAATCTGATTGATAAAGTAAATCTTGAGGAGCTGTTCTGTGGGTCACAGTCCCCATTTTCCCCGTTGGTGAACTTTTAGCTTTCTGCTTAGGGGGATTTTGTCTTATTTAGCTCCATCCGATGAGGCTGAGTCCATTAGGAAACTCAGTGGAAGGAGCTGGAAAAATGAACTTCTAACCATTCTAATGGAAAAATCTACACTCTAAGCTGGAAAAAGGCTTTCCTAATGAACAAGGAGAATATTTTTCCTCGGTGGCCATGAGGTGGTGCTACTGGAAACCGCCAGGGCACTTGTAAGTGAAAAACAGAGCATCAGTAATTTGGCGAGAATTCAGAAAACAAAACTTTCTCTCTGTCCAAGACAATGACTGCATTTCTATTTATTTCTCTCCTGCTCAAAACTCCTAAGGATCACTCAGTGCTGCATTTCATTTTCACTGGACCCCAGTAGACGGTGGACAAAAGTATTTTGTAACAAATCTAGTATGACTTGTCATTTGTCTTTACAAGCATCGGCAAAATCCTATTAGAGTGTGCCAGTATTCTTTGTGTTTGTTTGTCTCTTAAGTCCAAGGCTCAAATTTACATAAAGGTGAAATGATTGACAACCAGCATATTTTAACTTGAAGCAGCTTTAATTTTGCTATGATTTCACATTGTTTCCTCATGTATGGAAAGCATAATCCTGGAAATTAGGTTTCCAGTGAAAACAAGGACATCTCTCTTATTGCTGTATTATAGTTGTCTTAAAAAATTCCTCATCTTCCCAGTGTGAGGAAGATAATTTGACACAATGTTCAATCCTGGATTCACTTAACTTTGTCTTTTTTTCCACCAATGTAACTTCCAGCTTTCTGATGAGCAAGAGTTTTATAATGTATGATGAGTATAACTAATCTAGAATTAATTTCATGTACAAAAATACTTGAGTCATATACGAATTGATGATTTTTACAGGTTTTTCAAGTATTTACTTGGCTATTATTCTCATAAATGCACTCAGATAATGGTTTCTGATTTTGTGATTAAAAAATTATGGTCTGGGGGGCTGGCTGGCAAGATGGCCAAATAGGAACAGCTCCAGTCTGTAGCTCCCAGCGAGACCAATGCAGAAGGCAGGTGATTTCTGCATTTCCAACTGAGGTACCCTGTTTGTCACATTGGGACTGGTTAGGCAGTGGGTGCAGCCCATGGAGGGCAAGCAGAAGCAGGGTGGGGCATCGTCTCACCTGGGAAGTGCAGGGAGCAGGGGCCCTCCCTTTCCCAGCCAAGGGAAGCCTTGAGGGACTGTGCTATCCAGCCCAGATATTCCTTACCTATGGTTTTTGTAACTGCAGACCAGGAGATTCCCTCATGAGCCTACACCACCAGGGCCCTGGGCCCTGTTTGGACGGTTGTTTGGGCAGGCACCGAGCTAGCTCCAGGAGTTCTTTTTTTTTCATACCCCAGTGGTGCCTGGAACCCCAGCAAGACAGAACCATTCACTCCTCTAGAAAGGGGGCTGAGCCAGAGAGAAAAGTGGTCTTGCTCAGTGGATCCCACTCCTACAGAGCCCAGCAAGCTAAGAACCACTGATAGAAATTTTTCCTGCCAGCACAGCAGTCTGAAGATGACCTGGGATGATTGAGCTTGGTGGGGGGAGGGGCGTCTGCCATCACTGAGGCTTGAGTAGGTGGGTTTCCCCGATAGTGCTAAAAAGGCCTGGAAGTTCAGACTGGGCAGAACTCAACACAGCATGGCAAAGCAGCTGTGGCCAGACTGCCTCTCTAGATTTCTCTTCACTGAGCAAGGCATGTCTGAAAGAAAGGCAGCGGTCTCAGTCAGGGGCTTACGGATAAAACTCCCATCTCGCTGGGACAGAGCACATTGGAGAAGGGGCGGCTGTGGGCGCAACTTCATCAGACTTAAACATTCCTGTCTGCTGGCTCTGAAGAGAGCAGCGGATCCTGACTAGGAGGGTTCTACCAGCACAGTGCTTGAGCTCTGCTAAGGGACAGACTACCTCCTCAAGTAGGTCCCTGACTCCCATGCTTCCTGACTGGGAGAGACCTCCCAACA
The DNA here is from genome assembly GCF_000001405.40 of Homo sapiens. Taxonomy (NCBI): domain Eukaryota; kingdom Metazoa; phylum Chordata; class Mammalia; order Primates; family Hominidae; genus Homo; species Homo sapiens. Next base: position 6,952,829 of record NC_000005.10, read on the forward strand.
GGGGTTGACAGACACCTCATACAGGAACGCTCTGGCTGGCGTCAAGGCAGTGCCCCTCTGGGATGGAGCTTCCAGAGGAAGGAGGAGGCAGCAATCTTTGCTGTTCTGCAGCCTCCGCTGGTGATACCCAGGCAAATAGGGTCTGGAGTGGACCTCCAGCAAACTGCAGCAGACCTGCAGAGAGGGGTCTGACTGTTAGACTAACAAACAGAAAACAATAACATTAACATCAACAAAAAGAACCCTCCCTCCCCAACAGAAACCCCATCCAAAGGTCTTCAGCCTCAAAAATTGAAGGTAGATAAATCCACGAAGAGGAGGAAAAACCAGTGCATAAAGGCCGAAAATTCCAAAAACCAGAATTATTCTTCTCCTCCAAATGATTGCAACTCCTCTCCAGCAAGGGCACAAAACTGGACAGAGAATGAGTTTGACGAATTGACAGAAGGAGGCTTCAGAAGGTGGGTAATAACAAACTCCTGTGAGCTAAAGGAGCATGTTCTAACTCTTTAGTGCAAGGAAGCTAAGAACCTTGACAAAAGGTTACAGGAACTGCTAACTAAAATAACCAGTTTAGAGAAGAACATAAATGACCTGATGGAGCTGAAAAACACAGCATGAGAGCTTCATGAAGCATACACAAGTAACAATAGCCAAATTGATCAAGCATAAGAAAGAATATCAGAGATTGAAGATCAACTTAATGAAATAAGGTGTGAAGACAAGATTAGAGAAAAAAAGATTGAAAAGGAATGAACAAAGCCTTCAAGAAATATGGGACAATGTGAAAAGACCAATCCTATGATTGATTGGGTTTCCTGAAAGTGACCAGGAGAATGGAACCAAGTTAGAAAACACTCTTCAGGATATTATCCAGGAGAACTTCCCCAACCTAGCAAGACAGGCCAACATTCAAATTCAGGAAATACAGAGAACACCACTAATATACTCCTCAAGAAGAGCAACTCCACGACACATAATCATCAGATTCTCCAAGGTTGAAACAAAGGACAAAATACTAAGGGCAGCCAGAGAGAAAGGTCAGGTTACCTACAAAGGGAAGTCCATCAAACTAACAGCAGATCTCTTTGCAGAAATGCTGCAAGCCAGAAGAGAGTGGAGGTCAATATTCAACATTTTTAAAGAAAAGAATTTTCAGCCCAGAATTTCATATCCAGCCAAACTAAGTTTCATAAGTGAAGCTGAAATAAAATCCTTTACAGACAAGCAAATGCTGAGGGATTTTGTCACCACCAGGCCTGCCTTAAAAGAGCTCCTGAAGGAAACACTAAATATGGAAAGGAAAAACCGGTACCAGCTACTACAAAAACACACCAAAATATAAAGACCAATGACACTATGAAAAATCTGCATCAACTAATGTGCAAAATAACCAGCTAGCATTATGATGACAGGATCAAATTCACACATAACAATATTAACCTTAAATGTAAATGGGCTAAATGCCCCAGTTAAAGACACAGGCTGGCATATTGGATAAAGAGTCAAAACCCATTGGTGTGCTGTATTCAGGAGACCCACCTCACATGCAAAGACACACACAGTCTCAAAATAAAGGGATGGAGGAATATTTACCAAGCAAATGGAAAGCAAAAAAAGCAGGCAGGGGTTGCAATCCTAGTCTCTGATAAAACAGATTTTAAACCAACAAAGATCAAAAAAAACAAAGAAGAGCATTACATAATGGTAAAGGGATCAACACAACAAGAAGAGCTAACTATCCTAAATATATATGCACCCAATACAGGAGCACCCAGATTCATAAAACAAGTTCTTAGAGACCTAAAAAGAGACGTAGACTCCCACAGAATAATAGGGGGAGACTTTAACACCCCACTGTCACCCACTGTCAATATTAGACTGATCAACAAGACAGAAGATTAACAAGGATATTCAGGACTTGAACTCAGCTCTGGACCAAGTAGATCTAATAGATATCTACAGAACTCTCCACCCCAAATCAACAGAATATACATTCTTCTCAGTACCACAGCACACTTATTCTAAAATTGACCACATAATTGGAAGTAAAACATTCCTCAGCAAATGAAAAAGAACAGAAAACATAACAAACAGCCTCTCAGACCACAGTGCAATCAAATTAGAACTCAGGATTAAGAAACTCACTCAAAACTGTACAACCACATGGAAATGGAACAACCTGCTCCTGAATGACTACTGGGTACATAATGAAATGAAGGCAGAAATAAATAAGTTATTTGAAACCAACGAGAACAAAGAGAAAACATACCAGAATCTCTGGATCACAGCTAAAGCAGTGTTTAGAGGGAAGTTTATAGCACTAAATGCCCACAAGAGAAATCAGGAAAGATCTAAAATCGACACCCTAACATCACAATTAAAAGAACTAGAGAAGCAAGAGCAAACAAATTTAAAAGCTAGCAGAAGACAAGAAAAAACTAAGATCAGAGCAAAACTGAAAGAGATAGAGGCACAAAAACCCTTCAAAAAATCAATGAATCCAGGAGCTGGTTTTTTGAAAATATTAACAAAATAGATAGACTGGTAGCCAGAATAATAAACAGGAAAAGAGAGAAGAATCAAATAGACACAATAAAAAATGATAAAGGGGATATCACCACTGATCCCACAAAAATACAAACTACCATCAGAGAATACTATAAACACCTCTATGCAAATAAACTAGAAAATCTAGAAGAAATCAGTAAATTCCTGGACACATACACCCTCCCAAGACTAAACCAAGAAGAAGTGGAATCCCTCAATAGACCAATAACAAGTTCTGAAATTAAGGCAGTAATTAATAGCCTACCAACCAAAAAAAGCCCAAGACCAGGTGGATTCACAGCTGAATTCTACCAGAGGTACAAAGAGGAGTTGATACCACTCCTTCTGAAACTGTTCCAAACAATAGAAAAAGAGGGACTCCCCACTAACTCATTTTTTGAGGCCAGCATCATCCTGATACCAAAACCAGGCAGAGACACAACAAAAAAAGAAAATTTCAGGCCAATATCCCTGATGAACATCGATGGGAAGATCCTCAATAAAATTCTGCAAACCGAATCCAGCAGCACATCAAAAAGCTTATCCACCATAATCAAGTTGGCTTCATCCCTGGGATGCAAGGCTGGTTCAACATATGCATATCAGTCAACATAATCTGTTACATAAACAGAACCAATGACAAAAAGCACATGATTATCTCAATAGATTCAGAAAAGGCCTTCAATAAAATTCAACACTGCTCCATACTAAAAACTCTCAATAAACTAGGTATTGATGGAACACATGTCAAAATAATAAGAACTATTTATTACAAACTCATAGCCAATATAATACTGAATGGGCAAAAGCTGAGGGCATTCATTTGAAAACTGGGATAAAGATACCATCTCTCCCCACTCCTATTCAACATAGTATTGGAAGTTCTAGTCGGAGCAATCAGGCAAGAGAAAGAAATAAAGGGTATTTAAATAGGAGGAGAGGAATTCAAATTGTCTCTGTTTGCAAATGACATGATTGTATATTTAGAAAACCCCATCATCTCAGCCCCAAAACTCCTTAAACTGATAAGCAACTTCAGCAAAGTCTCAGGACACAAAATCAATGTGCAAAAATTTCAAGCATTCCTATATACCAATAACAGACAAGCAGAGAGCCAAATCATGAGTGAACTCCCATTCACAATTGCTACAAAGTGAATAAAATACCTAAGAATACAACTTACAAGGGAAGTGAAAGACCTCTTCAAGGAGAACTACAAGCCACTGCTCAAGGAAATGAGAGAGGATGCAAACAAATGCATAAACATTCCATGGTCATGGATAGGAAGAATCAATATCATGAAAATGGCCATACTGCCTAAAGTAATTTACAGATTCAATGCTTTTCCCATCAAGGTGCTATTCACTTTCTTCATATAACTAGAAAAAACTACTTTACATTTCACATGGAACCAGAAAAGAGCCTGTATAGCCAAGACAATCCTAAGTCAAAAGAACAAAGCTGGAGGCATCATACTACCTGACTTCAAACTATGCTGCAAGGCTGCAGCAACCAAAACAGCATGGTACTGACACCAAAACCGATATTTAGACCAATGGAACAGAACAGAGGCCTCAGAAATAATACCACACATCTACAACCATCTGATCTTCACCAAACCTGACAACAATAAGCAATGGGGAAAGGATTACACATTTAATAAATGGTGCTGGGAACACTGGCTAGCCATATGCAGAAAACAGAACTGGAACCCTTCCTTACACCTTATAGAAAAATTAACCCAAGATGGATTAAAGACTTAAATGTAAAACCTAAAACTATAATAACCGTAGAATAAACCCTAGGCAATACCATTCATGACATAAGCATGGGCAAAGCCTTCATGACTAAAACACTAAAAACAATTGCAACAAAAGCCAAAATTGACAAATGGGATCTAATTCAACTAAAGAGCTTCTGCTCAGCAAAATAAACTACCATCAGAGTTAACAGGCAATCTAAAGAATGGGAGATAATTTTTGCAATCTATCCATCTGACAAAGGTCTAATGTCTAGTATCTACAAGGAAGTTAAAACAAATGTACAAGAAAAAAACAACCCCATCAAAAAGTGGGTGAAGCATTTGAACAGACACTTCTCAAAAGATGACATTTATGCAGCCAACAAACGTATGAAAAAAAGCTTATCACTGGTTATTAGAGAACTGCAAATCAAAACCACAATGAGATACCATCTCATGCCAGTTAGAATGATGATCATTAAAAAGTCTGGAAACAACAGATACTGGCAAGAATGCAGAGAAATAGGAATGCTTTTACATGGTTGGTAGGAGTGTAAATTAGTTCAACCATTGTGAAAGACAGTGTGGCAATTTCTCAAGGATCTTAGAACCAAAAATACCATTTGACCCAGCAATCCCCTTACTGGGTATATACCCAAAGGATTATAAGTCATTCTACTATAAAGACACATGCACACATGTTTATTGCAGCAGTATTTACCATAGCAAAGACTTGGAACCAACCCAAATGCCTATCAATTATAGACAGGATAAAGAAAATGTGGCACATATACACCATGGAATACTATGCAGTCATAAAAAAGGAATGAATTCACATCCTTTGCAGGGATATGGATGAAGCTAGCAAGCATCATCCTCAGCAAACTAACACAGGAGCAGAAAACCAAACACTGCATGTTGTCACTCATAAGTGGGAGTTGAACAATGAGAACACATGGACACAGGGAGGGGAACATCACACAGCAGGGTCTGTTGAGGGGTCGGGGGAAAGAGGAGGGAGAGCATTAGGACAAATACCTAATGCATGCAGGGCTTAAAACCTAGATGACGGGTTAATAGGTACAGCAAACCACCGTGGCACAAGTATACTTATGTAACAGACCTGCACATTCAGCACATGTATCCCAGAACCTAAAGTAAAATAAATAAATAAAATTAAAAAAAATTTTAAAAATAAAAAATTATGTTCTGGAGGGAGGGTGAAATGAATTGTTCTTGAAAGGCTATAAAGTTTGTTATGAGTAAAGAGTAGAGATCTGATTTACAAAATAGTACCTATAGCTAAGAATACAGTATTTTGCATTTTAAAATATGTTAAGAGGCTAGATCTCATGTTAAGTGATTTTACCAAACAACTTACCAACCAACCAACCAAACAATTAACCAACCAACCAGCCAACCAACCAACCAAACAGAAAATCAACAAAGAAGACAAGGACATTTTTGGAGGTGACGGATATGTCTAGTACTTTGGTTGTGGTGGTGGTATCACAGGTATATGCATTTGTTCAAATGATTCAAGATGTGTACATTAAGTCTTTGCTTTAGGGGTATATCAATTATACCTCAATAAAACTAAAAAATTATGGGCAATGCAACAATGGAAAATCCTTAGTACTGAGTAAAAGTATTAATATGTCTGAGAAGCATGCATTAGTCTTTGCACTTAAATATGTTGATTTTTTGTTTAATTTTTCTCTACAAACAATTTCATTCAGTTGGTTAAGGAGCACAGGCTGATTTTTTTATAATTGAAATTCAGAAAGGCAGAGTTTAATTGCCTTGATTGAATTTGCATTCATGCTGGTGTTTTTAGTTAGTAGGGTATGCTAAATAAAACAAGCAAACAATCTTCATTACCTTTGGAATTACCAATCAAGCTCCTTTTCTCATTTCTGTAGGTCTTTACTGCCAATTTACTGAGAGCATATTTTCAGTATCTGAATTTTATAGGCTGTGGCACAACTGATTAGGGCTAAAAGCTGACCACCAGGTGGTTGAGGAGTGGTTAATTGAAGGAATGGGCACCATAATTACAGATTAAGTGAGGCATATTGGAGTTAGGAATCAAAGAGTCTCATCTGATTAACTCAGTTTTGTATAGAATTTTAGTTTTTATCAAAGTCATACATATACAGAGTTTAAACAATTTACTGTTTTTTAAAAAAGCAAAACACAACAAAAACAAAATAGTGGGCTTCTACTCTGCTGTTCGCCATCTTTGAGTCTTCTCCCCTAGAGACAACCACTTTCGTTTCTTTAGGCTCTTTCCTCTGATACTGACTATATATTTCCATTGCTTGAATTTCCAATTATAAGAATTTATTTTGACTTCATATTACCAAAGGTGAGGATTTAAGACTCTCTTACCTACCCCCAACATATACTCACTTTTCTATCCTCCTAACATGGCTATATGTCAGTTTTGGGGCAAAACCGTATTTAGAGATTGCGTTATTATTTCTACATAAGCAATGTCCCACCGCTGAGCTGCAGAGTGTCCTAGGACTGTATTTATTTTATTTTACTTTTTCCCCTTGGTGTTAATTATGCCACGTATTTTATTTGCTTAGTTTTCTGTATGCCAGAGGCTTAATCACGCTAATCTCCCCTACAGAATTATAAATAAGATCTCTCTTATCTGGTCAAATACATCAGGGATTCTATTCATTTTATTTTATTGTTTTCCTCTGGAAACATCTCTCTTGAAACCACCTATTCTTCTTCTCCAACCTGGAGCTTTCTAGAGCCTGCAGAGCTGGGTTACTGAAGCCCCACTTCATCACTATCCTGGGAATTCTCATTGTCTCTGTCACTCCTGCATTGAATTCTGTTTGCTGGGCCCCATGTTTCCTCCTTTCTTGGTTGGATCTGTCATTTGGTGGAGCATGTCCTCTGGTAGCTTCCGGAGAGAGGATCCATGAAGTGACTCTTTTAGAGACATTGTATATCTGAAAATTTCTTTTCCAGGTATAGAGTTCTGGTTTGGACATGATTTTTCCTTCTGTATTTCGAACTTCTAGATTCCAGTCCTCCTATTGAGAAGCCCAATGCCATTGTGATTCCTGATCTTCTATTTCAACTTTTGGCATCTCTGATGTTCCGAGATTCCAGTTCTGTGCCTTGGTGTGGGTCATTTTTAAAATCCCTCGACTGGACATTGTGTGGGCCCCTTCAATGTGGGAAATCATGTTCTTCAATGTTATAAAATTATATTTATATGGTTTATGTGACAGTTCCTTTTTTTCTGCTTTCTCCTTTTAGAAATTATATTGTTTAGATGCTAAACTTACCAGATTCTTCTTGTCCAATATTGTCTTCTGTTTTCCATTTTTGGGGGAGGTCATGTTCATTCTATTTTCTGGGCCAGGGTGATTTCTTGGTCTTTTAAATTCAAGTTGTTCTTCTGGTCTCCTCTCAATTTCCTTAGTCCCGCACTCTACTGCCCCATTTTAAAAAAACTCTGTGTTAATTCTCTTATTCTTTGTAATTACTCCTTTGATAAAATATCATCCCTTTTTTATGGATGCAAAAGTATTCTGTAAACCTTTATTAAAGTCCCATAGATGCCTGTAGAGTCCTTTTAGGATTTGGGGTAAGTCAAGGTGGTAGAGCTTAGGTCCATGCCTGGATGTATGGAGAATATTTGTATTTTAAAGGAAATGCAAGAAAAAAAAGGGGAGTGTGAGTGAGGTCAAGAATTAGGGGGAGCAGGAACTTAAGGCCAAATGTCTCCATGAAATGTCAGTGCATGGCAACACACAGAAAGCCTGTGGAGGGTTCATGATAGAGACCTTGAGGCAGTCCCATTTTATTCTCAGTCTTGATAGTTTCAGTCTACACCTGGATTGCAACAATTTTGCTCTACATACATGCATATCTCATATTCTTGTGGCTGTATGGAACCCCATCCTCTCCATACCCCTTACCCCCGTCTACCAAAACACACACACCCAAACGCATGCACAAACACACATACAAATACACACACACAACCACACACAGTCACGAACATACAAACACACATACAGACACACACAAGTACACAAAAACACATACATATGAACACAAAAACACAAAGATTCACAAACACAGGCACACACACACACTCACAAACATACAAACACACATACAGACACAAACAAGCACAAACATACACAAACACATACAGGCGCATTTACACTCACAAACATACAAACACACATACAGACATACACAGCATGGCATGCACAAACACACACAATACAGTTACACACAAACACATACAAGAATACACACAGTCACAAATGTACAAACACAGACACAAGCACACACACAAGCACACACAAACACACACAAACACATACAGACACATACACACTCATAAACACACACACAGTCAAACACACAAACACATACATGTGTGGTACACAGATGTCTTAACTGTGTCAGGAGAAACCTTTTTTCTCTACTAGTCATTTTCTCACTGTGCTAATAGTGTCTTCATTGACTTGTGCCCTTCAGCCCTTCTCTGTATAGGGGACTTTGACTAATGGGACTCAGCTCAAACTGGGGAGAATTTTCCGATGCTCCCAGGCAGAATTTATCTTTCCCTCCTCCGTAGTCTTGTGGCAGTCCACACTTGGAACTTTACGTTTTAATTTTGTTTTCTATATATTTCCCCTCTCCAACTGCATCATCGCCCCTCCACAACCATAAAAAAATTTGCTGAGCACTTTTCTAAGAATATGTTACCAAATGGACCCGTTTAGTTATCATAACAACTGTATGAAGTAGCTATTATTACCAACCTCACTGCCTAGGTGAAGAAGCGGAGGTGCAGAGGAGATGCGTCCCCAGCCCATGGTCCTCAGCCAGGGAGAGTTTCAGAACATGAGCCAGGCAGTGGTTACACGTCCCATGCCTTTCTCTGCGGATCTACTGCCCAGCATAGTGTGGGTGCGTTCTCAGGAATGCTCATTCATCAGTGAATTCGTTCATAATACATTCTTAAAAAGATGGCAAACATTTTGTCTTGGTCACAAGTTGGAACTCATTTAAGGTAAATGTGTAAAATGTTCTGGAGAAAACGGTTGTTGTGCTTGTCATTTATTTGTTTTATCAAACACTGGGCACAGGCTCTAAAGCTCTGCTCAGTGAACTGATTTATGGAGGTAATTTGTTCATTGATTTATGTTTAATACCCCTGCCAATGCACTATTTTGCTTAATAGTCTCACTTTCCTGCTGGCAGCTAGACTTGGATGGGGTGACTAATCCACCACAGGGTGTCAGGTGGGCCTTCCCAGCCATGCTGAGAGTGGCTGTGCTGTCTCACTAATGAGTAAGTCTCCACACCGACTGTCACTCGCCAGGCAAAGCTGTCGTTGTGCAGATGCTGCTGAATACCCGAGCTCTTCCTTGCCAAATCCCCACCAACATTTTCTTTGTAATTACTCCTTTTATAAAATATCACTCCTTTTATACAAAATGAAGACATGGATGTGACCACTGGATTCTGAATTCTGGGGATCATTGGTGATTTCCCAAGATCAGTGTCACCAACATCAATTGTTCCAAGTATGATGTTGCCAAATGATGGGAAAACAAGACCTGTTGGAGTGGGTGGAGGGGGAATGAGATGTAAGCGTTAGGAGGCACTAATGATAAATTTCTTCTAGAAGAAATGTCTTGTGAAGAGGAATTGAGATTGCAAGTGATATGAGGGACAAGGGAGGATTTTGTTTTTTAACATGGGAAGATATTTATAAACCAGTGGACATAAAACAGTAGAGAAAAAGGAAACTGATGTGCTGTTAGAATTAATAATGCACATAAAACTATGAAACAAATACAAATGAAACAGAAGAGTGGAGGGAATTATTGTTTTAAAAAATGTACTATGTCTGATATGAAAGAATTTATGTCTAATCATAAAAGAATTTCCCTGAAAAGCAAAGAGAGGGGACTGAGTGCAGTGGCTTACTCCTGTAATCCCAACACTTTGAGACATTGAGAAAGGAGGATGACTTGAGGCCAGGAGTTCAAGACCAGCCTGGGCAACATAGCGAGACCCCTGTCTTGCCAAAAAATTAATATAAATTAAGTGGGTACGGTCATGCATGTCTGTCCCAGCTACTCAAGAGGCTGAGGTGAGAAGTACAGTTGAGCCCAGGAGTTGGAGGCTGCAGTGAGCCATGGATCTTGCCACTGCACTCCAGCCTGGGTGACAGAGTGAGACCCCATCTCAAAAAAAGAAAAAGAAAGAGTGAATATATCTACCAAAAGTGGGGGTATTTCTTTGACTCACTTCGGTTCTGGCACCTGGAACTTTTAATAATTCCTCTAATTACTTATTTGTTAGTTTTCAGTGTAGCTTTAATTGCCGAATAGGCACTATGAGATAAACTGACCAAGACTAGTCTTGCTGTGCACATTTGTATGGGGTCTGCAGTCATTTCTACATGAATGAGGCTTTTAAGAAATATTCCAATAAAATGACAAACCAAGTAACTCTTGCCAGTTATCTGATCTGTGAATTACACATCTGCAGTATTGTAAAATGATCTGAAGCTCAACTATGACTGTCTCAGCCCTCTCCAGACCATGACATGGATGGCAGCTGGATTGATATCAATGGAGGGAATTTTGTTTCCTCTTTCACTAGTCCAGGTATTGCTGCTTCCACTTCGAAGGAGATAATAAAATTTGTGTTTACCAGATTCCGAATGACTGGTGTATCTATTTTTTTTTCAGAAGATGATTTGGATAGTATGTGGATTTTTATTCCCCAAAGAAGTATTTCTTGGTTGTTTATGACTTTGTGAAGATGTCTACGCAGAAGTTCAAGACTCTGGGTTACCCCTCCTCTTTGCTAATCATTTGCTAGAGGTGCATAGAGAGAAGAAGATAGTCTTTAGTGTATCTATGTTCATATGTGCAAAAAGCCCCAAAATCTCTCACAGAGCTTGTCTTACTGCTGAAAGTAGAATGCTCTCCCTATCTCCTCAAAGATTTAGGATTTCTCTCCAGTCTCACTCAGGACAATACATCACAGCTAATACAAGCTGAGATATGTATTTAATTACAACTTCTGGTACAGTAAAAGGTAGTAGCTTGTATAAAGTCTAGAAAGAGAACAAAATAGTGAGAATATTATCGTATGCCTAAGAAATGGCTTACCAGACCAAAGATCAAAAAATACTGCCAATAAAATGTACCATGAATTCTGCATGATCTATTCAAAGTTGCTAAAGTGAGCAGGTAAAATTAACACCCAGTGATAAATATTGTCTCTTCCAACTGGAATTCTCTATGATTTAATTAAAAATGTATCCATCTTGCCAAATGATGGGATTACAAGGATGAGACATACTTATGTAAATTATATTCTTTGTCACTCAACTTGGACCTTGGCTACATCCCAGGGTGGACTATTTGCTAGATATTTCATTAATATTAATGCTGTCTCCCACCTGCCATTTTGACCAGTGTCAGCTTTCTAGATCCTCCTCATACCACCATTAATCTATAATGGGCATTTCAGAAATATGAATTCATTATAATATTTTTATGTTTAAAAGTAAATCCAACCAGTGAGTTATTTGTGGTCTGCTTGCGAGCTCACAGCAAGCTGGAGAAGACACATAAGAAAAGATAATAACTATACAACGAGCTACATAATACAATGGATGATAAAATAAAGGGTGTGTAAAGTCATAGAAGTCAAGAAAGAAAGTGGTTCAAGAAAAACGACCTGGTCAGCGGCAGCAAATACTGCTGCCAGGTGAAGTGAAATGAAGACATGGATGTGACCACTGGATTCTGAATTCTGGGGATCACTGGCGATTTCCCAAGGTCAATGTCACCAACATCAATTGATCCAAGTATGATATTGCCAAGAGATGGGAAAAGAAGACCTATGGGAACGGATGGAGCGGGAATGAGATGTAAGTGTTAGGAGGCACTAATGATAAACTTCTAGAAGAAATGTGTTGTGAAGGGGAACTGAGACTGGAGATGCTATGAGGGACAAGGGAGGATTTTATTTTTAATGTGGGAAGATAGTTATAAACTGATGGACATAAAACAGAGAAAAGGAAAACTGATTTGCTGTTAGAATTAAGTTAGTAATTCACATAAAACTATGAAATACAAATGAGACAGGAGAGTGGAGGTAATGATTATTATTGTTTTTAAAATGTACTATGTCTAATTATGAAAGAATTTCACAGTCACCAAATAAATCACTGAAAAATATGAAAGGGTAAAACCAAACTATCCATAAATTAATCATTCATAAATAACTTGTTTGGTTATTTTATTAGTTCTGCTCTGCTTTTTCATTCCAGTTTTATATTCAGTATTAATATGCAGTAGGAAAATTTCCTTCATTAATCCTACAGTGTATTTTTAATCATCTATCTTTGTTCATTTTTCCAAAGGAACTTCATGTCCATTCTGTGATGTTATAAAAATATACTATTGAGATTTTAATTTTGAAGAAATTTATAAATAACTTTACAGTAGTCAATCTTCTTATTATCACACTTCATATTTTTCCATTATTTTTATTTCTAGTTTTCTTCTTAAAGGCTCTACACATATCTTGTTAAGCTAGTCCCTGAGTATTTTGTTATTTTTATTATCATAGAATGTTTTTATTTTACCAGTTGTCACAACTGAGCAGTTGATCACTAATAGTAGCTCAGCGATTTTAAAGGGAGTTTTCCTTTGACAAGATGGATCTAGACCACTATAATGGAAAGAATGAAACAGCTTTAATTTGTGTAATTCTAATCTTTATCTAAAAATCAATGTCATTGTTCTGATTCTCGACTCAATGTATCATACTATATGCACTGAGACTGCATTTAGCCTTATACAATATGTTAGCTTCTTTTACATGGTTTCAGTGTCGTTTGCTTACTCACTTTTAGCCAAAAGTATGATTCAAGCATCTCCTTACATATTTCTCAAAGTTAATTATTCAAGCACATATTGTATAGGATTTGAACTTAATGGGGTTTGTACACCATGATCACTCACTCCTTTTGTTTAAGGAAACCTTACATACCTTGCTCTTTGCAAATACTCCTATTCACATTTATATTTCTGAGGAACATATTCTGATGTGCGATGAAAAATAAACAAGACCAGCGGAGGAGCCAAGATGGCCGAATAGGAACAGCTCCGATCTACAGCTCCCAGCGTGAGCGACGCAGAAGACGGGTGATTTCTGTATTTCCATCTGAGGTACCGGGTTCATCTCACTAGGGAGTGCCAGACAGTGGGCGCAGGCCAGTGGGTGTGCGCAACGTGCGCGAGCCGAAGCAGGGCGAGGCATTGCCTCACCTGGGAAGCGCAAGGGGTCAGGGAGTTCCCTTTCCGAGTCAAAGAAAGGGGTGACGGAGGCACCTGGAAAATCGGGTCACTCCCACCCAAATATTGCGCTTTTCAGACTGGCTTAAAAAACGGCGCACCACGAGACTATATCCCACACCTGGCTTGGAGGGTCCTACGCCCACGGAATCTCGCTGATTGCTAGCACAGCAGTCTGAGATCAAACTGCAAGGCGGCAGCGAGGCTGGGGGAGGGGCGCCCGCCATTGCCCAGGCTTGCTTAGGTAAACAAAGCAGCCAGGAAGCTCGAACTGGGTGGAGCCCACCACAGCTCAAGGAGGCCTGCCTGCCTCTGTAGGCTCCAGCTCTGGGGGCAGGGCACAGACAAACAAAAAGACAGCAGTAACCTCTGCAGACTTGAATGTCCCTGTCTGACAGCTTTGAAGAGAGCAGTGGTTCTCCCAGCACGCAGCTGGAGATCTGAGAACAGGCAGACTGCCTCCTCAAGTGGGTCTCTGACCCCTGACCCCCGAGCAGCCTAACTGGGAGGCACCCCCCAGCAGGGGCACACTGACACCTCACACTGCAGGGTATTCCAACAGACCTGCAGCTGAGGGTCCTGTCTGTTAGAAGGAAAACTAACAAACAGAAAGGACATCCACACTGAAAACCCATCTGTACATCACCATCATCAAAGACCAAAAGTAGATAAAACCACAAAGATGGGGAAAAAACAGAACAGAAAAACTGGAAACTCTAAAACGCAGAGCGCCTCTCCTCCTCCAAAGGTACGCAGTTCCTCACCAGCAACGGAACAAAGCTGGATGGAGAATGACTTTGACGAGCTGAGAGAAGAAACCTACAAGCCAGAAGAGAGTGGGGGCCAATATTCAACATTCTTAAAGAAAAGAATTTTCAACCCAGAATTTCATATCCAGCCAAACTAAGCTTCATAAGTGAAGGAGAAATAAAATACTTTACAGACAAGCAAATGCTGAGAGATTTTGTCACCACCAGGCCTGCCCTAAAAGAGCTCCTGAAGGAAGCGCTAAACATGGAAAGGAACAACTGGTACCAGCTGCTGCAAAATCATGCCAAAATGTAAAGACCATCGAGACTAGGAAGAAACTGCATCAACTAACGAGCAACATCACCAGCTAACGTCATAATGACAGGATCAAATTCACACATAACAATATTAACTTTAAATGTAAATGGACTAAATTCTCCAATTAAAAGACACAGACTGGCAAGTCGGATAAAGAGTCAAGACCCATCAGTGTGCTGTATTCAGGAAACCCATCTCATGTGCAGAGACACACATAGGCTCAAAATTAAAGGATGGAGGAAGATCTACCAAGCAAATGGAAAACAAAAAAAGGCAGGGGTTGCAATCCTAGTCTCTGATAAAACAGACTTGAAACCAACAAAGATCAAAAGAGACAAAGAAGGCCATTACATAATGGTAAAGGGATCAATTCAACAAGAGGAGCTAACTATCCTAAATATATATGCACCCAATACAGGAGCACCCAGATTCATAAAGCAAGTCCTGAGAGACCTACAAAGAGACTTAGACTCCCACACATTAATAATGGGAGACTTTAACACCCCACTGTCAACATTAGACAGATCAACGAGACAGAAAGTCAACAAGGATACCCAGGAATTGAACTCACCTCTGCACCAAGCGAACCTAATAGACATCTACAGAACTCTCCACCCCAAATCAACAGAATATACATTTTTTTCAGCACCACACCACACCTATTCCAAAATTGACCACATAGTTGGAAGTAAAGCTCTCCTCAGCAAATGTAAAAGAACAGAGATTATAACAAACTGTCTCTCAGACCACAGTGCAATCAAACTAGAACTCAGGATTAAGAATCTCACTCAAAGCCGCTCAACTACATGGAAACTGAACAACCTGCTCCTGAATGACTACTGGGTACATAACGAAATGAAGGCAGAAATAAAGATGTTCTTTGAAACCAACGAGAACAAAGACACAACATACCAGAATCTCTGGGACGCATTCAAAGCAGTGTGTAGAGGGAAATTTATAGCACTAAATGCCCACAAGAGAAAGCAGGAAAGATCCAAAATTGACACCCTAACATCACAATTAAAAGAACTAGAAAAGCAAGAGCAAACACATTCAAAAGCTAGCAGAAGGCAAGAAATAACTAAAATCAGAGCAGAACTGAAGGAAATAGAGACACAAAAAACCCTTCAAAAAATCAATGAATCCAGGAGCTGGTTTTTTGAAAGGATCAACAAAATTGATAGACCACTAGCAAGACTAATAAAGAAAAAAAGAGAGAAGAATCAAATAGACACAATAAAAAATGATAAAGGGGATATCACCACCGATCCCACAGACATACAAACTACCATCAGAGAATACTACAAACACCTCTACGCAAATAAACTAGAAAATCTAGAAGAAATGGATACATTCCTCGACACATACACTCTCCCAAGACTAAACCAGGAAGAAGTTGAATCTCTGAATAGACCAATAACAGGATCTGAAATTGTGGCAATAATCAGTAGTTTACCAACCAAAAAGAGTCCAGGACCAGATGGATTCACAGCCGAATTCTACCAGAGGTACAAGGAGGAACTGGTACCATTCCTTCTGAAACTATTCCAATCAATAGAAAAAGAGGGAATCCTCCCTAACTCATTTTATGAGGCCAGCATCATTCTGATACCAAAGCCGGGCAGAGACACAACCAAAAAAGAGAATTTTAGACCAATATCCTTGATGAACATTGATGCAAAAATCCTCAATAAAATACTGGCAAACCGAATCCAGCAGCACATCAAAAAGCTTATCCACCATGATCAAGTGGGCTTCATCCCTGGTATGCAAGGCTGGTTCAATATACGCAAATCAATAAATGTAATCCAGCATATAAACAGAGCCAAAGACAAAAACCACATGATTATCTCAATAGATGCAGAAAAAGCCTTTGACAAAATTCAACAACCCTTCATGCTAAAAACTCTCAATAAATTAGGTATTGATGGGACGTATTTCAAAATAATAAGAGCTATCTATGACAAACCCACAGCCAATATCATACTGAATGGGCAAAAACTGGAAGCATTCCCTTTGAAAACTGGCACAAGACAGGGATGCCCTCTCTCACCGCTCCTATTCAACATAGTGTTGGAAGTTCTGGCCAGGGCAATCAGGCAGGAGAAGGAAATAAAGGGTATTCAATTAGGAAAAGAGGAAGTCAAATTGTCCCTGTTTGCAGACGACATGATTGTTTATCTAGAAAACCCCATTGTCTCAGCCCAAAATCTCCTTAAGCTGATAAGCAACTTCAGCAAAGTCTGAGGATACAAAATCAATGTACAAAAATCACAAGCATTCTTATACACCAACAACAGACAAACAGAGAGCCAAATCCTGAGTGAACTCCCATTCACAATTGCTTCAAAGAGAATAAAATACCTAGGAATCCAACTTACAAGGGATGTGAAGGACCTCTTCAAGAAGAACTACAAATCACTGCTCAAGGAAATAAAAGAGGATACAAACAAATGGAAGAACATTCCATGCTCATGGGTAGGAAGAATCAATATCGTGAAAATGGCCATACTGCCCAAGGTAATTTACACATTCAATGCCATCCCCATCAAGCTACCAATGACTTTCTTCACAGAATTGGAAAAAACTACTTTAAAGTTCATATGGAACCAAAAAAGAGCCCACATCGCCAAGTCAATCCTAAGCCAAAAGAACAAAGCTGGAGGCATCACACTACCTGACTTCAAACTATACTACAAGGCTACAGTAACCAAAACAGCATGGTACTGGTACCAAAACAGAGATATAGATCAATGGAAGAGAACAGAGCCCTCAGAAATAACGCCGCATATCTACAACTATCTGATCTTTGACAAACCTGAGAAAAACAAGCAATGGGGAAAGGATTCCCTATTTAATAAATGGTGCTGGGAAAACTGGCTAGCCATATGTAGAAAGCTGAAACTGGATCCCTTCCTTACACCTTATACAAAAATCAGTTCAAGATGGATTAAAGATTTAAACGTTAGACCTAAAACCATAAAAACCCTAGAAGAAAACCTAGGCATTACCATTCAGGACATAGGCGTGGGCAAGGACTTCATGTCCAAAACACCAAAAGCAATGGCAACAAAAGCCAAAATTGACAAATGGGATCTAATTAAACTAAAGAGCTTCTGCACAGCAAAAGAAACTACCATCAGAGTGAACAGGCAACCTACAACATGGGAGAAAATTTTCGCAACCTACTCATCTGACAAAGGGCTAATATCCAGAATCTACAATGAACTCAAACAAATTTACAAGAAAAAAACAAACAACCCCATCAAAAAGTGGGCGAAGGACATGAACAGGCACTTCTCAAAAGAAGACATTTATGCAGCCAAAAAACACATGAAAAAATGCTCATCATCACTGGCCATCAGAGAAATACAAATCAAAACCACTATGAGATATCATCTCACACCAGTTAGAATGGCAATCATTAAAAAGTCAGGAAACAACAGGTGCTGGAGAGGATGTGGAGAAATAGGAACACTTTTACACTGTTGGTGGGACTGTAAACTAGTTCAACCATTGTGGAAGTCAGTGTGGCGATTCCTCAGGGATCTAGAACTAGAAATACCATTTGACCCAGCCATCCCATTACTGGTTATATACCCAAAGGACTATAAATCATGCTGCTATAAAGACACATGCACACGGATGTTTATTGCGGCATTATTCACAATAGCAAAGACTTGGAACCAACCCAAATGTCCAACAATGATAGACTGGATTAAGAAAATGTGGCACATATACACCATGGAATACTATGCAGCCATAAAAAATGATGAGTTCATGTCCTTTGTAGGGACATGGATGAAATTGGAAACCATCATTCTCAGTAAACTATCGCAAGAAAAAAAAAAACCAAACACCGCATATTCTCACTCATAGGTGGAAATTGAACAATGAGATCACATGGACACAGGAAGGGGAATATCACATTCTGGGGACTGTGGTGGAGTGGGGGGAGGGGGGAAGGATAGCACTGGGAGATATACCTAATGCTAGATGACGAGTTAGTGGGTGCAGCGCACCAGCATGGCACATGTATACATATGTAACTAACCTGCACAATGTGCACATGTACCCTAAAACTTAAAGTATAATAAAAAAAAAAAAAAAGAAAAAAGAAAAATAAACAAGACCAGATGTTTCTTTCTCTCTTTACTTTGAGACTAGGTATTTCAACATTGGAATGGTTCAAATATAGTAAGTAAAATACAACGCTTGTAATAATAGTTTGTAAATAAATCTCTAATTGGCTGTCATGTAATTGACAAAGACATCTGCTTCTTGGCTGTTGTTGGTAGCATCAGTCTCACCATCTCTGTCCTGGTGGGTCTGTGTTTTATAAAGGCAAGCAGTGGTGCTGGGGCAGTTACGTTTCTGTTACCCCGTGATAGCCTGAAAAGAATGGAGCCACTGATATACGTATTCTCAAAACACTAAGAATGACACATAAACATTTATTTTTAATATTTGCAACTGAATAAGGCAACTTATAATTCAAAGCACTGTCAAACATTAAAATATAAAATTAGAAAGAATTCAGAATTCTGCTGTGGTAGAATTGCAATAACATGTTGTGCTCATGCCTGCTTCTAATATTGTTATCAGAGTTCAAGCCCAGCTCATTGGGCGTTATTGTTTCTATTGGATTCTAGATGAAGTAGAGCAATGAAGGAGCACTGGGCTTGGAATCAGCAGAACGGACCCAGTAGTGTGGCTGTGAAAAAGCCATTTCTCTCTAGATCCTCAGCAGGGAGAAGAAGAGAGGAGAGAGTAGGCCGTATGGCAGGCATGGGGACTATGGACATTTGGGCCACTTCTTTTGAACCACAAGTAATTGTGCCTTCAGGGCCTGCTTAAGCCCCATCCTATATATTTCACTTCTGTAAAGTGCATGCCAGCTTTCTGGCCTACTGGGCCACACACCGCTATGAGAAAAAGCGTGTTGTTGAAGAATTGAGAAAGCCCCTTCTGACTACACTGTACTTTGAGGTTTCTCTCTTGATAATGAAATAGGAAAAGAAAATTTTTATAAAGCCAGATGGTTTTAAATATTGAGTTCTACATGTTAAATAAATGATTTTTTTTTGTCAAAGCATGAAGTGAAAAGCTTTTTATATCAATATTTTAACAGTTTAATATTTATATTGGATAATTAGAACAGCTTGATTATTAACTTTAAAAACAGTAAATAGGACCTTAGATAATCAGTTTTTCAAAATAGCAATGTAGGTACTATTGGAATCTGTTTTAAAGTATGATATACTGGTAAAATCTTAGCCCATTAATATGAATACAAACACTATAGAAATAGCCCTGGAGGTTAAAGGCTGGGTGTCTGAATATCATATTGATCATTCCTGAAATCACCAGCCCTAAGTTTACAGCAACACTTTTTAGTCCCTATTATCTTAGCAAAATTTACATTGATTGGGGAAGAAAGAAAATTCTGTCAGTCCCTTTGCCATGCTCTCTGAAGAAGGGTACTTTTCTAAAGGAGCAAGATTTTACTTTTCAAAGCATTTTCCTTTATGAGACTTTCTTATTCTGCAGGTTTTGTTCTTTATATCCAGCAGAATTGAACCACTTACTATGTAATAAGCCCTTACATGTGACATACCTGTCACGTCACTTACCATGTTTCCATGACTATCATTGTTGTCATTTTACACCAGTAGAAAGTGAAAATTGGTGAGGCTCAGAAATTAAGGCACAAAGAAAGTCAGTGGCAAAGGTGGGATTTGACTTCAGAGCCCAAGCCCCTCTCACTTGCTACCTCTCTCTCTCTTCTCCCCTCAACAGCCCTTAATGAAAAAGCAGAGTAGAATAGCAAAATATCAAAACAAGTTATTTATGAATTCATTACCAGACCAAAGATCAAAAATACTGCCAATAAAATGTACCATGAATTCTGCATGATGCATTCAAATTTGCTAAAGTGAGCAGGTAAGATTAACACCAGGTAATATATATTGTCTCTTCCAACTGGAATTCTCTATGATTCAATTAAAAACGCATGCATGTTGACAAGTGATGGGATTACAAGGATGAGACATACGAAGTAAATGCCAGATGTCTCCATTTCACAGACGAGAAAGCTAAGGCCTTGTGTGGATAGGTGACTTACCTAAGGCCATATAACTGGTTCAATAGTGAAAAACCCAGATCCCCGTCTATTTTTTGGCTCTGCCAGGCTGCTTGCTTCTTGCCATGGGTGCAGAAGCCCGTGTGTTTTGCCTTGGCAGGCTGGGAAGAATGCTGCGCTAATCCTTCTCACTGCTTCAGCGTTGGTGCTGCTTCTACCCTTGCTGTAATTTAAGACCTAAGTATTTTATTATTAGCTTAATTTTCATATCCTTTTGGATTTCATGTTTTGCAACGTGGCCTATATTCTGAAAGGCAAAAATGTTTTTAGGGATGCTCGGCTGATTAATATCTTTGTTCTGGTCCTTTGTTAAAATTCATCTTCCTTTCAAGTGACTAAAACATTTAACTCAAAGCAGGGACATAGCTGGACTTTCTGGGGTGACTGGGGACTGAAATGGTGGAGGTGAGAGGAAGTGTGGAGATACAGAGGTGGACTCAAGTCTGTGCTGTGACTCTTCTTTTCCTTACTGCTTCTGAGTTTTACCAGCACCTTTAAGTCAGGTGTTGCCCCAACTTACCAAAGAACCGAAGTTCAGAAAGCTTCTCAGATGATTTCATTTATTAGTTTATTTACTCACTTGATTTTATCCATCAATCTATCCATCCTCCAATAAGCATCTACTTAGCAGTTACTATGTGTTAAGCTGGTGTCCAGTCCTTATTTTTCCTCGATAATGAGAAATACCTGGGACCCACGCTACAATCCCCGTGCTTTGACTATTCTAAGTATGGTCCCTGCAACAGTACGGATGCCACTTGGGAGTTTATTAGGGATGAAGACTCGCAGGCTGCCCCCTGGACCTACCAAAGAAGAACCTATGTTTTAACAAAACCCCTCTTCCACCTAGGGATTTGAATTACATCAGCATTGACAAAGCACAGTCCTGGAGATCCTCGTCATCAGAGAAGCTTGGGACATGCTTTTGGGCATTGTGTTGGAGGGTTTTGATGCCCAGAGAAGTGTAAAGTATTTTCTTTGCCCACAAGATGCTCACCTTAAAGTCTCAAGGACTTTGCTTCTCAAAGTGACCTCCAAGGACTGTTAGTTGAAGACCACATAAGTTTAAATTCAAGAGTGCCCCAACTCTGTCATTAAGCCCCTGACTCTGAATTCAGGCATTCACCCTTCTTTCAGCCTCATCAAACTCTGCTTTTGTTTCATGTTGTCCACCTCTCATGGGGCCTTTTGTGACAACATGTTCAGTGCATTAGTCCATTTTCGCATTGCTATAAAGAAATGCCTGAGATGGGGTAATTTATAAAAAGAGAAATGTAATTGGCTCACAATTCCGCAGGCTGTACAGGAAGGATGATGAGGCTGGCATCTGCTCAGCTTCTGGGGAGGCTTCAGGAATCAAACAATCAAGGTGGAAGGCAAAGGGGGAGCCAGACGTCTCACATGGCTGGAGTAGGAGAAAGAGAGGGAGGGAGGAGGTGCCACACACTTTTAAACAACCAGATCTCCTGAGAATTCACTATCATGACAACAGTTCCAAGGGAATGGTGTTTCTCAAGGGAACCATGAGAAACTGCCCGCATGATCCAATCACCTCCCACCAAGCCCCACCTCCAATATTGGTGACTATAATTCAACATAAGATTTGGGTGGGGAGACAGATCCAAACCATATCATTCTAACCCTGTCCCCTCCCAAATCTAATGTCCTTCTCACATTGAAAAATACAAAGATCCCCTCTCAACAGTTGCCCAAAGTCTTAAATCATTCCAGCATTAACTCAAAAACCCAAAGTCCAAAGTCTTATCTGAGATAAGGCAAGGTCCTTCCACATATAAGCGTGTAAAATCACTTGTTTTTGATTTCGCATGCTCATAGGTGGAAGTATCTTGTTACTTCCAAGATACAGTGGGAGTATAGGCATTGGGTGAATACTCCCATTCCAAAAGGGAGAAATCAGCCAATATAAAGGGGCCACAGGCTCCATACAAGTCTGAAACCCAGTGGGGCAGTCATTACATCTTAAAGCTCCAAAGTAATCCAGATCCCAGAATGGTAGCTCCGCTGGCAGCTTGCACCATGCACCTGGAAGAGCTGCAGGTACCCAACACCAGCTCATGAGGGCAGCTGGGGGGGCTGAACCCCACCAAGTCACAGGGGTGGAGCTGTCCAAGGCTTTGAGAGCCCGCCCCTTGTACCAGCGTGCCCTGGATGTGGGACATGGAGACAAAGGAGATTATTTTGGAGCTTTAAGGTTTAATGACTTCCCTTAGTCTAGGTTTCAGACTTATGTGGGGCCTGTAGCCCCTTTCTTTTGGCTGATTTCTCCCTTTTGGAATGGGAGTGTTTACCCAATGCCTCCACTGTATCTTGGAAGTAACTAACTTGTTTTTGATTTTACAGGCTCTTGGTGGAAGGGACTTACGTTGTCTTAGATGAGGCTTTGGACTTTCGAGTTAGTGCTGGAGTGAGTTAAGACTTTGGGCGACTGTTGAGAAGGACTGACTGTATTTTTCAATGTGAGAAGGACATGAGATTTGGAAGGGGCTGGGGTGGAATGGTATGGTTTGGATCTGTGTCCCCACCCAAATCTCATGTTGACTTTAATCCCCAGTGTTGGAGGTGGAACTTGGTGGGAAGTGATTGGATCAAGGGGGTGGTTTCTCAGGGTTTAGCACCATCCCCTTGGAACTGTCATTGTGATAGTGAGTTCTCATGAGATCTGGTTGTTTAAAAGTGTATAGCAGCTCCCTGCTCTCTCTCTTCCTCCTGCTCCAGCCGTGTGAGACATTTCGCTCCCCCTTTGCCTTCTACCATAATTGTTCATTTTCTGAGGCCTCTCCAGAAGCTGAAAAGATGCCAGCATCATGCTTCCTGTGCAGCCTGCAGAGCTGTGAGGCAACTAAACCTATTTTCTTTATGAATTAACCCATCTCAGGTATTTCTTTATGGCAATGCAAGAATGGACTAATACATTAAGAATATCATAGAGGATATTGAATTAAGTGACAAATGCAGTTTTTGCAACAGCTATTTCTTCCAAAGTTTGGCAGTACATTATCGTAGTCTTTAGGGAATACCAACAGGAGAAAATGAATAATGTATATGTAAATTACTGTCTATCTCTCTATTTATGAATCTATGTATGTTAGTTGAGGAGATCCCTGAACTCTACAACAGGCTAAATCAGTAACATAAATAACATTTTGTAAGGTATACTCTGGATGTGAATTTGTGTGTGTGTGTGTTGGGAGAAAAAGGTAATATTTATTTAAATAATTTTGGAAAGAGGCTTTCTGCTAATTTTATACAAAACACCAAAACACCAATGGTACTTCTCTGTGAAACTTCACATAAGCAAGAAAATGAAATGCAAATATTGACAAATGTCTTTTGGAGAAGGCAGTAACTACACTGAATTAAATATAACCTGTTAAATTAAACAAGTGACTCTGACATACTTTTCTTTGGATAGCTAAGTCTTGATTAATATTCATAGATCCATACTGCTAGGGTACACACATATGTTTTCCAGACTCTGGCCTTTCTTCAACGACTAACACCTTCATTTTTATGACTTTTTTTTTTAGTCTAAAGCACAATGCGTCATATATCTGAGAGGAAACCAAAGCCCAGACAGGATAGGTGGCTCAGCTAAGGTCACAGACCTAGCATGTATCAGAGCTGGGATTTCCATTCAGAGCTTCTGTGACTTATCTAAATATTTATCTTTATTGATCATGTTGGAGATGCTGGCAATGAATTTGAGTTCCAAAATGCCACTTAGTCATGCTTTCTGTTTTTAGAATATGGAGGTTGTTTTACTCACCTTGAGACACATATTACCAAAAGTGAACCCTGTGCAGAAATCAATTAGAAAAGCATTCTATTGATTGCAAGGTACTGAAACAAAAAGGCTGTGTCTCAGTGTGGGCTCTCTCCCCAGCCTCTGCATCTCCACCTCTGTGGCTTCCTTAGATGTTAGAATTGGGTTATGCAGAAGTCATTCAGTTTTGCTCAAATGAAACCCTGGGAATTCTTGAAAATGAGCTCATATGAATGAAAGAATTATTCCTATTTGACATACCCTAATGAACCACATCTGTGATGTTCCAGAAATGA
The DNA here is from genome assembly GCF_000001405.40 of Homo sapiens. Taxonomy (NCBI): domain Eukaryota; kingdom Metazoa; phylum Chordata; class Mammalia; order Primates; family Hominidae; genus Homo; species Homo sapiens. The sequence goes on from NC_000005.10 coordinate 6,977,790, forward strand.
AAATAATCACTCATTATCTGCTTGTTCTAAATAAATGTTTGTTTGAAGTGGCTCTAAATTGGGAAGTTTTCATTGTCAGATACCCACTTCATGAGGCAGTGTGTGAAACCCAGCCCCCCTCAGGGCTATGCATGGAATGGGGGACAGTTGGCCTGCAGGGAATGTTCCCCCTCACCACACAGGTGGCAGCTGGTGGACTCTGGCAGTTGAGTTCCCGAGCGAATGCACTTCATTTTCAAAGTAAACTCCCAATGTCAGCTGCAGTTTCTTAGCCCTTTGGGGTGAGATAATTTGTCTTGAATCTCCTGACCCACTCCATTATTATGCCCGAGCAACTGTACAGTCTGTGGGAGGCCAAGCTGCCTAAGAAATTTCCATGCATTTCCAGGGAACTTGGCAGGATTGACGTCTTTTTGACCTCACAAAGTTGTCTTCTTCATGCACACCATCTGTTCGTAGTGGTCTCAGCCCTTCAATAGGGAATTTCTCCGCCTTCTTTACCTTCTAATAACTCTTGAGTTGTTCTCTTCCTTGGTTTATAATTTCCCCAGCTCTGCAATTGTTGCTCTAATGTTCCCTTTCCCCCCGGCATCATGTCTTCCTGGATGCAGCGTCTTCCCTTTTCTTTTTGAGACTATTAGGGTGTGTGGTTTTTTTTGGTTATAGACATTGAGTCATGTCAGTTCCTTTAGAGTTCCTATTGTTGTTGTTGTTCTTGTTGTTGTTGTTTTTTCTCTCAAATTTTCTTTGTCATGGTCTTGTCCTTACACGTTAGAGAGTTTCTCCAGGTAACCAGTGATGCTTGGCTGGTCTGCTTTTATGTGAAAGGGAGTTAGTGGGTAGACATCTGAGAAGCACTATGCCTGGGAATGCCTTTCTGACCGGGGGCTGCCTGCAGTTGGTCTCAATGGGGACTTCACTGTTTTGTTGGAGAATCCACAGTATCTGTCTCTGGGTCTTTTGTCTTGAGCTGGTCTGTTGTCCCAGGAGAAATTTGCCATCTTCTCCTGCCTGGGGTATAAACTGGCTGCTACAGGCTCTGGGTCAGAACTGGGTGCAGAGACATCAACTTGCAGTCTCTAGACCTGTGCTGTCCAACACAGCAGCCCCTGACCATATGTAGCTATTTACAATGGAATTCATTAAAATAATTAAAATAAAAATTAATTCCTCAGTTGTGTTAGCCATATTTTAAGAGCCACAGGCCAGAGTTAGCTCTTGAATAATTAGCCAGGTCAGATATAGAACATTTTCATAACCTTCGAAGGTTCATTTGAGGAGTGCTGTTTCAGACTTTTGCTTTACATTCAGGAAGGCAACCTGCCCTTGGCTGGGCCTAGTGCCTTGAGATTAGAATCTCTCCCATTCAGCCACTCCAGAAAGAAAACTGCATTTTTAGGTTGGAGTGGAGGTGGAGGCTCTGTGTCTCCCACCTATGCTATCAGATGCTTCTCTGTAGGTGATGACTGTGTTGCTGGATCTGCCTCACTGTGTGACATGACACCACTGTCCCCTGCTCTCCCCTCAGTATGCACTTAATTTACACTTTCTCCATTGTGCTAAATCAGTTACCTCCTGCCCACCTGCTCTCCAGCTCTCAACATTTTGTTGACATCTTTCACTCATGGCTTTCTTCCCTTTTGTTTGTTTTGTCTTTGTGGTTTTATAAGGGTTTCTTCTTTTCTTTTTTTCTTTTTATCCCTTTAGTCTGCTATAGCAGGGCTTAGAAGGAACTAGAGCTTGTAGTGTATGTTCTACCCACTATGTTTGAACTGGAAGGATTGTCACTTCTTATTATCTGTATCAGAGGCCTTAGGCAAGGAAATAAACTCTAAGGAATCTTTTGCCTCCAGCAAAAGAGGGCATAATTATCACGACTTGCAGCTGAATCTGGTGTTGGCCAGAGACGTGCAATAAGTACCACAACTGGTGAGCAGAGCCGAATGAGCCTAAGGCCCTCATTCCTGCCTCCTAGTTTAGGTGGCAACTGCTTCATACAGTCATGTGGTTGAACCTGGTTCCAAATGCTCAGATGGAAGGAAGGTTCCCATGGTTGTATGACATCTTAGTCTTGCTAAACTTTCTCCTTTTATTAAAGATGTACTTCTTTAAGACACAAGCAGTTACTGAGAGTCAAATCCTGGTTCTAGTAGCATATCACAAGAACTAACACTACCCTAGTACTCATCCATCCATCTGTCCATCCATCCAACTGTGCATCCATCCATCCATCCAGCCAGCCAGCCAGCCAGCCAGCCCCAGCCAGCTATCCATTCATCTATCTATCCATCCACCCATTCGTCTATCCATCCATCCATCCATGCATCCATTCTTCTATTCAATAAACATTTATTTAGCAGGGTAGGTGCCTGACCTTGGTTCACAAAATAACAAAAGCACTGATAATAGTATGTTTATTTTTAAATGACTAATAATTTACAAATAAAAATAGTTTATTTTCTCATATATTTTCACCAATTCTCTGTATTTTTTAATGAAATTAATGAATACCATCAAGATAGGGCTTAGACATAAAAATTAGATTAACCAAAATTCTGAAATCATGGGCAACTGGATGAATGTCCTTTTTTTCGGTACTTTTCTGCTGTTTGTGACCCTCGCTCTCTCTATCTGTTCCTTCCTCCCACTGCTGACTGCATTCATTGTCTAGCCTTCTGTTCTTCCCAGGCTTATTCTCTCGCTGTCTTTCCGTGAAGTGTCTGGAAGGTGGTAGGTAACTCTTTCTTTGACCTGCACAGATTGAATAGTGGCTCCAGAGGACTCACTCTACTAGTGTGTCCAGCTTTATGTGGAAGAGCCCTGAGTCTGTAGACAGGTTATATTCTGACAGGTATCAGAGGTAAACGGTCCACTCCTTCCATTAACCCTCAATGCTAGGAACCACCTAATTCTCCAGGCTCTTCACTATATTAGCTCATCCCCCTCTACTTTTAATTGCCTTTTTTAGGCCTTGTATCTCCTCTGGTTGCATCACAAGTCTTGCCTTCTTTTCACGATCTACCTCATAGCATGACCACATTATCTATTCTCCACTTCTTTCCCCCGCAAGCCTGCCCTTGCCCCCTCAACCTACTAATCCTGCATGCTTCAGCAGCTACCACCGAGTCTGATGGCCTTCCCAGAGCCTGCTTTCTGACCCCTCACCAGTCTTCAACCTGACTGACCATTCTTTCTTTGGTGCTCACGTCCCCTTTATATTCTATAATTCTAGCTTCTTTCCTTAACTTTCTCTTGCTGCTCCTTTCCAAGGACTGCCTCTGTCTAAGATTCAGATTTATCCCTGTTTTTCTTTCCATAGTCTTTACCTGGAGGACTCAACACTACACAGGTGACTCCCAAATCAATTTCCAGTCCTTACTTCCATCCCCACTCTAGTCCATCCAGGGCATTTGCAGTGATTCGCCTATTATCTCAACATCAATGCCTTCGAGTTTGAGTTCAGGTTCTTTTCAGATGCTTCTCATTCCGATTTCCCGAATCCCCTTATTGTTACCATTTTCTCCGCCTCTCCAGTGAACGCTGTTATTTTTGACTTTCTCAGCTCACACAGTGTGTCCCATCATGAAGCCCTATTACCTTCTTCCATTTTCTCTTTCCTTCCAACTTTCTCTCAGTGCAGGTCATTATAACCTCACACTGGTACAATGGCTGTCAAATTAAAAGCTTTTTACCCCACCCTGTGACATATGCTGACATAGCCTAACCTTCCTAAAGTGATGCTTTATTAGGTCATTATTCAGCTTTACAGTGTTTAAGATTTCCCTACTGTCTTTTCAGATCAAGGTCAAGTTCCTGTGCTTGGTGCTCAAGGCTTTCCATCACCCAGTGTGGCCTGTCTTTATAGTCCCACATTTCTCTAGAAGGTCCTTGCCTCTGCTACGCCACCTTCTAAAGTTGTTCTGTGTTGTCCTAAGCCTCTGACTTTACTAATCCTCTTCACCCTTCCTAATGAGAATTTCCCCTCCAAATCTTATTCCATATGAACCCCACCTCTCCACAGCCAGCCCATTTCTGAAAGCTCAATTCAGACAAAACGGGGTGTGTTCAGGGTGGTATGGCTGTAGACCTCAAGACTCAATTCAGTTCACAGCCAGCCCATTTCTCAAGGCTCAATTCAGACAAGACCGGGTGTGTTCAGGATGGTATGGCTGCAGACCTCAAGGCTCAATTCAGTTCTCCCCGGGTGTGTTCAGGGTGGTATGACTGCAGACCTCAAGACTCAATTCAATTCACAGCCAGCCCATTTCTCAAGGCTCAATTCAGACAAGACCGGGTGTGTTCAGGATGGTATGGCTGCAGACCTCAAGGCTCAATTCAATTCTCCCTGGGCGTGTTCAGGGTGGTATGGCTGCAGACCTCCAGACTCAATTCAATTCTCCTTAAACCTGAAATTCTTCCCAGTGTTCTCCAGCCCACTATAGCCACTTCCTCCCCTAAATTCAGAATGCACATTTCTTCATCCTCCTCTGTATTACTTTTGTCCCTCTTCGTTTCTCCTCTGCTCTCTTTGTTGGTATGCACTCTTTGATTCTGAATTTCTATTTGCCAAGGGAACATGTTCTAGATTTGAAATCCTAGGACTAGAAAGAAAAAGAAAAATTTATATATCTGTGCTTGTCCTCAGACAGGTATTTATTGGCAGCTTTGGGCAGCACCAAATGAATCAAGTATACCAAGCAATCAAACAACCAATAACTTTTTCACTTTATCTAAAATACAGCTAGAAAAACCTTAGTGGGAACAAATGGTGAAGGTTCAGGGCTGCTATCTTTTAAATTTTACTATTCTCTTTGGTATGTGACTAAATATAAAAACGATGGCAAGATTAAATCAAGTTGAAGACCAATAAAGTAAACATGAATCTTGCAGGTTGGCCCAAATCTAACAACTGATTTGGCATTTTAATAAAATTTATCAAATTGAATTGCTTTCCCTAAGAAACCAATGTCTAAATATTTGTTTTGTCTGAATTTTTTTTATACTGATTATGAACAAATGTTGTGGCTAAATGACTAATGGCCTTTTTTGTTATTCTGTTTGAAGTGCTTTGTTCTTTATAGGTACCAGCAAAATAGGTGCCTATGGAATTTGATATTAACTTCCGTTTTTAACCTTGTTAGGCTTTCCTGGTTTGGGTAGGAAATTAATCATTAGTAGTATTTGCATAAGCAATGCTAAAAACTTCTTTGGCTTCTCAGAAAACTGAAATATTTAGTTCTTTGGAATTCACAGGCTCTTTCCTGCTGGGGAGTTACCCTGGGCCACCTGTTCCCCTCCTTCGCGCAATTTTCGTGTTTCTCTAATTTGATGCATTTCACTGGCAACTCCTGTGGACTGAAGAATGAAGGACATTCTGTTAAAAATCTTATGATTTTTTTTCCTCAAGACTTAAGTGTGAAAGGGGAAAAAAATAACTAAAAGAGGACTTAGGTGTATTTACAGCTTTTCAAGGACTTCCTTCCTTGCCTACAACCAACTGGCTCTTGGATGCATGATAAAAAAAGACATGACAAGTCAGCGATTTTTAAGTTGGTCAAGATAAAGTTCCCTGAAAAGAAAACTGGAAGTGAGTTAGTACAAAGAGACAAAATGAAAACATGCTGGACTTCATGTAAAGACCAGAAGACCCAGTGCAGCATAGCTGCCCTTGTCTCCTATTGATAACCCTGTGACATTATGCTGCGCTGGGCCACGTCTCTGTCCAGCCCCTTAGCCAAGAATTGGTTTTAGCAAAATGAAGCCCATCAGATTCAGCCTTGAATTGCATATTCCTTTTTGTGAGCATCTATATGGGGCTGTGTTTTGCCACATTTCTTTTGCCTAAAGTTGCCATGCTCTGTCTTGCAAAAAGGACTCTTATGGATTTTAGCTTACTTTCGGGTAGTGTTGAGTGGTCATAATAAAAATAACGTTTGACAACAGGCAGGTTACATAACTCCACTTTTTTTCCTGCCACAATTAATAGCTCTAATACTGCCAGAGAGTGCTGTTCAAAATGAATATTCAAGTTGGAGTCCTTTACTTGCTTTGACTACCAGGATTCCTTGTGTTTGTGCACAGAGTAAAAAAAATCATTGCGAAGAGTCCTAGAGGGAGCTTGAATGAGAAGAGGGTGTATTTAGTCTGCTAAATGAACAGGAAGCAGGTGGAGCAGGCACTGAACTTTCTAAGACTTCACGTGAGTGCCGTGGGTGGGGTCAGGTTCTTCACTTAGCATGCAGTCAGTTTTGTGAAGGCCTTTTTCCGTTCTTCCTTATCAACTTGAACCTGCTCCTGTTGGCCCATGCCAACAAGGCACTGGGAGCCAAGCTGGTTCATGATCAACTCTTGGCTCTGCAGTCAGAGGGCTACTCCACACTAGGGTGCAATCATTATCTTGATGGATAGGCTGTTGGCATAATGAAGCATTTGTTTTTCAAATTGCACCCAATCTAGAAGTATTTTTCTTTTTCTTGGTCAGAGGAAGCAGGAGGCATCTGGTGGGGACCCACAGATGAGAATCGAAGGATCCTGCAACTTTGTGCAAAGAGAAGGGTTCAGCCAGGATAGGCATCTGACAACGTTATGAAGAGCAAACGTGATTTTATGGAGCAGTGCAGTTGGGCTGAATCTATTTTAAGAGAACTTTGGGCAAGTCTGGATTTTTGTGAAAATGGCAATAAGATTCCAGATGGGAGGACATGACATTGGTATAGACCAGAGTGGGACAAGAGCTGTGCAAGATACGAAAGAGAATCAGTGGAACCAGACAATATATGAAGTGGGTTGGGCCAGAAAGAGATAACTAGGGATTTACACTAACTCCATAATAAAGAGAAATTGGAAGTCAATGCACCATTGCTTATAGCATGCCGTGTTTGAAGATAGTCAAGATAATTAGGGTAAACTGCAGACTTTACTTATTTTAGGATGTAGATTGTCATTCACCAAGAAGCCTCTTTTGGTCACCAGTTGAAGAACTTGTACAGATAGCTACTGGCATACGTAGACTTTTCCCCCGACAGCTTTGATCCTGATTTTATAGAGAAGCAATCATAAGAGAACTTCATAATCATCTTCTGCCAAACATGTTGATGGTCTGGGTCCATATGCATAAACTTTATCACCTTTCCAAGGGAAATGACTTTTCCTTGTCCTAACAAAGTCCGGCCCCCGCTACCCAACATGCCTTGGTGTGCCGGATTTCCTTCTTTCTCTACTATTCTGGAAATTTGTGACTAAAATTACTTCCTTTAGCTGTTATATAATCAAATTTTAATTTTTAGTGGGTCATTTACATCAGCATATAAAATTCCATATTTTCTTCCTTTAAAATATCCTTCCCATGACAGAATTATCCCTCCAGCTACTACCCCATTTCACTGCTGTCTTTAGAACAAAATTCCTAAAAAGAGTTGCCTCTTTCTGTCTTTACTTTAGCACTTCTCATTCTGATTTGAATGTATTTCAAGCAAGGCTTTGACCCAGGAATCCTGCTGAAATCATTATTGTCAAGGTCACCAACTTCCTCCATGTCCCCAAGTATGACGGTCTATCCCATTCCTCAGCAGCATTTGGTAGAGTGCTCAGACCTCACTCTTAACACCCTTGTTTCATGTGGCTTTGCTGGACTTTCTCATTCTCAGTCTCCTTCTTTTATTCCTCTAAAGATCAGCATGGATTTTGAGCTGATCACTGACCTTCTAGCTATGTTTACCTGGCAGGTGATTTTACACATATGCAGGGCTTTAAGTTCCAACTACACAGAAAGCTCTCTCCATACCTTTGCTCTGTTTCATGCACTTCTCACTACCTGACATGCATGTGTTCAGACTTTATTTGTTTATTTATTCCCACTAAAATATAACCTCCAGATGTGCAAGGAACACTGCCAGTTTGGTTATTATGATATCTTCGGTGCTTAAAATAATGACCAGTCCATAAGAGGAGCTCAACATACATATGTTGAACAAGAAAATAAAGGTATCAATAAATTAACAAATCGTGACTAAGGGTTCCTGACTTCTTGAGTCATGATTCATATAACTAAAGTGGACAGAACAGGTAAGAACTACCCTTTAGAAACATTGCCTTCACTAAATTTACTTATTTAGTTAGTTGCTGTTATTGAAATAACATTTTACAGTTACAAACATAACACAAGACAATTTGAAGGTATTTGATATGTACCCACCAGGCAGATTAAAAAAAAAATAACTTTGGGCCGGGCTCAGTGGCTCACCCCTGTAATCCCAGCACTTTGGGAGGCTGAGGCGGGTGGATCACGAGGTCAGGAGATCGAGACCATCCTGGGTAACACAGTGAAAAACAGTCTCTACTAAAAATACAAAAAATTAGCCAGGCGTGGTGGCGGGCGCCTATAGTCCCAGCTACTCAGGAGGCTGAGGCAGGAGAATGGCGTGAACCCGGGAGGCGGAGCTTGCAGTGAGCCGAGATCGCACCACTGCACTCCAGCCTGGGTGAAAGTGAGAGACTCTGTCTCAAAAAAAAAAAAATTTGTACCTCTAATTCCATGATCCCGGCTGTGGACTGAATTGTGTCCCTTAAAAATTTATTTGATGAAGCCATAACAGCTCCCAATATGCAATATGACTGTGTTTGGAGAGAGAGCGTTCATGGAAGTCATTAAGATTAAATAAGGTCATAAAGGCAGGACCCTGATCAAATAGGGTGAAAGTTCTTCTAAGAAGAGAGACTGGATAACTCATTCTGTCTTTTCTCTTTGACATTGAGAAGTCAGCCACCTGCAAACCAGGAGGAGCGCCCTCAGCAGAACCTGACCGTGCTGACAGCTTGATCTGACTTTCAGATTTCCAGCCTGCAGAACTGTAAAAAAAAAAACTCTAATTTCTGATATTAAGCCACATGGTTGATGAAATTTTGCTATGGGAACCCAAGCTGACTAATACAGCTCCCCATGTTTCTTTCTTTGTTGCTTGTTTTATTTCTTTGTGTCTCTATTCATGAAAATCTTCTCATTGTGAATCTTCAATAAAAGTGTATGTATTTCTAAACTCTGTGTATGTACTAATGTGCTAATATGTACTGTATGTATTATATATTTGTATTATATGTATTATATGTAATGTATTATATGTTTCACACAACATATCCCCCAAAAGAGATAAAACATCTTACGATAAAGAGAAAGTGAACATAATTTAAACATCTACTGTTAATTGCCCGTGTCAAACTATCACTTGCTAATAGCTCAATGCACAGTATCATTGTTAGTATGGATGAATATAAATCTGTACAGCTAATAGTTTTCTGATAATTTCGAATGTTTTGGGCTGACTTTTTACCAGACCTGATTAGACCATCATTCTTTTTAAAAAACTTTTATTTTAGGTTCAGGGGTACATGTGCAGGCTTGTTATATAGGTAAACGTGTGTCACGGGGGCTTGTACAAATTATTTCATCACCCAGATAATAAGTCTAGTACCCAATAGTGATTTTTCTGGAATCTCTCCCTCCTCCAACCATTTAGCCTCAGGTAGGCCTCAGTGTCTGTTGTTCCCTTCCTTATGTCCATGTGTTCTCATCATTTAGCTCCCCACTTACACACGAGAAGGTAGATCATCATTCTTTGCCTCCTGTGGCGGTTAATGGAGACTTTTCAGAATGCCTGCCCTTCCTCTGTTAGTCACTTGTGATTGCACTGTAAGTTTTGTGCTCACTAAGTACTTTCTTTACTGGAATCTTTTAATGCCTGCTGTCCATTTTGTGGGGATTGGCTTAGACTTGACTATATCCATAATTCTGTTTACTATGATATGTAAGTTGGCCGCCTACATGACTGCAATGGCAGCATTTACTGAGGGTGAGTGAAGGAGCGAGGATCACTTGTTAACCCATCCAGCTGGGAGTCCCATTCTGTTTGCACAATGTCCTATGTCTGTCCACATGCGACCTGTGATCAGCTGATATTGGGCTGAAAGGGGTACCAGTGGAATACACATATTACATATCATTCAGGCCAAAATTCTCTTTTTTAAAATACAACTCTATAATATAGAAATAAAAATTTCATGGTTTCTTCTTAGAAGAAACCACAGTCCCATTTCACAAACCCTCTGGGCTGTGCAGCTGCTTTTTAGACCACTTCTGAACAGAAAGGTCTGTGGGTATACATGTCCTTGAGCTCTACCCTGAGAATCCCCAGGGCCTAGAAACTGGACTTTTAAATGTTCCCTAGGCAAGTCAGATATACAGCCAAGATTGAAAAATTAGTATTTTCCCAAATGTTGCCTTTAATAGGTTGTCTTTTCCTTGTTCTCTCTCTCTTTTTATAATAATGTCCTGTCGTGGTTACGCTTTATTTGGCAGTTTGGTGAGGCAATGACACTCAGTTGTTGGGTTTGGTCAAACACGAATCTAGATGTTGCTAGGAAGGTATTTTGTAGGCATGATGAACAATTACAATAAGTTGACTTTAAGTAAAGGAGATTACCCTCGGTAATGTGGGTGGGCTTCATCCAAACCATTGAAAGCCTTAAGAGCAAATACTGAGGTTTCTTGGAGAAGAAGGAATTCTGCCTCAAGACTGACATAGAAATCCCACCTGAGCTTTCATCCCATTGGCCTGCCCTACAGATTTTGGACTTGCTAGCCCCATGATTGCATGAGTCAATTCCTTAAAAAAGAAACACACACACACACACACACACGTGTGTGTGTGTGTGTGTGTGTGTGTGTGTATTAGTTTCTTTGGACCTACCACTTATTTTAAGAATAACACAAGCCTGGTGCAATGGCTTATGCCTGTAATCCCAGCACTTTAGGAGGCCGACTTGAGTGAATGGCTTGAGCCCAGGAATTTGAGACCAGCCTGAGCACCATGGTGAAACCCCATCTCGACACAAAATACAAAAATTAACCAGGTGTGGTAGTGCATGCCTGTGGTCCCAGCTACTTGGGAGGCTGATGTGGGAGGATTGTGTGGACCTGGGAGGTGGAGGTTGCAGACTGCATCACTACAATCCAGCCTGGGCAAGAGGGCAAGACTCTTTCTTAAAAAAACTCAATTAATAAACTTTAAATATAAATAAGTACAAAGTGTAAGCTAAAACTCAACTGTAATTGAAGAAAGAAAGAGAAGAAGAAAGAAAGAAAAAGAAAAGGAAAAAGAAAGAGAAAGAAAGAAGAAAGAGAAAAGAAAGAAAGAAAGGAAAGAAAGGCTGTTTCAAAGCTGTATTATTTATATGTTCAGGGTCCTTTTCTAACAGAAAGATCATTAACATAATAAAAAGCCCTGAAACACAGAGTGCAATTATTGACATATTTGTCTCCTTTGCTGAACCACGAGCTTCCTGAGAATAAGCACTCCATGTTATGTATTTTTTTATGCTATTGTCCAATACAGTATACTATCGAGCACATTGTAGATTCTTAATAAACACTTTTGAATAAATGGCTGAGTAAACGGGAGAATAGGTGGAAGAAAAAGTTTTAAAAACATTAATTGTGAATAGATATATGAACTGATGAATGTGGAGAAGACTCAAGCTTATGAGTCAGCAAAGGAAATGGTGGAGGTAGTTGTCCCCGGGAAGCAGAGGGACTGATCTGACACAACGTGTTGGAGGAAGCGTGATGAATTTGTATCAGCACCGGTATATAGGACTCTGCCACTTTTTTCAGCAAGAATCAGCTCCATGTGCAGGGGAGGACAGCTGGATTGGTCCAGCTGCAGCATTTGTTAGGCAGATTCAGCAAAAGGCAAGAAAGAATGAGCTGAGGGCATTCACCCAGTGAGGTCCTGGTGAGACCTTTAATTAGTGACAGCAAATTAAATAATTAGCTATCGTAAAATTAAAATACATATATGGTGGGAAAAAGAGAGAGGACAAGAGGAAGAAGTTGTATTTACTATGATAACTTGAGGTTCTTTTTTTGCATGTGAAGAATTTCCAGGTGATAAAAAGATCCAGGATGTGACCAAGAGAATGAATCCCTGAAATAAAATGGAAAAGAAGGTCGTAGAAACCAAACAAGTGGAAAAACTTTGAGGCAAGCATCTTGGATGGGCTTCCCATATGGGCAGTGAAGTTCCTCAGGAAGAGAATTGGACTTACAGAGAAACAAATGACTATGAGCTAAACCCTCACGGAATCCTCACAGTGAGTCAGAAAGACAGAGAGGTGATTGGGAAGGCGTGATCGTGAGTAATGGAGACTGATGATGTCCAGGACGTTTTCAATATAGTTAAGGAGAAACAATCATGAGAATGAGGTCTCCTGGTCCCAAGAAATTTTAGGTGAGGAGCCTCAAGCACTGTACAGAGAGTGAGATTCTTTATGTAGAATTGCTTTAATATAAAGTAGTTTGATGATTTGTTGGAATTTACTCGTGTTATTAAATGCTATGCTGAAAGATTGGATGATTAGGAATTTAAGAGTTTTGTTTTGTGCTACCTTTTGAATGGGTCAAAGGATTTAGATTTTATGTGGACAAGGCCAGCCTAGACAAGCAGGCATCACATTGACTAAAAGGATGGAAATTAGATAACAGTATTAACAGTATAGGGTTTTGGGCATTCAGGAGAATGTGCTAAAACTTAGAATAAAGGAACCAAGGAGAATGAAGGGAAATTGAAAAGAATCATTACCTCTTTTTCTATTGCCTGGGGTTAGCAGGGCTAAACAGGTGGGATTTATCATTGGGTATAAAATGCTACATTATTAATCTACATTTTCAGTTTTTCCTGGGCACTTACAGGGAATAAATGCTGTGATAACTTTGGTCAAGCAATCAACGAAGTATTCTTCAAACAAAGAGGCTAATTTTATCATTTGTAAAATCTTTCTTTTCCAAAATATTTTATATTGAAATGAATGACTCATAGCTCCATTTAGGAAAGGGATTTGCAATTTTATTTTTTATTTCAGTAACTTTTAAAACACCAATTTTTAAGTATATATATTTTTAAAAGAGAATAAGACTTCTTGTTTTCAGCCAACTACTTTGTTGTATACTTGATGTTTTTGACAGTAATTTTCTGGGATTATAACTTTGCGAATTATAAAATGTTCCAATTGGAAATCTCTAAATTGGGTGTTGGGTTTACTGCTTAGCTCACCAGGGTTGGGACTGAGCACTAGGAAAAAATAATTCTCATCTTAATTGCTTATTAGAGTACACTGAGTTATCTGTATCAGTATTTATGAAGCTATGGATTAATTTGGAAAATATATTGGGTTCATTGGATTCACAAGTTGTTTTAAAAGTGGCTCAATTTATTCATTCTACAATGTGTACATATTTTAAGACATCACGTTGTATACGATAAATATATATAATTTTCTCAATTAAAAGTAATTATATTAATTTTAAAAAGGCAATTCTTGTTTTTTACCGATTTTGAATGCTTTTGGGGACAACTGTTTAAATAACCTATAAGTTGCAACGCTGTGTGTTAATGATACTTTCTTACCCTTCTAGCCTACAAGAGTTGATCTTTTCTTAAGAGTTCAGTGTCTTTCTATAAATAATGTGTTAGAAAGTAAAAGAGCAGCAGATTTTAGTCTCCCATTTGAGACTGTAGGGAAAGTTGACATTCAAGGAACTTAAATGTCAGTCTGAAGCTCAGGTGTCCTGGTTCTGCTTCCATGCTTTAGCTATGAATCCAGATGGTCTCTCTGAAGCAAAACCTTACAGATGATCATGGAATTTTATACTCATAAGAGTTTAAGGCGAGGAACTCACTTGGGGAGATCACTCAGTTCAGTCTTCAGTTATTCAGTTTCTCTCTCTCTCTCTCTCTCTCTCTCTGTCTGTCTGTGTGTGTGTGTGTGTGTGTGTGACTTATGATTATCTTGTAGAGCTAGTTTATTCTTTCTTTTAATATGCTCAATAAAGGAAAAATTTATATGCAATGTTTTCAGTAATTTATCACCATTAAGGTGCTTGTATTAAAAATGCAATACCTTAAAAAGCCAGAAGGCAAAGACAGAGCATAGCATTAGATAATTGCACATAGGGCAGTAACCATGAATCTGAAGTAAATAAAATAAGCCATTCTCTGGAACATGCAAAAAGCTTCTCTTACTTTGCTCACTAGGCACAATGATGAGAACATTATTTGAAAAAGAACATGGGAGAACTTTAACAACTATATTAAAGTTAGCCTACATGTGTGGAATATATGTTCATTGATTTTACAACTTTTTAAATAATGCTAGGATCACAGATTTTAGTTATATATATATAACTATTATATATGTGTGTATTATATATACTAAATGTATATAACCATATACACTATATAAATATTTACTGTCTGGTCGTTTTTAATAAAAGTTTGCCAATCTCTGCTTTATACTATTACTTTAATTTAAATCATATATATGTATTTAGTGTATATAGCATATATACACTAAATATATATAACTATATATATGTTATGATCATCTTGTAGAGATAGTTTGTTCTTTCAAGATGCTCAATTAAGGAAAGCATTTATATGCAATGTTTTCAGTAATTTATCACAATTAAAGTGCTTATGTTAAAAAATGTAATACCCTTGCGTATATATATATATACGTATGTGTGTGCATAAATGTATATATATGTGTGTATGTATGTGTAATTTTTCGTGTTGTTTAAATCTTTCTGGGGTGTGTGCATGTATATATACACACACATATATACATACACACAGCTCAGAAAGATTTAAACAACGCAAGACATTATTTTCATTGTTTATAGCAGGGTTGGTAGACAGTAATTCTTGAGTGAAATCCTGACTTGACGTTTCCTGCTTCAATCCTGACTTTACCTTTCCTGCTTTACATTTTCCTGCTTCATGTTTTTGTAAATGAAGCCTTATTAGAACACAGCCATGCCTAACATGTAGTATCTCTGGCTGCTTTTGTGCTGCAGTGGCAAAGCTGAATCGTTATGACACAGAGTATGTGGCCCATATGCCTAAAATATTTACTACATGGCCCACACTTTTGCATCTTCCATTGCTCTTTTTCCCTTCTTGTTTTTCTGTGCATATGACTATGATCGTTTTCCTTGTGAAAAAACTCTCTTGGTAAAAAAGTGTCTCATTTTCTTGCTTCTGAAAGCATCAATTTGCCTTCATTTTAAAAGGATGTTTTTGCTAGGTATAGAATCCTAGTTTGGCAAGCATTTTTTGGCACTTTAAAAGTGTCATTCCATTATCCTCTGCCTTCCGTTGTGTTTACTTAGAAGTCATTTATTGTTGCCAATTTGAAGATAATGTGTCTCTCTCCCCCATTCCAGCCATGCTGCTTTAAGAGTATTCTCTTGGTCTTCTCCCGTCTCCCCCTTCCCCTTCCCCTTGCCCTCCTCCTCCTCCCCCGACCTTCCCCACTTCTCCCCAACTTCCTCACCCCCATCCCCTCCTCCCCGTCTTCTCTCCTTCCCCCTTCCTCCCTCCCCCGCTCCTTTCTTCTTCTTCTTTGTCGCTTGCAGTGGCACAATCTTGGCTCACTGCAACCTCTGCCTCCTGGGTTCAAGTGATTCTCTTGCCTCAGCCTCGGAGTAGCTGGGACTACAGGTATGCGCCACCATGCCCGGCTAATTTTTTTTGTGTTTTTAGTAGAGATGGGGTCTCACCATATTGGTCAGGCTGGTCTTCTTTTAAAAAAAAAAATAGGGACTTTGCTGTGATTTGTCAAGGTGTGGCTTTATTTGTATTTATTCTGCTTGATGTACACAGAGCTCTTTGAATCTGTCTTTGGGTTGGCATTTTTTAATACGTTTTGAAAAAAATCTTCAACCATTTCTTTCTAGATCTTTCTTCTGCCTCATTCTCTCTCCCTTCTGTTTCTGGTACTACAATTGCTCTTGTGTTAGATATTTTTAATGTGTTTCACATGTTTCTTGTACTTTTTTTTTTTTTTTTGCATTTCCCTCCCCTTCCTTCTCTGTTTCAGTCTAACTAGTATATATTATTGACTTACTGTTTTCTAATTCACAAATCTTCTTTTCTGTTGTGTCTAGTCTGCTATTTGTTCTATCCTTCTAGTCCTTAATTTTAGTTATTTTATTTTCAGTTCTAAAATATAAATTTGATTCTTCTTATAAAAGTCAATTATTTTGGTAAGTTGTTTTTTATATTTTTTTTCCTTTTTCCATCATTATAATTATGGCTATTTTATTTTATTTACTTTTTAAAATTGTAATAGCTTGAGGGGTACAAGTGGTATTTGGATACATGGATGAATTGTATAATGGTGAATTCTGGGCTTTTAGTGAGCCATCACCTGAATAGTGTACATTGTATCCAATAGATACTTTTTTATCCATTACCACCTCTTCCACTTTGCCCCCTTCTAAGTCTCCAGTGACTGCTATTTCCTTTGATTCTGGGTGTCACCCTCCAGCAGTCCCATTTGAGAGCCTGGGGTGTTCAGTGAGGTTCTGCCCCCTAGCTGGTTCTGGACTCTGCTGTATATCTCCTTAACACCACAAGACTTTCAAATGCTGCTCTATTTGAATTCTTGGCCTCACTCTCAAAGCAATTTAAGATATCTGAAAAGGTCTTGAGGGTGAAACCAGTGTAGGATCGGACTCAGTTTCCTGCCCCTCCCTGCCCACAGCCACCCTGTCCTTTCTTGTTTCTACTCTCCATCTCTCCAGTCTCATGAGATGATGAAAATCTCTGCTGCCTTGCTGTCTTTCAGTGGTGCCTTCTGCACAGATCCTAGGACTGCATCTTCTACCACTCGTCCTGTGTCCAGGGTTGGCAAGCATTCCGGGAAAAGCGTGGTCTGAACTTTCTGTGTGGTTTTCCTATTGTCTGTTGCTTCGTTAGCTCGCAGATGCCTTCCAAGAGATGTACTTTTAATTTTACCTAGGCTTTTAGCAGTGCTTGTCTGGAATGCTGGTCTCCCATAAGCTTCTTTGTCATCTTTGCAAGTGGAAGCTCGATTGTTCCTTGAAATACATATGGGTTTAGTACTTGAAATATATTTGAGGGCTTTTTCTTCTCGATAAATGTTAAGCATGACCAACTATTTTAATTGATTTCAAAACCTTTTTTTTTTTTTCCAAGTGGTGACACATTGGCTTCATTGATGTCTCTACCATAAGTGGTTTCAAACCATTTTATTTCTTCATATTATAGTAACTGTGCAAGAACATTCAGAAAAAAATCACACTATACTTGATCAATGCATATTACATTATTTTGCTTAATGTATAAAATGCACATTGTAAAGTATTTATTCTGTAAGGAAAAAAGGTAGATAATGAGAAGAACCTGAAATATTCTAGGTAACTTGGTGATTTACATTTTTAACAGTCATTTTTAGGTCCAGACAAGTGGAAATTAATGGCCTGATTAAATTTTAGAATGGCTTAAACTAGGAAACTCTGTTTATAAATTATGAGTGAGATATCCTTTTTTTCTCTAGAATTAACTGAAGCTTCAATTATTACCATTCATGTGTGTCAACCTTTCCTGTCAGCCTGAATGTGGTTGTGAAGGTCGCTGAGGAGGGAAGGGCAAATGGCTTGATGGGGTGATTGGCAGCTCAGAGGCAACACTAGCTGAGTTTCCTCTGCATGCAGCATTGCCCGAAATGTCCTCCTAATGTGACTCATCCATCACCACCTCCTTTGAGCATATTTTGCTTCTATCTGTCTGTGGTCAAGAGTGAGTCTCTGATTTAAAATCTTACACCCTTGCTCATCCTTATCCCTTTAAAAATAAAGAGTATACACTCTTGCTAAGTTTCCTAAAGCACATTTGGCTTCCAAGCATCTTATTTTTAAATAAATTTTAATATCTATTTTAATAGATTTTTAAAAATCTTAATTTTAATCATTTTGTTTTTTAAGGTCAAAGTGAATATATGTAGCAAATTTGCACTAATTAAGAACAACTCATGTCGAATTTTGCACACTTGTAGAAAAGTTTATATTGATGCTTATGCTGTTAAGAATGAGAAAGTTAACTAAATAACACAACAGTTTAAAGAGTACTTCAGAAGGCATATTTAATCTATTTAATTGAATGAAATGTTCTCAAGCTCTGGAGAGGGATTCATTTACACACCCTAAATCAGAGCCGCAAATCTTCAAAACAAAAATAAAAATTGATTCAGATAGTTTTTCCATCCTCTTTGGAAACTAAATAAATCTCTCAGGTTAATCCAAAAAGGAAATGTCATCCACAGCATCCACTACCACTTTCCTGGTAGTCTGGTTCTACTTTAAGTCATTAAATCAAATACAGAAAGGCTGTAATCTTTTAAAAATAACTCTGTTTCAAAGGGCTGGCAGAAACCTGAGAATTTGAAAATACATTATCCTAAGCTAAACTTTCAAAAAGATTAGAATGTGAGGAAACTGTTTTAAATTTGGGAACCCCAGTATGGCTTCTTAGCATGCAGTTAGGAGAAATACCTTAATAGTCTTACATCTATTTTTAATCTGATTTTACTATTACACTGTTATACTGAGAGAAAAGTCATGATCAAAATAAGATTGTTTTCTAATAATAATTAGTATTTTCTTACCAGTAGTTAGCTATAAAGACTGTGTTCTAATTTTCCTTGCTATTTTTTTGTTTGTTTAATTAAGTTTTTTATATTTTTTATTTCCATAGGTTATTGGGGAACAGGTGGTGTTTGGTTGGTGGTGATTTGTGAGATTTTGGTGCATCCATTACCTGCGCAGTATATGCTGCACTCAATTTGTGGTCTTCTATCACTCACCCCCTTCCTACCATTTCCCCCTGAGTCCCCAAAGTCTTTCTTATGCCTTTGCATCCTCATAGCTTAGCTCCCACATATGAGTGAGAACATATGATGTTTGGCTTTCCATTCCTGAGTTACTTCACTTAGAATAATAGTCTCCAGTCTCATCCAGGTTGCTGCAAATGTTATTAACTCATTCCTTTTTATGGTTGAGGAGCATTCCATTATATGTATATTACAGTTTCTTTATCCACTCATTAATTGATGGGCATTTGGGTTAGTTCCAGGTTTTGCAATTGCAAATTGTGCTGCTATAAACATGTGTGTGCAAGTATCTTTTCCAGGTAGTAATGACTTCTTTTCCTCTGGGTAGATACTCAGTAATGAAATTGCTGGATCAAATGGTAGTTCTACTTTTAGTACTTTAAGGAATCACCACACTGTTTTCCATAGTGGTTGTACTAGTTTGCATTCCCACCAGCAGTGTAGAAGTGTTCACTGTTCACTGCATCCATGCCAACATTTATTATTTTTTGATTTTTTTGATTATGACCATTCTTGCAGGAGTAAGGTGGTATTGCATTGTGGTTTTGATTTGCATTTCCCTGATAATTAGTGATGTTGAGCATTTTTTCATATGTTTGTGGCCCTTTGTTTGTATATCCTCTTTTGGGGAAAATTGTTTATTCATGTCCTTAGCCCACATTTTGATGGGAGTATTTGGTTTTATCTTGCTAATTTGTTTGAGTTCGTTGTAGATTTTTGATATTAGTCCTTTGTCAAATGTATAGATTGTGAAGATTTTCTTCCACTCTGTGGGTTGTCTGTTTACTCTGCTGACTGTTCATTTTGCTGTGCAAAAGCTCTTTAGTTTAATTGAGTCTCATCTATTTATCTTTGTTTTTGTTGCATTTGCTTTGGAGTTCTTGGTCATGAAATCCTTGCCTAAGCCAATGTCTAGAAGGGTTTTTCTGATGTTATCTTCTAGAATTTTTATAGTTTCAGATCTTAGATTTAAGTCCTTGATCCATCGTGAGCTGATTTTTGTGTAAGGTGAGCGATGAGGATCCAGTTTCATTCTCCTACATGTGGCTTGCCAATAATCCCAGCACCATTTATTGAATAGGGTGTCCTTTCCCCACTTTATGTTTTTATTTGCTTTGTCAGTGATCAGTTGGCTGCATTTAGCTTTATTTCTGGGTTCTCTATTCTATTCCATTGGTCTATGTGCCTATTTTTATTCCAGTACTATGCTGTTTTAGTGACAATGGCCTTTAGTGACTATGAAGTTGGATAATGTGATGCCTCCAGGTTTGTTCTTTTTGCTTAGTCTTGCTTTGGCTATGTGGGCTCTTTTTTGGTTCCATATGAATTTTAGGATTGTTTTTCCTAAATCTGTGAATAATGATGGTGGTATTTTGATGAGAATTGTGTTGAATTTGTAGATTGCTTTTGGCAGTATGGTTATTTTCACAATATTGATTCTACCTACCTGTGAGCATGGCATGCGTTTCCATTTGTTGTGTCATCTATAATTTCTTTCAGCAGTGTTTTGTAGTGTTCCTTTTAGAGGTCTTTCACGTCCTTGGTTAGGTGTATTCCTAAGTATTTTATTTTTTTGCAGCTATCGTAAAAGGGGTTGAGTTCTTGATTTGATTCTCAGCTTGGTCACTGTTGGTGTATAGAAGAGCTACTCAATTGTGTACATTGATTTTGAATCTAGAAACTGCTGAATTCATTTATCAGGTCTAGGAGCTTTCTGGAGGAGTCTTTAGGGTTTTCTAGGTAAAAGTTATATTATCAGCAAACAATGACAGTTTGGCTTCCTCTTGACCAATTGGGATGCCCTTTATTTCTTTTTCTTGTCTGATTGCTCTTGCTAGGACTTCTAGTACTGAGAGGTGAAGCCAGCTGGGCTTCTGGGTCAGGTGGGGACTTGGAGAACTTTTATGTCTAGCTAGAGGATTGTAAACACACCAATCAGTGCTCTGTGTCTAGCTAAAAGTTTGTAAACACACCAATCAGCACTCTGTAAAAACACACCAATCAGCGCTCTGTGTCTAGCTAAAGGTTTGTAAATGCACCATTCAGCTCTCCGTAAAAATGCACCAATCAGTGCTCTGTGTCTAGCTAAAGGTTTGCAAACGTATCAATCAGCGCTCTGTAAAAATGCACCAATCAGCACTCTGTGTCTAGCTAAAGGTTTGTAAATGCACCAATCAGCACTCTGTAAAAATGGACCAATCAGCAGGCCAAATAAGGGAATAAAAGCTGGCCACCCGAGCCAGCAGAGGCAACCCGCTGGGGTCCCCTACTATGCCGTGGGAGGTTTGTTCTTTCGCTCTTTGCAATAAATCTTGCTGCTGCTCACTCTTTGGGTTGGCACTACCTTTATGAGCTGTAACATTCACTGTCAGGGTCTGCAGCTTCATTCCTGAAGTCAGCGAGATCACGAACCCACCAGAAGGAAGAAACAACTGTGGATGCCAGCTTTAAGATCTGAAATACTCACTGCGAGGGTCTGCGGCTTCATTCCTGAAGTCAGCAAGACCGTGAACCCACCAGAAGGAAGAAACTCCAGACACATTTGAACATCTGAAGGAACAAACTACGGACTCACCATCGTTAAGAACTCCGGACTCACCATTGTTAAGAACCCACCACAAGGTCCATGGCTTCATTCTTGAAGTCAGTGAGACCAAGAACCCACTGGAAGGAATAAATTCCGGACACAGTCCTACTATGTTGAAGAGGAGTTGTGAGAGTGGGCATTCTTGTCTTGTTCCAGTTCTCAGAGGGAATGCTTTCAACTTTTCCCTATTCAGTATAATGTTGGCTGTGGGTTTGTTATAGATGGCTCTTATTACATTGAGGTATGTCCCTTGTATGCTGATTTTGCTGAGAGTTTTAATCATAAAGCAATGCTGGATTTTGTCAAATGCTTTTTCTGCATCTATTGAGATGATCATGTGATTTTTGTTTTTGATTCTGTTTATGTGGTGTATCACATTTATTGACTTGTCTATGTTAATCCCTGCATCCCTGGTATGAAACCCACTTGATCACGGTGGATTATCTTTTTGATATGTTGTTAGATTTGGCTAGCTAGTATTTTGTTAAGGATTTTAGCATCTATGTTCATCAGGGATATTGGTCTGTAGTTTTCTTTTTTGGTTATGTCCTTTTCTGGTTTTGGTATTAGGGTGATACTGCCTTCATAGAATAATTTAGGGAGGGTTCCTTCTTTCTCTGTCTTGTAGAATAGTGTCAATAAGGGGAAACAATCTTTGTGATCACCTGGTTCATAAGGCTAGAGTTTCCAGATAAAAAGTAAATTTGAGAGAAAACATGTTTTGAATTATGAGTATTTCTTAAGTTTAGCCAAACAGTCATGGTATGTGAAGAATGTGAGTCTTCAGTCCTGTGTACAGCCACCATATTCTGTTTCTTAATTTTTGGTGTTTCTATTGAGATTAATATCATCACAATTTTCTCCTTTTGTTATTCACACGGGATGTTTTCGCCCACTATATTTCCAAACCCTGAACTCATTTGCTAGAGGTGCTTATGATATTCTGTCATTCGAGGTCTATGGAGAGCAGCAGATACAGATGAAGAACTTCCAGTCTCAAGGAGAGGCCCCTCCAGTGGCTAAGAAAGCAGACGAGAATGAATTAGGAGCTCTTTCAGACGGATATCTTTAAAAAGACAGGAAGCAGTCGGGAAATAATGAAAGGCTTCCAAAAAGAACATCTGGTAATGATGCTTTATGACTTTCTCTCCCTAAGAGTACTACTTGTAAGCTACAGACAATATAAGAAACCTGAATTTATGTTAATTTCCCAAAGCTTGCCTTGAGCTCCTGATAAGTAATACATTCGTGAATAGCAGAATACAGTAAATGATAATTCTCATTTTCCAAGAGCATAATCAGCTTTTTCCTGTTCTAAAGTGCATATACAACTCGTTTCCATCTCTCCTGGTGTTTCATTGTTGAGTAATGATGTACTACATACCATACACAATACCTTATATGGGGTTACACAGAAACAGGAAATGACAATAACAGTACTTCAGAGATGACAGGTAACTCCCCAGAGAAGACAGGTACAGTGGGTGTGGGATGAATATGTATAGAAATTGGAGTGTATTTGCTGCACGTAAGAGAAGAAAAACAATAGTTAACGTGGGAAGAAAAGGCTAAAGCAAGAATAAAGAAATGCAGGCTGACTCATAATGAGAGTGCATGGGATGAAAGCAGGCAGGAGTTTAGAAAAGATTTTGTAGGGGAATAGGACTGCCTGTTTAAATGGTCTTCAAAATTCTCTCTCTCAGGACTACCACAGATTCCAAAAAAATCTCATGTGTACCTAGTCTTACGTGTTTCTGTTCTCATCAAATCTTGAAGAACCTTTACTCGCTTTGTAACCATTTAGGACTTCATATTTTCAATGTTTACTTTTGCCTTTCCTAAAACATATTTATGAGCCCAAAGAGTAAAAACCTATACCCTACATTTTTTACAGTCATCTGGGGCTTGTTCCTTCCTCTTGCTTCCAGAAGGTAATTCCTCTGACAGGTTGCTGAGACATGGTAGTAGCATTGAATGTTATCTTTGTCTTCTTTTGTGCTTGACTCTTAGACAGGTGTGGACCAATGATGTGCATGGTCAGCAACACCAGGAGGTGTGAGCTGCCAGGGAGTTTATGGGATGCTACCCTGATGGCCAAGGCATTTGTTAGGCTCTGTATTAAGTCTAATTTGCACATTCATTGAAACCGTCTCATGTGGTTAAAACTACCAGACAGAGTGCCTCCCA
Source organism: Homo sapiens (assembly GCF_000001405.40). NCBI lineage: Eukaryota > Metazoa > Chordata > Mammalia > Primates > Hominidae > Homo > Homo sapiens. The sequence continues at coordinate 7,001,308 of NC_000005.10, forward strand.
GGTCTGTATCATTTCCCAGTTATCTAAGCTGAATCCATGATGTGCAAATTTATTTCTTAGTCTCATTGTAGAACAAAGAGAGAACACTATGCCAGCCACTCTTTCACTTTGGAAATTGTTATTGATTTGCTTTCTCAGGCTTCTGTTCTCCCGTCAAGGCTGTCATCAATCACTGTTGACTGCCCACTGGGCACTGACTGCTGAACTGGGCATCAGAGGGGAATGCAGGGAGAAGAGTCGTAGGCGCCCAAATAACAGACACTGGACACCAGTCAGTGCTAGGAATGATAATGAACAACACAGTGGTTTTGTGCAAGATGAATGCATAAATATCAGCACAGAATGGAGGAGCTGCTAGAGTCTGACTGGAGACTTCAATTTTAGAGCTATGGAGGCCAGGTCTGCTTTGTCCTAGAGAAGCGAAAAGCAGTAACATTTCTTCCGTGAAATCTCCCTGTCTAGTGGGTGGGGAGATGAGAACATCTACAAATGCTTACAATACTGTGAGATGAGGGCTGAGTTAAAAGCACCCCAAGGAGCCTGTGTTAGTTTGCTCAGGCTGCCATGACAAAGTGCCACAAGCTGGGTGGCTTGGCAAAGAAAAAATTACTACCTCACAATTCTGGAGTTTGGAAGTCCAAGAGCAATGGCTCTGTGAGCAGAATTGGTTCTTCCTGAGGCCTTTTCCTTTGGCTTATAGATGGCTGTCTTCTCCCTGGGTCTTCATACTGCTTTTCTCTGTATTTGTCTGTATCCTAATCTCCTTTTCGTTAAGGACAGCAGCCTATCTGGTAAGACTATCTGGTAGGTTAAAAGACTATCTGGTAGTTTACTCAAACAATAAACTACTTGTACTAATACCATTTATCAAATAATTCTTTTTAAATTGCTCTTAAAAAACTCCTTTATTGGCCGGGCACAGTGGCTCATGCCTGTAATCCCAGCGTTGTGGGAGGCCGAGGCGGTTGAATCATGAGGCCAGGAGTTGAAGACCAGCTGGCCAAGATGGTGAAACCCCGTCTCTACTAAAAATACAAAAATTAGCCGGGTGTGGTGGCAGGCGCCTGTAATTCCAGGTACTTGGGAGGCTAAGGCAGAGAATTGCTTGAACCTCGGAGGTGGAGGTTGCAGTGAGCCAAGATCACGCTACTGTACTCCTGCCTGGGTGACAGAGCGAGACTCGTCTCAAAAAACAAACAAACAAACAAAAAACCCAAAACTCCTTTACCATGAACTGAATTTTCATGCATTCTGGGTCAACTCTGTACTTGGTTTATTTGTAATGATTTGAATACATTTTATCCTTCAGCGTCAAATTATTTTTTATTATTTTAGTTCAAACAAGGGCCTCTGGCTCAGGGAAAGTCTATGTGCTTGTGGGGAGAAGGGCATGGAGAATCTGAGATGAGTTGCTGAGACGAATAGAATCTGGTCAAAATTAGATAAAATGCAAAATGAAATACAAACTTTGCAGTTTTAGACTTCCAAAGATTCTCAGGAAAGATGTATTTGTAAATATTCTTATAAAACTTTGCTTCTGGGTGGAGGAGGTTACATCCTAACAGGCACAAACACACACACACAAAGAATGAGACATACACACAATTTGCTGTTACTTTAGCAAAAATGAACCATGTGCGTAGTAGCAGGGGAAACTTGAAATTACAGCATGTGTATTGGGGAAATCATTCATGTATTTGCTTTCCATGAAATTTATAGACAGTTTTCTATAATGTCACGTTGAGAGGTGAGGTTAAGCTCAGCAGTGTTCCCTAGGTGTCACTTGACAATAAACTGTGACACAGAGAGCCAAAAGAAGGTCAGGGAAGTCCTACTTCATGCCTTTCTCTTGGCACACAGGAAGACTGCATTTCCCAGCTTCTCTTGCAGCTTGGTCCCACCACTGGGCTGAGGATGGTAGTGATGTAGACCACTTGCAAGCCCAGACTTGAAGCTGCCCACATAACTCTCCATGAATTCTCTTCCCCTCGGGCTCATGTTTTAAAAACGATTTTTTAGAGATGGGATCTTGCTGTGTTGCCCATGCTAGTCTTGATAGGGTTCATGTTGAAGGTGATAACATCACAAGACAGAAAGAACATGGGCTGTTGAGCTCATTCCTAAGAGATAGTCTCCCAAATGTCATTGGACTGTGCACGTGGGAGAGAAATAAACATGTGATTGTTCTCATCTCCTGATCTGGAGGAAGTTAGTTTTAGTATTCAGCATCAACCACCCTGACTAATACAACCCAATGGTATCTTTGAAATAGGCATAATTTAAAATAGACAACCAGGGCAGGGGGATAGCCTCAAAATTCATGCATAAGCTACGATAACTGAGTCGTATGAAACTGCCCATAGTCATGTATCATAGTTTACTACAATTTCAGGTATGTAGTGGAAATTCATGATTTGGGGCTGACACTGTCTGAGGTGAAGATTTGGACTAGGAATCAAAGACAAAGAGAATGTCAGCATGTCATTACATTAGAAACAGGAATTATTAGGCCAGATGTCGTGGCTTATGCCTGTAATCTCAGCACTTTGGGAGGCCATGGCGAATGAATCACTTGAGCCCAGGAGTTCAAGACCAGCCTGGGTAACATAGTGAGACCTCATCTCTATAAAAATTACAAAAATTTGGCTGGGTGTGGTGGTGCATGTCTTTAGTCCCAGGTACACTTGGGAGACTGAAAGGGAGGATTGCTTGTGCATGGGAGGTTGCAGAGCTGAGACTGTGCCACTACACTCAAACCTGGGCAACAGAGTGAGACCCTATCTCAAAAAAAAAGAAAAGAAAGAAAAAGAAAGAAGGAAGGAAGGAAGAAGGAAAGAGAAAGAAAGAAAAAAGAAAGAAAAAGAAAGAAAGAAATTATTTAAAGTCAGAATACATTCTGACACATGTCTCTTCTCTCCTCACCTTCTCCAGGCTTCTGTACAAAAAATGATACTAATTTTCAGCCATGTTTATACCTTCCACTCAATTTTGAATCTGTCTACATGCATTAAGCATTTCTATCCAGTATTTGAAAATGTTATTGAATGCATCTGAACGTGTGCGTGTGTGTGTGTGTACATGTGTATGTAAGGGATTTGGGAGTGGTGCTGGCAGGGTGTGAGGATTGCACTTAAAATGATTTGGAGAAGGCTCCTTCTGTTTTAAGTGGGAAGGTGAGGTTTTTGTATATACACTGATGATGTGTCCTGGAAGGGGAGTGTTCATGGTATCTCCTTTTCAAGAACGAGAGATGAAACAGAGAAAAGGAAGACAGAGGCAATAGCCTATTGACCAGGGGAATTCAAGACATAAAATCATGGAACTTACCTATTTAAATCTATGAAACAAAAATTTAGTAGCAAAAAAAAAAGGAGTTATGTAGCCATATTCTAGGGGTATAGTAGAGGCAAATCAATTATCAACTGGCCAGTAATGTAGTAGAAGAAAATTCTCCTAACCCTGGATAAGTGGAAAAATCCCTCTGTAACACAGAGCTGTGTAATTCAAACTAAAAATAATAAAGAATTTGTCACCTTCTAAAGTGGATGCTTGCTATGGTCTGAGTGTTTGTGTCTCCTCAAATTCATATGTTGACACCTTGTCCCCAATATAATAGTATTAAGAGGTAGGGCCCTTGGGAGATAATTCAGTCTAATAATAAATGGAATTAGTACCCTTACAAAAGAGGCTTGAGGGAGTTTGTTCACCCCTCCTGCCTTGTGATGACAAAAGGCAAAGACACAGTCTGTGGAGAATGAGACTCATCAGATACCCAATCTGCTGGCACATTGATTTGGAACTTCCCAGGCCCCAGAACTGGGAGTAATAAGTTTATGTTGTTTATAAACTACCCAGTCTAAGGTATTTTGTTACAGCAACTCATATGGACTAAGACGACACTCAAATACAAAATTCACATTCAAAATAAATCTCATTAAGAAATATCCTAGGAATAAACCAAGTGACTATAAGGACATGATATCATGATCAGTTTCAGAAAAAGAGTATAGAAAAATGAATTCTGATTTTATATTCCCTCTTAGTTATTCAACAGTTTTGAACATTCTTACCAAAATATCTGCTTAATCAGATTCAAGGAGACATTGAATAATTATTTACTATTGAATTGGTTTTAATTGTCTGTAATACACATTGTACTTTAATGTCATATTGTATGATATTGAAAGTTCAAAGAATAACCCAGATCAAACAGAATAGAATATGTTATTTATTATTTTTAAAAGTTGGTAGCCAACTCGAAATGTACTCGACTCTCCTCTTCCATGCTTTCTTTTACAGTGTAGAAGGGAGAAGGAGAACAGCTGAACTTTAGAGGTCACAACAATGTTTCTGAAATTGTACATGCTGCTTTCTTTTTACCTCATTTTGTCCTCTCTCCTCTCTAACTTTCAGCCTTGAGAACTAACATTGCCATTCTTCAGCGGTGACATGGAAGTCCAGGTGGAAAATGTTCAACACCTGTGTTCTGTTGCATAAATTTGCATCATGAAATATCATTATTTTTATCATGAGACTTAGAATATGTTCCCTTCCCAAAAGCCACAGGGCATAGATTAATACAACTCTCTAATTAAAATATGCACAAGAGACAGGTGTACCTTTCAGCTGTTCAAGGAGCAGAGAAGTGTCTCCCTTACTGTGCATTGTAATGAGATTGATTTGTCAGTAGTGGCCACATTCAGAGAAGGTCAGGCTCTTTGGGGTCATTTCATACCAAAGAAATGAAAGAAATACAGATTTTAATTTGGTGTGTGAAGTTTGCAAATGATGCAATGGAATCATATTGTCAGCACATATGGAAATGTTTTGAGAGAGCACCATTTTTAATTGTGATTTATTATTTGAAGTTCAAAGGACATTAGAAGGAGTTATTTTGGTAACTCGAATGTTGCTTCTCTTACTAGAGAGTCAGAGAGATTTCAATAAGGAAGGATGCTCAGTGTGGATATTTATAAGGTAAAGATGGAGGGGGCAGTGGAGCCCAGGTGAGGAGGGGCAAGTGGATGAAGAATTTCACCCACTCTTGCTTTATTGGCAGACAATCATTGAGACAGTCTTTTCTCCTAGTCTTTTCTCATTTCACAGTTCCTTCTGGAGAGACCCCAGAGTGGGAACTGCTTAACTACCATCCTTGTTTGTAGTAGACGAAACAGGATTTGAATAACTTACTGTGCCTATTACTATGTGTAGAAATTAATTGTTATTGTTTCATTTGTTGTCCAGTGTCTTTCAAACGTTCATGTGAATATGACCACATCATATGTGAAAATCCACATGCTAATGCAGAAAGTCTGGGGTGGAGCCTGAAATTCTGCATCACTAACAAGCTCTTAGGTGATGCTGCTGATCTGAAGACCAGACTTTGAGTAGTAAGGCTGCAGATCACAAATTCTTAGACTGGTAGCTTTTCCTCAGGTGAATTATAACCTCCCCAACCTCTCAAACCATATGTAATTTGTAGACATACATGTATGTACATGTGTAGGAGAAGTATCTATTGGCTTTCATCATATTCTCTAAGATGGTCCACTACCAAAAAAGGTCAAGAATTCCTATTATAGAAGGAACTTAGGAGAGGGAAGAATGAGCTATTGAACTGAAAAAACTGGTCATGCACAATTATTACTTATGCTTTACTATGAGCAGACGTTAGTGATGTCTGGATAAGATAGAAAATGCAAGTAACTGAAGTTTGAAAGGGGAAAACACAGAAGCCTTCAGGTGGCTGTTAGAAAGTCTGAAGATGAAGCAGAAGTTTAGGAAAAAGCTGATCTTCCCTGATATTAAAAACACATGGCCACTAGTGAAACAGGGCTCAGGTGCTGGCTAAGCCAGGGTCCATATGTCTGGCTGCAGAGTAGACACATTCTATACTATCCTTAGGCTGCTCTCTGGAGATCCTTGTTGGCCATGTCCAGAGTGGGGCATTTGCCTTTTAAAGATCCATGGCTGATATTCCTGTCTAAGAATTTGTGATAAGGGTACAATTTGTTAGTTACCGTGTTGAGAACCATTCTTCTAGACCAGGGGTGTCCAGTCTTCTGGTACTCTACTCCATACACTGTTCCCTTTTTCTCTTGAATTTTTAACCTCTTTCTTCCTACTGGTTATTTTCTATAAATACTTAAATATATTAATATTTAAGGTCCAAATATCATTTAAGAATCCTTCTTTGTGCCAAGGTCTTCTTCTGAGGTTGAAATGATCTCTTTCCTCCACAGTCAAGCCTCTGAGAAGGGCAGTCTACACTTAGCTTCTCTGTTTTACTCATGCTCTGTCACTCCTCACCACATCTTACTGGATATTGTCCCTATAACTTCATCGACATGACACAATTCAAGGTTCCCATCGCCTTCTTGTGCTTAAATCCCAGGCCCCTGTAGAGCCCTCATCTTTCTTGATCCCTCAGTAGAGTTGGATGTGCCTAGTCAGTCTTTTCTTGAAACCCCTCCCTTGACATCTAGCCTATTACTACTGGCTTTCCTCCTACTTCTTGGGAGTGTCTCCATTACTCTGCTTGCTCAAAAGGCATTTTCTCTTGTCAATCTCAAGCATTTCTGCTGTTTCAATTACCACTGGTTGCTTTGTATCAGAGAAATCTATATCTTTATTGTGATCTCTCTTCTAAGCTCCTGAGCTGATAGCTTTTTATTGCTCATTTCTACTTAAATGTCCTGGTGACCTTTCATTATGAATCTGCCCTACATCAAAGTCATCTCAGCCTTCGTTCTCACCCTTTCCCCACATGAAACTACTTATTTTCCAATGTTCCTTGAGCGATCAAAACAAAAAGCTAGCATTTCTCCTTGATTTCTCTTACACTCTACAAGCAATAACCAAATTCTATTGAATCAAGCTCCTATGTGTTCCTCTGGCAAACTGTATGACCATTGTCATGGCACACATCAGTCTGTGTGTATTTTCTGTGTAGTGGTATTAATTTCACAGTTGACTTTAAATAAGCTCCATGTTGAACATTTCTGGTTCTTTATTGTCTACCTCAGTGCCTGGTATATAGTGAGCATCCAGGAACTATGTTTTTATAATCAGTTAATGCTTTTATGTTGTTTCTTATAAACTCTTGATATCACTGTCTCCAAAGAAAATCAGCAAAATAAAGATGAAGTTAGGAGAATCTCCAAGGGCCTGGCTAGATATAAAATTACCAGTCAACATATGTTCCAGGAAGACTGTTTAGTCTTCCTTTTCATACTGTTATGAATTAGGCCTTGCTGCAAATAGGTTGCTCATTAAAGGTGTTGCTTACTTCATTGGATCGCTTCTTTTTGCAGATGCTGAGCCAACCTAACAGGCTCCCTGGGGAAAAGCAGACGGGGCTCACCTGAACGTTACAAGTTTGTGGTCAAATGACTAATTAGAGCATTTCTTCTTAGTACTTTTATGGAACTATAGTCAGTAACCCATTGGATGTAGTCATCTTTTCATTGATGTCATTGTGATAGTAGATGGATGATTTCTAACTGCCCTGTGGCAGGCTATTCTTAAGGAGGCTTGAGGTATAGTTGCTTCAAGAAACAATTTAATACATGGAAAAGCACTGTGCTAGGCACTTTGGGGGATGGGAAGAGGGAAATGTTAAGTAATGGGAAGAGTATTTGAACTCAAGAAACCTACAGCCTGACAGGGGAAGTGGGGAGTGTTAACATACATGCAGACATTATTATACAGCATGTGACAACTCATGAAATACACAGTGTTCTGGCCACTCGGGGTAGGGAAATTACACATAATGGCAGACTTGAGAAAGTTCCATAGCAAGTGAAATGTTTTGTGGTTTTTGAAGTGGGGCTGGATTTCCATGGACATCCACACTGTGGGGGAAGTGGCCATCACAGGCAGTGGTGACAAAGTTACAGGTATAGGAAAGTATGGATGGTGCCAGAAACCTGAAAATCGAATTGGAATTCAGATTATTGTAGGGAAGGCATGAAAGATATAATGGACAGAAATGAGTGTCTTGCAGTGTAGCCTGAGGAGCCAGCTGTGGGAAATAAATCTCTTGGAAGCTCATATTTTATCTTAAAATGTCTACTCTATAATGTATCTTTCTTTATTTTAAAATAAAAATGATATTTTTTATTACCTATCGTGGACTAAAGTTGACACATATGCATGCTGTGGTGCTGAGCTCCCCAAGGCACATAGCTGAGCGCACAGGGTAATATTTTTAATTTGAGAAATGTGATTTTTTATTTAATAAAATTATCTTTTATACTTATAATGTGCTACAAACCTCTGAATTTACAAATATATTAACTTTTTTGAATCTCAAAACAAACATTAGGTAGACACTACTGTTATCCCCATTTTAAAGAAAAGGAAACAGGCTCAGAGATGCTCAAGTGATTGCCCAAGATCACATGTGCAGAAGAGAGAGACCTGGGATTCAAATCTAGACAGTAGCACTCCAGGGACTGTACTCTGACCCCTAACTAAAATGTCTCCATCAAATTATGGGGACCTTTAAAATATACTTCGGAAACCAAAATAAGCTGTATAGTTAGACTAGTGCACATTTAATGAGCTTAAAATTGTCACTGATACGCAAAAATATTTTCCTAATACTGTTTGTACATATTTGTGTGTGTATGTACACATGTGATATGTGCATATGCATGCATAAATTGAAGTTTTGCATGATTTGAATTTGTCAGTAATTATGATTTTCACTTCACATATGTAATAATAATTTTGAAGGTAAGTTTTGTCTGACCAGAATGGTTTGAGGCAAGCAATTGGCTACAAATGCAGGAAGTGTGCAATGTCATCTCTCACCAAAAGTGCAGAAGGGATGCTCTCTATACTCAAATTCATGGCACGGAATGTTATCTGTTGAGGTTAATACCTTTTGTTATACACCTACTTGAGATGACCCATAGGTTACAGTCCTTAAAGGAGAGACAAAGTATGCTCCAATTCTGATTTTCATGGAGGAAATGTAGTGGGTGGAATGTGCTCTTTATAGTCCTGTCTTATTTTGGGCAAAAATTTTGAGAAGTTCAGAAATTCCAGCCCTCAGATTTCTTTAGATGTAAAGCCAGAAAAAGAAGCTGCTGACAGCGCATTAAAGTTCAGTACGATTTCTGACCAGGAAGGCGGACTTCAGATTTGAGATTGTAAGCCCTCTGAAGCTCCATGTGACCCAACCAGGTTACTCTTCTTGAGGGGAGTTTGGAGAGTGAAGAACTGTAGCTCCTACATGCAGTTCAGAAACAAGCAGGAAGTGTACACACGAAGAACTAACACCTTCAACATACTTTGTTTAAATATTATATCATGTGAATGGCACCAGACATGCCGTCATGTTCGCCTGTAAGTGCACTTGAATTTCTGATTCCGAAAATAAGTAGGCAGTGAACATAAAATTCATTTAGTTATTCATTTATTCCTTCATTCCACTTGTATTTATTAAGCACTACCTTGGCACAGGCGCTGTTCTAGGTGCTGAAGTGAGGGAGTGGGGAATAAGCAGACCTAATAAAACTTTGCCTCCAGGACAAGGAGAGGCAATACATAAGCATAACTGTAGAATTAAAAGTAAATATATAAGGTGTTAATCTTTTGTGGTTAAAGATGTGAAGGAAATATCAAAGTTGAGATGATAAGGAGCAACGAATTGGCCGAGAGCTACTTAACAAGAGTAGACAGGAAAAGCTCTGCAGAAGTGAGATTAAAGTCAAGATTGACAGGATAAGAAGATGTGAAGGTGTGGAAAAAGAATCCCAAGCAGAGGACACAGCATGTATAGGGTTCTGAGATGGGAAGGTGCAGGGCTTCTTTGAATAGTAGAAAGGAGGCAGAGGGACATCCAAAGGGAAGAAGGTAAAAGAGGAGGCTGGCAGAGTGTTACGGAATTGATTCTCAGATTTTTTCTTACATATCCCTCTTGATGACTTTGAAAATGTCATTGATCCCATGGATTTTTGCTATTGTCTTTATATATGTGGAAATGACTTCCTTAAAAAGCCATGAGGAAAAAACCCTTGATCACTTTCTAATTAATTTTTACCTATACTTAGATTGTAGCAGGACTTCACTTTTGCCTATATTGTAGAACTGTAACATCCATTTTCTCTCTTCTTTGAAAACTAAAATTTACTGCCTTTAAATAAGTGACAAAAATTATTAATGTTACCCCAGACAGTGTCACAAGTTTGAGAGGTGTGACAAGAACAATCCAATTTCTTTTAACTGATATGGAGGAAAAAATAAGGTGCAGTTCAATATTAATTATTACCATAAGAAGATAAAAGGCTTGACAAGTAAACCTTGGTATGATGATCATATCTCATAAGAGGATAAGCCCCAGGGATCATCCATGCTCAGACTTGAGCTCCAGGGACATGGGAGATGTTCATCTTGGGACACAGACCTCAGCTGTGAGGGCACCAAAATAGCCCTCTGTATTAGTCTGTTCTCACATAGCTATTAAGATAAGAGATACCTGACACTGGGTGATTTTTGAAGGAAAGAGGTTTAATTGACTCGCAGTTCAGCATAGCTGGGGAGGCCTCATAAAACTTACAGTCATGGCAGAAGGGGAAGCAAACATGTCCTGCACATGGCAGCAGGAAGGAGACGTGCATAGTGAAGGGGGGGAAAGTATTTTATAAACGCATCAGATCTCGTGAGAACTCACTATCATGAGAACGGCATGGAGGGACTGCCCCCATGATCTAATAGCCCCTCCATGAGGTCGCTCCCCAACACATGGGGATTACAATTCAACATGATATTTGGGTTGGGACACAAAGCCAGACCATATCAGCCCTCTTAATATAGAGTTCGTAAACCTAAGTGCCTTAGGTATACTTTAGATATTTTATAATCAAAATATTTGGTTTGATTGATAACGTTACATTTTAGAGTAGGTTGTGCTTCTCATAAACAAATGGTTTTGGTTCAGAACCATGGAGAGAGAAAAAGAGATTTAGAAATTTGTTATTTATTTGTGGCAAGAACACTTAAACTCTTTCTGCAAATCTTTAATTGTAAAAGACAGTGTTGTTAATTATAGGCACAATGTTGTATAGTAGATCTCTAGAACTTATTCATCTTGCTGAACTGAAACATTATACCCCTTGAAGGGCAACTTTCCATTTCTTCCTCCCCCTGCCAGCCCATGGCAATTGTCATTTTACTCTCTGTTTCCATGAGTTTGACTATTTTAGATACCTCACATAAGTGGAATCTTGCAGTATTTGTTCCTCTGTGATGAGCTTACTGTACTTGGCATAATATCCTCTAGGTTAGTCCATGTTCGTTGGTTATAACGGAATTTCCTCTTTTTAAAGGTTAATATTCCATTGCATATATATGCTATATTTTCCTTATCCACTCATTTGTCAATAGATATTTAAGTTGTTTTCATAAACTGGCTATTATGAATAATGCTGCAGTGAACATGGGAGTGCAGATATCTCTTTTATATTGTAGTGTCTCATTTTTAAAGGATATATACCCATAAGTGGGATTGCTGGATCACATGGTGATTTTATTTTTAGTTTTTGGAGGAAGCTACATATCATTTCCCATAGTAGCTGTGGTCATTTTATATTCCCACCAACAGTCTACAAGAATTCCAATTTCCTCTATCCTCACCAACACTCATTGTATTTTGTTTATTTACTTTTTGAAAGTAGCCATTATAACAATTGTGAGGTGATAATTGTGGTTCTGATTTGTATTTCCTTGATGATTAGTCATGTTGAGCATCTTTTTATATACCTGTTGGCCATTTGTTTGTCGTCTTTGGAGAAATGTCTATTTAAATTTTTTGCCCATTTTTGAATAGGATTATTTGTTTTATTCTGTTGAGCTGTAGGAGATCCACATATATTAGATATTAATCACTTGTCAGATATATGGTTTGCAGTCTGCAGAATGCAGTCAATCTGATGTATGGTTCCCAATCTGCAGGTTGCTTTTATTCTGTTGATTGTTTCCTTTGCCGTGCAGAGCTTTTTAGTTTAATTCCACTTATCTAATTTTGTTTTGTTTGTGCTTTTGCTATCATATCCAAGGAATCATTGCTCAGACAGTGCCATGGAGTTTTTACCCTATGTTTTCTTCTAGGAGTTTTATAGTTTTAGATCTTAAATTTAAAACTTCAATTTATTTTAAATTGGTTTCTGTGCATGGTGTAAGATAAGGGTACAATTTGCATGCTATATACAGTCTCTTAGCACCATTTGTTGAAGAGGCTATCCTTTATGAATTGGGTATTCTTGATACCCTTGTCAAAGATCAGTTTACCATATATGCATGCTTTTGTTCTTGGCTCTGTATTCTGTTTCATTAGCCTATAGATCTGTTTTTGATTAGAAACTTTTAATACTAAGAACAACAATCATGATTCTGTCTGTGTGTTTGTATGTGTTTTTCAAAATATTAAAAGTATGTCCAATTTTTTATGATTATAAAAGTAATATGTATCAAATGTTAAAAAGTCATAAAGAAAATTAAAATTACCAATAACACCAACCTGGGTTCAATCAATGATATCTGCCTCTGCTAAGACGTGCCTACCATAAAACGTCAGGAACTGAAAATAACATATTTTCTGTACTATCTCATTCTATTATCCAACAACCACGTGAAGAGATTATTATCCCTACATTATGGATGGAAAAAATGAAGCTCATGGATTTAAATGTCCTATATTAATCTTAGAGGGTTAGAATACAGGTAACTTTAATTAGTCTTTATATTTTTCACTTCCCATTTTCATAGTTATGTATGCTTTATTCATCTAAAACACAAACTTTCCACAAGAGAAAAAAACAATTTCTGTCACTGTTGGAGGAAAATGGGGAAGATGTACTAATTCATAAATATAATTATTTAAATTTGAATAGGCCAAAGCTTTGAAGACTTAGTCTGCAAAATTATTCTACCAAGTGCTAATTATACCTTAATATTCCATAGTGAAGAATTCATTCTATTTCCTTGTGTACTTCTTACTATTTTTGTTATTATTGTCATTATTATTGTCAATACTCTCATCATGAATAATATCTTAGTGACAACATGATTAGAGAAAATGATCATGGCTAGGGTATACACTCAACATGACTTATGTTAAAATCATTCTAAATTTAAATGTAACAACCTTCTAATAAGAAAAATTAGGCTGACTGACAGAAGCAAATGGTTTTGCCAATCCACTTGGTATCTTCATAAATGATTTCCCTTTAATGACTTTATGTATTTTTTGGCTACTTTTTCATCACAGTGTGAAATTGAGGGATATGTACGATTATAAATTGAGTGTATATGACTAGTGTTATTTAGATTTGGGGAACAGTACACTGACTATGTTTATATCAAGCATTATGTGGTTAAGAAGCTTGGAAGCAAATGAGTCAATTCACAAGAAATGAACTTTTTAAACACTATTTGGTATATCTAAGATATCTGTGTGAGTTGAGGGAATTGCCAAATATAACGATCTGTATGAGTTGAGGGAATTGCCAAATATAACAATCTGTTTACTGACTGTGAATTAACTATTGATTAACGATAGAGAGATATGGGACTGATCCAACTACCACATACAATGAAGTGTCATGAAACACAAAATATGTTTTTTAAAAAGGATAAAGCAGTTTTCTGTTATTTAAAGTTTCAGCTGTTATATGTGTACATCTCAAAAGAGAAGACACACTGCACTTGATTTATAATTTTGAGTTGTTCTTTCTTTAAGAACATATTTCTGGAGGAAAAAACTGTATAGGAACATTTGTTTATTTATTTATATTTTTCAGTTTTTCTGATTTGTTGAAGAAATGGATGGAACTAAAAATTACCACATGTCCTTTTTCTGGTTCAGTAACTTTTCCTTTGCTGATGAAGACAATGCTATCCTTAGGTTTGTAATTCAGAGCCATTCGATATAGTTCTGCTGTTTTATGACACCACTTTTAATATTTGATACTCCCTTAACTAAGAGGAGAATTTATAAATATATTTAGTAACAAAGTAACAATTTAAAACAGTCAAAAGGTTAAAAAAATTATATTTTCAAATAAGCTAATTTGGGTAATTTCTCTATTTTTCTAATGATATAATTTTACATGTTCTTAGTTTTCTTATTACAAAATAAATTTTTACAGTGACGGTAAACTTTGCATAATCATGGGAATTGGAATACTATTGCTTTCACAAAAATATAGATTAATAATTACAGACAGGTTTTTATAATTTGCTCTTTTGTAAATTGACTCTGGGACTCCTCTTCTGTAACTAAAAGGCAGACACTCCAAAATGTGCAAACGAATTGTACTCCAAGAGTTCAAATGTGAGTTTCTTATTTCTACAATGACTTGCTTGTCAAGTCAACATAAAACCAGCTCAGCTAGCATATAGTTTGCCAGGAATCTGGAATTCCAGAGTCCTTGGGTAAGGTGGGAGGAATGAGGATGAGCCAGGGAGGTGGGTAAAGCAGGGGAGGTTGTAGCACCAGTTCCCGGCCTGTCCTCCTTCCTTGTCAGCACCACCTAATTTTGCTTGGACCAGCACTGTGCTTACCCCTGGTGAGATAGTTACTTTTCCAGCCTCCTTGGTACCTAGGAGGGACCATATGCCCCAGGATTTGCCCATGAGCTATGGGAGGGAAACAGAAGGGAGACATCTGAAAAGGAGACCCCATGGCTGAGGCTGTCTTCCCGCCATGTTTTTATGCCTTGAATGTGGCAGCTGTGGCAACTGTGAGTGGAGTTGGGCAGTATTTCCCGCCAGTAGGTGGCTCTAACAGGAGTGAGCTTCTAAAGTAACATGAGCAGTTAACTACTTTTAGATTCCTTGTTAGAGGAGAAAAAACATACCCCAAATTGTTTAAGCCACTGAAATTCCAGCATCCTGTTTCTCGTGGCTCACGGCATTCTTATCTAATACCAACCAGCATTTGGGCTGTTTTTGTCTCTCCCTTCTTCACCTTTAATTCCTTTTCTTCTTCCTCTTCCCAATGAGGTGTGTGCATGCGTGTGCATCAGGTTAAGTTGAGGTTGTGGGAAAAAAGCAGCAGTAGAAATGGGAGATATTTTGCTCCATGCCCCTTTCTCTTGCCTTAAACAGCAGCTTTTCTTATTTTTTGAGAGATGGGAAAATAAAAGGGACAGAGTAATATTTGGAATTGGAGGGTCTGCAGGGGTTAAAGGAGTAAAATAGGAAAAAGGAAAACCCTGGTATCCCCAGGATGGGACTAGGAATTGACTGCACCTGACGTTTGAGCGCAGTCATGGCTACAAAACAGAAACCTTGTATTAAGCCCAAATAGCTAAGTGGGCTGCCTGATATAAACAAGTATATCATGGCTGGGTGCAGTGGCTCACACCTGTAATCCCAGCACTTTAGGAGGCTGAGGCGGGTGGATCACCTGAGGTCAGGAGCTTGAGACCAGCCTGCCCAACATGGCGAAACCCCGTCTCTACTAAAAATACAAAAAAATTTGCCGGCATAGTGGCGTGCTCCTGTAATCCCAGCTACTTGGGAGGCTGAGGCAGGAGAATAGCTTGAACCTGGGAGGTGAAGGTTGCAGTGAGCTGAGATCATGCCATTGCACTCCAGCCTGGGCAACAAGAGTGACAAACACTGTCTCAAAAAAAAAAAAAAAAAAAGTGTATCATTTTGAGATACTATTTTCCAAAGAATTTTAGAGGCTTGAGTAGCAGAAGAAAGGAGCCAGTCTGTTTGCCATTCACTGCAAGGGAGAGTTGCATCTCCCCTCCCAGGTTGGAAAAGTTAGCGTTCACAAGCAGTTGAAATTCGGGAGAACTCAGCATGTTCCTAGCCAGGACCTAAGGGACCACCTCGTGCAGCGAGCTGCCAGCCATCTGGCTGTGTTGTCACATTGGACCTGGGCCACTGGAGGGTTTCCGTGGTGTGATGGCCAGATGGCCAACACCTCTCTGAGATCAGGCCATTTGAATCACTAGAAGGTGATTAGTTTTCTGGTCTTTGTAGGTTGGTTCTTCATATAACCTAGGAACAGTCAGAAAAACTCTGGGGAAGAAAAAGACGTTCAGAATCACATCCCTCCACAGCTGCCTGTTAAAGGACATGATTAAAA
The DNA here is from genome assembly GCF_000001405.40 of Homo sapiens. Taxonomy (NCBI): domain Eukaryota; kingdom Metazoa; phylum Chordata; class Mammalia; order Primates; family Hominidae; genus Homo; species Homo sapiens. The sequence continues at coordinate 7,017,419 of NC_000005.10, forward strand.
AATAGTCATTAAGTGCCTCTCCCTGGAAAAAAAATGAATTATTTTCTTGAATTGGACTTAAACATTTCATGGCTACGTGCATTCTAATTGGCCCCAGAACAGCTTACATCTGCTGTTTCCCGGAAACAGCTTAATAAACAATGGGAAAACGCATAGACAGCTGTCTTAAAACATCACAGACAAGAAAGCCTGTTTATATTTCAATTTCCCAATGTCTGATAGCACGAGTTAAGGCAACTCTATTCCTTCAACTCTGTTTTAAATGTGAGGGCAGCAAACAGTGTTGCTTAAATGGAAAAGGACCAATGTGGAGAGATGCATATTTTCCCTGAAAAGTAGAGGCTGTGCCCTGGTTGTGAAGAATTGGATCTTAGAATTATTATTTTTATATCCCTCTAACTCTTGTTAAAAAATGTGCAGTATGTCCTCATAAATGCTATCTAAAATCCATGGACAATAAACTAAATTGTTTTTCACGTACAAATTTGTTGCTTCATTGTAGGTAGGTGAAGAACATGTCAAAAGGGGGCTGAGTACTACATGACTGAGAATTTATTTGAAAAATGAAATGCACCAAGCCTGATGATCTATTTTGGATCTATTAAGGGAGTAGTACTAAATGCATCCTACCAGTCAGCCTTCCTTGGATTTAGTCCTCCAGCATTTGCCATCAGCCCTCACCTAACTTTAATTTCCCCTACCTCTTTTTTTCCACATCCATAATTCCCCAGATCTCTTTGACTATTTCTAGTGTTGTCAATGCCAACTCCTGACTCCCTGCAACATCTCAACGTGGCATTCCTCACACTCCCCCTTGTCTCTTTTGAAACACATTGGCTTTGTATTCAATTCCGGTAAGGCTGGTTGTAGTTATTCAAATGTTTGTTGATTGATGTACTAGTCTAAATATTAATTGAGATGCCATCTTTATGACTGATCCCTCCCTGCACTGGTCACACCAAATAACACACATGCATTTTAACAAGAGCTTTTAACACTCTGATACCACAAAGGCAAATGTGGAACATCAACCATCTGGCAGTGTGGGTTGTGATTATCTGTAAGGCTCACAGCGTCATTCAGCTCATTATATACGCATGGTGCATATATTCACTGAGGGGGAACCTAATAAGGCCTTATGGAGCCAATATGAGAGAGCCGACTGCCATAAGAGTGGTGAAATATCTCATAATAATAACAGCTTGAAGAATTTGCTTTGCCAAAACTATTTTCAGTTAGAAGTAAATGACAGGAATGTTTTAATAAGCTACTTGAGGTGGGGGCTGGGCCCACCAAGGAACATGCCAGAGTGACATTGCCTGGGGGTTCTGGCCCTTAGCTTTGGGTGCCATGAGGTTAAGAGGGCATTAGGGGGCAAGTGAGCACTGCCCCTGGTGTTGGCTTTCTCTTTTTCTCCACAAGGTGCATGGCCCCAAATCAGCATTCACAATGCTGCTTTCCCCTAGCTTTATTAAGGTGTACTTGACAAATGAAAATTTTACCTATTTAAAGCATAGACATGGGAAAAGTTCCCTTATCCCCCTCTCAGGGCATGTGATGGGAATGTGGAGTGCTTCTTCAGTGCCCTGCTGCTCAGGCCTCTAGGGGAGCATACAGACCGGCAGGCTGCGGGGCTCCAACCCCATTGCAGTGTCTAGGGGTGAATGTTTGCAGCTGAAATCCCAGTGGGCATGTGCTCTTTTAGTTTAGCCTTCCATACACAGCTTGTGTTAGTCAGCTCAATTAGACCCCCTGCCTTAACACAAAGACAGAGGGCTTTCTGTTTCCTGGGGTTCTTGCCTTGTTGTACCAGAAGAATCAGATCACACGTGGGCTTGGAGAGTGAGTGTGAAGTTTTATCGAGTGGAAGTATCTCTCAGCAGATGGGAGCACCAGAAGGGAGATGATTTTCCCCACTCGGCAGCCCGACTCTTCTCCAACTGCCTGGCCAAACTCCATGTTGTTCCACCAGTTCGTGGCCTGCTGGCATGCTGGTGTGCTCCTACACTGCTGTGTTCCTCTCGGTATCCAGCTGCCCATGTGTTCCTCTACTGATGTGCTCCTTTCAACGTCCAGCCATCTGTGTGTCTACCTGCTAGGGTTTTGGGATTTTTATAGGCACAGGATCAGGCATGGCGGGCCAGAGTGGTCTTGGAAAACGCAACATTTGAGTGAGAAGGCAGGAGTGCCTGTCCTCACCTAGGTCCATGGGCACAGGCCTAGAGGGTGGAGCCCTAGCCAGGGACCCACCTTTCTCTACCCAGCACTTCGCTGCCCCCCTTCCATATCATTTCCCCCCTCTGAAGAGGTACATCTAATTGCCATTAGAATATGGATGATGACCCTTCTGCTGACAGTGGGTGTTGTTTTGGGGGAAACAGCAGTCAGAGTCCTCCCAGAGGTCTAGCTAAGGATTTCTAGCAAAGGGGAGCCATTGTCCGAGGCTCTGATTGCCTGACCATTTGGAGTTTGATGGCTTCTAGGCATGAGAGAAAAAACAGTTATATAAAGTGAAGTATGCATGGGTTAGATATGTGTATTATACAAGAAAATAATTTAGTTCAAAAGATTACTGAGATAAGAAGTGAAATATACTAACAACAATACCATATCTTGAGCTGTTTCATCCTGGTGAAATAAATTAAACATTGTATGGGAGCAGTTAAACTTTAGAAGAGCAATAACTGTTCTTGCCATAGCTTCAGCAGTTAACAGGTGCACCCTGGGAATTCCGGGGTTTGTGGGCTTGCACAGTGGCCATTAAAGCTTCTGTCTCTTTCTTGTGTCTCCCTTTATCTCTTGTAGAAGACCGAGGTGGCCACTTTCAGGAGGTCTTCTAAGGTACTATCTGGCCCCTGGGCCTGTTTCTGCAGCTTCCTCCTGATGTCAGGAGCTGCCTGAGTAATAAATTTATCCTTTAGGATTAGCTGTCCCTTGACTGAATCAGGAGATAGAGAGGTGTGCTTTACCAAAGCCTCTCTTAGCCTCTCCAGGAAGGCAGTGGGATTTTCATCAAATCCCTGGTAGATCATGGACAACTTAGTGTAATTGAGAGGCTTGGTGTTAGTCCTACATAAGACCTCCATTATGGACACCTGAAAGTGTCTCCTCTTCCTGTCTTCCATCTTGTCACTGGGATCCTATTTAGGATCATTCACAGGTACTGCTTCTCTCCCAGTTGGATAAAGTTCACCCCCTTCCCTGATGCTATATGTGATACAAAGCTCATCCCCATATCTCTCTGCTGCTTGCAGAGTGGCCTGTTTCTCAGTGTCCTATTCAAAAGTAACATAATGTCTCTCCAGGAGAGTTCAAATGTTTGAGTGAAATTTCGAAAAGCCTCTATGTGTCTATCAAGGTCATCTGAAAACGTGCCAAGATCCCCCTTAAACTGCTTTAAGTTCTGTAGGGAAAAGAGAACTTGGCCTTTACTAGGCCCAAATTCACTGGGCATTTGTTGGAGGGGCAAGAGTGAGACCAGGGCTTGTTTAGGATGAGGATTTCTAGGAGGGGGCAAGTGAGAGGCTGAAGCTGGATAGGGAGATTAGGGTGGACCCAGAGGAACAGGGCTTGAAGGAGCTGACTCCTCTGCTGGGAGTGCCTCTGGGACTTGCATCTTTAATTCCCTGGGCTTGCCCCTTGCCACCTTCCTGAGACTGCAAACAGGAGGGCTGGATCAATCCTACATTGTCGGCAAAGGTCTGGATTGTCTTGCAAGGTATAGAAAGCCTGCACATGTGGGGCCTCAGACCATCTGTCCTCCTGTCTACAGAAAAGTTCCAATTGCCGATGCTATTGAGATGAATGGTCTCTTTCTGAGGCCAAGCCAGTCCTTCCCGTAAATAATAGTTTGGCCAAGCCTTTGTGCAGAGGGCTATGAGGTGCTTTTTACTCCAGATTCTGAGAGTCAAAGCAGTCCCAATGGTTCAGGATACACTCCAGAGGAGTATAAGCTGGGGGTGGTGAAGAGAACTGCTTGCCTATTCTGAAAGAGATTGGAATAGAGACATCCCTCATTCCCTTCCTTCTTTCAGTGAAAATTCAGGGTGTGATGGAGAGAGAAAGTGAGCATCCTCCCTTCACTCTCCACTTCTTATCCCTGAGCCCCAGTGACCTTTGCAGGTGCTGGCCATAGGTACCAATGCGGTATGTATCCATGAAGCAGGAAAAACCTGGAAATAGGAATTAACTGCCCTCACCTATGCCTCCCTTTCTCCTTGCTGTCGACAACCTTTGAGTTCCCTGGGCCTGTTTATGCCGTGAAGCATGGCCTCCTTCCATGGGGTGGGGTTCAGTCGGCAGGAATTGGTCCTGCCCATTTACATTGTGCCTGTTGCCTGGGTTTGGATCCCTCAGACCTGTTTTTTTCTTTCTAGGGCCTCAGCCTTAAGCTTGGAATCAAGTTTGGGACTGAAAATGTATTTCAGAGCCTGTTTGTATCCATTTAGTGTCTCAAATAAGCCCTGCCAAATTTGCAGTTCTCAGCCAGCAGGGGCCACTCCTCTGTTAACTTCCCTATCAGAAACAGAGTGGGGGTGGGGGTCTTCTCACTTAGAAAAGGAAAAAAGAGAAAAACCATTTAAGTGCAAAAAGTGGGATATTGAGAGGGAGGAACCTCTTGTTTAGTGCAACTTGGCATTTCTAATCCTTATAACTTTCCCCCAGTTCAGCCCGGGTTGAATTCTTTGGCCAGGGGAGGAAAGATTCCATTGGCACAGCAGGCGAGAAGCAACCATCTGTTAGACCTGTGGGGTCACGGTTACTACCGTGGCTTTCTCCTGCCTACATTGTGGCTGTTGGGCTCCACCTTTGCCGGCTGTGGGCCTGCCCAGGCACCTGAGCTGGGAGGGGAGAGGGTAATGGGAGGTGCCCTGAGCCATGCGTGCCTGTAGCTATTGTGGTGGAGTCATAGACCATACCTCTAAGAACAGTTTATCTGATTTGCACCTTTGGTGACTGATCCAAGTGCTTACTTTAGTTAGTAACATTGCCATAGCCTGTAGCAAAACTCTTAACATTATAAAGTAAGAGGTAAGAGCCATTTCAAACCTTGTGAGAGAGAAAAGAGACAAAGTCTGGGGGTTTTGACCATCCTGGTTAGGGTGGCTTGAAACTCTGTGAAGGGAAACAGAGCCTGTTACTCACAGGAAAGAGAGAAGGTGGCAGGGTTTTGGGAAAGAGGGAGACCTGACAGTTTCACATTTGCTCACACTCACCTTCTGAGATCCTGGACGAGCCCCCAGTAAAAATGAGAAAACTTTCCTTGTCCCCCTCACAGCGTGTGTGATGGGGGTGTGGCTTGCTTCTTCAATGCCATGCTGTTCAAACCTCAAGGGGAGCATGCAGATGGGCAGGCTATGGGGCTCTGACCCCACGGCATTGTCTAGGGGTGAATGTTTGCAGCTGAAGCCCCAGTGGGTGAGTGTTACAGGGTGCTCTTTCAGTTTAACCATCCATAGGCAGCTTGTGTTAGTCAGCTCAGTTAGACCCCTGCATTATCACAAGGACAGAGGGCTTTCTGTATCCTGGAGTTCTTGCCTTGGTGTACCAGAAGAATCAGCTGAAACGTGGGCTTGGAGAATGAGTGCAAAGTTTTATCGAGTGGAAGTAGTTCTCAGCAGATGGCAGAGCCAGAAGGGAGACAGTTTTCCCCTGGAGTAAGGCCGCTTGGTGGCCTGACTCTTCTCCAACCACCCCAGCCAAACTCTGCGTCTTTCCACCAGTTGATGGCCTACCAGTATGCCGGTGTGCTCCTACACCAGTATGTTCCTCTCGAAGTCCAGCTGCCTGTGCATTCCTCTGCTAATTTGCTCCTGTCAATGTCCAACCACCTGTGTGTCTGCCTGCTAGGGTCTTGGGATTTTTATAGGCACAGGATGGGGGCGTGGTGGGCCAGGGTGGTCTTGGGAAATGCAACATTTGGGCATGAAGTCAGGAGTGCCTCTCTCACCTAGGTCCATGGGCACAGGCCTGAGGGTGGAGCCCTAGCCAGGGACCCACCTTTCTCTACCCAGCACTTCCCTGTCCCCTTTCCATGTCAGCATGAAACATGATGTTTTGATATACATTGTGAAAGGATTACCACAATCAAGCTAATTAATATATCTGTTACTTAACATAGTTACAAGTTTTTTGTATGTTGAGATTGCCTAAGAGCAATTATTTTAGCAAATTTCATGACTGCCATACAGTATTGTTACCTTTAGTTACAATGCTGTATGGTAGATTTCCAGAGCTTATTCATCTTGTGTACCTAAACCTTTGTACTCTTTGGCCAACATCTGCTCATTTCCTCAATGCTCCTGCCCCCTGGAAACCACCATTCTACTCTTTGCTTTTGTGAGTTGGACTTTTTTAGATTACTTCATAATATTTCCCATAATGGTTATATCAATTTACATTCCCACCAACAGTGTACAAGTGTCCTCTTTCTTTATATCTTTGCCAATTCTTGTTATATTTTGTCATTTTGATAATAGCCATTCTGGCAAGTGTCAGCTGATGTCTCAATGTGGTTTTAATTTGCATTTTCCTGATGATTAGCACCTTTTCATATACTCATTGGCCATTTGTATATCTTTGGGAAAATGTTTATGCATCTCTTTAGCCCATTTTTAAAATCAGGTTATTTATTTATTTGCTATTTTTTTTGGCTGTTGAGTTGAGTTCCTTACATATTTTGAATATTAACCATTTATGAGATATATGGTTTGTTAATATTTTCTCCCACTTTGTACATTGCCTTTTCATTTTCTTGATTGTTTCCTTTGCTGTGCAGAAGCTTTTCATTTTGATGCAGTCTAACTTGTCTATTTTTGCTTTTGTTGTCTATACCTTTGCTGTAATATCCAAAAAAATCCATTGCCCTAATAAATGTCAAGAAGCCCTTTCCCTATGTTTAATGGTTTCATTCACAACACTTTTGCTTATCTTTAAAATATTAGCTTGAAGAGGATAAAATTATTCATTTGTGTAGGACACTTAGTTCTCAATGTAGCTCTGCCAATAAGAAAAGGTGAGAAAAACTGAGTATGTGACATGAGGGATTTTGGAATACAGGTGGTATTTCATATTTCCTCCCAACTTGAAATCAAAATGTGAGATAAAGAACATGGAACTATTGAATTTTACTTCATGCCTAATTTAAACCAACATTACCTGATAATGATAAGTGCAGAACATTTTTCTGACTCTAATGAAATCATTTATTTAGTCATTAGGCCAATTTAGGTTTTGACCTTTGAGAAGATAGGTTATGTTATACAGCAAAATTCCAAATTTCAAAGTGATAAATAACATATTCACTTGTTCTCTTTCTTCTCCATATTTTTCTTCTTATTTGAAATAACAAATTGAAATGTTTATTTCTTGGGAGAATTTAGGCTATTTAGAAACAATAATTTGGGAGTATATATGAAGCATTTTGTTTTAATTCAAAGATTTAAGATAGTGTATACTTATCTCTGGCTATGTATACCATTTAGTTCTGCTTATTGCTAGTATAAAGAAAGAATTAGATAATCTGAATAGGCCTGTAAAAGTAATGAGATTAAATTTAAATTTGATTTAAATCTTCTCCAAAAGAAATGTTCAGGCCTAGGTGGCTTTATTGGTGAATTCAATATAACATCAAAATATATTTAAACAATACTACCAGTTCTTCATAAAATCTTCCAAAAGTTGAAGTGGCTGGAAAATTTCCCAACTTACTCCATGAGACCAAAATTACCTTGACATCAGAACCAGAGAAAGTCATCATATGAAAAGAACACCACAGACCAATATTTCTTAAAAATGTAGATATTAAAATCTTCAACAAAATGAAATTCAGCAAGCTGAATCCAGCAAAATTTTAAAAACATGCATTATGACCAAATAAAAATTAATGCCAGGAATGTGAGGTTGGTTTAATATCTGAAGATCAGTTAATATAATACATCATATCAGTAGAATTAAAAATAAAAACATGGTGATCTCAGTAGACACAGAAAAAGTATTAAAAATATCAACACCTTTCCATGATAAAACCACTCAAGCAGCTAGAAACAGAAGAAAACTTCTTCAGTATGATAAAGAGCATCTATGAAATCTCACAGCTAACATCATACTTAATGGTGAAAGACTGAAAAATGTCACCTATAATCACGAACAAGGTAAGGATGTCTGCTCTCAGTACTTCTAGTCAACATTATAGTGGATGTTCAAGCCACAGCAATTAGGCAAAAAGCAAAAAAGAAAGAAAAAGAAATAAAAAGTACTTGGACTTAAAGGAAGAACTAGAGATTACGTGGTCTTGCATATAGAAAATCCTAAGGAATCCACTAAATGTTATTATAACTAATGAATGAGTCTTGCAAGATTGCAGGACACAAGATAAATATGTAAAATCAATTGCATTTTTATTCACTAACAATAATTCAAAAATTAAATTAAGAAAATAATCTCACAATAACAACAACAATAATAAAATAAGCATGAGGAAAGGGAGTATAAGACTTGTACTCTGAAAACTACAAAGCATTGTTGAACGAAAATTTTAAAATCCTATGTAAATAAAAATATATCTCACATATATGGATTGGATGATGATACATCTCAAATTGATCTACAGATTCAACATAATTCCTAGCGGAATTTCAGCTTTTTTCTTTGCAAAAGTCAGAAGATTGATGTAAAATTTATTTGAAAATTCAAGAAACCCAGAATAGCCTAAACAATCTTGAAATCTGAGAACAAATGAGAAAGCCTCATGTTTCTTGATTTCCAAACTTACTACAAAGCTACAGTAATCAGGACAGTGTGCTACTTGTATAAAATTGACATACTGACATATAGGACAGTTGAATAGAATTGAGAGTCCATAAACAAATCTTCACATCCATGATTTAATTTTCTGTTTTTACAAGAGTACCAATACCTTTGAATGAGGAAAGAATAGCCTTTTCAACAAATGATGCTGGAACAACTGAATATTCACATGCAAAATAATGAGGTTGGACAGCAACTTCATATTACATAGAAACATTAACTGAAATTGGGTCATAAACCTAAATCTAAGAGCTAGAACTAGGAAACTCTAAAACATAGGAATAAATCTTCTTGTATCTAGGAGATATAAAGAACTATTATTACTGTTCAATAATAAAAGACAGCTCAATTTAAAAATGGGCAAAGCATCTGAACAGACATTTCTGCAAATTAGATATTACAAATGACCCTTAAAAGCATAAAAATAAACTCAACGTCATTAGCAAACTGGGAAATGCAAATCAACTCTATGTGATATCACTACATACCTACCAAAATCTCTATAATTAAAGGAAAGCTATAATAGCAAGAGTGGGATGTTTCTATCATAAGCTGCTGATAGAAATGTAAAATAGTGCAGCTACATTAGAAAACAGTCTGACGTTTCCTCAAGAGATTAAATATGGAGTTGCCTATGTGATAACTAGTGTGGTTATATACCCAGCAATTTCATTACTAGATACATATCCAAGAGAAATAAAAACATATAGCCATATAAGAATGTATAAACAAATGTTCATAGACAAATTATTCATAAAAGACAAAAAGTGGAAACAAATCCCCACCAACTGGTGTATGGATAAACAAAATGTAGTATATCTATACCATGGAATATTATTCAGCAAGAAAAAAGATTGAGGTACTGATGCTTGCTACAGCATGGATGAACCTTGAAATCATTATGCTCGGTAAAAGAAGCCAGTCATAAAAGTCCAAATATTGTATTATTACATTTCTATAAAATGTCCATAATGGGCAATACACAGAGACATAAAATAGGTTAGTGGTTGCCTAAGGCTGAAGGTTGTTGAGGAGAAATGGGGAGTGACTGCTAATGGGTACAGGATTGTTTGGAGGGGTGACAAAAGTGTTATAAAATTGATTATAGTGATTGTCATACAACATTGTGAATATGTTAAGAATCACTGAGTTGAACACTTTAAGTGGTAGATTGTATGGTATACAAATTATATCTCAATAAATCTGTTATATATAATCAATTGGCAGAACATAAGACCAGTGTGCATGTGATCTTTTTGAAAGGCAAATCACTTGTCGAAAATGTCATACATCTGTTGTGTAGCTGGCCATGAGAGAGGTCATATTACTAAATTATAAGCAACTGTTGTTCACAATAGTAATTGTTCAGTCATAGGAGAGGTGCAATTTATGTCTGTCTGCTGTACTGTGTCATATGCACGCTTTTGGGAATTGGTCAAAGGTTTTGGTTAAGGTATAGTGCATCATAATTTTTCTATTAAAATAATTGGAAGTAAGTTCATGATTAGCATTTTTGCACAGAGCTTCTTATTATCAGGTACACATTATTGCCACTAACAGGCGATGCTTGTAAATTGTCCTTAATTCCTACCAATGGTTAGTTCCATATTGTCACTCACCTCTGCAAACCTTACTGATTACTTCTACATATCTCACATATGTATCCATTTCTTCCTATCCCTATTACTCTTGTCTTTGGCCAAGCCACCAGCATGTCTAACCAAGACTATTGTAATAGCTTCATAACCCTTCATTTATTCTTGCTGCTTTGAACACATTTCTCTCTCTCTCTATTTTTCTTTCTTTCTTTCTTTCTTTTTTTCTTTTTTTTTTAGGTGGAGTCTTGCTCTGTCACCCAGGCTGGAGTGCAGTCGCACAATGTCAGCTCACTGCCACTGCAGTCTCCACCTCCTGGGTTTAAGCGATTCTCCTGTCTCAGCCTCCCGAGTAGCTGGGGTTACAGGTGCCTGCCACCATGCCTGGCTAATTTTTGTATTTTTAGTAGAGATGGGGTTTCACCACGTTGGCCAGGCTAGTCTCAACCTCCTGACCTCAGGTGATCCACCTGCTTTGGCCTTCCAAAGTGCTGGGATTACAGGTGTGAGCCACTATGCTCGGCCCAAAGATATTTCTCATTTGTATTCATTATGGTCAGCAACAGTACCCTTTGTATGAGACACCCAGGTACTCAGATTGACAGTTTCCATCTGGACATGTGCTTGTATGATCACAGGAACAAGGAAAGAAGAGCATGTCACACTTCACACTGGCTCCAGAAATTTCTATCCAAGAGTAAATTATGTTATTTTCATTCACATTCCATTGGCTAAATCAAATAATATAATCAACTTTAATAGGTTGAGGCATATAATCACCTCAAGGATTACATTAGCAGATACTACTGTGTATCATATTTTCTCTCTTTGTCTCCCTCTTTCTCTATCCCACCTTTCCCCCAAACACTGAAATAGCTGCTTCTTCACCTGGTTGATCAAATATGGCTTTCTCAGGAAAGTGTTTCTTTCCTTCACAAGTTGTGGTAGTTTTGCACCTGTTAAAAGTCCACTCATCACTCTAATCATTACTTGGTTTACTCCTGTTGCTGCTTCAGTGTTATAAGATTCATGAGGGCAGAGTCTGTGTCTGTTGCATTCGCCACCATGTCCCTTGTGTCAAGCGCAGGACCTGGCCCTTAGAAAGTTTCATTAAATAGTCATTGAACAGTTGAATGAATGGCTGCAGAGGTCAGAGGAACCATTGCATGTAACTTAAGCAGTAAACTTAATCAAAAACTGGCAGTTATATTACCATTGGGAGATGGAAATAACTACTGTATTTTCTAAAAAAATATACTGGGGCCTGTCAGGGGGTGGAGAGGGTAGGGAGAGCATTAGGAAAAATAGCTAATGCATGTTGGGCTTAATGCCTAGGTGATGGGTTGATAGGTGCAGCAAACCATCATGGCTCATGTTTACTTATGTAACAAACCTACACATCTTGCACATGTATCCCAGAATTAAAAACAAACTTTTTCTTAAATTTCATTATATTTTTAATTTTAGGTTGAGAAGATACATGGGTATATTGTGTGATGCCAAGGTTTCGGCTTCTAATGAAATGATTCCTTTCCAATGGGAAAATTTTTGCTGCTGATGACAATGCAACAAAGTCTGCATTTTAATACCGCTATGAATACACACCAGTTAATTAACTTCTTTGAAAATCTACATTTATCTGTAAAATGGAAATACCATCTATGTTAGTTAGCTTAGGGTTGTTTTGAGGATCAAGGACATGTGGCTAGAATTTAATTTTAAGAAGAGCAGCTCAAAATCAGATGACTTCAAAGTTTCTTGATTATCAATTTTCCCTTTTCTCTTCATGTATCCTTCTCTGGATCTATTTTTCTGTCTTCCCTTCCTCTTCCTCTCCATAATCTTTATAGCTAATAGTTAAGGTGCTTGTTCTGTTTAAGGCACTATGCTAACCACAGTCCTTTATCTAGTTTAATCCCATGGGCTAACTACTATTACTCCCATTTTTAACCTCTGATAAAGAAACAATGGTTTTACTTGGTAATCCTTTATTTTTCTGGAGTTTAGCTGCCATTGTAAATTATTAATGAGAATGCACTTATATCATTTTTTTTTCCTCTGTGTAGCAACAATAAATTTTTTTAATATTCTGAGATTATAGACCTACACATATGAGTTCTGTTTCTCATCACTGTAACCATTTACAGACACAGTACTGGCTGAGTTGCTACCTTGTCATATAATAGCTGTCTTGGTTTAGTTGGGTCTTGGCAAATTTAAGTTACTTTCTAAATATCATTTTCTATTTTTTTTTTAAATAGGAATGAATACAGCTGCCTTTAAATTTGTTTTGTGAAGACTAAATCACACTGAAAATGCCCAGCATTAGGGATGCACATAGTATATTTACTTTGCATAATTATAATGTAAATATATAATATATAAATAATTATATGTCTATTTAATAATAATATAAATATAATGACTATGCACAAATTATATTTACTTTCTTATTTATTGTATCAGTACATGATAAGGAGATTGCTATTTTCATTAAACTAATATCAATGTCTTATTTATTGAAAATTACACAAGCAAAAATATTCTGTTTTGAGCTGGGTTTATAGTTTCGTAACCCCTATGCCAAATTTTGACACCTTCATAGTATTCAGGGATAAGTATGAAGTTGCTTGATTAATAAATGCAAACAAAATGTATGCTGGCAATTCTTATGACACTTCTAATATTTACCAATAATTTTATTAAAGATTGTTTATTAAAGATTTTAATTTATTAAAGATTTTACTTAAGTCACATAAACTTGAAAAGCATATGACTAGTTCTTTTTTTCTGATAAAGTATTTTATTTAGGCACTTTAATTTTTAATCCAATTAATTAGAGCTCTTTTATATATTTTTAATAGTAAAACATTATGTACACAACACATAAATACATAGACATATTAGGCGTACTGATAGAAGAACATCTTACAGATTCCTAAGAACTCCTGTTTCATTTTTTTCTTTCTTAGACTTGCAAACTCTTGATAACCTGTTTCATTACCGTGGCAGTTGTCAGCTAAATAGCCTTAAATCTGCATATAAGGAAACAACTCTTAGATGAAAAAATCAGATTGGAAAATTTACATCTCAAGGTACAGAGAGAAAAAGTCTCCTTGTGCTAAAAGGAGATTAAAGATAGATGCCAAATTAAACATAAAACTATAGAAACCTATCACTGGATTGTATAAGGAAACCAGTTTTATTTAGATAGGGACTACTTGTCTTTTACATGGAACTCTGAGCTCTGGGCAGAACCCACATTGAATCCTGGGTCTCCAAAAAGGGAGAATTATTACGAGGCTAGACCACGTGATGCTTTTATACTGCGCTTAAAAATTTTTTTTAAAACAAAGACACTTCTAAGTGTCTAATCTATATTCTTCCTTAAAAACCCAAGAGTAGCTTCTGCTGCAATAACTATTCTAGTCAAAAAATCAGGTAACATGATACAAAAGCAATCAGTTTAAGAGTTGAGAGGATCTTGTCTGTTTACACTCTTGGGGTTCCATTAAAAAAACCCAGAGGTTTCTCCCCAAAAGGGAGACTGGAATCTTCTCCAGAACCCCGGGCTATTAAGGAACCCCAGGGAGGAACCCCAGGCTGTTACAAATTATTTTAGGTTTCTCATGCAGCAGAAGGGTGCAAGAGAAAGGAGAGACAGCAGAAGTAAATGAAGAAAACAATTCAGTCAACTGAGAAGAAAAAAACTTTTGCTCAAAAAAAAAAAGGACAAGGTCTTAGGAGAGAAAAAAACAAAAACGAAAACATGAAAGCCTTTAAAATACACACACATGCACACATACACACATACACACACACACACGCACACGCACACACACACACACACACATCTTGGATGTTAGCTTTTAATGAAGCTGACTTTTAACCATAGAGCTCCTTAAAAGAATCGTTTTAAATTTCATTACCATATTTCAGCTGGGACAAATTGCTGCTATTTTAGAAGTAGCAAGTATCAAACCAGAAAGGGCTTGATTTAGGAACCAAACCCCGGCTGTCGTGGTGAAAAAAGAAGGCAGAACGTTAGCTATGGAACTGCAGCATGGGGTGACAGCCATTGCTCTTTCAGTTTGTCCTGGCTCGCAAAAAGGTTGCCTTGTTATGTAAATAAAATCCTGTAGTAGTAAAAATAAAAAATCTTTCCTTGTTTGTTTTTTTTCTTTTGCTAGCCTTGCTTCTTCCCCCACCACACCACCTTTTTTGTATGTAGGTATGTAGAAATTTAGCCACTTCAGAGGCCTTGTTCCCCATAATTTGGAACCTTCCTTCGGATTTGATCAAGTTGGATAGAGTTGGTCAAACCCAATGGAAAAAGACTGAAGCAACAACAAAAACAAACAAACAACAACCAAAAAACAGTTAAGCAAAACAAACAAACGATCACACAACATAGGTGATTACTGAGCACTCTAATGGTAAGGAGAAATTAAGACCAGCTGGTTGTTAATCTTAACTTTAGCCAAGACAAACCCTAATTCAGTTACTTACCTAGGGTTGGGCCTCAGGCTGAAGATTGCTTGCTACATCCTAGAAGCAGGAAAAAACCCAAACTCTTCTTCCCTATTGGAAGCAAGCTCAAACTCCAGAAAGGAGTTACCTGCCTTCTATCATCACAGAAGCAGGAAAACTTGCCTTCTTTGTGTTGGAAGTGAGTAAACTCCAAGAAAACGGAGTTGTACAGCAAAGTGAACTTTAGATCTCAACCAGATTTTAGGAGATCAGGGAATCTTTGGAGGGGGTGCTTCCAGGCCACAACAAATTTTCCTGTTGGTTTGAGCCATAAAGATACCTCAAGCTGGTGCCAAGCTATAGGAGATTTGTCAAAGGTCAGGGGCAACTCCATTCAGAATCCCTCTGTGGTTATCAAAATGTGAACCCCAAATATCTGAGACTGGTCTCAGTTAACTTAGAAAGTTTATTTTGCCAAGGATGCACACCTGTAACACAGCCTCATGAGGTCCTGGCAACATGTGCCCAAGGTGGTTGGGGCACAGCTTAGTTTTATATGTTTTAGGGAGACATGAGACATCAATCAATATATGTAAGATGTACTTTGGTTCTGTCCAGAAAGGCAGTATAACTCCAGAAAGGGGGCTTCCAGATTACAGGTGAGAGACAAACAGTTGCATTCTTTTGAGTTTCTGATTAACTTTTCCAAAGGAGACAATCAGATATGCATTTATCTCAGTGAGCAGAGGGATGACTGAATAGAATGGGAGGTGGGTCTTTTTTAAGCAGTTTCCAGCTTGACTTTTTCCTTTAGCCTAGTGATTTTGGGGCCCCAAGATTTATTTTCCTTTCACAAATCCCACTGGTAAAATTAAGTGCATGGACAAACCCAGAATACTATATTGCTGTAATTGTGGTGTACAATCTACTCATAAGTCTAGCATTAAATCCAAAAGACAAACTTATCAAAAACAATAATAGCTGCAGCAATCTGGGAAGAGATAGATTATATAAAAACATGTAAATTGAGACAATTAAAAGTCAAAATATGGGGGGTGGAGTTAAAGCATAGAACTTTTTCCATTTTCCTTTGTTTCTATTCTTTGTAATTTAAGATAAGTTGTCTTCTCTTTAAAATAACTTGTTATATTTATAAGATTTTTTGTAAGCCTCTTGGTAACCACAACACAAAAACCTATAATAGATTCACTAAAAATAAAAAGCAAAAAATTAAACCTTGTGCCGGAGAAAACCACTTAACCACAAAAGAAGACAGAACGAAAGGAAGAGAGGAGTTACAAAAAAAATGAGAAAGCTAGTGACAAAATGACAGTATTAAGTCCTTATTTATCAATAATAATACTGAATACAAATAGATTCAATTATCTAATTATAAGGCATAGAGTGGCTGAATGGATGAAGAAACAAGACTCAACTATTTGCTGCCTAAAAGAAACCCACTTCATCTACAAAGACACACATAGACTGAAAGTGAATGGGTAAAAAAAGATATTCCCTGCAACTGGAAACCAAAAAAAGAGCAGCAGGCATAGTTATATTTATATCAGATCAAAGAGACTACCAACCTAAGACTGTAAAAGGAGACAAAGCAGGTCACTATATAATGATAAGGGATCAATTCAGCAAGAGGATATAACAATTATAAATATTTAGGCACCCAACACTGGAGCTCCCAATTATATAAAGAAAACATTACTATATCTAAAGGGAGAGATAGACTGCGATAAATAACTTATTCAATAATTTGCATTTTTGCTTAATGAAAGGCAACTGAGGCATTAAATTTTTCATCTTTGTTCAATAAAAGAATTTAAGACCTCATGTTTTTCTCTGAAAAATAAAATCCAAAAGAAATAATATACTACAAATGATCCATTTCACTGCATGCAGAAAGAAAGAGTTGGAGTAAAATACAGCATAGGCAGAATTAACCGCAAGTATCAGACCAGGAGAGTGTGTTTATGATGTGTAACAGATGGAATTAACCTGAACACCATGAAGATCCAACAAGGAGGAGGAGAACAAAGACCTCACAGGAAAATGGATCATGGTTATAAACAAGAAAGATAAAGATGACAGATGTTAAACATAAGAAACGTCCAATCAACATATCATGAGATGTCTAACTTTACTAATAATAAGAAAATAAGCATTTCTAAGTAAATAGGACAGCAGGAAGTCCTGAGTTTGGCCTCCAGGAAGAAGTGTTCAATGATGAAGACTGTAGCTGCCACACCACTGGCCACCTCCAGAGGCCATGGTGGAGTTTGCTCCTCTCCCATTCTGTTCTTAGAAATCAGACAGCTTAGTGTTGGAATTGTGTCTCCGGAGCACGTGAGAGTGTAGTTCCAAGAATTAGGCAGGAGTTAGCTTGAATTTCCACTCTGCTATTTACCAGCCTTGTGACTATGGGAGTCGGGGCCATTTCACTGGCTTAGCCTCTGTCTTCCCATCTTGCAGCAGTTTTTAGAATAATGATACCCTAGCTCAAAAAGCAACCCTTAGCAAATCATGTGTCTATGTGATGTGGAACATCATTGCAATACTCTATGTAGATAAAAATGTGGCTGATGAACTTGTCATCTGTTCTCAATAGCTTTGATTTCCTTTTTATTTTATTTTATTATCTATTTAAGTTCTGGGATACATGTGCTGAACATGCAGGTTTATTACATAGGTATACATGTGCCACGGTAGTTTGCTGCACCTATCAACCCATCATCTAGGTTTTAAGCCCTGTATGTATTAGGTATTTGTCCTAATGCTCTCCCTCCTATTGTCCCCCATCCCTGACAGGCCCCTGTGTGTGATGTTCCCCTCCCTGTGTCCATGTGTTCTCATTGTTCACCTCCCACACATGAGTGAGAACATGTGGTGTTTGGTTCTCTGTTCCTGTGTTAGTTTGCTGAGAATGATGGCTTCCAGCTTCATCCATGTCCCTGCAAAGAACATGAACTTATTATTTTTTTATGGCTGCATAGTATTCCATGGTATATATGTGCCACATTTTCTTTATCTAGTCTATAATTGATGGGTATTTGGGTTGGTTCCAAGTCCTTGCTATTGTAAACAGTGCTGCAGTAAACATACGTGTGCATGCGTCTTTATAGGAGAATGATTTTCTAAATTAAAATTGGTTTCTGAAAAACTTGAGAAGGCTGTAGATTCAGTTCCCTCGACTTGCATAGAAATTGGAATGTTGCAAATGGCCCTTAGAATCCATTTGTTCATGGAATAAGTATTGTTGCCTGCTTAGGGCAGTGGGCTGAGTACTGTGGGGAATTCATAGTTGAGTCTGGGCTGGATTTGGCCAGCTGTAGACAGAAAACTCAACACACAACACAAGGCATTCATTGCAAGTGCCAATTGAGAGCGGCTCAAAATCTGCACATCATCCAGACTCCTGATACCTGAAGATTCCTGTTTTCCAAACCACAAAAATATGTAGGAACAGCTAATTTTATTATTTATGCTACTACCATATATTATCACTAAATTGTTTTTTTGTCTCTTGAATTAAAATGCAAACTAAATTTCAAATGTATTTTTATACAATTTTTCAAGGTAAAATTAACAACTTTTGGGCTGAAAGGATTTACCTTTTTATTTTTAATAAAGGAGTAGGTTTATAGAGTTGAAAAAATTCAAGATTTTTTCTTCTTTATCAAGATGCTCTTATTGTCCTCACAGATGGAAGACAACTATAAATTTACAGTATGTGTGGGCTTACTGAGTCTAAAAATGTTGTGCCATTATTTATATCTTACTGTAAGAAAGACCTTGTCTGGGAAAGAGAAAAACAGCCTTAGGCTGTCAAACTTGGTTGATGTAATTATTATCTAAAGAAAAAAAAAAGACTAAGGTTTTCTTCTAACTAAAACATAAATATGAGTTTATTATTCCACACTTTCAGTATCTTGGAGTCCCTGAGCATGGTTTATGGTGTGTGGAAAAATTTGGCATTTAGTTATCTTATTGTCACCAAGCATGCCAGGTACTTATTCCTCTGAACTCAAGGTCTACGCATGGAGGTTATAAAAAGCACAACCAAGCTTGTCTTGTTATGCTTTCTGGGAGACAAATCCCCCTTGTCCTTGGTTGTGAAAATGATTTATACTCTGCACAGTTATTTTCAATGCATTAGTTTTTTTCTCTTGTTTCCAAGCAGAGGGCAGAAGAAAATGGAAAACAAAGACAAACAAACCAAAGAAGGCGGATGAAGTAGAAGCCATTCATTCTTTCCATGAACATTGGTGAGTGCCTACATGTGCCAGAGCTTATTTAAAGCACCCAACATGCAAAGATCAATCACTATGACACAGTCCTTATCCTCAAGAGGGTCAGAGTCTGAAGGAATCTATTATGATTTTGTCCAGTTACAAAGAATGGTTAATGTCAGCTGAGTCATTTTGCCTATGTGGCTGCTTAGTGCCTCTACTATGATGGATGCTCTCATGGGATATGAAGATGATCATACTTTGTGTCTACCCACTTGTATGTCCTTCCACATGCCTCTACCCAGACTTCCTTGTGCCCATCATCCAATCTTCTACGTTCTGTGTTTCTAATTAGTTGGTCAGGCCATTCATAACTGCCCATAGGTCTATACCCTCTGGTCACTTTTTACTCTACACACAGTGGATGGCTAGGTGTATTGCTCAAAGCCCTGCCCATTAGAAAGGTTTTCCTTTCCACTGTCTTTCAAGGCCACACTTGAGAGAGGCTGCAGCAAGCTGCCACCTACTCTTGGCTTACACCTTCATACTGAGCCCATCCGCTCATACTGAGCTGATCCGCCCATGATACCAGCTAGGGTTGTCATCCTCCTTCTGCTGCTTCTACGGCATCCTCAGCAAATCCACACGCATGGGATAAGCACCTGGTCTTCTGGGGAAAATGTTAGTGTGTTTTGGGTTGTATATGAGATAGTTTTATCACGTTAGTCTAAAGCATGATGCTGTTATTTTCTTTATTTGAAAATTAGTTATGGTTTAGAGAGATTTGTATGAGTGGTAATTTGGCAAGGGGTGGACTATGGTGGATTTGAAGGTGTTGCTGTGGCTTGACTAAAAAATATTTCCCAGAGTTCTCTTCCCAGTACATTCCCAGTTATTATGGGCCACAAGAGGCCTTGTTGTTTGAGATTTGGAGGTTGGGAGTGAAGCAGAAGTCATTTTGTTATTTATGTTGAGAAAGGGCAGTCCCTTGTGTAACACAGACATGTTCTGTAGCACACACATGTGCATGAATACATCCATGTGTATACACGTGCGCGCGCGCGCGCGCGCACACACACACACACACACACACACACACACACACACACACACACAGATGTTGCTGCTTATCTGCCAGCTCAGCTCATTGCTGTGGGAAAAGCAGCCAGGGCTGCTGCTGCTTTTTGTGTTCATTCTTGCTGAGCTCATCTGCTTTTTGACTGATACATTCGTTTCCTCTTGCTGCCGTTACAAATTACTACAAATAGCATAATTTGTTATTTTACAGTTCTGGAGATCAGAAATCCAACACAGGCCTCCTGGGCTCAAATCAAGGCTCCAGCCTGGCTGCATTCCTTTATGGAGGCTCTCAGGGTGAATCCATTTCCTTCTTTCTGGCTTCTCAAAGCTGCCTGCATCTCTTGGTGTGTGGTGCCTGCCTCCACTCTCAAAGCCATCAATGACATCATACCTATCCCTGGTCAGGACTGGGAAAGCTTCTCCGTTTATAAGGACCATGTGATTACACTGAGCCCATTATAAAGTGACTGGTTTACTCTCATTACTTCCTTTCCAAGCTCACCAGGACTATTTTATAGTTTAGACTGATCTAGTCCATCTTCATGAGAGATGAAATATCTCAATTTCTATGAAGGGTATTAATGAAAGTACACCTCCAAAATTCTGAGAGATGTTTTTTCTCATAGTGGGCTAGAGCTAGGAAAATTGGTGCTAAAGCTTATGAAGGTGAAATCCAGTACCATAGTGGTCCCATTTTTATGTCTACCTGAATGAGAATAGCTGTTTTGAGTGAAAAGTTATGACAAAAGAAAAGCTATTGGTTCAAATCTCTGAGTATTTCAGGGTTTTTGCAATACATTAAAAATAATTACCTAATGTAGCAAAATAAGAAAAAAAGCACTTGTGTTTAGTAAAACATCCATTCTCATAAGAAACACTGACATTAAAATGTAAGGAGAATAAAAAATTTAGTTAGGATATTTTTGAAATTTCTGGCTGTCTCCTTTTCCTGACAGGCTCTTCATGGCAGACAGTAAAACAATTTCGACTGGAAAGACTTGGATAAGATGACTTCCTTATCAACCCTTTCTACTTTCCATTATTTTAAAGTTAATTACCTTAAAATACCAATAATTCTTCCACAATTGCCCAGATGAAAGCCAACCCTACTGGTATGTTCAATCCTGCAGGTGGTAGTGTGAATCTGAAATGTTCTCTGGCAAGGAGGAAGCATCAGAAAGTTTTGCCACCACACTTACTGCTACATGATAATAGGAGGGTGTGAAATCAGGAAAGAAGAATAGATGCATTATGATATTTGGGTTTCTATGGTATTTAGAAAAGTCCCTCTTTTTCAATTTGGCTTGTACCTGATCTTATTGGATCCCCATGTTTTGGGGTATATCAGGTTGCTAATAAGTCTCTTCTTCCAGCAGAAATTTTGCACCCTTCCGTAATCTACTACCTGTCACACAGTACTTATCATGTGCCAAGAATGGCTATGAGTGTTTTATGTGGAATAAGTTATTTAAATAAACCTCAGGCACTAACACCATTTTACACATGAAGCACACGTCTAAACAATTTGTTGATCAAAACTGCTCCAAAGAATACACATCAGGTTCTCATCTTAATGGGTTTGATTTCCCTTCTTTGTAGAAAGCAGGCAGAGGAGTCTTCCATATTTGTTTTGCGGTCATTTCTTACACATTCGGTGAGTCAGCTGCCTCAGAAGAGGTGTCCCATGTTGCTGTAAGTGTTGTTTACATTATATGAAGAAAAATGGCCCAGAAATGTAAATGGTTTTG
Source organism: Homo sapiens (assembly GCF_000001405.40). Taxonomy (NCBI): domain Eukaryota; kingdom Metazoa; phylum Chordata; class Mammalia; order Primates; family Hominidae; genus Homo; species Homo sapiens. Next base: position 7,039,358 of record NC_000005.10, read on the forward strand.
CTTAGGCAGGCCATTTCAGAAATTGTGTTAGTTATTTATTGGCTTGCCAATATTGATCTTTAAATAAGAGATTCTGCTCTTCAATGAAGGAGCCATTTCAAAAATTGAGTTAGTCGTTGTGGTAGTAATATTGGATTGATGAGGGTAACCATTACATTTCCAGGCAAAAAAAAAAAAAGATTATCGGGAAATAAAAACCAAGAGGAGAATATTGATCGTCTAGCGACTCCACTGAAACAGAGTCATAGGCGGGTTGTCAGGTCTGGTTTTCTGCCCAGTGCTTTCCTTCCTTCTAATTCTAACTGAGGAGGAAGAACAATTCTGACTGCCTGTAAATTCACTCAAGACCTACCGTGGCGGGGGTGGGGGGAGAAGAGGCTGCTTATGTGTTAAGGCAAAACTTGGGGAGTAAATCTATATCCTGTGCTTGTCCCAGGCCAAACTTCTTTAAAGATTATGAGAATAAACTGCTGGTTCTTAGAAAGGAATGGAAGAAGGTAATGGGGAAAGTCTTTGCTCCCAATTAGTGGGATGAGTGAGACATTGCAAATCAGAACTCAATTAAGAAGCCAGAGTTGAAACAAGGGAACCAAACTCTTGGATTTTTAAAACTGTCCCTCATTAAACATGGAGTCAACGTTGAGTCTAAAAAGTGTAGTATAAAGAAGTTTGAATGCATAATCATGCTTCCTGAGCCATTGTGAACCATTTTCTATTCCTAAAGTGGGCTGGGGCACACTTGTTGCCGGTGATGCAGGCATCTCTACACCAATTCTCCGGTGAAGTCAAGAAATAACACATATTTTATTCATTTTAATCAATGCATATCTGGCACAATAAAGAGGAGGATTGGGCCTTTTTTAATTAGAGGAAAAGCTGGAAGATTTTAATTGAGAATACAGGAGCCAAGGATATATCACCTCTGCTACTTAAGAGCTGTAATTGCTCATCTCTTAGACCACCTGCTGCTTGCAGAGTACCAGTCTACTTAATTTAACACAAAGTAATTTAGGATGCTGTTTCTATTGCTAATTAGACACAGAAACTACCTTCATAATTAAGCTCGCTTTACTTCCTAAGAATCCCTTTTTAATAAATCCAATTTGGGGGGCAATACACTTCCCTCTTCTTGCCTCCATCCTTCTCACATTATATTCTTTACCTTGATATCCTTTTTAAATTGGTGTATTCCTTCATATTCCCTAAATATAAGTAGGACATAGACTGATTAGGTTTCCTTGTGATGCTATAATTATATGAACCATCTATACACTTGTTTATTCCACAGAACTTTTCAGAATGCCCATTATGGGCCAGGAATGAGGATATATTGGGACAGAAAAGTCCTTAAGCGGGTATTAGTGGTGGAAAGAGAAAGAAACCACCCATCAGAGCTCAGGATTTGGATGCTGCAATGAAGGTCATGGCCAGTGCATTGAAGCTCCCCCAGTATGGGGAGGTGGGAAGGGGCTTCCTCAAGAGGCTGCTGTAGTGTAGCCTTGGGGGAAATTGGGATTCATTGGGCAGAGTAGCTGGGGAAGAGTCCTTTGGTCCAAGGAAGTAGGAATGTCCTGAGCTAAGACAGGAGGGCAGGAGAGGGCACACCTCATCCAGGAGACTGTAGATAGTTTTGTGTCACGGGGCAACCTGTCACTGTCAAGGATGGGAACAGTAATTGGGGACGGGTCAGGAGAGGTCCTCATCAGTAGCTTCATGGATGCACTCATTCTATGGAAACAATGAAATCTCATTGAAGGAATTTATATAGGTTTTGTTTTGATAAAATCACATTGGCATCAATGTGGAAGATGAACTAAATGAAAGGTGAGGTCGAGGCTACAGGAAGTTAGGGACCAGCAAAGACCCCCAAGCAAGGTCTTAGTTGCTCATATAGAGGAACGATGCAGAAGATAAGTCTGTCTTGACCCTGGTGAATCCTCAGGGCAGCAGAGAGACAATGGCTTAGAGAGGGAGAGTGAGCAGTTGGGAGAGAATTGACTGAGGGGTGATGAGAGAGAAGGGAGTGGTCCCAGGACTCTTAGGTATTGGCCTGAGTTGTGCCAAGATAATTCCTTATAAGAGGAGGGTTAGGAAAGGGGTGCATTCTGTTTGGTTAAAAAGATTTGGGATGAGTAGAAAGTTTCAAAGGCCCGGGCATTTAAGCAAAGTTCCAGGTGGCAAGCAAAAGCCCGGGGCGTGGCGAGCTTCAGGTGTGAGGCTATTCCATGATGGAGAAGAGGGGAAGCTGCTGAGACGGCTGCATGCTGAGCCGGGCCACGGGAGAGGCCACTTCTGAAGAGTTCCAAAGCAGTGTTTTCAGATCAAAGATTTTTAAACGGGGGTTAAAGAAAATAAAGCATTCAAAAATAAAGTGTCCCAAACAACAGAGGCATGCTACTACACTGAGTGCCACTGCGGACTAGCTTCTGAGAAAAACCTGAACAGAGAACGTGCCAGTACTGTGATGAGGTGGGACACCTCCATGGCCAAGTTCATGCAGGTAGAGCCCACTGAGGGCAGCAAACTGAGCTGTAGGCACGCTGGGATCGTAGGTATTTGCTCTCTTTGCTTTGCTTTGAACTACAGTTGACCCTTGAACAACACAGGTTTGAACTATGTGGATTCACTTATGTGGATTTTTTAACCAAATGCAGATTGAAAATACAGTGTTCCTGGGATGTGAAACCCATATATACAGAGAACTGAGCTTCTTATGTCGGATTCTGTGGGGCCGATGGCAGGACTTGAGTCTACAGTTTTTGGTATATGCAGGGGTCCTTTAATGAAGCCCCATTGGTTGCCGAGGGACAACTGTAATTATAATTTCAGAAAATGAGTATCTATGAAGTGTCTGTGCTGCTCTTTGCTGTATTTTATTGTAGCAATCCTATTTTGCTGTTATAACTCGTGCACTAAACAAGCAATTGTAACTGATGCCAATGCTGGGAGGCGGGTGGATTATGGAAGGCTGAGCTACTAAAACAAAGAGAAAAGCACTGGTTTTGGAGTCAGACCAAGCTTGGCTTAGATTTCTACTGTAGTATAAGGCTACTGTGTGATCTTGGTTTCATTTCTTAGCCTCTTTGAGACTCAGTTTCCCTGTGTACAAAATAGGGATAACAGTAGTATTATAGCAGGACAAGCTGCAGACAAAACTCCTCAGACACCGAGTTAAAGAAGGAAGGAGTTTATTTGGCCGGGGGCATCGGCGAGACTCCTGTCTCAAGAGCCGAGCTCCCCAGTGAGCAATTCCTGTCCCTTGTAAGGGCTCACAACTCTAAGGGGGTGCGTGTGAGAGGGTCGTGATCGAATGAGCCAGCAGGGGTTATGTGACTGGGGGCTGCATGCACCGGTAATTAGATCGGAACAAAACAGGATAGGGATTTTCACAGTGCTCTTCTATACAATGTCTGTCATCGATAGATAACATAACCGAGTAGGTCAGGGGTCGATCTTTAACTACCAGGCCCAGGGTATGGCGCCGGGCTGTCTGCTTGTGGATTTCATTTCTGCCTTTTAGTTTTTGCTTTTTCTTTCTTTGGAGGCAGAAATTGGGCATAAGACAGTATGAGGGGTGGTCTCCTCCCTTACTACTCCTTACTACTGTGTAGGATACTGTATGAAAAATAGCCTGTGGAGTGCCTGCGTTTTGTTAACGCTTTTCTGCAGCAAGGAGCGACCTGCGCTATTGCTCTTGCTCTGTTCCCTTCCTAGCCTTTCTGCAGTCAACAGCCAGAATCATTTCACTCCACCCGTGCGGCCCTCAATGGCTTCCACTTGCATGTGATAGTGAGATCCCACACTAGGGTTTACGAAAGATCTGCTGCATCACTATTTCCTTGTGTGTTTTACTTCCGAGGATAGGGAACTCTGCTGCTATAGGGTCCTAGCTCAGGGCTGGAGTTCTGGATGATGTTGCTGCTTCTCACCTGGTCCAGATATCCCACCGAGATCTTATTTAAAAAATTGTAAACATGTGTGTCTTTATAATATTGACAACATAATTCGCAGATTATTGAACTCACACTTAAGCAGGCAATTATAACTAACTCAAAATATTCAGAAAGGCAGCTGCAAAGATGACTTTGTTTCCTGTGGCTGCTGTCACAAAGCACCACAAACTTGGTGGCTTAAAATAACAGAGATTTCTTCTCTTACAGTTCTAGAGGCAAGAAGTCTGAAATTGGTATCAGTAGTTCAAAACCAAGGTGTTGGCCAGGCTGCGCTTGCTCTGGAATCTCTGGGGAAGGATCCCCTGCTGGCCTCCATCAGCTTCCGGTGGCTGCCAGCATTCCTTCGCTTATGGTCATGCCACTCCAGTCTCTCTTCTGTGGTCACATGGCTTCTTCCTCTTCTACATGGGTATAAATTTTCCCTCTGCCTCCCTCTTATAAGGATATATAGGATTGCATTGAAAGTCCCTTGGATAATTCAGTATAGTCTCCCCGTCTGAAGATACGTAACTTAATTACGTCTGCAGAATCCCTTATCACTCTATGAGGTGACATTCACAGGGTTCTGGGATAAGGATGTTTATATCTTTTGGGAGACTTGTTTGGCCTACCATATGACCTCTGATCGCATCTGTTATGAGCACTCATGACCCCTTCACATGCAGCTCTGAGTCATCTGCTCAGGCCTCCCTCTTCTCTCCCTTGCCTGGTTGTGTGTTTGTGTTTCTAACAATTTTCTCTGTATGTTTCCTTCATTCTGTGGGTCAGAGTTGTATTGTAACTATACTTACAGAGAACAGGTCACAGATGCAGTCACTGAATTCAGGCTTTACGTGAAGCTCCACCAGCAGTTTCTCTTGCTCTGCGTGTTCCTCTCTGTAATTCTATAGACCCTGCAATTGCTCTTTCCCTTGTGCACTTCTAAAAGCCTCCTTCCTGGGTCCATGCTTGTTTCTGGGGGCCCCTATAGGCACCAACAAGTCCTTACAGACTTTGGCAAGAGGCAACTGATTTAGTGATGGACTCGCTATAGTATCTAGATAGATGTGACTATCTGAAGAACAAATTTGGAAGGCCATTCGGTTCTCACCATTCATCCTTAGCAGATCGGGGATATGAAAGGATGTGGATCCATAAATTGTGAAAATCAAGAAAAAATTCAATAGGCACTTCCGTCTCTTTGTTCCTGAGCTAAAATCATACATTCTTTCATAGCCAAGTTTGTCTCCACAAACCTTATGCTTTAAAAGAATTGGTCTCCTAGCATAGTAAACTCTATTCATAGTAAACTTGTTCATATTTATACACTTGTGAGAATATTGATGTAATATTTCTGTTTCCACTTTCTTTCACCACATGACAAGGATTGCTGAGTGGCTACAAATCTCCATTCTATTGTGAGCATTTTACAGTAATTTGCAAATGAGCATGTGAGTTTTACTCATGCCAACACTATCAGTTTGCAAATGTTTTTTAATATTTAAGGGAAAGCCTCCTTGCTGAGGTCCAATATCTCCTAATCCTAAATCCAGGAACAGTCATGAACCCTGCTCTGTGTTTCCTTCCTTCCTTCCTTCCTTCTTTCCTTCCTTCGTTCTTTCTTTCTTTTTTTTTTTGGACAGAGACTCGCTCTGTCACCCAGGCTGGAGTCCAGTGGCATGATCTTGGCTCACTGCAACGTTCACCTCCTGGGTTGAAGCAAATCTCCTGCCTCAGCCTCCTGAATAGCTGAGATTACAGGCAAATGCCATCACGCCTGGCTGATTTTTGTGTTTTTAGTAGAGACGGGGTTTCACCATGTTGGCCAGGCTAGTCTCAAACTCCTGACCTCAAGTGATCCACCCCGCTCGGCCTCCCCAAAGTGCTGGGATTACAGGCGTGAGCCATCACATCCAGCCAACATGCACCTTTTCTATTGCTTGTCTTGCTTGATTCTTGCTACTCTTGGGAAAAGGCAACTGCCTCCAAATGAAAAATATGAGAAAGGATATCAAGTTAATAAAAGCAAGTAGATAGATTCTTGGATCAGTGCTATGGTGCCATATGTGTACAGCTTCATCTCTTCAAAAAGAAGCTGTTTCTGATTTAACCTACTACATAGGGTTCTAGGTAGGGCTAATAAATTGCTCCAGAAATTAGGTATGGTTTCCGTGATTTGCTCAAATCTCTCAAAAATTAGGACATTACCACGGATTTTTAGATTTCATGAGGTCCACAGTTTGGTCCATAAATTCTATATACTTTTCCAGTCTTCAGTAGTTATATACATTTTTGGATTATTTTGACAATAAAATAAGTGAGTAACACTTTGAAGAATAACATTTGTTTTTGTTCAGTACAGATTTCTTAGATATTGACAAGAAGAAAAAAACTATCAGAGAAAAATCCAGATTCTTACCAGTAGTTCCCTCCCTTCAGAGAGAGGCAGAGCATGATAGAGAAGGACAGTCAGTCAGTGTTTGAAGGACAGTATCCGTGCAATTAAATCAACCTCCCATCTAGACTTTGACTTTTCTGAAATATGGAGATGGAGCAAAAATCAGATAGGGTTTTTGTACAGCATGCTTAAGTATTGGGACACTTATGACTATTTTGTTGAGTTTTCTCATTATATTTTAATAACCTTTAAATTATAAAAATCATATTCACTGTAGACAAAGTGAAAACTTTAGATGAATATTTTAAAAACCCTCAAATCACTCATAATTTTTCCACTTAATGCCAACCACAGTACATATATAGATTGTTAAACCTTCAGCTTTGACTGTGTTTAGAGTTTTATCTTCCCCTTGGTATATACCACATTTTCAATAAACTGGAAAGTGTGACACAATCACCTGATCTATGCGTGTAATGATATGTTTGACCTGGCAAATGGTCAAACCTTTCTCCTGTGGCCATCAACGTTGTGGCTGATTTTCATAGCTATTTTGCCCTGTTATTTTTCTGAGATTTATTTCACTAGCACTTAGGGAGGCCTTTGATTTTCAAGGACGTGCACTGACAGGTTGTTATTTATCCCCAAGAGACTTTCATGTCCTAAGGGGAAAAAAACGTCCTGAGAATTTCAAACTTACAATAAGTAAAGAAAAAGAAAAAACTTTGCAGCTATCATACCTTCTTAAGAATAAAATTTTGGATCAAAGGGTATTATCAATAACACTCAAAAGCATTCTGGGCACACATTTTTAAATAAAATTTTATAATTATTTCCTTAGATACTATTAATATGAATTTTTTTAAAAAACTCTGAAACTTTCAGTTTAATCGTAGACTCCAACAGAGCTGTGAGTTAATTTTACTTCCAGCCACATGGGAAAGGAAGAACATGCCTTTAAGTGTCTTTTGTAGCTTCGCAGAGATAACTCAAAAAGTATTTGACCCTTCTGGAAAACAGAGGTGTCAATTTACAGTTTATAATCAGGACACTTATGTGAGAGTTTCAGGCTTTGGAATTATTGGTCGTGCTTCACAGGATGCAACAAAAATGTTTGAGGTCTTCGTGTCCCTGATTCACGAGACACTCAAGGACGAGTGTCACATGTGCAACAGAACAACATTCTACATTTTATCATAAGCCTTCACATTGGGCAAGAGAATGAGGACTCAACTTTTCATATGTGTTTTCAATTTTTCTTAGTTTATAGAACCAGAATATGTCAGAGAACAATATTAGCTTTTTTCGAGCTGTAGGAAAAAGGGAAATTTTTTGCCTCCTTATTTTTCTGAGATTTTTTTCACTAGCACTTAGGGAGGCCTTCAGTTTTTAAGGAGATGCACTGATATGTCATTATTTATCCCTAAGAGAGTTTCGTGTCCTGAGGGGGAATAAAAGTCCTAAGACATTCAACCTTACAGTATGTAAAGAAAAAAAATAATTTGCAGCTTTCATACCTTCTTAAAAATAAAATTTTTGGTCTACTGCCATACCACTTTGAACGTGCTTGATCTTGGAAGCTAAGCAGGGTCAGACCTGGTTAGGACTTGGTATGGGAGACCACATGGGAATACCAGGTGTTGCAGGGTTGATATAAAATCTAAAATTTTAAAATAAAAAAATAAAAATAATATTTCTGATCAAAGGGTATGGAATCTGTTTAAAGCCTTTGCTTAAAAGGCCAAATTATCTTCTAGAATAATTACATCAACTTACATTTCCTTCAGCAGTGTGTGTGTTTCCATTTCATTGCATCTTGGTTTTTATAAAAATCTTTTAAACATCTGGATTTGTTTTTAGCACATTAGTGCTGCATATTTCTGCAAATGCATCAGTTCTGTCTGGGCTGATATAGAGAAGCAGAGAAACACATTTTAGTTAAAATCCTAAGTTCTTTTTGACTTTGAAAGACATTGGATAGTGGCTTCCAGATTCTATTTGGCTTGGGTCACTGTGAGAGTTGGTTTCTATTGAGCAAAAACAAGATGTGAAAGTTGGTAGAATTATTGTGGAAAAAAAAATCTAATATGACAACTTCGTATTATAAATTGGGCAGGAAAAAAAGCCCCAAGGACATTACTCTTGCAGTTGATGCGCTTGGTAACAGGAGTCTGCGGAACTCTCCAGAGCTGCCCTCCCTGAGCCCCCTCGGCCATCGTCACCAGGCATATATTGGCCAGAATGTGCCACATCACTCATGTCTGGCACAATTGTGAAAGTCAGTTTATTTGATTTGCACTCCCCTAGTGATGAGGGCAAGTTCTACACCTCTGCCATCACTGGACAAGGTACCTGGGACAGCCATCAAGTTGTCCAGCTGTTCCTGACAGCTCCTGCCATCCTGCCAAGACTAATATTTGACAATCTAAACGGGGTGTGGAAAAGTAAACTAGGCTTCCAGCAGGGCATTGTAAATCTCCAACTCTCTGGCCCCTGAGAGGGACTTTACTGCTCATAGACGTCAACAGGAGAAATACATGTTTTGAAGGAGAGCCAAGCAATTCATTTAAATAAATTTAAATGAAAAATAACAACATAATTCAGGAGAATTGAATGCCACTTTCTCCCTATTGTATGGCACCTTTGCCCTAGCTATTCTGTCTTCAAGGGAAAATTACACAATCTGCACCAAAACTTAATCTTCGTAAAAAGAGGGAGCATTTTTGCAGGAAATGTGCTAATTGGAAAAGTTACATAAATGTCTGCTTGTGTTAGATTATTATTCCCAAGTCTATCAGAAAAAAAAGGTATTACAGTAATAGGGGAAAAAAAATCCCCTTTTTCAAAAAGAATATTTGTGTGTTAGCAGACACTGCACTATCGTGGTTATTTATGTGAAGTAATTTTAAGGAGTGAACACTTGAAGTATTGGTTGGACTCAATTTTAGTGCATTGAGACACATACCCACCAAACAATAAAACTGGTACTTAACAGTTATAATAATGATGTCAACAATGAATCTGGCTCCTGTTGATATGTGCAAAGCCAAAGATAATGAAGAAAACAAATGAAAGTTTACATTATTATTGCTGTTAGTTTCATCAGCTTTGGAATTTCAGTTGCTGAGAAACTCCTTTAGAAATAGCATAGGTTAGAACTTTGCTGCCATGTTTTCTCTGTTCTGGACAATGAGGAAGGCCTGTTTCAACTTACAGATGCACACGGAGTCTGCAGTTGTATGCACCCTTCAGCTCCTTGAGGCCAGTGGGTGCAACCTTACAGCCAGAATACTCCCCAAGGTGTTCCTCCAATGAATAAAATTCCTTTCCTTAAATATGTCAGAAGGGACACAGAAATGTGAATGCCCTAGTATGTTCACTTCCTCCAGACCACAATATTGTATGCCTCAAGAGGAAATTAATGTGCACATTTCTAAAGACTTCCAACTTTTTTCATTTGGACATTCCACTGCTTTTGTTTGCCAGAAAAAAAAAATGTCACTGAGCTTCTGTGATTATTTAATAAGAACCAATTTATTTTTAACTTGATTTTTTTCTGCCTGGAAAACAGGTTTATATACCTTTCATGTTTCCATCTCTCCTTCCTAAGTACACATATTCATGCAGGTGTCCAAAGCCAATCTGCCAATCTTTCAACTACATATGTTCTGTGAAACTGACAGGTCAAGTAATTATCTTTAGAAAAATTATTTTTAAGGCTAATAGTGGTGTTATCAAAACTTTCCCTGGAATGTATTTTGGTTATTTCTTTAGACATTGCACTGTACATTTAATGAAGAATACTTTAAGAAATAACCTCATTTGCATTTTAATTCTCAAAGTGTCCATATCCAATTAGAATATTCCATAATCCCACTAGAACTTGCAAAATCAGAATAAAAATTTTTGAAATAAAAACCAATGTAACTTGTACTATCTTCGTGGTGTGCAAACTAGCTTACTGACATTGACAATTTTTGAGTCTCAACAGAATCCTAAAATGAGGCCAGGTTTACAAAGTTCAATTCTATTTTTAAGCCAAAGAGGAAAATAAGATTTTAAAGGGAAGAACAAATCTCCCTTAAGCATTGATAGTAACTTTTAATGTCTTGCTAATCAAAATTTATGGCTGAGTCCCAACTGCCTTAAGGTAGAAAAAAAATTCAAACAATGAAGGAGAGAAGATTCAAAGCTGGCCCTTGTTTCTGAGTTTGAAAATTGCAGAAGTCAGTCTCCCTGGATATTAATGTTGCAGGTTTTGCTGACTGAGGATACAGATGATCCCCTTGGAGAAGGAAGCTTAAGGGTTTCTGGAGTCTTCCTCAAAGGTTTTACTAACATTCTCCAAGTAGCAACTTTCACAGAGCAGATTTATAGCAGAGTGTGAGAAGACTACTTTAGAACATGAATGAGTCTTGAGTTTCATCACAAAATGTTTTGGAATTGATTAGAGAGAGTTTCCATGCCTTATTCAAAACTCAAGAGGTAAAAAAAATTAGTAAATACATTAGTATTGTATTAGGTAGCATTTAAAACAACACAAAACAAGGATGAGCTGATCTCATTGAGACAGTTCTTCACTACTGTGAATGTCAGAAAGAAACGGCAGGTCATTTATGATGGCCAGGAAGCAGTCTTAGAACTTCTAAAATGCCCTCCATATGTGGGAAAGTTGATCCCGTCATTTATAAGATACATTACATGATTTCTTTCTAGCTAACATCTTTGACGAAACTTTGCTGAGACATCTGTGTTACATGATGGATATAGACATGTGGTCTATACACAATGCAATACCATTCAGCCATAATAAAAGGGAAATTCTGTCATTTGTGACAACATGGATGAACCTGCAGGACTTTATGCTAAGTGGAATAACTCAGGCACAGAAAGACAAATAATGCATGATTCCACTCATATGTGGAATCTAAAAAAGTTTAACTCACATAAGTAGAGGGCAGAATGGTGGTTGCCAGAGGCTAAGGGAAGGAGTGGACGAAAAAAGGGGATATGTTGATCAAAGGGTACAAAATTTCAGTTAGACCGGAGGAATAAGCTTTAGTATTCTATTGCACAGAATGGTGACTAGAATAAATAATAATGGATTGTATATTTCAAAGTTGCTGAAAGAATGAATTTTAAATGTTTCATCACAAAAAATGATAAGATGTGAGGTGATATATTTGCTAACTAGCTTGACTTAATCATTCTACAATGTAAACACATATCAAAACCTCACTTTGTACCCCATAAATATGTAATATATACACTAATTACTTGTGAATTAATAAAAAATTAAATGGCAAGTCATTTGTGGTGGCTAGAGGAGAAGTGTAGCATCCTTCTTATTAAGATACAAGAGTTATCCTGGAGCCCAGTGACGATGGATGGCTCCAAAAGGGCCTGAGTGACAGGTTACTTTTTCTCCATGAAAGCTTTTATGTTTAAATCACACTTGTGAGTAGACTAAGTAGCATACACTTCCCCCACATTCTAGGTCTTTAGTGTAGCTGAATGAAGAGTGGAGAGTGTGAGTGACAGCTGAGGAAGACAGAGTTGTGCCCTGAGATAGCATTGTGATAGTGATTACTTGTCAGCTAGGCTAGGTTGCAGTGCCCAGTTGTTTGGTTAAACACTATATCAGTGTATTTTAATTTACTAATCTTGTAATTTTTTATGATTATGAATAATATATACCCGTTGTCGAAAACTGGGAAAACACAGAAAAATATATCAAAAATTACTCAGTGAAACCCAGTTTAGTCAGGATCAAGTTTTAGTTTATCCTATGCATTTTTAAATTTTGGAGATCACAATAAATGTACTGATTGTTAAAAGAGTTAACAAAGTACACAGAGTATTGATGAGCGGAACCATGAAGGTTAGATTAGTGCTAGATGGTAACTCCTTTCAATCTCTGCAAAAACTTATTTATTCAACTTGGTAAAATGTTTTTGATTATGCCTGTGCTTTTTATCTTCGTTGTAATTTTTTCGGTTTCTTCTGTGGAAATGACTTACAATTCTTAGTTAGAATAAGCCTTCTGTGTCTCCCATCTCTGCTGCTTGCTCCAGCATTTTATAAATTTTCTTCTTCTCTTTCTTTTCTTTTTTGTTTTTTTAGATGGAGTTTCACTCTTATTGCCCAGGCTGGAGTGGAATAGCACAGTCTCGGCTCACTGCAACCTCTAACTGTCGGGTTTGAGTGATTCTCTCATCTCAGCCTCCTGAGTAGCTGGGATTACAGGCACCCGCCACCACGCCCAGCTAATTCTTATAATTTTTAGTAGAGATAGGATTTCACCATGTTGTCCAGGCTGGTCTTTAATTCCTGGCCTGAGGTGATCCACCCACCTCGGCCTCCTAAAGTGCTGGGATTACAGGCATGAGCATTCTTCTTCTCTTTCTATGCACATAGAACATATCAATTGGCCCCACTGTCACTGATTTAATACTCTGTGCTGAATTTTTCTTCTCATTGCTTCTGAATCAACTATTGAGTATTCTACTGTTCCTCTGAATCAACTACTGAGTATTCAATTTATCTGCAGTCTTTTCTTCTGTCACTCCTTGGTTGCCTTGTCATCTCAGCCTATTTTCCCCTAATGGCTTTCTCCTCCTTTTCAGAGGACATATCAACTTGGATTTTAGCAACTATACCCAACACATTTCTAAATTATCTTCTGTTTATCATGCTAATTTTTTTTCAGAGACATGCTTTTCTTTGACTTTTCATGATGCCTTCATTTTTTTCTTTTTTTTTTTTGTAGTATCTATCTCTTTTTCACATTTTGTGCAGTTTTTTAGGTTTCAGTTTTTCTTGATTCTGCCTGACTTTCTTACATTCCAAAATTGAAACAGCTGAAACCCATTATAATCTCCAGCATTTAGTGCCACCATGGTTCTTTCTGCTCTTGTTCCTACCTACACTGTAGAATGAAATCCCTAAGATGCTATGTGCTTCTTCCTGTCTGTCTTGCTCCACTTTCTCCCTGACTATTTCTAGAGTGCTGCTGCCTCCAGATGTGTGTAGGCAATGGTAGAGATCAGAAGTAAGGCTGCTTCTAGAAGTAGCAGCCAAGATGAAAAGAGACAACTGAACATTTTTCTGAGTGGTAAAGAGCTTGCATTTCTAAACTCCAAAGCACAGATGGCCCAAAGTGCTCTTTATTATCAAATTAAAAATGATAAATACACATTTAAAAATTCATCTGTAATTTCAATGAAAAGCTAAATGAATTTTTAACAAAAAAGAACACACATTCTAGTAAAAATGTTCTTGAAATATGGAGAAACTCAGAATTATTGACATAAGACATGGATAGTGAAATGCTCCAAGCTATTCATTGCTTTGCTTTTATAGATAAGAGTGATTAGTTTTTATATTGTGCTGTAACAAATTATCACACTGTTTTAAATAATCCAAATTCATTATTTTTAGTTTTTTAAGTTAGAAGTCTGACAACTTTTGTATCACTGGGTTAAAATCAAGAAGTCAGCAAAGTTGTATTTCTTTCTGGAGGCTCTAGGGGAGAATTTCTTTTCTTGCCTTTTCCAGCTTATAGAGGAAATGTGTATTCCTTGGCTCATGGCCTCTTCCTCTGTCTTCAAAGCCAGCAATGACAAGTTTGACTCACATCACATCTCTCTGACCTTTCTTCAGTCATCACTTCTCTCATTACAGTTGGGAAAGTCTCCACCTGTGACTACATTAGATCCACCTAGATAATTAAGGACCATTTCTCTGTCTCAAGGTTCCTAATCTTAATTGAATTTGCAAAGTCTCTTTTGCCATCTAGGGTAAAGTTTCCACAAATTCTGGGGATTAAAAGGGAAACCTCTTTGGGTGGGGGGTAGGGGGGCTTATTCTTCTTCCTATTGCAATGAATAAAGTTGGAAAGTATTTACCAACACAAGAATATAAAGAATAGCAAAGTGGAAGTGTACAAGATTTCTATTAGTATTTCTATCAATGACGATTGTTCTGTCTTGTCTCCATAAGAGTGTTTGTTTGCAGGAAACTCTGCTGCTTGAACTCCAGTGATTCCTGCAGAACTTTTAACTTTGAGTTGTTCATTTTTTTTACTTGTTTGTTATTGGAAATTGTAGTTAATAATTATAATCCTGTGTCAGAAAGTTGAATCTTGCAATATTTACCCTATTGAATATTTCACTGACCTTACTAGTAAGTGGAATAGACTGGAATAAAACCTGTTCATATCCTACTGGATTTAGGAAAAGCCATCCTTTTCTTCTTTGTACTCTTCAGGTAAAGATGAGTGGTTAGTACAGTAGAGATATTTTTAGAACACTGCCCAGAATTTGACTTTTCCCTCAATAAACACAATACTTTCTGATAGCCGTGCTTGTTTAGCCAGAGGAAGAAGTAAAGTAATCTATTTTTTTTGTTTGCTTTTCAATCCTACTTATTTGTTCATATAATTAGTGGAAATTCATCCAAATTCTGGGGACTGGTTGACTGTACATCCTAGTTACATCCTAGGCAGGCGTTTTTCTCTTTAGATCTCAGTTGAAAATTAATGTGATTTTTCAGAAACCTTTATAGAAAACTAGTCAGATACCATTTTAATCCAGTATTTTAACAATTTAGGCATTTAATTTTATTTAATTCCATACTTCTTGAATTCCTACTATGTGTCAGATGTAGTCAAGAGAATTAGGTGTAAATTTCTGAGCCTGCGAGTTGCCTTTCCCAGAAGGATCTTTTGCTGTGAAAGATTGCTGTTAATGGTGCAGATGGCTGGGTTTTCTGAGGCCATTTCTCCACTGAGTGCCCCACCCCCTAAGTAAGGGTGTGATTCCGTCACCTGAAGAGCCAGGCAGGGGAGGCCTTTTTTTTTTTTTTTTTTTTTTGAGACGGAGTCTCACTCTGTTGCCCAGGTTGGAGTGCAGTGGTGCAATCTCCGCTCACTGCAAGCTCCGCCTCCCGGGTTCAAGCCATTCTCCTGCCTCAGCCTCCCGAGTAGCTGGGACTACAGGCGCCCGCCACCACATCTGGCTAATTTTTTTTTGTATTTTCAGTAGAGACGAGTTTTCACCATGTTAGCCAGGATGGTCTCAATCTCCTGACCTTGTGATCTGCCCGCCTTGGCCTCCCAAAGTGCTGGGATTACAGGCGTGAGCCACTGCGCCCGGCCGGGGAGGCCTTTTTAAACATAGAAACCTATGGTGGAGAAAATGTCACTAGAGCACCCATGCTGCAGCTGCAACTCCTTGGCATCAGGACCAGTCCTTTCTCTTCCAGGACTGGAGACACATGCATCTTCAAATCTGCAGAGCCCACAACCAGCATGGTATTGTCATGCGTGTCCATGTGAAGAGACCACCAAACAGGCTTTGTGTCAGCAATAAAGCTTTTTAATCACCTGGGTGCAGGCGGGCTGAGTCCAAAAAGAGAGTCAGTGAAGGGAGATAGGGATGGGGCCGTTTTATAGGATTTGGGTGGGTAGTGGAAAATTACGGTCAAAGGGGGTTGTTCTCTGGTGGGCAGGGACAGGGGTCACAAGGTGGTCAGTGGGGGAGCTTCTGAGCCAGGAGAAGGAATTTCACAAGGTTAATTGCTCAGTTAAGGTGGGGCAGGAACAAATCACAATGGTGGAATGTCATCAGTGAAGGCAGGAACCGGCTATTTTCACTTCTTTTGTGATTCTTCACTTGCTTCAGGCCATCTGGATGTATTCGTACAGGTCACAAGGGATATCATGGCTTAGCTTGGGCTCAGAGGCCTGACATTCCTGTCTTCTTATATCAATAAGAAAAATAACATAAAATAGTATTGAAGTGTTGGGGCAGTGAAAATCTTTTTGGGGGCTGGTATGGAGAGATAATGGGCAATGTTTCTCAGGGCTGCTTCCAGTGGCATTAGGGGTGGCATGGGAACCCAGAGTGGGAGAGATTAAGCTGAAGGAAGATTTTGTGGTAAGGGGTGATATTGTGGGGTTGTTGGAAGGAGCATTTGTCATATAGTGTGATTGGTGATGGCCTGGATACAGTTTTGGATGAATTGTGAAACTAAACAGAAGACACAAGGTCCAAGCATGGGAACCTAGAGTGGGAGAGATTAAGCTGAAGGAAGATTTTGTGGTAAGGGGTGATATTGTGGGGTTGTTGGAAGGAGCATTTGTCATATAGCTTGATTGGTGATGGCCTGGATACAGTTTTAGATGAATTGAGAAACTAAACAGAAGACACAAGGTCCAAATAAGAGAAGGAGAAAAACAGGTATTAAAGGACTAAGTATTGGAGGACCCAGGACATCTAATTAAAGAGTGCCCAAGGGGGTTCAGCTTACTTACTTGCTTGGTTGGCAAGTTTTTAGACTCTATCCTTGAGTGTTTTTTTTGTTTTGTTTTGTTTTTTTACATTGTCATGTACCAGGCCAGATTGATTTAGGTAAAAACAACACTCTTCATTTAAAAATATACAGAGTCCCCCCTTTTTTTTAAGCAGTTAGTAAGTCAGGGCCTCTGTGATTTTAGAGGAAAGAGAAATGCAAAGCCAGCAATTGTTTGTTAAAGAAGGATTAGAAATGGCGACGAGAGCATTTTTTCATGTGTTTTTTGGCTGCATAAATGTCTTCTTTTGAGAAGTGTCTATTCATGTCCTTCGCCCACTTTTTGATGGGGTTGTTTGTTTTTTTCTTGTAAATTTGTTGGAGTTCATTGTAGATTCTGGATATTAGCCCTTTGTCAGATGAGTAGGTTGCGAAAATTTTCTCCCATGTTGTAGGTTGCCTGTTCACTCTGATGGTAGTTTCTTTTGCTGTGCAGAAGCTCTTTAGTTTAATTAGATCCCATTTGTCAATTTTGTCTTTGGTTGCCACTGCTTTTGGTGTTTTAGACATGAAGTCCTTGCCCATGCCTATGTCCTGAATGGTAATGCCTAGGTTTTCTTCTAGGGTTTTTATGGTTTTAGGTCTAACGTTTAAGTCTTTAATCCATCTTGAATTGATTTTTGTATAAGGTGTAAGGAAGGGATCCAGTTTCAGCTTTCTCCATATGGCTAGCCAGTTTTCCCAGCACCATTTATTAAATAGGGAATCCTTTCCCCATTGCTTGCTTTTCTCAGGTTTGTCAAAGATCAGATAGTTGTAGATATGTGGAAAAATGCTCATCATCACTGGCCATCAGAGAAATGCAAATCAAAACCACAATGAGATACCATCTCACACCAGTTAGAATGGCAATCATTAAAAAGTCAGGAAACAACAGGTGCTGGAGAGGATGTGGAGAAATAGGAACACTTTTACACTGTTGGTGGGACTGTAAACTAGTTCAACCATTGTGGAAGTCAGTGTGGTGATTCCTCAGGGATCTAGAACTAGAAATACCATTTGACCCAGCCATCCCATTACTGGGTATATACCCAAATGACTATAAATCATGCTGCTATAAAGACACATGCACACGTATGTTTATTGCGGCATTATTCACAATAGCAAAGACTTGGAACCAACCCAAATGTCCAACAATGATAGACTGGATTAAGAAAATGTGGCACATATACACCATGGAATACTATGCAGCCATAAAAAATGATGAGTTCATGTCCTTTGTAGGGACATGGATGAAATTGGAAATCATCATTCTCAGTAAACTATCACAAGAACAAAAAACCAAACACCGCATATTCTCACTCATAGGTGGGAATTGAACAATGAGATCACATGGACACAGGAAGGGGAATATCACACTCTGGGGACTGTGGTGGGGTGGGGGGAGGGGGGAGGGATAGCATTGGGAGATATACCTAATGCTAGATGACGAGTTAGTGGGTGCAGTGCACCAGCATGGCACATGTATACATATGTAACTAACCTGCACAATGTGCACATGTACCCTAAAACTTAAAGTATCATAAAAAAAAAAAGAAAAAGTATTAGAAAAAAAAATAGAAATGGCTACGAGAGAGTGAGTGAGATTGATAGTGTGGTGGAGATAGCTGGGGAGAGGTAGAGGGTGGCATGAGAATGGGAATGAGAATAAGAGTGAGTATAAAAGTAAAGAATAGAACCTCATCAGGGTGAAAGTATTGGAGGGTGCCCTGCCAGCAAAGATCATCTATCCACTCCAAGAGGGAGTCAAGTGTGGTGGTTTGGGGATAGCACCAGGAGATACCAGCTGTGATGGCTTGGAGAAACAGTGTAAACTGGCAGTGTAAACAAGAGCAGGGCATTTATGAGTAGTTGAGAACAGTGAATAGGAGTATGACTAGACAGAAGATAGTAAGGATGACAAGTTTTTGGGGCTCAGTCCAAGTAGTGGGGGTGACTGCATAAAGCCCTGTTGCAAAAAGTAGGGTAAGGATGAATAGACTTAATAGAATGAAGGGATATATTACACTCATGAGGGTTATTACTGTTCTTCAGAAATGAGAGTGAGTGTAAGCGAAGTAGGGGAGAGGACTTGCGACTTCCAGGAGAAAGAGAGATTAGGCTGGCTGTCCGATGGACACAGCTTTATTCTGGAGTGGCGAACCCAGTGGGGAGGATCCTGCAGGCAGATGGCAGTTGGGGTACTATAGATGACTAAGTAGGGTCTGGTCCAACGAGGTTGTAGAGTTTGAGGGGTCAGATTCTTAACAAGAACTGATCATCCAGCTAGGGTGTCTTCATATGGCTGGGAATCTGGAGTAGGCAAGAGAAGATTAGCAGCTTGGCGAATTTCCTGTCTAGCCTGCTGGAGGACTGGAAGATAGTCACCTAGAGGGCCAGTGTCTGGGACAAGGTTGGAGCCGAGCAAGAAAGTGCGTCCATATAAAAGTTCAAATGGACTGTACCCTGTAGCATCTGGAGGACAGGCTCTAATTCTGAGAAGGGCAAGACGTAAAAGTACAGTCCAGTCCTTTCTAAGTTGGAGGCTGAGCTTGGCGAGGTGTGTCTTTAAAAGATCATTAGTCCATTCTACCTTTCCTGAAGATTGAGGACAGTAAGGGGTATGAAGGTTCCACTAATACCAAGAGCCTGAGAAACTGCTCGGGTGATTTCACTAGTAAAGGCTGGTCCGTTATCAGACTGTATAGAGGCGGGAAGGCCAAACCGAGGAATTATGTCTGACAGAAAGGAAGAAATGACCATGGTGGCCTTCTCAGACCCTGTGGGAAAGGCCTCTACCCATCCAGTGAAAGTGTTTACCCAGACCAAGAGGTATTTTAGCTTCCTGACTCAGGGCATGTGAGTAAAGTTAATTTGCCAGTCCTGGGCAGGGGCAAATTTTTGAGCTTGATGTGTAGGGAAGGGAGGGGGCCTGAGAAATCCCTGAGGAGTAGTAGAGTAGCAGATGGAACACTGAGAAGTGATTTTTTGAGGATAGATTTTTATGATGGAAAGGAAAAGAGAGGTTTTAAGAGGCAGGTTAGCGGCTTGTAACCTACAATGAAGAGGTTATGAAAAGACAATAGAATAGAATGGGCCTGTGAGGCTGGAAGGAGATATTTTCCTTGGTCCAAGAACCATTTGTCTTGTGTGGGAAGAGATTGATAGGTGGAAGTTTCAGTGGGAGAGTAGGTGGGAGTAACTGATGAAAAGGAGAAAAACTGGCCATGAGGGACAGAAGTAGGAAGGCTAGCTGCTTCTTTAGCTACCTTATCAGCATAAGCGTTGCCCTGAGCGATGGGATCTGATGCCTTTTGATGGCCCTTGCAGTGAATGACTCGTTTCTTTTGGAAGAAAAGCAGCCTTGAGAAGAGTTTTTATTAAAGAGGCATTAATGATGGAGGACCTTTGCATAGTGAGGAAACCTCTTTTAGCCCATGTAACAGCATCGTGGTGCAGGATATGGAAGGCATATTTACAGTTACTATAAATATTGACACGTAGTCCTTTTGTAAGAGTGAGGGACCGAGTTAAGGCAATGAGTTTGGCGTGCTGAGAGATCATGGAGGGGGGCAGAGTGGTAGTCTCAATGACAGATGTGGAAGATACTACAGCATAGACTGCCTTTGCTGGTGAGTGGTGATTAGGCCTGGTGGAACTGCCATCAATAAACCAAGTATGATCAGGGTGAGGACAGGAAAAAAGGAAATATGGGGAAATGGAGTGAATGCCAGGTGTATTAGAGAGATACAGTCATGGGGGTCAGGTGTGGTATCAGGAATAATGTGGGAGGCTGGATTGAAGTCCAGGCCAGGAACAATGGTAATTGTGGGAGACTCAACAAAGAGTGAGTATAGCTGAAGGAGCCAGGGAGCAGAAAGTATATGTGTCAGGTGTGAGGAAGAAAATAGATTTTGGAAGTTATGAGAACTATAGAGAGTGAGTTGAGCATAGTTTGTGATTTTGAGGGCCTTTAAAAGTATTAGGGTGGTGGCAGCCACTGCACAGAGACATGATGGCCAGCCTAAAACAGTAAGGTCAAGTTATTTGGACAAAAAGGCTACAGGACCCGGTCCCAGTCCTTGTGTAAGAATTCCAACTGCACAGCCCTGCACTTCAGCTGTGTGTAATGAAAAGGGTTGGGATGAGTCAGGGAGAGCTAGTGTGGGAGCAGTCTCTAAAGCTGTCTTCAAGGAACGGAAAGAGGAGTGGGGAAAGGATTTAGGATCTATGGGGTCAGCTAGGTTTTCTTTTGTGAGTTTATATAACGGTTTTGTTAGGATGGTAAAACCAGGTATTTAAAGGCGCAAGTACCTAACTATGCCTAGGAAGGAAAGGAGTTGTTGTTTTATAGAAGGGGTTGGGGTTTGGGAGATTAGCCAGGCATGATCAGCAGGGAGAGCACATGTGTTTTTATGAAGAATTATGCCAAAATAGGTAATGGATGAGGAAGAAATGTGGGTTTTGGAAGGGGATACAAGATATCCTTTTGAGAATAGATGTTGGAGGAACAGGAGGGTGTCCTGTTGGGAAGATTTGTAGGAGGGGCTATAAAGTAGAAGGTCATCAAAATATTTAATAAGGTGAGAAGCAGATGGATGGAAAGAAAGTAAATTATGAGAAAGGGCTTGACTGAAGTAATGAGGGCTGTCCATGAAGCCTTGTGGCAATACAGCCCAGGTAAGTCACTGAGACTGATGGGTGTCAGGGTCAGCCCAGGTAAAAGCAAAGAGAGGCTGGGAGGAGAGGTGCAGGGGAATAGTGAAAAAAGCATCCTTAAGATCAAGAATGGAATAGTGAGTTGTGGAGGAAGGTATTGAGGACAAAACAGTGTACGGGTTGGGCACCACAGGGTGGATAGGCAAAACAATTTGGTTGATAAGACGCAGATCCTGAACTAACCTGTAAGACTTGTCCGGTTTTTGAACAGGTAAAATGGTGGAATTGTAAGGAGAGTTTATAGGTTTTAGAAGCCCATGCTGTAGCAGGCGAGTGATAACAGGCTTTAATCCCCTTAAAGCCTGTTGTGGGATGGGATACTGGCATTGAGAGAGGTAAGGGTGATTAGGTTTTAATGGGATAGTAATGGGGATGTGATCGGTTGCCAAGGAGGGAGTAGAGGTGTCCCATACTTGTGGGTTAAGGTGGGGGGATATGAGAGGAAGACACGAAGGAGGCTTTGAACTGGGGAAAAGGGCAGCAATGAGGTGTGGCTGTAGCCTAGGAATAGTCAGGGAAGCAGATAATTTAGTTAAAATGTCTCAATCTAATAAGGGAGCTGGGCAGGTGGGGATAACTAAAAAGGAGTGCATAAAAGAATGTTGTCCAAGTTGGCATCAGAGTTGGGGAATTTTAAGAGGTTTAGAATCCTGGCTGTCAATACCTACAATAGTTATGGAGGCAAGGGAAACAGGCCCTTGAAAAGAAGGTAATGTGGAGTGGGTAGCCTCCGTATTGATTAAGAAGGGGATGGACTTACCCTCCACTGTAAGAGTTACCGAAAGCATCTGTGGTGGTCCAGGAAGCTCCTGAGGCTATCAGGCAGCATCAGTCTTCAGCCACTAAGCCGAGAAGATCTTGGAAGGAGTCAGTCAGAGAGCCTTGGGCCAGAGTTCCAGGGGTTCTGGGAGTGGCTGCTGGGTGAGTTGAACAGTCCGATTTCCAGTGGGGTCCCGCACGGATGGGACACGGCTTAGGAGGAATCCCAGGCTGCAGGCATTCCTTGGCCCAGTGGCCAGATTTCTGGCACCTGAAGCAAGATCCTGATGGAGGAGGTCCTGAAAGAATGGCTGACCGCTGTGGCTTAGGCAGTTTCTCTCACAGCAGAGGCAAGTAATTGCAACTCTTCTCTATTATTGATTGTATACCTTGAAGGCAAGGTTAATTAAGTCCTGTTGTGGGGTTTGAGGGCCAGAATCTAATTTTTGGAGCTTTATTTAATGTCAGGAGTGGATTGGGTAATAAAATGCATATTGAGAATAAGACAGCCTTCTGATCCTTTAGGGTCTAGGGCTGTAAAGCATTTCAGGGTTGCTGCCAAACGAGCCATGAACTGGGCTGGGTTTTTATATTTGATGAAAAAGAGCCTAAACACTAACTGATTTGGGAGAGGTTGGATGAAGAAAAAGGAGCATTAACCTTGACTATGCCTTTAGCTCCAGCCCCCTCTTTAAGAGGAGATTGTTGGGCAGGTGGGGGAGGGCTAGTCGCAGAACAAAACTGTAAGCCAGACCAGGTGTGACAAGGGGAAGTGATAGAAGGATTATAGCGTAGGGGAGAGGAGGCTGAGGAAGAATTGGAGCCTGATTCAGCCTCATGGGGAGTGACCTGAGGAGGAGCAGTCTGGGGAGGAGGGGAGAGGTTAGATGGGTCGGTACAAAAGGAAGATTGAAAAGACTTAGTAACACTTGGGGTTGGGACTGAGGGGACAGGTAGGAGGGAAAGAAGGAGGATTTGGGATGAGTTTTATTGGGAACAGAGACTAGGGAGGGACCGATGTGTAAAAGAATGCCTGGATGTCAGGCATCTCAGACCATTTGCCCATTTTACGACAAGAATTACGTAGATCTTGTAAGATGGAGAAATTGAAAGTGCCATTTTTTGGCTATTTAGAACCATTGTCGAGTTTGTATTGGGGTCAAGCGGTATCGCAGAAGAAAATAAGGCATTTAGGTTTTAGGTCAGGTGTGAGTTGCAGAGGTTTTAAGTTCTTGAGAACACAGGCTAAGGGGGAAGAGGGAGGAATGGAGGGTGGAAGGTTGCCCATAGTGAAGGGAGCAAGCCCAGAGAAAAGAGAGGGTAGAGACACAGAGAGAGGGGGTGGGTGGGGGGTGATTGCCCCCCCAGGAAAGTGTATTGGCCACTAAGGTGGAGGATCAAGGCAGGTGTCCCCATGGTGATCAGACACCTCTGAAATGTGGGTGAATAATCAAGCAGGCGTCCCTGCAGTGATTAAACACCAAGGGAAGACTGTCTTCCCGAGTCCGTGACTGGTGCCGGAGTTTTGGGTTCACGGATAAAACGCGTCTCCTCTGTCTCTACCAGAAAAGGAAAGGAACTGAAATTAAGGGAAGGGAGAGATTGAAGGGTGGCACCAACATTGAAAGGAGAAAGAAGTTGAGGGATAGTGAGAGAGGTTGGGGAAGAGAGTAAAAAGAGGCCTCTTACCCGATTTAAAATTGGTGAGATGTTCCTTGGGCTGGTTGGTCTGAGGACCCGAGGTCGTAGATGGATCTTTCTCACAGAGCAAAGAGCAGGAGGACAGGGGATTGATCTCCCAAGGGAGGTTCCCTGATCCAAGTCACGGCACCAAATGTCACACGTGTCCATGTGAAGAGACCACCAAACAGGCTTTTTAATCACCTGGGTGCAGGTGGGCTGAGTCTGAAAAGAGAGTCAGCTAAGTGAGATAGGGGTGGGGCCGTTTTATAGGATTTGGGTGAGTAGTGGAAAATTACAGTCAAAGGGGGTTGTTCTCTGGTGGGCAGGGACAGGGGTCACAAGGTGGTCAGTGGGGGAGCTTCTGAGCCAGGAGAAGGAATTTTACAAGGTTAATTGCTCAGTTGGACAGAAACAAATCACAATGGTGGAATGTCATCAGTGAAGGCAGGAACTGGCCATTTTCATTTCTTTTGTGATTCTTCACTTCCTTCAGGCCATCTGAATGTATTCATGCAGATCACAGGGGATATGATGGCTTAGCTTGGGCTCAGAGGCCTGACAGCGTTAATTATGAGGAAATTCAGAGGAAGAATTTGTCCTTATGCAGAGAACAAAAGAGAGAGAAGAGTCAGACCCACTAGGTTCAGCCAATTTCTTGCATCTTAGAAGTCTCATTGAAATATAATTATCCAGTTAATGATGGAAGGAAGAAGGTTTAACTTGTACATTTTTAAAATCCTACATTTTGAAGTATGGTACTAATGTATTTTATATTTATCAATTTATCAATTTGCCAATTTACCAATTTTTTGTGTGGAAAAGTGTACTTGATATGTACAGATGATATATGATATGTAAAGAAATGGTATAGAAAATGTAGGTATGTAAAATGAGTAATACAACTGAAAAGAGCTAATAATAAAATAATATATACAGAATACCCTCATTTAACTTACGTAAGGGCATAAATACACACACAAAATATTTAGAGCCATCTTCCCAATTGTAAAAGTGGTAGTAGCTTAAAGGGAAGCTACAGGTGATTTTCATTGCTTTAATACTCAATTATATTTGTGACTTGCATTGAAAAATATTATCGTAATAACCCCTTTAAATAAGCCAAAACCAAACTTATAGATAGGATACGTTTCAAAACATCTTAGAGGCACTTAAGAACTGTCTTGCTGTCTTGCCCTTTGAGGTAACAGTAGAATTTTTTTTTGTTGTTTAGAGATGGAGTCTGCTCTGTCACCCAGGCTGGAGTGCAGTGGTGCAGTCTCAGCTTACTGCAACTTCTGTCTCCCAGGTTCAAGCAATTCTCCCATCTCAGCCTCCTGAGTACCTGGGACTACAGGCGCACACCACCATGCCTGGCTAATTTTTGTATTTTTAGTACAGACGGGGATTCACCATGTTGTCCAGGCTGACCTTGAACTCCTGAGTTCAAGTGATCTGCCTGCCTCAGCCTCCCAAAGTGCTGGGATTACAGGCATGAGCCACTGAGCCTGGCCAGTGGAAACTTTTAAAAAAGTTCTTACTTGTTCATAATTGGCATTGTTCTGAAAAAAATATACTTTGATACTAGCTAGTGTTTCTAATAAAAAAGGATGAAGCATAAAGGATACAAAACTGGAATTTTTTTTTTTTTTTTGAGATGGAGTCTTGCTGCGTCATCCAGGCTGGAGTGCAGTGGCGGGATCTCGGCTCACTGCAAGCTCCGCCTCCTGGGTTCGCGCCATTCTCCTGCCTCAGCCTCCTGAGTAGCTTGGACTACAGGTGCCCACCACCACGCCCGGCTAATTTTTTGTATTTTTAGTAGAGACGGGGTTTCACCGTGTTAGCCAAAACTGGAATTTTTCATATATTTAATAATTTGCCAAAATAAATTCAAATTTGATTCCATGGTATGTTAATAACATCCAAAGCTGGAGAGTTTAGTCCTATGAGATGAATTTTCTAACCAGTAATGGACTGGTACAACACTCCACTTTGTGGGAGGAACACGGTGGAAGTCCTTTGGAGGAGGTGGTGAGACTCACATGCAGGTGGAACTCATCTTGGGTGGAAGTAACATCAGAAGTGTTGATATGGCCAAGTAAGCAGATTATATATCTCATGTCTCTTTTTCCTTTGGACAGCTGATGTAGCAAAATACTAGCAGACTTCCAGAATTTTATTTTCTAGTGATTCCATGACAGAATAAATAGAATTACCGTGCCATAACAGAGCCCTAGAGTAAAACCTCTCTATCCCCTTCTCCACAAGACCCAGAAAAGTCCCATGGAAAGACTGAGTCCTGATTTTGAGCGTCTCCAGAAGCATCATCCACAATCAACTGTAATTTCAGTCAAGGTCAAGTTTAGAAAAATTCTTCCCTCAGCAAAAGCACCCAGGAGAGACCCATGCACGTGGTGTCACTCTTACATTTCTGCGCCAGTGATAGTACCCTGACCGTATCAAGTGTTTGGGAGGCCCTGGCATTGTGAGGCTCACAATGCACGTAGAGATGACCGGATAAACAGCATCTTTATTTGTATATACTCAAAGACACATTTATAGCTTCCAAGTAACTTGGTGGGGCTTAGATTTGGATAGGCTAATGATTATGGGTTGATTCCTTAAAGTAGCTCCACTGTTTTTAGCATTCCTGGGAAAATCTCAAGAAACTCCACTGCTGTGGGGCTGGTCTTCATGAACGGGCACCTGGCTGGGATGGCAGAGGTCACCACGGGGTGAGCCAGCTCCTTGACCAGGAGATTCAGCATCATACTATTCACCAAGAAGCACGTTTTCAGCTGCTTTTCATAGCTCAGCTTCTCCTAGCATCAGCCACAGGACAATTATAATCTTTTAAAATGCATTTCAACATCAATAGAGTTTGGAAGAAGCCCTTGTGAAAACATACTATTGAAAGTATTGATAGGAATTCTTGATAAATCACTCCTATGATTATGGTCAACTTCCTGTTTTTCCTCCTGGAGATGTGTAAGTACGTCCATTTCTCATTATAGTGAGGATTTTTAATGTAGGATCCTTGTTTTTGTTCAAATTATGTTCAAGTTTTATTGAACACAAATTCAACATTTCAGTATCACAGGAAGGGTACATGATTCTAGAGAATGAGAACTAAGATCACAATCCTAGACGTCACCTTGGTGAATCAAATACGAATTATTTTCTAAGAGTATTCTTTCTTCCTGAAAATATTCTGCATTCTGGAAGGGTAGGTATACATCCCAATAGACCGGGTTTGTGAAGTCTTCAGTGATCTTTGAATATCTCAAACTTCATGTTGGTGTGTTCTAGAAACTCTTATGTTCTCTCAATATCCATGGCAGTCTTTCAAGGCTGCTGCCTTAATTTCTATCACATGTATTAACCATTTCAACGCCAGTGGCTTCTCTTCCCTTGAGACACAGTTCATGCCAATCTAGATGCCTCAGAGGGTCACCAGTGAATTTCTGGATCATGCACTGAACCCCCAAGGCAATTCTTGTAGCAGTTTGTTTTCAAAACAGAGGTATCAGTCAGGTTAGACTGGATTATGCTACGGTGACACATGACACCACATTCTCAGTGGCGTGACATAGGAGCGCTATTGCTTGGACAAAGTCTGCTGTGGGTCTGGGTTCCTGTCCGGGTGCCTGCCTTACGGGCTGTGGCTCAGGCTTTCAGACCACTTGCTTGGATCCTGGACATCTCCATGTGAACATGTGCACCCACCATCGTCACAGGAGAATAAGAGAGAAATGGAGAGACAGCGCCAGCAAGGACAGCTCCAGCCTGGAGGAGCACGTGGTACTGCGCTTTGCTCTTCTGTAGCTAGAAAAATGGCTGCCATTCACTTTGAGGGTGGGGAGTTTACTCCTGGAAGTAGAGAAGAAAGGATGTGAGTCAGTGTGTAAATCTCTCTTGCTCTGAGAAACAGAATACTTCTCTGAGAGACACACAGCTATGTTTCCAGCTGTATTTTCAGAGCTCACAGACTGTACCTTCAATATCTATGTAAATCTCCCTTTCAGCAGACTTTTCAGTGGCAGGTACTTTTCCTCAGGAATCAGTAACATTCGATTAAGGATCTTATATTTCTCAGCATATATGTTTTAGTAAACAGGCTCATAACATGAATTTAAAAAATATATTTCCCACACCAAATAACCATTTCATACCATCTATATTGAGCCTGTGTTTGAAAGTATGCTAAACATCATTTTGTTTACTATATTTTAGGTTTTCTGTTTCTTTGTAGACTCTAGCCACATTATTATATATAATATACACTTTTCTGATTATGAACTAGCCATTGCTTATTATTAACCTGAAATCAAGACAGATGTGAAAAATAAGGCAAAAAGCACCCCTAGTTCCATATCTCAGAAGTAACTCCAGTTATTATTCTGGGATGTTACTGTATAAATAGAATAATATACAATAGTGACCCACCAGTGGTATATTCCCACATAAACTCACAGGATGCCTGCCAGGAGCCCTAAAACCAACTTCCTTTCAGAATCCCTGAAGAAATATGTTACAAATAGATTCCTGGGCCACTGGCCAGGTTTAATAAATTCAGGTTTTCAATTGTGCAACTCAAGAATTTATAATTTTAACAAGCTCCCTAGGGGTTTTTTATAAGACCAACTCAGTCCAATTTGAAACACAGGTTTCTAGGAGCCATGGGTATCTATCACGATTATTGATTCCTTATCATTGATTCCTCTCCTTCCTTCAAATGTAATGTTAAACACCAGCAAGCTCCTTAGCTTTCACCAACATCATGTATGTCGAATCTGACCAATGACACCACCTACCTACCCTGCCACCTTCCTGAGCAAAGCAGTCATTGTGTCTTGATGGAACAACAGAAACAGCTTAGTGAGTGTTCTCACTGGTTCCTGTGCTGCCTGGAATCATGTTGCTAAGGTGTAGATCTGGTCACATCATTATACTGTCTGCTACCATCCACTGGCTTCCCACTGCAGTGCCAGTCAAATATAAATGCATTTCCCAGGCTCATCCCACCCTGCCCTGAGGGTTCCCAAACAGGCCAGGGGGAGGCTTGGCAGTGTCTGTAGGCACTTTTCGTCACCAAACCTAGAAGGAGCGGTGTTGCTGGCATTGAGTGCAGGGAGGCCAAGGTCGCTGCTCAGCACCCTGCAGGGCAAGGGACAGCCCCACCGCAAGGGAGGATTTGCCCACATATCTGCAGTGCAGGAGGTGGGAAGCCCTGCCCTAGCAACCTGGCGCTTCTCCCCGCCTTGCCCTGTTGGCCATTATGCCATTCCCCTCTAGTTTTCTATCTGCAGAACCTGCCACACTCATTCCACATCAGGCACTTCCTAGTTGCATGGAGGGGAGCCAGGCTGGAGAGCCCCACCTGACGTCAGATTTCCTACGAGCATGAAATAAGCTGTGAGCGTGCAGAGCCACTGAGATCAGGGCTGTTTGTCCCCACAGCACACCCTGTCCTAACCTGCTTGACTTTGTTTCATGCACAAATCTCCCCATGTTACCAGTGGAGGGTGTCCAGCTTCTTGGCATCTTGAACAAATAATTGGACAAAATGCATAAACAAAGCAAGGAAAGAATGAAGCAACAAAATCAGAGATTTATTGAAAATGAAAGTACACTCCACAGGGTGGGAGTGGTCCTAGCACACGGGCTCAAGAGCCCAGTTACAGAATTTTCTGGGGTTTAAATACCCTCTAGAGGTTTCCATTGGTTACTTCCATTGGTTTATATTGGTGTATGCCCTGTGTAATGAAGAGCATGAAGTTAAGTTACAAAGTCATTTACTCTGTGTATGCCCTATGTAAATGGAGAGGGTATTACCTGTCATCACTGAAGTGTTTCCATTTGATTTAGTTCTAGGAAATCAGCGTGAATCGGCCTTATGTTCTCTCCCTCCAGCCACTGTTCTCCTGCCTCACCGACGTTAGTGAATGGCTTTTATCAATGCGGATTTCTAACAGTGGAACCATTTTCCACTTAGGCTATACCATGATTTATTTAGTCTTTCTTCATTGTGAGACAAATTCATTTTAGTTAAATGTAAATTTCAAGTTAAAAAAATTACTTTTTTCCACCTGAATGCTCTCTGTGAGGTCAAGATATATTTCCTTTGTCTCCCAGGCCTGACAGAGTTTTGAAAAGCTGCTCTTCTGAGATTTAGTACACAAACCTATGCTCTTCTTCCTCACACATTTCCTTTTTATAATGTTTTAACAGGAGGTAAGGAGTGGCTCTTCTGCTGCCTGTAGTAACATTTCTTAACATTTCTGATGCAAATCTGTAAGGAGATGTTGACACTTGCTTTGGTGGGTGGTTGAGATGAAAGGTCCTGGCGTGGCCAGAGGGGCCCCCACGTGGAGCAGAGGTTGGCTTAGCCACACGGTGGTGGTCACTGTGGTCCGGTGGGGGCACAGACTAGACTTTCCAGTGCTGGGTGATTGGTGGAAATTGGGGAAGCCAATTCCGAGATTTGTTATGGTGCAGAGAGAGAGACGGAACTGCATTCAGACAAAAACAGAAGGTAAGAAGAAAACTCTATTTTGAAATTTTGAATTGGGGAGATTTCAATTTAGTTATGGAAGCCTCTGAGAGTAATTCCATCACTGAACTTAAAGATCAATGCTGGTATTCACTTTGAAGATTTGAGGTTTTTTTTGCTACCATCCCAGGAGCGAAGAAAGCATCTGGATCCTGGATGGCAAAAATGCCACCGCCTTTTCCAACAGCACTGCTATCTTTTGTGATTGGAACACACCAGCAGGGAATGCTTTGGCAGGGAAATCCTAAGGAGCACCTCATATCCAAATCCCTAATCCCTGGCCTACTCACATGACCAGGAGTCATCTGTAATACTGTCCAAGGTTAGATAGTTTTATAGAAGGACAAAATTAAATGAAAATCCTTAGTAAAATAGGCATGCTTATGCTAGCTGTATATTAAAGCATGTCTGGGACATCATGGTAAGCTGGGTACATTGCAGCATGCTCTCCAGCGAAGCAGCTAAACCTAGCTGGAAGTGTTGCTTTTAGAGGAGAAAACTAGAGGAATCTAGAAGTTTCAATCATGTCAAGCTTAAAAGTTTGGCAAAAACAAAAGTATAATTTGCAGTTCTTCTGATTACTTACAGAAACCTAGAAGGGATACATTTTCAGATCTCCACCCCGCCAGAAAAGAAGGATTGCAAAAAATGTTCTGGGCATCTAACTCTGTCATATCTCTTGCCTTGTACAATCAATTTGATAGTTTTGGTTTGGTGACTTGATGGAAAGACAGTAAATGAAGAATGGTGTGGGATTTTAGAGTATTCCATTGCCTCATATTTCATGGTCCTGGCAGTGGTTTTACTTTGTAACAGTGCAGAATCCTAATGAGGTATGAAGAGAGAAAGCCTGGAAACAAGTGGATTTCCATATTGGCGTCAACAGAGACATGTCAGCAGAAAGGTCGCGGCAGGGGGCTGGAGCCTCACTGAAGTTATTCCTGACCCAGCATTTAAAAATGTCCTTATTTTAAAGCCTCTGCTTACAGGCCATTAAAAACTTGCTGTGGGACATTTTCTAGAATGACGTTCGCAACATGACATTGGGATTACTGATGTAAAGAAACTTAATTGCTTAGATCAAAATGTACTTTGGGTTTTTTGAATGGTTTTAAATGTTCAGAAGGAAAAGGATTGGATAATTTAGGAAGACATTTTGTAAAATAAAATAACTTTTGGCAGATAGGCTGGAAAAGGCAAACAAGAAAAACAGGTAATGGTTTCATTTCAGGAACAAAGGAAACAAATGTTCATTTATAGAGAGCTCATAAAATCTAAAATATCATAGATAACCTCTACATATGTGTTATTTTTTATTTGGGTCTTTTCTTTGCTTGGGGAAGAAGAGCTCACATTTTTCATTTTAGATACTTGCAAGGTATTTGCACATTGACTTGTCTTATTAGCTTCTCGAAATATCCCTGCAGCACTTTATATGGACGCAGCAACCGACATGCAGACAGGTGGAGGAGCATGCTGGTGAAAGGGACACAGGATCTCTCTGGAGTCTCTTTTGTAAGAACACTCAATCCCTTAATTGTGAGGGGGACATAAGCATTCAGTCTTAGCACCCAGCAAATCCTGATGAAGAGCAACTGGTTGTGGATATATTTGATGATTAGTAAAGGTAGGAAAGGCAGGCAAGACATCTCTGGGCTTTGTTGCATTTAACCACCATGACCTGCATCTGACAGTTGTGCGAACGGTCATCATAGTCATCTCTTCTCCTTTATTTTCTTTATCGTGGTCTTCCTTAGCTTTGTCTTCCTTTTTTTTTTTCTGTTCCTTTTTTCCTTTTTTTTTTTTTTTGAGGTGGAATTTTACTCTTTTTACACAGGCTGGAGTGCAATGGTGCAGTCTCGGCTCACTGCAACCTCTGCCTCCCAGGTTCAAGTGATTCTCCTGCAGGTGAATTTTTGTACTAAATTTTGTAATTTTGTACACCCAGCTAATTTTCGTACTTTTAGTAGAGACGGGGTTTCATCATGTTGGCCAGGTTGGTCTTGAACTCCTGACCTCAGGTCATGCTCCCGTTCAGCCTCTCAAAGTGCTGGGATTACAGGCATGAGTCAGTGCATCTGGCTTTCCTTTTCTTTTTCTAAGTGAACAAATACAAAAAAAAAAAAAAGGAGAATTAATAAAATAGTCATGTACTCATGACTAAAAATGCCACCTTTTCACATCTGTACCATGGATTAATTTGCAAAGAGAAGGAGACAGCACAGGCAGTTGAAGTTGGCCTTCCTCCGCTGCAGCCTGCTACCTAGGCTTGCCCTTTCTTTGCCACAGTCGTCTTCTGAGAACTATCATGTGACCCTTTCAAATGAAAACGTGGTCACATGATACTCTTAAAAATTAATTTTCCTACTCCAGCATCATTTGATCGTGTTCTCACCTGCAAAGAAATGGAATCGAAGCCCTCACCTTACACAAACCAGTCCAGTCCCTATAGGAATGAGCTCACCCACAAACACGCCCACCCTTCTTCCTGCTACTCGGAGCACCCTTCCTATCTGCAGGAACAGACTTTTTCAATGATGTGAGACTAAAATAGTTCTGCATACTTAGTTCTTTGAAAATTCATTTTGTGGACTGCTGTGAAATCTAAATGTGCAAACACATACGCTCTCCAATTAGGCCTAGCACAACTCGGGCTGAAGTTTCAAGTTACTCAAAATATGCCTCTGAACAAATCAGCACAATTTTGTGTTACCTCCCATGGTCAGGCTGAATTCAAGGAAATTGCATTTTATAACACCCTGTGGTCACTGAAAATTGCTTACCATTAGCCTTACTTTCCAATAAATCACTAGAATAGCTGAAGGTAATTTTAGAGACATGTGGGTGGGCTAAGGTGACAGAGGTTGAATGAAGAACCAGCATTTTTTTGAGAGGTCCTTTAATGCAGATTTATTCTAAGGATTCTAAAGGGACCCAATTTTTAAAAAAAATCTCAAGCATTTTACTACCTAACTTACAAGAAAGTGATGGCCTCTGCAGCCAGAGAAATGAAGTGAAATCCAGCAGTTTCGCTTATATCATACTTTTAATTTTTCTGTGTAAAGATCACGTTATCTCTATGACACCCATGCAAATGGGACTAAGGGGACATTTTCATCCCATCCACGTCCATGAGGGAGAGCATGGAGAGGACAAATGACTCAGCCAAGAGCACAATTAATAAATGATGAAGCTGAGACAAACACCTACATTTCCCTGACCCAGCGTTTTTCCTCTCAGATCATTACCCCTTACTGGAAACTCCCCTTAGATGATTATGTATCTGAGAACATAGAGAAGAATAGAGTTTACCAAGTTCTCTGGAAGGTTCAATTCAATGAATGCCACTATCTTACTATTGCCAGGAGGGATGACAGAGCCACATAGTCAATCTGGTATTCACTTTTCTAGCTTGTAACTCCTATATAGATAATAATGGGCAAAGTACTTCATCTGCTGATCTTTGGTGTGTCCTCCAATAGTGAACCATAGAGGCTGTACAGGGAAGTAGCAATGCTTGAAGCTCAGACATTCAGGGATGCTGCACTGAGGTTCCCTTTTCACAGAGGTGGGTGTCTGATGAAGCCTGTTCTAAACTTTGTTTAGCTACAACCATTCTGGGAATGCTAGGTGGACCAGCCATGTGAGGCTTCAGCCATCCTCCACTGTGCAATTGAGCAGACTCAAACTAAATTATAAAGACAAGCCCTGCCTTGCTGGCAGGACTAGCTCCTAGGCCCTCTGCATGCAGAAGGTGTGTGATCTTCCATCCAGACTCTATATTGAGGGCTAGGCTCAGCTGAAATCATATGACACCTTTTGTTTGACTATGTACAAAAGAGTGTTTTTAATATCTCTCCGTTCGATCTTCATCCAAGCCTCCATTGAGAAAAAATATAGTATTCCAAGAAAATTAACTTAATGACCCAGATGCTCACAGATAAATCCTGATATCAAGGCAGATGGGCTGAGAGCAGGATAACACTATTGGGTCATGCTGTACATTCCTTCTAAGCACAGACACTCACACATTCACACACCCCACACACATATCCACACATTAACACACATATCCACACACCACACATATTTACACTCATACATGCACTCACACACATATAAACACCCACCCACAGACACACAACCACCCCCCCACACACACACAAACACACCACATAGACACCACACACATGCGTACATAGCACCAGAGCCCTCATCCTGTCCTAAGGTCTTCATAAGAACCAGCCCTGGCCGGGCATGGTGGCTCACATCTGTAATCCCAGTTGTGAGATTGGGAGGCCGAGGCGGGTGGATCACGAGGTCGGGAGTTCAAGACCAGCCTGGCCAAGATGGTAAAACCCCGTCTCTACTAAAAAATACAAAAATTATGCCTGTAATCCCAGTTACTCAGGAAGCTGAGGCAGGAGAATTGCTTGAACCCAGGAGGCAGGGGTTGTAGTGAGCCAGGATTACTGCACTCTAGCCTGGGTGGCAGAGCAAGACTCCATCTCAAAAAATAAATAAATAAATAAATACATAAATGAAAAGAAAAAGAAAAAAAGAACCAGCCCTATGCCCCCTGCAGTGCCCACTGGAGGATGCCTGAGGTACTTGTGAAGGGCACTGATCATGTTCTCTGCCAACCATTCAGATAATCTAATCTCTTTCCAATCTCAGTACCACAGGCAGGTGTAAACCCTCAGGGCCCCGGGTAGTCTGGGTCCTTACTGTTGATATTTTAAATGTCTGGGTCCTTGCTGTTGATATTTTAAATGTCTGCAGATGTTACCCACTGTGAGGTGAGGTCTGTGTTTCCAGCTGTCACAGAGGACAGTCTTAGCTTTATTTCAGCCCTAACTCTATTCTTCCTTGGTCTTTCCTCTTCTTTTCCCTAACTGCAAATTCATAGCCCTTTGCCGTAGGTTTTGGTGTTTTGGTTGAGCTCCTCCAAATTATTTCTCAAAGAAACATATGAACATAGGAGTTAAATACTTAAAATACTAATCTTTGGGTGGATACTAGGTGGATTTTTTTTAAATCACAATATGTATAGCAAATCTTTAATTTGGAAATCTCATGGAATTAAATGATTAGGAATGTCAAGATAAAAACCATGTTAAAATTCATTTTATACGTCTACTATATTTCATTTACCATAACATTTTAATTATTTTTATTGTTTTAAAATTGATTTGAGTAGAAAATACATATTTTAAAGTACCAATTTAAAAAGAACTTCCTTCTCTCCATCCTTTAAAAAATTTAAATTGGGATACATTTAGACTGAATTTTCACAAAGATAAAATGAAACAAAGCATTTTCACAAATAACTGAATTCACTTTGAGTACAGATATCTAAGGTAAGAAAAACTCATAAATCAGTGGCTGTCTAACCCTAGTGTATGGGTTGTAGTGGAGAAACAAGGAAAAGAAAGTTAATCATTCTGTCTAAAATCTTCACTTGTTCATCAGAAGGGAGAAATGGTGTCTGTGGCTAAATGGCCCATTCGGGTATTTTAACTAAAATGAGGCCAAATGATTCTGCCTGCTTCCTGTCTTTCTCCTTGCTCACCACACACACACACACACACACACACACACACACTCACACTTATTTTTCCATAGAAATGAAAGCTTTTGTATCTGTACTTTCAATTTAGTTGAGAACACTGAGACAGGCAATGGGCCAGGCATTCCACTCAGCTAACTGGTGTCCATGTCAGGCCTCCCCTGCCCCAGGCCCTCACTCCTGGGCATCCTGAGATCAGCTGTATTCTAGCTGCACTCTGTAGCCCCTCCTCCCAAGATCCAAACCCACATCTCTATTGATCTTCAATTTGTATGATTTATAAACTCATAAAATCAGCCCTTCGTACAGCAGAACTCTGCTCCTCTTACTCCAGAGCTGTTGTTCCTCTTAGCCTCCCTCAGTGAGAAATAGCAATGCTATTCTATAGGCCTCCTGATGCTGAGATCCTGTTGTGTATTGAAATGCCTCTCCCCAGCTGCTGTGTGCTAGTGATGGCCAGGAGTGTTTCTTTATTTTTTACCCAGCACATAGCACAATGCCCTCTACATAGTAGATGCTCACTAAATGGTTTGTTGAATGAATGAGATTTATGAACACTTATTAAAAAAGGTTGAACACTGGCATACAGTATTTCTGAAGAAGATAACAGTGATAATGAAGTAATCATGCCTGCAAGCAATATTTGTTCTCAGTGTATTAAGGATGGAAAGCATAGATTTATATGTGGAGTTTATTTCGAAGGTATTGTGCAGGTTTTCAGAGTATGGTCACGGATCATCAGCAAGGCTTTCTATATTGATCAAAATCCTTAAGAATGACAAAAGCAATGGTCTACCTTGTAAGACTGTAAGAC
Organism: Homo sapiens; assembly: GCF_000001405.40. Classification (NCBI taxonomy): domain Eukaryota; kingdom Metazoa; phylum Chordata; class Mammalia; order Primates; family Hominidae; genus Homo; species Homo sapiens. The sequence goes on from NC_000005.10 coordinate 7,076,114, forward strand.
TGTTGTGAGATGGTACATTCCTCTCTTGCTTTGTAGAGGCAGCCTCCTAGAAAATGGAAAGTGTTAAAATGTATATACCATGTATTTTCTACTCTTGGGCTTTGCCACTGATTAGAAACCATTTATTTTTGTGAGGTGTCAATATGATTTTTAGGGCTGGATTGGTAAAAAACAAACAAAAAACCTATCAGTGTAGTATTTTTTGCTGGGCAAGATGTTCATTCTTGGAACTTTCTCCAGTTCATCTGAATTTTTGTTTGGGTTAAAAAATTCAATCTGGGAGAAATATGTCAGCATCTACTTGCTATGCTGAAACTCAGGCCAGATCACTTTATAGAGAAATTTTACAAGATTCACAGATAAATTTGCTAGGGAGAAACAAATTACATCATTAATATTATTTGTTGGGAGCTTCATCATTCAGAAAAAAAGGTTTAAAGGAAACAAGCACAGACAAAATGTCTTAATATTCCTGTAAAATCTTACATTAATTAATATATATATTAATTATATAATATATAACATATCTTATAATTATATGCAATATAACATATATAATATATAGTATGTATATACTATATAATATATAGTACATATTAGTTATATTTGTATAATAGACACATATAGTGTATGTACACTATGTCTATACAGGTACTGTATAGGCATATCCTATTCATATACAAGTATATACATATATAGGATAATTAGACTTATAGAGTACAATACATATTATTCATGTATTACATATAATTAATATATTATCTAGGTTATATTAATTTAATATCATTTATAAAGTATAAACTCAAAATCAACAAAATAAGTTTCCTTTTCCCCTCATGTTCTCAACATCCATTACCAGTGCAGGAACAGGGTTTCTAGGATGAATTCTGTCGAATAAGAAATTCCATAAGGGATGCGCGCACATCCTGTTCTTTAAAATTCCCCCAGTCAGAGAATGCTACAGCTGGGATATCTAATTCAGGTCTTTTGCATTTGAAGGATGAGGAAATCAAAATCTAGAAAGACAGTATTCAGTCAAAAACTGCTCAGGGAGGCAAGAAGCCAGGTGGACCCCCCACCCGGCTCTGTCCTCAGTGGCTCCCACCGCCCCTCCCTTCACCCTCCTTTCCTGATTGTGCCAGGGTTTCCGGATTACTGACTTGGCACCCCCCAGGGGAGGTTTCAAGTACAAACTCTGTGACAGTGACCCCAGGCTCCCTCCAGGCTCACTCTCAGTGCTTCCCTCTCCGCAGGCTGCTCCCAAGCACCTTAGCAGTTGGGACGACGGGGCCCATTTACAGCATCACGAAGGCAGTCCCGGTGTCCAGGGATGCACACACGAACCCCTGGTTGCTCAGAGATTTCTAAGCACATGCAAGTTGTTGGCTTCTTGTAGAGACCCTGGGTTGTGGAGAAGATTCTTTGTGAGATGAATCGGATGCAGATAGCTATACGAGTTTGAATATTAAATTTTGACAACTTTTGGGGAAAGCCTTCTTCCATTTGAGTCCTAATGTGAGAACTGATCACCTGTAGAGCTGGTGGCAGTTCTCAGTGGGGATGTCATAGAGCGAAGTAATCGGGGTTTTCCCAGGAGATAATAATAAAGCTAGTCTTTTGTTGTCTGTAGCATCCACCATGGTGCGCGGGGGAAGGTGGCAGGTGTGGTTTCCACGCTCCAGAGACCAGGCTCCCCTGTTCCCTGGTGGACAGACCTCGCCCTTCGGAGCGGAGCTCCTCCACAGCCAGGGCTGAGAGCCTGGCTTCCTTCTCCTCTTCCATGCCTTTAGATGTTTTCTAGTTTAGTTTTATCTTGGATGGGCTCGTGGCCACTCAGCACGTTTAGCGAGTTTTGTTCGAGGGGGCCTTTATTTGCATCTCCAGATTTCTGGGCGAGGACTTGCTGCCAGAACATATGAAGCCTCCATTTGTTTTGTATCCTCTGCTTTGTGTTGGGGTGCGGGTTGGGGGGTGGTAATGAAGGCTGCATCCCTTGCCACCAGAAATCCTGTACTGTTTTAGAGCAGAGAGTGAAACAACTTTGTGGGTGTGTGGATAACCAATCAGAGGGCAGGGCAGGGGCGAACCAGGCAGGTGAGAGCTCCCTGGAGACACCCTTGACCTTCAGTCACACGGCTCCTAGAGACAGGTCTGGAGCGTGATGTCGCCAAGCAGCAGGCAGACTTTGATGAGGCACAGACAGTGGTAACCTGGGTTTCCACAGATGCGCTGCTGTGAGCCAAAAGGGGCCTGTGTAGCCAGGCACACCCCTTCCAGTGAGCAGGGCTCTGCTACCTCCAAGACTAGCCCCTCCCAGGATCTGAAGCTTCCATAGCCTTGTCTACTGTCACGTTCATTTCTTTTCAGAGAGCAATGTTCCACCTCCAAGACGTTTTTTCCTGACTTACTTCACCCTATGCACTGCCCACTTCTTCCACCTCCTCACCGCTCTTTGATATAAATGTCTCGTGCTCCACTTTAGCATGTATGTTTTTCTAGTGGTTTCCTTCAAATTAAGGATATCCTTCCTCCCAGATTGTATGCTCTTTGAGGTCAAAAAATACATCATATCTGTTCTGTTTCTCCCCTCATGCATTTGAATGAATGAGGTTTATGAATATTAATTTTAAAAAGTTGAACACAGGCACACAGCATTTCTGAAGGAGATAACAGTGAAAATGAAGTAAGCTCGCTCACAGGCAATATTTATTCTCAGTGTATTAAGAATGGAAAGCATAGACTCACGTTTGGAGTTCATTTCAAAGGTATTGTGCAGGTTTTCAAAGCCTGGCAGGGCCAGGCTTTCTTATGATTCAGACGCCAGTGTGTCACATCTCCTCCTGCCGTAGCCGGTTGGCTCCGTGGACGGAGAGGGAGCATTTCTGGTTCTCTTAGTACCCACAGCGTAGGAATCACCATCTCTAGCACAGATAAGTGCTCAATAGCTTTTTGCAAATTAGTGACGGAGTGAAAGAATGTATGAATTAAGTAAGCCACGACCCAGTTATCAGCAGAGGGCACCACTGGGCCACATAAAGCTCCCCTGGAAAGGTCAAACCTTCCATCTCAACCATCAGAGAAAGCCCCACTCACTGGCTGCTCCTAATTCTCAACTGAAAATGCTTTTCTGTGGGTGATCCGGAAAGGAAGGAAAAAACCTTTCCATGTCTAAAAACAAACTTCTGTAGCTTGTTTTTAATTTCCCCCTTGTGATAAATTAATGCACACCCCTTGCCAACAATTACAAAAGGATCCAAGCAGCATGAGAATTGATTACAATCCGATAACCCAGAGATAGCAATGATTCATATTTCACAGTCTTGGTGAATTTTCTTTTGTTCCTTTTTTCTACATCTCTATCCATTGACACCCTTAGTATCCATCGGGAGAGCCTTTCTTGGGTTCTTTTTCCACTTACCGTGGCTTTCTTCCAAATTGCTTGTAGCTGTGTAAAATTTTAAAACTTTGTATTAATGCTGACATATCAACCCATTGATTGTTTAATTTTTGCTTGGACTCTTAAAGAAACCTGAAAGGTGTGAGTATGCCCCCAAAGGGTACAGTTTCTCCTAAAGGAGACTCCCCCGAATCTTCGACCACAGCATTCTGTGTGGGACGACTTGGCAGCTTCATAGAACAAGGGGCTCCACCATCTGAGGCGCAAAGTGCTTTGCCAGCAAAATTTACCTTTCTCGGAGGCTGCATATCTGATTACAGAAGTAAATAATACCCTTTCCCTTCAAAAGAATTCGCTCACTGGAGAATACACCTTCTGTAGGGGGCATTTTTCTGATTCAATTCTGAGGTGGTCTTTCCTTGTTAAGCAGGGAGAATGGCACGTCCACAGAGAGCTCACAGGGAGAATTCTGACAAAAGCCTTCCCTTCCCAGAAGGGGGAAGGTCAAAATCTTTCACTCCTCTTTGTATTGTTTTCAGAGGCTTTGTGTGTGTGTGTGTGTGTGTGTGTGTGTGTGTGTGTTTTACTGTTAACCAGTCTTGTTTTAAACACCATTCCCTATTTTTTATAACAACCCTAGACTACATCTGAGAAGCATCCATTATAATATTATATTGGCAGCTCCATTGAGTGCATTTTCTGCATATTTGGGGAAATAGTCCTGGCCTAGTAATTTCCTTTATAAAAAAGGATTTTCATTAAAATATGATGCAATCTCTTGTGTAAACAGTGCTGACAAGTTTGGTCTATGTTTCTCCATTTTTGGCATTCTTTTATTTCATGAAAGCACACACTGCTTTTCTCTTCTTATGTTGCTTTCTTCTTTAGCTTTCTTGTAAGGAAATAATATATCCATTTAATACCTTAGGGTAATTGCAGTAAGAGAAAATGCTAGTCAAAAAAAAATAGAGTAGGGGAAAAGGAACAGGAGTAATTTATGGTCCCTTCAGGGTGAATATGAAGAAGTTTAAACAATAAATAATTTAACATTGAAAAAAATTTAAAAATGGCAGCCAGTAGGTAAAATGTAGACTGAATCAGGTAGCAGACAAGGCGAAACTGATCTATACACACACGGAGCATTGATTCACAAACTCAGGCCACTCTTCTCTACAGGCTTTGTGGGCGTGACTGCGGCTGTCCTGATGATCTTTGCCTTCTGACAGCAACACTGCCAGCTGAGCACTGTCTAACCTGGGTGCTTCTGTGGATCCACCCTTTGTTTTCATGTTGTATCCTTAAATTCAAACTGCTTCCTATTTCTTCCTCCTAAACCGATACATGCACAGGGAGATCACCGGCAAAGATGCGGATCTGTAAGAGGGCCATTATTCCACAATGGAGTGGCAACCTTCTCCTAAGGCCATATTGCCTTTTTTCCTTGAGTTTTTGTTTTTGTTTTTGTTTTTCAATTTCATTTGGTGTCCATGATAAGGATTCAAGTGTTCAGTAAGGTCACATTGCTTGGTATCTTGCATTTACTAATTCACGTGACTATTCTTGTCCATTCATTCCACTAACTTACTGAGGTATTGTTCTCATTTTTTTTTTTTTGGTTATGTGATGAAATGAGCCCCTATTAGAGAGTGCCAGTGTCCAGCTAATTTCAGAGAACAGCTGAAATGATTTTATATGCCCTAGTTCTGCCTGCCAATAAAGATTATGAGCTACATCAGGGCAGAGGTCATAATCCTCCTCTATCTTCTCCATATAGCCCTCGGCATTTGTGCTGGCATCTCTTTCTACATACCCTCCTGCATGCCACTGAAAATGTATTCTCCCCAACTACTACTTTTCTCATTCATCTGTGCATTTTAAAACTTTCAATAGTGGCTTGAAACCTATAGCATAAAGCATGCACTTCAGGATCACTGCCCCAACCCAAACACCAACAAGACTGTGCACATGCAGTGGTCTCCAAGACAGGGAGTGGGTGGAAGGGGAGGAAGACATCGGGGTAGCACCAGTAAAGCTCAGCACTGCCAGGCAGTGAGTGTCCCCTGGCTGGCGGTGCTGTAAGAGGGAGGCTGGAGCAGTGGCCTGCAGGCAGATGTTTGCACTTGGAGTTAAAAGCGTCCTTGAGTGTATGAGGGACTCTGAGGCTGGGCTGCTTCTATTCCCCAAAGCGTGAAGTGGAATGTGAAAAGAGGGCAGAAGCAGAACAGAGAACAGTGTCTGACTCAGGATGGAAGATAACAGATCAGTAACTAAGGAAGGAATTAATTCAACAACAAAATTTACCTCCAAAAATGTCTTTGTGGAACCATGTGGCAGGAACAATAGGAGAATTCCCCTTTAAATATTAAAGAATAAAAGAAAGTCCACCATCACTGATATTATTTATTGGCATCCTGGAGTTCCAACCAGTGTAATACAAGGAGGAAAAAAAAGAAGATCTGAATGTGAAAAGGAAACTTAGCATTATAGGAAGATAATGGATTGGCTGTAGATAATGGATTGGCAGCTAAAAACCTATTTTAAGTGAGTATAAATTTAGTAAGGCAGTTGACACCAAACAAATATGTTAAAAGCAGTAATCATTTGAAAGTGTACAATGCAGTGTCATAGAGTACATTGAGAACGTTGGGCAACCATCACCTCTATCTAGTTCCAAATCGTTTTCATCACTGTGGGAACTCTGTACTATCTTTGCACCTTTTCTGTAAATATAAAATTATTCAAAAATAGAAATTAACAATAGCAATGAAAAACATGACTTATAAGCCAAACACACAATGTTGGTGGCAGAAAGTCCTGGTGTGCTGGGTTATTCAACTTGGAAGAGGAGCAGAGTCCTTAGAGGGAGCTTGGTTTCTGCCCAGTTTAGAACAGAGAAACAAAACCTTGCTGTTTTAGGTTTCCCAATACCTAAAACAAACGCTCATTTATGAGATTGCAAAGGAGAAATTAAAGAAAGTAAAAATAAGAAGCATTAATTAATATGGCAATATAAAGCTACCTTTAGAGACAGATTCAGGAGACTTTAGGGTCATTTCCATTACGTTTTAGGGTAATGGAAACCAAGATCCTCCTTGGTGGCTTGATCTCTGTTTAATTTTGCTAATGGTGCAAATGTTCACCTGTTGAGGAACAAACTGGAAACAGGACTCAGTTTTTATGGATTCTGTTGGTTCCCCTTCCTGATCGTTGCTCCTATAAATTAAGTTTGGTCTTGAAGCAAAGAACCACTTCAGATGTTCTCCCATGAACTCATCACTCGATGAACACTTATTGTGTGATTAATGCTTGAATTCTTCCATTTGTTTTAAGGTTTTAGAAGAATAAAGCAAAGTGAAAGGGGAATCTGTGCTTCATAAATCCCTTCATCATTTTAATTTCAGTTAAACTCTATGGGACCCTTAAATGTGTAAATGGCTTTTCAGAGCATCTGTGGTGGGAGGGGGGGGTTTCCAAAAGTAAATCAGACGATTTGCATTACTTGTCACACTATTAACCTTCCTTTTGCCATTCGTTTACCTGAAATTAGACTTTAATTTTCCCCAGAAACAAGCAAAAACAGGCAGCCCCACATGTGAGAGCAGTGTGGACACTGGGGAAGAAAGGGCAGGTCTCAGGGAAACATTCAAACTCTTCATCCTGAAAGTGTCTCTGGGGCATGAGGATGTGGAGCAGCAGGCGTCATTTCCCCATCTTTCCGAAACACGTGTGGAGCATTCTCTTCTATGCCAGGCACACAGGATTCAAACAGAACAGGACAGACACCTCCTTCCCTCACAGGAGTGACATTTCTGTCCAGGAAGGAAAAAGATAAAGACATAGGTAGTCACAGTAGTGAACAAGTGCTCTGAAGAAAACCTAGCAGAGTAACTGGATGGGTGAGTGGTTGAGGGCCGTTTTATTTAGAGAGACTAGGAAGGGTCTCTTTGAGTAGATGAAATAGGCAGAAAGTCCTGAATTTTGAGAAAGAGGTAGCTCTGTAAAGATCTGGAGAATATATCTGAGCAAAAGGGAATAATAAGTCAAAGGTCTGGAAGCTGGAAAAATCACATGCAAGGTGTGGGATCTGCATCTGGATGCAGTGAGATGCCTTCTACAGGCACTGAGAAGAGCTTAATAAACAATCTCAAAAATTCTGCACAGTATGCAAAACAAAGGGAGGGGCATTTTCTTTTTTTCCTTTCTAAGAATCCACCAGCTTCCAGATTGAAACAACAAACATAGACCTGCTGCTTGAAGCAAAGTTGGTCAGCTGTGCACTTTTTCGTTAGCAGGGCAGCTGATAAGATTTGCCCTGCTGCAAACCATTTGTGTTAAAGCAGTTCTCTTTAATGTACGTTCTCTAAACACTGCTCTCTTTCATCCCAACTGTTAGGATGGCTATGTCACTTGAATCTCATGTGATCTATTTGTTATTTTTTTATTTTTTATTATACTTTTTAAGTTTTAGGGTACATGTGCACAACGTGCAGGTTAGTTACATATGTATACATGTGCCATGTTGGTGTGCTGCACCCATTAACATTAGGTATATCTCCTAATGCTATCCCTCCCCGCTCCGCCCACCCAACAACAGGCCCCGGTGTGTGATGTTCCCCTTCCTGTGTCCATGTGTTCTCATTGTTCAATTCCCACCTATGAGTGAGAACATGCGGTGTTTGGTTTTTTGTCCTTGTGATAGTTTGCTGAGAATGATGGTTTCCAGCTTCATCCATGTCCCTACAAAGGACATGAACTCATGATTTTTTATGGCTGCATAGTATTCCATGGTGTATATGTGCCACTTTCTTAATCCAGTCTATCATTGTTGGACATTTGGGTTGGTTCCAAGTCTTTGCTATTGTGAATAGTGCTGCGATAAACATACATGTGCATGTGTCTTCATAGCAGCACGATTTATAACCCTTTGGGTATATACCCAGTAATGGGATTGCTGGGTCAAATGGTATTTCTGGTTCTAGATCCCTGAGGGATTGCCACACTGACTTCCACAATGGTTGAACTAGTTTACAGTCCCACCAACAGTGTAAGAGTGTTCCTATTTCTCCACATCCTCTCCAGCACCTGTTGTTTCCTGACTTTTTAATGATTGCCATTCTAACTGGTGTGACATGGTATCTCATTGTGGTTTCGATTTGCATTTGTCTGATGGCCAGTGCCGCATTTCTACAACCGTCTCGTCTTTGACAAACCTGACAAAAACAAGAAATGGGGAAACAATTCCGTATTTAATAAATGGTGCTGGGAAAACTGGCTAGCCATATGGAGAAAGCTGAAACTGGATCCCTTCCTTACACCTTATACAAAAATTAATTCAAGATGGATTAAAGACTTAAGTGTTAGACCTAAAACCATAAAAACCCTAGAAGAAAACCTAGGCAATACCATTCAGGACATAGGCATGGGCAAGGACTTCATGTCTAAAACACCAAAAGCAATGGCAACAAAAGCCAAAATTGACAAATGGGATCTAATTAAACTAAAGAGCTTCTGCACAGCAAAAGAAACTACCATCAGAGTGAACAGGCAACCTACAGAACGGGAGAAAATTTTTGCAATCTACTCATCTGACAAAGGACTAATATCCAGAATCTGCAATGAACTCAAACAAATTTACAAGAAAAAAACAAACAACCCTATCAAAAAGTGGGCAAAGGATATGAACAGACACTTCTTAAAAGAAGACATTTATGCAGCCAAAAGACACATGAAAAAATGCTCATCATCAGTGACCTATTTATTAACACATGCAACATAGTTGCAACATTTAGGGCTGTTTTCTATTAAAACAGATAAGCAACCTAAAAAGAACTGTGTGCAGTGGAGTTAGTGGAGCAGAGTGAGTACAGTGCGTTGTGGACTCTCTGAGATGGGTGTGACACTGAAAGACAATTTGATAAGTTGTGGATATGAACAATGCCTTTGCTGTAGGCATTCCGAGTGGAGTAGCGTGGAGCACTTGCCTGATTCTGAATCTTACAGCAGCCAGACTATGCTAGAAGCAGCAGCTGTGCCCTGTACACCCCATCCCCTGTGCCCACGCCCAACCCCTGCAAGAGCTGGGTCAGGATTGATGACTTTGGTGATTGACTGTGTTGTCATTGGCATGACTGTGGGCATGATAGTTTAGAGAAGGCAGACCTTCAAACCCTGCTCCCTAGCCTTTATGAAAAATCCAATGCTTGATCATAAGGACTTAATGTTTTCTTAAGGCTCAAAATTGCACTTGAGAATGACACCCTGTGGCAGCCCATTTACTTGACTTCCTCCAGCCTGCTCGATGGCCCTGCTGGTTATGGGAGGTCTCTGGGCAGAAGAGGGAACTGCTAGGGGAAGCGGGTACCTGATTTCTAGGCCCCAGAGAAATAATGAATATCAGTCAGATGCTATGCTAGTGGCTTCTTTACCATCCACAGAGCATCTGATACCTCTTACCAGCTCTCAGGAGGCTCCAAATATACTTACATTTATGTTCTTTAAGTGATTGTCTAGATTTTTGCTTCTCCTGTTGCTGTGATTGTACTTTTAAAATTCCTTGTCCATGTAGTACAAACTCATTTTGAGGCAGAAGCATAGGGTCTGGAGATAGGGAGCCTCAACTTCAGCCTCCAACTGGTCACCGGCCAAGCCTTCATTTGCATAGGGTGTAAACAATAGGACACCTCTAATGGGTACTTAAACCCCAGAAGATTTTGCAGCCAGGGCTCTTGAGCTACTTGCTCCGTGGGATGTACTTTCATTTCAAGAAATCTGTGCTTCATTCTTTCATTGCTGTGATTGTACATTTTGTCCAGTTCTTTGTTCGGCATGCCAAGAACCTGGGATACTTGTAATCAAGACCATCCAGCAGTAAAAATTTCGCTGCAAAATCAGCACTTTGTTCATATTTATTGGTTCAACAAAAATCTACTGGTTGCTGAGCACTGTGCTAAGGGTAGGGGGACAATGAAGCCCCTCCCAGCCTCTGTGAAACTCAGGGAGTAGAGAAGGCAGCACAGGTTCCACTCCGTAAAACTCAGCATGGTAACTGATTGTACCGGAATGGGAACAAAATGCCCTGGTGACAGAGGGAAAGGTGGGCCTGGTTAATTCTGACTCCTTCATTCATCACTCAAAAAAAAACTCCTCTTATTTGATTCGCATGATTGCAATCAGGCCTGAGAACGGTGAATTGGGGGAAGAGGATGAACAATTCAGCTTGATACTTGAATGCTACTGTTCTTGATTTAGGGGCTGCCTGTTCTAACCCTCGTGGTTTGGTACAAAAATATTCCTGTTCCTCTCCCTCACAGTCCCCAAGGTCAGTTCCTACAGATGTCCGTGAACAGAAAAGATGAGAAATCTTGGACATCTATTCCTTCTGCTTAAGATGGTCAAGGCTCCCCAGCTCAACACCTACATCTTACTCCAATGTTCATTTTTATCTGCAAAGTGCCAGCTTTCCATTCTGCTGCCCAACAATATATGTTTGGGGTTCATGTTTAAGTTTGGAGAATTGACATAGATAAGATAAATTTAAAAAGACTTATAAACTTTTCCTTTACAGTAGATTCTTGTATAGCACATAGAGATTCTTGACATAAGCCTGTGATTTTTCATTTCACTCTGAAGATTTTCCTAATAAGAGGAGTTTAGTAATAGGCCCATTGGTAATAGGCAAAGGGCCTGTGATAATCTGGTCATGGTTTTCTTTTAGTTGATAAAATGAAATGCTTTTTGAAAATATTTGGGTTTTTTGTTTGTTTGTTTGTTTTTAGATTCAAGAGGTGCATGTGCAGGTTTGTTACAAAGGTATATTGCATTGATAGCAACAAAAGGCAGCCAAATGCCTAGGCAGATGGGGTACCCAGCGAAACTCCACCTCCAAGCTGAAGATAGTTTAAAGCCCGAAAGTTAAACTATAAGTTAAATCTTCTGACTGGATTGAGAGCTTGTCGTCTGTTTAGCACACTTTCCTCTGATTGATCTCCACCCTCCACCTATTTTATATATATCTATCCTTTCCTAATTGGTTTTCTACACTGTCATGCCCACCTTTGAGTGGTATCTTCACTTTAACCATTTTTGCATATTCACAAACCAATCAGTACTTACTCCCCATCCTGTGCCTATAAAGACCCTGGACTCAGTTGGTGGAAAGGGGAGATGGCTTGACTTTGTGGAAGAGACAATCTGGCTTCAGGGAAGATGACCTGCCCTTCCTGTGCCCTCTCCAGCAACCCTCTCCAATTTCCCTCTCCACCGAGGGCCGTTTTCATCACTCAATAAAATTCTCTGCTTTCACAATCCTTCACTTGTCCACATGACCTCATTCTTCTTGGATACTGGACAAGAGGTTGGGGCCTGCTGAGTGCAGGTACCCAGAAAGGCTGTCACACTGGCCCTTTGCCCTTGCCAGCAGAGGGCAGCTGCCTCACTTGATGAAGCAAGGGGCCAACTGAGCTGCTAACACACTGCCATCCATTGGACTGCTAACAATGGAACTAAAAGAGCACTGTAACACCCCCTCTGGGGCTTTGGGGTTGCAGGCACCCTCATCTGGGTGCTGCTGCATTCCCCTTGAGGTGACATGCCTGGTCTGGCCGTGGGCCCCGCATGGAGCTTGCTTTTGTGTCAGCACCTGGAGCAGATGGCTGGATCCCACACTTGCTCACTCATGTGCTCCCTCCCACAAGGGACTGACTGCAGCAGGCCGAGTAAATGGGATGCCCCTTCTGCAAGTCTGGTGAAGGGGCCAAGAAAAATGTCACGTCAGATGATGCTGAGGTTTGGGCTTCTGTGGATCCCATCACCCAGATAGTGAACACAGTGCCCAATAGGAAGCTTTTCAGTCCTTACACTCCACTGCCTCCCTCCCTCCTTTTGGAGTCCTCAGTGTCTATTGTTTCCATCTTTTTTTTCTTTTTTTGAGACAAAGTCTCGCTCTTGTCACCCAGGCTGGAATGCAATGGTACAATCTCAGCTCACTGCAACCGCCGCCTCCCAGGTTTAAGCGATTCTCCTGCCTCAGCCTCCCAAGTAACTGGGATTATAGGTGCCTGTCACCACGCCAGGCTAATTTTTGTAGTTTTAGTAGCGACGGGGTTTCACCGTGTTGGCCAGGCTGGTCTCGAACTCCTGATCTCAGGTGATCCGCTCGCCTTGGCCTCCCAAAGTGCTGGGATTACAGGCGTGAGCCACCATGCCCGGCCTATTGTTTCCATCTTTATGTTGATGGGAACTCAAGGTTTAGCTCCCACCTGTAAGTGAGAATGTGTGGTATTAAACAATTTAATACTTTATTACTTTAATTTTGTGATCCAGGGGATATCGTAGTCAGGGTTTTCTCTGTCTTTGATGCTCACATTCTTCACGGAGTGTTTGGATTCTTCCCTGAGATGCTGTGATACTGATGAGTAAGAGGCCATTTCCTGAGTCTTCAGATGCTGTATTTTTTGGAGTAGGGAGTTGTAATTACCCTCACAATTCAACATGACACCCTTGAGATAACGGCCCACATTTGCTCACAAGTTCTGCCGTGTCTGTCATTAGTCTCAGTAGGCAGCTGATGACAGTCTACCCTCAGCTAATGCTTAATTAACATCTGAAATTGCAGGAGCATTATCTCACCAATGTGAGTGCTGGATACAGCTGGCCATTATGGCCTGAAGATGTCTTGTAATGGAAATTAGGAATGAGAAATACAGCTAGAACTTTCAAATTCCAATAGTTTTAGGATTTGAGATTCTTTTGGAAGATGTGAGTTCAGATTTCTTTGAAACAACAGACTCACATGCCTCCCAAATCAATACCCAACATCCGTGTCATTGACTTCCAGCTCCCTCTTTTTTAACCCATATTTGTTTTCCAGTTCTAGTATACACACTTGCTTGAGTTTTTAAAATTCTGATTTCTCTTTTGCACAAAAGCTATCAGGCTCTGGGACAGCAGACATATGGCCTGTTGTGCACATCTCTGATGTGTCTATCTTATTAATGTTTCTTTGGCAGGGCTTGATAGTGTTTCGATTGGCATGGATTATCATTTAGGTTTCAGTGGTTTGCATAGAATGTCCCAGGGCTAATGTTACCAGGTCCACCTTCATTTCCATTTCAAAACCTTTTACCCACATGGACAAAGAATGTCTTCAAAACAAACCAAACAAGCAAGTGGAACCCAGACAATGATGGCTGAAGCCACCTGGCCTGTGACAGCTGTCTTAGAGACATGAAATCCCTTGCAAAGAACAGTTCAGGCAAGGAGACCATCATATTACCAATGTGGAGACTTTTCCTGAATTGCGGGGTCATTAAATAGACATGATTTATCCAGATCTGAAATTTAGATGGGTTATTTAGGTTAGCCTTTGTTTTGTTTTCCTGAGAAATGTTAGCTCTAGTCAGTGTTAGACCATTGTTCTATCAAATAAAAGCAAATCACCAAATCATTCATTCATTCATTCATTCACTCCTTCACTATTCGTGGGGTGTGCCCTGTCTACCCATTCTGCTCCAGCCTTGTTCTAGGTTCTGCAGCTACAGCAGTGAAAAAGACACAGACCTCACTGCAAGGCATAAGAAGGAGAGAAAACTGTGAAACAACAAAATACAGAACTCAGGAGGAAAGAGAAAAATGGTCAGCAGCAAAACCAGAATGCTTCTTTTGATTGCAAGGTCGGGGTAGTCCTCTCTGAATGCTGACATTAAAGCTGAGACCTAAACAGTAGGAAGGAACCAGCCATGCAAATATGGATCTAGAAAAAGAATTCCAAGTACAGCAGGTAGCTTGGAGAGGTGGGGCCTGGTTTGTTAGTGGTGAAATGTACTGATATGTAACTTTGAAATACATCCAAGGAAAAAAAAGAGAGATGAGTTGGTGGGCAGATTAAAAAATAGATGGATGGCTAGAAATGCCATAAAACAAACATAGCAAGATAGAACGTTGTAGAGACAGGGGGGTGAGCACTGTACAATTCTTTAACTTTTCTGTATGTTTGAAGATTTTCTTTTCTTTTGTTTGAAATGGAGTCTGGCTCTTGTTGCCCAGGCTGGAGGGCAATGTTGCACTCTTGGCTCACTGCAACTTCCGCCTCCCCGGTTCAAGCAATTCTCCTGCCTCAGCCTTCCGAGTAGCTGGGATTACAGGCACCCACCACCACACCTGGCTAGTTTCTTTTGTATTTTTAATAGAGATGGGATTTTAGTTTGTATGAAGTAATATAATAATTAGGACAATTTGAGATTTGTTATATATATATATATATATTTTTTTTTTTTTTTTTTAAATCTTAGACCAGAGGTTAGCAATCTTTTTCTCTCAAGGGTCAGACATTAAACACTTTTTGGTTATATGGTTTCTGTTGCAACTACTCAACTCTGCATTGTAACACAAAAGCAGTCATAGAGAATATGTAAACAATTGAGTGTGCTGGTGTTCCAATAAAACTTTATGTACAAACACAGGCAGCAGGTGGGTCTGACCTGGGTGCCATAGTTTTCTCCTCCTAGTATTAGGCACAGAATTGTCAATGCTTGGAAAGTCACTATGATCTTACACTTGCCCAGTCAGCTATTGGAAATATTTAGTTAATATAGACCACTAATTGTATAAATGTAGCTAACACTCTCAAGGAAATTTAATTAAATAAATTTGCAAATGATATACATAATTTAAGGAAGTTTAGTCAAGCTAAGGCTTGAGCTAGTCTAATATTAATAAAATAATAATTATCAGAAGGTGATTGTTTTTATTTTGTTAGCTGCGTTGATAATATAAACAGCTCTACAATTGGAACTTAAAGAGCTTAAGGAAAACTAATTTGTAAAGTTTATCCTCCTTAGTCATTTGGATATTGATTTAAAACCCAATTAGTTATAATTAATCCTCTCTTCATCTATCTCCAGCATATCAAAAAATTCACACCAATATAACTAGGGTAATGTATTTGGACTCATTTTAAGTAAAATGCTGTTATCAGAGGGTTTTACAGAGAGAAATGGCAATTGCATTCATATTTTTAGCAAGACTACTCTGCTAAGTGGAGGGTTGATTTGGGATGGAGGGTGGAAGCAAAGGCAGGGAGATAATTTTGGAAAGCCACTGAAGCCATAAGATGTGAGATAATGGTGACACAGATACAGTATGGAATTTTGCCAAATGTGAGCAATGAGGAAAAGACGATTGTTGCAGTTTTGGCTTGAGCCACTGGATGGATGTAGATACTATTAAGACAGGCAGCCCAAAGAGCAAGAGTTTTGAGTGATTTCTGCCTGTGGAACACCATTCATAGTCCAGAGGCAGCCTGGGTGGCCCTGGGCTTTGGAGATGCAGGCAGGCACTATGTTCCATTGGGTAGTCTAGGAACCAGTTTCCTCCATTTTTGCTGTCCCACCGCCCCGTCTTCTAGGGGGTTAGGTTCTCCTCCTGTGCATTTTTTTGGAGCCATGGGAGTGGAAAGGGGAGCAGAAGGGAAACCTCACCATACCTGCTTGGACCTCATCAGCCACATGCAGTCACATGGCCACAGCTACCTGCAGGGGAGGCTGGATATGTGTTCTCTGAGGGAGTGGCCCTCTGCCTAACTACAACTTGGGGGTCTATCTAATTGATATTTTGAGGGACAATCCCCAATCTTTGTCTCAGGATCCAAATGTAAATGCGGAGTAGTCCATTGTATATATGAGGCTGTCGTTCTGAGAGAGTTTCAGTTTGGAGAGAAACAGAGTTTCCTTAATGAAATTGCAGACACAGGAATTTTATGAGAATTTTATGAGATTAGAGATTACCCACAACATATTTCTTGCAATTTGTGATAGAAACCAGTGTTGCGGTCTGTGCATTGCTGAGTCCCTTGAGCATAAAGACATTTGCAGGTCTTCTCCACCTGCAAGTCCATCAACATATGAACTTCGGCCTTCTAGTGGCAGGGACACCTGTGTAGGTCAAGGCAAGCCCTGATTACTCAGTGATCCTTGCCTCTGCACCAGGGATACTGTGGCAGTCAGCAGATAAAGAGGCCATAAAGAGATCAGGAGATTAATAGGAATATATGATTTGAAACAATAGACTCATAAAAAGCAGTTTGGAGAAAATTGTAATAACAGTCTTGGGAGAGTAAAATTCTATGTCGTTACCTTAATGCATCTTAATTAATTCTATATTGTATAATTATAAGAGATGATGTGAATAATAAAGACCTAATCGTTGGGCTAAACCAAGATTTTAAAAGTGATCTGTGGGAATTTGGCAGAATTGGAGTGATTCTCCCTAAAATAAATTTGGCCAGGATGTTGAGGCTTCTGACACTTTACACACCAAGAGAGAATTGGAGAGGAAGCTTCTGGGTCACACAGCTACTCCTGGGATGTCTGGGCAGCACACTGAGGTCCAGGCTGGCATGGAGAAAACCAAACGAGTAGCCTGTTTAATGGCTTGCAGGTGGGAATGGGGAAAAGGAGGCTTCAATTCCCCACCAGAGCCAATGGAGGAGGCTACAATGCAGGAGTTCTTAGGGGCTTGTTGAGACGTGGAGCAGAAGAGGAAAGGGAGGGTGAGGCTTACAGAGAAGTCAGTGGTGAAACATCAAGAACAGAGTCAGACTGTGTTCCATTAAAGCTAGCGGAGAATGGGATTAGTTGAGTGCTCTGAAAAATGATAGAGTAGTCCACTTTAGAAGGGTGCACTTAAAGCCTCTTCTCTTGGGAAAGGTGTCCTCCTTAGGACCTAGATTTGGAGGCAGCAGAATGCGTTAAACTGGAACAAGTGACCCAGTTTAAAACCCCAGCTTGGCCTTTCCCTCGGTGTGTGCCTCTGGATGAATAAATTACTCTCTTTATCTTGGCCTTGGTTTCGACAGCTGTAAGATATTGATGGTAAGAGTTCCCAGTCCATAGCGTTGCTGAAAGGATTCAATAGGTTAATATACTTAAGGCACTTAGATAGGGTTTGGCATATTTTAGTATTTAATGTGTACTCTACAGTATTGCTGTTATTAATCTTTTTATACAAAATAATCTCTAGGCTCTTTTTGATGTGTCCCATAAAAAGAAGTAGCTCAAAGCTAATATGTAGAGGTATTGGCAAAGAACTTTATTAAATGACCTGTTTCATTTTCTGTTAGAAAAAGAGGAAGCTATAGAACTTAGTAAACCTTTGTATTAAGTCTGGGAAAATTCTAGACATCCGGTCTGGGGACCTGTGTGTCCTTGGGAGATGGGCCCCTTTGGCCATCCAAAATGTGGCTCACCAGAAGGCCAGTTTCTGTTACAGACCACAGGAATCACACATTGTTTTATTTGTGCACTGTAATCTCAAATAACTACATCACCCATTTTAAAGAACGTGCTCTAGGGAGCCCATATAGAAAATGAGTAACAGGAAAACTTGGAGCGCTCATGGCAGAGGAAGCAGCACAGGGGGACGCATCACTTAGATGTAAAGACGCATGAGCTCCATGCAGGCTAGAGGGTAGTTTTCCCCAAAGCCCTTTTCTCCGTGGAGGAAAGTCATGTCTGGGGCAGGGAGTAGGGCTGTAGCTTCTTCTAGAAGGTCCCTGGGTCCCACTGGGACCCCACCCTGATTCAGGTAGAGAGGGGAGCTATGGCTCCTTGCCATGGCACCAGGCCAGCCTTACACTGGCTGACCCTGCAAGGAGACTCCCGGGAAGGAGTGTTACAGAGTTCCCTCTCAGGAAGGCAAGGAACATGCCCGTGACTGTGCATCTGGGGTGATCTCACTTTGTCTGAAATTAGACCCAGATATCTCAACCAGGCAATATGCATCAACAAAAGTGATATTAGATTGATTTTATCTGTAATATTCATAGCACAATGTCAAACTATGGGAGGAATGGCTTTTATAAACAAGGTGTTCTAATAAAAATAACTATTAAAAATATTGAACTCTAATTTATAAAACATATGCTGAAGCGTTTAGGTATAATGTGTAATGATGCCAACAGCTTGTAACGTGTACAAATTAGGATAGATTGATACATGGATAGAGGGGTTGATAGATGGAGAGACGTGGTGAGGCAAATATAGTAAAAAAAAACAGTAAAAATCGAATGTAAGTGGTAGTCTTGTGGGTATTTGTCTTTCTGTTTCAATATTCTTAAAATGAAATATTAGAAAACAAGTAAGAAGGCACTTTCTAGTGTAGTCAGACTGAATTAAATATTTAGCCTCAATGATGTACATAATTCATGGTTACGAGTCCAGAACAGTTGCAAGGAGCAACAGTTTCTATTAGAAAATGGGCCCAAATAAAACATCTTTGCTAGGCGTTAGTGTTGGGACCAGCAGAATGAGCCATGGTCAGCACCAAGGACAGTGACAAGTGACAAATGTGTCACTACCCCTTTCACATTGCACTGGAAACCTCAAGGCTTTTACAGGAGAAAGCACCCCGCCAATCTTTAGACTGAATTGTTTTTCATTTCAGCAGAAATATTTTAACCACCATTTATCCAACTTGTCCATTCATTACACACCTAATAGGCACTGTGATTGGACATTATTTGAATCCAGAAAGCAGTAAGATGTGGCCCCAACAGACCCAATCAAAAAGCTGAATGAACGCATACTAATTGCACACTCAGGTGCTCAGTACCCTGTGGAAAATGCAAGGTCTGTTCTCCTGTTAAATGCCTTTGGTGTCACTTTGCAAAGCTGATTACCTGAATATCCTTTCACATGTCAAATGCAAAATGCAAATATACAGCAATGTTCTCAAATTCGTATGTTGTGAATGGCTCATATTACATATAAAAATATATAAATAATAATATATAGTAAGTGCTACACATAGCACTATATATACTTGTACTGTATTTAATAATGACATATTACATATTTGTATTATATATAAAATATACACATTAGTACTACGTAATATAAGTTATATTTAAATATGTGTTATATAACATTAACATAAATGTGTTCTATATTATTATTGTACATATACATAGTAACCATATAACCACCATCTAAATATTATATAAGAATAATTATATTTCAGAAATGTAAGCTTGCCAAACAGTTGCGTGAAAACACTTTTAAAACTATAAACTTAATTACAAATATCCAGATGTTTCAAGCTGGTTCTTTGGTTTACAAATGCTGAAACATCCCTTAGGAACTTCTTATGTAGTTATTTGAAAATGGTAAGAAGTGATTTTGATAAGAATGACTTGAGGGTCAGATCAGAATTTGGAGTTTTTTCTAACAATTGGGAGAATAATGACATTATGAAACTCTTGTTAAGTTATGAGAATAATGTTTGTTATCATCCTTAAGATAGGTGTTTTGCTAAAGCATTGAAGAATATATTTGTTTGTAATTTAAATGAAATTGTACTGTTATATTTTTCTATAAATTGACCTTTTCCTTTTACATTTTCTTTGAAGAGCTTACCTTCTGCACTTACAGAAAAGAGCAACCAAAATGTATTCTACCAGAAAAAAAGGAAAAGAACAGCAAAGTAAATGAGTTACCTTCTTTAGTTTTCTAGATGGTTACCCTGTCTCACTTTGATTTTTCTTTAATGTTTAATTCATCTGGATGCTAAGCAGTCTCTAGCTGAGATTTTCTATCAAGACCAAGGCAGTGTGGTGGGCCAAATAGGATAGTTAAGATCAAATCTAACTAGGAGACCACTTAGTGGTTGCCAGGGGACAGGGACACAGTTGAGGGTTGGTGCAACTTTATAAGGACAGCACTGAGGAATGCCTTTTTTGGTGACATAACAGTTCTGTATTCTGATTGTGGTGGTGGTCACATATGGGATCACAGTGCAGAGAACTGCATGTGCACACACATACACACATTGACACATATACATACACACACATACACACACATTGACACAGACATATGCAAATGTACACAGGTACCCAGGCATACACACATGCATATATGCATGCATGCATACCCACACACAAACACACACACAACAATCACACATGTGCATACACACATGCACACAGACATTGACACACATGTACACACATACAAATACACATGCACACACATGCGTACATACACATGCATGCATACCAACACAGAGACACATATACCCATTATCACACAGATGCACACACATATGCCCACTTACACATATACATACACAATGCACACATACACAGATACACATACACACATATACACCTACACATGCAGATACACACGTAAATACATGCCTGACAACACTGGTGGTAGAGGCTGAGACTCCACTTAAATCCAATTTCTTAAAAACAAATCTGACCACAAAAAATCTGACAATCTGTCTGATGAAAATAATTATAAATAGGTAAAGTGTTCTTAAACGAGTGCTCTGTCTCCTTTATCTTCTTTAATTGTTAGATTATATTTATTTATTTTAGCTTTTTATTGCTCAGGTTACCAGCAGTTAAGAAGCTGTTTATTGATGTCCCAGTAACTAAAAATTCTATTTTAAAACAGAGTTAATAATTTTAATAGCTCATGCAGGATCTCCACAGGTTATAGATGTTTAAAATAATATTCTAATTAGTAATAAATAGATTTTATAGCAACAGTATAAAATATTATAAGTATAGTACAACAGAACTTCAACATTCAGCTCCCCTGAGATGTAAACAGAACTCCTCTGATTGGAATTCCATGTCCGTCACTCACAGTCACCTTGGAAACCCCTTCACCTGTGAACTGGTGCACTCCCTCGGGCTAAAGACCATCAGCTGTATTTTTCTCCAATTCCCAGCATCAGCCTCTAGCCTAGGACTGGGTACGAGATGCAAGCTCCGTGGTTTGTGTTGGCTGACTTGTTCATGCAAACCCTCGTAATACTTGCGGGCCCCACCAAGCCATGCCTCTTGTTGTGCTGACTGCCCCTTCTCCTTGTCTAAAAGCTGTAACAAAGAGACTTTCCTGATTGTTCAGAGAGGTGACAGTGCCGGAAATCATCCACCTCCAATTTACAGCAGGTACTAAAAGTGACTTCACTAGAAGCAAGTTTTATAAATAGAATAAATAGCAAAGGCGATCTGGCTCTTCAGATATAAAAAGCAAAGAGTGTGTCACTCAGTGCTGACTCCTATTTCTATACCTAATCCTATATTTCCACCCAAACCTTCCCTCTGAAGCTTATTCCTGCTGGCAGGTGAAAACAGTCTGACTTACATTTCCACATGTGAGCTTAAAATAATTTCATCTGATCTCTTGGGGACAGTAGAGAAGCCAGGCAATCCCCTTTTTTCTTTTCCTCCCCATTTGAGTCTTGTGAAGTCAAAGCCCTCTTGGAAGTGATTTTCTGGGACGTGACTCTACTAGGAGGAAACTGCCTGTCAATTGGAGGAGAGAGAAGAGGGGGGATTCTGCAGGGATTCTGGTTCGGCTGTTATGTTAGATGGAATTCTTGGATTCTATCTATGTAGTAGGCCACTGTCTCCAGCAGGCCCCCCCAGCTGGCTCCAAGGAACACCTGTGACATTCAGAGACCAAAGCTCTCGTGCTGTGCCTGGCAGTTGGATGTGAGCCCCAGCAGACTTGTCGTAGGCTTGAACACAAAAGATACAATTAAAAACAGTGACAGAGACAAAGCCACCATCAATTTTTTTTTTCTGAATTGCAACAACGTTCTCCTGCAAAGAGCTGCATGCTAGAACAAAAACAAAGTTGGTACCTTGCTCCTAAAGCTTTCTTGTACTAACTCTACAGTGAAATGTGTTGTCGGAGAGTGGCCAGCTCTATCCTTCAGCACTTCAGCACTGGGGAATATGGTGTGAAGCACAGAGAAGGCCCAGTGGCTGGTGTTAAGCAGCAGATCAGAGAATTGTCCTCTCTGGCTGCAGAATGTTCAAAAAGTCAAACTCAGACCATCAGTGCTATCCCAGAGTGGCCAGGAAAGGTTTTAGATGTGAGTTAAAATCAGAGCTGTGGGCCACTGTGACCCTTTGCTTGTCACCCTCCCCTCATTTTCTTGAAGTGTTCACTGAGTCCAACCTGACCTGGTGAGGTCCAGGGATCTGGCAGTGTCACTGTGATGCAGGCACAGCTACAGGGATGCATGTGGATGAGGGTCTTCACCAGGCTCAGTAAGGACAGCTGCTGGCTGGGATGGATATTCAGGGCTGAGCAGGATCCCAGGGGAAAGCATGAGCCAGGAAAATGGAGAGGTTCCAAGTGAGGGGCGGGCTTAGGGAGCTCAGAAGCTGGGTGAGAACTTGAAAGTCAAGTAGGAGGCTGAGGCCCAGGACCAGTTCTGCAGACTTGAGTGATGTTTCAGAAATTCACTTTATTCATCTGATGAGGAACATCTGCTTCATGTTGAAAATGGAGCATTGGACAAGCCAGATCAGGTCTCCGTCATCACAGAGTTCACATTCTGGTGGACACAGCAAATGCCTCAATGAAGCAGCGACTGCAGATGTTCACAGGGATGGCAAAGAGAAAAATGCCAGGTGATGTGGATTCCCTCGAGGGGTGTGACTCCTGCAAGGGTACTGAATGGAGTCCTGTGGAGGTGACGTAAGAGATGAGGAAGCTGCTGCTGGGAGAGCTGGGGACAGACATTGCAGGGAGGAAGAAGAGGCGGGAAAGACTGCAGCAGGTTGGAAGAGCAGAGAGGACGCCCGTGTACCTGGATATGAAAGGTCAGCCATGACACAGAGGCCACCGGACACAAGGCTTGGAACTGCATAGCCAATTTAAGGCTGCACTTGCTCTGTAAGGGACTACTATTACTCTCCAATGTTCTTGAGACTCATAAGGATGGCTAGGGGAGCAGCAAGAGTCCACTTTCTCATGTACTTTTTTGTCCATCCATCCACAAAGAGCACAGTCACTCTGCTCTGCTAGAACGTTGGCAAAAAGAACAGAGGAAGAATCTGACTTCTCTTCCCTCTCAATTATTTTGTTAACGTATATAAAATACACTTTAGCATCTAAATCACTTGCATTTCCTTTCCAACTCTACAATGAGCATTTATTGTATTTATACCAATAAAAAGAGAAATGTAAAAAATGGAGTTCTTTCCTTAAGTCAACCAAGGCAGCTATATTGCTATCATCTCAAAAAGGAATCATTTGGTTTTTTACAAAAGATAAATCCACAAAAAGATACCCAAAATAAAGAGAAAAGTTTTAAAATAGAGATGCTGGAGGTTTGCTGTAAAGATCAGCTTGCAAATTAAGATAGAAATTTAAATTGTATTATAGAAGATCTCTCCTCTTGTATCTGAAGAGCAAACACTTAGTAGAAACCCAACAACCACCGCAAAGTACCTACAGCAAACAAGGAGGGATATAATCCCCTTACAGGGATTCCATAAGCACCCCAAACTTGAAACCAAAAGAGGATTATGATTCCGAGTAAAGTACAGCTTTGCTCACTCCTAACTCTGTGATGTTCCCGAAAAAGCAATGTGGCGATTTCACATATCATGAGATTTTTATCTCTACTTCATCAAATCTGTGGTTGCTCAAGCCAAGAGGCATCCTTGTGTCTCCCCTCCTCAATGAAAGGCATTGGAAAGAGCTGTTGGGGAGAAACTGGTGAGAGGGGCTAAGGGAGCAAGGGAAGTGAGGACTCCATGGTCCATGGCATGGGGCCCAGGTCTGAGGCTTGGGGCATCGCCCTGTGAGAATGGGCTGCACTTCAGCCCCAGTCAAGTACAGGGCATTTAATAGAATGAGCAATGTGAAAGGTGAGAGAAGAGATACCACCTTATCAGCCAAACCGTCTTTCTCTCTGGTCAATGCCCTTAGGCTACAGAAAGGGCAAATAGCACTCCTCATACCCAGACCTCAAACTCAAGTTCAAATGGAAAAACAAACCATTCTGGATCCAAGAGGAAAAGAGTCAGAAAGTTAAGAAATCAGCAGCATCACATCAGAGCAGAGTCTAGAGTGAGTTGGCACAGCTGTCCAATCATAAGCAAGATGAAAGTCATTCGTCTGGAAACTCTACAGACACACTTCGTCACAAAACACAGGAGAGAGGAACACGCCCTGTAAAAGACAGATGAAAAAGTCAAAAAGAAAACAAAATCTGAGATTCATTAGAGAATACATCACAGTTGTGTCATGCTGTGTGACAAGTTAGTAACACAAATATTCGAAGAAATCCCAGCTCAAAGACAAGATGAATAAACAAGACAATGAGATGAAAAGGAAGATGGCATGCCCAAGACAATACATTTAAGAATTATAATATTTTTACTGAAATAATACATAAAATAAGAGACTGTGAGGACAAGAATGGAACCCACACTAAAATCAGATTATTCCCTGAGAAGATTTGAGGTGATCAGAGATGATCAAAGTGCAAGTAATCAAAACAAGCATTTCATTATAAGAGAAGGTAGTAGATATGAAAAGTAGACTAAAATTATTTAACTTAATTGCTGTCCTTGAGATTGAAATCACAGTAGTCTTCAAAGCTACTTGAAAAATCCCTGAACTGGAAAAGGAACTGAATCCACAGATTTGATGTGCACACTGGGGTCAAAAAAATTGCTATGCAATCTTTAACACAAAGCCAATTCAGGGATGACGTCAAGGGCAAAGGAAAAGAGGGTAAGTCAATCTTAAGGGGGAAGATGCTTTGGGCCATGACTACTCCAGAGCAAGATTCAGTATCTGCAATGTTCCCAACAAACAAAAGAATGAAAGGATATTAGTGTCTGTCAAATCATCCTTGCAGATTTAGACATGTAAGCACAAAAGAGCTTAGGAGATACAAATACACATGCACACACGTATACATACACATGCATGCATACAAACGCAGAGACACATACAATAAGGTAAGTCCTTATGGAGTAAAAGACTAGATCATGAGTCTACCCAATTAATGAAGAATCAAAATAAATAA
Organism: Homo sapiens; assembly: GCF_000001405.40. NCBI lineage: Eukaryota > Metazoa > Chordata > Mammalia > Primates > Hominidae > Homo > Homo sapiens. The sequence goes on from NC_000005.10 coordinate 7,101,360, forward strand.
CTTGAGTAAAGAAGCAATGGGAAAAGCAGAGAATCCATAAAACTGAGCAAAAATGACTTATAGGTCTGGGGCCAGGGTGAGGTCTGTCTTCATTTCCAAAATTAAAAAAAAAAAAAAACACAACTTGACATTTTCTCACAGAACACAATTTTGGAAGTACAGTTGATCACATGGAGAGTAGAATGTCATGTTTATTATCATCTGTTTCCTCCATTGCAAGATTCCTACTTCTGTCCACAGTATCGTGCCCTCCATGTCTGTCCCTCGTAAGCAAGCTGGCATGTCAGATGCAGCCTGTCACCTCACCTCTTCTCCGACAGCTCTCTCAGCCCAAAGTCTTTCATCTAAGACTGCCGTGCATCTTCCCTCACAGTTTTGAAAGAGAGAGAAAAAATCCTGGTGGTGCATTTGCTGTTTTAGTGCAATTTGGAAGCCATCCTTTCTAGTGACTTCAGTGATCCATCTCCTAAAAAGGGGGATATAATATTCAAATTATGGCTAGTTTTGAAATTTTAAATTCTTATGTAAAGATTCTCATCAATTCTTAGTTCCTCCAGTTCCACACTCAAGCTAACAGCAGGCTTGATCAGGGCACATTTGATGGAATCTCTTCACTTTAGAGAGAGGTGACTTTGGGACTTTTCATAACTTCATGATTGGTACCTACTCCACTCCCTGTATTGAAATGTAATAATGACATTTCTCTAAATTGTGGCTCATTTATGTTGGCAGAGTGTATAGCAACAATCTGATGATTAGGTGGGCTTAGGGAGAGGACTAGGTCAGCTTTCTCTATAACACTCATTAGGAGTCCTAGTAACTAAAGAGAAACAAGTGAACAACTTATGAAATTCTAAGTATTTAACTACTTAATCACTTCTGCAACCACATTTAGTGTGAGCTAAAGATATATCCACACCTCATGTGTGTTTGTTCATTCATGCATGCATGCATTCATTTATTCAATAAGCAGTTAATGACCATTTGCTGTGTGTTAGGCATTTAGAATACAATGATTCATAAGAAACTGCCCTTGTCCTAAGAAACTTAACATCTATCATGAAGACATACTAGCTGACCGTACCATGAAGTCAAAGACTTCAAACAGGTTCATCTTTGGGTTATCGTGGTCAGTCTTGTAGTTCACACTTACCATCTGTGTAATTTCAGGAAGGACATGGTACTCCTCTGTGCCACAAATTTCTTATTTGTAAAATCAGGAAAATAATATTATTCATCTCCTAGGGTGTTTGAGAGGATAAGTTAAGGAGATACCTGCATAACACTTAATATACTGCCTGGCACATAGCAAATAACAAGAACTCAATAAATGTTTGAAATAAAAGGTAAGGCTAGGCACAGTTGCACATCTGTAATTCCTGCACTTTGAGAAGCCAAGGCAGGAAGATCGCCTGAGCCCAGAATGGTGAAGTTACAGTGAGCTATGATTGTGCCACTGTGCTCCAGCCTGGGCAACAGAACAAGACTCTAAAAAAAAAAAATAAGTAAAAAATAAAAAAGTAATTATATGATTCTATGCCTACTGCCTTTTAGAATAACTTTAGCCAAGACAAATATCTGAGACCATTTAGTACAACCTTAAAATTTACAACAGGGGTTCAGAGAATATGAATGCTTTGCTCAGAATTGGTTGATTCATTCACTTAACAAATCTTTAGTAATAAGCTACTCTGTTTCAGAAATGGCATCAGTGCTGAAGGAACTGAGGGAGGATTTATACAGCCCTGGCCTTCATGGGTTAAAAACTTGGTATAGGCGCATTTCCTAGAGCATTAAAGCTGTTCTACTGTCACTACAGCTACCACCATATATAGATGATCTTGATTACTGAAGATTTATGTAAAGCCTTAAATTACTAAATATTTCTATCCCAGGGATTTTCATAGACATTATCACACCAAATATTCATATATACTCTGTGAGGTTTGTTGTATTAGTTATCTATTGCTGTTAACAAATATTTCAAAACTTAGTGGCTTAGAACCATTTGCATTTATTATCTCAGAGTTTCTACAGATCAAGAATTTGGGAACAGCTTAATTGGCGGGCTCTGGTTCAGGGTCTTTTCCTTTTTTCACTTGTTTGTCAGTTGATTACAATGTTAAAATTTCAACATCACTATGCTCCTGTTATTCTACTCAGTATTTGGATCAATAAGATTTTAATTGTTTCTTGGGGTTTGCTATAACTCAGTTTCCTGAGGAAGCGGTTTCCAGACTTTTCCAGTCCATGGTCTTGTCAGTTGATCATAACACTGGACTCAGTCGCCTCTAACATAATTGTTAAAACATTATCTTCCAGCATTACTTGGAAGAATGTTACAGTTTCTGATGAGACTTCAGATTAAATCATCAATTTTTTTCTTTTTGTTTTACAAATCTGTTGATAATTACTAAGTTAATTTCAGAAACAAATTTGTGATTATATTATTATAAGCGTTATTATTATAATGGCCTTTGGAGAATCTTTGTATAATTATGTGATAACCACTAACCCTTAAAATATGAATATTAAAATCATAGGGAGCAGGCTTATTAGAACAGTGAGGATTAAATGGCTCTACGAGAGAACCAAGTAACAGTGAAATAATAGCAGTAGGAATGGTACTATGGTGGACTTTGGATCTATCCTGATCATCTACTTCTAGGAATATGATTTTGAGCTGTAAGTGAGTGTGGGCAGGGCTATCTTCTGTATTAAACACTCTTTTAAAGTGCACCAAGCAAAAAAAGAACAGATTTTGCTTGATGTAGTAGGAATTACAGGCATTACAATAAGATGTTGTGAGATCTATATGCTTATGCATTTTGTCAAAATTTTCTTGTTTTTTTGGAATATTATTACATACCATGTGTCTGCTAACGTAGATCACTGGTGATAATCTTGAGGGAGGACAACACAAGTAGGCTTGGGGATTCTGAACTTTGAATTTTCTCTCAAGCATGGCCCAGGAAATGTCAACAGTTACTTGGCTTGAATGGATTCTGTGGACAGTGTAGTACTGATGTTAGCAGTAACCAGTAATATTTATAAATTTAAGAATATATGTGAAACATATATATATTTATTTCACCATATTTTAATGTATATTTGTTTCCTTTTTAATAATTATCTTCCTATCCTGTTGTTTCTACCACCTCTCAATGCTTAAAAATTAAATTTTATTTTAGATTTACTAATTTCTATTTCACCATGCTGTATTGCTTCTTGTCAACTCCTCAAAACTCTTGGATTCTAAATAACTTTTTTTGATGTGTACATAATTTTTGTTTTAACATGCATTTTAAAATTAGGATATATATATATTTTTAAAACAGCATGTATCATCAATGCCATGTTTTTTTCTGATAAACTCCCATAGTTAAAAAATTATATAAAATAACATTTTATTCTAGTGGGGCACATTTTTTAAAGACAAATATTTGAATTTTTATGAAGATCTTTCAGCAGATGTTTCTAAACTACTCTAAAGTAGTCAAGTATTTTTGGTTAATAGGGTAACGTTATAGTACCTCAACTATGCTACCTTTATATGCATATTTTATTTTTTCTGTTTTATAAGCAGCCACTTTAGCAACTACTTTTAAAAAAGTAAACACTAATAATAGTTAAATTATTACATCTATGGCTCACTGAAAACAGAGTCTTAGTATTTTATTTAAAGTACTGAAAGTGTTTGGAAACCACTTTGCAGCAAATTCAGTCATTGATTTTATTCTTTGTTAATTTTAACCCTGCAGTGTATGGTAACTAAATGTATCATGTCTTTTGACCTCTAGAGCAGCAGTCCTCAACCTTTTTGGCACCAGGGACTAGTTTCATGGAAGACAATTTTTCCATGGACGGTAGGGTGGAGGTGGGGAGGGGGAATGGTTTTGAGATGATTCAAGTGCATTACATTTATTGTGCACTTTATTTATATTATTATTACATTGTATACAATGAAATAATTATACGACTCAGCATAATGTGGAATCAGTGAGAGCCCTGAGCTTGTTTTCCTGCAACTAGATGGTCCCCTCTGGGGGTGATGGGAGGCAGTGACAGATCATCAGGTGTTAGATTCTTATAAGGAGCATGCAACCTAGATCCCTTGCATGCACCGTTCATGATAGGATTTGCGCTCCTATGAGAATCTAACGCTGCCACTGATCTGACAGGAGGCAGAGCTCAGGTGGTAATGTGAATGATAGAGGGTGGCTATAAATACAGATGAAGCTTCGCTCACTTGCCAGCCACTCAAGTCCTGCACTCCTGCTGTGCTGACTGGTTCCTAACAGACCACCGATTGCAGTTGGTCTGTGGCTGGGGGTTGGGGACCCTTCCTCTAGGGAAATTAGATCTAAAGTATAGAAAATAGTCACCCTTACAGATTCTTCCATTCATAGTGGGGTTGAAAATAGCAGCAGGATAGAAACCAGGATATTGATAAATGGGTGCTTGATTAATCAGTGAGCCTGAATCATTGCTGTCACAAGCCCTCTCCACACTTTTTAATTCAGTTGCACTGATTTTCATGGCTATCACTTAGTGAAACATCATTTAGCATGAATTAGGGATTCTATAGGCACTGAACTCAAATTCTGCCCAGCTGAATTTTATTGTAAATGTTACAAGAGCAGTTTTTTAAGATTTAAGTTTGCTTAAATCTTAAAAAGATTTAAGCGCAAAGTAAAACTGCTACACTCAAGAAAAACAAGACCAACAATATATTATTTGTAGTTTTGTCTGACACTATGTCCTATGTCTTGGCTTCTTCTTTTTGACCCTTGCCTGTCACAAATGTTTCAGATAATAAAAGATGAAAGATGGTGTCTGTGCATGTGGAAGAATACAGCTAACCCTCACAGAGGAAGTAAGCCATGAATAACGATCAAAATTTTGAAAAATGATGGGCATTTGGGTTGGTTCCAAGTCTTTGGTATTGTGAATAGTGTCGTAATAAACATACGTGTGCATGTGTCTTTATAGTAGAATGATTTATAATCCTTTGAGTATATACCCAGTAAGGAGATTGCTGGGTCAAATGGTATTTCTAGTTCTAGATCCTTGAGGAATCACCACACTGTCTTCCACAATGGTTGAACTAATTTATACTCCCACCAACAGTGTAAAAGCGTTCCCATCCTCTCCCCAGAATCTGTTGTGTACTGGTACCAAAACAAATATATAGACCAATGGAACAGAACAGAGGCCTCAGAAATTACACCATACATCTACAATCATCTGATCTGTGACAAACCTGACAAAAACAAGCAATGGGGAAAGGATACCCTATTTAATAAATGGTGTTGGGAAAACTGACTAGCCATATGCAGAAAACTGAAACTGGACCCCTTCCTTACACCTTATACAAAAATTAACTCACGATGGATTAAAGATTTAAATGTAAGACCTAAAACCATAAAAACCCTAGAAGAAAACCTAGGCAGTACCATTCAGGACATAGGCATGGGCAAAGACTTCATGACTAAAACACCAAAAGAGATAAACATACGTGTGCAGGTGTCTTTATAGCAGCATGTTTTATAATCCTTTGGGTGTATACCCAGTAATGGGATGGCTGGGTGAAATGGTATTTCTAGTTCTAGATCCTTGAGGAATCACCACACTGTCTTCCACAATGGTTGAACTAGTTTACAGTCCCACCAACAGTGTAAAAGTGTTCCTGTTTCTCCACATCCTCTCCAGCACCTGTTGTTTCCTGACTTTTTAATGATCGCCATTCTAACTGGTGTGAGATGGTATCTCATTGCGGTTTTGATTTGCATTTCTCTGATGGCCAGTGATGATGAGCATTTTTTCATGTGTCTTTTGGCTGCATAAATGTCTTCTTTTGAGAAATGTCTGTTCATATCCTTGCCCACTTTTTGATGGGGTTGTTTGATTTTTTCTTGTAAATTTATAGCAAAGACTTGGAACCAACCCAAATGTCCAACAATGATAGACTGGATTAAGAAAATGTGGCACATATACACCATGGAATACTATGCAGCCATAAAAAAAATAATGAGTTCATGTCCTTTGTAGGGACATGGATGAAGTTGGAAACCATCATTCTCAGCAAACTATTGCAAGGACAAAAAACCAAACACCGCATATTCTCACTCATAGGTGGGAATTGAACAATGAGAACAGACGGACACAGGAAGGGGAACATCACACACCAGGGTCTGTTGTGGGGTGAGGGGAGGGGGGAGGGATAGCATTAGGAGATATACCTAAGGTTAAATGACGAGTTAATGGGTGCAGCACACCAACATGGCACATGTATACATATGTAACTAACCTGCACGTTGTGCATATATACCCTAAAACTTAAAATATAATAATAAAAAAAAACAAAAGCAATTGCAATAAAAGCCAAAATTGACAAATGGGGTCTAATTAAACTAAAGAGCTTATGCACAGCAAAAGAAACTATCATCACAGTGAACAGGCAACCTACAGATTGGAGAAAATTTTTGCAATCTATCCATCTGACAAAGGGCTAATATCCAGAATCTACAAGGAACTTAAAACAAATTTACAAGAAAAAAAACAAACCCATCAAAAAGTGGGCAAAGGATATGGACTCATAATTTTCAAAAGAAGACATTTATGTGGCCAACAAACATATGAAGAGAAGCTCATCATCACTGGTCATTAGAGAAATGCAAATCAAAACCACAATGAGATACCATCTCACGCCAGTTAGAATGGTGATCATTAAAAGGTCTGTTACATTTTCTATACCAGAGAGAAAAGTAAATTAGAATAGAAAAAAAGAAGAATTAGGATGTCCAGTTATAATCTGGACATTTCTTACTTTGGAAAGATCTTAACTGACATAAAAATAATGCAATAGAAAAATTCAAAATCTTAGACCAGAAAATCTCTCCAAGGTCCTATGTTTCTTAACATCACCCTTGAATCATGTTGCTACTTTCGACCAAGAGTTTCGGAATAGGTCTTTTCAAATCAAATATTGTGAACTGGATCTTTAGAATATTAATAAAATGGAGGGAATAATTAAAAAGTTTGCCTTATCACCTATTCCCTCCAAATTCCTCAACTTCAGTGATACAGCAAATGTGAGAGAACTTGGAAAATAATGTGAGGCATTTCAAAGAGTGTGAACTTAAAGCAGAGACTCCTGTAGACATAATTTAAGGTCTTCTAATTTCTGGATCATTCTTTTGGTTAATTTGGAGAAAATTTTCTGACACTTTTCTCTTCTTTATAGACACATGTAAAATGACCAAGAAGTCATTCTCTTCTCTTCCAACAGAAGTTTCTCTATAGGAAAACTTTGATTTTTAAAAAGGGCATTGTAACAGATTCATATGATTCATTCTGCATTTCAGCAGAAAGCATGGCTGCAATTGTTTGTGACATTTTTTTTCTGGTAGAATATATTAGCAGTCTATACATAGATTTAGTGAACCAGTTGCTAAAACTATGCTTGAACTGCATGGCAATTTTTATTTATTTTTTTTAACTTAGAAATGATGTCTGGTTTTATGTTTATTTCCCTCAGAATGCAAATGGGGACAGTGGGTAAACAGTAGAAATGAAAGTTTAATAAATAAGTAATTAAAATCTTTTTCTGGGTTTTGTAAAAAACTTGATATCATCAGCTTCCTGATCATGCTTGATTTCATTGTCACATTTTTGAAAAGTAAGACTTAGCTCCCTCTGAGGCTGCGGCTCACTGCTAGTTCATCATCTCTTGAGAATAATCTTTGACCTACACAACAGCTTTCCTTTTCTCTAAAAGAATTTCTCTGTAGAACTATAAAAGTCAGACTATTATGCCGAAGACAATAGACTCATATTTCTCTTTTGCTAAGAAAGACAAAACATCTTTAGAGCCATTTGCCAAATGACCACTAATAGTTTATATCACAAATCCAGGTGATTTACTGTGCCAGCCTAGTACTGACAGGCTCAGTGTACTGAATTAGGATGGGAGTGATTTACCTTGCCTGGTTTTATGTTTCCTAGAAGTTTCTACTGTGATGTGTAACTCATCCAGGCAAGAAAAATCCCCAATTGGGCTCTACTTTAGATTATGCTATTTAGTACCCAACCTGGGCACCTCAGTCTTTAATAAATGGCATTCACTTATCTATTTGCAGCAGTACCTATGTAATTGCAACTTTATGCAATAGTTTGTAAATAATACACAATATTGCCTTCATATTAAACATCCAATCCTCTTGCCCATGAGTTGTTTAAAAAAAAATCCAGGCCAGATAATGACCAAGGCAAATCCTATTCAACTTGACTTTCAACATCCAGATTCTACTGGAACTTTTCTTCATGCCTCTGGCCTTGCTTGTCAAATGCTAGTCTGGTACGTATGGTGTTTCAGTTTCCTTTAGAAAGACAAAACCTGAAACAAAAAAATACAGTGCTAATATTTTATTTGGAAGGTGTAAGAGCAGGGAAGTGAGGATAAAGGAAATGGCGAGGAAGACATGGGAGGATAGGAAGACATGTATAGGAATGCCCAACTGCTCGGAGACACTGACCCTAAGGAAGGCAATGCGGCATTTCTTAACAAAGGACTGAATGATAACTCTTCACATTAAAGTAACATTTCTTCACCACCTACATAAACCAAGCTCTGAGTTTAACACACAGACATACATTAGCTCATTAACAGCCCAGTGGGGAAGGTCAGTTTTTATTATTTTTATTTTAAAAAATGGCCATATCCCAAGAGAATAAATTGTATTTTCACATAAACTGCACACAGATGTTTCCAGGAGCTTAATTCATAATTGCCAAAACTTGGAAGCACCCAAGATGCCCTTCAGTAGGTTAATTGATTAATAAATTTGGATACATCCAGACAAAAGAATATTATTCAGTGCTAAAAAGAAATGGGCTATCAAGCCATGAAAAGACATAGAAGAAACTTAAATGCATATTACTAGTGAAAGCAGCAATCAGAAAAGGCTACATATATGATTCCAACTTGCTATGATCTGAAATTCATGTGTTGAAATTCTAACCCCCATATTAGGAGGTGAGGCCTTTGGGAAGTGATTAGATTATGAGGGTGGAGCTCCCATAAATGCAATCAGTGCCTTTATAAAAGAGGCCTGAGGGAGACCCCTCACCCTTTTGCTATATGAGGTTAGAATAAGACAGATATCTATGAAAACGTAGTTCCACACCAGACACCAAGTCTGCGGGTTTCTTCATCTTGGACTTCCCAGCCTCCAGAACTCTGATAAATAAATTTCTGTTGTTTATAAGCCAGCTAGTGTTTGAAATTTTGTTACAGAAGCCTGAAGAGACTAACACCCAACTACAGCACTTCTGGAAAAGGCAAAACTATGGAGACTGTAAAAAGATCAGTGGTGCCACGAGTTAGTGGGGAGGGAGGGAGGGATTGCTACGCAAAACACACAGGATTTTTAGGGCAGTGAAACTATTCTGTACGATATCATAATGGCAGATACATGTCATTATAGTTTTATACAAACTCATAGAAGGTACAACACCAAGAATGAACCCTAATGTAAACCATGGGTACTAGAAGATAATAATGCGTCAGTGTAGGTTCACCCATTGTAACAAATGTGTCACTGTGGTGGGGGATGTTGATAATGGGAGAGGCCATGCATGTATGGAGACCAAGAGTCTGTGGGAAGTCTCTGTACCTTCCTCTGAACTTTATGTAAAAGTGAAGATGCTTTAAAAAATAAAGTCTGTAAGCAGTCTAAAAATTATTAATTGGAATCTGAATGGAAATGTTTATCTTTAACATGCATTTTAATCATTATACTGCTTTTGTGTTGAATCTCTGTGCAATTCACAATAGTTAGTCATTACATATATCATATAATATATCTGATATATCTTTATATATTTATGTATAGTCTCTTTTTGTCTTTGGTAGTCTGGAAAGTGTTTCACAGTTCCACAACAATGTGTATGCAATATAATTTCCATAACATTTATTGTGCAGTTAATCTCCCTCCTGCCTATGATTTTTTGCCTGTTAGTTTCCTTCTGTTTTGGAGATTTGTAGGTTTCCTTTGTGAGAAATTATGCAGGTATTTTGAGACATTAAGTTCAGGAGAATTCCCTTCAATTCAAGCAATATGTTTTAAAAAATCACTCCCATGTTCGTGATAATTTAATGAGTAATTCAAATCCATGGCGGCATCCTTCCAACTGTGGAAGACAACCAAGATTAACTGATGGTGTGGAGAGGGTGAATTCACAACTGCAGGAGAAAAGTTATTAAATAGATGCAAACTCAGCCTTTGTATGTCAAGAGAGTCTCATATAAGAGGTAAAAATATTCGGTCCAATGGGCTATACATGTTAGGCATCAGCAGTCCCTAAGCTTATGTTTTTTCTTGTTCATTCCAATAGCATCTTCCTGTCACTAAGATCTAGTGACCCAGTGAAGTGCCCAAGGGAAATTCTGTAAGAGTGAGGGTGACTTCTCACAGTGGGGAATCGATCTCTCTTTGCTGTTAGATCTGTTTTCCAAAGGACTCATTATGTTTTTTTCACCATTCCTGTCATACTTTCTGTTATTTGTCCATTTGGCTGTTTTTAAAAAATCGATTTACCAGTCAAATGGTTTCTTTTTTTTTTTTTTTGAGACGGAGTCTCGCTCTGTCGCCCAGGCTGGAGTGCAGTGGCGGGATCTCGGCTCACTGCAAGCTCCGCCTCCCGGGTTCACGCCATTCTCCTGCCTCAGCCTCCCAAGTAGCTGGGACTACAGGCGCCCGCCACTACGACCGGCTAATTTTTTTTTGTATTTTTAGTAGAGACGGGGTTTCACCGTTTTAGCCGGGATGGTCTCGATCTCCTGACCTCGTGATCCGCCCGCCTCGGCCTCCCAAAGTGCTGGGATTACAGGTGTGAGCCACCGCGACCGGCCCAGTCAAATGGTTTCTACTCACTACAGTTGGATTTCAATCTAGTCTGTTCTCAGAAATGAATTGGGGAGTTTACTTGACTTTACTCATTTGGGTGGCAACCTTTCTCCGTGTTTTTTCCATTTTTTTTCCCTATTTCCTAGCCTTTTTCTTACTCTTTTATCATTTCAGGAGAGATGTTATCATGAGGAAATATTACTAAGGGAAGTTCTATTAGTACCTTTCTTTTTATCCAGTTCGGTTGTGAATTAAGACACCAGCAATCATATGTACACAGCTGACTCAACTTTGACAATATTACAAATTAAATGTTGGACTTTTCTTTGTACCATGCACAAGCAATAATCCTTCCATATTCACCTGTATAAGCTAAAGCTCCCTCCCTAGCCTTTTGTGCCCACATAGCATTTGTGGCCCACTGACCTCTTCCATGTTTCATTTATTTGCCTGACGGTAAGAGTCATAGAGCAGACATTGCTGTGTATTTTGTTCACTGCTGCACTTCTTGGGCATAGAACAGAGACTAGTATAAAGTAAATGCTTCATACATTTTTACTGATGGAAAAGAAAGGAAAGGAGGGAGGGAAGAAAATGGGAATGAAGACAGGAAAATTTAAAAACTGTTCAATGTAATTTCACACATGGGACACACACACACACACACACACACACTAAACCACCTAAACTTAAGTAAAATATACATATTTGTTATAAAAAGTTTTGGATTCTGTGCTTGTGATGATTTTCTAAGTCAATGATGTAGGAGGGATTAATTAGTGCAGGAAAAACCTGTTTTAAAATTTGTATTGTACTGTACTGTACTGTACTATACTGTATTGTATTGTATTGTATTGTATTGTATTGTATTGTATTGTATTTTGTATTGTATTGTATTGTTTTGTATTGCAGTAAGAACCTTGACATGAGATCTATCCTCTTAACAAATTTTTCAGGGCACAGTATTGTTAACTATAGTAATGATGATGTACAGCAGACCTCTAGGACATAGTCACCTTGCTTAGCTGAAACTTCATCCTTATTGATAAGCAACTCCCCATTTTCCCCTCCTGCCAGCCCCTGGCACCCACCATTCTACTCTCTGCTTCTATGTGCTTGGCTATATTAGATGTGTTATATCAGTGGGCTCTTGCAGTATTCGTCCCCCTGTGGTTGGATTATTTCACTGAGCATAATGTTCTCAGAGTTCACCTATGCTGTAGCATGTGTCAGCATTTCCTTCTTTTTTTTAAGGCTGAGTAATATTCCATTGCATACACATACCACATTTTCTTTATCCATTCGTCCGTCAGTGAACATTTAGGCCCAAGAAGCCCAAAGGACCCAGAAGAGGAAGGGCCTGTCTTTCATATGGGCTCTCCTTTTCCTGTGCCCTGGCAGTGGAGGTGAATCCTGCCTCAGCCACTTGCAGATACCTGGGATCCAGACTCAGAAGCCCCCTCCCTTTCTAGCCTGGGGACAGTGGGCTTGGGATCCAAGGCTAAGTGATATTTACATTTAATGTAAATTTTACCAGATCTCAGTTTTAACCTATGAAGTGAGAGTTGGAAAAGATTCCTGTTTTCTTCTCGCGTGTCTAACTGTATTTCCTTTTTTTTCTTTTTTAAAATTTGCATAAATTTAATTGGTACAAGTGCAGTTCTGTTACATGGATACATTGCATGGTGTCAAAGTCTGGGCTTTTACTGTAGCCACACGAATAGTGTTCACTGTACCCATTGAGTGATTTCTCAGCCCTCATCTTCCCTCTATCCTCCCATGCTTCGTTCATAATCTATGTCCATGCCGTCACCCGAATAGTGTTCACTGTACCCATTGAGTGATTTCTCAGCCCTCATCCTCCCTTGATCCTCCTGTGCTTCATCCATAATCTATGTCTGTGCGGTCACTCGAATAGTGTTCACTGTACCCATTGAGTGATTTCTCAGCCCTCATCTTCCCTCGACCCTCCTGTGCTTCATCCATAATCTATGTCCATGCCATCACCCGAATAGTGTTTACTGTACCCATTGAGTGATTTCTCAGCCCTCATCCTCCCTCGACCCTCCCATGCTTCATTCAGAATCTAGGACCATGCATGCACATTGTGTAGCTTCCACCTGTAAGTGCAAACATGCAGTATCTGACATTTCCTTTTTAATTCAAACACATTCAACGATTAAGCCAAGGCTTTATAAAAGATTTTTGTATCTTATAGAAGCAACATAGTCTTAACTGAAAGAAGTAAGCAACAATACATTATATCTTAAAGCAGTGACATTTCTGAATCAGTTTTGAAGTGCTTGAGTTAAATATATATAAAAACATATATGAGTATATGTGTGTGTATCTATATGTGTGTGTGCATGTATGTGTGTGTGTCTATATAGATATATAGACATAAAGAGAGAAATGGACTTTCTCCAATGCCTCTCCTGCCCCAACCCCTGGCCTCCCTGCCTCCCCTCTGAAGGGAGCTGCTGGCATGGGGCATTATTTTCTGCGGCCCTCTACTCAGCTTATCCTGCTAGTGTCTCACCTAAAATGTTCAGGAAGCTATGGGGCTCATAACGGAGGGAGCTGTGTTAGTCTGGAGGGTCAGGGGGATGCCCTTTGGAGTGACTTTTATTTGAAGGAGGAAGGATGCAGGAGGCAGTAGGGGGAGGGAGGTTCTGAGGGTGGAAACCATGGGATGCAGGTGCATGGAACTATTGAGAGCCGGCTCTTCAGCGAGCAAAGGAGAATAGCAGGACAGGGAAGGGAAGGAGCTGAGCAAGATGAAGCAACAGGGGGTGTTCAGCCACAACTGGCCCTGGTTTGAAGGTGGGAGTTTCTGAATGACACCACAGAGTGGTCCTCTTTGAGGCAGATTCTGGTCCTTTGCCTGCTGTCTCTAGGGGATTTCTGAGGGGCTTCTATCAACTGAGGACATTCTCCAAAGCCTCCCAGAAAAGGTCAGCTATGAGCAGGGACTTCTCTTAGTTTGAAGGCCTTTGACTTAAAAGTACATAGACCCTCTTTCTGTATTTTGAGTATCAGTTAAATAACTAATAACTTATTTCCCCGTAAGTGCCAATATTTTTTTCCAAGGTTATCTTTTAAACCTGGAATGTCATCTTTGTCATCCAATTTTTTTTTCAATTTTCATATCTTAGACAGCCTTTTCTTTTGTGCTTGCTGGGCTTTGTGACTTACTTAGAAATGCTTTTCCTCACCAAAACATTGTAAACATACTTTCTCATTTCTGTTCGAATTAAGACACATATTTTATCCTAAGCCCTTTATTTGTATTTGGAGATTATTTTTGTGTCTGTTGGGAAGCTGGGCACTAGCTTAATTTTCTCCTGAATGGATAGATGATCAGATGATGCCATTCACTGAATGGTCCGTTTGTTATCATCTACTGGTTTGAGATGCCCTGTCCATCATGTACTAAACTTGTCCACTGTATCGGGGTCTGTATGGGGCTCTGCTATCTTTCACTGATGTCTCTGTCCAATCCTGTAGCAAGAGGCAACATTTTTATCACTATAGTTTTATATGTTGTTTTGTTATTTAGGAATGTAAATCTCTCTTGTCTTTCTTTCTAAACATTTATTTGCTCTTTGCATGCATTTTTTTCTGTGAGGCAGTAATATAATTATTGGTTTCCCACTCAGTACCCATTGCCCTCTTCACTCCCCCAAATATATGCCAATTTTCATTCAGTGGCCTCCCCTCTGCCAGGCAACCCGTGTTGCTCAGGACAGGTTGATACAGCCTCGCTCCAGGAGGTGATTGTTCAGAGCACCCACGTGATATTGATTGTACCCCAGGAATGGGTGATTGGTGGGGGCATCACCCTGGGCAGGCCAAGGATGAGTGCAAGAAGGTTTCCTGGGAGGAGCTCCAAGGGGAGATTCCCTGACTTTAGGAGGGAATCTCTAGAGGACCCATAAGAGGTGTTCTTTCTTTCTCAGGAATGTATTCACAATATGCCATGAAGCTAGCACAGCAACATCAGTTTTGCACTCCGAGAAACCAGCCCGAAGGTGAAGACAGTATTTAGAGGAAAATATAGCCTAGCAACTTGAAGTAAAACGAATCCTGCCCTGATGAAATAAATCAATCTAGTGCAGTTCCGTCACTGAACTTTCAGATAAACGATTCAGAAGATAACCTTTTCCCCTAAACTACTTTGGATTGTCTATTACTTGAAGCCAAAGCCTCTTGAAATAGGTGGATATACTTTTTAAAAACTTCTATTTTAGGTTCAGGGGTACATGTGCAGGTTTGTTATACAGGTAAATTGAGTGTCACAGGTGTTGGACGTACAGATTATTTCATCACCCCGGTAATAAGCATAGTGTCCAACAGGTAGTTTTTCAGTCTTCACCCTCTTCCTACCCTCCACCCTTAAGTAGGCCCCAGTGTGTGTTGTTCCCTTCTTTGCGTCCATGTGTACTCAATGTTTAACGTCCACTTATAAGTAAGAACATGTGGTATTTGGTTTTCTGTTCCTACATTAGTTCATTTAGGATAATGGCCTCCAAATTCATCCATGTTGCTGCAGAGAACATGATCTCATTCTTCCTTTGTGGCTGCATAGTATCCCATGGCGTATATGTACCATATTTTCTTTATCCCGTCTACCATTGATGGGCATTTAGATTGGGTCCATGTCTTTTCTATTGGGAATAGTGCTGTAATGAACATATGATGCATGTGTCTTTATAGTGGAATGATTTATAGTCTTTTGGGAGTTCACCCAATAATGGGATTGCTGGGTCAAATGACACTTCTGTTTTAAGTTCTTTGAGAAATCAGAAAACAGTTTTTCACAATGGCCGAGCTAATTTACATTCCCACCTGCAGTGTATATGTATTCCCTTTCTCTGCAACCTCACCAGCATATACTTTTCAGAATTAGTGGCTTATGTTCCATAGAAATTCCTTTGGGATTTTGATTGGAGTAACATCAAATTTATAGGTAAGTTTGAAGAGAAGTGACATTTACAATACTAATTTTCTCTCTGTGGACAAGATTTATCTCCATGTGATTCATGATTTACTCTCTATACATCTATTCTTCAGGTGGTCTCATTCAACCCCATTTATATAATGATGGTTTCCAAATTTTTATCTCCAGCTCCTACCTTGTTGTCTGAACTTTGGGCTTATAGATCCAACAGCTGACCTGTGATCTCAGCTTGGATGGCTATTACACATCTCAAACTTAACATGCCTTTTAAAAAATTTTGATTTCCTCCCA
The DNA here is from genome assembly GCF_000001405.40 of Homo sapiens. Taxonomy (NCBI): domain Eukaryota; kingdom Metazoa; phylum Chordata; class Mammalia; order Primates; family Hominidae; genus Homo; species Homo sapiens. The sequence goes on from NC_000005.10 coordinate 7,117,521, forward strand.
AGAAGCTACGATTGCTTATCTCAATGAAAGGGGACTTCAGTTACTTAGGCCAACAGCTTTGGCTCAGTATTTTGACACCCCACATTTTAAGTCTGTCAGCTAAGTGTGTTGGCTCCATTTTCATGATCTGTTCTGCTATAGACTGAATGCTGGTGCCTCCCCACAAGTTCATATGTTGAAATCTTAACCCTCAATGTAATGGCATTAGGAGATGGGACCTTTGGGAGGTGATTAGGGTGTGAGGGTGCAGCCCTCAGGAATGAGGTTAGTGTCCTTATAAAAGAGGTCCCAGAGACTCCCTTGTTCCTTCTGCTATCTGAGGACACAGTGAGAAGACAATTGTTTAATTAATTAATTAATTATTAATTCATGATGGGCTTCTGGTTTTTCTTCTGTCTAAAAGACATTTAGTTTGAACGTTTTCATTATAAACATCAAGACTGGTTGGAGATCTGCTCTTCTACAAATAATCTCTTTTTCCAACATTAGGCTCTGTCTGTGATTTAGGCCTTTAGAGCTTGAATGAGCAGCTGGTACAGTATCCCTTTCGGGTTTTCACCTCCCAGACGTTAAGTCATGCTCTCTGCTCTTCTGTTGGCCCATTACAGTGTTATTGGGTATCGCGGGCTCTTATTTGCAGCTCTGTGTTCCCGGAGGAAGAATTCAACCACACATATATTTAGAACATTAGCTCCATTGGAAAAGCATCCATGCTGCTTGCATCGAGTCCCTGCTGTTCTCAGTTTTCCTCTTTACATTTTAATTATATGTGCTCTTTTAATGATGCTTGTAACTTTTTTTAAAGGTTTTCTGACACACTATTTGAAAGCAGTTAGGTAGATTTAGTGTTTTTCCCTTCCCTATTAGGAGCAAACAACTGCTTTTGTAAATAGTGAGGCAGCTGAGCTATAATGCATTTTGAAAATGTCCCCACCATTCCCCTACTCTGCCACAAAATACGTGTCTATCCACTTGGAGATAGTGCAAGATAGTGTATAATACTGCACACACATATACAGAAACAGGTGTTCACATGTATAGTAGTACTCTTACAGTACATCTTCCATAATTCTGCCACCAAAATACAATCACTGTTAACTTTCAACTATATTATTTCCTATATTTCTAGCAAGTGCTTATATTTAATACACTTTCTATTATGTTGTATATTCAAATTTGCATCCACTTTAAAAAATTTTTATTTTTAATCAATAAATAGTAATTGTGTATATTTATGGGGTATAATGTTGTGTTTTGATACATATATACATTGTACAATGATGAAAACAAGCTAATTAATACATCTATCACTTGACCTGTTTTTTTTCTTATTTAACATTGCCATAAGCTTTTTCATAGTGTGACTGTACAGACACTATGTTTCATGGTTTCAGAGTATTTTAGTTGTTGGGATCCAAAAGCCATGCTGGAGAATGTTCCTGTGGTAGAAGGCAAAAATGGGCACCTCTCATGATGAAGTCTATTCTCTCACTCTTGAATCTGGGCTGGATTGTGAACTGCTTTGTCTGATAAAATGTGGCTGGAATGATATTTTGTGAGTTTTGAGGTTGGGCCTACAGAGGCTTTGCACATTTCCACACTCACATTTTGGTGCCAGGCTAACCTGTTGGAGGATGAAGACCCTGTGGAGAGAAGCCCCAGACCTCCCATTCTTCCCAGTGATGCATCAGATATGACAAGCAAAGCAGCCAAGAGAGCCAAATTCAGAGGATGCCAGAATAACTGCCCTGCAGAGCCCAGCCCAAACTATCAACCTGCAGAATAAATGGTTATTGTTTTAAGCCACTAAACTTTGGAATTGTTTGTTATGCAGCAAAAATGAATAGGTCACCCATACCATTGACTTCACCAATCAACTCTTTTGTATAATTAAGTTGTTTTTGATGAACATCTTTGAATACAAGTCTTTGTGCACATCTCTAAGTGATCATTTCCTTAATATAATTACCTATGGCTAGCACTAATGAGGAAAGAGGAAAGAAAAATGGGAAGGGTCTTGGTAAATGATGCTTACTTGTTTCCCAAAACAGTTATAATAATTTATATTCCAACAATCATAATATGATATTGCCTATTTCATTATGGGAATGATGAACAAACATGGGATATTTATTAAAAATGAAACTACTTGATAAGATATGCATATACTTACTAGTTTAGATTAGAAATTGTATTTGGAGGGCTGGCCATGTTCACCTATATGTATACATGTTTTCTATCCACCATGTGGAATACATGAACAGCCAAATGGACCACTATTTACACAGTTCAGCCTTAGGTGTGCCAGGGGCAAGAACAGCCTGACTTTGGGAAGGTTTTCCAGGGTTGACCCTTGACAAACTTTTAGAGATCAGCTTCCTCCAGGAACTCTGGGGAAGCCAGAATTTATGTAATTCAACTGGACAGCTTTTTAGTCTTTGTGCTCCACTTCTTTTTTGGGATCCACACCTGCATCTCTGCTTCATTCTCACTCACTTGCCCAATCGCTATCCCCACCCTTTTCTCCACCTGTGTCTCATTGTCCTCCTCACACTCCTCTTCATTCTCTTCAACATGAGTTAATTTTCTTACCTTCTTTATTTTCCTCACCCTTACCCTTGTTGCATGAGAATCATCATCACTACTTTATTGTAATTTCCCTTTTCACAAGATTCTTCTCACACCAGTTTTGCTTTTGCCTAGGATACATCACCTCCTTTAAAGTTTTTCTGATACTGTAACTCACATGGTGAGAAAGATGTGCTCCCTTGAAGATGGAAGAACTCCTGAAAATGTCTGCCTTTTCCATTACAATATAGATGACCATATATCACTATCAACTGAATTTATTTTACAAATGCAAAATTGATGATCTTTTAAAAATCAGTATTCTAATTCAGCACATGAATAGAGTTGAAGACATAATAAAATAGTATGATCATCTCAATAGACGCAGGAAATGTGGTACATAATAATGAGTATTTGCTATTTTTAAAAAATCTTTACATGCCAGTAATAGAAAGAAATTTCCTTAAACTTATAAAGATATATTTTTAAAAACTGTAGTAAACATTGTTTACTTAAATGAAAATATCACCGAAATAGCAAAACGTTGCAATATTTCTTTCTGTGATTAAGATCAAGACAAGAATCTTCACTTTACCACTTCTAGTTAGCATTGTACTAGAGGTCCTAGCCTGAGCAGTGAGGAAAATAACAAACAATGTGTAATCCTTAGAAAGGAAGAAAAAAACGTAAATACTGGTATATTATATAAATATATAGAAAATAGAATCTAGTCAAATTATTAGAGTTAATAAGTATGTTTAACATGTTTGGCTGATATTAAGACAAGGTCAATTAAAAAATAAATTCTTTCCATATGTAAGAAACAAGCAAAACATGAAATTAAAAAAAATATGTAAAATCATGAAAACAGCAAGTGCAGTCAGCTTTGTATCCATGGGTTCTGCATCTGTGGATTTAACCAGCTGTGGATCAAAATCTCAAAATATTCAGAAAAATATTCCACAAAGTTCCAAAAAGCAAAATTTGAATTTGCCATGTGCTGAGTACTACCTTGAATCCACGAGAACAAAGTGATGTGTAGGCACTCTATTAGGTATTATAAGCAATCTGGAGATGATATCAACCATATGGGAGGGTATGCATAGGCTATATGGAAATACGGCGCCATTTTATATAAGGGCCTTGAGCATCTGTGGATTTTGGTATCTGTGGGTGGGAGGTGGGTCCTGAAACCCATTCCCCATGGATACCAAGGAATGATTGTAGTTAATAATAATTCTAATAAAGTAGGCACAATAATTCTACCCAGTAATCTGTGAAATATATTTGACAAAGAAACAAGAAGTAAACAAATCAATAGGTGTTTAAGTTTCTATGTTAGAATATTCTGTTTCAAAGGATGTAGTTCTCCCCATGATTATCTATAGAGTCAATGAAATGGAATAAAAATCCCAACAGCTGTTTTTAAATGGAATTTAGCAAGCTAATTCTAAATTTTTTATGGAAAGAAAGACAGCCAATAGTAGCCAAGGCCTCTTAAAGAAGGAAGCAGTAAGAGAACTTTGTCTACTGGTGAGTTCCATGCAACAGTGTGGATGAGTCTCATCAACGTAGTAGTGTGCAAAGGAAGCCAGGTACAAAAGATACCATGTTGTATATATACACATCTCAAAACAAAAAGCAAGAAAGCGATCACTGTAAAATTTGGAATAGTTTTATCCATGCATGGAGCTTCTGAGGCTTCTGAAGTCCTGGAAAATTTTGTATTTCTGGACCTGGGAGGTGATGACAAGGGTGCTTGCTACATTACTTAACGGTTTATTATTTTTCGAAATATCATATTTCACAATAAAAAGTATAAATACAAATAGGAGAAAAAATTAGTAATTTCACTAGGTTTCTACAACTGTTTCCTAGGGCTTCTGTAACAAGGCATCACAACCTGAGTTGTGAACCTCACACATTTATTGTCTCTCACTTCTGGAGGCCAGAATTCCAATGTCAAGGTGCTGGCAGGGCTCTGCTTGCTCTGAAGACTCTAGTGGAGGATCCTTCCCCACTTCTTCCAGTTTCTGGATGAGCCAGGTGTTCTCTGGGTTGTCGTAGTGTCACCTCCGTTTCTGCCTCCATTATCCTGTGGCCATCTTTTCTCTGTGCCTCTGTCTTCAGAAGACCTTCTCTTCTGTGTGTCTGTGTTCTGACCTCCTCTTTTAAGGACACCAATCACGTTGGATGAGGGCCCATTTTAATAACCTCATGTTTACTTGATTATATCTACAGAGACCCTATTTATTTCCAAACAAGATCACATTCACAGGTCGTGGGGCTTTGGACTTCAACATATCTGTTTTGGGGGACTCAATCCAACTCATAAGAGTCCTCCTCTGAGGGAATAGGTTGAGACTGAAGCACTGCTGTTTCCTAGCACAGTGTGTCTTGGAACAAGTCACTTTCAATGTCCAGCTTTCTTATCTGCAAAATGAGTTCAGTAGGTTTTCCTGCCTCTGGGGAAAGGGTTTTCTTCCTTTATGTTGAAGTAGACCCCACCCTCTTTCAGGATTTATCTTTGGGATATGTAAGTGAACGGTTTTTTTCCAGCTTTTAAGTTTGGGGGGCACATGTGCAGATTTGTTACATAGGCAAATTGTTTGCCACTAATGTTTGGTATACAAATGATCCCATCACCCAGGTAGTAAGCATGGCACCCAATAGGTGGTTTTTCAACCCTCAGACATCTCCTCCCACCCCACCTTTCTAGTAGTTCCCAGTGCGCAGTGTCTATCGTTCCCATCTATATGCCCATGTGTACTCAATGTTTAGCTCCCACTTATAAGTATTTGGTTTTCTATTCCAGCATTAATTTGCTTAGGATCATGGCTTCCAGCTGCATCCACATTGCTGCAAAGGACATAATTTTCTTCTTTTTTTGGTTGCATAGTATGCCATAGTGTATATGTACCACATTTTCTTTATCCAGTCCACTGTTGATGGGCATCTAGGTTGACTTCATGTCTTTGCTATTGTGAATAATGCTGTGATGAACATACAAGTGCACGTGTATTTTTTGTAGAATGATTTATTTTCCTTTGTGTATCTACCCAATAATGGAATTGCTGAGTCCAATGGTAGCTCTATTTTAAATTCTTTGAGAAATCTCCAAACTGCATTTCACAGTAGCTGAACTAATTTACATTTTCATCAACAGTGTATAAGCATTTTATTTTCTCTGTAACCTCACTGACACTGTTATTTTTCTTCTTTTTCGATAATAGCCATTCTGACTGGTGTGAGATGGTATCTCATTGCAGTTTTGATTCACATTTTTCTAATTAGTGATGTTGCGCATGTTTTCCTATGTTTGTTGGCCATATGTATGGCTTCTTTTGAGAAGTGTCTATGTCCTCTGCCCATTTTTAATAGGGTTACTTGTATTTTTGCTTATTGAATTGTTTGCATTCCTTATAGATTCTGGATATTGGATCTTTATCAATGCATAGTTTGGAAATATTTTCTCCCATTCTGTAGGCTGTCTGTTTAAACTGTTGACAGTTTCTTTTGCTGTGCAGAAGATTTTAGTTGAATTACATGCCCCCTGTCAGTTTTTGTTTTTGTTGCAATTGCTTTTGGCTACTTAGTCATAAATTCTTTGCCAAGGCTAATGTCCAGAATGGTATTTCCTAGGTTTTCTTCTAGGATTTTTGCAGTTTTGGGTTTTACATTTAATCCATCTTGAGTTGATTTTTGTATACAGTGAAAGATAGGTGTCCAGCTCCATTTTTCTGCATATAGCTAGCCAGTTATTCCAGCACTATTTATTCAATAGGGAGTCTTCTCCCCCATTGCTTGTGATTGTTGAGTGGTCTTTGATTCAGTGGCAATTCAGTCCAATTTTATCCAGTTCAATGTATATGAAAAATGATGTTTCATGCTCAACACAAAAGTACTTGACATAAGACTGAATTTGTCATTACATGGTGTGTCCTCTCATGTTCTTCTAAGGCTCAGCCCCTTCCACTAATTTCTGCCCACTTTTCTTTTCTGCCTGCCATGGTGTTAAGCTATCCTAGACTAAAAAACACAAATTTGGGGCAATTTGTTGTGGCAGCCCCAGAAAACTTGGGAAACACAAGTTTCCTGGGGGCTGCCACAACAAATTGCCACAAAATTCATGGCTTAAAACAACACAAATTTATTTTCTTACTGTTCTGGAGGTCAGAAATTCAAAATCAAGATGCCAGTAGGGCTGCATTCCCTCTAGAGGCTCTAGGGAAGAAAACCTCCTGGGCTCTTCCAGGTCTGGTAGCTCCTGGCATTCCTTGGCTTGTGGCCACATCAATCCAATCTTTACCTGTGTATTAGGACTTGGAAATACCATTTTAGGGGACACAATTGAACTGACTACAAGGGGAAAGATTCTGCTGGGGATTTCTTTGTCTTTGGGCCACCTGGTAGGTGAGGTAATGCAGCTCTTGCAGGTCTGGTGGGAACTGTCCTATCCCAGAGGCAGAAACAATAGCAGTGAGCAGAGCCTGACACACAGCCAGGACGCAGGGTCCTCCAGATGCAATTTAACTTCTATCAGGGCTCTTTCATTGAATTAAGGGAACAATCATTTGAGACTCATAGTTTATAATTTTCTCTTCCGATGATATAACTCCCTTTTCACAACCCCTATTTTTTATTAAACTCAGAGTCCTGTAGAGACCTTTAGTGGTGCTATAGAGGCAATAGGGTAAAGTTGCCTGTGGCTCCCTGACTTTTGCTCCTCCACAGTCTGTTGAGGAGGCTGTAGCCTAGGGCCCCTGGTCTTCTCCAATTGTGAAATGGTTCTGACCAGCCTGGGGCTGAAAGCCATTGAACGAAGGTGTGCACTGAAGGGAGGATCATCATCAGCCTGGTACAGCCTTGAAAACATACCTGAGTACACCTGCGAGCTAGAGCCAGACCATCCCTAAAGGTGGAGAGGTCTGCTGAGCACAAATGAAGAGATGCTAGCCGTGCGATCGTGAGCTTAGTCAGTCATGGGCTGCTGTATGCAGGAGTCATGCACTTCCTAGAACACAGGAGGAATCTTAGATACAGAACCAAACATCATCAGCGGCATCACTGTATCTATTTACTGATGACGACAATGATGACAATTTTCTTTTTTTTTTTTTTTAGGGCTTCCATTAGCAGTGGATATGTTTATTTATTTTTTATTTTTTGAATTTGGCACAGCATAATTTCTTTTTTTTAATTTATTATTATTTAAGTTTTAGGGTAAATGTGCACAATGTGCAGGTTAGTTACATATGTATACATGTGTCATGCTGCTGCGCTGCACCCACTAACTCATCATCTAGCATTAGGTATATCTCCCAGTTCTATACCTCCCCCCTCCCCCCACCCCACAACAGTCCCTAGAGTGTGATGTTCCCCTTCCTGTGTCCATGTGTTCTCATTGTTCAATTCCCACCTATGAGTGAGAATATGCGGTGTTTGGTTTTTTGTTCTTGCGATACTTTACTGAGAATGATGATTTCCAATTTCATCCGTGTCCCTACAAAGGACATGAACTCATCATTTTTTATGTCCGCATAGTATTCCATGGTGTATATGTGCCACATTTTCTTAATCCAGTCTATCATTGTTGGACATTTGGGTTGGTTCCAAGTCTTTGCTATTGTGAATAATGCCGCAATAAACATCTGTGTGCATGTGTCTTTATAGCAGCATGATTTATAGTCCTTTGGGTATATACCCAGTAATGGGATGGCTGGGTCAAATGGTATTTCTAGTTCTAGATCCCTAAGGAATCGCCACACTGACTTCCACAATGGTTGAACTAGTTTACAGTCCCACCAACAGTGTAAAAGTGTTCCTATTTCTCCACATCCTCTCCAGCACCTGTTGTTTCCTGACTTTTTAATGATTGCCATTCTAACTGGTGTGAGATGGTATCTCATTGTGGTTTTGATTTGCATTTCTCTGATGGCCAGTGATGGTGAGCATTTTTTCATGTGTTTTTTGGCTGCATAAATGTCTTCTTTTGAGAAGTATCTGTTCATGTCCTTTGCCCACTTTTTGATGGGGTTGTTTTTTTTCTTGTAAATTTGTTTGAGTTCTTTGTAGATTCTAGATATTAGCCCTTTGTCAGATGAGTAGGTTGCGAAAATTTTCTCTAATTTTCTAGGTTGCCTGTTCACTTTGACGGTAGTATCTTTTGCTGGGCAGAAGCTCTTTAGTTTAATGAGATCCCATTTGTCAATTTTGGCTTTTGTTGCCATTGCTTTTGGTGTTTTAGACATGAAGTCCTTCCCCGTGCCTATGTCCTGAATGGTAATGCCTAGGTTTTCTTCTAGGGTTTTTATGGTTTTAGGTCTAACGTTTAAGTCTTTAATCCATCTTGAATTGATTTTTGTATAAGGAGTAAGGAAGGGATCCAGTTTCAGCTTTCTACATATGGCTAGCCAGTTTTCCCAGTACCATTTATTAAATAGGGAATCCTTTCCCCATTGCTTGTTTTTCTCAGGTTTGTCAAAGATCAGATAGTTGTAGATATGCGGCGTTATTTCTGAGGGCTCTGTTCTCTTCCATTGATCTATATCTCTGTTTTGGTACCAGTACCATGCTGTTTTGGTTACTGTAGCCTTGTAGTATAGTTTGAAGTCAGGTAGCGTGATGCCTCCAGCTTTGTTCTTTTGCCTTAGGATTGACTTGGCGATGCGGGCTCTTTTTTGGTTCCATATGAACTTTAAAGTAGTTTTTTCCAATTCTGTGAAGAAAGTCATTGGTAGCTTGATGGGGATGGCATTGAATCTGTAAATTACCTGGGGCAGTATGGCCATTTTCACGATATTGATTCTTCCTACCCATGAGCATGGAATGTTCTTCCATTTGTTTGTATCCTCTTTTATTTCCTTGAGCAGTGGTTTGTAGTTCTCCTTGAAGAGGTCCTTCACATCCCTTGTAAGTTGGATTTCTAGGTATTTTATTTTCTTTGAAGCAATTGTGAATGGGAGTTCACTCATGATTTGGCCCTCTGTTTGTCTGTTGTTGGTGTATAAGAATGCTTGTGATTTTTGTACATTGATTTTGTATCCTCAGACTTTGCTGAAGTTGCTTATCAGCTTAAGGAGATTTTGGGCTGAGACAATGGGGTTTTCTAGATATACAATTATGTTGTCTGCAAACAGGGACAATTTGACTTCCTCTTTTCCTAATTGAATACCCTTTATTTCCTTCTCCTGCCTAATTGCCCTGGCCAGAACTTCCAACACTATGTTGAATAGGAGTGGTGAGAGAGGGCATCCCTGTCTTGTGCCAGTTTTCAAAGGGAATGCTTCCAGTTTTTGCCCATTCAGTATGATATTGGCTGTGGGTTTGTCATAGATAGCTCTTATTATTTTGTGATATGTCCCATCAATACCTAATTTATTGAGAGTTTTTAGCATGAAGGGTTGTTGAATTTTGTCAAAGGCCTTTTCTGCATCTATTGAGATAATCATGTGGTTTTTGTCTTTGGTTCTGTTTATATGCTGGATTACATTTATTGATTTGCATATATTGAACCAGCCTTGCATCCCAGGGATGAAGCCCACTTGATCATGGTGGATAAGCTTTTTGATGTGCTGCTGGATTCAGTTTGCCAGTATTTTATTGAGGATTTTTGCATCAATGTTCATCAAGGATATTGGTCTAAAGTTCTCTTTTTTGGTTGTGTCTCTGCCTGGCTTTGGTATCAGGATGATGCTGGCCTCATAAAATGAGTTAGGGAGTATTCCCTCTTTTTCTATTGATTGGAATAGTTTCAGAAGGAATGGTACCAATTCCTCCTTGTACCTCTGGTAGAATTCAGCTGTGAATCCATCTGGTCCTGGACTCTTTTTTAGTTGGTAAGCTATTGATTATTGCCACAATTTCAGAGCCTGTTATTGGTCTATTCAGAAATTCAACTTCTTCCTGGTTTAGTCTTGGGAGAGGGTATGTGTGGAGGAATTTATCCATTTCTTCTAGATTTTCTAGTTTATATGCGTAGAGGTGTTTGTAGTATTCTCTGATGGTAGCTTGTATTTCTGTGGGATCGGTGGTGATACCCCCTTTATCATTTTTTATTGCATCTATTTGATTCTTCTCTCTTTTTTTCTTTATTAGTCTTGCTAGCGGTCTGTCAATTTTGTTGATCTTTTCAAAAAACCACCTCCTGGATTCATTAATTTTTTGAAGGGTTTTTTGTGTCTCTATTTCCTTCAGTTCTGCTCTGATTTTAGTTATTTCTTGCCTTCTGCTAGCTTTTGAATGTGTTTGCTCTTGCTTTTCTACTTCTTTTAATTGTGATGTTAGGGTGTCAATTTTGGATCTTCCCTGCTTTCTCTTGTGGGCATTTAGTGCTATAAATTTCCCTCTATACACTGCTTTGAATGCATCCCAGAGATTCTGGTATGTTGTGTCTTTGTTCTCATTGGTTTCAAAGAACATCTTTATTTCTGCCTTCATTTCGTTATGTACCCAGTAGTCATTCAGGAGCAGGTTGTTCAGTTCCCATGTAGTTGTGCAGTTTTGAGTGAGATTCTTAATCCTGAGTTCTAGTTTGATTGCACTGTGTTCTGAGAGATAGTTTGTTATAATTTCTGTTCTTTTACATTTGCTGAGGAGAGCTTTACTTCCAAGTATGTGGTCAATTTTGGAATAGGTGTGGTGTGGTGCTGAAAAAAATGTATATTCTGTTGATTTGGGGTGGAGAGTTCTGTAGATGTCTATTAGGTCCGCTTGGTGCAGAGCTGAGTTCAATTCCTGGGTATCCTTGTTGACTTTCTGTCTCGTCGATCTGTCTAATGTTGACAGTGGGGTGTGAAGGTCTCCCATTATTAATGTGTGGGAGTCTAAGTCTCTGTGTAGGTCGCTCAGGACTTGCTTTATGAAACTGGGTGCTCCTTTATTGGGTGCATATATATTTAGGATAGTTAGCTCTTGTTGATGTGATCCCTTTACCATTATGTAATGGCCTTCTTTGTCTCTTTTGATCTTTGTTGGTTTAAAATCCGTTTTATCAAAGACTAGGATTGCAACCCCTGCCTTTTTTTGTTTTCCATTTGCTTGGTAGATCTTCCTCCATCCTTTTATTTTGAGCCTATGTGTGTCTCTGCACGTGAGATGGGTTTCCTGAATACAGCACACTGATGGGTCTTGACTCTTTATCCAATTTGCCAGTCTGTGTCTTTTAATTGGAGAATTTAGTCCATTTACATTTAAAGTTACTATTGTTATGTGTGAATTTGATCCTGTCATTATGTTATCTGGTTATTTTGATCGTTAGTTCATGCAGTTTCTTCCTAGTCTCGATGGTCTTTACAATTTGGCATGATTTTGCAGTGGCTGGTACCGGTTGTTCCTTTCCATGTTTAGTGCTTCCTTCAGGAGCTCTTTTAGGGCAGGCCTGGTGGTGACAAAATCTCTCAGCATTTGCTTGTCTGTAAAGTATTTTATTTCTCCTTCACTTATGAAGCTTAGTTTGGCTGGATATGAAATTCTGGGTTGAAAATTCTTTTCTTTAAGAACGTTGAATATTGGCCCCCACTCTCTTCTGTTTTGTAGTTTCTGCTGAGAGATCCGCTGTTAGTCTGATGGGCTTCCCTTTGTGGGTAACCCGACCTTTCTCTCTGGCTGCCCTTAACATTTTTTCCTTCATTTTAACTTTGGTGAGTCTGACAATTATGTGTCTTGGAGTTGCTCTTCTCGAGGAGTATCTTTGTGGCATTCTCTGTATTTCCTGAAGTTGAATGTTGGCCTGCCTTGATATATTGGGGAAGTTCTCCTGGATAATATCCTGCAGAGTGTTTTCCAACTTGGTTCCATTCTCCCCGTCACTTTCAGGTACACCAATCAGACGTAGATATGGTCTTTTCACATAGTCCCATATTTCTTGGAGGCTTTGCTCGTTTCTTTTTATTCTTTTTTCTCTAAACTTCCCTTCTTGCTTCATTTCGTTCACTTCATCTTCCATCGCTGATACGCTTTCTTCCAGTTGATCGCATCGGCTCCTGAGCCTTCTGCATTCTTCATGTAGTTCTCGAGCCTTGGTTTTCAGCTCCATCAGCTCCTTTAAGCACTTCTCTGTATTGGTTATTCTAGTTATACATTCGCCTAAATTTTTTCAAAGTTTTCAACTTCTTTGCCTTTGGTTTGAATTTCCTCCCGTAGCTCGGAGTAATTTGATCGTCTGAAGCCTTCTTCTCTCAGCTCGTCAAAGTCATTCTCCGTCCAGCTTTGTTCCGTTGCTGGTGAGGAACTGCATTCCTTTGGTGGAGGAGAGTCGCTCTGCTTTTTAGAGTTTCCAGTTTTTCTGCTCTGTTTTTTCCCCATCTTTGTGGCTTTATCTACTTTTGGTCTTTGATGATAGTGATGTACAGATGGGTTTTTGGTGTGGATGTCCTTTCTGTTTTTTAGTTTTCCTTCTAACAGACAGGACCCTCAGCTGCAGGTCTGTTGGAGTACCCGGCCCTGTGATGTGTCAGTCTGCCCCTGCTGGGGGGTGCCTCCCAGTTAGGCTGCTCGGGGGTCAGGAGTCAGGGACCCACTTGAGGAGGCAGTCTGCCCGTTCTCAGATCTCCAGCTGCGTGCTGGGAGAACCACTGCTCTCTTCAAAGCTGTCAGACAGGGTCATTTAAGTCTGCAGAGGTTACTGCTGTCTTTTTGTTTGTTTGTGCCCTGCCCCCAGAGGTGGTGCCTACAGAGACAGGCAGGCCTCCTTGAGCTGTGGTGGGCTCCACCCAGTTTGAGCTTCCCGGCTGCTTTGTTTACCTAAGCAAGCCTGGGCAATGGCGGGTGCCCCTCTTCCAGCCTCGCTGCCGCCTTGCAGTTTGATCTCAGACTGCTGTGCTAGCAATCAGCGAGACTCCATGGGTGTAGGACCCTCTGAATCATGTGTGGTATATAATCTCCTGGTGCGCCGTTTTTTAAGCCCGTCAGAAAAGCGCAGTATTCGGGTGGGAGTGACCCGATTTTCCAGGTGCCGTCTGTCACCCCTTTCTTTGACTAGGAAAGGGAACTCCCTGACCTCTTGTGCTTCCCTAGTGAGGCAATGCCTCGCCCTGCTTCGGCTCGCACATGGTGCGTGCACCCACTGACCTGCGCCCACTGTCTGGCACTCCCTAGTGAGATGAACCCGGTACCTCAGATGGAAAAGCAGAAATCACCTGTCTTCTGCGTCGCTCACGCTGGGAGCTGTAGACTGGAGCTGTTCCTATTTGGCCATCTTGGCTCCTCCCCTCGCACCCTTTTTTCAGTGATGACAATTTTCAATGCCTGAGGATTGGTATAGATGTGGCTCATGGCAATGAGGCAGTTCTACAGTGTAGGAGTGATTTGTTGTGTTTGCCACTGACTTGTTTACTAATATTTGGAGACTTTTAGTACCTTCAAGTGTATTTTAGAAATCTGATGTTAATAACACCAGTGCCTATCCAACAGTCCCAGGCCTATGATCTGGGCGTCTCAATCCACCTTTCCCTTGATCTCTCTCCTCCACTACCCCACATCCATAATCTCGTCCACTTGCACCCCTTTTCAGGCCACCTGGCCTCTGCTGAAAGCATCATGGTCTTTTTGTCCCACAGGAAGCTTCACACGTAGTTCCCCTCAGCCCCGTATTTGCCTTTCCTGTCTAGACATTTTGGGCGACAAAGTGCAGGGTTGGACACGTGAGCTTTGCTGCTGCTCCTTGAAGAAGCACCCTGCTGGGTGATGCATCTCCTTTAACCAGACTTGACAGTGTTTGATTCACCTTTAAACATCTCAGCTCCACCCAGAGCTGCATCAACTGAGTGGTAAATATAGAACCACGCTGCACAGCTAAGCTGAATTGGCCTTTTCTATAAAAGTAATGACTTTAGTCTGCTGGGAAATATTCTGAAGGTTAATATCCCAGAGTGCAAGAGAGAAAATGAACAAAGAATTGCTTCCAGTCAGCTCAAATACATAATGATTTTATGATGTCTCCTAATTACATTTTTTATTGAAAAATATATCTAGATGTTCACGTCTCCAAGGGCACAGCCACAGAGCACTACACAATTTGGAGTTTTCCAGGTTCCAAATTTTGTCATTTTAAAAAAACAAATTTATGTCCTTAATTCTTTTTGGAAATTTAAGTTTTTAAATAAAAATAATGGAATGCTAACACAGTTTATAATACATATTAATTAAATCATTATTTTGCATTATTTGCTGTCTGATAATTTATGTCAAGGATTACTCTAATTCACATTAACATAATCCACACTTAGACATTTCTACATTAGTAAGAGTGACAGTATTTTTAAAAGTAGATGAGTCGAAACAGAGCAATGTGAAAAAGAAGTCAATGGGGACTTTCCTCCACTGGGAATTTGTTCCAGGAAATAAAATTCCAAATACCATGTACTGAAAAAAATGCAGTATTACACAGCATTTCTTGGTGGTAGAAAATTCACTTTCAACAAATATTCTGGCTAACTGGCTAAAAATGATTTTATTTTTTAACCATCTTGACCTAGTTGAGCTTAGCTGCTTTTTTCAGAAAAAAAAGAAAAAGAAAAAGAAGTAAAACAAAAAAAAGCCCATTTGAACCTTAGAAAAAGAATTTGAGTGAATAATGAACCTCAAAGCAAAATTCAGTATTCAGTTTTGTTGTTTCATGACTTCCAACTGTCTATAATTATACCATTATTATTACACAAGAAAAATTATTGTTTTGGCTATTAAAATAATTATTACATTATTATTTCCAACTTTGGAAATTGAGATGTGCAAAAATATTTCCCCAAGGAAGTCCTATTTATTACCTAATTATTGGGGAAGTTTTGTTCAAATTGAGTTATTGCTACCAACTGGACTTTTATGACGCCTTCCCTTTCTTTGTTTTAGTGTTAGCATTATGTATCTAGCAAGGGCTGGCACGCAGCGGGCATTCAGCAAATGTAGGTTTCTGTGGAAAGTACCAAATAATGGATACAAAATTGACCCTCGACAATAATGAATGCATATTTGCTATTCATTCAGCAATACACTAAGTCTCATCCATTGGGCAGATGGGACATGAACAAGTGCTAATTAAGGACAATAACACTCATAACTCTGAGATGTGCTTAATTGGAAACAAGGAGTATGGGATGTTTCAGGCTGGTTATATTCCTGGATAGAATTCTTTTCCACAGAAAGTGTCATCAGGGCTGTAATTGATGCATTAGTTTTTAATGTAAAACACTAGAACGAAACCTATTTCACACTGTAAAACATTTAAAAAAGCGAGCCTTTCTCATTTGTTAAAAGGTTGCATGGTATTTCACTGAACGCAATTAACTGCTAAACCAGGTAGACACTGATGAGCATGTGATGATTTCTAGTCTTTGCCACTCCAGGCAATGCTCCAGCATGGGTTCTTGGGCCGCATCCCTTCCCATATGTGTGAGCATGTCCGCAGGATGACCTCTTGTGAGACAGTCACCAAGTCAAAGGATACCAGCTTTCTAAAGTATGATAATACAGTATTGTAATATTACTCTTCAAGAAGCAACATTAATGAATGCTTCAACTAGCAACATATACTAATAGATGTCTCTATACTTTTGCCAACATTTGTCACATTGAAACAAATGTTTTTAATAATCTAATAATTGAAAATGATGTCCCTTTTAGTTATTTTATTTTTTAATAAGTGAAGTTGAATTTTAAAAAGTATATTTCAAAGTATTTCTTCACATCTTTTGCCCATTTTTCTATTGGATTGTTTCTTGTTCTTGCTGATCTGTAAAAGTTCTGTGTTTTAAAAATATCAGCTCTTTGTGTGTAATATATGCTATAAATATCTTTTTAGTTGAATTTTTTTGTACTTTATTTCTGGTATTTTTTTGTCATGCAGTAAATTTTAACTTTTCATGTTGTCTATTTAACTTTTCATGACAAATGTCATCTAACTTTTGTCAATTTGAGTTTTTAATTTTGCTTAAAATCCCCCTCAACTGTCAGTTTAGAAAAATTTCTGTATTCTCTTGGTGCTTTTTAAGGTTTAATTTTTGTTGTTGTTGTTGTGTTTTTGTTTTTGCTTTTGTGTTTTTGAGACAGAGTTTTGCTCTTGTTGCCCAGGCTGGAATGCAATGGTGCAATCTCGGCTCACTGCAACCTCTGCCTCCTGGGTTCAAGCTATTCTCCTGCCTCAGGCTCCCAAGTAGCTGGGATTACAGGCATGCACTATCACGCCTGGTTAATTTTTTGTTTTTAGTAGAGAGGGGTTTTCACCATGTTGGTCAGGCTGGTCTCGAACTCCTGACCTCAGATTCTCCACTTGCCTCGGCCTCCCAAAGTGCTGGGATTACAGGCATGAGCCACCGTGCCTGGCTTTAAGGTTTAGTTTTTTAAATTATCTTTTTATATTTGTCTGGGGGTTATTTTGATGTAATCAATACAATATGAATCCAAATTTATCATTTTTTCTTGGGTGCTAGCTAGACAGTACACACGCATATGTGTTTGTGTATATATGTGTTAAATATAGTTGTGCAGCATCACATGTTTAAAAAGGTGAAAGAAATACACAGGACTAAGAGAAAGTCATTAATTAATTTTTTTCAAAGAATATAAAGTAAGTCTTCTGAAATATTTAGAATTTCTGATTTATTAAACCTAAAGGAAAGAAATACAGAGATAGGATGATGTTATGGACTAAATGTAAATTTATGTGTTAAAGCCCTAACTCCCAATGTGATGATATTTAAAGATGGTCCTTTAGAGGGTAATTAGAGTTAGATGAGGCCATGGGGGTACAGCTCTGCTCTGGCAGAATTAGCGGGCCCATGTGAAGAGAGACACCAGAAAGCTTGATCTCCTGCTCTCCGCCTGCTTGCACAGAGAAAAGGCTGTGTCAGCACTCACCAGAAACCAACCCTACTGGTGCTCTGATCTTGAAAGTCCGGCTTCCAGAACTGTGAGAAGGTAAATTTCTGTTGTTTAAGCCACCAAGTCTATTGTACTTTGTTATGTCGGGCTAAGAAATCTCAGACAGATATTTATTTACCAGCTAAAATAAATCCAAATAATGTTTAAATTAAAATAGAAGAAACACAGATTAAACTTAAGGAGGAACTTTCTGACAATTAGTTGGCCAAAATACTAGAATAAGCTACCGAAGATCATGAGGTGATCTCCTGAAGATCATGGGGTAAGGGAGAAGTTGGGGGAGACAAACCAGCCAGATCCTTGGTCTCCGGGGAAGTTAAAACATGCACCTGTTTTCAGGCAAAGGATTTGCCTATCCTATTGCTTATGATTATTTTCTACTCACAGAATTGGATATCAGGTGATGTCAATTTTAAAGTTGTTATTTAGTGTTTCTACATGAAGCTATTGAGATTGATTTATGACTACCTTTTATTTCAGGATTTAATATTTCAGAAAAAAATGTATGGACATTTTTCAGTGAGGTGGACTCTCCTTCAATGTGTTCAAATTCTTTCAATGAAACAAATTTTGGTTGAATTTTGCCAAGAGATGGGCATTTTAAAAATACCTGATTTCTGCCCATATTGCTTGAGTATTGAGAAACCAAACTGGGCCCCATGCCAAAGTCTTCATAGATACCTACAGTCTAAATAGCTCACCTTTGATCACATGACAATTCAATGGCAGGATTGATCCTAAACTCACCACCTGTTTAAGCCTTGCCCACAAGCACCAAGCCTTTCTTCTAGTAGGAAAAGAGATATTCCAAAGGGGCTAAGTTCCAAAAATAATTTTGGGATACATTAATGCCATCTTTAAATAGAGGTCTTTTTTTTGCATAGACTCCTTAGTTTCCTTAGTAGATTTAGGGTGCAGGGAACTTATTAAGGAATCAATTAGTGCCTTATTGCTCTGTTGAGGACTGAAGGATACCCTTTCAGCACTGGGAAACTTTTTGTTCCTCTCAAGTACCCATACACTTTCAGGTAATGACTAGGGGAATCTTTGATTTATAGATTGTGAACACAAAAATTCATTTTCGAGGTAGCCAGGAAAGGGAAAAAAGTTTCAGAAGATCGACAGCATTAGAAACTATAGCTGAGAAAAAGAAAATCTGAGCAGAAATTATTGTGAGATATTATTCCTTCAATTCCCAGCAGCTAGAAGGAAAAGGTACCTGTAGTCCTAGCTGGATATTACTTTATGATAAGCCTCTGATTATACACATTGGTCTTTCAGATTCCAACACAGGTAAAAGATTATGTAGGTTTAAACCGCTGGTGCATATCAATGAGCAGATATAACCAACAATGGCCGATGGCTATCAATATGCTAAGGATAGTAAGTTGCCACAGGAAGCCTGTCAAAAAAAACTCCTCAATTCTGGCCACACAGCCACCATCCACCAGGGTCACCCAGAAACACCAGTGCTGGTTGAGGTCCCTCTTATGTCTAGTCAGGTAACCCCATTACAAAGCACTGGTGACTTGGAATCCAGGGTGATTCAAAAGACCAGGCTGATCACTAGCCACCAGCAGGTCAACTAAGTTAACTGCTGAGCACCTGAGTGCACCACTGAAGAACAAACTGGGGATGGAATTGTAACTACTGCACCAAATGGACACTGTAAGGAATGCACAAATGAAGAGACCAAGGCGTGATTCTTTTCCTGTGCACACCACTCCGGCTATTCTAACTCCCAATTCCTCTCTTCTTATTACTGCTCTATCTCTCCATGCCACTGAGGCACCGTAACCCAGTTACAGAGCACAAAAGTTCCAATCCATCAATGTTTAAAAATTGGGGCATTTTTTCTCAAAGCCAATGCCAACTGCATCCTTTGGGAAAGTGTCTTCTAGCTTTCTGAATCATGCACTGGTAGGTGGTGGCTATATATTTCAGGGCAGTTATATATTGTGAGTAGCCCAGTGATGTGGGAAATGTTGTTTTTTTCATATGGGGCTTCCTCTTGTCAAGGCAGATGTAGCTGAACAAACCGGCATCCGTGACAGCCCTGGAAGCCCAGGCCCTGGAACATAGAACTACAAGCATGTCAGAATCTAAGCAGCTCCAGCGACCGCAGGAGCTACAGCTCATCCATGTTTGTTATAATTTTCTGTTTATCTCTCTCTGTCCTCATTCCTCTGTGTTTGGCTTATAAAAGAAAAATTATGCTGAACCAGTTAAACAGGCAAGGAAGACTTTATTCAAAATGATTACAACAGAGGAGAGAGCTTCAATTCAACACTGGAAACAAAGGAGGGAGTTAAGTGCTGAGATGGGCTAGTGAAGTACTCAAGGTTGGGAGGAAATAAGTTGATTAGTGAAATTTGACCATTTGTGTTTGCTAATTGGTACTTATCAAATTTAGTCTCCTGCTTTTTCACAGAGACTGGGAGATAGGGTCGATGATATCTTCCTTGATGGTTACATTTCAAAAGGATGAGTTGCATGTCCTTGGGAAAGACAGAATGGGTTGCAAAACTGGCAAGAGGCTGGGTGAAGATTTACATCTCAAAGGGGCAGAGAAAGGATTTAAAATTGCAAGTTTTCTCAAATAAATGCTCAAAGAAAAGGGAGGTGTATTAGTCCATTTTCACACTGCTGATAAAGACATATCCAAGACTGGGCAATTTATAAAAGAAAGAGGTTTAATTGGACTTACAGTTCCACATGACTGGGGAAGCCTCACAATCATGGTGGAAGGCAAGGAGGAGCAAGTCCCATCTTACATGGATAGCAGCAGGCAAAAAGAGCTTTTGCAGGAAAAATTCCTCTTACAGTAACCATCAGATCTCATGAGACTTACTCACTGTCATGAGAACAGCATGGGAAAGACCTGCCCCCATGATTCAATTACCTGCCACCATGTCCCTCCCACAGTATGTGGGAATTCAAGATGAGATTTGGGTGGGGACACAGCCAAATCATATCAGGAGGCAAGAAGCCTAGGGTCAAGAGGAAACCTGTCGAAAGTTTAGTTAAGTTGAGGGGAATGGTAATGCTGTTTTAATCACTCTTCCCCATTTTTCTTATGGTAACAGTGGACTGACCTTTCTTCCTCTCACGGCTCTTACCCACTGGCCATGGACCAAATAACCCATGCTCATCATCCCTTCAGCATCAGCTTCTGCTGTGAGGCCAAGGTACTGCTATGTCACAGTGATTTCCTGCCAGCTGGCCTCAGGATTCATAGGCCTCACCCACTTTCTATTTCTTTTTTACATTGATTTGAATTATTTTGCTTTTTCTTCTGCCATCTGGAATAACCACAGACCTAAGTATATCTTCACTAATTACGAATTTTTCTTTCTTTTGGAGATTGTAGTCAATGTTTATTACCTACAAATTGAGTTATTGGGTATCTTTTTTATTTTTGCGCACTTACAAATCACTGTCTACCTATAGATAAACTAAACTTCAATCATTTTTTTCAAAAAAACTTTTTCTTTTTTTACTAAGTTCTCTAACACACCATCATCCTTTTCCACTTAAAATTTAATTTTAAAGCCAATATTCATTTATTCAAAGATAAGGTCATCCATCACTCCCATAATCTCCTGGAAAGATAAGAGTAATAAAAAGAAAAGTAATATGTCATATTTCCTTGACAAATAAAGCCATAAGTTGTAAGAATTCACATGCTTGGGTCTATCTTTGGCAACAGAACTAAGAAAGATATCGTAAGTGATATATATTTATTTATGCCCACTGGTTAAAATTACTTTACCAAGTAGTATGACTGCAGAAATGCAAGGAATTTATTCAAGCAAGGTGGAAATGGAATGCTTTACTACAGTTTGAAAAAGACAGTGTCTGCTAGGAGGATTAGGTTCAGCTGCAAATTATTAAAAATTCAAGCAAAAGTAATAATAAAACTGTGGCTTAAACAAGATTTTTAAAATCTTGCATAACGAAGACCCAATATAAGTAGCCACAGACTACCAGCCTCTCTGTGGTCATCAGGGACCCAGACCTCTCCTCCCTGATGACTGTTCATCCCTGGCTTGTTTGCACACTGCTGGGGCTCCTTCCACAGGAAGGAGAAAGCAGGTGAAGAAGAGTGAGCCCTCGATTTTAAGAACACTTCCAGGAAGTTGAACAAAACATTTCTCCTACCTCCTTTTGGCCACAACTTACTCATATGGTCATCCCTAGCCTAAGAGAGGCTGGGAAATGTGGTCTTTAAACTTGGCAGCTGTGTACACAGCCAGAAATCTTAATTCTTTATTTTACTAAGGGTAAAAAGGCAGATCAGATACTGGGGAGACCCAGCACTCCCCACCACACTGACATTATGTGTCTGTGAAGACATAGATAGTGTCTTCCTTCTTTGTTCAAATATATATATATATATTTGAACGTATATATATATATATACACACGTGTATATATACACACATATATATACGTGCATATATATTGTGTATATATATATACGTGTATATATATGTATATATATACCTGTATATATATACTATACTATACAGGTATATATATACATATATATATATACACACACACACACACACACACACACAAATAATTCCAGTGTCCAGGCATATACTTATCTAGGTGTACAGTGGTGAGAGGACCCATGAAGGAACTTGGAAGTGTCTGTGTTGTAGCCCATAACAGGATTTCAGTAGTTAACAAAAATCATGTAATTGCTAACCTTTATTGGGCATCTATAATGTGCCAGGAATTGTTCCAAACACCTTACCCATGCTAACTGTAATCACATGTAGTTCATTCTCACAAAACACAACTGTGAGAGGGACTTTTAATATCTACTTTTAACAAATGAGGAAACTGAGGCAGTGCACACTGAAGCAGCCCCAGCCCTTCAGCTTGCTGCTTTCTGCCGTCACCTTCCTCATGGTAGACAACATCAGATATTTTGATTTCAAGGTCATTCTCTTTGATTATTTCAGCATCAAAATTTTACAAAAGGATGTGGTGATGCCGACAAAATGTTGTGCCATTCTCTTATTTAGTATTGGTGTCTTCCACTCACACTCTGAATTGATACCTTGTTTACACCACTGAAGGAAATATTAAACATGAATTTCTAAGAGATCCCACTAAATTCATGTTCAACATAAATCTTTAGTGATACACAGTGTATGTGTATACACATAAACTGAATTTTAATGAAATTTCAATTGCGACCTTTTTATCTAGTGGTTTGAATTAGTGAGTTTGATAAGACAAAACTCATGTGGATCACAGAGGAAATTTGACTGAGTTGATTAAAATTCCCTAATATGCTTATAAATATGATTTATAAAGAAGCTCTTCTAGTAAATTTTGAAAACCCTGTTTCTTAAGATCTTTTTCATTTTTTTCTCTCCTTGATATTACTTCTAGAATTTTTAAGACTTCTTCCTTAATGGGAAAGCTTAGTATAAAATGCAGACCCATAAGTCTTACCTACTTTTCACTTTTGATCAAGATGTTATATGCCACCCAATTTCTGAATTAACCTCAAAGTCATGCCTGCAAATAGTTTACACATTGGGCTTTCTTTACTTGTAGATAGGAATTAGATTCTGAAAGCCTTAAAGCTCAGGAAGGACTTCATACAAACTCTAATTTCTCCTCATTTTTTTTTCCTTAAATGATGCCAGTGATGTTATGCCAAAGTGAACTAGATGTCAGATCCAGCCCAGGGAGTTGGTAAACCACTGGCCTCCTGGCTTGTGGTCAATTCAAATGAGAGTGGTGTTGTGATTTCTGCTAATAATGATCCAGGATTTCTGCAGGGGCTCAGCCCCAGAGTGCAGGATATGAGCTTCTCCCCGACCAGTGCTGTGGCCCAGAAGCTTCCCTGAGTTCCCAAGTGTTGCAGTGCAGCAGATAGTCCTGTCTTCAATTGGCAGAACAATGTAATTAGCAAGGATCCAGGGCACCAGTGGGCATTGCTCCTGCTGACTTGGAAGAATAGGCAGCTTGCAGATAAAACATTTGCCATCTAGAATGTTCTGCTTCCTGTGATGAACAAAAGGAGTAGGCCAGGGCCGTGGGCATTGTCTAAGAAAAGTTGCACCAGTCAAGTTAAATGGGCAAGGAAGACTATTCATGACTATTGCAATGGGAGAGATTGAATTCAACTCCATTGAAACATAAGGTGGGAAGGTTTTTATTTTTATTTATTTATTTATTTATTTATTTTCCATTATTCTCTTTAATGTCATTAAATTTTTCTTTTTTTTTTATTATACTTTAAGTTTTAGGGTACATGCGCACATTGTGCAGGTTAGTTACATATGTATACATGTGCCATGCTGGTGCGCTGCACCCACTAACTCGTCATCTAGCATTAGGTATATCTCCCAATGCTATCCCTCCCCCCTCCCCCCACCCCACCACAGTCCCCAGAGTGTGATATTCCCCTTCCTGTGTCCATGTGATCTCATTGTTCAATTCCCACCTATGAGTGAGAATATGCGGTGTTTGGTTTTTTGTTCTTGCGATAGTTTACGGAGAATGATGATTTCCAATTTCATCCATGTCCCTACAAAGGACATGAACTCATCATTTTTTATGGCTGCATAGTATTCCATGGTGTATACTTTTCTGCTGACTCACCCCAGAGTTTAAAAACCTTCCATGTGTTTATGCAGCCAAAAAACACATGGAAGGTTTTTAAACTCTGGGGTGAGTCAGCAGAAAAGTATTGAAAGTGTCTATCAGGGAGAGAGGCTGGTTGATGTGATGAGGCCATCTGTGCTTGCTAATTGGTGCTTATTGAAGTTAGGGTTCTGTCCTCGCAAGGAGACTGGAGATAGGAGCCCTATCTTTCTTAGTGATTACATTTCAAAGGCCTAGCTCCAAGATCCACCGGGAAGACATTTTCTGGGTTGTAAAACTAGCAAGAGACTGGGAGAAGGTCTGCATTTGAAAGGGGTAGAAAAAAATGTATAGAGGCAAGATTTCTAAAGTAAATGCTCTGAGAAAAGAAAGGCCAGGGGTCTAGAGTCAGGAAGAAACCTGTCTGCAGTTTAGTTGAGCTAAGGGAACTGTTAAGTTCACCTTGGTTGGTGCACATGGTACTTCTCCTACCGGGAATCACAGCTCAGCCCACCACATGTCCTCTGACTCTCTCACTCCTCTTCTCAGGCACTCTCTCACTCCTTCCCTTCTCAGTTCAAATACTGTCTCTGTGCCAGCCTCACTCCCTCAGGAAATCTTCCTGGAGTTCCACCACCACCCCAAGGCCGTGTCCCTAGTAATCAAACCATATTACAATTCCTCTCTTGCTGTCTGTCCTCATCTGACACTTGTCCTGTGCTTTCTGAATCCTAGCCTGGTATTTAGATGATAGTAGAAATTCCATCAGTGCTGAGTGATTAGTCCACTAGTGGATGAACACCAGTTTCATCCAATTGTCTTAAAACACTTTAATATGGCATGTTTTCTAGAACAAGCTCAATCATGTGCAAATTTTTGCAGGGAATGTCATTTGTAATTCTTCACCTTGAGTGGACATAAAGCAAACAATGTTATGGCCATGTGGCGATCATATGGTATTTCTCCGGAATTTAAAAACCCTTCCTAAAAGTTATTATATTTGTCCATCACATTAACGTTTATATAAACATCCCACATTGCCTCATTTGATTTTTACAAGTAGTCCATGTAGTAAAGGCATAGGACATTTTGTCCCCATTTTAAGGTAGCAATACTATCAAGTGACTGAGCCAGATGTTAATTTAACTCCAAGTCATGAGTTCTCTCATCACCCACCCCCAACCCCTTCTTCCACTCCCACCCCCACCCCACCACATCTTTCAAAAAAGGTCCCTCCTTTCCACCAACTACCACAGTCCATCCTCAGCGAATATGGTGTGGACTCTATCTGATTCTGAATTTCTCTGACATAATAACATCTATTTTTTAATCAAGGAGTGAATAATCTGGAGGTAAAGACTTGAATTCAAGGAGAAGAACATCACACACCAGGGCTTGTCGGGGGGTGGGGGGCTAGATAAGGGATAGCATTAGAAGAAATACCTAATGTAGATAACGGGTTGATGGGTGCAGGAAACCACCATGGCCTGTGTATATCTATGTAACAAACCTGCACGTTCTGCACACGTACCCCAGAACTTAAAGTATAATAATAAAAAAAATAGGTAATACAATCTCATCTTTTGATTGGTATGTGTATATATGTGTGTGTGTGTGTGTGTGTGTGTGTGTGTATATATGGTATGTATATATATGTGTATATATATGTGTGTATATATATGTGTGTGTGTGTATATATATATATATATAGAGAGAGAGAGAGAGAGAGATACTTGAATTCACACTTTGGGTAATTTAGACACCTAGTATAGTGCTTATTACTTGAGGATATCTTCTTAAATGAATCACTTGCTTTCAAAGGCACACTGATGCTCCCCAGCGCCAGTCTTCCTCCGTAGTCTTTCCCTTTCTTTTCTCATTTTACTTTGTCAGAGAAGCAGGAAATTTCTGCCAATGAGAGGAAGTGTGGGCAGTGGAAATTTCTGCTCCTTATGCTAAAATAGTAAGAATATTATAATAATGAAGATAATGAGATGATTATCCAAAATCATCTTTGATAGGAAAAAAATGAGGAACAGTAGAGATAAGTGATCTGAACAATACATAGTAATGTAGAACCATACGGCATTTCTGGAAATTATATTCCATAATTTCTTGACATTGAGAAAGCTTCAAGGAGCATAGAACCTGCTTAATTTTTCTCAAAGAAGTCATTACTATATTTATAGTTGATATTTTTTCCTTAATATAAGGAGCCAGAACTTGTACTTCATATACTTACCAGCACATAGTTTCTCTGCGTAAATGTTTGCTGATGGAAGAAAGGAAGGAAAGAGACATTCAAAGATTGAATGATCAAGTGGGGACCCTGCATCCCATGAGGC
Source organism: Homo sapiens (assembly GCF_000001405.40). Classification (NCBI taxonomy): domain Eukaryota; kingdom Metazoa; phylum Chordata; class Mammalia; order Primates; family Hominidae; genus Homo; species Homo sapiens. Next base: position 7,143,923 of record NC_000005.10, read on the forward strand.
TGAGTCACTGCCAGTCCCCAATTCTTCCCCCTCCACGGCTGCAAGCCTGCCCTCCCGACACTACAGTGGCCACCTCCACTCCTCTGGGTTGAACAAGGAAAGGAGCAGCAGAAGTTGGATGATTTAGATTTCTTCTTCAGATTAGCTATTTACCACTTAGCAAAGCTAGGAGGAGCTGAATTTGAAGGGCTGAGGACCAAAACTTGGCTCATTTGATGTAAGCCTCACAGCAATCCAGGCAGTGGAAATGAGACATGGACCAGGTCCAGGCGAACCTTCCAAAATGAACAGGGCTGGGCTGAGCTGCCCACACACAATGTACAGTGGGGAGGCCCCAGGCATGGGGCAAACAAGGCTCCAAGGGTATCATCCATGGCATGCCTGCTACATGCTACCACCCAATGCAGGGACGCAGTTATGATCCCCATTACCCATGTGAGCAAATGAAGACTTAGGGCTTAGGCCTATCTGGCAGAGGCTAGAGACTTCTACTTCTACCTGGGGCTGGAAATAAGGTCTGTCTATTTGCAGAGCCTGAGACACTAATTACTTCTGCTATTGACCATATTGCTCCTTCTTTCACATAAATGTGACATAGTTTGTGGAGGTCACTCTTGGGAGATCTCTTCCTGCTGTCTCCTGCAGTAGACAGCCTGAGAATGAAACATGACTTGGAGCCTCACATATCTGTGATAGAATCAACAGAGCCTGCACACGCCATTCTCCAAGCAACAGGGACCCAAAAGCTGAGGCTTGAAGGTGGTTGAAGGAGGAGCCAAAGGGAGGGTTTCTCTAACTTTCTGAGCGTTAAAGTCAAACTGCAAAGCTTTTAAGGTACGGATGAAAGCACTTTTGCAGCAATATTCACTGAAAAAACCAAATAGCCTGCTTTCTAAGAAACTTTTTTTTTATTATACTTTGAGTTTTAGGGTACATGTGCACAACGTGCAGGTTAGTTACATATGTATACATGTGCCATGTTGGTGTGCTGCACCCATTAACTCGTCATTTAACATTAGGTATATCTCCTAATGCTATCCCTCCCCCCTCCCCCCAACCCACAACAGGCCCCAGTGTGTGATGTTCCCCTTCCTGTGTCCATGTGTTCTCATTGTTCAATTCCCACCTATGAGTGAGAACATGCGTTATTTGGTTTTTAACCCAAATGTCCAACAGTGATAGACTGGATTAAGAAAATGTGGCACATATACACTGTGGAATACTATGCAGCCATAAAAAATGATGAGTTCATGTCCTTTGTAGGGACATGGATGAAGCTGGAAACCATCATTCTAAGAAACTTTTATAATTGAAGCCAACTATCTGCTTCCTTTCAAGTCATTTCAACAGAGACAGAAATATCATTGCATTGTAGAGGCAGAAATGTCACTATACAAAGTTCAAGGTACCTGAGGGTTTGGGCCATGAATAAACTTCGAAGATCCATTAGCACCAGAAAAATATGCACTTTGGCTAGTGTCTGTGTGTGTTTTTCTTCACTAGGGAGCCAGTCCATTATGTAATTAATTAAAAACATGTCTGTATCAAAATTTGAACCATAAGTCCATAATGATAAAAAATAAATAGACAGGTCAATAAGTCACTAAATGGGACAGGAGAAACTTCTTCCTATAGCAGAAGACCAATATTTAAATGTAGAAGAAAGGATGAAAAAAATCTATACATCCATCACGAGACTGATTGCTACCTGCATGATTCATCAAAGAAAGCTTAAGTCATTGATGCACGTTTCATGAGGAAAGAATATGTACCCAGCCTTACGGTGTCTTCACATGGATCAATTACTACTTATATAAAGGGAAAAATGTTAACTCTGCAGTGAAGAAACACAGTAGACACCTCTCTAACCAAGTCAGCAAAGTGAATGTCACCAACAAGACAAACTGGCCTTTCAGCCTCCTGAAGAGATGTACAAGAAAGACATCTTCACTCCCACTGTCTTCTCACCCAAAATGCTCAGTGCCACCTGAGCATGAAGAAACCTCAGACTGACTCAAACTGAGGACTGTTTTATAAAATCTCTGCTCTGCACTCTTCGAAAAGGTCAATGTCATGGAAGACCAAGAATTAGGAGAAAGTGCTTCAGACTAAAGGAGATCAAGGAGGCAAGACAACTGATACCAAAGTGAGATCCTGGGCTCCACTAAGAACTGGGGAAAACTGCTGCAAGGTACATTATTAAGACATTTGGTGGAATTTGAATATGGATTGTGAATTAAAGCCCCCAATATTTCAATGTAGGTTCTATTTTCCCTGAGTGTCGGCTGGTCTGAGAAATAAAGAGAAAGAGTACAAAGAGAGGAATTTTACAGCTGGGCTTATGGTTAATTTACACTCACCATGATGTTGATGTAAATTTTTCTGAATTTGATAATTGCATTATGGTTCTGGAAGTGGTTGCTCTTGTTCATGTACACAGAAGTATGGGTATTTGGCCTAAAAGGCAAAAGATCTCTAACTTACTCTCATGTAGTTTGTCAAATATTAATAATTATATACTCCCATTATTATTGTTGTTATTATATAAGGAGAAAGAAGCAAATGTGACAATATAAATAGTCTATGAATCTAGGCAAATGGGACCCTGGAGCTTATATAGTTGTACTATAGTTGCAACTGTTCTGTAAGATTGAAATTTTTCAAATAGATGTTAAAGAAAGTTAAAAATCTTGGACCTGGTCCTTCTCTCCTATTTTACATTTGAGAATTCCAGTCTCATAGCAATTAAGTTAAAGGTATCATCTGTCAGTGGAAGAAACTGTACTAAAATCTAGATTCCTGAGTCCTACAAAAATGTTCTGTCCACTTCCCCAGAAAACTGACACGTGTGTATTTTTTTTAACAAATTAATTGAACAACCCAGGTCATATTGCGGATAGCCGGGAGCTGGTTTTTAATGTTCTTTTTTTTTTTCTATAAAGTAGATATTCATTCAATAGAACGAAAGTGGGAAGGATATCTGGATCAGGTAGAAGCTATTCTTACCTTCTTGCTGTAATAATTAGGAGATGCCAAGCACATTTTATTATACCACATTTTTCAACTTCTTCCAAATATATGTAGAAGCAGACAGATTTCACATGAAAGTAGCCCTACTGAAAGTGGAAAAACAAGTCTTTCTTCATTACTGAGCCTGCGACAATACAAAGAATTTTGCTCCCAGTTTGCCACACCCCATCCCAACCACCTGCCCAGGAAGCTAGCCCACATAAGTTCTGAGACTTGGAGCATTTGACTTGATAAGCTGTGCCATGGAGCTCCTGACCTCTCAGGAGGGATAAAAGGGCCATGGATTTCCAGGGAGACTTTATGTATTCAGTTAAGTCTCTGGAAGGGTTCTCAACAGAGGGAATAGGATTCAAGCTAAATTCATGCTTTTATGGGCACCTAAGTTTTAACAAATATGCTACAAGGACAACATTCCATAGCAAGACCTCCCCCAATGGAGTCAGGCACATAATCAAGGCCATGTCTCATTTATTTTTCCTTTTAAGTTGTATTTATATTACAGAGTTAGGGGCACAGACTCCAGAGCTCGAAAGTGTTTGTATCTGGAATGCCAGTCACTAGCTTGGTGACCTCGAGCAACTCACTTAAACTAACTTTACCCCAGGTCCTCACCTGTAAAGTGGAGATAATAATAGCTGTATTCTTCATTTATGCTTTATAAAACCGATGATTGAAATTTAGTGGTCACATTTATGGACTTATTTAAATCCTACCTTATTTCAACATAGGATCATGAAACAACAGATTAAAGACAAATAAATGATGACACTGAGCTGCAGGAAATACAAGGCAAAGAGAAAATGGCGAGGCCTTCAGCAGTCAAAGCCCTCCAGGCATGAAACCATTACTCCCAGGGAGCTGCAGAATTTTTGTGCTTTCTTGCTTCCGCAGTGAAAAATTTGTACATTTCTAATGCAATCAAACATAGACTGAGAGCTTTTTGCTGTCCTGAATTTTGTCTAATGTCTTGAAGCTGAGAATAATGGGGTAATAAGTTAGCCCACATTCTAAAGGGAAGCACTGGATACTTTCCTACCAAATTGCCCAGCGATGGCCAACTTGATTCTCATGAACACCATCGCCAATAACCACCTAAGAGAAGACCAAGGCTTCAGTGGAAGAAATTCATTTAAAGAGGTAGAAAGTTGACATTGTTTCTTTCGTCTTCCAATGTTCGTGTCCTCCCAGCCTCCCCAAGCCAAAAGATGGACATGGGGGTAGGAGGGAGGAGGAGAGTGGCTTGCAAAAAGGAAGGGTAGCATCTCATCCTGGCTGGATGCCTGCTGAGCCATGGGTTATTCCAAGTCCACCCTGTTCAAACGGTGCTATTCAAATGTAGCACAATAGCTGAACTGGTGTCCCCACTCCAAGTTTGGGGGGTGTAGACACTGGGATCTACCCTTTGCCTCCAGAAACTGAAGGTGGGAAGCTGGCTGTGGAGCTGTTACAATGGAGGTTCCAGGTAAGAGGGCTGCAGCGAAAGCTACCTTTTCTGCTATGCCTTGGGAAGGTGGGCAGCCAAGGAGCCTTGAAAGAGCCTGTGCAAGGGGCCTGTGTGGTGGGACCTCAGCGGGGAGGTGCTGAGAGAGCATTGACGAGGCCTGCTGAGGTGACGTCACTTGGCTCATGAGACTGCGTAGGTTTGTGATTCCTAGAGGGGTGTCTACAAAGAGTCACACAAGCACCTAAGGAGGTGGGAACCCTTGGTATGTCTCTCCTGACAGCCTTTGGTAGCCAAGATAATTTTTAAAAAGCACCAGCTGAATAAAATGTCTTGTATTAATGTTTTTCTATTTCTTCTTTCTCTTATCCCAGACCCTATATCCTGAAGGTGGATCCAATGAAAAAAGAGAAGCAGCAAGGTAAATTCTAGGAAAGACTAAACATTTTCCTCTCTTTGGTGTAGAGAAAAGTGAATGAAAAACAGGAGTTTTTTTAGATTTTATTAATGTTATGATATCTGATAATGAGACTGTTCTAATACCCGAAAGGAACCCAAAATCTTCGGAATCCATCCAAGGTATCTTTCATACACAGCACAGGGAGAACTGGCTAAGCCTATTTGCAAAAATTATTTGTTTCCAGGATTGTAGCCTGCAGAGTCCAGCCTATTCCATTAAACGGTGGTGTCAATTTGTCAGGTCCACCGGGTGCAAAGGACCTAGTTCCCCAGAAGGAAGCTTTTCTGTTCTGACCCCACGAGAGATTCTCCCATTTCATGCAGAGAGATGTGCAGTGTCCTTCTTCATAGCCCTACATCCTATCCAGCACTAGGAAGGAGTTACCAAGAAATCTCTATGGCCACATTTGAATATTTTTGGTTGATTATGCATCAAGAACCAGTTAGTATTTTATAATATGTTTAGAGAAACCAAATCTTTCTTGGTCTTCATTTCTCCCATACACAACAAACACATACAAATTCCCATCTCTACAGAATCTTTTAAGTATTCCATTGTTTAAGTATTTACAATGGAGGTTGGGGCCTACAGTAGATGCTTCATATTCTCTAATTATCACCACAAATCATGCTGAAAGGCTTAGAGAGATTATGTAACTTGTTGGCCATGTCTAACTGAAATTCTGTATCCTTTGACCAACCTCTCCCCAGTCTCTCCCCACCCCCAGCTTCTGGTAACTACCATTCTACTTTCTGCTTCTATGAATTTGTTTTTTTAAGATTCCATGTATGAGGATCATGTGGTGTTTTTCTTTCTATTCCTGGCTTATTTCACTCAACCTGTGTCCTCTTGGTTGTTCCACATTGTCGAAAATGTTAGGATTTTCTTGCTTTTTTACCTTACTATACTTTCACGTCATAATTTTCTTGTTCTTTTGTCCTACATTCCTTGCTAAATAAACTATACATTTTTATGGCAGCAGATTTCTTATTCATATTTGTATATCAAACAAAGCTAAAGAATAAATATTGAATTACCAAAGGGATGAATCATTACAAAGCAATAGTAGATTACAAGAATTTGCAAGGCATGGGGGAACTAACTTTTTGAAAGAGTTGACTTTGCACACATATAGACCAACCTATGTATTTTATGGAAAAAACTAAAGTGCTTGAAAATACATTTCTAGAAACCACTGTAAAAGCACTGTAAACCACCAGAAAATCATTTCTGTACACTTTTATCTAGAGGAAGCTAGCCACCTCTATAAAATAAAGACTAATTGAATATTTTGTTGACACCATTTTAGAAGCCAGAAAAGAACAATTTTGTAGTTCTTTAAGGTTATATTTACCCTAAACATTTGAAAAATCCAAATATGAGCTGAAAGATCAGGCATAAAATCCCATCAGGCCTTTGCTGCCATATATAACATTTTTTTCCTACATAAAATCTATCCTGTACACCTCTACCTACTGAATGAAGCTTTCTGTTTCCAGAGTGTGGCTTTTGTGGTGAACAGGGGTTTGTACTGATTTAACAGTGTAAGCAGGCAATCCTCCAGCCCTTATCCGTTTCCCCCCAGTCCCATCCCATTGCCTGTTCTCCTCCACATCCTCAGTCTCTGCCTTGGAGGCAGCTTAGATGGCTCCTGACCTAGTTCAGCCAATGGCAGGAGATAAAAGGGTGGAAAGAAGAGAACAGGTGTGGTCTCAGCCTTGACTGCAGCACCAGATCCCACCAGAGAGGACTTGGTGGCCCCACTCCTGTCTCTGGACTCACAGTGTTGCCTCCTCCCTAGGTCAGCCAAGCCTAGCGGTGGGAGTGACTTCATGTGTTTGCCAATAGCTGGGTCTCCCCACAATGTCCTGTTGGCCTCTCAACTTCTTTCATTATCAAGTTACCATTCTCCCAAATTAAATCCTCTTTTTTGTTGTTGTACATATTTAGAGTGGCTTCTGTTTCCCTGGCTGGACTCTGAGTAATATAGCAGCAATAATTTCCCAAGGGAAAGGAGGAAGACGGGTTGGCTCCAATGAAGACACTTATGATGTGAAGAGTTCCCGTAACAGTTCACCATCTCTGGGGCAGTTATACAACAGGGATCCCTGACTTCTTCAGAACCGAGAGTTCAAATCAGGACTATCTGGTGATGAATCTATCCACTAGAAGCTGGTAAGTGGCTTACATGGACTATATGAGGTCTCACTATGTTGCCAGGGCTGGACTCATACTCCTGGACTTGAGCAATCTTTTTTCCTCAGCTTCCTGGGTGGCTGGGACTACAGGTGTGAACAACCACATCCAGACTCTACAGTTTTCATATAATTGTCCATCTGTGATGCCACATACCACATCTCAATTTTACAGATGTTCAGAGAGGTTAGGTAACTTTTCCAAACTCATCCAGCTAACAAATAACATTGTAAATTACATCAACTGGAGGATGCTTGTTATTGATTACAAATTGCATTTATCAGTTGGTCAGATGACTAGTCAGCCACTGGATTATTCCAAGAAGATTCTATCAATCATAATAAGTTATTAGAAAGTTGTTCTTGGACGAATTTTGTACTTTCTCCCAGATCTGAAAAATAGCAAGGCACGTATATAAAATACGGTAATTCCCAGTGCTAATTTATCAGCAATCTGGAACTTCCACAAGTTACTTTTAACAAGTTAATCACCTGTCTTACAAGTATATATGATCTTAATAATAATAGCTGAGGTTTATACAGTGTTTAATAAATGCCTGGCATTCTTATAAGCATTTACATTAATTAATTCATTTAATTCTCAAAAGAACCCTCTTAAATGAGGGGATTTTAAAAAGTTAATGGAAAATATAATTAAAAGATAAAAATAAAAAATATAAACTTTATTATTCAACATAAGCTCCATCAAGGTAAAGACAATTATGATTATTATTTTTTGAGACAGGGTCTCACTCTGCTGCCCAGGCTGGAGTGCAGTGGTGCAATCATAGCTCACTGCAGCCTCAACCTCCCGGGTTCAATCAATTCTCCTACCTCAGCCTCCCAAGTAGCTGAGACTGCAGGTGCGGTTAGGCACATCCAGCTAATTTTTTATTTTTATAGAAATGGGGGTCTCACTGTGTTGCTCAGCCCAGTCTCAAACTCAAGACACTTTTGTAAGCAATAATACCAGCTATTTAGTTCATCCCTAAAGAACTGAGGGTCAGAAGGAGCGAAATCAGAACTGTAAGGTAGATTCCTAATGACTTCCCAGAAAAACTATTGCTAAATTGCCCTTGTTGATGAGAAGACTGAGCAAGAGCATTGTTGTCATGGAGAAGAACTTTACGGTGAAGCTTTCCCAGACGTTTTTCTGCTAACATTTTGGCTTTTTCAAAACACTCTCATAATAAGCAGATGCTATCATTCTTTGGCCCTTCAGAAAGCCAACAAGCAAAACGCCTTGAGCATCACAAAAAACTGTTGCCATGATGTTTGCTCTTGACTGGTCTGCTTTAGCTTTGACTGGACCACTTCTACTTCTTGGTAGCCATTGCTTTGATTTTGCTTTGTCTTCAGGATCATATGAGTAAAGCCTTGTCTCATCTCTTCTTACAATTCTTCAAAGAAAAGCTTCAGCATCTTGATACCACCTGTTTAAAATTTCCATTGAAAGATCTGCTCTTGTCTGCAGTTGACCTGGGCACAATGGTTCTGGCACCCATTGAGTAGAAAGTTGGTTTAACTTTAATTTTTTAACCAGAATGTGTAAACTGAGCCAATTGAGATGTCTATGTTGGCTATTGTTTCTGCTGTTAATCATTGGTGCTCTTCAATTAAGGCATAAAAAGTTAAATTGTTTCCTTGCAAATTGATGTGAATGGTCTGATTCTGTGGGCCGCATTTTCAGCATCATCTTGTGTCTTCTTAAAACAAGCTATCTATTTATAAACTGCTGATTTCTTTGGGACTCTTGCCTCCATAAGCTTTTTGTAAAGTGTCAATGATTTTACCATTCTTCAACCCCAGCTTCACCATAAATTTGGTGTTTGTTTTTGCTCCAGTTTTAGCAGAATTTATGTTGCTTTGGTAGGGAATCTTTTCAAACTGATACCTTATGCTTCCTAATGCCTCAAACTAGATCCTATTCAGTGAGGTAATAACAAGTTAGTATGAGTTTATTTTGGTGCAAAAAATTTTGAAATACGTGCATAGTTTTTTTATAATGCACATTTTCTATGAACTTTTTGAAGCCCTCTTGTTTGTATAGTATCATTTTCCCCATTTTATTGTTTTGTTGTTATACATTTAGGGGATACAAGTGCAGTTTTGTTATACGGATATACTGTGTAGTGGCAAAGTCTGGGCTTTTAGTTGTACCCATTGCCCAAATAATGAACACCGTACTCAGTAGGCAGTTTTCAACCCTCACCTCTCTCCTACCTTCCCAACTTCAGAGCTCCAGTGTCTATTATTTTACTCTGTATGTCCATGTGTACCTATTGTTTAGTTCCCACTTACAGAAGAAAACATGGCATTTGACTTCCCATTTCTGAGTGATTTTACTTAGAATAACGGCCTCTAGTTCCATGCATGATGCTGCAGAAACCATGATTTTGTTATTTTATGGCTGAATACTATTCCATATATATATAATGGAATATGAATTCAGACAAGATTTTTAATAATTCAGACAAAATTTATATATATATTTTCTTTACCAAATCTCTGTTGATGGACACTTAGGTTGATTCCAAGATTTTGCAATTGTGAATAGGGCTGTGATATACTCTTTTCCATAAAGATTGTACTAATATACATTCCCACAAATGGTGTACAGTTGTTCCCTTTTCTCTGCACACTCCCCAACATCTGTTGTCTTTAGACTTTATAATAATAGTCATTCTGACTGGTGGAAGGAGAAATCTCATTGTAGTTTTAATTTGCATTTCTCTGATGATTAGTAATGTTGAGCATTTTTTCTTATGTTTGTTAGCTGCTTGAATGTCTTCTTTTGAAAAATGTCTTTTCATGTCTTTTGCCTGCTTTTTAATAGGGTTTTTTTTTCTTGTTGAGTAGTTTGAGTTCCTTGTACATTCTGGATATTAGGGCTTTGTTGGATGAATAGTTTGTAAATATTTTCTCCAGTTCTGTAGGTTGTCTGTTTACTCTGTTGATTATTTCTTTTGCTTTGCAGAAGCTTTATTTTAACTAAGTCTCATTTGCCTATTTTTATATTTGTTGCACTTGCTTTTGAGGTCTTGGTCATAAATTACCTGCCTATGCCAATGTCCAGAAGAATTTTTCCTAGGTTTTCTTCTGGAATTTTTATAGTTTCGGGTATTACATTTAAGTATTTAATCCATCTTGAGTTAATTTTTGTATATAGTTAGAGATAGGGATCTAGTTTCATTCTTCTGCACATGGTTATCCAGTTTTCCCAACACTGTTTATTAAATAGGGTGTCCTTTGCACAAGGTATCCTTCAACTTAGTTGAATATCCGTTGGTTGAGGGTATGTGGCTTTATTTCTGGGTTTGCTATTCTGTTCCACCGATTTATGTGTCTATTTTTATGCACAGTATCATGCTGTTTTGATTACTGTAGCCTTGTAGTATAATTTATAGTCAGGTAATGTAATGCCTTCCATATTGTTCTTTTTGCTTAGGATTGCTTTGGCTATTCAGGCTCTTTTATGATTCCATATAAATTTTAGAATTGTTTCTTCTAATTCTGTGAAAAATGACACTAGTAATTTGATAGAAATTGCATTGAATCTGTGGATGGCTTTGGATAATATGGTCATTTTAATGATATTGATTCTTTCAATCCATGAGCATGGAATGATTTTCCATTTGTTTGTGTCATCCACTATTACTTTCATCAGTGTTTTGTAGTTCTTCTCATAGAGATCTTTCACCTACTTGGTTAAATGTATTTCTAGTGATTTTATTGTTTTGTAGCTATTGTAAATGGGATGAGCTTTTGTTTTGGTTCTGAGCATGATCTTTATTGATGTATAAAAATACCATTGATTTTGTATCCTGAAACTTTACTGAAGTCATTTATAAAACTTAGGAGTCTGTTGGAGGAGTCTTTGGAGTTTTCTAGGTATAAGATTGTATCATGGAGCAAACAGTAACTCTTATTTCTTTCACTTGCTAGATTGCTCTAGTTAAAACTTCTAGTACTATGTTGAATAGGAGTGGTGAAAGCTAGCATTCTTATCTTGCTCCAGTTCTTGGGGGAATGCTTTCAGCTTTTCCCCATTTAATATGATATTGGCTGTGGATTTGTCATGTATACGTTTTATTAATTTAAGGTATTTTCCTTTGATGTCTAGTTTGTTGAGGGTTTTATCATGAAGGGATAATGAATTTTATTGAATACTTTTCTGCATCTATTAAGAGGATCATATGGTTTTAAATTTTAATTATTTTTATTTGCTGAATCATATTTATTGATTTCCATATGTTGACCCATCTTTGCATTCCTGGAATAAATACCACTCAATCATGGTGTATCTTTTTGACGTGCTGTTGGATTTGGTTTGCTAGTATTTTTTTTTTTAAGGATTTTTGCAGCTGTATTTATCAGGGATGTTGGCCTATAGGTTTTGGTTGTTGTTGTTGTGTCCTTGTCTAGCTTTGGTATCAAGGTGACGCTGGCTCCACAGAGTGAATTAGGGAGGATTCCCTTCTCCTTGATTTTTTGGGAATACTATCGGTAGGATTGGTACCAGTTCTTTGTACATCTAGTAAAATTTGGCTGTGAATCCATTTGGTCCTTTGCTCTTTTTATTGTTCTTGGGAGATCTTTTATTACTGATTTATTTTCACTACTCATTATTGGTCAGTTAAGGATTTGTGTTTCTTTCTTGTTTAATCTTGGGAAGTTGTATGTTGCTAAGAATTTATGCATTTCCTTTAGGTTTTCTAGTTTGTGTGTGTAGATATGATCATAGTATTTTCTGATGATGATCTTTTGTATTTCTGTGGCATCGGCTATAATGTCATTTTTATCATTGCTGATGGTGCTTATTTGAATCTTTTCTTTTTTTCTTGGCTAATCTAGCTAGTAGCCTATTAATTTTGTTTATCTTTTCAAAGAAGTAACTTTTCATTTTCTTGATCCTTTTCTTTTGTATTAATATCATTTAGTTCTGCCCTGATCCTTGTTATTTCTTTGCTCCTGCTAGCTTTGGGTTTGATTTGCTCTTGTTTTTCTAGTTTCTTTAGGTGCAACATTAGATTGTTAACTTGTCATCTTTCTATCTTTTTAATGTAAGCATTTAGTGCTATACACTTCTTTTAGCACTGCTTTTGCTGTATCTCAGAGATTTTGGTATATTTGGTCTCTATTTTTATTCATTTAAAAACACTTTTTACTTTCTGTCTTAATTTCATCATTGACCCAATCATCATTCAGGAACAGGTTGTTTAATTTTCATTTATTGCTATAGTTTTGAGAGTTCCTTTTGGTATTGATTTTTAGTTTTATTTTAGTGTGGTCCAGGAAGATATTTGATATAATTTTCATTTTAAAAAAATGTATTTAGACTTACCTTGTGGTCTAGTGTATGGTCTGTTTTGGAGAAAGTTCCATGTGCAGATGAAAAGAATGTATATTCTGTGGTTTTTGTGTAGAATGTTCTGTAAAAATTTGTTAGGTCCATTTGGTCTAGAGTACAATTTAAATCTGGATTTTCTTTGTTGATGTTTTGTCTCAATGATTTGTCTAGTGCTGCCAGTGGGATGTCGAAGTTTTTTCCTATTATTGTATTGCTGTCTATCTCTTTTTTTAGGTCTAGTAGTATTTGTTATATGAATCTGGGTGCTTTAGTGTTGGGTGCATTTATATTTAGGATTATTATGTCTTCTCATGGAATTGATTTCTTTATCATTATATAATTATCTTCTTTGTATTTTCCCACTGTTGTTGATTCAAAGACTGTTTTATCTGATAAAGCGTAGGTACCCCTGCTCACTTTTAGCTTCAATTTGCATGAAATTTCTTTTTCCACCCTTTTACTTTGAGTCTGTAAATGTCTTTACCCTTTAGGTGAGTTTCTTGCAGGCAGCATATGGTTGGATCCTGTTTTCTAAATCAATTCCACCAGTCCATATCTTTTAAATGGACCATTTAGTCCATTTACATTCAATATTTACATATTGATATATGAGGTTTTATTCCTGTCATAATGTTAATTGTTCCTTGGCTGCTCTGTGGTCTCAATTGTGTGATTGCTTCGTAAGATCAGTTTCATACTTTCATGTGCTTTTATGATGATGAGTATTGCCCTGTTGTTTCCATGTTTAGAACTCCTTTGAACATTCCTTGTAGGTCAAATTTAGTGGTGATTAATTTCCTTAGCATTTGCTTGTCTGGGAAAGATTTTATTTCCCCTTCATTTATGATAATTAGTTTAGCAAGATATAAAATGCTTGGCTGGCAGTTTTTTTTTCTTTCAGAAGACTGAAAATAAGACTTCAATCTCTTCTGGCTTATAAGGTTTTTACTAAGAAGTTGATTGTTAGTCTGATGGGATTTCTTTTACACATGATTAGACACTTTTTTCTTGCTGATTTAGGATTTATTTTTCCTTCATGTTGACTTTGAATAGTCTAGTGACTATTTGCCTTGGTGAGGTTTTTATGGCTAAGAGTCTTCCACAAGTTTTCTGCAGTTCTTTTATCTCACTGTCTAAATCTCTAGCAAGACTAGGGAATTTTTCCTGAATTTGTCCCTTAAATAGATTTTCCAAGCTCTTTACTTTTTCTTCTTCTCCCTCAGAAACTCAAAGGTTTGGTTGCTTTAAATAATTGCATATTACTCAAAGACTTTTATTGTTTTTTAAATTTTTTTCCTCATTTTTGTTTGACTGGGTTAATTTGAAAGAATTGTCATCAAGTTCTGAAATTCCTTCTTCAGAATGGTTTAGTTTATTGTTAAGCTTTCAACTGTATTTTGTAATTCTTCAGTGAATTTTTTATTTTCAGAAATTCTGCATGATCTTTTAAAAAGTATCTCTTACATACATTTTTTCATTCATATCTTTAATTGTTTTACTGAATTCTTTGTGTTGGTTTTCAAATTTCTCTGGGACCTCATTGAACTTACAATTCACATTTTAATTATTTACCTGTCATTTCAGAATTTTCATTTTGGTTTGGATCCATTGTTGAAGAACTAGTGTGATCTTTTGGAAGTGTTGAAACACTGGGTTTTTTTCATATTCATGGTGTTCTTACACTGGTTCCTTCTTATCTGCAGAAGCTGACTTTTTTATTTTTGAATTTACTTTTGTTCGAATTGGACTTTAAAAATTTTTATCTTTCCTCCTTGAGAATGTGACTGTTAATGTATGTTGTGTAGGTCATTTGGCTTTGATTCTGGGTGTTTTCCAGGGACCAAGGCTCTGTATGATTTCCTTGGGTTATAGATAGCCTTTGTGTGATGGCTTTCTCAAATGTTGGTTCAAGTAGCAATGTACTGGGCATGTAAGCAGGCTCATTCTAACTGGCGTGAGATAGTATCTCATTGTGGGTTTGATTTGCATTTCTCTAATGACCAGTGATGATGAGCTTTTTTTTTTTTTCATATGTTTGTTGGCCACATAGATGTCTTCTTTTGAAAAGTGTCTGTTTATACCCTTTTCCCACTTTTTGATGGGGTTGTTTATTTTTTTTCTTGTAAATTTGTTTAGGTTCCTTGTTTATTCTGGATATTAGCGCTTTGTTAGATGGATAGATTACAAAAATTTTCTCCCATTCTGTAGGTTGCCTGTTCACCCTGATGATAGTTTGTTTGCTGTGCAGTTTAATTAGATCCCATTTGTCAATTTTAACTTTGGTTGCAGTTGCTTTTGTTGTTTTAGTCATGAAGTCTTTGCCCATGCCTATGTCTTGAATGGTATTGCCTAGTTTTTCTTCTAGGGTGTTTATGGTTTTAGGTCTTATATTTAAATCTTTAATCCATCCTGAATTAATTTTTGTATAAGGTGTAAGGAAGGGATCCAGTTTCAGCTTTCTACATATGGCTAGCCAGTTTTCCCAGCACCATTTATTAAATAGGGAATTCCTTCCCCATTTCTTGTTTTTGTAAGGTTTGTCAAATATCAGATGCTTGTAGCTGTGTGGCATTATTTTTGAGGCCTCTGTTCTGTTCCATTGGTCTATATATCTGTTTTGGTACCAGCACCATGCTGTTTTGGTTACTGTAGCCTTGTAGTATAGTTTGAAGTCAGGTACCACGATGCCTCCAGCTTTGTTCTTTTTGCTTAGGATTATCTTGGCAATACAAGCTCTTTTTGGTTCCACATGAAATTTAATGTAGTTTTTTCTAATTCTGTGAAGAAAGTCAATGGTAGCTTGATGGGAGCAGCATTGAATCTATAAATTACTTTGGGCAGTATGGCCATTTTCATGATATTGATTCTTCCTATTCATGAGCATGGAATGTTTTTCCATTTGTTTGTGTCCTCTCTTATTTCCTTGAGCAGTGGTTTGTAGTTCTCCCTGAAGAGGTCCTTTCCATCTGATCTCGACTCACTACAACCTCCGCCTCCCAGGTTCAAGCAATTCTCCTGCCTCAGCCTCCTGAAGCTGGGATTACAGGCATGTTCCACCGTGCCCAGCTAATTTTTGTATTTTTAGTAGAGACGGGATTTCACCCTGATGGTCAGGCTGGTCTCAAACTCCTGACCTTGTGACCCACCTGCCTCAGCCTCCCAAAATGCTGGGATTACAGGCATGAATCATTGTGCTCAGCCTAGATTTTCTAGTTTGTTTGCATACAGGTGTTCATAGTATTCTCTGATGGTAGTTTGTATTTCTGTGGGATCATTGGTGATATCCCCTTTATCATTTTTTATTGTGTCTATTTGATTCTTCTCTCTTTTCTTCTTTATTAGTCTGGCTAGTAGTCTATTTTGTTGATCTTTTAAAAAACCCAGCTCCTGGATTCATTGATTTTTTGAAGGGTTTTTCGTGTCTCTATCTCCTTCACTTCTGCTCTTAGTTATTTTGTGTTTTCTGCTAGCTTTTTAATTTGTTTGCTCTTGCTTCTCTAGTTCTTTTAATTGTAATGTTAGGGTGTCAACTTTAGATCTTTCCCGCTTTCTCATGTGGGCATTTAGTGCTATAAATTTCCCTGTAAACACTGTTTTATCTGTGTTCCAGTGATTCTGGTACGTTTTGTCTTTGTTCTCATTGGTTTCAAAGAACTTATTTATTTCTGCCTTCATTTCGTTACTTACCCAGTAGTCATTCAGGAGCAGTTTGTTCAGTTTTCATGTAGTTGTGTGGTTTTGAGTGAGTTTCTTAATCTTGAGTTCTAATTTGCTTGTACTTTGTTCTGAGAGACTGTTTGTTATGATTTCTGTTCTTTTGCATTTGCTGAGGAGTGTTTTATTTCCAATTATATGGTCAATTTTAGAATAAGTATGATGTGGTGCTGAGAAGAATGTATATTCTGTTAATTTGGGGTGGAGAGTTCTGTAGATGTCTATTAGGTCCACTTGGTCCAGAGCTGAGTTCAAGTTCTGAATATCCTTGTTAATTTTCTGTCTCATTGATCTGTCCAGTACTGACAGTGGGGTGTGAAAGTCTCCTACTATTATTGTGAGGGAGTCTACATCTCTTTTTAGGTCTCTAAGAACTTGCTTTATTAATCTGGGTGCTCCAGTATTGGGGGCATATATATTTAGGATAGTTAACTCTTCTTGTTGCGTTGATCCCTTTACTATTATGTAATGCCCTTCTTTGTCTTTTTTCATCCTTGTTGGTTTAAAGTCTGTTTTATCAGAGCTAGGCTTGTAGCCCCTGCTTTTCTTTGCTTTCCATTGCTTGGTAAATATTCCTCTATCCCTTTATTTTGAGCCTATGTGTGTCTTTGCATGTGAGATAGGTCTCCTGAATACAGCACACGGATGGGTCTTGACTCTTTATCCAGTTTACCACTGTGTGTCTTTTAACTGGGGCATTTAGCCCATTTACATTTAAGGCTAATATTTTAATGTGTGAATTTGATCCTGTCATTATGATGCTAGCTGGTTATTTTGCACATTAGTTGATGCAGTTTCTTCATAGCATCTATGGTCTTTACACTTTGGTATGTTTTTGCGGTGGCTGGTACCGGTTTTTCCTTTCCACATTTAGTGCTTCCTTCAGGAGCTCTTGAAAGGCAGGCCTGGTGGTGACAAAATCCCTCAACATTTGCTTGTCTGTAAAGGATTTTATTTCTCTCACTTATGAAGCTTAGTTTGGCTGCATATGAAATTCTGGGTTGAAGATTCTTTTCTTTAAGAATGTTGAATATGGGCCCCCACTCTCTTCTGGCTTGTAGGGTTTCTGTGGAGAGATCTGCTCTTAGTCTGATGGGCTTCCCTTTGTGGGTAACCTTTCTCTGTGGGTGCCCTTAACATTTTTTCCTGCATTTTGACCTTGGTGAACCTGTCGATTATGTGTCTTGGGGTTGCTCTTCTCAAGGAGTATCTTTGTGGTGTTCTCTGTATTTCCTGAATTTGAATGTTGGCCTGTCTTGCTAGGTTGGGGAAGTTCTCCTGGATAATATCCTAAAGTGTGTTTTCCAACTTAGTTACATTCTTCCTGTCACTTTCAGGTACACCGATCAAATGTAGATTTGGTCTTTTCACATAGTTCCATATTTTTTTGAGGCTTTGTTCATTCCTTTGCGTTTCTCTAATCTTGTCTTCATGCTTTATTTCATTAAGTTGATCTTCAATCTCTGATATTCTTTCTTCCACTTGATTGATTCAGCTATTGATACTTGTGTATGCTTCACGAAGTTCTCATGTTGTGTTTTTCAGCTCTATCAGGTCATTTATGTTTTTCTCTAAACTGGTTATTCTAGTTAGCAGTTACTGTAACCTTTTATCAAGGTTCTTAGCTTCCTTGTGTTGGGTTAGAACATGCTCCTTTAGCTCAGAGGAGTTTGTTATTACCCACCTTCTGAAGCCTACTTCTGTCAACTCATCAAACTCATTCTCCATCCAGTTTTTTCCCTTGCTGGTGAGGATTTGTGATCCTTTGGAGGAGAAGAGGCATTCTGCTTTTTGGAATTTTCTGCATTTTTGCGCTGGTTTTTCCTCATCTTTGTGAATTTATCTACCTTCGATCTTTGATGTCGGTGACCGTCGGATGGGGTTTTTGCGTTGGTGTCCTTGTTGTTCATGTTGATGTTATTGGTTTCTGTTTGTTAGTTTTCCTTCTAACAGGCCCCTCTGCTGCACGTTTGCTGGAGGTCCACTCCAGACCCTGTTTGCCTGGGTATCACCAGCAGAGGCTGCAGAACAGCAAAGATTGCTCCCTGCTTCTTCCTTGGGAAGCTTCATCCCAGAGAGGCACCCGCCAGATGCCAGCCAGAGCTGTCCTGTATGAGGTGTCTGTCGACTCCTGCTGGGAGGTGCCTCCAAGTCAGAAGGCACGGGGCTCAGGGACCCACTTGAGGAGGCAGTCTGTCCCTTAGCAGAGCTCAAGTGCTGTGCTGAGAGATCTGCTGCTCTCTTCAGAGCCATCAGGGAGGAACATTATGTTTGCTGAAGCTGTGCTCACAGCTGCCCCTTCCCCCAGGTCCTCTGTCCCAGGGAGATGGGAGTTTTACCTATAAGCCCCTGACTGGGGCTGCTGCCTTTCTTTCAGAGATGCCCTGGCCTGAGAGGAGGAATCTAGAGAGGGAGTTTGGCTATAGTGGCTTTGCCAGGCTACGGTGGGTTTTGCTCAGTTCGAACTTCCTGGTGGCTTTGTTTACACCGTGAGGGGAAAACTGCCTACTCAAGCCTCAGTAATGGCAGACACCCCTCCCCGCACCAAGCTTGAGCATCCCAGGTCAACTTCAGACTGCTGTGCTGGCAGCAAGAATTTCAAGCCAGTGGATCTTAGCTTGCTGGGCTCCATGGGGGTGGGATCTGCTGAGCAAGACCACTTGTCTCCCTAGCTTCAGCTCCCTTTCCAGGGGAGTGAATGGTTCTGTCTTGCTGGCATTCCAGGCGCTATTGGGGTATGAAAAAAAATCCTGCAACTACCTCAGTGTCTGCCCAAATGGCTGCCCAGTTTTATGCTTGAAACCCAGGGCCATGGTGGTGTATGCACCTGAGGGAATCTCCTGGTCTGCAGGTTGTGAAGACCATGGGAAAACCATAGTATCTGGGCAAATAGCACCATCCTTCATGGCACAGTCCCTCATGGCTTCCCTTGGCTAGGGGAGGGAGTTCCCTGGCCCCTTGCATGTTGCTGGTGAGCTGATGCCCCACCCTGCTTCTGTTGGCCATCTGTCTAACCAGTCCCAATGAGATGAACCGGATACCTCAGTTGGAAATACAGAAAACATCCGCCTTCTGTGTTGGTCTCGCTAGGAGCTGCAGACCAGAGCTGTTTCTATTTGGCCATCCTGCCAGCCCTCCTTCATGTTGGGTCTTTAACTGCCATTGTACTTGTCAGTTAGCACACAGTTTAGCAGAAATGCTGCTTTGCTGACTTGACTTGATAAAATTTGGTCAAGAGTCTTATTATTTGTCTTTTTGCTGTGGATTTTTAAGAAAGTTGTTATCTTCATGGTCTGATTTCTTTTTGAGACAGAGAGTCCCACTCTGTCCCCAAGGCTGGAGTACAGTGGCCTAATCATGGCTCACTGCAGTCTGGAACTCCTGGGCTCAAATAATCCTCCTACCTCAGCCTCCCAAGTATCAAGGCATATGTCACTACACCTGGCTATGTCACCATGCCCAGCTAATTTTTTAATTTTTACTTTTTGTAGAGATTAGATTCCACCGTGTTGCCCACACTGGTCTTGAACTCTTGAGCTCAAGCTATCCTCCCACTTTGGCCTGGTAAAGTGCTAGGATTATAGGCATGAGCCACCCTGCCTGGCCCATGATCTGATTTTCAACAAGATATAAGCTAATCCTAAGACGATACTTTCACTCTCTCTCTCTCTCGTTCTCTCCCTTTCTACTTCATCTAAGAACCATAGTGGCAGAGATATAACTGTTAGGCAGTAATTTTACTAAATTATATAATTCTCCATTTCACACTCTTAAAGTTCAAGTTTGGTGATAATTATTCCACTATATTACTAATATTTCCACATAAATTTTTTTCCAGATACTTCAGATTATGACAAGGGTTGAAAGAGCCTCACCATATTGGCTGCTTAAGAACAAAAGAAGGTATTGATAAGGAGGTAATGAAGAGAGAAATACAGTCTAAAATATAATCTGTAGTTTGTTTGGTCAACTATAACAGAAAGAAATTGAGGCAGAGAGGTTATGGACCATCCTTTCTCATCCCCACCTCCACTCTGCACCCTGTGTAGACCAGGAGACTGAAGTGAAAGCTCTTGAGTTTGACTTCTTTCTCCCAACATATCCACCCTGGCTTATAAACACCACCTCATGAGCTAACTAACTAACTTTCATCATTAGAAAGGTGAAATGAGGCAATCCCTCTAAGATCCATCACTGAATCAAGAGTTAAGTAAGAACCCCCACACTCTGCCTCATTTTGAGATTTTTGGCAAATAAGACTGATTTTATTTCTTTATATTGTTATTGTACATAAAGTAAAACAAGACAATATTTGGGCAGCACATGAGGCAGAAAACACAGATGAGGCAATGATTGATCTAGACAATTTGTAAAGACATCGCTATTATTTCAGATCAAACAGATGAGCAAGAACACATACCCATGGAGAGGTTAATTGATAGGATCAGTGAAAAGCTCTATGGGCATTGAGACACAATGAGATATTGAGATCATTACAAAGGCATTGCTGTGAACTCTTCTTTGGAAAACATCCATCCCATTTATTAAAAGAGTTGAATTCATCTCCCTTTTTATGTGTTACAACAGAGAAAGATGACCTTGCAGATTGTCTAGAAGTATTATATCTGACAGCACACATGGGAGACTCTTTATGGTTGGAAAAGCCACTGCAGATCTTTGTGTCTTAACATTTCTAACTCAAAATAACAAAACAGGGAAAATGATTTAGGTTCCTTGGGATGAAAAGACTCTCCAGTTGTGCAAGTATGAATATATAATTATAAAATTATACATGTGTACAGAAAGTATTATTTGTAATTGTGTTCATATTTATTTATTTTGATACCTACTGCTAACTTATCTAGGATTAAAGATGGGAAACTAACTGAACTGTACAATTTCTTCTGAATACATGAGACCTGTTGGTCATTTTTAGATTAGAGACACAATGTTGGTAAGCAAAGAAGGCTTCCTGAAATCCAAACAGGACTGCTTCCTTTTAGAACAAGGCTAGTGCAGAATCACCTCCTTTTTATCCGCAGGCCAAGTCCTGCTTCCAGGTAGGTTTTCTTTATCCCAACTGATGATTACAGAAAGTTTGTACTAACATTTAAATATTAGGAGTATTCACGTAACAACTTGGATATTTATCTCCTCTTGGAAATCAGAGGATCTGACCACAGAGAGGTCTTAAATCCCCAGAGGGTCACCACTGGCTCAAAGCAAACAGTGGTTCCCTTTCCTTTCAGTTTGCAGTAGGTACCAACCTGCCCACTATTCATGCACTCAACTGCCTGCTCCTGTAGGAATGCAAGTTTGTTACCTTTTGTCTAGGGATTGGATTTCAGCTTTACAAGTTCAAAAACTTTATTTAAATTCATAAAAGGTTTGGTCCAGCATAAAACATCTGTTTCGCAGTATCCAAAGATTCCACCTGACAAACAAAATGCCCATTTGTTAACTTATCATTAGAAATGTTGACCAGGCCAAACACCGTGGCTCACGTCTGTAATTCCAACACTTTGGGAGGTTGAGGCAGGATCCGCCTCACTTGAAGATCTGGATCACATGAGGTCAGGAGTTCGAGACCAACATGGCCAACATGGTGAAACCTATCTCTACTGAAAATAAAAAATTAGCCAGGCGTGGTGGCACACATCTATAATCCCAGCTACTCAAGAGGCTGCAGCAGAAGAATCGCTTGAACCCGGGAGGCAGTGGTTGCAGTGAACTGAGATCACGCCACTGCACTCCAGCCTAGGCGAGAGAGTGAGACTCATCAAAAAAAGAAAAAAAGAAAAAGGACTTATTGACCAAACCATTGTTATCAAAAGTTCCATACATTCTCTCTCAAGTATATGACTCCCTAAGAAAATCAAGCTGATGGCCGGGCGCAGTGGCTCACGCCTGTAATCCCGGCACTTTGGGAGGCTGAGGCTGGCGGATCACGAGGTCAGGAGATAGATACCATCCTGGCTAACACGGTGAAACCCCGTCTCTACTAAAAATACAAAAATTAGCTGGGCATGGTGGCAGCAGCCTGTAGTCCCAGCTACTCCGGAGGCTGAGCCAAGAGAATGGCATGAACCTGGGAGGTGGAGCTTGCAGTGAGCTGAGATCCTGCCACTGCACTCCAGCTTGGCCTGGGTGACAGAGCGAGACTCTGTCTCAAAAAAAAAAAAAAGAAAATAAAGCTGACAATGTTTGGTGAGTTGAAAAATGAGGCAAGTGGGTAGTTAGAGAATCTTAAAGACAAATTCACATTGTGATGTATCAAACCCTTCTGGGCCGGCACGATAGCTCACGCCTGTAATCCCAGCACTTTGGGAGGCTGAGGCAGGTGGATCACCTGAGGTTAGGAGTTCGAGACCATCCTGGCCAACATAGTGAAAACTCATCTCTACTAAAAATACAAAAAATTTTCTGGGTATTGTGGTGGTCACCTGTGATCCCAGCTACTCGGGAGGCTGAGGCAAGAGAATCGCTTGAACCTGGGAGGTGGAGGTTGCAGTGAGCCGAGATCACACCATTGCACTCCAGCCTGGGCATCAAGAGTGAAACTCTGTCTGAAAAAAAAAAAAATCCTTCTAAGACCTCCAACCATGGGCATCTGCCTCCTTGGGCAAATTGCTCAGGGAGTGGATTTCAAGATGTTTTAGTAGTACCAAGCGCATGGAGGTGGCTTAGGTGAGTCACTGTCCCTCTGCTCCCCAAGCCCCACCTCCCACATACTTGAACACTTCAACCAGAGCGCCTCACTTTTTACATGGGCCACCCCATTTGAAAAGTGAATCTGTCTGTTCATAGAGGGGGGCACTTAAACATAAAAGGAATTTTGAAGGCCACAAGCTTAGACACTCTTCTTGATGTTGGCAGAGACATCATCAATTGAGAACTGGCTTATGGTAACAGAAGACGGCACTATCACAAGCCAGCTGTGTTTCCTGAGAATATTCCCTTGGGCTACTGATAGAGATTTCACTCCTACATAGAAATAATATCTTAGAATAGGTTGCTCTGCAGATAACTAGGCTCACACTTTCAACATCGCTCCTTGCAATCACTGTTTCAGAGAGTGGCTGTTTCCTAAACTCACTGCATCTTAAGAACTGTGTATGGGTTATAGGATATTCACATACAGAATATGCATAGTTAAACAGGATTCTTCTTTAAGGGAAGAGAAGCTGCTTCCCCAATTTGGTATGTATCTTGCAACTTAGATAAGACTTTATAGAACGAGGAAATTCGTGTCTACTTCTAACACCCTCAATGGAGAATATCCTGTTTTAAAATGTTAGTATGTTTATATGTATACATAAATAATATGTTGATATGTATAGTTTTTATACGTGTGTATGTGCATGTATACTCCATTGAGAAAATCACTTTACTCCACTGAGAAAATCATTCAGTTTAATTATGTGCTCTTATTCAAGCGCATTGTTTGCTGTTGACAGTGGTAATGGCAATAAATGCACTGATACATTTTGGCCTTTTTGAGGTTTTGAAGAGTAACATGGTAACCTTTAGAAGGGCAGCTGATACAACAACATTCCATTTCTGATTTTCCTCTGGAAGGTTTTTTAAAAGCTCACATTTCTTCTAATCCCCTTACGTGACATTTTCTCCCAAACTATGATTTTGGCTCTATTTCTGTGCAAATGAATTGAATTTTATGAAGGAGTCTTTGGAAAGAGAGGGATGTGTGCTGTCCAAAAGATGCCCATAGAGCTTTTTATAGCATTTAAAACTTACCCACAAAATTCTGACCACAGGATAATCGAACCACAGATACTGCTTCTGTATGTTTACCTATAAAACTACTATACATTAAATATCTGAAATATTTTAATACTTTGTATTCTATTTATTATCATAAGTTAATTCAACATTTGATGGAGAAGTTAATGGAATCCCAATAACTCTTGAAATTTTTAATTACTTATTATGGGTTCATGTTCAAAATTTTTTCTTCTAAAAAATTTCCATTATCATAAGTATTTTCATCCACCTCAAACCCATAAAAAGAATAAACCATGCTATGCTTACAGAGTTATGCCAGAATCTTTGTTGTGGGATTCTTTTCTAATGAAAGTGGTTTTTTTTTCTGCCCATTTTTAAGTGAGGGACACAAGTAAATGTTTGAAAACAAAGCGAGAGTTTTTAAACCAACATGTTTGGTATCCAAAATATGAATAACATACAGGTGACTGAAAAGAAGATATTTCCTAAAATTTCACCAAGGAATGTCAGGTATGAGCTACTTGTTGGGAGAGCCAAAGATCGAGTTGTTGAAATAATACCAGGAACAGCTCATGGAAGCTGCCTTCCACCAACTACATCTTATTTCACCAGTGGAATTTGGAAGCTGTCAGCAAAATGTAAAATGTATCCCCAACGGCCTTCTCTGGTTTCTTCCTGGCTGTTCATTTGGTTTATTTAACATCATTTGCTTTCTTTTTAAACCCCTAAGGGACAGAGATGGGGAAGAGTGTGTATTAAAAACCATTCTGTCTCCTTTTAGTTCCTCTGAGCCAGATGCGTATTTTCCTTGAGCGTATCATTGGTATTTCTGCTAAAATTCCAAGGGATTCAGAGAAAATCCATCTATATTTTTAATAAACATGCTGAAAATTTTTTGTTCAGTTGACAGAGTTTAAGTAAATGATCTGTGTTACTGCTAGAAAATCATCTTATTTGCCCATTTTTTGTATTTGCACATATAGATTCTCCTGAAACTGTTTAGAATAAAGCAAGTCTTGTGAAGACCCTGTGTGAAGCTGGTGTTTAACTCATAGATTTAATAAATTAATGTCTAGAATAGTCAGAGAGACCCAACGCTTTGGCTGTTTGAAAAAAAGACTTGTTATAATTCTCAACTTAGCTATTCTATTATACTATCCAAGTCAGCACAGCATGTTACAGGCTTGGGATAGTATTGTGTTATGAGTATGATAGAATTACCTGTGGGTTGAGATGAGTTCAGTTATTTGGTTGAACTATGTGAAATTGCAGTTATTTGCCTGCTTTTGCCCTGTATAGTGGGGATTTCATACGATTCAATTTAATGTATAAGGTAATACTTCAACTTAAATTCATGTGAATCAATTTCTAAATTGATCTATCAACTATACAGTAGCTCCTGAAAGGGGAAAAAGTGGGACAATATTGAGAATGCTGAATAAAATAAGGCCTACTTAGTAAGATACGTAGAAATCTCTGTTTTTTTTCTCTAAGAGTCCAACTAAGCTAGGTAAGCCTTAGCACTGATCACATCATCCAGAGAGTGGGCTAGGGCATTCTCTGGGCTCCCTGTGGCCAGGACATGTTGCTACACTGAGAAGGACAGCATTGGGCCAGTGGCCACTGGATGGCAGTTGCTCAGGAGAGATGTTACAGGTAAAGACAGGATGTTGTCTCTGGATTTTAGCTTATATAACATCACTCAGTTCAAACTTACTCACATCAACAATGAATGGGTGATCCATTAGCCTGCTATCCTCTTATGCAAAGGTTAAGTCTTGAAGGACAAGTATGAGCACCTAAATGAAAGGAGGGAAGTGGAGCTGTGATGATTCAGACAGAGGAATCAGCCAGAACAGAGACTGAGCTACTTGGGAGAGGTGTCTGACCTGTCTTCGTTACATAGGTTCTTACTACCAACGTCATTCCTCATTTTCTCTTTCCTTCTAATGACTCATCTTCCTTCCGCTAAGTACAAGTAGACTGCTAACAATTTTATATGTATATGACTTAAAATTTTTTTGAAAAACAGATCATTAGAAACACTGAATTTGCCCTCAAGAGAATAGTTGACAATTATCTTGAAGGTGATAATTTTACCGTAGTTAAGAGTGTGAAATTTGGAATCAGAAAGACCCAACTTTGATTCTTAACTCTACCACTTACAGAATGGGACCAAAAAAAGTAACTCGATTTCTTTAAACCTTGATTTTTATTGGCTATAAAAAGAAAATTAATTATTTATCTAGAACATTAATGCAATCAAACCCTTAGGCATTGCTGGTGGAAATGTAAAACGTAGCTCTTTGGAAAACAGTTTAGTTGTATCTTAAGAAGTTAAACATAAACTTATCTTATCACCCAGTACTTATTTTCTAGTTAGTTACCCAAGAGTAGTGAAAACATATGTCTATTGCTGGATAGTTGGTAGATCCATTCAGAAATGAATTCACATGAACTCAAATTGAAGTTTCATCTTAATCTTCATAACAATATTAGTTATAATAAGCAAAATGTGGAAAAATCAAAAAGTTCATCAACTGGTAAATGGATAAACAAAATGTGATTTATTCATGCAATGGAATAACATTCAGTAATGAAAGCCAACAAAATACTTAGACATTCTATAACATGAATAAATGTCAAAAACATTATGCCAAATAAAGGAAACCAGATAGAAAAGGCTACATATTGGGGTGGAGCCAGGATGGCTGAATACGAACAGCTCCGGTCTACAGCTCCCAGAGTGAGCAACACAGAAGACGGGTGATTTCTACATTTCCATCTGAGGTACCGGGTTCATCTCACTAGGGAGTGCCAGACAGTGGGCGCAGGACAGTGGGTGCAGCTCACCATGCACGAGCCAAAGCAGGGCAAGGCATTGCCTCACTCAGGAAGCACAAGGGGTCAGGGAGTACCCTTTCCTAGTCAAAGAAAGGGGTGACAGATGGCACCTGGAAAATCGGGTCACTCCCACCCGAATACTGCGCTTTTCCGACAGGCTTAAAAAACGGCGCACCAGGAGATTACATCCCGCAACTGGCTCGGAGGGGTCCTACGCCCACGGAGTCTCACTGATTGCTAGCACAGCAGTCTGAGATCAAACTGCAAGGCGGCAGCGAGGCTGGAGGAGGGGCGCCCGCCATTGCCGAGACTTGCTTAGGTAAACAAAGCAGCCAGGAAGCTCGAACTGGGTGGAGCCCACCACAGCTCAAGCAGGCCTGCCTGCCTCTGTAGGCTCCACCTCTGGGGGAAGGGCACAGACAAACAAAAAGACAGCAGTAACCTCTGCAGACTTAAATGTCCCTGTCTGACAGCTTTGAAGAGAGAGAGCAGTGGTTCTCCCAGCACGCAGCTGGAGATCTGAGAACGGGCAGACTGCCTCCTCGAGTGGGTCTCTGACCCCTGACCCCCGAGCAGCCTAACTGGGAGGCACCCCCCAGTAGGGGCAGACTGACACCTCACACGGCCAGGTACTCCTCTGAGACAAAACTTCCAGAGGAACGATCAGACAGCAGCATTCTCGGTTCAGGAAAATCTGCTGGTCTGCAGCCGCAGCTGCTGGTACCCAGGCAAACAGGGTCTGGAATGGACCTCTAGCAAACTCCAACAGACCTGCAGCTGAGGGTCCTGTCTGTTAGAAGGAAAACTAACAAACAGGAAGGACATCCACACCAAAAACCCATCTGTACATCACCGTCATCAAAGACCAAAAGTAGATAAAACCACAAAGATGGGGAAAAGACAGAGCAGAAAAACTGGAAACTCTAAAAAGCAGAGCGCCTCTCCTCCTCCAAAGGAACGCAGCTCCTCACCAGCAATGGAACAAAGCTGGACGGAGAATGACTTTGACGAATTGAGAGAAGAAGGCTTCAGATGATCAGACTACTCCGAGCTACAGGAGGAAATTCAAACCAAAGGCAAAGAAGTTGAAAACTTTGAAAAAAATTTAGAAGAATGTATAACTAGAATAGCCAATACAGAGAAGTGCTTAAAGGAGCTGATGGGGCTGAAAGCAAGACTCGAGAACAACATGAAGAATGCAGAAGCCTCAGGAGCTGATGAGATCAACTGGAAGAAAGGGTATCAGCAATGGAAGATGAAATGAATGAAATGAAGCGAGAAGGGAAGTTTAGAGAAAAAAGAATAAAAAGAAACAAACAAAGCCTCCAAGAAATATGGGACTATGTGAAAAGACCAAATCTACGTCTGATTGGCGTACCTGAAAGTGACGGGGAGAATGGAACCAAGTTGGAAAACACTCTGCAGGATATTATCCAGGAGAACTTCCCCAATCTAGCAAGGCAGGCCAACATTCAGATTCAGGAAATACAGAGAATGCCACAAAGATACTCCTCGAGAAGAGGAACTCCAAGACACATAATTGTCAGACTCACCAAAGTTGAAATGAAGGAAAAAATGTTAAGGGCAGCCAGAGAGAAAGGTCAGGTTAGCCACAAAGGGAAGCCCATCAGACTAACAGCAGATCTCTCGGCAGAAACTCTACAAGCCAGAAGAGAGTGGGGGCCAATATTCAACATTCTTAAAGAAAAGAATTTTCAACCCAGAATTTCATATCCAGCCAAACTAAGCTTCATAAGTGAAAGAGAAATAAAATACTTTACAGACAAGCAAATGCTGAGAGATTTTGTCACCACCAGGCCTGCCCTAAAAGAGCTCCTGAAGGAAGCACTAAACATGGAAAGGAACAACTGGTACCAGCCACTGCAAAATCATGCCAAATTGTAAAGGCCATCGAGACTAGGAAGAAACTGCATCAACTAACGAGCAAAATAACCAGCTAACATCATAATGACACGATCAAATTCACACATAACAATATTAACTTTAAATGTAAATGGACTAAATGCTCCAATTAAAAGACACAGACTGGCAAATTGGATAAAGAGTCAAGACCCATCGGTGTGCTGTATTCAGGAAACCCATCTCACGTGCAGAGACACACATAGGCTCAAAATAAAAGGATGGAGGAAGATCTACCAAGCAAATGGAAAACAAAAAAAGGCAGGGGTTGCAATCCTAGTCTCTGATAAAACAGACTTGAAACCAACAAAGATCAAAAGAGACAAAGAAGGCCATTACGTAATGGTAAAGGGATCAATTCAACAAGAAGAGCTAACTATCCTAAATATATATGCACCCAATACAGGAGCACTCAGATTCATAAAGCAAGTCCTGAGTGATCTACAAAGAGACTTAGACTCCCACACAATAATAATGGGAGACTTTAACACCCCACTGTCAACATTAGACAGATCAACAAGACAGAAAGTCAACAAGGATACCCAGGAATTGAACTCAGCTCTGCATCAAGTGGACCTAATAGACATCTACAGAACTCTCCACCCCAAATCAACAGAATATCCATTTTTTTCAGCACCACACCACACCTATTCCAAAATTGACCACATAGTTGGAAGTAAAGCTCTCCTCAGCAAATGTAAAAGATCAGAAATTATAACAAATTGTCTCTCAGACCACAGTGCAATCAAACTAGAACTCAGGATTAAGAAACTTACTCAAAACCACTCAACTACATGGAAGCTGAACAACCTGCTCCTGAATCACTACTGGGTACATAACGAAATGAAGGCAGAAATAAAGATGTTCTTTGAAACCAATGAGAACAAAGACACAACATACCAGAATCTCTGGTACACATTCAAAACAGTGTGTAGAGGGAAATTTATAGCACTAAATGCCCACAAGAGAAAGCAGGAAAGATCCAAAATTGACACCCTAACATCACAATTAAAAGAAGTAGAAAAGCAAGAGCAAACACATTCAAAAGCTGGCAGAAGGCAAGAAATAACTAAAATCAGAGCAGAACTGAAGGAAATAGAGACACAAAAAACCCTTCAAAAAATTAATGACTCCAGGAGCTGGTTTTTTGAAAAGATCAACAAAATTGATAGACTGCTAGCAAGACTGATAAAGAAGAAAAGAGAGAAGAATCAAATAGATGCAATAAAAAATGACAAAGGGGATATCACCACCGATCCCACAGAAATACAATCTATCATCAGAGAATACTACAAACACCTCTATTCAAATAAACTACAAAATCTAGAAGAAATGGATAAATTCCTCGACACATACACTCTCCCAAGACTAAACCAGGAAGAAGTTGAATCTCTGAATAGACCAATAACAGGCTCTGAAATTGTGGCAATAATCAATAGTTTACCAACCAAAAAAGAGTCCAGGACCAGATGGATTCACAGCCAAATTCTACCAGAGGTACAAGGAGGAACTGGTACCATTCCTTCTGAAACTATTCCAATCAATAGAAAAAGAGGGAATACTCCCTAACTCATTTTATGAGGCCAGCATCATCCTGATACCAAAGCCGGGCAGAGACACAACCAAAAAAGAGAATTTTAGACCAATATCCTTGGTGAATATTGATGCAAAAATCCTCAATAAAATACTGGCAAACCGAATCCAGCAGCACATCAAAAAGCTTATCCACCATGATCAAGTGGGCTTCATCCCTGGGATGCAAGGCTGGTACAATATATGCAAATCAATAAATGTAATCCAGCATATAAACAGAACCAAAGACAAAAACCACATGATTATCTCAACAGATGCAGAAAAGGCCTTTGACAAAATTCAACAGCCCTTCATGCTGAAAACTCTCAATAAATTAGGTATTGATGGGACATATCTCAAAATAATAAGAGCTATCTATGACAAACCCACAGCCAATATCATACTGAATGGGCAAAAACTGGAAGCATTCCCTTTGAAAACTGGCACAAGACAGGGATGCCCTCTCTCACCACTCCTATTCAACATATTGTTGGAAATTCTGGCCAGGGCAATTAGGCAGGAAAAGGAAATAAAGGGTATTCAATTAGGAAAAGAGGAAGTCAAATTGTCCCTGTTTGCAGATGACATGACTGTATATCTAGAAAACCCCATTGTCTCAGCCCAAAATCTCCTTAAGCTGATAAGCAACTTCAGCAAAGTCTCAGGATACAAAATCAACGTACAAAAATCACAAGCATTCTTATACACCAACAACAGACAAACAGAGAGCCAAATCATGAGTGAACTCCCATTCACAATTGCTTCAAAGAGAATAAAATACCTAGGAATCCAACTTACAAGGGATGTGAAGGACCTCTTCAAGGAGAACTACAAACCACTGCTCAATGAAATAAAAGAGGATACAAACAAATGGAAGAACATTCCATGCTCATGGGTAGGAAGAATCAATATCGTGAAAATGGCCATACTGCCCAAGGTAATTTATAGATTCAATGCCATCCCCATCAAGCTACCAATGACTTTCTTCATAGAATTGGGAAAAACTACTTTAAAGTTCATATGGAACCAAAAAAGAGCCCGCATTGCCAAGTCAATCCTAATCCAAAAGAACAAAGCTGGAGTCATCACGCTACCTGACTTCA
This sequence comes from Homo sapiens, assembly GCF_000001405.40. Classification (NCBI taxonomy): domain Eukaryota; kingdom Metazoa; phylum Chordata; class Mammalia; order Primates; family Hominidae; genus Homo; species Homo sapiens. Next base: position 7,175,295 of record NC_000005.10, read on the forward strand.
AACTATACTACAAGGCTACAGTAACCAAAACAGCATGGTACTGGTACCAAAACAGAGATATAGATCAATGGAAGAGAACAGAGCCCTCAGAAATAATGCTGCATATCTACAACTATCTGATCTTTGACAAACCTGAGAAAAACAAGCAATGGGGAAAGGATTCCCTATTTAATAAATGGTGCTGGGAAAACTGGCTAGCCATATGTAGAAAGCTGAAACTGGATCCCTTCCTCACACCTTATACAAAAATTAATTCAAGATGGATTAAAGACTTAAACGTTAGACCTAAAACCATAAAAACCCTAGAAGAAAACCTAGGCATTACCATTCAGGACATAGGCATGAGCAAGGACTTCATGTTTAAAACACCAAAAGCAATGGCAACAAAAGCCAAAATTGACAAATGGGATCTCATTAAACTAAAGAGCTTCTGCACAGCAAAAGAAACTACCATCAGAGTGAACAGGCAATCTACACATGGAAGAAAATTTTCGCAACCTACTCATCTGACAAAGGGCTAATATCCAGAATCTACAATGAACTCAAACAAATTTACAAGAAAAAAACAACCCCATTAAAAAGTGGGCGAAGGACATGAACAGACACTTCTCAAAAGAAGACATTTATGCAGCCAAAAAACACATGAAAAAATGCTCACCATCACTGGCCGTCAGAGAAATGCAAATCAAAACCACAATGAGATACCATCTCACACCAGTTAGAATGGCAATCATTAAAAAGTCAGGAAACAACAGGTGCTGGAGAGGATGTGGAGAAATAGGAACACTTTTACACTGTTGGTGGGACTGTAAACTAGTTCAGCCATTGTGGAAGTCAGTGTGGCGATTCCTCAGGGATCTAGAACTAGAAATACCATTTGACCCAGCCATCCCATTACTGGGTATATACCCAAATGACTATAAATCATGCTGCTATAAAGACACATGCACACGTATGTTTATTGCGGCACTATTCACAATAGCAAAGACTTGGATCCAACCCAAATGTCCAACAATGATAGACTGGATTAAGAAAATATGGCACATATACACCATGGAATACTATGCAGCCATAAAAAATGATGAGTCCATGTCCTTTTTAGGGACATGGATGAAATTGGAAATCATCATTCTCAGTAAACTATCACAAGAACAAAAAACCAAACACCGCATATTCTCACTCATAGGTGGGAATTGAACAATGAGAACACATGGACACAGGAAGGGGAACATCACACTCTGGGGACTGTTGTGGGGTGGGGGGAGGGGGGAGGGATAGTTTTAGGAGATATACCTAATGCTAAATGACGAGTTAATGGGTGCAGCACACCAGCATGGCACATGTATACATATGTAACTAACCTGCACATTGTGCACATGTACCCTAAAACTTAAAGTATTATAATAATAAAATAAAATTAAAAAAAAGAAAAAAAAAGAAAAGGCTACATATTATATGATTACATATAAACGAAATGTTCAGAAAAGGCAAATCTATAGAGACATAAAGTACACTGGGGGCTGCTTGGGGTTGAAGACAGGAATGAATTCACTATATAAAGAGGCAAGAGAGATCTTATCAGAGTTATAAAAATGTTCTAAAATTAGTTAATACTACTAGTTGCACACCTTTGTAAATTTACTAAAAGTTATCAATTGTGTAAACAGGCAAATTTTACAGTATGTGTAATTTATATCTCAATGAACCTTTTTAAAACAAATCATAGCAATCAACCAAAATGATTAAGTCATATGAGTAAGTTTAATGCAAATATTCACTAAAATATTGATATTTGAAAATAGTTTTCAAATAAACCAGTAATAGCCAATTAGAATATTTAGTGGAAAAAGGGTCCCAATTGTGGGAGCAACAAATACTAAAAAATATTGCTTTACTGGAGATATAGCAGAACCTGAGAAGCCTACATTCTGTACTAGTATGCTTGGGTTTACAGCCCAGCTACCATTGTGGGAAGGTAAAATTAGCCTCTTCCTGTGTCAGTTTACTCACCTAGGAATGATAACAGTATCTGCACCATAAGGATGTTGTAAGGAATAAATAAGATAATATTTGCAAAATGCAAAGAGCAATGCCTGGCATATAGGAAATGCTATATAGTGTTATACAATGTTCATGCTCATGCATAAAATACAGAAACAAGAATATTCATTACAGCATTCTTTGTACAAGTGAAAAATTAGAAATGTCTGTTAATTTAAGAAATGACTATATAAATAATGCCAATATTTTGAAGACTATGTAGTATTTTTAAAGAATGACATAGAACCATATGTTTTAGTCTGGAAAAAATCTCAAGGATACACTGTTAATGAAAAATAGAAAGATACAGAACAATAAAAATAGAATGATTCTATTTAAGTTAAAAGCATGTTGCCTGTGCACATAAGTGTATGTGTGAGTTATTAAAAGAATAGGTTCTGAAACGATATATACCTATCTGGAGTGTGGATGGTAAGTGTGTGAGAGAAAAGACTTTAACTTTTTATTTTGCATTTCTTCCTTGTTTAAATATTTAAACATAAGAATATATTCAAGAACTCACATAAGGATTAAAGTGGAAAGTTAAACAAATAGGCCTGCTACGCATCTCACAGAGTGGGCGCTGCCATCCAATGAGCCTTTCTATGTAAAGAGTGCTGCACATCAGCGCATAAGAGCAAAACAGCTGTGCACCAATGTGTTCAGTAAGTGATGGCTTTTTAAATCCTGAAAGAGATTACCCGTACACTCTCAGAAGCTGACTGAAAGTCTTTATGGAAAAGAGGAAATCTTGCCTCACAGGTCAACTTCAAAGCCATGATGGACATATGTAAAAGATATAAGAAAAGGCCCAGGTCTTAAGCCAAAGTATATTGTAAATCCTTTTATTTTCCTAGATTCAGTGAAACCATTCCTTTTATTATACTTTAAGTTTTAGGGTACATGTGTACAACATGCAGGTTTGTTACATATGTATACATGTGCCATGTTGGTGTGCTGCACCCATTAACTATGAGATTTATTTCTTTAAAGCACACATACACACACACACACCTAAAGTGCAATGTTAAGATGTGATAAAATTGTGTTATGGGTCCATGGATTTTTATTATATTATTCTCTATACTTGTCTGCATGTTTGAAATATTTCATTATAAAATATATATTTTTAAATAAAAAAAACATTCCTTTTGAATTGTGTTGCAAAGATGGCTTTCATTCAGAAATTGGAAAGTGCAGTTAGTATTAGAAGAATATTGCCATCAACAACCTGCTTACTGTACAGTGTTGTCCAGATTAACATAGAATATTCTCACTCATATATTGGATGGTCTGGATGAGGAAAGCCCAAGAGATATTTAATGTAAACAAAGCTCAGCTTCCATTTTTTCTGGCTTAGAATCTAATTTGAAATGTCCTGAGTGGTAGAACTCCTTTCTATCCATTCTCCAGAGAGCATTTCTATTAATCAAATATTTCCTATTAACAAGAAACATTTCCTGACATCCAGTCTAAGTTTTTATCTTTCTTATGGCATTACATAATTTGGTTAATAAAATTATCCTATTAGCAGATCACAAATGACATTCATGTTGTTACCCATTTTCTTGTTGTTGCACCGTGATTATGTGGATCTAAAGCAACCAGGAAATGAAGTGAACGTCATTTTCTTTTATTTCCTTCATCTCTCCCATAGATATGAAGAGTCAGGTCACTAGAAAACAGAATATCATGTGATTGTGTTTGACTGCACAACTGGTCTCTATCAATATCTATGCCTGAAGAGGAAGAATGTTTGCCTAGTAAGGTAAAATATTTGGTTATCTACCTCTGTTTGCCTGACTTATCCCTGCTGGTATTAGTAACCACTATAGAGGAAGAACAAATAGACAATTACAAGAATGTGTGTCAAGATCTTGGACACAAAATTATTTCATATTGTTTACATGTAATACTAATCTAAAGCTTGCTAAGACTCAAGTAAAATGTTAGGGTCAGAAAAGACAACATAACTAGAAGCCCTCTTGTTATGTTGAATAGGAAAGAAAAAAAGTCCACTGGGTATGAATCACATAAGTTGCCTCTGTGGCAGGTGCCTGCAGCAATTACTTTCCAATGGGTGCTTAATAAAAACAGAAGATGGAAAACTCAATACGTAAGGTCAATACTGATAACAGTTCATTAGCACAAGTTGAGGACAAGCGAAGGATGAATGTGCCTTGTCCTCCAAGCAGCTGAAGTGCACTTCCCCAGGCTTCTGTCTTCTCTTCTGAGTCACTGAGTCTCTGTGCTCTTTGACACCCTATAACTGGAGGATTATGATTACTTAGTAGGCTTCTGTGCTTAACTTGATAAAACAATAAAAAGTCACACAGAGAAATCTTAAAAACTCGAGGTAGCTTGTAAAGCCACAACTCCACTGTTATTTCATACCACCTTCCTCTCTATCTCACTTCTCCACATTGAAATATGCCCCTTTCCTTGAGATATGAATCACTAAAGTACAAAAACTAGTTTTAAAGTATGCACAGTTGACCAGGCACAGTGGCTTACACTTATAATGCCAGCACTTTGGAAGGCTGAGGCAGGAGCATCACTTGAGGCCAGGAGTTTGAGAGCAGCCTGGGCAATAGAGCCAGACCCTCTTTCTACCAAAAATAATAATAATAAAAAACAGCTGGGCATGGCGGTGCAAGTCTGTAATCTCAGCTACTCAGGGGGCTGAGGCAGAAGGATGAGTTGGGCCCAGAAGTTTGAGGCTGCAGTGAGCAATGATTGTACCACTGTACTTCAGCCTGGGTGACAGAGCAAGAGCCTGTCTGTTAATAAATGAAAAATATAAAATAAAATAAAATATTGATAGTAGTATTTAGTGGGAAAACATTAATTTGAGTCTACTCATAATTTTGAATTTTGAGATCTGGATTCATTTAATAAAAATCATGTTGAGTACATTTTCCAAACTATTTGAATACATGTTCTCCTTATCTTATGAACTAATTTAACTTTACCATAGCTTCAGAGAAAATGGCTTGCCTCGTGGTGTGTGATAACCTTTGGGTGGGCACAACTCCATCAGCAGCTATTCCTGAGACAGGAGATGGTGGCTCTGTGATCACAGTTTCATTGGAATATTTGGTGTAAAATGTAAAAGAAAATATGGCAACACATGGGAGGATGACAACAGAGGGGCTACGGTGACATATTGCAGGGGTCATGAGAGTCATAGGAGACACTTGGCATCCTAAGGACCAAATCTTAAAAGGAAAGCCCAGGACAATTGTGTATTTCCCTTTGTAAATGGTATTAAACGCATTTAAAAAGTATTACATCTAGAGAGCTAAGTTAATGTTCAAGTCCCTCTAATCTATCTGCCCACTTCCCACCGCTGCCTTCTAGCACATTTCATAGAGAGGATAATTCCTTTTTAATTGATTTCTCTCTGGGCAGCATTTCCTTTCTTTGTAATAACGCATCCTGCACAACGAGCTCTTTAGACTTCAGAACATTATAATCTAAAGAAAAGGCAGAATCATCTCCACCAAATGTGGAAATCTGATTGTGTAGTGGGGAAGACTTAGCTCCCTCAAGTTGTGCTCTAGGGCCAAACCCTTTTCCATTTCTACTGAGGATGTCTCTGGAGTGCTGAGAGGTGGAACTCCAATTAGGGGAAGACTGAGGGGCTGTTCCTATAGACGCTCCATGGGAGGGCCACTTAATAACAGGAAGCTCATTGGTCCTGAAGCCCTCAGGGTCCTCCAGAGGGCTAGGGTGCCAACAGGGACATCCTTGGAGGGGTCCTCACCCTGGGCTTGGAGAGTCCATCTCACCATCACTCTCAGATGATTGCCTGGCAGCTGCAGGATGTCCCAGGGCCCGACTTCTCCCTTTCACAGCCTCACTCATCTCCCTGAGGTATGTCTTTCCTGAGGTTCTGGAATCAAGAATGTTTAGTAAATCATATAGGCCTGTCTGGGACCTTTTCATGGCAGATGTTTCTGAATTCTTTCTCTCTTGACAGATAACTCTCCCATCTTCCAGGAATTATTAATGAGTTTTCTAGTTCTCTGATCTCTTGGTGATACTTTAACCAGCAAGACATTTTGTTGTCTTGTCATTTTGCCTAACCCAATTTTTATTTTTTCTTGAAAAAAAATCAGTATAATATGCTAAGATCAACAGAACTTTGGGCTGGTCTTCTAAGGAAATGGTGTCACCCTTTTAAAAGAAAACATCAAAGCAAGCAACCAACAATTGCAATAGAAGGCCAACACTGTTCCTTCTAAAAACAGGTCAGAATCATCGTCTCTCTGGCTTTGAAGAACTTTGCATTGCTAGGTCTCTGTTATTTTCTCCCAGCCATTCTTTTCGGGATTTTCTGTCTGCTGCCATCCGCTAACCTTTGCATCCCCTTTCTCCAGCCTACCCCTCATGTTGGGGTAACAGCCTGTTGTATCTGTAAAAATACAACACATGTCTCAACAAGATTTCTAGCTTAGTCACGGCAGCCACCAGAACACTCTACAAATGTAAAAGATGACCCCAACCTGAAGGCTTTGGAATATCTAACTCAAAAATAAACTTTGTTCTGGAGAAATAGGAAATGTATCCAGCAAAAACAACTTCAGCTCTTTCACAGGTGAAAATAAAAGGACTGGTGGCAAATCAAAGCACTACTTGGTACAGAGATTGCTGTTTGCTTGGTCAAAGGTTGCACTGTCACCCTTTTCAAAGTTTAATTGCCTTCACAGCAATCTACCCGGTATTGGCTTTCCTGTTTGTCTTATTAGGGCAGCAAAGTACACCCTGTGTTCTCCTCACAGGGAATATCTTGTTTCATCACTAATTGTCAAGATTTGGGAAAAGGTCAACTAAGCTTATCTAAACGCCTACTAAAAATAAAAACCCTTTGAATGATTATCTTTTCTAAAAAGATAAATTATGGTGAACATTACTTGTAAAATCTTAGTCTAATAATCTTTCTCAAGACATTTGCATTTCATTAATAATGTTAACATATTCCTGACATGTTATTAATGTTTTACAGATTAGAAAGTGTGTGTATATATGTGACTTTATTCATTTTCAAAACAGCATTTTGAGGTAAGAAATATTATTTTTTCTTTTTAAAATTATAGATGATAAAATTACATTTCAAATAATGTATATAACTGGCTCACGAAAATATAGCAAACCAAAGTTTCCATTATTCCACATTGCTTCTCATCATTTCTTAGACTGAAGAATGGAAAGTTCATGGACCTGTAATTAGTGACAGACACAAGAGGGACAGATGAACTCCTGATATTATATCTAAAGCTTGACCCCTCCCTCTTCTTTCCAGAGTAGTTCAAAATTACACCCTATTCTACCCATTGTGGGCCAAGAAGCAGCACCTGATGACCCCATGTTACATGGCGAGCCCCAAAGGGACCATTCTCACCTTAAATAATTTCATGGCACGCAAGACCAAAGAACTCCATAGTGGCACACACCAACTAGTTGCATGACAGAGGACACAAGGGAGATTCTGAACCCTGCTACCTCTCTGTTTTGTGGCTAAAAGTTCAACAGATACAGGATTTGAAGGCATCCCATGCTGGGATTGGAGAGGCTCACCTTTACATTGTTTTGGGAAAGTATTATTCTTCTCCAATGAAGTTGTGTGTTAGATGCAAGTTATTCTGACTGACCTTGGGATTGTCAACCTTATCTTCTTCTTAGTTCAAGCACAAAAAGACAAGGTTTGTGCACCCCTTGTCTCAGTTGTGAATAAATGTTGGCCTAATCCTGAGGATAAAAATAGAGCAATCTCTCATTAAAATTCAAGTTATATGAGGAGAAAGTTGTTTTCTTTTCTGTTTTGTTCACTGCTGCTTCCTTATTGTCTACAAACATGCCTGGTACATCATAGAGGCTGAATATGTAGTATTTGGATGGAATATAATATACGGATGTGTGTGTATCTGTCTGTATGTCTGCCTGTCTGTCTGTCTGTCTATATCTCAACACTTTGTCAAATCTGACCCTCCCGACCTTAAGGAGCATGGTGTGGTAGACAATGATCACGCTCCTAATACACATTCTCCCCATTCCTTCCTGGTGATAAAACTCTCAATTTTTAGCTGGGTGCATGGCCATTTAGAGGAAAGACTGCATTTCCCAATCTTCCTTGCAGCTAGACCTTGCCATGTGGTTAGGATCTGAGCAGTAGGTGGAGGGGAACGTCTCCTGTCCAAGTTCAGTAGGTATCTTGCCTCTTTCCCTCTGCCTAAATGTGCGTGAGATGGCTGGAACACCAGAGGCCAGGAGGTAGAAGCCACATGTTCAAGATGATGGAGCAATTCCATGGCTGGAGCCTGAGGTCCTGACAATCATGATGCACAGCCCCATAAGCCACTGTTAAGCCACTGTTATTTTGGGTTTTCTGTCACATGCTTTTTTCCATAATACCTTTATAAAGTTTTCTAATAGTTGAATGAATACAACATTCTATTTTATTGCTATATTCTTGCTTTTGTTTTCATTGAACACGAATTTTGTGGAGTGTTGCTTCTGCTTGTAATCAATGTTGACTCATCCTAGAAATCTAATCTCAACTCTCCTGCGTGGTAGAGGCTCAGATGGAAACTCCTGCACATCTTGTTTCTTGCTGCCCATCGTCAGTGGACAAGGCCTGGCAGCTTGCAGGGAGAGGATCACTGAGGATGAACAGGATAAATCTTGACATCTCGGAACATTTCCTTTTTTTTTTTTTTTTTTTTCCAGACGGAGTTTTGCTCTTGTCGCCCAGGCTGGAGTGCAGTGGCATGATCTTGGCTCACTGCAATCTCCTCCTCCCCGGTTCAAGTGATACTCCTGCTTCAGCCTCCCGAGTAGCTGGTATTACAGGCATGCGCCATCATGCCCAGCTAATTTTTGTATTTTTAGTAGAGACGGCATTTCACCATGTTGGCCAGGCTGGTCTCGAACACCTGACCTCAGGTGATCCACCCACCTCGGCCTGCCAAAGTGCTGAGATTACAGGTGTGAGCCACCGTGCCTGGCCAGAACATTTTCAATCTGCTTTCTGCATCGTAGTTTTACTGTTCGGTTTGAAGCAAATTCTCTAAAACCAGTCCTATGCATTTTTCAAATACATGGCAAACAGGCCAGAGATACAGACTAATTATTTTCCCATGAAACTACTGTACTTCCTGTGAACAAACAGATTCCCACCTGCACTTTAAGGACCACCTCTCCACTAGTGGTCCCAGATTCCTCTTTCTCAACTGTTTCTTAAATAATGCTTTCTTGGTCTACATTCTTACAGCCAATATTTTATTGAAATTCATTTCACTTCCTCTTATTTAAGAAAGAAATCACCATAAATAAGTTTTTCACTATCAGCACCTTCCCTGATATTTTCCCAATTCAAATGGCGTTTATTGCCATCACTATCACCTTCTTGAGAGTTACTGCTTTCTTTTTGCCTGTATGTTCAATTGTATCTCAGACATCTCACAGGTTTTTCAAGCTCAGCATTTTCATATTTGAAGCTCTCATAATCATCCTCCCCTCCACACCTGTTCCATTTCCTATGTTGATAATTTCACTCTGTCTCAGTAGCCTGAGTCAGAAACCTGGGAGATATCCTATCTCAAAATGCTGTTTTGAAAATGAATAAGGCCACATATGTACACGCACTTTCTAATGCATGAAACATTAATAGAATGTCAGAAATATGTTAATATAATTGATGAAATGTGAATTTCTTGAGAAAGATTATTATCTAATATTAATTTTCCATATTATTCAATATGAATTCATTCTTTCAATATGGATGAATTGGTTCCATATTCAGTTGGTCACCAAGTCATCAATGCCAACACAGGCTTGGGTTTTCCTCTTTTGGCTATTATGTTATTTAATTTATCATCACTTATTACCTGAGATTTATCAAGAGTCTTCACACTCTGCTTCCAATCAGCCCACTTCAGTTCATCCCCCACCCCTCAGTCACAGAGTTCTGTCTACACTGGAATCGTGGGCATAAGACTCTTCTCTTAACTCCCAAACTGAGCGATTCTGAACTGAAGCCCTGGCCACTGCCTGCTCTTGGGCTTCATCTGCCAGCCATCCCTTTACATTCTGTACTTCTGCCAGCAGCAGTCTGCAGTTGGGGGAATTGGGGGAATGGGCTTTGGGGTTAAACCTGCATCCTCCTCATATGCCCAGTTTCCTTCAAGACAGCCTTTAAAACCCAGCAGAACTGCGAACTGTCAAGCACTTCCCTGACCCCCAACCTTGACCAAGGATCAAGTCTTACCATGTAGAATCTACTAGATCACCTTGTGAGCAGCTCCATAGCTGAGATCACCTTTGCCTCTATCTTTGGCATCAAGCAAGGAACTTCACATCTAGTGGGTTGTTGGAAGTTAGTTGCTTAATGAGCTAACATAGGAACAGAAAACCTAACTGCATGTTCTCAATTATCAGTGGGAGCTAAACATTGAGTACACGTGGATGCAAAGAAAGGAACAACAGACACCAACGCCTACTTGAGGGTAGAGGGTGGGAGGAAGGTAAGGATCGAAAAACCACCTATCGAGTACTGTGCTTATTACCTGGGTGACAAAATAACCTGTACACCAAACCCCCATGACACGCAATGCACCCATATAACAAGCCTGCACATGTACCTCTAAGCCTAAAATAAAAGTTAAAAGAAAAGTTAGTTGCTTAAATGAGTAAGTAAAATTCCATTTGAATCATCCACGTCCCTCAAGGGAGAGCTATAGATTATCGGAATAGGTATGTTTATCTCCATTCTCTACCTATCTTTCCTAATTCAGAAAAATTGTAAACGCAGGTAGATTAATTTATTTCTACACAGCACTGTCTTTTTTGGAACATATAGTTACTTCAAGTTCTACCTCAATATTTTCTCTCCAAAACAAGAAGCAAAAGCAACATCTCAACCAGATTATTTTAAGCCTTTTAACATTTTAGTTTTAGAGTTTCTAGCTTTGTTTTCAGACAGTACACAGATGATTAAAAATCAATAAGGATTCAACATTTGAGCATTATCTCCTATGGGACAATCAATGCATAGAACGGCCAAAACAATTTGTAATTTTTGATCAAGTCCTTATGATAGAAATAAAAACCAGAGCACAACTAATCCCATATTGGAAAAAAGGTTAAGGGAATGAGAAGATAATTCATATTAACTGAGTACCTACTGTGTGTCAGACACTATGCATGGAGGTTCACAGTGGTGAATTGAATCTTCACATATAATCTAGGAAGTAGTTATAATTAGTTATAATTACTATGGTTTGACTACTGAGTGCAGTGAGATGCAGAGAGGCACGCATCTACGGAAATTAGCTCACAGCCTTTCCAGTAGTCCAGACCACAAGTGCTGTTACTATAACCTGTGGGAATCCCTGACATTAAAGCCACAGTATAAGCTTTAGTTCAAAAATGTTCATGAACATATTTTTTTCTTTAATTTCAGTAGCTAATTCACTTGTTTGCATTTAATTTCATAGATTTTTTTTTCTTCAACTTTTATTTTAAGTTCAGGGGTACATGTCCAGGATGTTCAGGTTTGTTGCATAGGTGAACGTGTGCCATGGTGATTTGCTGCACAAATCAACCCGTCACCTAGGTGTAAATCCATCATCCATTAGCTATTCTTCCTGATGCTCTCCCTCCCTTCACCCGCCCCTGACAGGCCCCAGTGTGTGTTGTTCCCTACCATGTGTCCATGTGTTCTCATCTTTCAGCTCTCACTTGCAAGTGAGAACATGCAGTGTTTGGTCTTCTGTTCCTGTGTTAGTTTGCTGAGGATAACAAAGGACATGGATGCTTAGCAAACTAAGGATAACAGTTCTATCCATTTGCAAGGATTCATATGCATATCCATTTGCAAAGTTCATATCCTTTGCAAGGATATGGTGTCATTCTTTTCTATGTCTGCATAGTATTCCATGGTGCGTATGTTACCACCTTTTCTTTATCCAGTCTATCACTGATGGGCATTTGGGTTGATTCCATGTCTTTGCTATTGTGAATAGTGCTGCAATGAACACACGCATGCTTGTGTCTTTATAATAAAATGATTTATATTCCTTTGGGTATATACCTAGTACTGGGATTGCTGGGTCAAATGGTATTTCTGCTTCTAGATCTTTGAGGAATCGCCACACTGTCTTCCACAATGATTGAACTAATTTACATCCCCACCAACATTGTAAAAGCGTTCCTTTTTTCTCCACAACCTCGCCAGCATCTGTTGTTTCTTAACTTTGCAATAGTCATTCTGTCTGGAGTGAGATGGTATCTCATTATGGTTTTGCTTTGCATTTCTCTAATGATCAGTGATGTTGAGGTTTTTTTCATATGTTTGTTGGCTGCAAGAGTGTCTTCTTTTGAGAAGTGTCTGCTCATGTCCTTTGCCTACTTTTTAATGGGGTTGTTTGTTTTTTCTTGTAAATTTGTCTAAGTTCTTTGTAGACTCTGGATATTAGACCATTGTCAGAAAGATAGATTGCAAAAATTTTCTTCCATTCTGTAGGTTGTCTGTTCACTCTGATGATAGTTTCTTTTTCTGTGCAGAAGCTCTTTAGTTTAATTAGATCCCATTTGTCAATTTTGACTTTTGTTGCCATTGCTTTTGGTATTTCCATCATGAACATTTTATATATTTTTTAAAAATAAACATTTTATTTCTGAATAGCTTTAGGTTTATAGGAAAATAACGAAGGTGATATAGAGTTTCTATTATTATTATCATTATTATTTGAGACAGAGTCTTGCTCTGTTGCCCAGGCTGGAGTGCAGTGGCGTGATCTCGGCTCACTGCAACCTCTGCCTCCTGGGTTCAAGCAATTCTCCTGCCTCAGCCTCCTGAGTAGCTGGGACTACAGACGTGTGCCACCATGCCTGGCTAATTTTTTTTTTTTTTTTTTTTGGCAGTGGGGGATGGAGTCTCACTTTGTTGCCCAGGCTGGAGTACAGTGGTGACATCTCGGCTCACTGCAAGCTCCGCCTCCCGGGTTCAGGCCATTCTCATGCCTCAGCCTCCCGAGTAGCTGGGACTACAGGCGCTGGCCACCGAGCCCGGCTAATTTTTTGTATTTTTAGTAGAGGCGGGGTTTCATCATGTTAGCCAGGATGGTCTTGATCTCCTGACCTCATGATCCACCCACCTCGGCCTCCCAAAATACTGGGATTACAGGCATAAGCCACCGCACCTGGCCTTTTTTTTTTTTTTTTTTTCATATTTTTAGTAGAGACAGGGTTTCACTATGTTGGCCAGACTAGTCTCAAACTCCTGACCTCGTGGATCCACCCGCCTCGGCCTCCCAAAGTGCTGGGATTACAGGCATGAGCCACCGCACCTGGCCAAGTTTCTCTTATTATTAATAGCTTATTTTAGTGTGGTATCTGTTTGCCACAATTAATGGAACAATATTGATACATCATTATTAACTTGAGTCTACACTTTATGCATATTCCTTAGTTTTTTATCTGACTTTCTTTTCCTGTTCTTGGATCCCTTCAGGGTACCACATTATACTTAGTCATCATGGCTACTCAGGATTTTCTTGGTTGTGACAAGTTTTCAGACTTTCCTTGTTTTGGTGACCTTGATAATAGTGGTCAGGTATTTTGCAGAATGTGCCTCAATTTGTATTTGTCTCATGCTTTTCTCTTGACACATAGCTTTCTCATCAGTGAAACATACAGTTTGAACTGAGTGATGGATTGAGTAGCTCCGATTTTTCCCAATGCTCATACTGTGCTTTACTGAAGAAGTTACATTAAGTCTTTCAGGAATCCACAGAAAACATAAAACAGAGGCAAATTGGCTCCATAGAGACACATTTCCAATAGAGCTTCAGCAAGTGGATACAGCAGATATGGCCCTTCTCTTTTCAAATGCGTTAGGATAATAATAGATGCATAGAAATAAACATCAATTAATACTTCACAGCTATTATCAATCCAAAGATAACACCTAGGCTTTTAATGCCTTTTTCCCCTTTTATTATAAAATGCCTTTAATTCTATTGTGCTTTAGTGGGAAATTACTAAGTGAAAGACCTAGTCCCACGTTCAGTGGCCCCTGGTTGTAAGCTCTTCATAACTTTTAGGCACTGATAATGCATTTGGGGTTTCAAATCTCCAGGGATGAATGTTGGTAAGGATAACGCTGAAATGAACGTTAAGATAATGTGCTAATAAATGTTATATCCTGCCTGTTCTGAAGGTTTGCAGGACTCTGCGGATTAATTGTGAGACTCAGAGAAGAAACCAACTAGACAGGTATCACATGTGCTAAAGAAATAAAAGCTAGCCTGCTGTATGATAGAAAGCTGCCTTTCAGTAAATGGTTGCCGAATTGAGAAAAGACAACTGCAGTGATGATAAATAAAAAGATAAGGCAACGACTTGCTGAAAAAATGTGCTACGTATCAGGCTCTGCCAAGTGCTTTCTAAGCATGGTTTTACTTAATCCCCATACAAATCCTATGTGGCAGCCACTGTTTTCATTCTTTCTTTCTTTCTTTCTTTTTTGTGAGGGAGTCTCACTCTGTTGCCCAGGCTGGAGTGCAATGGCATGATCTTGGCTCACCACAACCTCCGCCTCCCAGGTTCAAGTGATTCTCCTGCCTCAGCCTCCCGAGTAGCTGGGATTATAGGCATCTGCCACCACGCCTGGCTAATTTTTGTATTTGTAGTAGAGATGGAGTTTCACCATGTTGGCCAGGCTGGTCTGGAACTCCTGACCTAAGGTGATCCACCCACCTTGGCCTCCCAAAGTGCTAGGATTACAGGTGTGAGCCTCTGCGCCCAGCCTTCCATTCTCATTTTAGGATAAGGAAATGAGGCCAGGAGAAGTGACTTGCCCAAGGTCACATGGTCAGTAAGTAGTGACACCACCTGAGAGTTTCTGTCTGACCTTCTCAGAGCCACATTCCTTGATAAGAGGACACCCAATGAAAGGGAACAAGCTGAGGGCAGGAGAGTGCTTCTTGGGAAATCTCACAGCACAGAGATAAATACTTCCTCCCAGCCCCGAGTCTAAGAAGCCAGACAGTGAGACAAAAGCAGCTCCAGAGTCTACTCAGATTCTGACATCATAGTTGAAAACCTAATTGACGTGCCTTACATAGAACACGTGTGTCCCTCACCATCCCCGGGGTGACTCTCTGTGCAGAGTTTCTGCATTTAGTTATTTTCTGTATTTGTGAAGGATAAACAAGGCTTCTTTTAGTGTTTTATCATTCATGAATTAGCTCTTCCCTGAGCCACTGTAAAGTCCGATGTAAGATGATCAGATGCCAGTAGGTCAACTCAAGGCTTTGAAAAATAAAAATTCTCCATGTGTGAACTACAAATCCAACCCACATTTGCTTGTTATGCAGAAAATTGTATTTGCCATGTCCTGCTTGCTTAGGGTAAAATGTTGGCTGTTGTTTTTTTTTTTCAGGCCATTAATATTGGCAAATCTTGCATAGACACAAGTGGTTGTAATTCTTACTACCATTAAGACAGTAGATGGATGGCTTTGAATTTGGGCCAAGTGAGCAAAGGCAGCCCCTCCCTCTCTACGTTCCAGCCGTTTTGCTCACTGTGAGGACTCAGCTGTGACACGGCAAGTATCTTTTACGCACATTTCTGTGATTTGCCCAGCACACATAGAACCATCATGAGCCTTTTAATAGCCAGTAATAGTTTGTCATAAACTTGTAAGATAAGATGCTTTTTGTTTAATACTCAAGTGCATTAGAAACCTGGCATCAACACAACAAGAAAATTTGTTCTCTTGAGATTCAGTAGAGAGATTCAAGGTCACATAATCATTCCAGAAATTTTAAAACGGCTTCCTTTTATTCGGTGCCAAGAAATGCTGAGCTCCAGAAACTTCCTATAAAGCTCATCTTGATAGTTTTTAAAATACTTTAGATATCACACTCACCCATGTTTTTTGAATGGCAGCTGGAGTTAAGAATTCTGTTTCCTTTGAGGTACTATCCCATAACTCCTGATTTTTTTTTCAACTCTCTTTATGTTTGGATTTTTGCCAAATATTGCTATTGATCAAAGGAAGAAAATGTTGTGCTTAGTTTTATAATGCTGGGTCCATCAAGATTGAACATGGTCTTCCTTTCTCAAAACATAGACTTACTGTGTTGGTATTCTTCAACCTGCTCTGCCTCACCTCCATGACAGTCCATCGTCACAGCTGCTGCCATTATAGATGTGGGATGATGTGTGGAATGTGTTCATTACTCTTTTTGTAAACACACACACAGGCACACACACACACACACATCATAACTCGTGTTCAATGATCTAAAATCCAAAACTCATTTTGGATTTAATTACATATATTGCTTTTTTTTTTCTTTTTTTTTGAGACAGAGCCTTACTCTGTCGCCAGGCTGGAGTGCAGTGGTGCGATCCCAGCTCACTGCAACCTCCGCCTCCCGGGTTCAAGCAATTCTCCTGCCTCAGCCTCCCAAGTAGCTGGGATTACAGGCACCTGCCACCACTCCTGGCTAATTTTTGTATTTTTAGTAGAGACGAGGTTTCACCATGTTTGTCAGGATGGTATATTGCTCTTTTTATGTGCTTCTAAGTATAATCATATGGCAGAAAAGAGAGGCCAAAAAAACTAGTTAAACTGGGTTTACACTCTCATTTCATTGCCTGGACATTTCACGATCCTCTCCACAGCATCTGCAAAGCTAGAAGATCTAGATTCTCAAAATTCCACCTCCTCCCATCTTTTGTCCACTCTCTCTGTTTTACCCCATATCAGTTTAGATATAACCACAGTCCCTTCACCAGTTTTCATAAGAAATCCACGTATGCCATTGATTTCTAGTTTAGTGAGCTTGGGAAATGTCTTGGACTTTGGGAGAGGGTCACAGTGCAGTGGGGCAGCTTTCCTCAGCCCAGCTGGCTTCTTTCTCATCCACCTCTCCCAGCTCTTCAGTTCTCCTTTCAGGATGGCTCTATGAAGATTACTTTCTTTCATTCTTTCACTTATTCAGAACAAGGATCTCATCCCAAATTTGTACAGGATGGCTTATCGAAGCATTCTGAAGAATAAAGAGACTTCCATTTGGCATGCGTGGAGTAGCTATTTTCTCCCTGTGTCTTCACATGGTCTTCCGTCTGTGAGTCTACCCTAATCTCTTCCTATAAGGACACCAGTCATATTGGATTAGGGTCCACCCTAATGACCTTATTTTAATTTAATTACCTCTTTAAAGATGCTACTGTGTTTCCAAATACAGCCACATGCTGAGGTATTGGAGGAGAGGGCTTCAACATATGAATTGAGGGCTGATACAATTCAGCCCATGAGACTCCCCTTAAATGAGCAGCTCATATAATTGAAGATGCATGAGAACAGAGACCTTGTCTGCCTAATTCTCTCCTGTATCCTTCATGCTTATGAGAGTGCCTAGAACATGCTAAAGAATGAATAGGGACTTTACTGTTGTTGAATAAGTTAAAGGTTGGAGGAGGTGCCCAGCACAGAGCAAGCAAGTGCTACTATATCTCTGCTGGATTTCCCAAACAGTCCTTACTTGATGTTTCCCAACTATGTTTTAGGAGAAAGTGAGGAGGGGCAGGCATATCATGAACACATATATGATGCTGGAAAATTTACTGCTGTCGTTTTATTTCCAAAAGGTAGAGGCAGGGTGTAGATATCATTCGCCTCACCTTCTCCCAGCCATGTGTCTACAGCACTAATACTGAACAACAAGGTTTCCTGGCATCCAATGTCAGAAGACCAATGTCACAAATGTGACTGAATTTATATTTAAATAAAAAGAAAATTTTAAAGTATATTTTTTCTTGAAAATTTTAGCACTTTTAGAAATACAGAACCACCATTTATATTCTTCAATAAAAGTTCTTTCTTTTTAAAAGTTCTGAGTTGCACACAGATGGGTCCTTAGCCAACATTAGTACAATATTAGTAGCCAATGCCACTTAGTAGTAGCATTGCTAGCTACTTAGGCCACACAGGTTTGAGAAGTTGACGGTATTTCTATTATCCATCTGAGAATCTCTTTTTGGTTTGTCTGTCTGTATTAGAACTTCTTGGAAAATTTTGTTGATGTTATAATATTTGACTCATAGACTAAGAAGATAGAATAACTATTTCACAATGGTGTATTTTGAAAAAAAAGCATATAACTTACAGGGAAATAAAATAACTCTTCTCTCATTACAATGTTTTATGATTCTTTCTGAATTCCAGCCATTGTCCATCACTATAACTGTGGGCATTCTTTTGAATCATCACTAATCAAAGATGTTTGTCTCCAGAGCTCTTGGCATCATATAATGTCTAGCAACCTCATGTGAACTATAAAGAACCTTGGCACCAAGGGTGCAGCATAGCTCCATAACAAAAATGAATAAATTTTAGGCATCAACAGTGCATTCAAGGGGGGGAGGAGCCAAGATGGCTGAATAGGAACAGCTCCGGTCTACAGCTCCCAGCGTGAGCGACGCAGAAGACAGGTGATTTCTGCATTTCCATCTGAGGTACCGGGTTCATCTCACTAGGGAGTGCCAGACAGTGGGCGCAGGACAGTGGGTGTGCTCACCGTGCGCAAGCCGAAGCAGGGCAAGGCATTGCCTCACCTGGGAAGCGCAAGGGGTCAGGGAGTTCCCTTTCCGAGTCAAAGAAAGGGGTGACAGACGCACCTGGAAAATCGGGTCACTCCCACCCGAATATTGCGCTTTTCAGACCGGCTTAAAAAACGGCGCACCACGAGACTATATCCCACACCTGGCTTGGAGGGTCCTACGCCCACGGAATCTCGCTGATTGCTAGCACAGCAGTCTGAGATCAAACTGCAAGGTGGCAGCGAGGCTGGGGGAGGGGCGCCCGCCATTGCCCAGGCTTGCTTAGGTAAACAAAGCAGCCAGGAAGCTCGAACTGGGTGGAGCCCACCACAGCTCAAGGAGGCCTGCCTGTCTCTCTAGGCACCACCTCTGGGGGCAGGGCACAAACAAACAAAAAGACAGCAGTAACCTCTGCAGACTTAAATGTCCCTGTCTCACAGCTTTGAAGAGAGCAGTGGTTCTCCCAGCACGCAGCTGGAGATCTGAGAACGGGCAGACTGCCTCCTCAAGTGGGTCCCTGACCCCTGACCCCCGAGCAGCCTAACTGGGAGGCACCCCCCAGCAGGGGCACACTGACACCTCACACTGCAGGGTATTCCAACAGACCTGCAGCTGAGGGTCCTGTCTGTTAGAAGGAAAACTAACAAACAGAAAGGACATCCACACCAAAAACCCATCTGTACATCACCATCATCAAAGACCAAAAGTAGATAAAACCACAAAGATGGGGAAAAAACAGAACAGAAAAACTGGAAACTCTAAAACGCAGAGTGCCTCTCCTCCTCCAAAGGACCGCAGTTCCTCACCAGCAACGGAACAAAGCTGGATGGAGAATGATTTTGACGAGCTGAGAGAAGAGGCTTCAGACGATCAAATTACTCTGAGCTACGGGAGGACATTCAAACCAAAGGCAAAGAAGTTGAAAACTTTGAAAAAAATTTAGAAGAATGTATAACTAGAATAACCAATACAGAGAAGTGCTTAAAGGAGCTGATGGAGCTGAAAACCAAGGCTCGAGAACTACGTGAAGAATGCAGAAGCCTCAGGAGCCGATGCGATCAACTGGAAGAAAGGGTATCAGCAATGGAAGATGAAATGAATGAAATGAAGCGAGAAGGGAAGTTTAGAGAAAAAAGAATAAAAAGAAATGAGCAAAGCCTCCAAGAAATATGGGACTATGTGAAAAGACCAAATCTACGTCTGATTGGTGTACCTGAAAGTGATGCGGAGAATGGAACCAAGTTGGAAAACACTCTGCAGGATATTATCCAGGAGAACTTCCCCAATCTAGCAAGGCAGGCCAACATTCAGATTCAGGAAATACAGAGAACGCCACAAAGATACTCCTCGAGAAGAGCAACTCCAAGACACATTATTGTCAGATTCACCAAAGTTGAAATGAAGGAAAAAATGTTAATGGCAGCCAGAGAGAAAGGTCGGGTTACCCTCAAAGGGAAGCCCATCAGACTAACAGCAGATCTCTCGGCAGAAACCCTACAAGCCAGAAGAGAGTGGGGGCCAATATTCAACATTCTTAAAGACAAGAATTTTCAACCCAGAATTTCATATCCAGCCAAACTAAGCTTCATAAGTGAAGGAGAAATAAAATACTTTACAGACAAGCAAATGCTGAGAGATTTTGTCACCACCAGGCCTGCCCTAAAAGAGCTCCTGAAGGAAGCGCTAAACATGGAAAGGAACAACCCGTACCAGCCGCTGCAAAATCATGCCAAAATGTAAAGACCATCGAGACTAGGAAGAAACTGCATCAACTAACGAGCAAAATCACCAGCTAACATCATAATGACAGGATCAAATTCACAATAACAATATTAACTTTAAATGTAAATGGACTAAATTCTCCAATTAAAAGACACAGACTGGCAAGTTGGATAAAGAGTCAAGACCCATCAGTGTGCTGTATTCAGGAAACCCATCTCACGTGCAGAGACACACACAGGCTCAAAATAAAAGGATGGAGGAAGATCTACCAAGCAAATGGAAAACAAAAAAAGGCAGGGGTTGCAATCCTAGTCTCTGATAAAACAGACTTGAAACCAACAAAGATCAAAAGAGACAAAGAAGGCCATTACATAATGGTAAAGGGATCAATTCAACAAGAGGAGCTAACTATCCTAAATATATATGCACCCAATACAGGAGCACCCAGATTCATAAAGCAAGTCCTGAGAGACCTACAAAGAGACTTAGACTCCCACACATTAATAATGGGAGACTTTAACACCCCACTGTCAACATTAGACAGATCAACGAGACAGAAAGTCAACAAGGATACCCAGGAATTGAACTCAGCTCTGCATCAAGTGGACCTAATAGTCATCTACAGAACTCTCCACCCCAAATCAACAGAATATCCATTTTTTTCAGCACCACACCACACCTATTCCAAAATTGACCATATAGTTGGATGTAAAACTCTCCTCAGCAAATGTAAAAGAACAGAAATTATAACAAACTATCTCTCAGACCACAGTGCAATCAAACTAGAACTCAGGTTTAATAATCTCACTCAAAACTGCTCAACTACATGGAAACTCAACAACCTGCTCCTGAATGACTACTGGGTACATAACGAAATGAAGGCAGAAATAAAGATGTTCTTTGAAACCAATGAGAACAAAGACACAACATACCAGAATCTCTGGGACGCATTCAAAGCAGTGTGTAGAGGGAAATTTATAGCACTAAATGCCCACAAGAGAAAGCAGGAAAGATCCAAAATTGACACCCTAACATCACAATTAAAAGAACTAGAAAAGCAAGAGCAAACACATTCAAAAGCTAGCAGAAGGCAAGAAATAACTAAAATCAGAGCAGAACTGAAGGAAATAGAGACACAAAAAACCCTTCAAAAAATCAATGAATCCAGGAGCTGGTTTTTTGAAAGGATCAACAAAATTGATAGACCACTAGCAAGCCTAATAAAGAAAAAAAGAGAGAAGAATCAAATAGACACGATAAAAAATGATAAAGGGGATATCACCACCGATCCCACAGAAATACAAACTACCATCAGAGAATACTACAAACACCTCTACACAAATAAACTAGAAAATCTAGAAGAAATGGATACATTCCTCGACACATACACTCTCCCAAGACTAAACCAGGAAGAAGTTGAATCTCTGAATAGACCAATAACAGGATCTGAAATTGTGGCAATAATCAATAGTTTACCAACCAAAAAGAGTCCAGGACCAGGTGGATTCACAGCCGAATTCTACCAGAGGTACAAGGAGGAACTGGTACCATTCCTTCTGAAACTATTCCAATCAATAGAAAAAGAGGGAATCCTCCCTAACTCGTTTTATGAGGCCAGCATCATTCTGATACCAAAGCCGGGCAGAGACACAACCAAAAAAGAGAATTTTAGACCAACATCCTTGATGAACATTGATGCAAAAATCCTCAATAAAATACTGGCAAACCGAATCCAGCAGCACATCAAAAAGCTTATCCACCATGAGCAAGTGGGCTTCATCCCTGGGATGCAAGGCTGGTTCAATATACGCAAATCAATAAATGTAATCCAGCATATAAACAGAGCCAAAGACAAAAACCACATGATTATCTCAATAGATGCAGAAAAAGCCTTTGACAAAATTCAACAACCCTTCATGCTAAAAACTCTCAATAAATTAGGTATTGATGGGACGTATTTCAAAATAATAAGAGCTATCTATGACAAACCCACAGCCAATATCATACTGAATGGGCAAAAACTGGAAGCATTCCCTTTGAAAACTGGCACAAGACAGGGATGCCCTCTCTCACCACTCCTATTCAGCATAGTGTTGGAAGTTCTGGCCAGGGCAATCAGGCAGGAGAAGGAAATAAAGGGTATTCAATTAGGAAAAGAGGAAGTCAAATTGTCCCTGTTTGCAGACGACATGATTGTTTATCTAGAAAACCCCATTGTCTCAGCCCAAAATCTCCTTAAGCTGATAAGCAACTTCAGCAAAGTCTCAGGATACAAAATCAACGTACAAAAATCACAAGCATTCTTATACACCAACAACAGACAAACAGAGAGCCAAATCATGAGTGAACTCCCTTTCACAATTGCTTCAAAGAGAATAAAATACCTAGGAATCCAACTTACAAGGGATGTGAAGGACCTCTTCAAGGAGAACTACAAACCACTGCTCAATGAAATAAAAGAGGATACAAACAAATGGAAGAACATTCCATGTTCATGGGTAGGAAGAATCAATATCGTGAAAATGGCCATACTGCCCCAGGTAATTTACAGATTCAATGCCATCCCCATCAAGCTACCAATGACTTTCTTCACAGAATTGGAAAAAACTACTTTAAAGTTCATATGGAACCAAAAAAGAGCCCGCATCGCCAAGTCAATCCTAAGGCAAAAGAACAAAGCTGGAGGCATCACACTACCTGACTTCAAACTATACTACAAGGCTACAGTAACCAAAGCAGCATGGTACTGGTACCAAAACAGAGATATAGATCAATGGAACAGAACAGAGCCCTCAGAAATAACACCGCATACCTACAACTATCTGATCTTTGACACACCTGAGAAAAACAAGCAATGGGGAAAGGATTCCCTATTTAATAAATGGTGCTGGGAAAACTGGCTAGCCATATGTAGAAAGCTGAAACTGGATCCCTTCCTTACACCTTATACAAAAATCAATTCAAGATGGATTAAAGATTTAAACGTTAGACCTAAAACCATAATAACCCTAGAAGAAAACCTAGGCATTACCATTCAGGACATAGGCGTGGGCAAGGACTTCATGTCCAAAACACCAAAAGCAATGGCAACAAAAGCCAAAATTGACAAATGGGATCTAATTAAACTAAGGAGCTTCTGCACAGCAAAAGAAACTACCATCAGAGTGAACAGGCAACCTACAACATGGGAGAAAATTTTCACAACCTACTCATCTGACAAAGGGCTAATATCCAGAATCTACAATGAACTCAAACAAATTTACAAGAAAAAACAAACAACCCCATCAAAAAGTGGGCGAAGGACATGAACAGACACTTCTCAAAAGAGGACATTTATGCAGCCAAAAAACACATGAAAAAATGCTCATCATCACTGGCCATCAGAGAAATGCAAATCAAAACCACTATGAGATATCATCTCACACCAGTTAGAATGGCAATCATTAAAAAGTCAGGAAACAACAGGTGCTGGAGAGGATGTGGAGAAACAGGAACACTTTTACACTGTTGGTGGGACTGTAAACTAGTTCAACCATTGTGGAAGTCAGTGTGGCGATTCCTCAAGGATCTAGAACTAGAAATACCATTTGACCCAGCCATCCCATTACTGGGTATATACCCAAATGACTATAAATCATGCTGCTATAAAGACACATGCACACGTATGTTTATTGCGGCATTATTCACAATAGCAAAGACTTGGAACCAACCCAAATGTCCAACAATGATAGACTGGATTAAGAAAATGTGGCACATATACACCATGGAATACTATGCAGCAATAAATAATGATGAGTTCATGTCCTTTGTAGGGACATGGATGAAACTGGAAACCATCATTCTCAGTAAACTATCGCAAGAACAAAAAACCAAACACCGCATATTCTCACTCATAGGTGGGAATTGAACAATGAGATCACATGGACACAGGAAGGGGAATATCACACTCTGGGGACTGTGGTGGGGTGGGGGGAGGGGGGAGGGATAGCATTGGGAGATATACCTAATGCTAGATGACGAGTTAGTGGGTGCAGTGCACCAGCATGGCACATGTATACATATGTAACTAACCTGCACAATGTGCACATGTACCCTAAAACTTAAAGTATAATAAAAAAAAAAGTAAAAAAAAAATAAAAAATAAATAAATAAATAAACAGTGCATTCAAGAAGAGGTGGGGGTGCATATTATCACTGAGCATTTTGGGGAGTGGCAAATAAGTGTAAAATGGCTCTATTATTAGTTCAGTCTAGAGAGAAGAAGTACTAACTACAACCCCAGAGGAGAAGAAATACTAACCAGCAACCCTGGAAGGAAGAACTACTAACCAGCAACTCTAGAGGAAAGGGTGGCAGGCAGAGCAGCTTAGACTCAGACACTCCTACTCAGCAGAACCCACTCTCCTCTGTCTTGTGCATTGTGCCTCTGATGTTAGTATTTGGCTGAGAACCATCCAAATGGTTCCAACCAACCCTCTCGTGCCATGATGGACTCATCTCATGCCATGATGGAGCCATCTGATTCCATGGTGGAGTCATATCATTCCATGATGGAGCCATCTTATGCTATAATGGAGTCATCTCATGTCATGATAGAGCCATCTCATGCCATGAAGGAGTCATCTCATGCCATGAAGGAGTCATCTCATGCCATGATGGAGCCATCTCATGGCATGATGGAGTCATGTCATGCCATGACGGAGTCACCTCATGCCATGAAGGAGTCATCTCATGCCATGTTGGAGTCCTGTCATGCCATGATGGAGCCGTCTCACTCCATGATGAAGCCATCTCACGCCATGTTGGAGTCACCTCACACCATGATGGAGTCATCCATCATGGATGGAAACCCACATGGAAAACACGAAGGCACTTCCCTCATTACTTCTGCCTCAGGTGACCAGAAGTAGAGAGCCATTTGCCATTTGAAAATAGGACTACTCCATCTTTAACTTCCCCAACTGTCATGCCAGAATTTCCACCTCCAGGTGCCCTGATTCAGAAAATGTTCTTTAACCTGACATTTGCTGGATGCTTGTCAATACGCTTCTTTCTTGGGAGATTAAGGGGTGGGAGCCCTCAGAGTGCTGAGAAGGAGACACCCAGCTGCGGGTGAAGCCACATCTGTAGATGAAGCACTGGGGAGACTAGCAACTCATTGTAACTTATCAGAGAAAAAGTGAAAAGCTGAAAAAAAAAAAAAAGAGAGCAACAACATTTGGGAGAACGAAAGATCTGAAATATACAGAAAACTTACTTGATTTTCTGTTCAAGTAAGTACTCTCAGGGGAGCTTAGAGTATAAGGTTCACCAAATTTCTCCTTAAAGGTCTAGATAGTAGACTGGACACGGTGGCTCAGGCCTGTAATCCCAGCACTTTGGGAGGCCGTGGCGGGCGGATCACGAGGTCAGGAGTTTGAGACCAGCCTGACCAACATTGTGAAACTCCGTCTCTACTAAAAATACAAAAAAATTAGCCAGGCGTGGTGGCACACGCCTGTAATCCCAGCTACTCAGGAGGCTGAGGCAGAAGAATCGCTTGAACCCAGCTGGTGGAGTTGCAGTTAGCCGAGATTGCACCACTGCACTCCAGCCTGGGCAACAGAGTGAGACTCTGTCTAAACAAAACCAAAAACAAAAACAAAAACACTGGTCTAGATAGTAAGTATTTTAGGCTTCATGGACCGAAAGGTACAATCAAGGATATTATATAGCTACTCACATAGACACTTAATATGAAACCATTTTAAAAATGTAAAAGCCATTCTTGGCCTGTGGGCTATGCAAAAACTGGCAGCAGGCCATAGATTGCTGATCCCCAAATGACAGGTTTGGTGTGCTATTGGACATCTATCTTCTCTTAAAAGAAAAAAGAAAAGAAGAACAACAGCAACATCAAAAAAAGAAAACTTAGCTATGGGGAAATTTAAGTTTACAATAATATAGCCTTAAAATCAATATAGTACCTTGGATCTGACTTCCATTTTTAACAGCTTAACTTAAGTACTTTTAAGGGCAGGGATATGAATTGGAGTTTGTTGACCTCAAAGGTCTCAGGACAAAATTTAGTTTTCCCTGACTTTATGGTTTCAGAGTTGATATTTTTAAAGTGGACTGAGAAGTATTGAGAATGTCAGCTTCCCAAGTTACACCTTTCCTTCATATGCTCCTCCATGTTACAGTTTATGAGACTGTGTTCTCAGAAAACACTTGGAAATGAAAATAATTGCCTTGTTCTAGAAGATAATATTTCAGAAGTGAAGACACAGTATTTTTAGTCAGTGGATAAAAGGGAAAATATAGTATTCTTTCTTCTTAGGGTGGTGTTACTGATAGCTCATTTGGGAATATCACATATAATTATTCAAGCTCACCTAAAATTAATAGATACAATACAAAAGGAATGACTTGAAGGTGGGCCTGCTGGATATTTACCAATATCATTCTGAACATTTTTAAGGATACTTTAAGGCATTTTAGCTTCTGTATGTCAAAGATGTCTTTGAAAATAGTTTTTTATGGTGGACCCATACCTTATCATAGTAGAGGCAGAAATCCCTGTTAGGGATTAGTACAGTCATTTCAAAAAGGGAGGATAAAGGATTGGATAAGGGTTGTAGTATCTTAGAAGGTTGTCTCAGAATTGAGATATATTTTGAGAGTCCAATTTTCTAGTGAACCGTATGAGGAAGGTGAGGGAAAGAGTGAAGACAAAGATGAATCCTGCATTTCTAGTCTAGGAGATTGGGTAAATTATGGTACTAATTCCTGAGAGGAGGGGATTGTATGGGGGAGAATTTAAAAATCCTGTTTTGTACATGACATGTTTGAGACTCCTGAGATCTCCAGGTAGAAATATTAGGGAAACATTTGGATGCTCAGGGGAGATGTTAGAGATGGATGCACAAACACAGGAATTATCAGCTTTTGGAGGATTTGAAGTCATGCATCTGGATGCAATCACACAGACAGAAGGAGAGACTGTGGATAGAGAAGGGATATCTCCACACTGGAACCTCCATTGTGTAGACTCTGGAAAGATGGAGAGGATCCACAAAGGAGGCAAAATCAGTGAGGTAGGAGGGGTCCTAGAAGACAAGAGGAGAAAGCCTCTCAAGAGAGTCAAATTCTACAGTCAAGAAGAATTGAGCACTGACATTAAAATGGGCCAGAGCAGTTTGTAGCAACCCAAGGGGGCAATGGAGAGAGGTAAAGCCTGGTTGGAGGGGCTCAAAAAGAGAATAGGAAGTATCTACAGACCTTTGCTCCTCAAGGCGTGGTCCTTGGTGGAGAACCATTGGCATCACCTGAGAGCTCATTAAACTTGTTAAGTATTCAGAATCTCTCTCTCTCTCTCTATTTATTTATTTATTTATTTATTTATTTATTTATTTTAGAGATGGGGTTTCACTGTGTTGCCCAGGCTGGAGTGCAGTGGCTATTCAAGGGCACAATCATAGCACACTACAACCCCAAGCTCCTGGGCTCCAGAGATCCTCCTGCCTCAGCCTCTCAAGTAGCTGAGAGTATGGGAATGCTGGAGACTTACTGAATCAGAGCCTGAATTTCAGAAAAGTGTCTAGATTATTTGTATGCACTTTCAAGAAGTGTTGGTCAGCAACTCTATTGAGGAGTTTTGCTGCATACATGAGTAGAGAGAAACAAGGCCATCCTCCATGATAGCAAAGGGAGATGTTGGGTAAAGGATTATTTTTTAAAGTAGGACCTAATACAATGCATATTCATGCTGATTGGGATGATCTCTTAAAGAAGGAAACATTTTTTATGGCTACATAGTATTCCATGGTATACCATGGTGGGTACCTAGGTTGATTCTAGATCTTAGCTATTGTGAATAGCACAGTGGTGAACAAATGAGAACATGTGTCTTTTTGGCATAAGGATCTGTTTTCCTTTGGAATAAAATAATGTCCTTTGTAGCAACATGGATAGAGCCAAAGGCCTTAATTCTAAGCAAATTAATACAGAAACATAAAACCAAACATTGCATGTTCTCACTTATAAGTGGGAGCTGAACATTAAGCAGACATGGACATAAATATGGGAACAATCGACACTGCAATCTACTACAGTGGGGACGGAGGAAGGGGGTATGGGTTGACAAACTGCCTATTGGGTACTATGCTTACTACCCAGATGCAATATACCTATGTAACACACCTGCACATGTATCCCCTGTATCTGAAATAAAAATTGAAATTAAAAAAAGATGGAAATATTTAATGACAATAGAAAAAATTAGGTAATAGCAAAAGCAGTGACCTAAAGGGGGCAAACAGACAAGGAATCCTGGATACAAGTGGAGGGATGGGCCCAAATAGAAATAGGAGGGAAGACAGAACACATGGCCTCATTGCAGGGAGAGTTGGTTCATTTGTGATGGAAGATAGAGTCACTCTCATTTTTCCCCTGTTTTCTCAGTGAAATAGAAAACAGATTCATTAAATGAGAATAAGCAAGGAAGTTGGTATTTAGAGGTTATAGAAAAATCAGGATATTTGAACCAGCTTCTCTAGGAACATAAACACAATTTGCAAAAGAAATGTAGTAGAATTATTGGACAGTGTTAAGGATCTACTTAAGATTCATGGTCATAGATTAAAAATAAAGATCACTGAGCATAATTACATATTTTTATGAATCCATATGAAGCTATCCAGGTGCAGTCACAAAGTGGGAAGAGAATTGGATTTAACCAACATTGGGGCTTTGCCACGCAAATATGGAAGTAGTGAGTAAGGAGGGACTGTGGAATCTAAGTAATGGGAGGAAGAGATTTAAAAAAAGTTGGCCCCAGAAAAAGGTCAGGACAAAGGCTTGAAGCACCTAGTGCAGCCAGAGACTGTTGGGATTAAGGTGCAGGGTAGGATTCCTAGATTTAACCAATAATACAGGAATCCCGGTTACGTTTTAATTTTAGAATAAAAATGAATGTTTTGGTATAAGCATGCCTCAAGTGTTTTATGGACATGCTTAATCTTAAAAAAATTATCTGAAATTGTTTATCTGAACTTCAAATTTAACTGGGCATCTTGTGTTTTATCTGGCCACCCATCCCAGGAGAAAGTGAGCTGTGAAGTTTAGAGGCCACTGTCTGAGAATTGAGGACTTTAGGGTGACATATAGGCAGTGTTCCAATTGCTGGTGTATTAGTTAGGGTTCTCTAGAGGGACAGAAGTAATGGGATAGATGTGTATATTAAGGGAAGTTTATTAAGGAGTATTGACTCACATGATCACAAGGTGAAGTCCCACAATAGGTCATATGCAAGCTGAGGAGCAAGAAAGACAGTCAAAATCCCAAAACCTCAAAAGTATGGAAGCCAACAGAGCAGCCTTCAGTCTGTGGCTGAAGGCCCCAAGAGCCCCTGGCAGATCACTGTTGTAAGTTCAAGAGTCCAAAAGCTGAAGAACTTGGAGTCTGATGTTAGAGGGCAAGAAGCATCCAGCACGGGAAAGCTGAAGACCGGAAGACTCAGCAAGTCTGGTCTTCCATCTTCTCCTGACTGCTTTATTCTAGCTGCACTGGCAGCTGATTAGATTGTGCCCACTCAGATGGAGGATGAGTCTGCCTCTCGCAGTCCACTGACTCAAATGTTAATCTCCTTTGGCAAAACCCTTCCACACACACTCAGAAACAATACTTTGCATCTTTCAATTCAATCAAGTTGACACTCAATATTAACCATCACTGCTGGCAATGGGAGGTCTAGGAATGACCATGAGCATGAGGGGAATGGCTTCAGAGGGCTGGAAGGAGTGACCAAGGAGGTAAAAATTCAAGGCTGTGAAGGGATCATCTTCTTCTTGACAGATACTAAATTTGTGAAGAAAGAGAACGAGAATAGTGATGAAGAGGGTGAGCCAGTGAGTCATGTGCCGAAATCCCCAGCAAATGGTGGGAAAAGACTGGATGTATTGTATACAGCTGCCACATGGAAAGGCAGCCTCCAAGGAGAGGTGGCCAATGACACTCTGATGGCACCCATGTTAATGGAACCTGGGTTTTTAAGAGAGAAGGACAAAGAAGACATAGCTACCTGGATGCAATGAGGAACAAGGAGGATACCTTCCTCCCATCCAGATGTATGTGGGATTGGGAAAGAGAAAATGAGGGCTCCGTTTGAGAGGCTGGCAGGAGAAGCAGGGTCCTGAAGTAAAGATAGGTTTCAGTTAATCGTGGCGTTGAACTTGAGAGAAGCCTTTAAAAGTACAGATGAGCTGGGCTCAGTGCCTCAGGCCTGTAATCTCAGCACTTTGGGAAGCCAAGGTAGGTGGATCACTTGAGACCAAGAGTTCGAGATCATTCTGGCCAACATGGTGAAACCCCGTCTCTACTAAAACTACAAAAATTAGCTGGGCGTGGTGGTGCAAGCCTGTAATTGCAGGTACTTGGGAGGCTGAGGCAGGAGAATTGCTTGAACCCAGGAGACGAAGACTGCAGTGAGCTGAGATCATACCATTGCACTCCAGCCTGGGTCACAGAGTGAGACTCTGTCTCAAAAAAAATAAAAATTAAAAAAAATAAATGAATAAATAAAAGTACAGATGCCTCTGTAGTTGACATGCCATGAAGGCACATGGTGAAGCTAGGGTGGGGTAGAGAATAGGGAAGGGTGGGAAATCTGGGGATGTCGAAGTCAAGTGTGGATGGCAGCAGGGGTGGTGCTGATGGGTGGCTGGCATCTCAGCTGAAGTAAATGGGGATGATGCAAGGCTGGGGGCTGCTGCCAGTGGTCCGTTAGTCACACATAGGTAATCTGTTTTTTTATGGGTTGATCTCTCAGGTGGTTTGTGGTGTGAGTTCTGGGAGGAATGACATCCTGTTGGAAGAGGGGGACAGGGGCATAAAGGCAGTGAGCAGAGAAGTTTACCAAGAACATGTGGTGCTCTGGACACCCCCACTACTGTGGGCAAAGCCCAGGGGAAGGTGCAGGTTGAATTCTGGGAATCCTAGATGCCATGCTTAAAGCCCTCATTGCATTGCCTATTAAATTCCAACCTAGACCAGGTGCAGTGGCTCACACACCTGTAATCCCAACACTTTGGGAGGCCAAGGCGGGAGGATTTGTTGAGCCTAGGAATTTGAGGCTGCAGTGAGCTATAATTGCACCACTGTACTTCAGACTGAGTGACAGAACAAGATCCTATGTCAAAAATAAATAAATAAATAAATCCAACCTAGATTTCAATGGAAAGGATGATTATGAGTTATAAATGAAAAAAGAGTTACTTATTATTTATTCTTTAGAGGTGGAAGTTACAAATAATCGAATTTTTATAATATACTTTTTGCCATAGACTTTTGTTTCTCTTTTTCCTTCCCTTCCTTCCTTCCTTCCTCCCTTCCTTTTCTTCCTTCCTTCCTTTCTTCCTTCCTTTCTTCCTTTCTTCCTTCCTTCCTTTCTTCCTTCCTTCCTTTCTTCCTTCCTTCCTTCTTCCTGTCCTTCCTTCCTTCCTTACCTTATATTGTGTCTTGTCAGTAGACAATGGTCAGGGCTTGTGTTCTAAGCAAGTCCAACTGCATTTTTCCCAATGTCATTAGACAGTGGTGCTCAGGAGCAGCTCAGGTCCAAATAATCACTTCTGGCTCCTCGGTTGTAATTAAACCAAAGCATTTAGGATTCAACAACTATAACACATACATAACTACCTAGAGACCGAAATCCTCCATGTTCTTACCCTGATGTAGCACCAAGCTCAAGTTTTGGATATTGGTACATGACAAGAACAAGATATCTGTAACCCTCGGCGAGTGGTGTGCTATATGTATCTAATTTTGGTAATGACAGTTTTTCTCCTGGTCCACTGAGTCCCTTGCACAGAGATAACTGGAAATGTCATGTGATCTAAGGGGCTGCAGGGTGGCTCGCAGCCTTCAGTGCCTTTCTCTAACAACCAACTATAGGACCAGAGGTTCTCACCATTGAAATTCATGCTATGGATAAAATGAATAATATTTTGGAATAGATGTGCCCCAAGGGTTGTATGGACACAGTCTTTAAAAAGTATCTGAAATTATTTATATAAAATTCAAATTTAACTGGGCATCTTGTGTTTAATTTGACCATCCACCCCAAGAGAATGTGAGCTGTGAAGTTTGGAAACCACTGTCTGAGAATTGAGGGGTTTAGGATGAGGTATGGGCTGTGTTCCAATCACTGGCAATGGTAGTTCTAGGACTGACCATGGGTATGAGGGGAGTGGCTTCAGAGGGCCACTGCAATGGGCCATAGGAGCCATTTCCTTTCATTCTATAGATGAGGAAATGGAAGTGACAGGTGGTTCAGGTACCGCAAGTCACACAGCTACTGAGTGGCAGGTAATTCAACCCAGGTCTCTCTGGTCCAAACCAAACATAAAAATGTGTTGAAATGCCTGCGGCTCCTCACTAGCCTCTCCAGCCAAGGTCTCCAGGCTGTGTGCAGACCCAGCCCATCCAGCTCACCTCCATGTGTGCAGACCCAGCTCACCCCTCTGTCCAGACCCAGCTCACCCCTGTGGGCCCAGACCCAGCTCACCCTTGTGGACCCAGACCCAGTTCACACTTGTGGGTTCAGAACCAGCTCACCCTCATAGGCCCAGACCTAGCTCACCCCTGTGGGTTCAGACCTAGCTCACCCCTGTGGGCCCAGACACAGCTCACCCCTGTGGGCCCAGACACAGCTCACACCTGTGGTTTCAGAACCAGCTCACCCTCGTAGGCCCAGACCCAGCTCACCCCTGTGGATTCAAACCCATTTCACCCCTGTGGGTTCAGATCCAGCTCACCCCTGTGGATTCAGACCCAGTTCACCCCCGTGGGTTCAGACCCAATTCACCCCCGTGGGTTCAGACCCAGTTCACCCCCGTGGGTTCAGACCCAGCTCACCCCCGTGGGTTCAAACCCAGCTCACCCTTGTGGGCCCAGACTCAGCTCACCGCTGTGTGTGCAGATCCAGCTCACCCCCATGGGCCCAGGAGGTACTGATTCCTTCATATTCAGTCTCAGAGTTGACTCCCATCCCATTGATTGAGAGAGAGGGACCAGCCCACCACAAGCAGTCAGACTTTGATCCTCTATAGCCCTCTGAAGTGGGGGTCTTCCTGTGGGTACCCCCAATCCAGGGCTCCTGAGCAGCCTTCCCACAGACCCACAGGCCCTTCAGTCTGAGAGGTGGAGGTCCCATAAGACACCCGCAAAAACCCTCCCACCTAGTCATTCTGACCAGAGGGCAGAGGAAGCATGCTTTTTAGAGGAAAACAGAGAGATTTATAGAAGTGAAGGCCTGAATGGCAGTAGACAGGAAAGGAGAATGGAAAACAAAACATCCAGAGCCCGGTTCCTCTCCCAGCCTGATTTCAGATTGATTGCCTTATTAAAGGGCCCATGTCCAGGTAAGCAGCCTCGGTCTAGCCCCTGCTGGCACCTGTCCCCGCTCCACTGAGCACGCCCATGTCTGCCAGTGGCTGACAAATCCCAGAGGAGCCCCCTCAGCTTCCTGTTCCAGATGAGATTTCTGGAACTCGGTGTCCTTTCCTTTCTCTGACAAACATGAAGTTATTTGATCTTCACTCACTGCATGAGACTGCTATTTCTTAGACAAAATAAATCACTTTAAATTGGCTTTGACCAGTAAGCTGGAACCAAGCAGTGTTTTCTTCTCCTTTGCCCCCACTTTTGGAGCCTAAATGTACTATAATTAAGGCCATTATCAGCCACTTGAGTTGGGGATGGGGGAATACATTTAACAGGCGGTGGAGACTGAAGTGGCTGAAATTTCAGTTACTCCGCCAGCAGACAAAGCTTTGGACATTATCACCATTTTCAAAACATTTTCACTAACAGTTTCCTCTTGAATATAGAAGGCAGGTTTTTTTTTTTTCAGGGTCATATACCTGGTTTTTGTTGATTTTAGAAGTTATGAATACAGACAGTTTCTAAAATTGGCCCTTATGTGATTGTACTCAATTTTACAGGGAGACTGTCTAGAATAGTAGGCAGTTTGTATTTTTATAATAGAATTTATGGTTAAGACTGAGTAGGTGGACTTGACCTTTGATCACCAGGTATATGCTCATCATCTTTGCCATTATCCAGCTTTGGATAATGTTTAAATAAGGCTGGGTGAGGCAGGGTTAATTAATACTGCTCAGTGCTCTCTGTGTGCCAGGAATTATGGAGATTCAGAGACCTGATCCATGGTGTTCAGGAATCACAAGACAGAAAACACAGACAGAAAGGACTGGAGCACAGAGGCAACCACAGGGCCTGCCAGATCTTGTAGGAGTCTGGGGAACAACTTCCCTTAGCAGTACTGATGTCACATGTTCAGTATAATCAAGACCAGAAAATGTTTCTTTCCTCTTCAAGAATAGATCCAAGGTTTTATATTTTGAAATGTAATCTTTTTCAATCTTAGTACTCCAGCATTCTGATTTCATCAGATAATCAAACGGGAAAATTGTTTAATCCATAGATAATACACTTCCCTGGCAGATTTTTTGAGTGGCTATTTCATAAAGTGAGCCATGCATTAAAAAGGGCAACTCAGGGGCCATCCACATTTGATTTTTGACACAGGGACATAGATTTCCAGTAAATCTAGAAAACACACCATTGTCACAGAGCTGGGCCTTGAATATTCATACCAGGAGGGTGCATCGACACGCACACCATCATTCTGCACGGCGGTGAGGGTGATAATGAATGAGTTGCCTGTGTCTATGTGTGACTTATCCTCCATTACACTACAGAACTGGATTAAAAATTGTACCCATCTTTGTGATACCTGCAGTGCCAGTTATAATGAGGGCATAATGCAATCGGAATAGGCAAGTTTGACACACAGAATCTTCCACTTCTGCTTTTATGTGACCATACAGTTCCATTTTCTATGTATGCCTCCTTCACACAGATTGATCATTCCAGCAGACAGTGCCTGGGAAAACCCTTGTGGAGAATGGGGGCTCAGGCTGCCTTCAGGTTGTCCCTCTGCAACTTCCACTGTCCAGGGAAACTAGCTTCATATTGGCCACCTGCTGCCTTGAAAACACACATGTGTCCGTGACCCCTGCCTCAAATGAGCACGTGTCCACACCTGCTGCCTCCAATGAACATGGTGGTTCACACCTGCTGCCTCCAATGAACATGGGTGTCCACACTTCCTGCCTCCAATGAACATGGGTGTCCACACTTCCTGCCTCCAATGAAGACTCATGTTCAGCATCTTTTGCCTCTAAGGACCACCCATCTTCCTGTTTTTCCTCTTGAATAACCAAAGCTGGGTTGCTTTCCTCCACTTGCCATATATTGAGATATTTGACCAAGCCCTCTGCTCCTCTTAATGACAATAGTAGGAAAAGCACAACTTTGATACTTGGATCTGGTTTTCATCCTTATCCACCAGTTACCTGCTATATTATCATGAACATATATTTATTCATTTTGTAAAACGGGGGTAATAATACTTACAACGTTATTATAAGAATTAAAGTGGATAAAGTGTGAAAAGTGCACAGTTACACCCAGGCTTCCGCATATGTAGTCTCCTTCCCCCATTTTCTATCACTTTATCCAATTAACACTTGTGTGAGTCCCTAGAGCTACTGTAACAAATTACCACAAACTTGGTGGCATAAAGCAAGAGAAATTTGTTCTCTCATATTCTAGAGGCTAAAAGTCCAAAGTGAAATGTCAGCAGGGCCATGCTCTCTCTGACAGGTATGGGGGAGAATGCTTCCCTGCCTCTTCCTAGCTCCTGGTGTTGCAGCAATCCTGTTTTCCCTGACTTGTGGCTGCAACTCTCCAGCCTCTACCTCTGTCTTCACATCACCTCTTCCTTATGTATGTCTGTGTGTGTTTTTTCCCTTCTTAGAAGGACACCATTCATGGGATTTAAGACCCAGTCTGAGCAGTGTGACCTCATCGTAACGTAACTGATTACATCTACAAAGACCCAATTTCCAAATAAGGTCACATTCTGAGATTCCAGGCTGATATGAATTTTGGTGGGACACTATTTAATCCACTCTAACACCCTAAGTTGCTATAACATTTTTGGAAGGACATGGGGTTATTCCTGCTTAAAATCCCCAGATAGTCTCAATGCATTTAAAGCCTACAAACACCTACTAAAATATTTGTTTTTTCTTCTTAAGAAATATAAAACTTAGCATTTTCATCATTATTAAAGTGTTAATGACCTACTGCTGTGACTTTAATAGTACAAAATATTCTTTCACACCTCTCTGCAGGCCACCTGGCTTGCTGGACAGGTTTCTACTTAGTGCGAATGTCATTATCAGGTTCAGATCCTTGGGGAGGTTTCGAGACAACTCAAATCCTGGGATCTGTGATACGCTACCATCACTTTCAAAAGATACCTTGTTTTCAAACTGTTTTTGGAACAAATCTTAAGAATCAAATTTTTTTTTTTTTTTTTTTTTGAGACAGTCTCGCTCTGTCACCCAGGCTGGAGTGCAGTGGTGCGATCTCTGCTCACAGTAAGCTCCGCCTTCTGGGTTCACACCATTCTCCTGCCTCAGCCTCCTGAGTAGCTGGGACTACAGGTGCCCACCACTATGCCCGGCTAATTTTTTTTTGTATTTTTAGAGAGACCGGGTTTCACCGTGTTAGCCAGGTTGGTCTCGATCTCCTGACCTCATGACCTGCCCGCCTCAGCCTCCCAAAGTGCTAGGATTACAGGCGTGAGCCACGGCGCCTGGCCAGAATCAAATGTTTCTTATTTGTTCTTTTACTATAAGTTGATTCTCTTTAAAAATAAGAGTTTGAAAAAAAATGAGCAGCTAAACCAATATTTCATTAACTAAGCAAGATTTCATGTTTATTACTATCTTTATAAAATATAAAAATTCCCAATACAATACCTTTAATATCAGAGTTATAGGATCTTGAAAATAAAATAATTTTAAAGATACTGACTTTAGTCTCCTTGGTTTACAGTTGAGAAAACTGTTGCCCTGGAGGGTTAAGTGGTGATTGTACAAGGTTACAGGGCTTGCCAATTGCAGAAACCACATTAATATTCAACCTCCTGTCCTCCGTTCCTCTCTTCATACTGATATCTGACCTGTACATTAGATTTTTACAGAATCTTTCAAATTACTGCCGTTGTCTCAAGAGGCTCAAAAAGCTTTTATTTTTTATTTTTTTGCTAAACTTCTCAATCTTTCCCTAGCACTAACTTATTCAATATGATTGGAGAAAATTATTTCTTAAATCATACCTACATTATAACTTTCTTCTTAAATAATATTATTCAATCAAATTTTGTGTTATCCACAATATTCATTCAGAGACGTTGGCATGAAATCTACCTGTAAACTAAATTCAATCCATTTAAAAATGTTTCCTGTTTACTCCCATCTTCCTGTCAGTTTGAACAACTGGTAAACAGTAGTGATATAGACTTACAGAATCATAGTTTTCTTTTAGACCTGTAAGGAACCAAACCATAAAATCATATATCTCTCTCAGAAAATGTACCATTTCCCTGGGCACATGACTGAGTGCCTTGCTTCCTAAGTGCCATTTTTTAACAGATATGCCAGGATATGAAAGATTTCCAGAAACCATTTGGAATAATTAGTGTTCATTCCTGTGTAGCCACAACACAAGTTAATACAGTACCATAGAGAGAGAGAGACTTGGTACCATATTTAAGTATTTCTTGAGTACCTACTATAGAATGAGTGTTCTGATATTTGTGGGAAAAAAAGATGAAAAAGATTTTAAATAATTTCTTCAAGAAGCATGGTCACGGGGTTATGGGCTGAATGTTTGTTTCCTGAAAAATTCATATGTTGAAGCCCTAACCCACCATGTGATAATATTTGGAGGTAGGACTTTGGGACATAATTAGGTTTAGATGAGGTCCTGAGAAAAATTTAAGCAATGAAACTAAAATGAAGGACAGGAGTTAAAGAAACTATTTTCCAATTCACTAATGTATTAGTTTCCTATTGCTGTTGAATAGATTACAACTAACTTGGCAGCTTATATAGAAATTTATTTATTTATTTATTTATTTATTTATTTATTTATTTATTTTTTGAGATGCAGTCTCTCTCTGTCATCATGCTGGAGTGCAGTGGCGCAATCTTGGCTCACTTCAACCTCCGCCTCCAGGATTCAAGCGATTCCCCTGCCTCAGCCTCCCTAGTAGCTGGGACTATAGATGTGCGACACCACGCCAAGCTAATGTTTTTTTTGTTTGTTTGTTTGTTTGTTTGTTTAGTAGAGATGGGGTTTTACCATATTGGCCAGGATGGTCTTGATTTCTTGACCTCATGATCTGCCCGCCTCGGCTTCCCAAAGTCTGGGGATTACAGGTGTGAGCCACCGCGCCCGGCCAGAAAGGTATTACTTTTTAAATTTGGTAGCGTTTGGTACGGACAACTGAAAAATTACCTGAAGTCCTGTTCTAAAGGGCAGATGACCTCCCAACTTGTGTTGACATCAATAAAATTCTATTATCTGCAGCAGTGATATTAAATATAAGAAAGACTTCTATCATGATACTGCAAGCTCATTATGTTATTTAAACGGTATAAACCTCTCATTTCTGGGTGGTTTTGAATGTAAGCATTTTTTCTGAGAGATTTACAGCTTCAACTTGAATGGGAAAAAACTATTGGAGATGCTAATTGGAATCTACTAAAGATGTTTTTTAGGCATCTCAGCCACTTCAGTGATTTCTGATGAAACATAGACATTGGCTTTTATATGAAACAGGGGTGGTAAAAAGTTAAATTTATAAACCCTGGCACCAGAGCTCAAATCCTGCCACCATAAGCCGGCTGTGAGACTTGAAGTTCCCATGCTCATAGGGGTGACCACATAATAAACATTAGCTATTACTATTATTTCTTTGATAGCTGGAGAGATGGCAAAGACAAATGTAGTTACCTTTCTGAAGGCAAAAGTTACTTTCAACTGTAGTGTTTGAGGCATTCTCAGCTTCAAAAACATATTATATCTGGGAGCCTCAGATTATCAGGCCTGTGTTCTTTAGTGCTTTGAGGGAAAGAGATTACTTTTCCCTTTGCATTTGATCATAGCTTCAAAGTCTTGAATGGCTCTGGAGGGCTGTTTACAGACATGCTCAGAGCATGTTCGTGAGTTATTATTGAAGAATACTGAGACCAGAAAAGGCAACAATTCTCCATAAAGTAGCTCTTATAAAATCCAAATGTAGAGTTTACCTTACTTTTCTCGTCTGTATTATGTTGAGAAAAATACTACTTACCTCATTGAGTGGTTGTGAAGTTCAATAAATGTGGATTATGTATTAGTTCAGAGCACCTGCTACCTAAATATTAGCTGCTTCTCTTATCAACATCATAACCATCACCATCACTATCATCATCATCACCATCAACATCATCGTCATCATCGTCACCATCATCATCTCCTTCATCATCACCATCAACATCATTATCATCCTATTCATAATAAACATCATCACCATCGTGATCATATAATCATCATCATCACCATATTTATCAACATCATCGTCACCATCATCATCTCCTTTGTCATCACCATCAACATCATTATCATATCATCATAAGCATCATCATCATCATCATGATCATATCATGACCAACACCACCATCAACACCACCATAATCACCATCACATCACCTTCATTGTCACCATCATCATCGTCGTCATTATGACCATTATTATTGTTATTATCATGTAGTTTTTTCTCTTTCTGGGCCTTAATTCAGGATATTACTACTATCATATCACCATCTAGTCTTTTTCAGGATTTTTTTTCTGACTCAAAAAGATGTTCCTCTTTTTTTCAACAATGCCACACGATGCCTACCTTTCTGCTTACCCATCCTCAACGCCTCCAAAGCACCTCTGGCATCACTTCAAGCAGTGGTCATTCAACAAATGCATTTTGACCTTATATTCTCTTCTTCCTTTCCACCCTTCCCCTCAACAATTTCCTCAATCTTAGATTTTTATGAACTAGTTAGTTAGGAGTACATATTTCTAATCTTTTCCACTTGTCAATAGGACATTCAACTTGGATAGCCTGCATGTACAAAGCGTATTTCAGATTGATTTCAATATTATCTCTCTAAAATAAAATTTTCAACCCGGTTCCATTGATTTATTTTCATTAAGAAATGTAAGACATAATATAAGTAGTCCTAGTGGAAGGGAAACAGACAGTTCCTGAAGTCCTATTAGGAGGTTTGAGAGCCATCTCTGCCATGCACAACCATCATCTCAGCCCATTTGAGGAGGTGATGCAATGGCGACCAGACAATAAAAACAATTGAGTCAGGACTTAACGCATGGGGCTAGTGGAGATGGCTAGGGCTTATGTTCCTTTCCACAAGGAAAGGCTTCTTCAAACTTGCTGAAGACAGTGTTAAGAGACTTACTTTGTAAAAATTGGAGGTATATTCAGAAAGGGGAGGCTGACATCTCATTTCTCCTTGGTCTGCAGTTTGACTTGTCAATTCACCCCTCTGCTTATTTAAGCAAGAGTGGGCATGGGGTGGAGGGGGATGTCAGGGAAAGGGCCAGTGGTAGTAAATCAGGCTGCACTCCCACCACTTCATGGCACAGGGGTGATTGGGTTTCATTTGGGTCTAGTGGCCCCAGCGGCCAATAAACTGACTTAGATTGTTTTTACACCTAAGAAGACAATTTGCAGAAAGCCAGGGGAACCAGAGCCGAGGGTCACTGGAAGAAGCAAGTCAGGTACCATCTCCCAGGTTAGGAAAATGTGCAGTGGGGCTTCCTGCATGGTCTCCAGAAGCAAAACACACTGTGCCACATGGGAGCAAGCATGCAGATGCTGGCCATAAAGATGGCATCCAATGCCAATCTGGGTCAACCAGAAAAACAGAAAATGAAACACAGAGAGTTCCTCTTTCCTTCTTAGTCTCCAGCCTACAAGAGGAGAAGAGGGAGGTATCTTGTGTTTCACCCTTCCACTCCAAGTTGCTGATGTTTGGAATATAGACTTAAGACCAAGCACTGATTTGTGAATTGTCTTTCTAGTAATCTTGATAACAGCAAGTAACACTGAGGTATGAGGAAGGGGACTTGCCCCAGTCCACAGACCCGTGTTACAGCATGAAGTTCCAAGCTCCACATTTTCCCCTTCCCCCAGAATATTCTGAATTTCCTTCTGTTTGTTTTATCAGTACAAGGATGGAACCATGCATCTTTATAGTATACTTCCATCAGGAATGAGTTCTGGAGGGGTCGGTGGCCATAGGAAATGATGGGGGGTGAAATTGATGCAGGGGATGTCGCTGGCAGTGGTCACCATGATTTGAATAAGTATTTACTATCTCCTAAGCCTCCAAGATGATGTGTCCCCATTTCTGGATGTATTCTCTCTTCTTGATTAGATAATCTCAGGTGTTGTGATACTGTTTTTTCAACTACCCAGCTCTTGAACATACCTATAAAGTCTACTGGTGTACTGTTTTAAATTTTACCATTTTTTTTCAGAAACAAGAGTTTATCAAAAACTCCTGTGGAAGAAAGGATCATCCTGCATTTAGGTACTTAAATATTATGTCTTCGAAACAAATTCCTACAAGATAATGATAGCACAATGGTAAACTTTTCAAGCTCTAATGCCTAGAAGAAAATACCAAAGCAACGTTCATACACATGAATGCCCTGAGTCTGCCGAAGGGCTTAGGTAACTGCCAGAGATGAATAGCAGAAAATCCAGGAGTGCAAGAATCAGTGAACCATGTTCACTGCTATGTCACATATATTTTGTACAATAGGTCTCAGGTGGATGCATGTGACATTGTGAAATAATAAGACTGACAAACCAAAAACATGGGAGACAGGTTACTGCAAAAGATATATCTCTCCTCCAGCAACTTAGAATCCATCACTCTCCAGCGGGTTGGCCCCTAAGTTCTTTTGACTGTGGATCCTCACCCAACTTCTTCCCTGGCCTCTAATCTAACATTCCAGTTATAAACTGCTCTGAGCACAAGGCTCTTCTTTATCACCTCTGTACCTTGGCTGCTTCCTTGGTCTGAACTCTGTTTCTCCCCCTTCCTCACCATTTTTGTTGCTTTTTCCACAGCCTCAGAGACCAAGCCAGGCTGCAGCTCCTCTGGGTGCCTCCCCCATGCCTGCCCACTGAGGCAGAGACCCTCCTTCCTCATGCTCCCACAGCCCTTCTTCTCTGAGACCTGGCTCCTGAAATCCTCTTGCTGAGTTGTCTGTGACCTCAATTGAGTGAATAACTCCTCATGGCCAGGGGCTGTGTTTCCCCATGGAGCCCCAGCACCTGCCAAAACCTCTGACACACAAGGAGCACTCGGTGAGCTGTGGACAGATGCATGAACAGAAAGACAGCCTTTGAATTCAATGATTTTGCCCGTTCCTCGTTATGATGATTGTATGGAGGAGTGGGGAGTAAAGCACAGTTCAGCTTTAGTTGGACGAGTATCACTATCATCATTCATCCTATAATACATTTATCCCTTTCAAGGGAGTCACTCTGCTCATTCCCCTCAGTAGGAGAGAAATAAGCTGAAAGTGGGTGCTCCTAGGATGCAAGTACAGCAAAGTTCCCCTTGACCAGTCATGTGGGCAATGACTGTGGCTGGGACAGTGATGCATGAGGACTGAAAGGGGTTCAGAGGTCATGAGAACAAAAACAACCCAGAAGGTGCTTTGCTTCTGTGAACACATCCCGGGTTCTTCTATTTTACAGCCACACAAACCACTAAGACCAAGTGTCATTGCTCCCACTAATGATAGAATTTTGATATAAATAACACTCAGCTGGCAGTCCAATTTGAGTTGTT
This sequence comes from Homo sapiens, assembly GCF_000001405.40. Lineage (NCBI taxonomy): Eukaryota > Metazoa > Chordata > Mammalia > Primates > Hominidae > Homo > Homo sapiens. The sequence continues at coordinate 7,218,515 of NC_000005.10, forward strand.
ATGCTGGAATTTTTAACCTGAATGTAGGAGTCTTGTACAAAGCTAAGTTTAAAATTATTTGAGTGGAAATGCAAAAATCAAAGGGATAAATTCACGTTGAAATATTGACAAGCAGTTTTCCGGTCCACATCTAATTTTCTTAGAAAAAGGACGAAGGTTGTTCCAGGCTATCATTCTGTCATCTTACTTGTAGGTGTTCCAGTGTGGGGACACTATACTGTCTCATTGTGAAAGATGACAGCTGGCCAGCTGCCTTCTAATGTCTACTCCATCGTAACTGACCATCCAAGGACGCACAGGTCTGGAGCTGCAAAAGGAGCAGCACTAGGAAAGAAAACCCAGTCTTCTTGAGGTTGACTTCCCTTATGGGGTATGAACTGGCCACATCCTTCATATAGAAAATTGAATAATTTAATAAGGAATGGTCTAACTCAGATTCTAGTTCTATCTGTTTATTTGCCTGGTAATTACAGCATAACAACTCAAATTGGACTGCCAGCTGAGTGTTTGCCTGGGGCCAGAGATTTCCTTGTGCACATACTGGTGTTCCCTTACACCAAGTAGAGACTGATAAAAAGAAAAAATAATAATTTTGAAAATCTGAATTGGTATACTCTCAAAAATTAATATAGCATGCCAAATGGAAGCCTTGAAGCCACCCCTCAAACTGGTTAAGTAGTTTTCTAAATGACCATACCCCATCCACCTTAACTTCTCTTCAATGTACTCACCAAGCTGCTGCAAATTGATCTTTGTATTTTTCTTTCTAAATTGTGAAATATTTCAAGTATAGAACATAATAATCACCGACAAACTCAGATGCTCAGATTTAATAAGTCTTAAAATTTAGAAAATTAATGTTAGATTCCTGAGTTTTCTTAAAAGAAGTAAAGAGTTAAAAAGCCAATTAAAATCTAACCCCCTTCCTTCCCATAGGTAGTTAATTGTTCTTCTGAGGTTAAGAGACACCATTTCCATGCATGTTTGCATGAGTTATATATATAGATACTCCTTGACTTACGATTAGTTTCCATGCTGAAAAACCCATTTTAAGTTGAAAATACTACAGATTGAAAATGCCCCTACAAACATGTATACATATGTAACTAACCTGCACATTGTGCACATGTACCCTAAAACTTAAAGTATAATAATAATTAAAAATATATATATATAAACATATTGTTGCTTCAATATAAGGAAAAAAAAGAAAAAAAAAGAAAATGCATTTAATATGCCTAATCTATCAAACATCATAGCTTAGCCTAGCATACCTTAAATTGTGCTCAAAACACTTACATTACCCCACAGTTAGGCAAAATTCTCTTAACACAAAGCATATTTTATAATAAGGGTTGAAAAGTTGGGCTATTGTAAGTCAGGGATTGTCTGTATTTGATTTTATCTATGACATGTACATGTGACTATATATACATATATAGTGCATAGAATACATACTTCTGATGTTCAGTTTTTACATGGCAATTTTTGAGATTTATATGTATGCATTTATTTATATGTATGTATGTGTGTACATGTAGTTTTTTTCTTGTGCAACAAGGTTTGATGGATATGATGGGTGGATGTTATGGATATTTTCACTAGGTATTGTGGTTAATTTTAAGTGTCAATTTGGAGGGTGTTTTTGGATGAGATTAACATTTAAATTGGTCAACTTTGGTAAAGGAGATTGCCCTTAATAATGTAGTTGGGCCTCGTCCAATCAGTTAAAGGCCTGAATAAAACCAAAAGACCAGCTTCCTCTAGCAAAAGGAAATTTTCCAGCAGATGAACTCCAGACTGGAACTGTGCTGTTGCCTCTCCCGGATCTCCAGCCTGCCAGCCCACACGTCAGATTTGGACGTGCCAGCCTCAATAATTGCATGAGCCAATTCCTTGTAAAATATCTGCTTCTCCATATACACATCCTTTTGACTCTCTTTCTCTGGGAAATCCTGACTAATACATCAGGTACAGACAAGCTTCTCCCCAGAGTGGTTGGCCTAATTCACACTCACCTAGGCAAGGTATAGATTTCCTGTCTCTCACATCCGTTTGGGGTGTGCAAGTCAAGTTGATTTTTGTCAATCTGATGGGTATGAAACAGAACTATCATTTTAAATAGCAGTCCCTTGATTCATAATAAGCATCTTTCCTCCTTTTTGGTCATTCAGTACCTTTTTCTGTAACTAATTTGTTCACAATTATTTTTGGTCCCCAAATACACTATTTGCCTTTTTGTATACATCTAAGCAGGAGTGATTGAACAGGCTAGATAATCTTTTTCTTTAAAGTTAAATGTGTAAATGGTGTTTTCTCTTGGTCTGTGGAATGTCCCTTCACCTGCATGTCCAGTGTTATTTGTAATATCTAGTTTTAATTATAATATGGTCAAATGTATCAATCTTTTTCATGATAGTGATTTTTGTGTCTTGTTGAAATAATTTTCCCATTAAGATATACCATATTGACATTTTGGGCTGGATGAAAAATAAAAGATACACCATGATTTTAAATACTTTTCTTTTTCTATGTGACTACACCTGATAATTTATGAAATCTGCAAATAATAGAATCAAAGTAGTAAAGAAAATGAATAAACTACAGCTACACTTATCAACAGAAATGACATGATAGACTTTGAATTTACAGACTTTGGATTTCACCAGATTTTAAAACTTATGTCCCTTTTCTGTTCCAGAATCTGATGCAGGATCCCACATTGCATCTGGTTGTCATATCTGCTTCTGCGTTTTACGGGTTCTCAGTATTTCTTTGCCTTTCATGAAGTTGACACCCTTGAAGAGCGTTGGTTAGTTTTATTTTTGGAGAATTTCCCTCAATTTGGGTTTCTTTGTTCAGAATTGCTAATCTATAGCTTGTGAGAAACCAAAGTACTAATCAGAGTAAAGTATTTAATTTTCTCTTCCTAGATTCTTAAGGTGGAAGCTTAGATTACAGATTTGAGCCCTTTCTTCTTTTCTAAAATGAGCATTTTTTTAGAAATATCCCTCCAAGCACCTCTTTAGTTGGCTGCCACAAATTTTGATGTGTGGTATCTCCATAATTTTCATTCAGTTCAAAACATTTTTAAATTGCCTGTATACTTCCTCTTTGGCCTATGGGTTATTATATTGTATACTGTTTAACTTCCAAAGATTTGTAGATTTTTCCACATCTTTCTGTTATTAATTTCTAGTTTTAATTCTAGACTCGAGCAAATATGTTTTATATTTTTTATTCTTTTAACTTTGTTAACTTTTATTTATGGCCCAGAGTATGGTTAATCTTGATACATATTCCATATGCAGTTTTTTTTTTTTTTTTTTTTTTGAGACGGAGTCTCGCTCTGTCGCCCAGGCCGGACTGCGGACTGCAGTGGCGCAATCTCGGCTCACTGCAAGCTCCGCTTCCCGGGTTCACGCCATTCTCCTGCCTCAGCCTCCCGAGTAGCTGGGACTACAGGCGCCCGCCACCGCGCCCGGCTAATTTTTTGTATTTTTAGTAGAGACGGGGTTTCACCTTGTTAGCCAGGATGGTCTCGATCTCCTGACCTCATGATCCACCCGCCTCGGCCTCCCAAAGTGCTGGGATTACAGGCGTGAGCCACCGTGCCCAGCCCCATATGCAGTTTTAAAAATGTATATACTTCTGTTTTCAAATGAAGTGCCAGTTTATCAAGTTGTTCTTCAGTGATTCTAAGTCCTAACTTATTCTATTAATTATAGGGAGACAAGTATTGAAGACTCCAATTCTAATTGTTGATTTGTTTTCCTTTCAGTGTTATCAGTTTTTGTTTCACCTACTTTGAAGTGCTTGTGTTACGGGCGTACACATATATTATCATTCTGCCTTCTTAGAAGATTAAATCCTTTATTATTGTGTAATGTCTCTTTTTATCCCTGACCATACTTTTGTTCTGAAGAGAACTTTGTATGAAATCAATATAGCTGCTCCAAGTTTCTTTTGATTGGTGTTTATCTGGTATATTTTTTCCTATATTTAAATTTTCACTTACCCATGTGTTTATACTTAGAGTGAGTTTCTTGTATAGCACATAATTGAGTCTTGTTTTTATTTTATCTGACAGTATTTTTACTTAGCTTGTTAAGACAACGTACATTTAATGTAATTACTGATATTTTCATTAAAACACACCATATTGTTAGCTGTTTTCTATTTGTTCCATCTCCTACTTCCTTTATCTTTTCCTGCCCTCTCTTGGGTTTTTTGAGCAATTTTTATGGTTCCATTTTTATTTCTATTGTTGAGTTATTATTTATAACTGTTCATGTTTTTGATAGTTAGCTTAGGGTTTAAAATGTAGATCCTTACATAATAAGAGTCTATATTCAATTAATATTACATGTCTTTATGTGTAGTATAAAAACAATAAAAGTGTATATTCCAAATCCTTCCTTCTTACCATTTGTGATGTTGTTGCCTTACAGTTCACTTTTACATATACTATGAACACATCACACAGTGCTACAATTTTTGCTTTACACAGTTATTATTCAGAGCAATTCAGAGGAAAAAGAAAATAAAAAAACATGAATTTCATAACACATTGATTACATTTTCCACATTCTTTTACTTTGTAGATTCAAGTTTTCACCCAGTATTGTATTTCTTCTGCCTTGCAGAGCTGACGTTACCACTTCTTGTAAAGTGGGTCTGCTGGCAATGAATTCTCTTGAGTTTTTGTCTAAGAAAGTATTTATCTTACATTTTTGAGGGATATTTTCACAGAGCATTAAATTCTGTATTGACAAACCTTATTTTCTTTCAGCACTTTGAAGTCATCAATGCTTTTTTTTTTTTTTACTTTCATGGTTTCTGACAAGAATTCTGCTGAAATTCTTATCTTTATTCCTTTATATGTCATTTTTCATGCCTTTCTCTTTATCTTTTGTTTACAACAATTTGAAAATGTGTCTAGACGTTTCGTGTTTGTTTTATATTTTAGCATATATTCTGCAGAAGGTTTCTGAGTTTCATGGGTCTGTGGTTTGATGTCTGAAAATCACTTAGGAAAATTGTCAGACATTGTTTCCTAAAATATTTCTTACACACTATTTTCTCTTTTCCTTCTGAGTTTCCAGTGATGCACATAACCAATGATATTTTTTATAGCTTTTGGATGCCCCTTTCTTTTTACTTTTCAGTCTTTTTCTCTGTGTTTCAGTTGAGTAATTTTATTGACATATTGTCAGGTACACTGATCCACCTCTTAGCTGTGTTATGGGCCCATTGAAAGCATTCTGCATCTCTGTTACAGTGTTTTCCATTTGTCACATTTCTATTTGAGTTTTTCTTACAGTTTCCACCTCTTTGCTAATATTATTCATCGATCTTTCATGGTATATACTTTTTCTGTTGGAAAATTCAACATATTAATAATAGTTATTTAAAATTTTTGGTCAGTTACTATCTATGTCTTATCTGAGTCTGGTTTTGTTTACTGTTTAGTATCTTGGGGAATTTATTGCTTTTTTTTTTTTTTTTGCCTGAAAGACATCTAGAATACTTCAACACTGGGTAAACAGTTCTATGTACACCTTTCCTTTTGCTCATTCATTCCTGTGGTGGGTTTTGTTAATCTAGTCAAAAGATCGGGATAATTTTTTTTTTTTTTTGTAAAGAGGCAACTAGTAAATATTTTAGGGTTGTGGGCCATTGGATCACCACAGCTCTGCCACTGTCTCATGAAAGTGGCCTCAGACAATACATAAAATGTGGGTATGGCCATGCCCCAGTGAAACTTTATTTATCAAGTAGGCAGGGTAGGCATTTGCCTTGTGAGCCATGTTTTGCTGATCCTTGATCCAGTCAGCAGTTGTGCTGGGCTTGAGGTTTCTTGTTGCTGTGTTTACCTTCAGAGTATTGCAGGCTTCAAACTCTCCTAGCAATACCTTGGGTTTGGTATGGAGTCTGAGTTTCTAGAGGTTTCTTCTCAAAGTCTGCCCCATCTTCAGCTTTACGTATCCCTTTTCCCTGATCCTCAGGGAGAGCCTGTCTCATGCATGCTTCCTAGTAATGTTTCAATATTACTTTTAACTGATGCTTATTTGCTGCCCTGGGATGGACGGAGTTCTGATGTCCTGATTATCCCTTGGTCTTACAGCTTGTATCCCTGGGTCTCATGGCCTCCACAAGAACCATGCCTCTTCTCCAGCTGGAGGTTTGGATCTGATATGTATTCTCACCCCTCCTCCAGGGCTGACAGTCTTTATTCTCTTCCCTTCCCTCAGCTGCAAGACAGTTCTGTTGCCCATCTTACCCCCCAGCAGATGACAACTTTATTGTGATGGGAAAATGGGGCAGAGGGATCCAGGTTGATTTTTGCATCACCTTTCTATGCCCCCCGGCATCTTTGTCAGGACTCCACAGTCTTCCCTGGAGCATCTGGTGGAGTTTGTGGTGAAAGATCTTCATGAAGATGCAACTCCCCACCCCCACCCCAATTATTTGCATCCCCCAGGTGCAGCACAGGCTCTCACCAGCCTGCATTTGGCCTTCACCAGGATTCATTGACTATTTCTACAGAACTCTACTAACTGGGTCCAGATGCATCTGAGCCAGGGCAGCAGGTGCTGGAGTCTCATCTCTTTCTATGGACACTGGTTCCTCCCTAGAATTTGAGTTCTTTAGTTGCTCTGTGACCTCAGCTCTCTGATGGGTGCAACTCAATCATCAGGAACTTGCAATTTGCCTAATTTTGTTCTTGCTGTAACAGTGTGAGCAGTATTTCTTCCAACTCTTCACATCCCTGAGTAGAAAACAGAACTCTCAAATTTTTAACATTTCATGTTTACAATTAGATGTTTAATTATCCAGAATTTTGTTGATATTGTGTGAATTAGATATCTGATGTTATTGTTTTTCCTTATGGCTAACTTTCTTTTCTTATCACACATTTTTTTCTTTTTTTGCTGTGTTTTTTAAAATAGCTTATATAACTTACATTTGTATTTTACATAATTTAAAGCCTATATATGCTAAAGGTTTTGAACTCAGTATTTTACAATTTTAAGTTTCTCTGGTATTAGTACTCCTAGTTGTACTTTCTGTAAGATTTTCATATAGGATTTTTCCATATGTGTTTTATAATTTTCAAGTCATGCTTGTTTTGTGTGTCTCAATCCCACAAAGCCTCAATGGATAAAATATTCCTGCATTTAATTTTGGGTTTTGGTTTAATTATTTGAGACGACTCAGTATCGTCAGTGGCCTAGGACCACTTTTTATATTAATCCTTCTAATTAGATTTTCCCATGCTACCTGTGTAGCATAAATGTGAACTTTCTACTCAGGTGAGATTGTGGTCTGGAATTTTAATTTCTCCTTGAAGATATTTTCTCAGAGGCAAGGCAGGCCCGAGTTGTTCCCTGTCCTAGGAGGAGGCAGAACGTGTCTGTCTCTCTTTCTCTGGCTTTGCAGCCCTCTAAGAGTTGCAGTATTATACACGGGCTTTGAACTGCAAGCTCATCCACTGTGCAGGCAACACACCGTTAGAGTGGCTGCTGCCTCTCAGGACGGTGCCTCTGGCTCTCAGCTCCACTTTGCTTCTGGGCCTGGCTGTCTATAAATCTTTCTTGGAAATTTAACCTCACTTAAAGACAGAAAAGCACACACTCATTATTTCAGTAAATTTTTTTAATGGAAATCTTGAAAATATTTGTCACAGATGGGGTGAAGCTAGGGGCACTCCATGAGTGACACTGTCCAGCAAGCTTTGTCCTGGCTCTGCCCTGGGCTCCTTCCTCCACCCTCGTCTGTCCTGCCTGTCTTCCACCGTGGGCACTGCTGGTGCCCGAGAACTTGCTGGACCTGTGCACCATGTGCCACAGCTTCAGAAACTCCACTCCCCTCCAGCTTCAGCCTGGGTGGGTGTAAAAGTTTATCACCTTCTTCTGAAGTGTTATGTTCAGGTGACATTAAAGTGCGTCTTTTTAACCCTAGAACTAGTCGCATCATGCTGTCTCAAAATTCCATCAGATGGTCAAAGCCCAGCAGGGACGATTCTGAAATGTTGAGTTCCTACATTCCTTCAACTGAGTAGCACTTGCCCATTTGGCCCCTAGACATCTACTTTTATGATGTTTTAAATAAAAATGTTACATTTCAATCTCTTGAATAACCATCCATCTCCTGGCCTCTTAAAGATGAAATCTTAAACAATTGCACACCTGATGGAGATGTTTCGCTGCCATTCTCTTTGAGGTTCTCTATTCAGCTTCTTAGGATCTAAAAATCTTCCCTAAGAAATATCTGACCTAGCCAGATTTTGGATGTGACGTTCCCTCATTCTCCCTGCCTCGTTCATATCCCACCCCTACTGATGCTCCATCAGCCAAGGCCCTGCTTAGGTGTCTCATTCTCCAGACACTGGATGCCTGCCCTTCTGGGTGCATGCCACCCTGACTGTCTCCTGATGCTCAGAGACCTGGCGATAACTTTGTATCCTGCCTAGGGAAGCTTCCCCAGGCATCCCAGAGATGGCCGCTCGCCCACTAGGAAATCCACTTCTGCTCAGTCTCATGCTCGCTGGCCCTGGCCTTTTGTAGCACCAGGGACCTGGATGACAGTGATCATGTTGGCCCAAGTCTGTATGTCCCTGCTGAGACCTACTCAAGGTCCTGCCTGCTCAGCCAACACTATCCAGGGATGATGTTCGGATTCTTTCTCCAGGTGCAGGAATGGCTCATAACCAGTACAATGATGTAGCTTTGTGCATGAGGTATTTTGGCTTAGGTTTGAAATATTTTTAAGTTGCCAGTACCTCTGTAGATTTCATATTCTTCCTGTGCGAAGAGCAGCACTGTCAGGAAGAGGTTGTGATGTTGTAGCCTGCAGCTTTGGCTCTGCAGCTTGGCTTGTCCAGCATGTTCCCACATGATGCAGAGATGTGATGGCTATTGTCCTGGTGACTTTTGGAGAATGTTGCCTCTCAATTTGGCCCCATATGAATGCAAAGAAATCTCTACTATGTGGTAATCAGTGCAGTGCTGTGGCTTTCATCCACCTAATCTATAAATAAGGAAGCCAGACAGAAAAATCAGACAGATACATCTGTCTGTGAAAGGATTAAAACAATTTCCTTATGTAAGCCATGGTTTAAGGAATACAGGCTGAAAATGGCAATGACTTAGAAATAAGCTGACGCTTGAAAAAAGGTAAGGAAAAGAGGTTTGAGTTTGAAAGTTGATGAATAAGAATACTTATGAGTTAATACCTCTTAGTCTCTTTTTAACTGTATTTTTAATGCGCTTCATAAGAGTATCTCATGTTCCCTTTTGACCAGAAAACAGAAGCCAAGAGAGGTTTAGGACTGCATGAGGTCTTAGTGTGAAGTTACTGAGAAAGTGGATGAGAGCCCAGATCTCCTGTCTAGTCTGAGTTTCTATATATTTTTGCAATAATGCCTACCCTCCACTCTCCAGGTCCTGCAAACCTCATATAGGGTCGGGTGTAGCTAAGCCAGGATATAGGGAGGAGAATAAAGAGGCTCCCAGAAAGCTCTGCCCTGGGCAGGGGGCTGCCTTGGAACTTCCATAAGTCTCACTTTGATGGGGGGAAGAGATTACAGAGCAGGACTTGCGTGGAGTGTGTGTGCAGGGTGTATTAAAGATCACACTTTAGATTACTGCTATAACATTTTATACTTGTCCAGGCAGCAGCAAAGTTCCTGACGTGGTGGCATAGAGCATGCAGGTCAGCCAGGTCTCCTGTGTTGGCAGTGATATTGGAATAATGCCAACTCATACGGGATGCTCTACTTCTTAAATAAAGGATTTTTTTTTGGTACATATTGTTTAAAGCATTTTTAAGAATACCTGCATCTATCTTATAAATTTTATTTTTAATAGTGATTCTGAAAACACAATAACCATGCCACTTTCACATCATTCTAAGCCTAAGTCTGGGTAAAATCACATAAGAGTTCATGGGCCAAACCCCAGAGAATTTAGGGCCACAGAGGTCTACTGGAAAGTAAGAAAAACAAAAGAAAGCAAAACCTCTTGGATAGTCTATAAGCATATTGCTTTATTTTTATGTCAAAACTCTATGTTACCAGAAGAGATATTTTTGAGAAAATCCCACGTAGCAAAATGGTAACATTGAGCTGAAATATTTTCATGAGAAATATGTACTTCAGAATGTAGTGTCAGTTTTGTTTTTAAAGTGTCTGAGTAACAAAGGAAACTTATTTTCCCTTCATAAAAATTTAAAACATAAATTTTTCAAAAAATAGCCTAAGCAATATCTGGGAAAATATGATTAACAAATTAACATGCTAAATATTTACAGATTATAATTAAAAACTCATTCAGGACCCATTTTAAGGGGCACAGGAAAGCAAAGAATATAAAAAGACAACACAAAAATTAAAATGTAGTTATAAAAAGAGGTGAAAAATTTTATCCACACTACTGAATAGAGATACGCAGTTCAAAATAATAATAAGGTAAAATTAGACAGCATTTAACATACTTCAGGACTAATGGTGCTTTATACTGGCAGAGCTATAGTGAGATGGACACACTTTGGCAGCAGAAATTGGTACTTACTTTTTGGAAAATTACTTGGAAATATGTAGCTAGAACCTCTAGAATTATTATTGTTTGAACAGTAATTTCAATTCCTGAAGACATAATATGTAAGACAGTTGAGGAAATACTTCAATGTCTTGACAAAGGTGGTCCCAACAGTGTTATATATGAAGTTAAATATTGTAAATAGCCTATTGAGGCTCAATGATGGAAGAGAGCATAGGATAAAACATGAGACTTCAAGTAACGTTCACAAATGATGAAGAATTTTAGCAGCGGTGCTGCTATAGTGCAAAAAGGTAAAAATGAACATACAAAATTTTATATGCACCCACTTTTTAAAAAGTTCTCTGAAAATATTGGTTAGAAAAACACCAAAATGTTAGTAGCAATTGCTTCTGGGTGATGAGATTATAAGTACTTTTCATTGTAGGCTTGTGTTTTGTGTATATTCAAAAGGTTTTGACGTAAGCATGCTTCGCTGTTGTATCATAAAAAAAGAAAACTAAAAATCAGATGCCTGTGTGGTTTCTACTAGTGGCTTTTATGTTAATGAAGGTTTCCCGACTCCCCTGCATTCTCAGCACTCACTGTGGCATGTGCTTTACTCAGAGGCTGGCAACCACACACAGTAACATCTTCACTCCCCGTAATCAATTTTGATTGGTGTTGGACACAGAGACCTTGGTTTGCAGCTTCCAGTGGAAGAATGACTGGAGAAATCATCACCTTGTCACATTCTTACAGGGCTATATTTTCAACATCAAAATCATTTCCCCAGGAGAAACATGAAAATGGAAGTTTCCTTTTAAAACCTGCTCGTGAGTGTAGAAAATCACACAGGAGTTGGGGTACGGAAACGGTGGCGTCTGTAAGTGTTGCTCTATGGGAAGGTGGGATAATGAGATTTCACCAAGGCCTGGATAGCAGGAGGCCTTGAAATTGTGCAATTGTGCTGATGAAGTAGCAGCTGGAGCACACGTCTAGCATTCTCTTCCTTCAGAGGCCGTTTCAGGATTTCCTTTCATGGCAACTCACACATACTTCTTTGCTGGTTTGTATTTGATTTAAATATCACGTATTGTGACATGATTTCTTCAATTTTCCTGATACTTTCATGCTAAAATGAGGGTGGGGCAAGAGCAAAGGCAGTAGCCGGGTATGAATTTGCCATTACCTGCCACGTAGGTAAGCAGGGAAGTACAATGGACACCGCGTATCTGGAAGAAGCTGACCAGGTGTACCACACGGTTTCTGGGGAAGGGATCAGAGGAGACTCCAGTGTGGTTCATTTAGAATCTTAGAATTCCAAAATAATTCAGAATTCTTTCACATCCATCTTAATATAGGTATTTGGTTATACAAGTGGTGATGGAAGAAGTGAAAAGGCAGACAGGATGGGGCGGTAACCCAGAGTGTAATAACAATGGGAAACTGTCGCCACCTCTAGTTTAGGAAAAGCAAAGTTGAAAATAGATACATGTTAATGTATTAGAAATCTCAGTACTATAAAGAAGTCAGGGGAGGGCGGCCAAGATGGCCAAATAGGAACAGCTCTGGTCTACAGCTCCCAGCATGAGCGACGCAGAAGATGGGTGATTTCTGCATTTCCATCTGAGGTACCGGGTTCATCTCACCAGGGAGTGCCAGACAGTGGGCACAGGACAATGGGTGCAGCGCACTGTGCATGAGCCGAAGCAGGGCGAGGCATTACCTCACTCAGGAAGCACAAGGGGTCAGGGAGTTCCCTTTCCTAGTCAGAGAAGGGGGTGACAGACAGCACCTGGAGAATCGGGTCACTCCCACCCTAATACTGCGCTTTTCTGACGGGCTTAAAAAACAGCACACCAGGAGATTATATCCTGCACCTGGCTTGGAGGGTCCTATGCCCACAGAGTCTCACTGATTGCTAGCACAGCAGTCTGAGATCGAACGGCAAGGCGGCAGCGAGGCTGGGGGAGGGGCGCCCACCATTGCCCAGGCTTGCTTAGGTAAACAAAGCAGCCAGGAAGCTCGAACTAGGTGGAGCCCACCACAGCTCAAGGAGGCCTGCCTGCCTCTGTAGGCTCCACCTCTGGGGGCAGGGCACAAACAAACAAAAAGACAGCAGTAACCTCTGCAGACTTAAATGTCCCTGTCTGACAGCTTTGAAGAGAACAGCTGTTCTCCCAGCATGCAGCTGGAGATCTGAGAACGGGCAGACTGCCTCCTCAAGTGGGTCCCTGACCCCTGACCCCCGAGCAGCCTAACTGGGAGGCACCCCCCAGTAGGGGCAGACTGACTCCTCACACGGCTGGGTACTCCTCTGAGACAAAACTTCCAGAGGAACGATCAGACAGCGGCATTCGCGGTTCACGAAAATCTGCTGGTCTGCAGCCACCGCTGCTGATACCCAGGGAAACAGGGTCTGGAATGGACTTCTAGCAAACTCCAACAGACCTGCAGCTGAGGGTCCTGTCTGTTAGAAGGAAAACTAACAAACAGAAAGGACATCCACACCAAAAACCCATCTGTACATCACCATCATCAAAAACCAAAAGTAGATAAAACCACAAAGATGGGAAAAAAACAGAGCAGAAAAACTGGAAACTCTAAAAAGCAGAGCGCCTCTCCTCCTCCAAAGGAACACAGTTCCTCACCAGCAATGGAACAAAGCTGGACGGAGAATGACTTTGACAAGTTGAGAGAAGAAGGCTTCAGACGATCAAACTACTCCAAGCTACAGGAGGAAATTCAAACCAAAGGCAAAGAAGTTAAAAACTTTGAAAAATTTAGACGAATGTATAACTAGAAAAACCAATACAGAGAAGTGCTTAAAGGAGCTGATGGAGCTGAAAGCCAAGGCTCAAGAACTACGTGAAGAATGTAGAAGCCTCAGGAGCCGATGTGATCAACTGGAAGAAAGGGTATCAGTGATGGAAAATGAAATGAATGAAATGAAGCGAGAAGGGAAGTTTAGAGAAAAAAGAATAAAAAGAAATGAACAAAGCCTCCAAGAAATATGGGACTATGTGAAAAGACCAAATCTACGTCTGATTGATGTACCTGAAAGTGATGAGGATAATGGAACCAAGTTGGAAAACACTCTGCAGGATACTATCCAGGAGAACTTCCCCAATCTAGCAAGGCAGGCCAACATTCAGATTCAGGAAATACAGAGAATGCAACAAAGATACTCCTCGAGAAGAGCAACTCCAAGACACATAATTATCAGGTTCACCAAAGTTGAAATGAAGGAAAAAATATTAAGGGCAGCCAGAGAGAAAGGTCGGGTTACCCTCAAAGGGAAGCCCATCAGACTAACAGTGGATCTCTCAGCAGAAACCCTACAAGCCAGAAGAGAGTGGGGGCCAACATTCAACATTCTTAAAGACAAGAATTTTCAACCCAGAATTTCATATCCAGCCAAACTAAGCTTCATAAGTGAAGGAGAAATAAAATACTTTACAGACAAGCAAATGCTGAGAGATTTTGTCACCACCAGGCCTGCCCTAAAAGAGCTCCTGAAGGAAGCACTAAACATGGAAAGGAACAAGCGGTACCAGCTGCTGCAAAATCATGCCAAAATGTAAAGACCATCAAGACTAGGAAGAAACTGCAACTAAGGAGCAAAATAACCAGCTAACATCATAATGACAGGATCAGATTCACACATAACAATATTAACTTTAAATGTAAATGGACTAAATGCTGGAATTAAAAGACACAGACTGGCAAATTGGATAAAGAGTCAAGACCCATCAGTGTGCTGTATTCAGGAAATCCATCTCACGTGCAGACACACACATAGGCTCAAAATAAAAGGATGGAGGAAGATCTACCAAGCAAATGGAAAACAAAAAAAGGCAGGGGTTGCAATCCTAGTCTCTGATAAAACAGACTTGAAACCAACAAAGATCAAAAGAGACAAAGAAGGCCATTACATAATGGTAAAGGGATCAATTCAACAAGAAGAGCTAACTATCCTAAATATATATGCACCCAATACAGGAGCACCCAGATTCATAAAGCAAGTCCTGAGTGACCTACAAAGAGACTTAGACTCCCACACATTAATAATGGGAGACTTTAACACCCCACTGTCAACATTAGACAGATCAACAAGACAGAAAGTCAACAAGGATACCAAGGAATTGAACTCAGCTCTGCACCAAGTGGACCTAATAGACATCTACAGAACTCTCCACCCCAAATCAACAGAATATACATTTTTTTCAGCACCACACCACACCTATTCCAAAATTGACCACATACTTGGAAGTAAAGCTCTCCTCAGCAAATGTAAAAGAACAGAGATTATAACAAACTGTCTCTCAGACCACAGTGCAATCAAACTAGAACTCAGGATTAAGAATCTCACTCAAAACCACTCAACTACATGGAAACTGAACAACCTGCTCCTGAATGACTACTGGGTACATAACGAAATGAAGGCAGAAATAAAGATGTTCTTTGAAACCAACGAGAACAAAGACACAACATACCAGACTCTCTGGGACACATTCAAAGCAGTGTGTACAGGGAAATTTATAGCACTAAATGCCCACAAGAGAAAGCAGGAAAGATCCAAAATTGACACCCTAACATCACAATTAAAAGAACTAGAAAAGCAAGAGCAAACAAATTCAAAAGCTAGCAGAAGGCAAGAAATAACTAAAATCAGAGCAGAACTGAAGGAAATAGAGACACAAAAAACCCTTCAAAAAATTAATGAATCCAGGAGCTGGTTTTTTGAAAGGATCAACAAAATTGACAGACCACTAGCAAGACTAATAAAGAAAAAAAGAGAGAAGAATCAAACAGACGCAATGAAAAATGATAAAGGGGATATCACCACCGATCCCACAGAAATACAAACTACCATCAGAGAATACTACAAACAACTCTACACAAATCAACTAGAAAATCTAGAAGAAATGAAGAAATTCCTCGACACATACACTCTCCCAAGACTAAACCAGGAAGAAGTTGAATCTCTGAATAGACCAATAACAGGCTCTGAAATTGTGGCAATAATCAATAGCTTACCAACCAAAAAGAGTCCAGGACCAGGTGGATTCACAGCCGAATTCTACCAGAGGTACAAGGAGGAACTGGTACCATTCCTTCTGAAACTATTCCAATCAATAGAAAAAGAGGGAATCCTCCCTAACTCATTTTATGAGGCCAGCATCATCCTGATACCAAAGCCGGGCAGAGACACAACCAAAAAAGAGAATTTTAGACCAATATCCTTGATGAACATTGATGCAAAAATCCTCAATAAAATACTGGCAAACCGAATCCAGCAGCACATCAAAAAGCTTATCCACCATGATCAAGTGGGCTTCATCCCTGGGATGCAAGGCTGGTTCAATATACGCAAATCAATAAATGTAATCCAGCATATAAACAGAACCAAAGACAAAAACCACATGATTATCTCAATAGATGAAGAAAAGGCCTTTGACAAAATTCAACAACCCTTCATGCTAAAAACTCTCAATAAATTAGGTATTGATGGGACATATCTCAAAATAATAAGAGCTATCTATGACAAACCCACAGCCAATATCATACTGAATGGGCAAAAACTGGAAGCATTCCCTTTGAAAACTGGCACAAGACAGGGATGCCCTCTCTCACCACTCCTATTCAACATAGTGTTGGAAGTTCTGGCCAGGGCAATTAGGCAGGAGAAGGAAATAAAGGGTATTCAATTAGGAAAAGAGGAAGTCAAATTGTCCCTGTTTGCAGACGACATGATTGTATATCTAGAAAACCCCATTGTCTCAGCCCAAAATCTCCTTAAGCTGATAAGCAACTTCAGCAAAGTCTCAGGATACAAAATCAATGTACAAAAATCACAAGCATTCTTATACACCAATAACAGACAAACAGCCAAATCATGAGTGAACTCCCATTCACAATTGCTTCAAAGAGAATAAAATACCTAGGAATCCAACTTACAGGGGACGTGAAGGACCTCTTCAAGGAGAACTACAAACCACTGCTCAAGGAAATAAAAGAGGATACAAACAAATGGAAGAACATTCCATGTTCATGGGTGCGAAGAATCAATATCGTGAAAATGGCCATACTGCCCAAGGTAATTTATAGATTCAGTGCCATCCCCATCAAGTTACCAATGACTTTCTTCACGGAATTGGGAAAAACTACTTTAAAGTTCATATGGAACGAAAAAAGAGCCTGCATCGCCAAGTCAATCCTAAGCCAAAAGAACAAAGCTGGAGGCATCACACTACCTGACTTCAAACTATACTACAAGGCTACAGTAACCAAAACAGCATGGTACTGGTACCAAAACAGAGATATAGATCAATGGAAGAGAACAGAGCCCTCAGAAATAACGCCGCATATCTACAACTATCTGATCTTTGACAAACCTGAGAAAAACAAGCAATGGGGAAAGGATTCCCTATTTAATAAATGGTGCTGGGAAAACTGGCTAGCCATATGTAGAAAGCTGAAACTTGATCCCTTCCTTACACCTAATACAAAAATTAACTCAAGATGGATTAAAGACTTAAACATTAGACCTAAAACCATGAAAACCCTAGAAAACCTAGGCAATACCATTCAGGACATAGGCATGGCAAGGACTTCATGTCTAAAACACCAAAAGCAATGGCAATCAAAGCCAAAATTGACAAATGGGATCTAATTAAACTACAGAGCTTCTGCACAGCAAAAGAAACTACCCATCAGAGTGAACAGGCAACCTACAAAATGGGAGAAAATTTTCACAACCTACTCATCTGACAAAGGGCTAATATCCAGAATCCACAATGAACTCAAACAAATTTACAAGAAAAAAAGAAACAACCCTATCAAAAAGTGGGCAAAGGATATGAACAGACACTTCTCAAAAGAAGATATTTATGCAGCCAAAAGACACATGAAAAAATGCTCATCATCACTGGCCATCAGAGAAATGCAAATCAAAACCACAATGAGATATCATCTCACACCAGTTAGAATGGCAATCATTAAAAAGTCAGGAAACAACAGGTGCTGGAGAGGATGTGGAGAAATAGGAACACTTTTACACTGTTGGTGGGACTGTAAACTAGTTCAACCATTGTGGAAGTCAGTGTGGCGATTCCTCAGGGATCTAGAACCAGAAATACCATTTGACCCAGCCATCCCATTACTGGGTATATACCCAAAGGACTATAAATCTTGCTGGTATAAAGACACATGCACACATATGTTTATTGCGGCACTATTCACAATAGCAAAGACTTGGATCCAACCCAAATGTCCAACAATGATAGACTGGATTAAGAAAATGTGGCACATATACACCATGGAATACTATGCAGCCATAAAAAATGATGGGTTCATGTCCTTTGTAGGCACATGGATGAAACTGGAAATCATCATTCTCAGTAAACTATTGCAAAGACAAAAAACCAAACACCACATATTCTCACTCATAGGTGGGAAGTGAACAATGAGAACACATGGACACAGGAAGGGTAACATCACGCTCTGGGGACTGTTGTGGGGTGGGGGGAGGGGGGAGGGCTAGCATTAGGAGATATACCTAATGCTAAATGACGAGTTAATGGGTGCAGCACACCATGGCACATGTAAACATATGTAACTTACCTGCACATTGTGCACATGTACCCTAAAACTTAAAGTATAATAAGAATAAGATAAAAAATAAAAAATAAATAATTAAATAAAACTTCTTATAGTTCCCTAAAAAAAAAAAAAGAAGTCAGTTCTCCCCAAATTGAGCATACATTCAAGGCGATCTTAATCATAACTGCCAGAACATTTTCTTTGGAAATTAGCAAGTTGACTCTAAAGTTATATGGAAATGTAAAGGATCTAGAATAACCAAAATAATTTTGAGAAAGAACAAAGTTGAAAGATTTAAAATTGTTGACTTCAAGAGTTACTAAAAACCTATAGTAATCAAGAGAGTATGGTGTTGGTATAAGACAAGAAAGATCAACAAAAGAAATAAAAAGTCCAGAAATAGACGTTCACTTATAAGATCAACTGATTTCTCATAAAGGTGTCATAGCAACTTAATGGGGGAATTAATGATTTTGAATAAATGATGCTGGAATACCTGGATATCTGTGGATAAAAGAGGCATTTATGTAATTCCACTTGCTCATTGAATTCAAATGCAATCAGAATTTGTAAGGAAAGCCAATGGACTTGACATGAAAAGGTGACGTTGCTGAAACCCTTTCAGTGGAGTTTACGGACAGAAGGTAGAATGTTGAGGTTTGAGGGGGTGGAAGTGGCAATGAGGATGCTGAGAAGAGACGATCGTCAGGAAGTGAGGCAGTGAAGCAATCACTAAGGAAGCAAAGTAGATTGGAACTCAGACAACAGAGCTGTGATGGGACCTTTTTATTCACGATGAGAGCTCAACAATTTCAAGATGAAGGGAGGGCTGAGAGGCAGAAGGAAGATCGCTGATGGCTCTCATGAGCCCAGCAGAGAGGAGGATATGCTGTCTGTACTAAAGCCAGAAGGCTTGGGAATGGAGAGAACTACTCCTGCCTCAGAGTAGCAGAGAACGAGGTGCAAACAGGAGCAAAGCTGTGCACAGATGTGTAGGAGGGAGACAGAGAGTGTTCACCTGCCAGCCTCAACCCCCTGGGTGCAGTGGGTAGGGTAGTTTGGAATCCCAGACAGTGGAACAGGGAAGCAGCCACTGTGCCCTGTCCCAACCAATGGTCAGAGCCCTGCTGCACCTGGAACCGTAGACTTGTCTTTGGCTTCTTGAGCCCTGGTTCTCCAGGAGCTGCACCTCAGAAGTGGAAAGGCATCTTTTCATAAGGAATCATTTACATGTAAATTGCTTATTAACTGTTCATAGTAATTCACCTCAAGATGCATATGGAAATCCACCAGGGTGCCCTATTCATTTATTGGATGGTCAGCAATTATGTATTACCACACCACGTATCAGGCACTTTTCTAGGTACTGTAAATATATTTGTAAAAAAGGTAGATGGCCTTTCTCACGGGGGCTAAATTCATTGAGAGCACAGAGATGGGAAACAAATTATACATAAGAAAAGATGAATGGGCAAAATGGGGAAACGCACAGCAGACACACAGAGCAGTGTGACAGAGAAGGGACCAGGGGGCCTGCCTTTAAATGAATAGCCAAGGAAGGACTCTCCGAGAAGCTAGCATCTGATCCAAGACTTAATAATAGGAAGGAGACAACCATGGAAACCTGCAGATGGAGCAGTCAGGCAGAGAACAGAGACTCTCAGCTGAAGCTGAGACAGCTGCTGGTCTAGCCATCCAAGATAGCATCTGAGAGATGGGTGAGCGGCTGGCCTTGATAGGGCAGGTGGATATTACTCAAAGCATAATAAAACATCACAGTGGGTTTTAAGGAGACACTGAAATAATTTACTGTATGGTGTTTGTTTGTTTATTTGTTTGTTTGTTTTTTTGACAGTGAGTCTCGCTGTGTAGCCCAGGCTGGAGTGCAGTGGCACGATCTCAGCTCACTGCAACCTCTGCCTCCCGGGTTCAAGCAATTCTCCTGCCTCAGCCTCCCGAGTAGCTGAGACTACAGGCACATGCCACCACGCCCGGCTAATTTTTGTATTTTTAGTAGAGACAGGGTTTCACCATGTTGGCCAGGATGGTCTCAATCTCCTGACCTCGTGATCCACCCGCCTTGGCTTCCCAAAGTGCTAGGATTACAGGCGTGAGCCACTGGGCCCGGCCTGCTGTATATTTTAAGGGAACACTGGGCTGATCTGTGGGGAATGGAGGATGGGAGTGCAGAAGGCCCAAGGTGTCTGTTTAGGAATTGGAAGGAGGTAAGAAATGCTGGGGGCTTTTCTTACTTAAATATCTTGCCTATCTCTTGTCTTTTGTCTTCCTGGTCTCCTTCCTTGTGCCTTTGTTGGCTAAAACTCTAAAAATTGAAGAAACAGCATTGCTTGGGCCACGTGTGGAATGCATAGCAATCATAAGATTAACAAGTTCCACCCTATTCTACATTTTTTTCCTAAATATGTAATATGCATGCGTGATGTTCTTGTTTTTCGGAAAAATGAGAATTATATAATAAGTCCTAAATATAGAATTTGTGGCAGAAACTTCAGAAATATTAATTAATTGTTCACAATTCAATGCAGGGTCTTGCTGCATAAATTCTTATTAAGCCAGAATGTGAATAGTACAAAACCAATGAATGAATATTTTATGCGTGATTCAGCAAGAGATTAGGAATGCCAAACCATTATGATAGGGAATTAAAAAGGAACTTAGAAAATCACAGCAACTAAAATGTTCACAATCAAGATGATTTGAGGTTTTTTTTTTTTCTTAAACAAGAGGCTTTTCAAGCTACCTAAACTGTATCTTTTCGTTAATTTAGTTTTATTGAGCTGGCCATGATAAAGAACTTCAGCATATTTTATATCATTTTATACTTGTTTTACTGGAGTGATTCACTTTAATTTTGCCTTCTGTGTATGATTTTTCTCTCAGAGATAGCTGACCCCAATACAATATATGAAGGAGTTAGCTTATAAAAACTGGACCTAACTACCATTTATTTTTTAGTTAAACATTTTGAGGTAATTACAGATCCACATGCAATTGTAGAAAATAACACAGAGATCCCACGTATCCTTTACCCAGCTTCTCCCAATGGGAACATCTTGAAAAAGTACACTACACTTTCATGTTCAAGATGTTGACATTGCTGGGCGTGGTGTCTCACGCCTGTAATCCCAGCACTTTGGGAGGCCGAGGCGGGTGGATCACTTGAGGTCAGGAGTTCGAGACCAGCCTGACCAACATGGTGAAACTCCGTCTCTACTAAAAATACAAAAATTAGCTGGACATGGTGGCAGGCGCCTATAATCCCAGCTATTCGGGTGGATCACTTGAGGTCAGGAGTTCGAGACCAGCCTGACCAACATGGTGAAACTCCGTCTCTACTGAAAGTATAAAAATTAGCTGGGCGTGGTGGCAGGCGCCTATAATCCCAGCTACTCGGGAAGCTGAGGCAGAATTGCTTGAACCTGGGAGGTGGAGGTTGCCATGAACCAAGTTCACGCCATTGCACTCCAGCCTGGACAAGAGTGAAACTCCATCTCAAAAATAATAATAATAAAAAAGATGTTGACATTGACATGATCCACCCGTCTTAGGTCTCCCAGTTTTCTCTGCATGTGTGCGTGCGCACACGTGCGTGTGTGTAGTTGTATATAATGTTATTAGATGTGCAGGTTCACATATCCACCACCAGTCAAGATTCAGAACCGTTTCATCTGAACACCAAAAAAAAAAAAAAGCTATTTTTTAATTGAGGTAAAACATGCACATGTCTTTTACCATCTTTACCATTTTTAAATGTACAGTTCAGTTGTAGGTAATAAATAGATTTATATTCGTTTTATCCCTTTCATCCTCCTCCCCTTCCCAGCCTCTGGTAACCACCAATCTACTCTCTATCTTCATGAGATCCATGTTTTAGCTCCCATGTATGAGTGAGAACATGCAATATTTGTTTTTCTGTGCTTGGTTTATTTCACTTAACATAATGGCCCTCAGTTCCATCCATGTTGCAAATGACAGGATATCATTCTTTGAATGGCTAAATAATATTTTACCTAGTTATCGGGTAAAATATTCACTTCAGTTTGCTTTTTCAAAATAGTTGTAGCTGTTCTAGGACCTTGCCTTCCTGTGTGACAATCAATTGATTTATCTGTTGGTCTATCTATCGCTCGTGAGCCCTATCTGTCTATTTTTAACTAAAGCATTTTAATCAGTGGCTCAGGATACATGAGGGTGTAATTCACACTACATGTCTTTGTCTTCTGTAACTATTATCTTGCTTCCTTGTTTTATGCCTCATGTGCACATTCTTCAAAAACATTCACTTAATTGGAAACTAAAGGGCATTCGCCTCTAAGCTTTGACAGCAGTGACCTTAGCTAAGTCAATGCTTAGGGTCTTTGAATTCATAGGAAGACTCCTATGAGTCAAGATTTTGAACATGATAGAAATGACATTTTTAATTCAAATATTTAGTTGTTCACAGCACCTTTATTTAGTAAGTGACACACTCAGATAAGACTATATTTTAAGCAACATAAGCTTACTTAGAAATAATATAAATGGACTTTTTCATGTTATATATTCTATTCCTGATGACCATAATCTCTTGCACCCTGGCAGAGATTTTATGAAACAGAAACCAAGTTTGACCCTAAAGATTAATAACACATGCAGCAATTGAAAGTTAGCTGCAAAGAAATAGAGAAAAGTATAATAAATATATATCTGTATTCCTTAAAACCCAGTGGAACTGAGAGGAAGAGAGAACATAATAGAGTAGCCTGAAAATACATTTTTGCTGAGTAAATTTTCCATCATCCAGGATAAAAAATATATATTCTCATTCATATTCTTCCAAGGCCATACATTTTATAATTTGCAGTGATGCAATATTCCAGAAAATGCTCCCATAACTATTGTTGTAAGCAATACAAGTAGGATATGATTTTTAAGGTTTAAAATAAGTGAACTGTTAATTTTCTGTTACTAAGTCACCTCTCCTAAACTTCTTGATTCTTTAGGAAATGGACTGAGTTTTGAAAAAATGTAATCGGCCACAATTAACTCTGTGTGTGTGTGTGTGTGTGTGTGTGTGTGTGTGTGTGTGTTTCCAGATTTAAAGTTAGAATATATTAAAAAGCTAGACAATATTAAAGCTAGATTATGTTAAGCTGAGAAACAGACAGAACATTGTTTTCCTAGAGAACTCATATATTTAGATGGCTGAAAACAGATTATTTTATAACAGATTATTAACTAGTTACTATTATTCAGATATGACAGACTCAATCTTCTATATATCTTAAGAAAAAACTTGTGACCACATATCAAGTAAGCATTTTAAATATAGGATGAATCTTTTTAGGTAAACAGTGAAAACTTAGCCTGGAGCTGTATCCACACCACAGCACATGTTTTGGAATGAAGTCAGCGGGGATAGCTGGGCAGGATGAGCTGTTTCTTTGCATTAGCATCGTGAGTCCCTCACGGCCAGCATGTTGCCATCACTTTTGCTTTTCTCGCCCCCAGAGTAGAACTACAAATAATAGAAGATATTAAATGCCTATGGTTTGCACAGAGCCATCCTGGATTGGTGGGAACAAGTAGCCATTGGGGTCAGACAAACATGCATAATGTCTGTATCAAACAAGGCAGAAGTTGCCAAGTTCCAAAGGACAAGCACGACGTGGCAGGGCACTCATGGGAAGCAGAGGCTACCAGTGATTGAGGAGGGGCAGGAAGAGTCTAATGGAAGAAGAGCCATGTTCACCCAATTCTGAATGTGTTTTGGCAGATAAAGAAGTAGGTCCTGGCCGCTTAAAGAAAAAAAAAAAAGGAAGAAGGAATCTTCAATAATAGCTCCAGCAGAGAGAAAGCCATTAGCGGGCTGAGAGCCAGGAGAACTGTGCTGTGAAAACGAACAATAAGAAAAGGCACTGGATTCAGCCACTTTGAGGAATAGCTCCAAAGAGAAGTGAGGGCCCACATTAATTCAATAAGTAGAAGTTTTCAATTTTTACTCCAACATATGTTTCTTGAGCGCCCATTGCATGTTAATCGTTGGGATAGAGTAGAGACAGCGAGCCCTTCTGCTCTGCCTTCCGGAACCTTGTAGTTTGGTGGTTGAGGCAGATGACAGGATCTGCGAGGGGTAATTAAGGAGAAGAGCCAGAGGCCACAGAAGGTGATAGTGAGGGGTCTCATTTGAGCCACATGGGCCACTGAGTGCTTTGATGCTAGGGCTGGTGTGATCCAGGTCACTCCAGTGGACTGGGGTGCGCAAGAATGGAAGGGGGGCACCCAGGATGCTCACAGCAATCCAGGCAAGATGAGAGAATGCCAGAGAGAGAGGCAACTTCGTATATTGAAGGTAGACTTTGGAGATGATTGGTAAATCTTAGCAATGCACGTGAGAGGGTGGGAGAGATTTCTGGGTACGGAGCCTGAGCAGCTAGGGGTGCCATTCTCTGCAAAAGAGATGGCTAAAAAAGGAGCAGTTTGGGGCAGGAAAGAAAATAACAGTAATACTGGAAATAATAAGCAAATCAGGTAAGACCTACCTGGAAGCATTTTTTTTTTTTTTCTGAGCAGTTGGTATCTGTTGTCTCCCTACAACCCCACAGCATCTCCATTTTGCAAAAGAGAAAACTGAAGACAAAGAGGATAGGCAAATGACCTAAGGTCACACACGAGCAGGACAGCCAGATGGCCACCCAGGACATCTGAATTTGTTTTAGGAAACAATGTCTTTGAGATGCATGTGGGAAATGCACATGGAAAGACATAAACATGAGACCCTTCCACATGAGCCAGGAGCTCAGAAGGTGATCTTCACTGCAGACAGACTATTGGCAATCTCTGGTATAAGGAGAAGGCATTTATTGAAGAGTGAGTGAAAGCTGAGTACAAGAGGCAGATATTACAGTGTCTTCTTTCAAGCAGAAAAGGAAAGAAGAGATGAGACGCATCCACAGGGAGTAAGGGAAGGTGGTTCAAGGACAGGGCAGATTAGACAAGATCCCCCTCCACTTCCACAAAGACAGTGGAAGATGCAAGGGTATCATCGAGCTGGAGCCTGAGGACTGCAGAGCATGGAGGGGTGAGGCCGTTGGCTGGGGGCACAGTGAGTGAGGCAGCAGGAGGAAGCTTTAGTCCCAGGCTAGTGTCACCCAGTGCAGGTGGAAGCCGCAGAAGAATCATGGCACAGATGCTCTGAAGAACATCTCAGACTAAGTGAGCACTCTACAAACACAAACTCAGACAAGACCTGCAGCAAACAACAATAAGGAACATCTTCCCCTACTTCATAAGTGAGAGGCATGAGAGCAGGCATCATACATTTGCACTCAAAGCTGTTTCATATTTTCTGAGGATGGTTCCAAGCAGATCTCTCTCTTTACTTCCACAGAAGAAGAAAAATAAATAAATTTCTGATAAGCTGAATTCTAGCAGAGTGTGGGAGAAAGGATGTTTTTTGAAATATTGGGAATAAAAAATATCTATTGCAACCCACGGTCATTAGTTTGTGTGTTTACTTTGGGGACTCTACATAGATATCCTTATGGCTTGAAGTAAGAATGGGATTGAGCCGTTTATTAAGTGCCTGGCTATTTGAGTTTCCAGGAGGAATAACGGCCTATCTAATGTAATGTGCTGGAAGTGGATCCCACATCAGCTGAGGTCAGGAGACCAGAGCACAGTCAATGGGCCCATGGGGAACACTGGGCACTGCACTGTGGACTCCTCCTGTGGTCTTGCGCTGCAGCAAGACCTGATCTCTGGACTCTGATCTTGTGCTACAAAACCTGATGACATCCCATTTCCAACCCCACTTCCTTCTCCTGGGCAGACAAATAAGGCAATTCTCAGTTTCCCCTGCAGCTCTGCTGGGGCTGTGTGATTGAATTCTGGACAACAGAATCTGAATAGATGTAATAGAAGCCAATTTTTAGGTGTGACCATAAGCCCCATTTCCCAGATATCCTCTTTGTCTCTCCCCATTTGCATAGCTGGAAGTCAAGAAGTCCAATATTTCAAAGGAGCACACGAAGCGGGATGGCTGAGTTACAGTTATTTTTTACAACAGGTAAAATCATGCATTTTTCATTAACTGTTCTGCCAATGCTGAAAGTTAAAGTTAAGGACAGCAAGCCCAGAAGCAAGGAGCAGGGGGAGGCTGGGGGATCCAGGGACGGAGGCTGGAGAGCATGGGCAGGTTGGAAAGTCTCAGAGGAGGGAAAATCAGCTGGGATTGCAGCTTGAAGGGTGTGGGAAAGGTTAAGTGCCTCTCAGGGATTTTTTGTATGAAACATTAATTGCTTTCTGATTGTAAAAGGAATACCAGTTCATCACACAGGATTTGGAAGACAATAAAGATATAAAGAAGAAAAATGAAAGCATTGATAAGATCATTACTGAATAGCCACTACCAAGATTTGGTAGTATTTGCTTCAAACATACATGAGCACTGGGAGCTCTCCTGGGGTGGTTTGCAATAACCTGCTTTGCAACCCTAACTGTCTGTGAGTAATGGCATGAGTGTACAGGAGCGTTAATTACCTCCACAGTTGGTGGGTAACATCCTGAGTGCTTGCAGGAATACCTGCTGTTGGTATGACCAGAGGTCAATTGTCTCTTGTAATAAATCAGGTAGATAGACATTCTAGAAAGCATTTTACTTTACTGAGACACAAAATTCAAATTCCTTGCTGTGTAACTCTGCCAGCCTGAGAATTATTGCTGGCTGTTAATTATTCTTTGTATTGTATTTGAGACACAAGAAATTGTTGAAGTGACTTACTGTTTATAATTAGAAGCTATGATTAAAACTGCTTTAACATTACCCTGGGGCCCTCTCTCCAACATGAAATGATTTCTATAAAAGTGTCAGTGGGTGGTTTGGAAGGGAAATGTTGGCCTCCTCCCTGGTAACTACTTTTCCACCTACAGAGCTGCTCCGATGTCATGGGAAGTCTCCTCAAAGCCCCAGCTCTGGTAATTAAATGAAACACAACCATCCTACACCACAATGGCTGGGCACTCTCCCACGGAATATCCAAAGAAGACAGGAATGAGAAGAATCAGCCATCAATTGCGTTTTAAAATTTAAAATTAAAAGAAGTATTTATATTTCATATTTCCCTTAATGCAAATTTTTGACATTTTCTAAATTTCTACTTATTTTGTATAAAAATGAGCTTATGATATAATAAATGATGACTCCCATATGTTACAAAAACTTGGGTTTTTATTTCAAAAATGAGCACAGACCCATGCTATAACTTTCTAAGGGCTTTAATTGTTTCCCCAAACCAATAAAATTAAAATGACATCTCACAATGGAGTGCTCTATTGCTGTATCTCTTGGATGAGAAAGAAGGAATGGTTCAAATGGAAGAATGAAAGGAAATGAAGAGAAACTATCTGCTAAGAGGGTCATGTGGCTGTTCAGACTAGCACTGTGTTTGTCCTGATTCTTTAGTCCTGTGACATTTGACATTTTTATTTGTAAAGATGACAGGTTGATGGCTGCAGCAAACCACCGTGGCACATGTATACCTGTGTAACAAACCTGCACATTCTGCACATGTATCCCAGAACATGTGCAGAACTTAAAGTAAAATTAAAATAAATAAATAAATAATAAAAATTAAAATGAAAATACAAAAATTCAATGGTTGAAAGGGGGAAAGTGTGAGGCCCTTTTTATTGTGCAAATCACTGGTTGCTCAAGAACCTTAAACAAGACTCACCCACACCTTAGGGTCACCAACTACTATGAGCTACTATGAATCAGTCATGCATGGCAAAGTGGTTGGTGATGCAGAAAAATTCTTTGGCGTTAGAGAAAGTGTGACCTACATCATTGAATTCTGTCAATGGAAGGGTCAGCTCAAGTATCTGATCCTTCAGATAATGTCTATTGATTTCTTTGGCATTGGGAAAAATGTTGAGAACACAAAGAAACAAGACATGATCCCTGACCCCCATGGAAGGGGGAGCAGGTAGGTCATGTGAACAAACAATTTGATAACATTTTACCAGTTCCTTAATGGAGATCAGAAGGGTAGGAGGAGGAAGGCCACAAGCCGTTTCATAATGGAGAGACACTCCATAAAGAAGCTGAGACCTCAGCTAGATAGAACTGAGTAGGGGGCCACCAGCCAAGGCAGAGAGAGCCACAGATGCAAAGCAATAAAATCCCTGTGTTATTTGGAGAAGTGTCAGATACTGCCTTGTTCTCCAACTAAAGAAAGGCAAAGAGAAAAACAGGAAAGAAATTAAAAAGTGTTTATTTCAAACAATTGAGAGAAGGAATTGGAATCCTTCCCTAGAGTCAACCTAACATTGACTATAGCTCAAAATGGTAGAGAAGACGTAAAATTAAAATTCTGATAATAAAATTAATTTTTAGTAGAAATGAGGTCTGCATGGGCTGGTATCCAACTCCCAGCCTCAAGCAGTCCTCCTTCCCAGGTCTCTCAGTGTGCTGGAATTACAGGCATGAGCCGCCATGCCAGGCAGGATGCTCTTTCTGTCCATCAACATCTGTTTCACTTGAGGCCACCATATAAACAGAGGCTGGGATCCAGGAAACCCCTCCTGATTTCTCAAATAAATAAGTCTTTCTCTTTATTTCTCATACCACTTCCTTCCTGGGTTATGGCACTTAGAACAGCGTGTGCTTGCATCTTGATAGTGTGCTTCTCATGTATTCATTCAACCTATTCTCCTGGAGCCCCTACTCCTTGTGAGGCACTGTCCGTGCCCTGGACGGGGAGCAAACAGATATTCCATTGCAGAAGATAGACAAGAAATGATGTAAATAAGTTAAATATGTACTATACTAGATAGTGCTAAGTGCTAAGGGTAAAATGGAAGGTATGGAGGGGGTAGAAGCATTCAGGGAGGAATTGGAATTTGAAATAAGATGATCCAGGAAGCCCTCATGATAAGGTAGCTTTTGAGTAAATATCTGAGGAATGTGGAGGGAGCAGCCACCTAGATATCTAGAAAGAAGGGAAAGCAGCTGACACCAAGAAGGGAGAATGAGGACGCTGTGGTGGGTGGAGAGGGTGAACAGGAGAAGTAGAGCTGATGACAACTTGAGGAAGACAATGAGCCTGGGGAGGGGCCACAGTGGGGGTCTCTGACTTTCATGCCCAGTGACACTGGGAGACACAGGAGAACTGTGAGCAGACCAGTGACCAACACCAACTTCCATAAAAAAAAAGGTCACTGTGGATCCTGGGCTGCTGATAGGCAGACAGGCCTAGGAGCAGGGACACCAGTTAGAAAGCAATTGTAACGGCCAATGCTGAGAGCAGTGATGAGGAGCTGTCGGTTTTGGGTACATTTTGAAGGTAGAGTGAATGGAGATTTGAGCAGACCTAATACTTGAAGGGAGAAATGACAAATGTGGTTCAAGTTGTGGGTTTCCATTAACTGTGATGGGGGAGAATGTGGGAGGAGTTTGTCAGCAAGAGTACATGAGGAGTTTGCGTTAGATGTCTATCACATGTCCAAATGGAGGGGCCAAGTAGACAATTGGGCGTAGGGGTTTTGAGTAAAGGAGGGTTCTAGGCTGGAAGCTTTATTGTGAATAATCAGCATGTGGACAGATCTGAAGTCATACAAATAGATAAGATGACCTAGACAGTAAGCATATGCAGAAAAATAGAAGAAGGCCAAGACCTGAGCCCCAGATACTCGACCATTTGGAGATTTGGTGGTTGAGGCAGGAGCATTAAGAAGAGACTGAGAAGCAGGGTTCAGAGAAGTAAGAGGAAAAAGGAATGGCATCCTAGAAAATGAGTGAAAAGTGTTTCAAGAAGAAAACATGTGGATAAATATGTCAGATGTGGCCTAAGATGGAGAACCGGCCACTGGATGTAGAAACATGGAGTTTGTTGGTCGACAGACAAGACCCAGTTTGGTGGGAAGTGCGGTGGAGCAGGGAAGCCTGACTGTAGTGAGTCTGAGAAAGGATAGAGGAGATGCATCAGAGACAACTGGAAATAACCAGCATGGATGGTTCTCTAAGGAGTTTTGGCCTAAGGAGAAGGAAATAAATAGGATACTAACTGGAGAGAAAAGACAAAAGAGAATTTTTAAAAAATCAACCTTTAGAGATGGGGGTACATGTGCAGATTTGTTACATGGGAATATTGCATGATCCAGAGGTTTGCAGTATGGATCCCATCACCCTTGTACTGAGCATAGTGCCCAAGAGGTGAGTTTTTTAACCCAGCCCCCCTCACCTTCCAGTAGTTCACAGTGTCTATTATTCCCATATTTATGTCCATGTCTGCTCAATGCCTAGTTAACATGGGAGAAAAATAGCCTATTTGTGTGCTGGTGGGAATGATTGAGGAGACAGGTAAATCAATGAGCAAAAGGCAGAGGAGAAGGCGGCTGGAGAACTGTGTTTTGGGAGTGAGTGGTGGTGGAGGCCAGTGCACAGGTTGGGAGCTGGGCTCAGCCAGGAGCAAGGACAGTTCACCACTAGCAGCAAGGTGAAGGTGGTATATGGGCAAAGATGCAAGAAGCTGGCCTGTGCGGTGAAGGGGAATGTGTAGGGGTTATTTTCTTGGTGTAACAGGAAAGCAGGTGATCATATGAGAGGGAAGACTCTCATGGATGTGGGGAGAAACTGCTAGAGTTTGGAGAAGATTGGGGTTGGGAGGAGTAAAACCATCTTCTAAGATCGTGGGAAAGATAACTAGAGAAAGTCAGGAAATATAGGAGTGTAGGAGACACAAGCTGAAAAATGTCAGAAGATAACCAGGCTGGAGGTTGATCTGCTGTCTTGAGATTAGTGATCATGAATTGAAATGAGAAGAACCTGCCTGTTGTGTGTTTTTTCCCAGCCACGTACTGCTGAGTAAGTACACGCAAATAGAGGGAGAACTGAATTTTAGCTATGTTGCATTTTAGCTTAGCACATAAAAAAAAGCAAGAAAATGGAATTGTAATTAAGAGCGAATGACTGACTGTGGGATTAAGCTGAGTTTTAAAGTGATAAGGGGAAAAAAATCCACAACAATGGTGATAGACAATGGAATGGAATGAGACTCCTGGCAGGTAGAAGCATTGCTGTTGCTGGGGTACTGAAAGTAGTGAGCTGAAAGATTAGATAGTTGTCGGAAGAGATAATTTGACATTGAGATTGTGATGGTTTTGGTCCTACAGACGTCAGCGTTCTATTTAGCTTATTAGTTATTGAAAAACCACCTCTTCCCATCACTGGGAAATGTATTCTTCAGTTTAAAGAAGAAAAAAGTACTTGTGTCTCATCAAATTTTCAAATTCATGAAAAATTATTTGCACCAAAGAAAACAAGAATAAAAGTTCAGCAAGATTAGTGTTAAAGTGATGAATACATCACCAAAAGAAAATACTTGTATGGATGTTTATATTTTCTTAGCTCCGTTTCTACAATGGTACAGACCCTGCAGGTATTTCGTCACTGCAGTTTCATCCATGGCTTAGAGACTTGCACAGAGACAGCAATGTGCTGATGGAGACCAAGGAGTAGCTCCTCTGGGCTGAGTGCTGCTGGTCATGCCACACACCCACAGTTTTTTCTATCTGCCAATTGGCTCCAGCCAACTGAGTGCAGATGCCAAGTGGACACAATGAAATTTCTGTGTACATGATTTTAAGCTGAGAAACCTACCAGAGTCCTTGATACAGTTAGTTTGAAGAATAAGGCAGAAGAGAACATGGTGATCTAAGACTCTTCTTTCTAATATACCAAAAAAAAAAAAAAATGGACCCTTTATCCTCTTTTGAGGGTTAAAGACACCAATTTAATATTGTTACCTATGGTGACCAATTTGAATAAGAGGCTTAAGAGATTAAATACAGTCATTCCACAAGAAATACATTAAATCTCTGAAATCCAAATATCCAAAATGGACTTTTACAATCTTACAAAATTATTATAGGCAGAAAAGAATTTTTGTGGTTATTAAATACAAAAAAGGATTACCTTCTTATAATATTTCCCGATGACATCTTTTAAAATAAAGTCTCCTTAAATGGTTTTGCCGCTTAGAATTTTCTCTCATTCTGGATTTGCATCAACAGATCTGCCCTTGACTGCCCAGAATTTATCTTGCAAAACAGGAAGGATTTATTTTTAAGGGACTGAGGAAGAACTTCTAGCATAGGCTAAAGCTAAACCACAGAGCATATGACCTAATAGACATAATATTTTAAACAACAACACCGATAATAATAAAAGTTAAAGACAGGACTCTGGAGCTGATGATATTCTGCCTCTACATGTCAGCTGTTTGATTTTAAAAAGTATTCATTGTTGAATCTGCCATGTTATTGAGCACAGAGTTGTTGCTGGTTAATTTCTGTTTCTCTGATTCTGTGGAGTAAACATTACTTTACTAGGAGATCTCTGTTCAGCTTCAGTTTTCATGGAATAAATAGAAAAGATTAAAGAAGCTACAAAGATGCAAGAACAAGGATAAAAGATTATAGCTTATCTTCCATGAAGGTTAATTCTCAACATGATAAAAGGCTTGGTGAAACATATTAAGATAATAAGCCTAGTTTCTCTCTGTATTTGCGGTAAAATAAGAGGAAATGGAGATGACAGCATAGTTAGTGCAAGATTATGTAATTTCAACAGATGGCAAGAAAGGAGGTAGAATTATTTAACAACAAGTTCTACTTTTCCCTCAAAGAGCATAACAGACAGAAACACAAGAGGCGAAGACGTCCTAGTGAGAGAGAAAACGGGAAGAAGGTACCTCACTTCTTTGTGAGTGCAAGTTTTGCAGATATGAAGTCAGAAACTCAACAATCTCTGAGAAATCACAGGGAATGTGAAAAATCCTAGAGTGCTAGAAATGAGTAAACAGGACCCCCACCCCTTTTTGTAATGAAAGAAAAAAATATAGAATACATATATTATATATACCTACTATATTAAATATATATACTAAATATATATACTACATATATATTTAATATAGTAGGTATATACTATATTTTTAAATACATTAGGTGTATATATATTTAAAAGTCTTTCGTTGTATACACAAAAACTGAGAAATATACGCAGGTTCAAAACGTATGTAAGATGAGCTGAAACTGCTGAGAAAAGACTGTTGATTAACACGTGCAAATTAAAAGATGTGCATTTGGGTTCTGTGCCTCCCGCCACCACTCTCCTCCCATGCTACCTCCTCCCACCCACTCGGAAAAATTAACAAAACTAGAATGGAGACTTCCCTTTGCCTCCTGTCTGAGATTCTACTGCTCTACGCAGTTGTCGCTAGCTGCATAAGGCAATTGAGCACTTGAAACACTGCTGGTCCAAACTGAGATGTGCTGCAGGTAAAAAATACACCCCATATTTCACAGACTGAGTCCAAGGGAATATAAAATGTAGTTAAAATTTTTGATTACATGTTGAAATGGTAATATTTTAAGATATTAGGTTAAATAAAAGTATCTTTTTACAATTAATTTCACCTATTTCTTTTTAATTTCTTAATGTGATTACTGGAATTTTAAAACGACCTGTATAATTCATGTTATATTTCTAAAGGACAGCGCTGATTAAAGAGCCTCAATAGACATCTAGGGAAGAGAGATCAACCTCTAGCCATACTGCAGTCACCTCTTCACCATGTTAAAAATGTCAGATTATCTACAGTTGTAAACTGTAGTTTAATCTGAACACCTGCTTTTCTCAATGAATTGTTTGTTGTTCCGATGCAATTCTAGATTAAAATAAACTTCAACAATGTTTCATTGTACTCATTAAAAGCTTCAATACAATGTTGAAGCAGCTTGATGGTAATGAATATCCTTGTCTTTTCCACAGTTTAATGAAAAATTATTGAATATTTCAGAGGTCTTTTAAACATTTTATTGAGATATATAAAGTAACTGCAATAATTTTAAGTGTGAAGCCCTTAGTATTAAAAAGATATATTTTCAGAACTCGTTAAGATCTCCTTGGGTACCTTTCAGTTCTATGCCCCCCAAAATAACTACAGATTCTGACTTCTGTGAGCATCTATTCATTCTAGCTTTGTTTGTTTTTGTGTTGAATTTGTTTGTTTTGAGTTTATAGAAATGAAATCACAGAATATGTGATTTTGTACATCAGGCTTTTTTCACTCAACTAATATATCCAAGAGCTTTTCCGATTGTTGCATTGACCAATAGTTTATTTTCATTGATGTGTACTATTCCACTGGGTATTATTTTTTATCCACTCACCTGTTGTATCTGAGTTTTTTCCACTTTTTGACAGTTATGGATAGAGTTTCTATAAACATTCCAGAAAATGTTTCTTTAGAATATATTTACATTCATTTATATATTTAAGGGTAAGATTGTGGGGTCAATTAATTTTAATATTGTTTTTAGTGGAAACAGTCAAACAGGGTCTTCCAAAGTGCTTATGTATTTCTCACTTCCAGGGCACTGGCAAGAACTTGTGTGCACCACAACCTTGCTGACACTTGTGTTTGTAATCATGACCTTCCAGAGGGTGTGTGTGGTATCCCATCATGCCTTTCATCTGCATTTTCTTAATGAGTATGGAAGCTGAGCACCTTTTCTTTTTATTTATTCACTCATTTATTTAGGTCTCCTTTAATTTCTCTAGATAATATTTTGTAGTTTTCAGAGATCTGGCACATCCTTGTTAAATTAATTTCTAAGTTTTTGATGTTATTGAAAATACTTGAAATTTAACACTTTTATTAGTTTTTCAACTGTTTACTGCAATAAACTCAAAATATATCTTATTTTTGCATATTGACTTTGAATCCTATGAGTTTGCTAAATTCACTTGTTAATTCCACTTGGTTTTAGATTGTTTTTGGATTTCTGAGAGCACAGTCATGTCATCTGAAAATAAAAGAGCATTACTTTTTAAATATTTATATGTTTTATTAATTTTTTCACGTTTAATTATACTCGTTAAAACCTTGATGATAGTGAATATCCTTGTCTTTTCCACAATTTCAAGATAAATTATTGAATATTTCCTCATTAACTATGATGTTAGTTCTAGATTTCTTGGACATGCCCTTTATCAGATTGACAAATTGTCTATTACTACATTTTGAGAGCTTTTATTATGGTTGCGTACTGAATTTTATCAACTTCTTTTTCTATATCTGTTGAGATGATGAATATATGAGTATTCTGCCTTATCTATCCATGGGGTGAATTACATTGACTGGATTTCAAATGTGAAATCAACCTCCTGTTCATGAAATAAACTCTACTGGGTGACAGAATATCATCCTTTTAATATAGCCTAGGCTTTGATTTGCTAATATTTTATTAAGAATTTTTGCATCTGTTAATAAGACATTGGTCTAGAATCTTCTTGACTTGTAATATTCTTGTCAGATTTTGGTAAGAAAATTAATCTTGCATTTAGAAAGAAAATGGGAAATGGTTTATATTTTTCTGTTTTCTGAAAATTTTTATTTAAAATTGGTATGATTTATTCCTTAAGTGTCTGTTAGAATGCGCAGGGAAGCCATCTGTGCCTATAGCTTTCTTTCTAAGCATTTTTTTAAAATTATAGAAGCAATGTAAATATAGGAATATGTAGATTTTTTATGTATTCTTAGGATAGTTTTGAACACCACTATGAACCAAGTAGACTTAATTTATATTTACAGAACAATAACAATAGAACGTACATTCTTCTCAGTTAAACATGAACATTTGCCAGGATAGACCATATTCTTGACCAGAAAACAAGACTTAATAGATTTTTAAAAATCCAAGTCATACAAAATACATTCTTTGGTGACAACAAAAATAAATTAGTAGTTAATAATAAGGACTATAAAAAATTACAAGGGGACATGAGGAGACATTTTCTCTTATAGAGACACATATGGACATTTTCCAACGCTCTTCATTCCTTTCTGAGATTCTGTGTTTCTTTCAGGTTGTAGGATTTTCTTTATTATTATTTAGAGTGTTGGCCTGCCAGTGACAATGTCTCTCAGCTTTTATTAATCTGATAATGTCTTTATTTTACTTTCATATCTAAGGACATTTTCTCAAGGTAGAGAAGTGTAGATGCCTTTCATAAGTTTTAATGATGCTTCCCAACTTCCAGTTTCTGTTGAAAATTCATCTATCACTCTGATTGTTGTTTCCTTGAGAGTGATGTTGTTTTTTTCTCCTTTTAAGGTTTTCTCTCAATTTTTTTATGTTTGTCTATAATGCACCTCAGTGAGGGTATTTTTTTGGTATTCATTTTTAATATATAAAGTCCTTTTAATAGTTTTTCATAATTTATTTCCTTCTGTCTTCAAATACTGCTTCCACTCCATTCTCTCTAGTCTCTTTTCTGGGATTCCAATTACATAAATGTCTTTAAGATATATTTATATGCTATTAATATATATGTTTTTCGTTTAATCATGATGGAAGACATAACCAGCCACACTATTCTAATCCCTGAGTAAACATGGAAATTGTTTTAATATAAAACTAAAATACACTCCTGTCTTACATTTGCATTTATTTTCCTAATACCCGAGTTGAACAGATTAATTAGATGATCCCTTCTAACTATCAACTGTCATAGTCTGTTTTGTGCTGCTATCAGAGGATAGGGTGATTTATAATGAGCAGACATGTATTGGTTCACAGTTCTAGAGGCTGGGAAGTTCAGCATCAAGTGCTGGCATCTGGTGAGGGCTTTCTTGCTGTGTCATCACATAGTGAAAAGCACAAGAGTGAGAGAGCAAGAGGAAGCCAAATTTGTTATTTAATAATGGTATTAATTCCACCTGTAAGGGCAGATCCCTTATGACTTAACTTCTTAAAGGTCTCACCTCCTTTTAAAATTTTCTTTTATTTTTAGTTGACACACAATAGTTGTGTATATTTATGGGATACAGAGTGATATTTCACTACATGTATACAAATGTGTAATGGTCAAATCAGAATAATTAGACCTCAGACATTTATCATTTCTTTACATTGAGAATATTCAAAACACTCTCTTCTACTTTTTTTAAAAAATACTATAAATTATTATTAACTATATTCATCCTACAGTGCTGTAGGACACTGGAACATATTTCTCATATTTAGCTGTAATTTTGTGTTCATTAACAAACCTTTCCTTATTCTCCCTTCCTCCCATGCACTTCTCAGCCTCTACTAACAACCATTCTACTCTTTACTTTTTCTAGCTCCTACAGTTGACTAAGAACATGTGATATTTATCTTTCTGTGCCCGAGTTATTTCTCTCAATATAATGTCCTCCAGACTAATCCATGTTGCCTCAAATAACAGGATTCTATTATTTTTGATGATAGAATAGTAAGTGTTGGATTTGTTGGATAGGTGAATTTTGAAATTTTTAATTGAAATGAAGTAGAATGCTAGGTTCCACTGTGTGTATATGCCACATTTTCTTTATTCATCTGTTGATGAAAATGTAGGTTGATTCTATATGTTGACTATTGTGAGTAGTGCTTCAATAAACATGGGAGTACAGATATCCCTTTGACATACTGATTTCCTTTCCTCTGGATAAATACCTAGTTAGTGGGATTGCTGGATTGTATGGTAGTTCTATTTTTAGTTTTTTGAGAAATTTCCATACTCTTTTCCACAATTGTTGCACTAATTTACATTCCCACCAATCCTGCCTCTCAGTACTGTTACAAAGGCAATTAAACTTTAATATGAATTTTGGAGGAAACAGACATTTAAATCATAGTACCAACCTTTAGTGTTTTTCTTTATGGTACTTTGAGAAAATGTCTAAGGACAGCAGAATTATACTAAGTCTCTATTGGATATTCTTTGGAATACATTGAAAGAGAACAAATATACTTCTTTGGACATGTTTTTAAGGTTAGCACTATTCAAATAATTCTAAAATGAACTTCAGAATTCTAAGAAGGTTTTAATTATTAACGATAAATTTTATGGTCACTAGAGTTAGCATATTAGTCATATATTGTAATAGCATAGAGCTATTAAACAATAATTCATCTTTTGATGCAACTTGGATGGTGTAAAATGATAACAGCCTGCAAATAGTTCAAATACTCTCTAGTTATATTGTTTTGGAGATATCATTGTATCTCTATTTTCTTAGTAGCAAATAGTCCATTATGTCATTGTTATTGAACTTCCTTTGTAAATGTTCAAGCAACATTATCAAAGCAGAAAAATAATATATATTGCAAAGTTCCATTTTCAGGAAATAGTACTGTTAAAACTTGTCCATTTTCTCTCTGTATTTTAATGTGATTTTCTTCGTAATTATCTGTTGCCTTTATAGTCAGGGAGGGAACCATAGCAGGGTTTTTTTTTTCCTAGTCAATTTAATAACTGTGTTTTTTTTTCTCTTAATCACATGGAAATTTGTTAGTCTCATAATACAAAAGCTAAGAATTAGTTACTTTAAATTAGTAGTTCTGAGTTATTGGGTGATTAGGTTGACGCATGTCTTTCTCAAAATGAAAATCCTTTGAGGTGTGTGCAGGTTTGTTGTGATTTGTAGGAATATAATGCTGATTTCAGTCATACTATTTCAGAAGTAAGTAGATATTAAATACAAAATACACAAAGTTCTGCACATGTGATCATTTTATGGAACAGCATTTGTGGTTTACTTTTTTTGCCACTGCCAATGTAATACGCTTCTAAAGCATAAAGATAAAGAACGCAGAGATGCTCAAAGGAAATAAAAATGACAAAAATTATATAAAATGCCATCTCAATAGTGCGCTATGTATCTTTGCAGTGTATACAAATATAGATACATATATAGTTTAATATCACACTCTACATGTTGCTTTCAAGCTTTTTTTCACTCACTTTGCAATGTATCAGGAGTATTTTTCTATGTAAATTGGTCTTTTTCTTATATATTTGTAATAGATATTTTGAAATTTTTCCTAAGTACATAGCACATTTGTTTAACCAATTTCTTATTTTGGAAAGTTTCATTTTTGCTATGATGGAAACAAATATTCCTCCATTCAAGTTCCAAAACTGAAATTGTTGATTGGAGGAAGTTAATCGTATATTTAAAATAATTAAACACAAAACTAATAGTCTCCATTATAAAAATTTTCAATAACAATCATAATAATCAAAACAAAACAGTAAAACCCTAACTCTGAAATCTAAATGAGAGGGACAGTTTTGATCTAAGGGGGGGCATTTGGCTGTGACTGAAGACAGTTTTGGTTGCCACAACTAGAAGGGTGCTGCTGAACCTAGAGGCTGGGATTCTGGATGCTGCTAACCATCGGGCAATGCACAGGAAAGCCCCCATGACCAAGAATTATCTGGCTCAAAATGTCATTAGGAATTACACTTTGTCTGTTTCTAGAGAGGGTTTTTCACTTCTCTGCAATGACATGAAACTTAACAACACGTGCTGTTCTTGAGTGCTCACAACTACTAGGAATTCTTCACCTGTTCAATCTATCCTGATTCCTACCAGTGGTAGTGGAGGGCAGTTAATAATATGATGCCAAAGGGTAGATTTCTAAAAAGGAAGATAGGCAGCCTATCAAGCTGTGGCTGAGAGAAAATTGCTTCTTGAAGGACTCTTGCCAAGCAGATGTTGGGGGACCACGCCCCCATCCAGCACAACACTCAAAATGAAAATGAAGTAGAAAACCAAAGTTAAAATTCCTTCAACTGTAACATTGATTCAGGTTTAACAATGTTTTATTTCTGTGGCCTTTGATCTTAATGTGTAAATATTGACAATCTCCAATATATACCACCGTAATTCCTTAAAACAGCCTTGTTTCCTAAAACGGAGGTATTCTGACCAAGACCTTCAAAGTTTCTAAATTTTATGTATGACTACAATATCCAAAATGGTTTTTTTCCATCTGCATGGATTTTATATCCTGTAATCACAGAATATACTACTCTCACTTTGTCTTTCAGAGCAGTTAATAACCTATGATTATTGCTTCTCTTCCAATTTAAATCTCCCCACCAAAACCAGAAGAATTATTTTCCTATGAAAATGGGATGTTATCTCTCTGCTTAAATCACACAAATATTTCACTCACGGCTGTTGTGTGGTATCAGCCAAGGATTTCAGCATGGCCTACAAGTACTGGATGATCTACTCTCTGCACACATCTGCAGCCTCAGATCTTATTACTTTCCCTCTGGGTACCTTCCACATAGGTCTTCATTCAGCTCATCAAAAAATGTGTCACTTCTTCAATGTCACCAGGCATTCACACGCATTATTGCTCCTGATGTGTTTGGCTTGGTGCTCACTTAATTCCTGTATTTTGTCCTTTGGATAAGTCATTGCTGATATGCTGTCCTACCAGGTTATGATTCTTTGTTATCTGCACTCACATAACAGAGTTCATTTCTGCAGAGCAGATATCTGCATTTGTAATGTACGCTTACCAGACTGATGAGAACTGTTCATGTAATTTATAAAGTTAATGCCTCTGATTAGGAACAAATAATCATGAAGTTTCCAGACAAAATAATTTCTTCATGCTATAAAATCTTGAGGTATCTACAAAGAATTTATCTGTATTCCAAGTATACTACAGTGGTAAATTTTGAATTGGCACTTTGCAGATTCTTAAAAGTACTTTTAACAAAAGTATAAGTAACCTATTAGGGAGTGGTTATCTAGGAGAAATGTGAGATATCAATATCTTTAGAATTTTAGGCTCTAGTCCTATATTTATTTAATCTGAAAATACTATGCCTAGAATTCATTAAATAATACCTTACTAAAAATACTTAATGAGTTATACTTTAGTATTATCCCTGTGGACTTAAGATATATTTAAGTGGTGATCACCAAAAACACTTATGAAGTTTAATTTTTAGTAATGGCACACCAGAAAGAGTTTTGGACTAATTCTCCCACTGGAAAAGAAAAAGGGAAAATTGAACAAAACAAAACAAAAATCTGTCTGAAGGCACTGAAGAGCTACCAAGTACAGAGAAATTTCAGGCCCAAGACCCATGAAAAGACACAACACAAGAGGGGTAAGACTACCAAGAAGTCCCAGAAAACACACTAGCTTTGGCTTAGGGTCTTGAGGTTCGCCGTGTGGGATCAAGGATTAAATGGGAAAAGGTCAGCTCTTGTGTGGACTGAAGCTCACATTTTTTTCATACCAGTATTTAGTTGGGGTT
Source organism: Homo sapiens (assembly GCF_000001405.40). Taxonomy (NCBI): domain Eukaryota; kingdom Metazoa; phylum Chordata; class Mammalia; order Primates; family Hominidae; genus Homo; species Homo sapiens. The sequence goes on from NC_000005.10 coordinate 7,259,828, forward strand.
AAGTGTTCTGAGACTGATAATGATACTCACCTAGTTGCCTGCCAGTTGCAAAATGCTTTGGAGAAATATAAGATAATCTAAAGCTTAAAATTGTCTATACAACTAATAAAAAAAATTATGTGACACTCAATCGCAGAAAATCAGATATCCAAAAAACAAAATTAATGAAAACCAAGGGACAAAGAGAGAAAATAGAAAAAAAAAGAAATCCAGTTAATTTAGCTACATGCAGATGTTAAAATCACAGTGTTAACAAATGAATTTTTAAAAACAAAACAGAATTAATTTGGAAATACAAAAAAATGAAAATTCTAAAGTTAAAAAATAGAATGACTAAAAAGAACTCAACAGATAATGTTAAAGCAAGAGTAGATTTAGTTGAGGAGAGAATTAGTGAACTTGAAGACAAATTATAAATTATCTAGGCTGAAGATGGAGAGACAGTGGATGCAAAGCCCAGGGAGGAAAAAGCAGAAAAGGAATACATGAACCTCACAGAGGACAAATGCAATGAACACCGCACTTAGGTGCAAAGGGTTTATCAGGTAAAAAAAAACAACAAGACTAACTTTAAAATTAGACAAAGATGAGAGAATGACTTCTGGAATGGCAGTGTAAAGAGACCTGTAGAAACAACCAACCACCACTGGTTAAAATTTTGATATGTATAGTTTTATATATAATATGTGTGTGTGTGTGTGTGTGTGTGTGTGTATATATATATATGTATATATATATATGTGTATATATATATATGTATATATATATGTGTATATATACATATATATATACATATATATATATACATATATATATATACACATATATATATATCTTTGGAATGCCCTTGGGAATTGTCCTAAGGGCATGTAACAAATGAAGGAACACTTATTCAAGAAAATCTATTAATTCTCACCAAGGACAGTGAGATTCTACGGCATTTGAGCTTCAGACTGAAAGTAAGTAACCTTAGCAATTCAAATCCCTCCCCTCAACATAAAAACACAGATCATCAGCAAAGGCCATCATGTACTTATAAAAGGTGGCATGATTGCATATTTTTTCTCCTTTCTTCTCTTAACTAACATAAAAAAGCAATACTATAAACTAACATTTATGTAATTGTATTAGTGGGCTTATAACCTATAGAAATATATTTGATCAAGGATGTGTTTGGGACCAAAGCTATATTGGGGTGAAGAAATGATACCAAATGGTAACTTGAAATCGAAAGAAAACAATGGAGAAAGCCACAAAGGTAAATACGAAGTCTAACACGAAAACTCTTGCAGAGAGTTTGAGGGATTTGGGGCCTAGCAAGGAAAAATATATGAACACGAGGTGGCAGTAAAGCACAACAAGCTTTATTTCAGTGCTGCTTTGAGAGGATTGCCTGGGAGAGGAAAATTCCTCAGAGCCTGAGACCTTCTAAAGACAATGCCAGGGAGCCACAGCCCAGGAGGGGAGGGGTACACAGGGATTCCTGCAGGAGTGGGGGAACCGGGGAGAGTGCTCACTTATCTAGAGGCTATTGCTCAGCAGGATGATGAGAGGGAGGGTCTCCGGGTCAGAGAAATCCAAGGCAGCAGTGGTTTGGGGTTTTTATTGCCCAAGGCTTACTTTACCTATTACAAGTAGGTGTTGGGCATAGTTTTGTGGGTTATTCAGAAAAGGAAGGCTCTAAATGCCCACATTTTTGCTTCCTTGGGCTATAATTAAAACCTGTGTAAAAGAAATTTTCCACTAAACGTCTCAGGCTGCCATGATGAAGTAAACACAACAGGGCCAACATACAAGAGCTGTCTTTGACTCATTTATTTAACAACTCTTTAAGTACAGCTTTTCTCTTTTTTTCTTCCCTAACCTTCTTTAAAAGACATAAAATTATGCAGCAGGAGCTGTAATAGTGTTCTGTCACAATTGTAACACCTATAGATATAATAGACATAATAGTAATAACACAGAAAAAGAAAAGAAATAGGCATATAAATAGCATTTATGTATTTTCTTACAATTAATTTAGTATAAATCTGAAGTTAATTTTGACAAGTTAATATGCATATTATCATCCCTAGAACAACCAGGAAGAAATTAACTCAAAAAATATAGTGAAAAGATTGTCAAAAGAATTACATTATTGCCTTAAAATAGTCACTTAATTCAAAAGACGGTAGTAAGGGTAAACTAGAGAAAAAAAAAGACGATGTATAGAAAACAAAATGTAAAATGGCAGACATAAATCCAACAATATTAATAATAACATTAAATGTGAATGGATAAAATAAGCAAATCAAAAGGCAGGGATTATGTCAGATTGGATAAAAAAAGTAAGATCCTATTAATGCTGTCTAGGGTAGCCATATTTTAATTCAAGTATACAAATAGGATGAAAGCAAAATCATGGAAAATATATATTATGCAAATAGTAATAATAGTAATCAACTGATGAATGGATAAATAAAATGAAATATTTGACAGTAAAAAAGAATGAAGTTGTGGTACATGTTACTGTCAGGCCTCTGAGCCCAAGCTAAGCCATCATATCCCCTGTGACCTGCACGTACACATCCAGATGGCCGGTTCCTGCCTTAACTGATGACATTCCACCACAAAAGAAGTGAAAATGGCCTGTTCCTGCCTTAACTGATGACATTGTCTTGTGAAATTCCTTCTCCTGGCTCATCCTGGCTCAAAAGCTCCCCTACTGAGCACCTTGTGACCCCCACTCTGCCTGCCAGAGAACAACCCCCTTTGACTATAATTTTCCTTTATCTACTCACATCCTATAAAATGGCCCCACCCCTATCTCCCTTCGCTGACTCTTTTCGGACTCAGCCTGCCTGCACCCAGGTGATTAAAAGCTTTATTGCTCACACAAAACCTGTTTGATGGTCTCTTCACACGGACGCGCATGAAAGTTACAACTTGAAAATATGATACACACATTAGAAAAAAAGCATGCCAATTAAATGCAATTTATAGAAACACAACAAAAGAAACTCAGAAAAATGATGAAAAAAGATACGGTTCACATACAGCAAGATGGTGTAGCTCCACTCGTGAAACACAATGGACTTTAAAACAACAAGCCTTACTAGAAATAAAGGGAGATATTTCACAATAATAAAAGTTCAAAAATTAAGAATACATAAGAATTGTATAGGCTTATATCTCGAAAACATAAGCAAAATTTACCAGAACTAAAAAGATAAGCAAAATGCCTGATAGAATAAGAAGAAAAATGCTTTTAACACACCCAAATAAGCAGAAAAAATTAACATAATATTAAAATTTTGAACAAGATTAACAAATTTGATCTGAAGACAATGTATATAGACTTTTACTCAACAACTTTAGAATATAACCTTTTCATGTGCATGCAAACAATTTGCCAAAACTGTGCATACGCTGAGCCATAAAGGAAGCATTAGTAAATTTTTAAGGATTGAATTCATGTTTTCAGACTTAAGTGAAATAATCTAGAACCATGTTATTTAATGCCATTGAAGTTAAATTAAATATAACAAAAAAGATAACTAGGGTATCTTCACAGTTGGAAATTAAGCACTATACTTCTAAATATCTAATGTCCCCACCAAAATTACAATAGAAGGTTAAAGAAGCATTTTAAACTGAATGACAGTAAGCCAGTACATACCAAAATGTGGCTTGAAATTAAAGGCATGGTTAGAGGGAAATTTAAAGACTTAAATATTGCAAGATTATGAAACAAGAAAGGCTGTAAATCAATGTGTCAGGCCTCTGAGCCCAAGCCAAGCCATCGCATCCCCTGTGACTTGCATGTATACTCCCAGATGGCCGGAAGTAACTGAAGAATCACAAAAGAAGTGAACATGCCCTGCCCCACCTTAACTGATGACATTCCACCACAAAAGAAGTGTAAATGGCCAGTCCTTGCCTTAACTGATGACATTACCTTGTGAAAGTCCTTTTCCTGGCTCATCCTGGCTCAAAAATCATCCCCACTGAGCACCTTGCGACCCCCACTCCTGCCTGCCAGAGAACAAACCCCCTTTGACTGTAATTTTTCTTTACCTACCCAAATCCTATAAAATGGCCCCACCCTTATCTCCCTTCGCTGACTCTCTTTTTGGACTCAGCCCACCTGCACCCAGGTGATTAAAAGCTTTATTGCTCACACAAAGCCTGTTTGGTGGTCTCTTCACATGGATATGTGTGAAATTTGGTGCCGTGACTCAGATCGGGGGACCTCCCTTGGGAGATCAATCCCCTGTACTCCTGTTCTTTGCTCCGTGAGAAAGATCCACCTATGACCTCAGGTCCTCAGACCAACCAGCCCAAGGAACATCTCACCAATTTTAAATCAGATAAGCGGCCTCTTCTTACTCTCTTCTCCAACCTCTCTCACTGTCCCTCAACCACTTTCTCCTTTCCACTCTTCAATCTCTCCCTTCTCTTAATTTCAATTCCTTTAATTTTCTGGGAGAGACAAAGGAGACACGTTTTATCCGTGGGCCCAAAACTCCGGCGCCGGTCACGGACTGGGAAGGCAGCCTCCCCTTGGTGTTTAATCATTGCAGGGACGCCTCTCTGATTATACACCCATGTTTCAAGGGTGTCAGACCACGCAGGGATGCCTGCCTTGGTCCTTCACCCTTAGCGGCAAGTCCCGCTTTTCTGGGGAAGGGGCAAGTACCACAACCCCTTCTCTCCTTGTCTCTACCCCTTCTTTGCTTTTCTGGGAGAGGGGCAAGTACCCCTCAACCCCTTCTCCTTCACCCTTAGCGGCAAGTCCCGCTTTTCTACCAGGCAATAACCCCCAATCCCTTATTTCCACGCACCAACCTCTTATCTCTGTGCCCCAATCCCTTATTTCCACACCCCAACCTCTTATCTCTGTGCCCCAATCCCTTATTTCCATGCCCTGACCTCTTATCTCTGCACCCCAACCCCTTTTCCCACTTTTCTGGAAGGTAAGAACCCCCGAACCCCTCCCCTCTGTTTCTCTACTCTCTCTTTTCTCTAGGCTTGCTTCCTTCACTATAGGCAACCTTCCACCCTCCATTCCTCCTTCTACTCCCTTGGCCTGTGTTCACAAAAACTTAAAACCTCTTCAACTCACACGTGACCTAAAACCTACAGGCCTTATTTTCTTCTGCAATGCCACTTGACCCCAATACAAACTCAACAGTAGTTCCAAATAGCCAGAAAATGGCACTTTGAATTTTTCCATCCTGCAAGATCTAAATAATTCTTGTTGTAAAATAGGCAAATGGTCTGAGGTGCCTGACATCCAGGCATTCTTTTACACATCAGTCCCTTCCTAGTCTCTGTGCCCAGTGCAACTCTTCCCAAATCTTCCTTCTTTCCCTCCCGCCTGTCCCCTCAGTCCCAACCCCAAGCGTCGCTGAGTCTTTCTAATCTTCCTTTTCTACAGACCCATCTGACCTCTTCCCTCCTCGCCAGGCCGAGCTAGGTCCCAATTCTTCCTCAGCCTCCGCTCCTCCACCCTATAATCTTTTTATCACCTCCCCTCCTCACACCTGGTCGGGCTTACAGTTTCTTTCCATGACTAGCCCTCCCCCACCTGCCCAGCATTTACTCTTAAAAAGGTGGCTGGAGCCAAAGGCATAGTCAAATTTAATGCTCCTTTTTCTTCATCCCAAATCAGATAGTGTTTAGGCTCTTTTTCATCAAATATAAAAATCCAGCCCAGTTCATGACTTGTTTGGCAGCAACCATGAGACACTTTACAGCCCTAGACCCTAAAAAGTCAAAAGGCCGTCTTATTCTCAAAACACATTTTATTACCCAATCTGCTCCCGACATTAAATAAAACTCCAAAAATTAAATTCCGGCCCTCAAACCCCACAACAGGATCTAATTAACCTCACCTTCAAGGTGTACAATTATAGAAAAAAGTTGCAATTCCTTGCCTCCACTGTGAGACAAACCCCAGCCACATCTCCAGCACACAAGAACTTCCAAACGCCTGAACCGCAGCGGCCAGGCGTTCCTCCAGAACCTCCTCCCACAGGAGCTTGCTACATGTGCTGGAAATCTGGCCACTGGGCCAAGGAATGCCCGCAGCCCAGGATTCCTCCTAAGCCGCGTCCCATCTGTGTGGGACCCCACTGAAAATCAGACTGTTCAACTCACCTGGAAGCCACTCCCAGAGCCCCTGGAACTCTGGCCCAAGGCTCTCTGACTGACTCCTTCACAGATCTTCTCGGCTTAGCGGCTGAAGACTGACACTGCCCGATGGCCTCGGAAGCCCCGTAGACCATCACGGACGCCGAGCTTCAGGTAACTCTCACAGTGGAAGGTGAGCCCGTCCCCTCTTAATCAATACGGAGGCTACCCACTCCACATTACCTTCTTTTCAAGGGCCTGTTTCCCTTGCCTCCATAACTGTTGTGGGTATTGACGGCCAGGCTTCTAAACCTCTTAAAACTCCCCAACTCTGTGCCAACTTAGACAATACTCTTTTAAGCACTCCTTTTTAGTTATCCCCACCTGCCCAGTTCCCTTATTAGGCCGAGACACTTTAACTAAATTATCTGCTTCCCTGACTATTCCTGGACTACAGCTGCATCTCATTGCCGCCCTTCTTCCCAATCCAAAGCCTCCTTTGCGTCCTCCTCTTGTATCCCCCCACCTTAACCCACAAGTATAAGACACCTCTACTCCCTCCTTGGCAACCGATCATGCACCCCTTACCATCTCATTAAAACCTAATCACCCTTACCCCACTCAACGCCAATATCCCATCCCACAGCACGCTTTAAAAAGATTAAAGCCTGTTATCACTTGCCTGCTACAGCATGGTCTTTTAAAGCCTACAAACTCTCCTTACAATTCCCCCATTTTACCTGTCTTAAAACCAGACAAGCCTTACAAGTTAAGTTCAGGATCTGCGCCTTATCAACCAAATTGTTTTGCCTATCCACCCCGTGGTGCCAAACCCATATACTCTCCTATCCTTAATACCTGCCTCTACAACCCATTATTCTGTTCTAGATCTCAAACATGCTTTCTTTACTATTCCTTTGCACCCTTCATCCCAGCCTCTCTTTGCTTTCACTTGGACTGACCCTGACACCCATCAAGCTCAGCAAATTACCTAGGCTGTACTGCCGCCAAGCTTCACAGACAGCCCCCATTACTTCAATCAAGCCCAAATTTCTTCTTCATCTGTTACCTATCTCGGCATAATTCTCGTAAAAACACACGTGCTCTCCCTGCCAATCGTGTACGACTGATCTCTCAAACCCAAACACCTTCTACAAAACAACTTCTTTCCTTCCTAGGCATGGTTAGTGCGGTCAGAATTCTTACACAAGAGTCAGGACCGCGCCCTGTAGCCTTTCTGTCCAAACAACTTGACCTTACTGTTTTAGCCTAGCCCTCATGTCTGCATGCAGCAGCTGCCGCTGCTTTAATATTTTAGAGGCCCTCAAAATCACAAACTATGCTCAACTCACTCTCTACAGTTCTCATAACTTCCAAAATCTATTTTCTTCCTCATACCTGATGCATATACTTTCTGCTCCCCGGCTCCTTCAGCTGTACTCACTCTTTGTTGAGTCTCCCACAATTACCGTTGTTCCTGGCCCAGACTTCAATCTGGCCTCCCACATTATTCCTGATACCACACCTGACCCCCATGACTGTATCTCTCTGATCCACCTGATATTCACCCCATTTCCCCAAATTTCCTTCCTTCCTGTTCCTCACCCTGATCACGCTTGATTTATTGATGGCGGTTCCACCAGGCCTAATCGCCACACACCAGCAAAGGCAGGTTATACTATAGTACAAGCCACTAGCTCGCCTCTTAGAACCTCTCATTTCCTTTCCATCATGGAAATCTATCCTCAAGGAAATAACTTCTCTGTGTTCCATCTGCTATTCCACTACTCCTCAGGGATTATTCAGGCCCCCTGCCTTCCCTACACATCAAGCTTGTAGATTTGCCCCCACCCAGGACTGGCAAATTAGCTTTACTCAACATGCCCTGAGTCAGATAGCTAAAATACCTCTTAGTCTAGGTAGACACTTCCACTGGATAGGTACAGGCCTTTCCTACAGGGTCTGAGAAGGTCACCACAGTCATTTCTTCCCTTCTGTCAGACATAATTCCTCAGTTTAGCCTTCCCACCTCTATACAGTCTGATAACAGACCAGCCTTCATTAGTCAAATCAGCCAAGCAGTTTTTCAGGCTCTTAGTATTCAGTGAAACCTTTATATCCCTTACGGTCCTCCGCCTTCAGGAAAAGTAGAACGGACTAAAGGTCTTTTAAAAACACACCTCCCCAAGCTCAGCCACCAACTTAAAAAGGACTGGACAATACTTTTACCACTTTCCCTTCTCAGAAGTCAGGCCTGTCCTCAGAATGCTACAGGGTACAGCCCATTTAAGCTCCTGTATAGATGCTCCTTTTTATTAGGCCCCAGTCTCATTCCAGACACCAGACCAACTTAGACTGTGCCCCAAAAAACTTGTCATCCCTCCTATCTTCTGTCTAGTCATACTCCTAATCACCATTCTCAACTACTCATACATGCCCTGCTCTTGTTTACACTGCCGGTTTACACTGTTTTTCCAAGCCATCACAGCTGATATCTCCTGGTGCTATCCCCAAACTGCCACTCTTAACTCTTGAAGTAAATAAATAATCTTTGCTAAAAGGACTATGCTGAATCTCCTTAGGCACTCTCTAATCAGATATCCTGAGTTGTCCCAATTCTTAGACCTTTTATACCTGTTTTTCTCCTTCTGTTATTCCATGTAGTTTCTCAATTCATCCAAAACCGTATCTAGGCCATCACCAATCATTCTATATGACAAATGTTTCTTCTAACAGTCCCACAATATCACCCCTTACCACAAGACCTCCCTTCAGCTTAATCTCTCCCACTCTAGGTTCCCACGCCGCCCCTAATCCCGCTCGAAGCAGCCCTGAGAAACATCGCCCATTCTCTCTCCATACCACCCCCCAAAAATTTTCGCCACCCTAACACTTCAACACTATTTTGTTTTATTTTTCTTATTAATATAAGAAGGCAGGAATGTCAGGCCTCTGAGCCCAAGCCAAGCCATCACATCCCCTGTGACTTGCACGTATACTCCCAGATGGCCGGAAGTAACTGAAGAATCACAAAAGAAGTGAATATGCCCTGCCCCACCTTAACTGATGACATTCCACCACAAAAGAAGTGTAAATGGCCGGTCCTTGCCTTAACTGATGACATTACCTTGTGAAAGTCCTTTTCCTGGCTCATCCTGGCTCAAAAACACCCCCACTGAGCACCTTGCGACCCCCACTCCTGCCTGCCAGAGAACAAACCCCCTTTGACTGTAATTTTCCTTTACCTACCCAAATCCTATAAAATGGCCCCACCCTTATCTCCCTTTGCTGACTCTCTTTTCGGACTCAGCCCACCTGCACCCAGGTGATTAAAAGCTTTATTGCTCACACAAAGCCTGTTTGGTGGTCTCTTCACACGGACACGCATGAAATTTGGTGCCGTGACTCGGATCGGGGGACCTCCCTTCAACATTCCCACTGAAGAAATAAGAAAAAGCACAGCAAATTAAATCCAAAGATGATAGAAGGAAAGAAATGATGTAAACAGAATGAGTAACATACAAAGAACAGGAGTAGAAAACAGAAATATTTAAAACCAAAATCTAGTGTTTTGAAAATACTGTAAAATGGACACACACTAACAAAGGTAATCAAGAAAAAGACAAAAACTGTGAGAGGATAATTATTGTTGTTGCTGCTGTTATGGCAGCACAGTTACGGGAGTCCATTTTTGAACACAGGCTCCCACCTTCAACTTATCACTTCCTTATCTTTGCTTGGGTGCCCGATGACTTTAAAGAGACTGTTTCTTTGTAGAAGGTGGAATGAGCTTAAAGGTGAGAGTCATGTTTTGGCATTCAGACCAGGTATTAGGCTTTCTCCTACATTAACAAATGAATAATGTTAGGAATGCATGGAAGGTCACAGCTGCACCTGGAGGGGAGAGTATGAAAACCATAACTTAATAACATGATGCCAATACATCTGAAAGCATAGAAAATAGAATCGTACAATATAGATAACTACAGACTAAATGGATAATTTTCTAGAAAGCTAAAAAATAGCTAAATAGATTCCAGAAGATGCGATTACCTAGATAACCTAACCATCGTTAAAAAACATTTGGAATAGAGAGCAAAACATTTTATCTTAACCTTATCTTTCACCCCAAAATGATACCAGGGCCAGAAGGCTTCTGGCTGTGTGGGAGTAAATCATTCATTGCATGAGTCCTCCCTTATGCTAACTGTTCCACAAAGTAGAGTAAAATTTCTTTTTATGAGGCTAATACAACCTTGATAACATTTCTGAATAAGAACTGAGTAAGAAAATTACATACCATATGTACCATGAAGTAGATACAAAAAGTCTAAATTTAAATGGGGAAATTGGATTCAGCAGTATAATTATGAAAAATGTCTTCAAGACACACTAGGATTTGTCTCCTAAAAACAAAGAGTGGCATAACAGTGGGAAGTCTATCAATTATAATTCACCACAACAATGAGCGAAAGAACAACCAAATGAACATATCGATTGTAAATATTGGAATAAAATTCAAAACTCACTTTCAATTTTTAACAAATGTAGAACTTTAGTAAAGTAGAAGATGAGAAGTATTTAATCAAAACACATGCAAAAACCATTTGTAAATGGGAGAATTCCCATTAAGTAAAGAATATTATATTTTCTATCTTCACTAGTATTAAATATTTGAGTAATATGTGATATAATATATAATATGACTGAAAAAGAGTATGTAAGGAGTGAAACAGAAGGACCCAATGTGTCATAATTGTAGACTGTTGAAAATAGTCTACAACTGAGAGAGTTAACAGATAAATTAAAGAGCAAGATGAATTTATAAGATGAACATATAAACATCAATAACAGCATAAATTATTTGTTAAAATTATACTAGGAACAAATATTCACAATAGCAACGATAATATATTTAAGAATGAACCCAACAAACAAAATATGTACAAGCACTTAATGGATGATACTGCAAAATTTTGCCAAAGGATAAAAGAACCGAACATAGGACAAGTAACATTAATAAATGGGAAATCTCAATGATATGCAGTCATTAACTCCAAAAGTAAAATTATAAAATTCTTACAGAAGAATAAACATCCCAGAATAACAATGCGCATTTTGAAAAATGTAAACAATGAGATGAAATTGACAACAAGTGTTAAGACATACTATAAAATTATATTAATTCAATAAAGTATAATATGGGTAAAGTCATAGAGAAATAATTATAAAAGTGTATTTATTTCTACCTGTTTGTCTAACTATTCATACATCCCCTATCTAGCATTTGTATATATGCACAAAAACATGAAGTAGTGTTTACTTCATATTAATGATTGGTTTTCCCGGATGATGGGGTTTAGACTCATATTGTCTTTCGCCATTTTGGTACTTTTCTTCACTGCTTAAATGCTTTATAATGTACTTTTTTTCTTTCTGCCAAAACAATTTAGTGAGGGTGTTTTTTTAAACAAAGATGTTTTCCTCATATTATTAAAGAGGATTTTTCTCAGAGAAATATTAAAAAGTAAATTAGTTGATATTTAAATGACTACCTTAGTTGATGTGCTTTCCACCAAAAGCCTGAACCATAAGATGTGTGTACGGTGTAGCAGGCATAACAACTGCATCCCGTCTCCCAGCACTAGGATAGCAAGTCCCCGTCGCCCCACCAAGCAATTCAATGGGTGAGTCCAAGGCATTTTGCATATTTCCAGTTTCAGTTGTTGGGGGCTGGGTGTCAGGGCAGTAAAAATAATATGTCTGCTCTCTTTTCAGCCACATGGCTTGAAGAAACAATTCTCAGATCCGAAGGTGCTCTTCCCTGAAAAATTAGGCATGAAGAGAAGGGAAATTTAATGACATCCATTAAAATAACTCAATGCCCCACAGATAAAATGTCAATCTGGCAATAATTCCTCTTCTGGTTGCGGCTCAGCTTCCTTATGGTGCTCTCACACCCATAAAACACCAAGCCCAGATGAAGGCTGCACTGGCTGCTGTTTGACTTGGCAGATTTAGAGGCAGAGACCACAGTTGCTGGGGTAGCAGCAGACAGAATTGGCTGGTCATAGCTGAGTCAAAAGCTAAAGATCTTGTCTGTATCCTAGTGATACAATTAGACAAGAATAATGAAGGAAGGAAGAAAAGTCCCAGGAGAAAAGAGGCTGTAGTTTTGTACATTCTCCTCATAAAATCACATTTATTGATCATGCAAAGTAGCAAGGGAGATTCTTAGGCCATTTCATGGCAAACTAGGAGACAGAAGAAAGACTGCAGATCTTATCAGACTTACAGAGGCAGGTTTCTCCTGAGACAGCTTTACTTTCCATTGTGGAAATATATCGGCTAAAGGAGTCACTCATTGGTACCTTAGCAAGATGAAAGGTCTCAGGTCCATCACCTACAGTTCTGCTTGGCAAAGCAGAGTTCCCTTTGCTGCCCTCTGTTACGGATTGAATTATGTCCCCTCAAAAAGATGTGTCAAAGACCTAAGCCCCAGTGCCTGTGAATGTGACTTCTTTGCAGTTGTCATAAAGTTAAGAATAGAACCATTAAAATGGGCCTTAATGTAACATGACCAATGTCCTTCTAAGAAGAACATGTGGACACACACATATACACACGCAGGAGAATACCGTGTGAAGACACAGGTACACAGGGAAGATAGCATGTGGGGTCCAGGTGGAGATTGAAGTGAACAATCTGTGGCTACTGGAAGATGAAAAGGCAAGAAAAGATCCTCTCCTGGAGGCTTCAGAGGAAGCATGGCCCTGACAACACCTCAACTTTGGACTTCTGGCCTCCAGAACTTTGAGTTGATAATTATTGTTGTTGCTGTTGTCATGGCAGCACAGTTATGGGAGCACATTTTTGAACACAGGCTCCCACCTTCAACTTATCACTTCCTTACCTTTGCTGGGGTACCTGATGACTTTAAAGAGACTGTTTCTTTGGAGAAGGTGGAATACGCTTAAAGGTGAGAGTCAAGTTTTGGCATTCACACCAGGTAGTAGGCTTTCTCCTAGTTCCAATCATGTAGGCTTATACTTACTAGGGTTTTTGTTGTTGTTGTTGACGTGGCACTATTGTCTAACAAACCTCAGCTTATCCTTGAGGACAACCTTATTGGACTTTTTCCTTTTATTCAAAGCAAGTTGTGCCGGTGACTGCCAGTGTTCACAGAATCCTTGTCCTCATTTTCTTCTAGAGCACACATTTAGACAACATCTCCCAGCCTCCCTTGCAGTTAAGTCTGGCTTTGTGATGAGGTTCTAGATAGCACAGTTGGAACAGAAGTGATGTGTGCCACTTCCATGTCTCAGCCCTGGTCTCCAAAACTTCCCACAGGTGCTAGTCATACTCTTTACCCTTCTCGCAGATTGGAATGGATACAACCAAACCACCATAAAAGCCTTATGTGGAACATGGCAGACCTCTCTCAATCAAAATCCCGATACGACCACAGGGAATGACCGCCCTCATGGGCCAGCTTTGGACTGTCATGTGAATGACAAGTAAAGTCTTACTGTGATTAAGCATTGTACAGTTTGGAGTCTGCTGGATAGAGTATCCAGCAACACCCTAGCCAATGCAGTATTTGATGCCTTAAACTTCACATGCCTTTATATCGTTACACATTTTACTTCCTATCTTTTATAACTGATTCAGTGTGTTGTACATGTGTGGATGGATATTCAATTAATATGTGACACATTGATTATCAGCTCAAATGTGGCAGATGGAGATGGATCCTTCTTGACCTCTCATTGATTCTTTTTAGTCAATTGAAATTGCATTATCCCTGAATATTCTTCTTTTCATAAATTTGCTATGTATTTGAAATGTCAAATCTTAAATCTTCTTTGGCTCACCTTAATGCTTTCTTTTCATGTGAACAACAGCTATGTTCCAAGAGTCAAGAAATCTCAATATGAATAAAGCCAGGGCATGGACTCCCCATGTTTGTCTTGTCCCCTGTCTATTTTACTTGTTCAGGTTCCTTTTATCTAGCAGAGGTAGGGATATCCATACCACAGTGAAGCTTCTCATACTCCAAGTTTCTAGAAATGATTGAAAGTTTTTTTTAAAATCCAAAACAAGATGGAAAACAAGAAAGCATCCACTGGCTCTAAAAACTATGAGAAATCCTTGAAAGGTATTAAGGCAGACATCAATTGTGTTGAAATAGAAAACTAAAAATTTATGAAATTGTGGGAAAAGCACAAAATCACACCTTAATTAGAGGCGGTGGCAGGAGGGGCCCTGAAAACCTGGGAAGGGACACCAGAAGGGGCTTCCAGCTGCTCCTGCCCATGCTCCACAGCCTGCCAGCTGCATACCTTGTTGGGCCAGGTTGTTGTAAGGGGGCTATCTGGATGGTGTGAGAGCTTGGGTCTGAAAGCAGGGAAGTGCCTCAGATGGTTAGAGGGCCCCAGGCTGGAAGGGATTACGGCACATCGCCAAGATGGCACGGCTCACAGCAGATCGAGGCTTCTCCTGCTCTTGTGGAAACAACCAAGGACCCAGAAGCCCTCCTTCCCTTTCCCAGGAAGCCTACAAATGAAGGCAACAGGGCTTCTCATACAGATGAGAGCCAAATTCTAACGTGGTGGGCAGACTGAGAACTAACAACCCTGAGAACTGAGGGGAGGACGCCCACCCAGTGAAACACAGATAACTGAACAACCAGATGGCAGCCATGAGAAGTCCACATGCTGGACCTTCAGAGACGCTGAAGGCGGATCTCGTGTGAATAAGAAGTGTGAGAATTAAAAACTTGCTCACGCAAATTAAAAGTGCAACAGATCAGCTAAATAACATAATGGACACAATTGAAGAAAAAATTAGCCGACCAGAAGATTCGGGTGAGGAATTCTTCCAGAAGGTGACCTGAGAGGATAAAGACAAAGTAAGAAAGAAATATTAAGAAGCATCATGAACAGATTCACAGATTCTAACATTCATCTCCTGTGCCGCTCAGAAGAGGGAATAGAGGGTACAGAGAATAAGCGGGATGAAGAGAAGTAATAGGGAAGGCTCTAGAGGGGAGGAGAAGGCAGAAATTTCGAAGGGCTCTCAGAATTTATCAGAAAGTACTTTTTAAAAAATGATCAAGTAGGCATATGTAATTGAATTTCAGAAAACCAAGTATAAAATATAAATCTTTTCAACTTCTAGAAAAAAAGACAAAGCACAATAATGTAAATGCACCAAATGAACATTAGAATTCAGAAACGTAGCAACATATATAAGAAGACAATAAAAACATTTTGAAATCTCTGAGAGAAATAAGTTGGATTAGAATTCCATACTCAAAATGTAATTTCAGTATTAGGGTTGAATATTAAAGTTTTCTGATCTCCAAGGGCTCAAAGTTCCCAATCATTGATATCATACAGGCCATGTTTACAGAGCATAATAAATTTCAGAGAAATAATATTGCACCAAAGTGCAATAACACCAGAAATTAAAAGCAAACAATATGTATGTGTGTGTGTGTATGTGTGTGTGCATATATATATGAATGACAATAGCTTTTTGAAACTGTGAGATGAACCTGGAGTTTAAAGGAAAAATTTATAGTTGTGAATGCATTCATAAAGAAATTAATGAGTATGCAAAGTATGAAATAGATTTTCAAGCTAAGGAATTGAAAAAGAGCAATAAAACAATCACTAAGAATGTGAACAGTAGGAATTAATGAAAACAGAAACAGATATTAACAAAATGAATAAACGTAAAAGGGTACCTTTTTTCATCAATACAGAAAAGCTGTTTTTGAGACTAATAAAACAGACAAAACTTAGTTACACAAGGTGAAGGGGAAAGAGAGAGAAGTAGGAAGGTCCCATAGCTTTAAATTGAATATGATATTGACTGTTTTGTTTTATATTAGATTGGTCTTGCCTTTAAAACACCATTTTAAAAGAGACCATTTGTTAGTGCCTGAAATCTGTAACTGGCTTAAAAGCTCTGTCAGCTGGAAAGGAACCTGTCAGTGTGATAATGGAAAAGAAGAAGATACATCAGAGAGAGGTAAAAATGCTGGTAAAATAAAATGTTTTTTATTTATACTGTACTGGTTATGTTTCTATCAATGAACTGGTTTTTGTAGGTTACAGAACATTACTCAACAGTGAAAATATGACCAAAGTTGCCAATGGTGGAAATTTTGCTGTATCCATCAGGTCTCAACTCCTTTTTCTTTTTCTTTTTTTTTTTTTTTTTGAGATGGAGTCTCACCCTGTTACCCAGGCTGGAATGCAACAGGATGATCTCAGCTCACTGCAACCTCCACCCCCCAGGTTCAAACAATTCTCCTGCCTCAGCCTCCCGAGTAGCTAGGATTACAGGCACCTGCCAACATACTGAGCTAATTTTTGTATTTTTAGTACAGACGATGAATGTTGGCCAGGCTGGCCTCAAACTCCTGACCTCGTGATCCACCCACCTTGGCCTCCCAAAGTGCTGGGATTACAGGTGTGAGCCACTGTGCCCGGCCGGCCCTTATCCCCTTTTCAGTAGCAAACTAGACTTGTAGATGGGACAGAGTGTCCAGCATTCCTCAACTTGTCTTGCAGTGAAATGTGGCTGTGGCTCTGAGTTCATTTAAATGGAATAAGAACAAGAGGCATGTATGTCCCTCCTAGTCCAGGGCAGTGAGATTGAGTTTTGTCTTCTACATTCTCCTTTTCCACTTTCTAACCAGACAGAGGGTGAAAATACCAAGGATAGAGCAAGTCTGACAAACTCACGTTGAATAACAAGATCTTCATGGCCTGGATCCCTGAAAGACTGTGTGGAACAGAGCCCCTTGACAACCTGAAACCCCTACCTTCATTCAGATTGTTGTGTGAGGTTCCAATAATGTGATTCCTTTTTAAGACACTAAGGGGGAGTATTTGTTACAGCAGGTTAACATATATTAATTAACAGCCATATAATAAAATATGTGTGTATTTAAGAACAGCAAAAAAAAACCTTGAGATTGGGATCATTTCCACCAAATATATTAGAAGGTTTTTTAAAATGATGTATATATAGGTGATTATTTCTTTTCTATAATTCTTTTTGTCTTTTTTATAATATCTATAATTAACATGAGCTATTCTTAATGAGAATAAAAGTTATTTTTTGAATTATAAGTATGCATCATATATAACACTGAGTTTTTTTGTATTTTTTAAATTTTTTAATTTTAATTTTAATTTTTATTTAATTTTTTTTTTTTGAGATGGAGTCTTGCTCTGTTGCCCAGACTGGAGTGCAATGGCGTGATCTTGGATCACTACAACCTCCGCCTCCTGGATTCAAGCCACTCTTCTGCCTCAGGCCTCCCAAGTAGCTGGGACTAAAGGTGTGTGCCACCACGCCCAGCTAATTTTTGTATTTTTGGTAGAGACAGGCTTTTGCCATGTTGGCCAGGCTAAACACCTGACCTCAAGTGATCCATCTGCCTTGGCCTCCCGAAGAGCTGGGATTACAGGCGTAAGCCACTATGCCCGGCCAAAATCTGTATTTTTAATAAACTCCACCCTCCCCACACCCCAACTTCCAGGGCATGAGAAATCCCAGCCTTTGCCAGAATCTTTCACAGGGCCATGCTTATCACATGTGCTATCTTCAGCAGGATTTGCAAGTTAGAAAGCATCATTTTCGACTGGCCCTTCTCTGTTCTCCCACCAGCTCTTCTGAGGATTAAAGGAGGTAACTTAAGAAGAAGAGTTAATGAGAAAATGTCCAGTCTGAAGGAAAAAAGTGTAAGAAATGATTCCCAAATGTGAACACATAGAAACCATATGATAGTTCTTCTTAAATAGTAGAAAGTACTTTTCTAAAATGTTATTAATAAGACTAATAAAAAAGGAAATGATTTTGTTTATAATTTTTTAAAGGATATATTTTATACAAAGGATATGTATACCTTTTGAATATGCATGTATATATATACATATATATATATAATATCATGTGTTCTATATTATATAATACATTGGATATAATTATAATTCAGCCAGGCACGGTGGGTTACACCTGTAATCCCAGCACATTGGGAGGCAGAGGCAGGCAGATCACCCGAGGTCAGGAGTTTGAGGCCAGCCTGGCCAACACTGTGAAACCCCGTGTCTACTAAAAATACAAAAATTAGCCAGGCATGGTGATGCCTGCCTGTAGTCCCAGCTACTCGGGAGGCCAAGGCAGGAGAATTGCTTGAACCTGGGAGGTAGAGGTTGCAGTGAGCTGAGATCACACCACTGCCACTGCAATCCAGCTTGGGTGACAGAGTGAGACTCCATCTCAAAAAGTAAAAAATAAAAATAAATAAAAATAAAAAAATATAACTCATATGTCCTTGTAATATATATGATAAAACTCATTCTACTGGATATTTTTTCATCTAGTAATTGAACCATTCAATCTGGTTCTTGCCCAATAAATTCTAAATTATTAAAATTCAATTGAAGTGTCTTGAATTCTTAAGTGAAGTAAGTTATAAACTTTGGAGATAATACTAGAACTTACCATTTAAAGAAATTATAGATCATAAGCCTTAATTTTCTATATTGCTGGGAGATGCCCACTTGAAGTGCAACACTGTGGGATCTGGAGGAAAGTCCCCAGAGCTAGCAGTCTGGAAGACCTGGGCCAAAATCTGACTCTGGCATGACCTGGCTGGGTGACCTTGAGCAAGGCATTCAATCAAGCTAAACCTCAGGTGGCTCACCTGTGAAGTGGGAATAATAACACCTCCTTTCAGAACTGCAGAGAGAATTAACCATAAAGAATGAATCTAAACTATCCTATTTGCCATGGGGGAGAATAGTTACTGAAAAATAATAGATCTTAAATTATGTTAATAACAGTTTCTCCAAACAAAACCTCTCTCTTTCCGACTCTCCACCCTATGCTTTTCCAAGATCCCAGTATCTCTTTCTTCCTCATTTTGAATAAAAATAGGACAGTTTGACCCTGAGCTAATGATAAATATTGGAGAATTTTGCTACTCCTTTGTGTATATCATCTCACCAAGACTGTGAAAAAATGCAGCCCTCAAATTTTCCCACCTAAGATTGGTTAGAGGTTTTAAATGCATCCTTTATTTATGTCAACTTCCTTTATCTAAGAAAACAAGTTATTCCCTGCATGCCCGCATGTTATTCATCCAGCCGCTGGGCTTTTACCAATAGGATGCATGTGGCAGTGTACTGCTATCTCTGTTGCGCAGGGGTGCAATCAGTCACATTTTATTTTGGCTTTCACTGTCCACCGCTTGGAGACCCAGATGAAGAACAAACGAGATTTCTGTACTTCAACAGACTCTAATGAAAATTCCCACAAACTCTAGAGAAAAGTGGCTTTTGTTGACTCCTATGTTTTTCAAAACAATATACATAGTTTAGAATGTCTAAGGATAAAAATCAAAACTCCAAACTTTAATTAACAGAAAACTTACTTCAACGCTTTCTTTGATATCTACGATCTTGGAATAAATCTTAGTCTATAGACAGTTTATTTTTAATTGAACAAGAGGTTTTAATTGTCATCAATTTTGAGAATAACTTAAAAAAATTTGCTGTCTGAGGTAAAACAGAAAAGGGGAAACTATATAAAATAGAATCTTGATGAAACCAATATAAATGATTCAAAAATTCTTAGAAAAAATGAATTATTTATATGATAATCCTTATATCTCTATAATCATACCTATGCTATAACAATGATTAATTGTTACCTTATTTTAGGGACTCTTAACCCTTGTAATATGTGTTTTTCTTTTTCTTTTTTTTTTTTTTTGAGATGGCGTCTCGCTCTGTCGCCCAGGCTGGAGTGCAGTGGCACGATCTTGGCTCACTGCAAGCTCCGCCTCCCCGGTTCAGGCCATTCTCCTGCCTCAGCCTCCCGAGTAGCTGGGACTACAGGTGCCTGCCACCATGCCCAGCTAATTTTTTGTATTTTTAGTAGAGACAGGGTTTCACAGTTTTAGCTAGGATGGTCTCGATCTCCTGACCTCGTGATCCACCCGCCTCGGCCTCCCAAAGTGCTGGGATTACAGGCGTGAGCCACCGCGCCCGGCCAGTGTGTGTTTTTCTTATACCTCAAATGTTGATCTGTGTTCTAGTTTCTTGACAAGCTCTCTTGTTAACCTTCTGATTGCTCTTGAAGCTTGAAATCTACACATTATTATGTAATTTCACATCCTGTAGAACTGTTCTTTACACCAATGATGAATGGTTCAGCACTTACATTTTAAAAGTAGGAAGTTTGCTAAACAAGCCTAGTAAAATCAGGGATTTTTCTGGGGGAGACAGGAAGGTAAGTTTATCTACAAAGGATAAACTGTTACCTGGCAATAGCTTGGTGGGGGAATCAGGCTACAGTAACAAATTGCAATGACTACATGTCCTGGCTGATACGGTAAAATGGCAAAGCAGATATCAATGCCGTCAGCACTTTCCATAAAACATAAAGTAATCACAGATTAGTCATCAATGTGCCATATGCTTTGTAGGATCTGTGGTAATTAATCGGCATGGCAGATTTAGGTAGCAGTAAAGAGTATAAGTTTTGGAGGTGGAAAGCTACGTGTTCCCATACATAATCTCTTTCATTCTCTGTGCCTTAATTTTTTCATGTGTCAAGTTCAGATGGGAACACTTCCTTGCACTAGCCCAGGAAATAGACCTGTAGACGCTTCATAAAGTCGGAATTGACTCCACTAATATAAGTTTCATTTTCCGTTTTTCCTCTGACCTGGAGAAGTGATTTCTGTGTGCTTCCATATTGGGGAAAACAGAGGGGCTGAAGTTCCACTGTCACGTGCTAATATTCCCAGGGCCAAATGACAGGCAGGCATTTCAGGATGGTCACTAGCAGCTGATAGCAAAAAAAAAAAAAAAAAAAAAAAAAAAAGCTGTTTTTCACATGCAATTAATTGAGGTGTTTTTCACTGGTCAAAAGACCTCTCTTCTTGATATTGATTTTTTTTTTTTTATTTCCAAAAAGGAACCAAGAGGAAAATTGGGTTTGCAGTTCCATTTCTCAATACTTTGAGCCAAACTATTCAGGGAGGAAAGCTTGCTTTTGTTTATGGACAATTTTATTGACTTGTTCTAATAAAAGGAATGTATAACCAGAGAATTATAGGTTGAGAGAGGTGGAGAGCATGTAAAGGGCCACCCCTGCCCTTCTATTGCTCCAGGACATATCCATGTCAACATCAGATAAATGGGAATTTGTCCTATTTTTCAACACAAATGGAAAGAAGAGATTCCACTATTTTCCGGTTTAATGTAACATGTAGTCAGTCTCAAAATAAAGGTGGGGGTTTTTACCCCCATCTTTATATTTATATATAAATTATTCATATTGTGTGTGTGTATATATATATATATATATATAGTGTGTATATATGTCATAAAAATTTGTGCATATAAAATGTATATATAGCATATAAAACTGAGATGGAGATATATAAGGTACTTATTGTACATTACTCTCTCTTCAGTCCTTTTTCTTAAGGCTAAACCATTATTTCCTCCTCTGGGAATCTGTTTTGTTTTGTTTTCCAAATCCACGAATAATTTTTGGATCTTTCCATCAAAACTTTTCAAGTTCTTCTTGCCACCTATAAGCCGAGGAATCCTGATTTTCTTCCATCTCTCAAAATCTAACTATAGAGATATGATCATGTTACCTGATGCTAGCGAGGCAAGCCTAACACCGTTGCTGGGATGAGCTTCGTGTTATCAGGAGGAGAGCCTGCCATCACACCATGGCATCTCAATTTTCATTTACAAATGCTCTATTTGTAGCTAGCCTGATTCTTAGCTCTCTTACCTGCTATTCCACATCATTTTATTTTCATTTCTTTTGTAGTATCTAATGTATTCTACTAAAAAAAAAAAGTAGAGTAGTTGGAAAACTCTTGTGAAAAAAACATATGTATTACATATATACCATTCTTCATGATTCTCAACATTTTCATCATTATTAATGTTTTGTATATATATATATTGTGTGTGTGTATGCGTGTTAGATATATAATTTAAAAGAAAACAATAAGTTGGTGGCTTATGGCAAATTGTTCCTTAAGTCCTGCATTTGAAACATAGACACTGAGTGAATCAGCACATTTGATCATCTTTTAACTACAATAGATAATTATACATTAAAAATACATTAACCATCCAAATACATCTTTTTTCTTATTTATTTATTTATGTATTTATTTATTTATTTTTATTTATTTTTTTGAGATGGAGTCTTGCTCTGTCGCCCAGGCTGGAGTGCAGTGGCGCGATCTCAGCCCACTGCAAGCTCCGCCTCCCAGGTTCCCGCCATTCTCCTGCCTCAGCCTCCCGAATAGCTGGGACTACAAGCGCCCGCCACCACGCCTAGCTAATTTTTTTGTACTTTTAGTAGAGACGGGTTTTCACCATGTTAGCCAGGATGGTCTCGATCTCCTGACCTCGTGATCCGCCTGCCTTGGCCTTCCAAAGTGCTGGGATTACAGGCCTGAGCCTCGGCGCCTGGCCCAAATGCATCTTTAGGAAAATTATATTTAAGCTCTTCATGGAGACATTAAAAAACCAAGCTGCATTAATGATAAATAATTATATCATTCATTAGTAAGGAGTAAATAGCTGTTTTCTATTTGAGAAGTATTAATTGGATTGTCCATCTGTATGCAGGAACATCTGTTTTCTGACATGCTTTAATCACCATTTGTTTTGTACTTGTACCATAATTACACTTGTTTGTAATATTGAACTCGAGACAATGATTAAATCAACTTATGAATACGATTCTTTTATGCTTTTATATTTCATTAGAAAATGTGTAATTCTGGTATGACATTTATAAGTATATATAAAAGAAAGTATTTGATTCACAAAATGCCCCAACAGATTATGTCAGTAAAATGAGTGTTATATTATGCAGTCTATGTTATTATTTTAGCATTTTTAAGGAAAGTTTATTGCTTCACGGAAGCTTTTTTTTAACTGACCATCTATGAATTTTCTGTATTCTTTATTTCAGTGTGATCACATGGTCATAGAAGAGACATTTTTAGATCATCAGAAGTTGACAGTTTTCACTGTAGTGTATGTGCTTAGTATAAGATGGAATTAAGTTTGTTGTATGGGTGATTGATGAATTTTTACTGAATCATGGATAACTGCTGTTCTATTAATGACATTTCATCAATCAACTGTTTGGATATGGTTTATCACAAAATGTTGCTGACTTCATGTTTGTGGATTAACTGAGGTGAAAGTGATACCTGGTAGAAGTTTCATTAATACAAATTTTCCTCTCTTAGGAGTAGGATGGATTATATTATTTGTTGAAATGCCTTTGCATGTAAGTTCTTAACTGTCAGTTTTCTTGTCCTGTGAATCATATCTTTTCTGTATTTGCTGAAATAGAGACTTAACATTGTTAAATGATTTGTCCATGTCATGGAAAATGTATGCCTCTAAATCTGCGTTCCTTCCTACAAATTACAAGTTCAAAATGACTTTTTTTAAGAAACCAAAAAAAGATGGATTTCTGGTATTTTGTGGCAGGATAAGCTCCCTGTAGCCTATCTTACATGTTGATTACAACTAAAACTATGAAAAGTACAATAAGCAACTAACTGAGGAATCTGAAAAGTAAATAAAAGTAGAATTATGAGTGATAGGCAAAATCTGGAGAAGCACCCTGCAGTAGTGTGAGCTTCCATTGTTGTATTTCTTTCAATCAAAACCAAAACAAACAAACAAAACAAACAAAAACCAGAAAAGAACACCACCAACAAGAAAACACTCAAGGAAAATAGATATTGTGATAGAAACAGCAGAAATGTTGAGAAACAAAACCAGAAGGTTAGAATTATTAGAGAAAATAATATAAAAAGAGTAATTTTAAAGTATCTAAACAAAATTTTAAAAAGGAATTTAAAAAAATAAGCAAGGAGAAGACAATAAAAATAGGTTGATAATTCATTTGTTAGCATTTGTCTGTTTGGTATTTGTTGACCATTTTATTTAAAAAAAATTTGGCTCTATTTGATTTTGGTGTATTTCTTGTATATGTATTGTAAAATTTAGTATTTATTATTATTAAATATTTTATATTGTTAAATGATGATTTATTTTTATTGATAAGAAAGATGTAGTTTTCTGGTTGTTATTTTTGTAATTTTACCTGCATTTATATTTTTCTCCATTTATTTAGATAATACCTAATGGTTCCCCACAATGAGTGGCAATTAAATTAGACTCTATGCTATTTTCACTTTCTCAACTTCTCCTGAACTATTTGATTTTTGTGGCAGGATATTTCTTAATATTTGCCTTTTTGCCACTTAATGTTTTCATACTATTATGGGCAAATTTTGAGATTTAAAATGAACCCACTACTCTCAGCTATTATAGATGAGGCAATCAGGGAGCTAATTCCTACTTTCCCCTTTCTTTTACTCTTTCCTCCTAGTTGTTACAGTTGAATCATTTGTACATTATCAGAATCATCAGTAAAATATCTTTTTACATTTTCTACACCATGTATCCCTTAAATCTATATATGACGCATTGAATGCTTACCTCTTGCCTTACTGGTAGTATTTTACCTACTCAAAACACAGAACTTTGTTCTGTGGTAAATCTCTTAATAAGTGTTAATAAGGGAATATGTAAACAGTGTTCCCTGCAATTATGGGTGCTTATAACTGTACACTTTATAGCTGATAGATATCTTGCAAGGATAAGGATAACCATTTGCTTCTCCCTTCTCTTCTTTCTCAATATTTCCCCCCATTTTCTGGTGTTAACTTTTGCTGTGGAAAACTCTGATGCCAAAATGATTTTCTTTTTCTCTAAGTTCACTATTTTTGCTTAAGCCCCCAAATAATGCTTTCTTAATCTTTAAAGTCCTAGTCCCATACACAGATATATCTTGGCATTGAACATTCTAATAACATATATAAGCATATACTACACAGTAATGTAAATAAATGGGCTTATGATGATCTATCTTGGCTTAATATAGGCAATAACTTTTTTCTAATTCTATGTTTTACAGTTTTTGGATTTTTGGACGGGGAGAGGACTTACTACATATTCTTCTCTCACTTACACCCTTTACAACCCTTACATTATTTGGGGTTCAGTCTCCCTTGTTCTCTTTACAATTTAGTTTTTTTTTCTCTACAATGATTTTGTTTTTAAATCCTATTTCTTTCATGGATTCTGCCAGTTTCTATTGCACTTTCTGGCTATCTCTTCCCCATGCTCTTGCATTTCACTTCATGGTCTCTTTATGTTTTATTACACCCTTAAAATTTATGTTGGAATGTTAAGTGTTCATTCCTTTTTTCATCTGTTTTGTAGCAACATGTTTCTAGTGATTACAAGAGTTGATATATTCCTTTTTTATCTTTATTCTTAGAGTATTTTTATGTGAATGCTGAGAAAATTCCTTTAGTATTTCTCATATGTGAAAGTTGAATTTCCTACAGGACAAAGGAAAGGGGTTGTAGAATGTGCCCCAGCCTGCTAGCTCAAGGGCCCTCTCATCATTTGCTACAGTGACAGACTGTTGCCTCATTTTGGGGACATTATGGAGTCACTGCTCGCTCTCCATAAGAGCATAAATGATTACCAGGTAGTTGTTACTGTCTTCTCTCCTTGATACTCATACATAACTCATAGCACATATGGAAGCAACCTTCTAAATACCCATGTTTTATCTTTAAAATGTTCTTTGTGTGTAGCTGCCCATTTGTTTTGTGCTGACTGCCCCTATTACCTTCAGTTGTAACAACCCATTTAAGGTAGAAACGAGGGACACTCATCTCCATGTGTTTTCAGAACTTAAATGAAAAAATAAAAAGAGGCTGATGTCACTTCCCAGTTTAACATAGGGGTTTTATTTATTTATGTACACTCAATCAAACTATGACTATTACAAATGGTTTTACCGCTACAATAGTTAATTCATAGCTCAATAAAAATGAAGAGTGAAAGATTAAAAAAGGAAAGCAACAATTCTAAACTATAAAATCTACTTCAAAAAGCTACATACAGCAAAGCTCAATAAATAAATTGTGAAAAAAAGAAAATAATATGGGATAAGTTTTATGGTTTAGGAGATACCTTCCTATAAGCCAAAAACCTAAAAAAAAAAAATGCTAAAGGTATAGCTTGCTATAGTACATGGTAGGAGAAATTAACATGTATAAAATCAATAACACTCACATTATGTGATAGTCTACAGCCAAAGAATAATAGAAAGCAAGTGAAATGCTTAGCATAGCTATTTAGTCTACTAAATTAGGTTTGTGAAAATGAGAATGCCAAATGCCTTAAGGCTTACGGCAGGTGCAAAAGCAAAACATCAGAGGTCAACCTAAGTATATTTTTAATATAAAATTAATGTACCTGCATTGTAAGCATTATTTTTTTTGTATGGTAGAAAGGAAAAAATTCTTATATTATTCTACTATAAATGTGTATTCTTTGCTCTACTAAATTTGCATGTCATTGTCAGCCTTTCACTTTGTCTTCAGCTAACAAGAACCTCTTGGGTTCATCCTTTGGAGAACCTGATATCATGGAAAATGGACTGAACTAGGAGAAGAGCCTTTGTTTAGACCACATGCTGAGGTCTAGTGGCTTCAATTAAAAAAATATAAATGTGGCCGGGCACAGTGGCTCACGCCTGTAACTCCAGCACTTTGGGATTCTGAGGCAGGCAGATCACGAGGTCAGGAGTTCAAGACCAGCCTGACCAACAAGATGAAATCCCATCTCTACTAAAAATACAAAAATCAGCTAGGCATGGTGGCACGTGCCTGTAATCCCAGCTACTCAGGAGGCTGACGCAGGAGAATCGCTTGAATCCCGGAGGCGGAAGCTGTAGTGAGCCAAGATCATGCCATTGCACTCTAGCCTGGGACGACAGAGCGAGACTCCGTCTCAAAAAAAAAAAATTATGTATATATATATATATATATATATGCTTAATCTCTAAGCTTTGGAAGGAACAGCCTATCTACAGAAAAATTTAAAACTTGGTCATGGCAGGTACAGAGTTGGGCCCCACTGATTTTGTTGACGTTGGGGTCAGCAGATTCTGTAAATTTTCACTATACCTCTCATATGATCTGCCGCCACACCATTCATACTCTTAACTTTATTTCTCCTCATACCAGTAAATTACTAAAACTGCCAAGTTTTTTTTTTTTTTCACAAATTAATATCTTTAGCATTCTCTTCCTTCAGCCTGCAATGAAATTCTCTACTCCCCTCCCTCCTCCTTCCTCCTTGACTTCCGCTAATGCACATTTGTGTTTTGGTTTCCATACCAAATGAGCTACCTTCAATAAGCATCCCACAACTCCACAGGGAACTTTTGTTTCTCTACCTTCTGTGCTGTTGAAGCACTTGGCTCAGAATGAGAGATCTGTCTGCATTTCAGATCTACAAATTACTCATTGTGTGACCTTGGACATATCCCTAATATTTTTGAGCCTCAGTTTCTCAAAAATTAGAATAAAGATACCAAACTCCTGGGGTTTTGTGAGAGTAAAATGAGACGATGTGTGTAAGAGACTCAGTGCAGTGTCAGTATCTACCATGTGCTATGCACTCTGCGTTTTGCGTTTTCTGTTTTTCTTTTTTTTTTTTCTTTTGAGACAGAGTCTCGCTCTGTCACCCAGGCTGGAGTGCAGTGCGTGATCTCGGCTCATTGCAACCTCTGCCTCCTGGGTTCAAGAGATTCTCCTGCCTCAGCCTGCGAGTAGCTGGGACTACAGGCCCATGCCACCACGTCTGCCACCATATTGGTCAGGCTGGTCTTGAACTCCTGACCTCGGTGATCCACTCACCTTGGCATCCGAAAGTGCTGGGATTACAGGTGTGAGCCACCATGCCCGGGCCAACCCATAGCCTTTTGGTCTTCTCTCAGCCAAGGCATCCAGTGAAAATGCAATTTATTTTTCAGATTCCTCTGGAGAATTAAAAAGTCTCTTTTGCGGCTGGACACAGCAACTCACACCTGTAATTCCAGCACTTTGGGAGGCTGAGGCAGGCAGATCACAAGGTCAAGAGATCGAGACCATCCTGGCCATGGCCAACATGGTGAAACTCTGTCTCTACTAAAAATACAAAAATTACCTGGGTGTGGTGGCACAGGCCTGTTGTCCCAGCTACGTGGGAGGCTGAGGCAGGAGAATTGCTTGAACCCAGGAGACGGAGGTTGCAGTGGGCCAAGATTGAGCCACTGCACTTGCTCTGGTGAAAGAGCAAGACTCCGTCTCAAAAAAAAAAAAAAAGTCTCTTTTGCATCAAATTGCCATACTCTCTGCTCTTGGTCCTCTTTTCCATGTACTCATTCTTCAAGCATTTATTTTCTCATTGCCTGATCAAGATCATTGCAATGACCAAAAAATTTTCGAATGCTATGATTTTTGTGATATTCTTTTAGCAAGTTAATCACGATGTTGCATTCTTGAGTGTGCAAGTGTGGAGGTAAGTCAGGATGCATCTTCAAAACAAAAAGATGGGTCACGGCAGTGCCACACCACTCACGGCCACACCAGGAGAGCTGAAGGGGCAGTCACCAACGAAGATGCCTGACCCAGAAGCTGGCTGCCAGGGAGCCAAGAGCCAGGTCACTCCACAGGTGGCCAATGCCCGGGGGTGGCCCTCCACCACCCAAGCAGCTTCTTCTTTTCTTCTTCTTCTCCTTCTCCTTCTTCTTCCTTCTTCTTCTTCTTTCTTCTTCTTCTTCTTCTTCCTCTTCCTCCTCCTCCTCCTCTTATTCTTCCTCTTCTTCTTCTCCTCCTCCTCCTCTTCCTCTTCCTCTTCTTCTTCTTCTTCTTCTTCTTCTTTCTCCCTCTCCCTCTCCCTCTGCCTCTGCCTCTCCGTCTCCCTCTCCCTCTCCGTCTCCCTCTCCCTCTCCCTCTCCTCCTTATTCTTATTTTGAGACGGAGTCTGGCTCTGCCTCCCAGACTGGATAGCACGATCTCGGCACACTGCAACCTCCGCCTCTGGGGTTCAAGCGATTCTCCTGCCTCAGCCTCCCGAGTAGCTGGGACCACAGGCACGTGCCACCTCACCTGGCTAATTTTATTTTTTGAATAGACAGGGTCTTGTTATGTTGCCCAGGCTGGTCTTGAACTCCCGGGCTCAAGCGAACCTCCCACTTTAGCCTCCCAAAGTGCCAAGACTACAGGTGTGAGCCAACACACCTGGCCAAGTTCTACTTTTCTAATATTTAAAATATGAAATAGGCCGGGCACGGTGGCTCACAGCTGTAATCCCAGAACTTTAGGAGGCTGAGGCGGGCAGATCACCAGAGGTCAGGAGTTCGTGACCAGCCTGGCCAACACGATGAAACCCCGTCACTACTGAAAATACAAAAATTAGCCGGGTGTGGTGACAGATGCCTGTAATCCCAGCTACTCGGAAGGCTGAGGCACCTAAACCCGGGAGGTGGAGGTTGTAGTGAGCCGATACCATGCCACTGCACTCCAGTCTCGGCGACGCAATGAGACTCTGTCTCAAAAAAAAAAATAGATGGTGTCAGTGATTTCTATTACATGAGGTCTGAAAGCACTCTGTACCTGATTGCTCCACGTTTAGTGGTGCTAAGTTCAAATAATTCACGTGGTGAGAAACTGACTTCCGTAGGAGTGCGGCTGTGCGTGCGTGCCGCGGAAATCCCGCCTTCCGGCGCCTGCGGTTGCCCCCTGGCCTCAGCCGGTGGGCTCCAAGTAGGAAGATAAACCGCATTGCAGGAAGCGGGAGAGTCCGGAGGAGCGGCGAAGCGCTCCTCTTCCCCATTGGCTGCGCCCAGGGAGCCGCCTTGAGATTGGCCATAAGCGCCGGTGGCGGGGGTCGCGAGAGGCGTCAGGATCCCTGGCGCCGCCTGAGCCAGCGGCTGCTAGGAGGCTGTGTCCGCAAGCCAGCGGGGCGAGGCACCTGGGGCCTGCGCGTCAGGTCCCGGCCTGGGGCACCGGGGCTGCCAGCGTCGGAGGAGGTGCGGGCGCGGGGTTGGCGGGCGGCCTAACGGGGGCCTGCGCGGACCGCCCGTGGCGCAGCCTCGGGTCTCTCTCCATCTCTAAGTGGTGGTGGCTGTGGGTTTTTCTGCAGGTGATCCTTTTGAGTAATTTGTTTCACGCAGGCGCCCTGCTGTAGGGTAAAGCGGCAGATTCATGCTGCTGTCATTTGTCGTTAAAACTGTGGGCTTCTTGGCCAGGCGCGGTGGCTCAAGCCTGTAATCCCAGCACTTTGGGAGGCCGAGGTGGGCGGATCACGAGGTCAGGATATCGAGATCATCCTGGCTAACACGGCGAAACGCTGTCTCTACTAAAAATACAAAAAAATTAGCTGGGCGTGGTGGCGGGCGCCTGCAGTCCCAGCTACTCGGGAGGCTGAGGCAGGACAATGGTGTGAACTCGGGAGGTGGAGCTTGCAGTGAGCTGAGATTCCGCCACTGCACTCAAGCCTGGGTGACAGAGGGAGACTCCATCTCAAAACAAAACAAAAAACGATGGGCTTTCTGTCATGTGTGTGTGTACCTTTTGGATTTGAGGGCAGGGGGATGACATTGTGATTTGGCCTCCGGAGAAACCAGCACACCCTGCCTACCTTGGAAGGAGGCTTTCCCTTCCCCACCTCCCTCTCCCTCCATCTGTTTCCTCTTTCCCTCTCTCCACTTCACTCCCGTCCCCCCAGCTCTTCTCTCCCATCTTTTTGTTCTCTGTCTCCCTTTTTTTTCTGCATTAAACCTTTCGGGAGTGTCTTTGTAAAATATTAAAAAGCGTTAGGTCTTCAACATGTATGTTTACTTGCAGGCCTGAGACCTGGGAGGAAGCTGGAGAAAAGATGCCCTCTGAATCTTTGTGTTTGGCTGCCCAGGCTCGCCTTGACACCGAATGGTTGAAAACAGATATACAGGTGGGGTTTGACATGTCTTTTTCTTGGTGTATTTCTGCTTCCATGTTTAAATTTCTCGTGTAAGGCTTTTTTTTAGGGTGTGTAAGGGGAAGTCAGTTGTATCTTGCTATATTAGAGGAGCAGGTTTGTTTCCTGTAACTTAAAATGTAACAGTCTTTATGGCTGTTTTTGTAGATCGTGCAGGGCTGCCTTTTAATTAGTTTCTTGCAAGTGCAGGAAACAAGATTTATTAATAGGCAAAATTTTTTTCTTAATTATTATTACTGGTTGAGAAATCTGCTGCACTCCTAACCATATCATGGTGACTGTTGTTTGTTACTGATAGTTTTTGAGCTGTTGAGTTAACTGTGGAGGGGAAAATTGGAGAAGTAAGTTGCAGTAATTATGGCCGCTAGAAACTCACTCCTTTTATGAGGTCTTGTGTTTGTGTTTCTGGAGAGAAAAGAGTTCAGTTGAGCTGTTTGTTTTGTATTTGTAACCAATACAAGGACTAAGGACAATTGTGTTGAAACTGAGGTCATAATGTTGGGATCTTAAGGGCTGAAGGTTCCAAATAAATGGTATGTATAGAATTCTCTCTGACTTGAAATTTTCCCTTTCTGGACCTCCGGATGCTGAGGCTAGGAGTGTCCATATGACAGTGCCTTCCATGACAGGAGTCAGCAACTTTTTTTATTTTTTTTTTTACACGTATCAGTAATTCATTCTGTATATTTTGAAAAGTTTTAACCTCTTCTTCCTAGCCCTCCAGTATTTGTTAATAAATTAAAACGTTTCCCAAAGTGTTTTTTGTGAAACAATAATTCTAAAAGATGCTCTAAGAAAAGCTAAGTACATGGAAAAATCCAAAGTGTATATTTTATTTATTACATTTCATGAATTTTTGTTTTTGTTTTTTCCTCTTGAGAGGGACTCTTGCTCTGTCTCTCAGGCTGGAGTGCAGTGGCATGATCTTGGCTCACTGCAACCTCCGCCTCCTGGGTTCAAGCAGTTCTCTGCCTTAGCCTCCAGAGTAGCTAGGTTTACAGGTGCCCTCCACCATGGCCAGCTAATTTTTGTATTTTTAGTAGACACAGAGTTTCACCATATTGGCCAGGCTAGTCTTGAACTCCTGACCTCATGATCCACCCTCCTTGGCCTCCCAAAGTGCTGGGATTACAGGTGTGAACCACTGTGCCTGGACCACATTTGATGACTTTTTTTGTCCTTTGTTCTTTTAAAAATCATGGTTAGAAAGCAGAGCCTAATTGTTCTTTATGTAGAACCCAACTGATTGGGGTTTTTAGGAAGACGTTTTGACATTCAGTAAATGTTTTTGTTTTCCATTATTAAGACTATGAATTTTTTATTTTACTTTCTGAGACAGGGTCTTGCTCTGTTGCCCAGGCTGGAGTGCAGTGGCGTGATCTTGGCTCACTGCAACCTCTGCCTCCCGGGTTCAAGCAGTTCTCCTGCCTCAGCCTCCCAAGTAGCTGGCATTACAGGTGCCCGCCACCACTACCCTCCGCCTTTCAGGTTCAAGCGATCCTCTGCCTCAGCCTCCTGAGTAGCTGGTATTACAGGTGCACGCCAGCATGCCCGGCTAATTTTTGAATTTTTAGTAGAGACGAGGTTTCACCATGTTGGTCAGGCTGGTCTCGAATTCCTGACCTTGTGATCCACCCGCCTCAGTCTCCCAAAGTGCTGGGATTACAGGTGTCAGCCACATTTTTAGTAGAGATGGGGTATCACTATGTTGGCCAGGCTGCTCTGGAACTCCTGACCTCAAGTGATCCCCTCACCTCGGCTTCCCAAAGTGCTAGGATTACAGATGTGAGCTACCATGCCTAGCCGTATTTTGTATTTTTAGTAGAGATGGGGTTTTGCTGTGTTGGCCAGGCTGGTCTTGATCTCCTGGGTGCAAGTGATCCTCCCACATTGGCCTCTCAAAGTGCTGGGATTACAGGCGTGAGCCACCACACCTGGCCAATGGGAGGTCTCGCTTCCCTTCTCTCCAGCATTCCATAAGCAATGTGTTTGGGTAGTATGTGTTCGATCTTCTCTATGTATACTTTGAACCCTACAGTAGTGAAAGGAAGAGTAGACAACTTTGAAGTTGATGTGGTGTGGTCTTTGAGCTGGTGGTGCTAATTACTCTTGGTTGTTTTCGTGGCCTCCAGTGACTTCATCCTGCTTTTGCTATTGTAAAGTGTTGTAATTTATGCTCCTGAGAATAACTCTTGAGGTGTACTTAGGGTTCTTGTCTGCTTCCTGGTGACTGTCGAAGCTTTTCATCTTGAAGAAGGGAGATGAGCAGTGTTCCAGTGTACTGAGTTTAAAATTAAGAATGTTGCATTTTTTTAATGTGTAAAATTTATAGCCAGCTGTAGGGTAGGGGTGGCCTACTTTCTCTAAAGGGCCAGATAGTAAATATTTTAAGGTCTCAATGGACCCTATGGTCTCTGTCATAGCCATGAGACCTTGCAGATTTAGTGCCAAAGTAGCCACAGACAATACCACGTCAGCGGGCAGGGGACGTTCATTCTGTAAAGTGTATTTATGGACACCAAAAGATGAAGTCCACAGAATGTTTGCAAGTCACAAAATACTGTTTTTCTTTTTATTGTTTTTCAGTTATTAAAAAATATAAAATACAGTGGCCGGGCGTGGTGGCTCACACCTGTAATCCCAGCACTTTTAGAAGCTGAGGCAGGCGGATCACCTGAGGTCAGGAGTTCGAGACCAGCCTGGCCAACATGGTGAAACCCCATCTCTACTAAAAACAAAAAATTAGCCGGGCATGGTGATGCCCGCCTGTAATCCCAGCTCCTCGGAGGCTGAGGCAGGAGAATCACTTGAACCTGGGAGAATCGCTTGAGCCTGGGAGGCAGAGGTTGTGATGAGCCAAGACTCTGTCTCAAAACAACAACAAAAATAAAATACTTTCTCTGCGTTCAGACCATACACAAAGAGGCTGTGGGCTGGGTTTGGCTCCTGGGCTGTGGTTAGTGACCCCAAACACACACACACATACACACACATAGGGCAGAGTCTGGCCTTTAGAGCCAGCACCTGTGTTCTCACCTGAGCTGTGTTCCTGGCTGGGTTCTGCTGTGTATTCTGTGACCCAAGATGTCTATCTACCTTGGTAAACTGGAGACAACAAAGCCTGCCTCCTTCAAGGTTGTTTGTAAAGATTTAAAAGGGTAATATATTGTTGTTAGGCCAGATGCTTTGCATAGTACATGTTAGGTTATTTTCATTTTTTTTTTTTTTTTTTTTTTTTTTTGAGACAGAGTCCTACTCTGTTGTACAGGCTGGAGTCCAGTGGCGAGATTCCAGCTCACTGCAACCTCTGCCTCCCAGGTTCAAGCAATTCTCCTGCCTCAGCCTCTCGAGCTGCTGGGATTACAGGTGGCTGCCACCATGCCGGGCCAATTTTGATCTTTTTAGTAGAGATCGGGTTTCACCATGTTGGCCAGGCCGGTCTCAAACTCCTGACCTCAAGTGATCCGCCCACCTCGGCCTCCCAACGTGGTGGGATTACAGGCGTGAGCCACCGCATCTGGCCCATTTTCACTTTCCATTAGCTGCTTTTTTCCCCCATTCATTTCCTACCTTTC
Organism: Homo sapiens; assembly: GCF_000001405.40. NCBI lineage: Eukaryota > Metazoa > Chordata > Mammalia > Primates > Hominidae > Homo > Homo sapiens. The sequence goes on from NC_000005.10 coordinate 7,294,497, forward strand.
TGTGTATGATTTCTGAATTAAATGTATTTCATGTCTTAACCTTCTGAATTGTTTGTCCTCTCATTTTCCATGTTGTTAAGGAAAATAAGAGGCTAAGTGAGACGTATTAAATTTGCATGTAGTTTCTCAGATCAGGATAAATGCTCACCTGTTGCAGAACGGGACTCTGCTCTTGCTTCACCCAGGATGCCTTTCCTAGTTCCTTCCTAGAGTGGGGCCGCACCCTACTCCAGCCCTCCAGACCCAGCTCCCTGCTCTGACATGATTCCACCAGACTGTATTCCAGCTGTCCTCCCTGGACCTAGATATTTTCCTTCTTTTTTTTTTTTTTTTTTTTTTCCTGAGATGAAGTCTCACTCGGTGGTCCAGGCTGGAGTGCAATGGTGTGATCGTGTGATCTCGGCTCACTGCAACCTCCGCCTTCCAGGTTCAAGCCATTCTCCTGCCTCAGCCTCCCAAGTAGCTGGGATTATAGGCACGTGCCACCAAGCCTGGGTAATTTTTGTATTTTTAGTAGAGACAGGGTTTCACCATGTTGGCCAGGCTGGTGTCGAACTCCTGACCTTGTGATCCACCTGCCTCTGCCTCCCAAAGTGCTGGGATTACAGGTGTGAGCCACCGCACCCACCCAGCCAACATATTTTTATTAAAAAACTTATATGAAATTTATTTTATTGTGGTATGTAGTTCAGTAAATTTTGACCTCTATAGATTCATGTAACCCCCATCATCATCAGGATGGAGAATTTTCTTCACCCCAAAAGCTCCCTTGTGCTGCTCCTTTTTATCACGTGTTCCCTGGTCTCATACCCTGGCAACCACGGATCTGTTCTCCATCAGTATAGGGTATTCTTTTTGAGAATGTCATGTAAGTGGAACCATATTTTAAGTAACGTTTTGAAACCATCTTCATTTACTCCCAGTTATATGTTTGAGATTTATCTGCTGTTCTGTGTATTAATAGTTGTTTTTATTGCTGATTAGTATTTCATCATTTGGATGTACCACATGGTGTTTATCCATTCTGCCATTGTAGGACCCTGTGGTTGTTTCCATTTTTCTTTCCCAATTGTAATCCTGCTGTGAGCATTTCTATACAGATTTTATGTGAATATCGTTTCCATTTCCCTAGGATAAAGACCTAGTAGTGTGAAAGTTGGGTCATGTGCTGAACTGTTTTCCGAAGTGGCTGTTTTAGTTTGCATTCCCACTGGCAATCTGTCACGTTTCTGTTGCTCTGTGCCTTTGTTAGCACTTGGTGTTATCAGTGTTTTTTAGTTGAGCCATTCTAACAAGTCTAGTGGGATCTCATTGTGGTTTTAATTTGCACTTCCGTAATGGCTAAGAATGCTGAATATCATGTTCTTCTTTGCCACTCTTGTATCCTCTGTGAAGTTTCTGTTCTGATCTTTTGCACAGAAAAAGCTGTATCATGGAACCAGTAAAATAACCAAGGAGAGGTTGATTAAAGTTCTGTTTATAACCCTAGAAGATTCCTGCCCTAGGAATATGGGATGGCTGAACGTAGGACACCGACACTGGGCAGATGAAATAGCAGTTTATTAGTCACACATGCTCACAGCCCTGGGGTGGGGGACACGGCATGCCATTCAGTTAATGATGTGTGTTGTAACTTTTCGGGGAGGGACATTTGCAGAGACTAATGGTGTGACATTCTGAAAAGTGGTGACAGATTAAAAAATTTTTTAATTCTGCAGATGATAGTGTCGAACCAAGTGAAACAAAGAAAGAAGATCTGAATGACAAAGAGAAAAAAGATGAAGACGAAACTCCTGCACCTGTATATAGGGCCAAGTCAATTCTGGAGACCTGGGCGTGGGGCAAGCAACCAGGTAATCTTCTGAGTTTTGGCACTTTGGAAAGCTTGATCTGACGCTCCTTTTCTAAATAACTTGGATGGATTATTTGTATTTTTTGGTAACAATTTTAAAAAATGTAATTAAAAAAATTTAAATATTGTGGTAAAATATACATACCGTAAAACTTGCCATTTTAATCATTTTTATGTGTACAGTTCATTGGCATTAAGTATATTCACATTATTGCCCAGCCGTCACCACCATCCATCTCTACAACTTTTGCCCTTTCTCCAACTGAAACTCCGTATCCATGAAACACTAACTCCTTCTGTCCCCAAGCAACCACCATTCTACTTTTGTCTCAGAATTTGACTACTCAAGGTGTCTCCTATAAGGGGAATCATACAGTATTTGTCCTTTTGTGACTGGGTTATTGAACTTGTTAGGTGTTTGGGGTTCATCCGCATGTGTCAAAATTTTCTTTTAAAGGCTCAATGCTATTCCATTATATATGTAAGCCACATGTTATCCCTTCATCAGTGGGCAATCAGGTTGCTTTCATCTCTTGACTGTTGTGAGTAATGCTGCTATCAACATTGGTTTACCAGTGTCTTGAGTGTCTGCTTTTAATTCTTTGTGTCTATACCTAGGAGTGGAATTGGTCAATAATGTGGAATGCTTACATATTTATTTTTTTTGAGATGGCATCTCGCTCTGTCGCCCAGGCTGGAGTGCAGTGGCGCCATCTCAGCTCACAGCAAGCTCCGCCTCTCGGGTTCACGCAATTCTCCTGCCTCAGCTTCCTGAGTAGCTGGGACTACAGGCGCCCGCCACCATGCCTGGCTAATTTTTTTGTATTTTTAGTAGAGTCTGGGTTTCACTGTGTTAGCCATGATGGTCTCCATCTCCTGACCTCGTGATCCACCCACCTCAGCCTCCCAAATTGCTGGGATTACAGGTGTGAGCCACCGCACCTGGCCAATAAGGTGGTAGTTAGATTTATGTTTAACTTATTATTGTTGTTTTTGAGATTGGGTCTCACTCTGTCACTCAGGCTGGAATGCGTTGATGTAATCATAGCTCACTGCAGCCTTGAACTCCTGGGCTCAAGTGACCTTCTTGCCTCAGCCTCTCAAGTAGCTAGGACTAGAGGCGCAGGGAATTTCTCATCTTCTCTCTACTGCCTCTGATTTGGAGATGTCAGAGGGAGCCATGGCCCACTGTAAAGTAACACAATGTCCCCACCCACAGGGTTAGAACCCCTCTTCTGGTGGCAGCTCTGAGGGGAGCAGTCACATGTGGAGAGTGCAGGGCTCTGTGTCCAGCTGGGGGAAGGAGGTTACCAAGGGGGTTGACCCCCCTCTGGCCAGGTGGCTGCCTTCTGACACACCAGTCTCTCTCTCTAGCACGGTGGCCCCTACACACCCAGCCTGTCAAACCTACAGCCCTCGGGAAGGCTTTGGCCAAATCCATGAGCGGCTCCCTCTGTTAAGAAGGAAGCACAGCTGAAGCATGAGGAAGGCAGTAGAGTGTGTATGCTCCGCCGCGTCTCCCCACAGTCTGACCAGAAGGAAGGGGCCTTTCAGCCAGGCTCGCCCAGGCTGGGGTTGGAGTGTCAGTATCAAGCCAATGTCTTCTTGCTTAATGAGTGAGCCCAGGTGCTCCCGTGCAGCTGCCACCGTAGTGAGGGTGAACCAGCAGGAGGCTCCACGGCACTTTCAGGCTCAGGCTGCCTGGTGAGATCTACTCTGTGGGCTCTGTAGGCTGGTAGAGGCTTCCAGGAGGAGGAGGGGATGCAGCCACCAGTCCCCACTCCTGGGAGTCGTATTTCTGAAAGCTTGGGTATACAGTAAATATTAGGCTGTGGGCTGGTTTATCTATGGATTTGATGTGGGAGGGTTATAGGTACAAGCAGTTTAAAGATGGAAATTTTGAGAGAACAGGCAGGGATTTAGTGCTGGGTAAGGCAAGCAGGCTTGTCAAAGCAGCTCTTTTGGGGAGGCCAGAATCCTGTACCAATGTCCTCAGCACGTTCATCAGCTGCTGGGGGAGTGCCGGACAGGATGAAAGCACAGGAGAACTTTCTGGATGATAAAATGTTCCATATCTTCAAAGGAGGTGGGTTACATGGGTAATGCATTTGTTAAAAGTCATCAAAATGTAAACCAGATCTGTGCATTTCATGGGATATAAATTATACCTCAAATTAGAAACATTTTTAAAAAGACAGATGGGCTGGATGCAGTGGCACACGCCTGTAATCCCAGCACTTGGGGAGGCCGAGGCGGGTAGATCACCTGAGTCAGGAGCTCGAGACCAGCCTGGACAACATGGTGAAATCCCGTCTCTACTAAAAATATAAAAATTAGCAAGGGGTGGTGGCATACGCGTGTAATCCCAGCTACTTGGGAGGCTGAGGCAGGAGAATTGCTTGAACCCAGGAGGTGGAGGTTACAGTGAGCAGAGATTGCACCACTGCACTAGAGCCTGGGCAACAGAGTGAGACTCCATCTCAAAAAAAAAAAAAAAAAAAGGGTTTTCAACATTCATTAAAGGCAGAGTAGCTTGTTATAGATTAGCCTCCCCACAGGAACAGTTAGAAAAACTGGACAAAAATGTGTCCCCCCTTCCCCCCACCATCAAAAACAATTGTTGGAAGGTAATTGGAGACCTCAGCCAGGACTTGAGTGACCAGGCCTAGGAGGTGATCCTGACAGTCCTTAGTGCTTTTCCCACATTTGGTGATCGGTCAACAGTAGAGGGCTAAGAGGCTAAGAAACTGAGTATGAAGTGATAGTTGAGAGGCTGGAGAGCCTAGCTGAACGTTTGGCACTCTCACAGGGCTGAAATGACATAATGAGAATTTGGGTCCCAGTAAGGAGATGAGACCTTGGTGGGGATCCTGGAAGGGCCACCCCTAAGAGTCCAAAAGGATAAAAAATAGACCAGCTGTCACAAAAACTAAAACCTGCTTTGAGCCAGCTTAGTCCCAAACTAGATGAAGGTGATCTGCTTGAACGCCAATTCTGTGCCATAAAGTCAAAGTCAGTACTCTCTGGAGGCAGATAAAACTTTACTAGGCATGCCATAAGACAAGACAAGACGAAAGGAGAAAACAAACAAAAAAAACAATAGAAACATACATAGATATTAGAGTCCTCAGGTAGAAATTTTTTTTTTTTTTTTTTTGAAATGGGAGTTTCACTCTGTCACCCAGACTGGAGTGCAGTGGTGTGATCTCAGCTCACTGCAACCTCAGCCTCCCACGTACCTAGGATTGGTGATCCACCCGCCTAGGCCTCCCAAAGTGGTGTGATTACAGGTGCAGGCCGCCATGCCCGGCCAGTATTTTGCCACAATTTAAAATAAATTTTCTTTTTTTCAAGTTTGTTCTCAGACTGTATTCACAAGGTCACGTGGCGGCTTACACTTCTGTAGGCCTTGTTGACCGTTCTTTTTAGATATTGATGATCTTGATCTTTTTCTTGTCTCCTCGGTAGAAGAATAGGATGCAGGAGGTGCTGCCTAAGCCTGGGTGCTCCTGGGTGTTCTTCATTCCAGGGGGCAGCTGCGTGATCTGCTGTGCAGTGCGGTTGTCATGGGAATAGCCCTTCCCAGCCTCTCGTGCAGGCTTCAGGCTGCCAGCATGGCTCATATCACAAGGATATTTGGAGGGAGGGAGGCAGGGCTCTGAGCACCGCTCCTCCTGCATCTTCTCCTCCTGCTCTCCCATCCTCTCCTTCTTCTCCCGCATCTTCTCCACCTGCCCCCGGACCTTCTCCTCCTCCTCCTGCATCTTCTCATACTCAACCCACAGCCTCTCCTCCTTGAATCACAGCCTCTCGACCTGCTTCCGCATCTGCTCCTCCTGCTCCCCCATCTGCTCCTCCCGCTTCCGCACCTGCTCCTCCCGCTTCCGCACCTGCTCCTCCCGCTTCCGCATCTGCTCTTTCTGTTTCCGCATCTGCTCCTCCTGCTCCCCCATCTGCTTCTCCTGCTTCCGCATCTGCTCCTCCTGCTTCCGCATGTGCTCCTCCTGCTTCCGCATCTGCTCCTCCTGCTTCCGCATCTGCTCTTCCTGCTTCCGCACCTGCTCCTCCTGCTTTCGCACCTGCTCCTCCTGCTTCTGCATCTGTTCCTCCTGCTCCGCCATTTGCTCCTCCTGCTTCCGCATCTGCTCCTCCTGCTTCCGCATCTGCTCCTCCTGCTTCCGCATCTGCTCCTCCTGCTTCCGCATCTGCTCCTCCTGCTCCCCCATCTGCTCCTCCTGCTTCCCCATCTGCTTCTTCTGCTTCAGCATCTGCTTCTCCTGCTTCCGCATCTGCTCCTCCTGCTCCCCCGTCTGCTCCTCCTGCTTCCGCACCTGCTCCTCCTGCTTCCGCACCTGCTCCTCCTGCTTCCGCACCTGCTCCTCCTGCTTCCGCACCTGCTCCTCCTGCTTCCGCACCTGCTCCTCCTGCTTCCGCACCTGCTCCTCCTGCTTCCGCACCTGCTCCTCCTGCTTCCGCACCTGCTCCTCCTGCTTCCGCACCTGCTCCTCCTGCTTCCGCACCTGCTCCTCCTGCTTCCGCACCTGCTCCTCCTGCTTCCGCACCTGCTCCTCCTGCTTCCGCACCTGCTCCTCCTGCTTCCGCACCTGCTCCTCCTGCTTCCGCACCTGCTCCTCCTGCTTCCGCACCTGCTCCTCCTGCTCCCGCATCTGCTCCTCCTGCTTCCCCATCTGCTCCTCCTGCTTCCGCATCTGCTCCTCCCGCTCCCCCATCTGCTCCTCCCGCTCCCCCATCTGCTCCTCCCGCTTCCGCATCTGCTCCTCCCGCTTCCGCATCTGCTCCTCCCGCTTCCGCATCTGCTCCTCCCGCTCCCCCATCTGCTCCTCCCGCTCCCGCATCTGCTCCTCCCGCTCCCGCATCTGCTCCTCCCGCTCCCGCATCTGCTGCTCCCGCTCCCGCATCTGCTGCTCCCGCTTTCGCATCTGCTGCTCCCGCTTTCGCATCCGCTACTCCTGCTCCCGCAGCTCCTTCTCCTGGTCCCGCAGCCTCTGCTCCTGTCTCCACATCTTCTCCTCGTGCTTCCGTAGCTTCTCCTGATCCCGTAGCTCCTCCTGCTGCCTCCACATCTTCTCCTGCAAAGTGTTGGTTTGAACCTTAAAAGGAAATAGAGTCATAAGCTAGGTATATAAATGTAATCTATAAAATAACGGTTTTCGTCTATGATTCTTTAAAAAGAAATTTTAAGCCCTAACCCTGAGGTTCTGATTTCCCAGGCATGGTCCCAATTTGTAGATTTTTAGCACACTCTATAGGATTCTATGGTGGGACCAGAACAAGGACCCAAATTTTCCAGCTCCTGGCTGGAGCCTCCCCATACCCTGCATGATCCCTAGACCATGTCCCAGCCGGATGCGGCTCCCACACCCCCGGGGCTGCAGCCGCTCACCTGTGGCAGCGGGATTTTGTCCGTCTCCAGTTTCCTTTTTAGCTCCTTGATGTGGAGCTGGATCTCAGACTTTTCAGTTTCTACCAGTCGAAGTTTTTCTTGTAGTTCGGCATTTTTCTCCTTCAGCTCCTCATTGGTTATGCTATGGCCAGAGGCAGTAGAGAAAGGAATGAGCAAAGAACAGAAAGGACCGCTTTGGTGATCGACCCTCTACCCTCGCCCCACAACCACAGAACCGTGGCATTGGAAGAGACCCCAGGAATTAAAAGTCCCAGGTGGCAGGCCAGAGAGAAGACGTGAGTTGCCTGAGGCTACCCCATGAGTCAGTGGCACAGCCATCACTGGAGCTTCCCTGCGCACACATGTAAACCTGTATGACCCCCTAGCATGCTCACCTGTACCCACCACCTCCCAGCACACCACCCATGCTAAGGGCTCTCAGACCTCCCATCCCCCGCTCCCCCATCCTACATGTTCCTGTGCAGCTCCAGACTCAGGGCTTCCCTCTCCTTTGTTAACTCCTCGATGTACTGCAAATAGAGAAAGGTCAAGTCAGGATACAGCAGGCAGAGGAGCAGCTGGACGACCAGTAACGACAGCTACACTGATGCTCCACAGTAACACTTGCTCCTCTCCATCACACCCGACATGTTCTCAAGGCATTTCCAAACCCATGGTGTCATTTGTTTTTCTTTTCTTTTTTTTTTTTTTTTTTGAGATGGAGTTTTGCTCTTGTTGCCCAGGCTGGAGTGCAATGGCGCGATCTCACCCCACCGCAACCTCCGCCTCCCGGCTTCAAGCGATTCTTCTGCTTCAGCCTCCTAAGTAGCTGGGATTACAGGCATGTGCCACTGCACCTGGCTCTCACTTGTTTTTCAGAGAACTCAGTAAGGGTGGAAGGGACAGGGAAAGAGACTGAATTGATAGCTGGCTAACAGGGGCCCAGAGCGATCAGATAATTTTGCTATTGCTATTACTGTTATTATTACCACTGTTGGAACCTTTCTTGAGTGCTTCACCAGGCACTAAGCTAACAATCCCATTTAATCCTCACAACCACCATAGGAGATAGTTATCATTATCACCTCTATTGTGTAGATGAAAAACATGGGGTATTAAAGGTTAAGTGCTTGCCTAAGATAACTTAGAGCTGGGATTTCAACACCCAGGTATATCTGATTCTCTAAACCCATTCTTTTGGTTGGGGGTAGGGGCACAGATAAGGAGGAGGAAATTAATCCTTTGTTGATTTTTGAAAGAATGATACATTGGCATAGTCCAAACCTCAGAAGGTACAGAAGGGAAATATCTTCCCCCAACACTGTTCCTCTCTCCTGAGTTTTTTATGAATCCTTACAAACATGTTTTATGTATATTACCATAATACGTATGTACACACACACACACACACACACACACACACACGTACATGTGTTCCCTCTCTCTACACAAATGGTAACATACTAAAGATACTCTTCTGTACCTTCATGGTACAAGTACCCTAAACTCTGCCTAGGATTTGACCAAGGCCACAGCCAAGTATGGGTGGGGTGGGCACTTGGCCTCCGAGCTCTGTGTCCAGTGCTCGCTCCCCACAGCGCCCTGCAACTCACCCACAGCAGCTGACTCAGCCCCAACCTGCCTCTAACAACCACGCACAAAAGCAGCAAGAAATGGCCCATGCTGTCTTCTGGGCAGGACACTGCATCCTGCAGAAGGGACCTTTAGGCTCATTCCTCCATCTGCGAAGCTGGGCTCCCAGGGGACCGGGTAGGTGGTTGGACTCACCCTGTCCACCCTCTTGTGCTCTGCGGACATAGCAGAGAGAGCCCGCTGTAACTCTCCTGCAAAGTACCAGGAATGATGCAGGCGGCCTGCCAGATCCTTGGAATCTTCTGGAATGAGAGAGGTTGAGCTGCAGCCCAAAGGCCTGTGAAAGTGCCAGGTTGAAGGATGACGGGGTGCCCAGATTCCCACCTTCAAATTTCCTGGCAGCATCCTGGCTGTCATGGAGCACTGTTTCCAGTTCAGTTTTCTGACACTTAAGGATTCGTATGGTATGATCCTGGGCCTTTGGGAGACAAGAAAAGCAAGTGCTGAAAGAGAAGCAAAGAAACCTTCTCCAGAGGACAGGAGGGAACTTCACACCCTCCACTCACCTCTAGCTGCCTCCTTAGGGCTTGCTGATGTTGGTGGCTTGCCTTCTTTTCCTATAGAAAAGAAGAGGAAGACAGAGCTCTTACTAGAGGGAGGCAGAGATGGCACAGCAAGAGACATGCCCCCAGAATGGCACCACTGTCCCAGGACAGGCCCACCCATGGGACCAGGTTATCAGGGACCCTGTGGGGATGGGGTGGAATCTGGGAGGTGAGCCTTCCTCCCCAGGCTGGGAGTAGGTGAGACGAGACTGGGGCCTCTACATCTGAGTGCCCCCCAAACCCAGCGGTCATGTCGTGAGCAAAGAAAGAAATCATGTTACCTCTTTCAGCTGAGCTCGGTTCTGTTGTTTCTGTGGGGAGAGTCAAAGGAAGGTGACTGAGGGTGGCCCCTCGACTCTATTCCCCAGGCCAGGAAGCAGTAGGCAGGGGTCAGGAATGGATTTTAAGGGCAAAGTTCTTAGACCCAATGGGAACACGAACTGGTCAACTTTCCTTAATGCCCAAAGAAAAAGGATCTGGGTCTTTGTTGGTTTTTGCCCACAGCCACAGAACTGAAAGTCTGAAAGTAGATTCTCTGGAAAAGACAGTAACATAAACCTTCCGACATAAGAGTGTGAGAAAAGCCCACCCTTCTGCTAGCTTGTGATGTAGAAAGATGTGTTCATTCAACAAGCATTGAGCAAGCACATAGGGGCTGGGGACGGTTCTTCACTGCTGGGATATAGGACGGAAAAGGCAGACAGGAGCCCTTGGCCCCAAGGTTTCCATTCTAGTGAATCTTTAAATCTCAGACTCTCAGAGCAAACAGAAACCTCTGATACTCTAACTCTACCTCCTCAGGAAACGGAAGCCCAAAGAGGAGGGGAGTTTACAGCAGGCTCTGGACTAGGGATTAACACAAAAACAACAACAACAAATCTGATTTAAGCTTCACACATGTAAGTAAAACATTACCACCCCTATTTTACAGATGTGAAAAGAGAGGTCCAAAGAACTCGAGCAATTTTCCCTAAACCGTGTCCCTCGCAGATGGAGAGAGAGGTAGGATTCAGACCCAGAATTCTTAACCAGTACCCGGCAGTTCTTCCTTCCACAATCTTAAGTTACCCTCGACCTCCCCTTGTGCCCCTTGTCCTCAGGAGACTGGCCCCCCAAGACTCACATCCTCAGGTGAATGGCAACCCCCCAGAAGTGGTTGTCTGAGGGTTAGTGCCATTATTTATTTTCTTCTTTTTGGTGTCGGTTGCTCCAGTACCAACACCAGCACTGTTCCACTGATGATAGTCTGTGAACTGTGGAAAAGAGGAGCAGTGATACTCATGAGAACTACAAGCTCCTACAGTCACTTTACAGTTTATACAAAATACTCTCATAGACGATCTGATTTAATGCCACCAACGACTGTATGAGGTGTTGTCGCAATCACTTAGTGACTGAGAGGGATTGATACCATGGCTAAAAGAAAGGCAATAATGGAACTGAAACTCAGTCTTCTGACTCTGAGCTCTGGGGTGTTGCCACAAATCAGCAGCTGCCAGAGACCAAAACCAGAGGCAGAGGTAGAAAAGTAAGAAGTAGGCAGGAAGGTGTACACTGTGTGGTTTACAGTCGTACATCCTCTTAGAGTCATGTATCCTCAGGGCAGAAGGCAGCCTTTCTGTTAAATGTGGGAATTAAACAGAAAGAGGACAACCCAAGCTGCATTTCAGAGAGAAGTCTTGTATACTCTTAGAAATCTATGTGACTATCATCCCTAAGAACATTAATGTTTTGTCTCTCCCACGAGAATCAAGGAAAACTGATGCTTCAGAAAGATGCCCCATATGTATCCTGTGGCACTCAAAGTACCCCAGGTTGAGATGAGATGAGGAAGATTCAAGTTGTCAAGTCCAGTTTCCCAAGATCTCTTGCACAGAAGATGAGCAAATCTCACTTCAAAGATCACTGAGTGATGGGCACTCTGGTCCCAGAACCATGGAGAATTCAAATATGAGGTGAAGAACTTAGAAAAAACTGTTAAAGTCTCTCTGGAGAGTAGAAGCCTGGGAGAAAACCAAACCAAACCCATTATCCCATCAGTGCTGTGCCCAAGTTGCCTCTTTGAGATTGGCGTGGGGTCACAGGGTTGGGCCCCAGGTACTTGGAGACGTGAGCCCAAAGAGCCCAGGGAAGTCAGGCTTGGGGCAGCAGTAGGTGAGGGCCGAGTATGGAGTGGGGAGCCCCAGGAGTCACCTGCCCAAAGTCACCCTGGGGTGACTGGTGAGGGCAGGTGCTGGGGCATCCAGTTCCTTGGGAACGTGAGCCCGAAGGGCCCAGGGAGATCCGTTTTTGGACAATAGGAGGTGAGGGCAGAGTACAAAGCAGGGAGCCCCACGAGTCACCGGCTGAAAGTCACCCTGGGGTGACCGGTGAGGGCAGGGGCAGGACTGCTGAGGGATTGGGGCTGACAAAAGATTTTGGTTGGGGGAGCCCAGAGGCACTGGGGGGGCCCAGCCCCGTGTGCCTCTGGAGTGACATGGATTCTGGCAGCTGTTCTGCCATCAGAGGGGACCTGGGGCTGGGTTGGGGTTGGGGTGCTGCAATCCGATGCATTTTACCTTTCTCTTGGTCCCAGCCAATTTTCTTTGTTGGGTTTTTTCGGACATCATGGGGTGGGGAGGGAGGTGGGGTTGGGGTCACATTGGCGTGATCCAGGCGAGGACAGTGATATGCCTCCAGTCATGTACCACACAGCTATGTGACTGAGCCACAGGAGGCGTCACCAGGGCTGCACTAGAATGCGGAAAAGGGGCGTGGCCTTAATGCTCCAAGCCCATTGGTCAATGAGAAAGATGAAAGGGAAAGGAGGCGGGGCCAGGCAGCTGTGTGTCATGAAGGTCCTGTGATGTCACAAGGAAAGCCGCCCATGCAACTGCTGTCCCCGCCCACTCTGGGAGAGGGGCGGGGCTGGCTTTCACTTTCTAAACTTTAAAACTTTATCACCTTAATTGAGGTACAAATCCTGTTGTAATGGAAAATTTACAGTGTGCGTAATGATTAGTAAAGCAGATTATATTATCCAACATTCCAATAAGATAAAATAATCACAGTGATTTCTCTTTTTTGGAAAAAGTTTCTCTTATTCTCCTACATGATTGTTAAGTTTTTTTTTTTTTAAACTAGAGACATGTCTAATATATTTAAAAACACAAAGCTTTTGAGGTGGGTGTGGTGGCTCATGCCTGTAATCCCAGCACATTGGTAGGCTGAGATGGGCATATCACCTGAGATCAGGAGTCAAGACCAAAATTTTAGTATTTTAGTGTGTAATTTAGTATTTATTTTAGTATTTAATACATCATTTAGGGCTACATGTAGCCACAGAAAGAATAAATCTGATTCAGTGACTTAAAGAAATATAGATTTCATTTTTGTCACTTAAAATGTGCAGAGGAAGGCAGTCCAGGGTTCTTTTCAGTTTCCTGATACTTCCTTAGCCTGGTTTCTATTCTTGTGGTTACAATGTGGCTGCTGTTTTTCCAGGCCTTGGATTGCCTTCCAAGGAGGGAAAGAAGAAAGGTCAAAAGGCTGAGTTTGTCTCTTTTTAGCTGAAAAACATAGATTTCTCAAAAGTTGTAAGATTATACTGCAATTCAATTTTCATCCTTTTTTTTTTTTTTTTTTTTTTTGAAACGCAGTCTTGCTCTGTTGCCAGGCTGGAGTGCAGTGGCACAATCTCGGCTCACTGTCACAATGTCCGCCTCCATGGTTCAAGCGATTCTCCTGCCTCAGCCTCCCTAATAGCTAGGAATACAGGCGCATGACACCACGCCTGACTCATTTCTTTTTGTATTTTTAGTAGAGACGAGATTTCACCATGTTGGCCAGGCTGGTTTTGAACTCCAGACCTTGTGATCCGCCCGCCTCTGCCTCCCAAAGTGCTGGGATTAGAGGCATGAGCCACCGCGCCTGGCCTGCAATTTTCATCTTTTGGCTGCAAATAAGTTATGTCACTATTCTCAGCTGGGGGAGTGTTTAACTCACATGTTGCTTCCTCTCTGTTAGACAGGTTTTAAGATTTATGAATAGGTACTGAATTGTATCAATTGCTTTTTTCTTTCTTGATTGAGCAGTGTTTTTTCTTATCTTTTTATGTTGATAAGGTAACTTAACAGTGATTGGCTTTTGAATGTTGAACATTGCATTTCTGGAATTAAATCACCTTTGTTGTGATAAATGATTAATACCATATTATATATGGTTGAGATGGGCTTGCTCCTAGTTCATTTGGTAGTTTTGTACTTACGTTCACAAGAGAAAGTGGAGTCTAAGTTTTTCTGTTTTTTTTTTTTTTTTTCCGCGGAGTCTCGCCCTGTTGTCTAGGCTGGAATGCAGTGGCATGATCTCGGCTCATTGCAAGCTCCGCCTTCCGGGTTCACGCCATTCTCCTGCTTCAGCCTCCCGAGTAGCTGGGACTACAGGCGCCCACCACCACCCCTGGCTAATTTATTGTATTTTTTTAGTAGAGACGGGGTTTCACCATGTTAGCCAGGATGGTCTCGATCTCCTGACCTCGTGATCCACCCGCTTCGGCCTCCCAAAGTGCTGGGATTACAGGCGTGAGCCACTGCGCCCAGACTTGTGAGGTTTTAATATGAAGTATTAAAGCTATGCTGGTTAGACAATTTGAGAAATGTTTCTTCTATTTCTGACAGAATTTATGTAAGATGTGTGCTATTTCTTCCTTAAGCATTTGGAAAGAATTCACTTATTAAGCCATGTGAGACTGTAGTTTTCTTAATAAGGTGTTTAATTACAGGTTCAATTACATATATATGAATATTCATTTTGGTAACCTGTGTTTGCTGAATCAATTTGTTCATTTTATCTAAAATTTCAAAGTTGTTCTATTATTCATTTATCTTTTTAATACTTATAAGGTCTGCGGTTAGAGTTTGTGCCTTTTGTCTGTTTTGTTAATCAATCTTGCTGGGGGCCATCAATTTTATCAGTGTTTCAAAAAAGCAAACTTTGATTTTATTCATCCCTTTACCATACTGAAAATGTTTTGCTTAATTTCCAAACTTATACTTCCACTGTGATTAAATATTTGTATAACTAAAACTCTTTGGAATTTGTGTCTTCTCAATGATCAAAAATATGATTAATTTTTATAAATATTGCTTCTGCACTTGAAAAGGATGTGTATTCTGCATGTTGAGCGTAGTGTATCACGTATCTCAATTAGATGGAGCGTGTTAAATGCATCCTTTAAAGATTCCATTTCCTTACTGATGTTTGTCTGTTTATTTTTCAGTGGCTGAGACACAGATATTAAAGTTTCCCACAATGATCGTCAACTTATTTCTTTTTTTCGTTTGTTAAGCTTTGTTCTGTGTGTTTTAAGGTTAAGTTACCAGGCATAAACACATTTAGAATTCCTTTTTCTCCCTGCTGGTTGCACCCTTTTATCATTAGGAGATACCCTCTTTATCTCTCACATAGCTCTTTCATTAGAGTTTTTTTAATATGTAAAAGAAAATAAAGTCTTGGAACCGCCAAACCTGTTATGCTAAAGGAGACATAAGTTTGGGAGCTTAGTCATGCAAAACTGCCATTCTTTCTCCCCAAAGAGATAGCTGCCATTTCACAACCCTGTGTTATGGCATTAGACATAAGCCAGGTCCCCACTACCACAAAAGGCCACGTACCTCTCCATGTGGCCCCTCTTACAAACTGTTCACAGGGACATTCCCTGCTAGCCCCTAAATCTTTCAGGATCCATGTCCCCCTATAAAATAAGCATATGCCAGTTGTAACCCTGGCTCTGCAACCTCAGTTTAAGACGTAACACTGAGTTCTATTGAATCTGACACTGACAATGTTGATTACAGGTTTATCTTCCCAGGTACAGAACAAGAACATGAGATCAAGCACTCTTCAGGCTATCCTGAGATGGCTGCATAATTGACTCTTTCCTCCCTCTTTTCAAACGTTTACCTCGTCTTATGTAAAATGAAGATTTACTGAGCACTAATTAGAGCTTCCTAAGAACGTAACCACCCCTTCACTGCCTGCTCCCCCTCCCTTTCTTCTCTCCTGCCTGCCTTCTCCCCTTACATACTGAGTTCCCAAAACCCTCTTTGGAAAGCAGGGGTCACAGTCATTTCTGTGGCTTGTGTTTTTTCCGGGGGTGTCGTCAAATTGTGGCTCCACAAAGCTCTATTGATGTGGGCACTTGCCTCAGTCGGTGGCTCATTTTTTGTTTTTTTGTTTTTTGTTTGTTTAACAGCTATAAATACAGATACCCCTGTTTTTATTTACTTAGTCTTTGCTTTGTCAGTCTTTGACTGTCAATTTTTCTCTTTTAAAAATAAATTTTCTTGTGTATAGTTAAGGCTTACAACATGATGTTAAAGGTTATATATAGATTGTAAAAAGATTCCTATACTGAAAGAAATTAACACACCAATCGTTTCACATAGTTCCCCATTTCCTTGTTGCTTTTGTGGCAAGAGAGGTTGAAATCTACTCATTGAGCATGAATTTCACATACAGAACAATTTTGTTCCCTGCAGTCCTCATGTCATCCATTACATCTCTAGACTTGTTCATCCTTCATACCTGCTACTTTGTATCCTTTGGCCTCCATGGCCCCAATTCCTCCCCTCTCCTACCTCCCCTGGTAAACAATGTTTTGCTCTCTATCTCTGTAGATTTATTTATTTACATTTTTACATCCCACATATAAATGAGTTTATGCAATATATGTTTTTCTGTGTATGCTTTTTTTCACTTAGCATGACGTCCTCCAGCCTCATCCATCTTGCGGCAGATGGCAAGACCTTGTTTGTTTTAGGGCTGAATAATATTCCATTGCGTGTGTGTGCCACAGTCTCTTTATCCATTTATCCATTGATGGACACTTAGGTTGTTTCCATATCTTGGCTATTGTGATTAAGGCTGCAATGAACATGAGAATACAGGTATCTTTACAAAGTAATGATTTCATTTCCTTTGGGTGCATGCCCAGAAGAGGGATTGCTGAGTCATATGGTAGTTCTATTTTTAATTTCTCTAGAAATCTTCATACTCTTTTCCAGAATGGCTGTATCAATCTACATTCTCATCCATAGTATGCAAAAGTTCCCATTTCTCCGCACTCTTGCCAACATTTATCTTTTGACTTTTTGATAATGGTCATAAGGGGTGTGAGGTGGTATCTCAGTGGGTTTGATTTGCATTTCCCTAATGACCTACAATGCGGAACACCTTTCAGATACCCACTTGCTATTTTTATGTCTTCTTTAAAGAAAGGTCTATTCAAGTTCTTTTTTTAAAACATTTTAAAAATTGGGTTATTTGTTTTGAGTTGTATCAATTATTTATATATTTTGGATTTTTTTTTTTTTGAGACAGGGTCTTGCTCTGTTATGCAGACTGGAGTACAGTGGCACAATCACAGCTTACTTGACCTTCTGGGTTCAAACACTCTCCCATCTCAGCCTCCCAAGTAGCTGTGACTAGAGGCGCACACCACTATGCCTGGCTAATTTTTAAATGTTTTGTTGAGACAGGGTCTCACTACGTTGGCAGGCCTGGACTCAAGCTCCTGGGCTCAAGTGATCCTCCCACCTCAGCTTCTGAAAGTGCTGGGATTAAGCAGTGAGCCACTGCACCTGGCTAAATGTTGGCTATTTACTCCTAATTGGCTGGGTGCGGTGGCTCACACTTGTAATCCCAGCACTTTGGGAGGCTGAGGCGCTTGGATCACTTGTGGTCAGGCATTCGAGACCAGCCTGGCCAATATGGTGAAACCCCATAATGAAGTTTTGGCTTCTTTAACTGGGAAGTGAGGATCGTGACCATCCCTGCCAAACAGGAGAGGAGATGGGCTGATTCCTAGACATTTTTCTGCCTTCTTTGTGCAAAATTATTTCTTTCTGTACTTAAATGAGTCTGTGCCTATAAAGGACACCTGAGTGTGGCAGGCTCCTGATGAGTGGATGTGAATTCTAACTCAACACTTACGCTGTGCTTGGATATAGCAATCCTTCCCAACTTTCATATGTGGTTTCCATCCTTCTTTTGCCCTTTAATGACTTACTTCTTGATCATCAATCCCTTTTATTCCTCCCATAGCACGATAAAATGAACAAAATAGATGACTTGATTGTATTATTTATATTCTATCTTCACAATGGATCCAAGTTAAAACCCTCTTGAATGCCAATTAAATTCTTTGCACAACTCATCAACCAACTATATACATTTACTTGATTTTTTTAATTTCACTGAATTCTAGCACATTCTGATTTGTGGGAATAGATACATTGGTCCCAAACTACAAATGATTAATTTTAGATGCTAAAACATGTATTATTCATAAAAGAATATTTTTCTTCAAATTATACACACCCAAAGCAGCTAAAATTAATAATGAATAATTGACTTGATTTTCAAATAAATACTGTACATTTGTGAAATTTTATTTGACAATTTTTTAATTTTTGGAAGAAGTTTCAGAGCTATTAATGTAAGAGGCTTCACTGTGAATGTTACTCTTGGTTACTCTATCACCTTTGCTTTGTAATAATATATTCAATATTATTTATGCAATAATGAGCACTTTTTTTTTGAGAAAAGGTCTCACTCTGTCACCCAGGCTAGAGTGCAGTGGCGTGATCTCAGCTCACTACAGCCCCTACCTCCCAGGCTCAAGCGATCCTCCTACCTCATCCTCCCAAGTAGCTGGGACTGGGATGGCATAGGTCATCACCCCTAGATAATTTTTGTATTTTTTATAAATATGAGGTTTCACCATGTTGTCCAGGCTGGTCTCAAACTCCTGAGCTCAAGCTATCTGCCTGCCTCAGCCTCCTGAAGTGCTGCAGTTACAGGTGTGAGCCACCACACATGGCCATGAGCACTTTTTAACATAGCTTTCTTTATCCACCAGTTAGTCATTGAATGTATTGATTACAATATTTCTTTTTGGGAGTAAAATATCCTTTTATAAATATTCAATTTATAATATACATAGAGTACTAGATATAATTCCCTAAAGATTTTAACCAATTGTTATCAATTATTTTAAGACTCATTAACGCAATTTTTGTTGCATTCAAATACACCTGTCACTTCAAGTTATGTGTGGCTCATGTACTAACAAGTGTAGTTATATTGGTGAGAGAAGTGTCTACCAACATTAATATCAGTTGGTAACATAATAGATGATGAGAATATCATTGTGTCAAGTTGATGAGAATAAAGGTATTTAACTAGCCACAGTAAGAAAACATGGAAACTCTGCCCTTCACCTTAACTGCAGAGAGTAGCTTTGCCATGATCCTCTAAGCACAGTGTCTGTGCATGTAGCCTGGGGAGAATCTGATGGTGCAGCTTGGGGTGTCTTGTATGTGGCTTCAGAATGACCAGGGGTATTATTGTTAAAGATACTCAACCTTAGAATATTGTTTTCTATTAGGTCAAGATTGGCAGAGTTGGCTAGGTGCAGTGGCTCACACCTGTAATCCCAATGCTTTGGGAGACTGAGGTGGGAGGGTTGCTTGAAGCCAGGAGTTCAAGATCAGCCTGGGCAACATAACAAGACCCCTGTCCAAAAAAAAAAAATTCCAGGCCTGGTAGTGCACATCTGTAGTCCCAGTTACTCAAGAGGCTGGGGGTCACTTGAGCCCAGGAGGTCAAGGCTGCAGTGAGCTATGATCACACCACTGCACTCCAGTCTGAGTGACAGAGTGAGACCCATCTATAAAAACAACAACAAAAAAGTTTGGCAGAGCTAATTAGGAAGTGACAATTAGAAACAGAACTAGCTTGCACTAAATAACTGCTTATTTTAAGTGTGAAAAGAGCATCATTAGGGTGGGTAGCTAAGAGCCCACTAATTACTCTATCAGCCCCACCACAAGGGGATTGCCATCCTGCACTTGTTGGTGAGAGGCTCAGACAGAGACATGGCAGAGCCGAGGTGCTGGAATCGGGAGCACCAAGGCCCTTGGGGAAGTCCACACGGGAAGAGCACCGTGGCAAAGGCCCAGGGACCTAGAAAATATAAAATCAGGGGTTCGTCAGGGTCGTCAGCCAAACAAAGTAGCCTTGAGGGTCACTCATAGTCCAAGGTCTGGACAGGGCCCTCAGGGATGTTATCTGTGGATCACTGATGGTGACCAAATAGGAAGGGGCCAGCAGCCACAAATAGGACCAGGGCCAGCTTTGTGGACACTGAAACAGTAGCAGGAACTCTATGCTGACAACTTGGGAAGCCTCCAGGAGCAATTTTTCACCAACTGAAAGGCTGCCTAACAGCCCCACAATGTCCACAATGGTTGCCTTCTGGAAAGTACAGCGGGAAGGTCTCTGTGGCCCCCAGTGGTAACCACATATCAGTAAGAGTCCACATTTATAAGTACTCACCTTATGCCACTCACCAATCCCAGAGGTCCTACACTCATTCATACATTTCATCCTCACACATGTTTATGAATGAAAAACTAGTATCACCCATAGTTCTTCAGATGAGGAAACTGAGGCACGGGGACCACAAATAATTTGTGAATTTACACACATGGCCAGGTGACAGAGCCCTCAAGGGGACAGAGCCCATGCTCATAACCAGAAGGAGCCCTGGCATTCCCTGGACGTGAAGCACTATTTGTCCATTCAGCAAGAATTACTCAACCCCTATCTGCCAACCCAGAGGCCCAGTGATGAACAGGACCAATCCAGTTCTTGCCCCCATGAGGCCTTCATTTTGATGGAACAATCAGGTAAATACATGAAGCACACTGTTGTTATAGCTGGATATTTATATTAGTGCTTAAGGATTTAGTCATTCAATTATCATTAGTTCATGTGTGTTGTATCTTCACTTGCTCAAAGGCAATTCCTTATGGTGTTGTTATACAGGCTCAAGAACCTCTTAAGGAGTTGCTAAGAGGTTCCTGAATGAGTGGGCCCAATTAACTGCAGTCAAGTCTGCTGTGCTGAGGCCTGGCAAATCAGGTAAGTAGTAGTCCCTAACTAGATAATGTACACTGCATATAAAATCGATTCTCACTGCATGTGTATATGGTACCAAAGCGTGTTCAAGGTTCAAGCAGGCAACTCTTTACTCCTGCTGCCACCCAAATCTCTAGGCTAGCAAAGGAGGTTGCAAGTGGTGATACTGAAATCTATGCATGCCCAGGTGGTCAGATGGGAAAGGGTGTTGAATGTAAGTTGTGCAAAATTTGGACACAATAGACATGATGAAGTGAGAATGGGCTTTGTCAGCACTACACATCATGTGAGAAAGCAAGAGTGAGTGATTGATGTGCTGCTAGTGAGAGACCAGCTAAGGAAATAGAAAGATAATCAGCATCTGAAAGAAGGGGTTTCTGAGGATGTCGACATTCAGCTCCAAAAGAAGCAGGCTGTCTCCCAGAAAATAAGGCAGCCCTGCACAGACTCTGAACTTCACTGTGTTTCTTTACAGCTCAGCCTTGGACACCCTCAGTATGCCCATCAGATGTAAAAAGAAGGTGAATTGATTAATGAGTCAACTCAGTAGACAAATATTTGATGTCTACATGTGCTTGTCTCTGATGTAGCACCGTGCAAATCAGGAAAGATCCCTTTGTTTTAGAGGGTGGAGACTGACAGTAAATTAAGAACATCAAAAGCAAATTAATGTCATGTTGGAGCGATCAGTGCTCCAGGATGGGGTAGAGAGAAAGGACAACCTAGAGCAGAACTGGGAGAACACAGGATAGGCTGGCTGCCATTTTCAACAGGGTGATTATGGGGAGGGGAAGGGTTTGAGAAGGTGACATTTGAGCCAAGACTTGAAGGGGGTGAGGGTAGGAGCTAGATAGGCAACAGGAGAAGGGAATTCCAAGATGAGGGAAGAGCCTAGGTCCAGATCTTAGAGAGAACGTGTCTTAGTGATACGATGAGGCTGGTGCAGACAGCAATGAGAGGTAGAAGGAGACAAAGTCAGAGCGGTGACAGGTCCCATAAGGCAGGGCTCTGGCAGCCACTCCAAAAACTTCAGCTGTGGCTACCAATGCCGTGGGAAGCCATTGGTGGGATTTGAGGAAGGAAGTGTGTCTGACCTGTCTTTTCCAAGGATCACAGGATGGTGTGTTGAAAATAGAACAGAGGGAAGGGGTTGTAGGAAGACTAGTAAGTTCAACTCAAAATGTTCAAGCCATTGTAAGATGGACCATCATAATTAAATATTCGAATAAAATTAGGTGTTTTAAATTTATGTATTCAAATACTAAACAAAACCCAATATTGCACTAATTAGAATTACCTGGTTATGTGAGAACTGCATCAATGCTACCAGAGTCCAGGCTCTGTGTAGACAGAGCCTTCCTGACCTTCCAGGCATCGGTGGGCCCTGCTTCCTTTGACATCTTCCTAAAGCAGCATTCACTCTTCTCTGTCATGTATTCTCAAATGCTGGATCTCAGTCCCACTAAGCAGGCTCTCAGCTCCTTGAGGGCTGAGACTCGGCCTCCTCCCTTTCTGAAGAGAGGCTCTGCTGGGACTTTTTCTTCAGAGGCAGACCCGACAGCTCCTGTCACCTGGGCAGCTCCCATTGTCTCACTCCCCTCTCAGGGACTGCACAGCAGGCATTTCAACTCCTTCCAGCTTCTCCCCCTCTAAACTCCTCGGTTTGATAAAATTTTCTTTACCCAGTTTTTGATCCCCGTCTCCTGCTAATCTATTGCCTGTGATTCTACCGATAGTGCCTTTTAAGAATTTGGTGAGAAACTTTTGGTAAAAAGAATGAAGATGTCCCTCTGGCATGTAGACTGTTAGAACTTTTGAACCCAGAAGCTTGGAAAGGGATCGGTTTGGGCTGCAGTGCCATTTCCTGTGAACTACAGCAGCAAATGAGTTGGAGCTAGAGGAGATCAGTAAAACCTATTCATCTCCACCTACTCATTTTTGTAAAACATAAATTTTGAACGTGACTTTGGGACTTTGAAAATGCAGTCAGTCTCCACAAACTAAAGGCTTGAAAGTTGGTTCTTAATGACAGATTTAATAAGTTATTTAAAAACCCACTAGTCATGTTCAATCAGCATCCATCTTTCTCTTTCTTCAGAGGAATTTACACTTGTTTTTCCTTTGCTTTATTGAATGTACACTAAAATGATCATCGCCTCAAATTTCTTGCAACCTGAATAAGCTGTGATTTCATTCTTATGAATGATTATTTATACATTGTACTTACTCTTGTGAAATTATATTCATGGTATTTGTGTGCAATTCACCTTTTCGTCATCAAGAAACATTTCAAATGAGGTCAACCAAATCTTCTGGCCAGAGATTTGGAAGGTCAAAGTGATGAATAATTAAATCACTATAAAGTCTTCCCTGGAAGTGAAATATATGTTGTTTGATATGAAGCATTCTCTGTGGATGTGATACTTCTGGGAAAAAGAACAAGAAACTGAATTCAAGAGGTGGTCTGCTACCCTGAGTGGTCCTCCACTGGGGATGGTCATCCTCCCAATGGGACATTTGGGAAGGTGCCAGGGAAGCGCCAGCAAGTGGTAGGAATGGGTCTAATGCTGGCTTTGGGTGCCCTGAAACAAAAGATGCTCTACTTCCTACTCAAGAGCCTGCTCACCCAAAATACACTGAGAGGACCTGCAGTGTGCTAGATACTAGACGCCGCTATAGGATTCAGTCTCCTTTATGGCAGCATATTGGATTTTACTATGATTACTAAAAACAAAGCAAAACAAAACAAAAACCTAGTCATTTCCTATCCAATTATGGGAATTTGTTTTATGATTTCCTCATTATTACTGCTTAAGAGCAATAATTTATGAAAAACATTCCCAAAGCCCAAAGAAAATGCCTGTTATTCTATTTCAGTTTTATGTTGCTTCATACCTTTATTACCACAACATCTGTTGCCATTCTTGCATTTTCAATCCACCTGGCATATTTTCTAATGTTTTTTGAATTCCATAATGTTTATAGTACTCTCTAGCTCAGAAAACTCGATGGCTCCCCATTTGAGAGCCAAATTTCTCTGCCTGGATTGCAAATCATTCAGGAAAGTCAGTCCTGTCAGCCAGCCACATAGTCATCCTCTCCCAAAATGAGTCAGCCGCTCCTCCAGGACAAGCTCTTCACAGCTCCAGATACCCCCTTTACTCCTGATGCCTTATCTTGATAATGGTTCTTCTCTTATTAGATAAAATATCTTTTCCTTCTCTCTACTTTTCAAATTTTACCAAATCTTTCAGAAACGAATTCTGTTCTTCCTCTTCTCTAAGACAGTGCATAACATGCTGAAAGTCAGGCACTTTGAAAGCAGAGGAACCTGAGTTAAAATGTAAGTCCTACCTCTTGCTGAAGATTACATTACCTGTTTAAAGCTCAGTTTCTCATCTACAAAATAAGGGTGGTAATATCTATCACAGAGTAACATTAATATTATTAAATAAAATATTATATATATGAACTATTTAGTCTGGTATATGGTAAGTTCCCAAACAAGGAACTGAAATTGATGAGAATTAACCCAAGGTAACTAACATTTCACTGCCCTCTCTGACCTTCTCATTCATTTTTCTCTTTTAGAATTTAGTTTCTATCTAATAAATTAGCACATTAATATATATCACTGTTACTATGGTGTAATCTACCAGTAGGTTGTCCCAATTAGACAAAAAAATTTTGATGGGAAAGAAAATCTCTTCTGAATCTCCATAATATTAGGCACTAGGATGAGCTCATTGAAGACATTAAATAAATAGAATTTTATTCATTCATCATTCAGCCAGCCAAATGTATCAGCTACTTTTCTAGTACTGTGAATAAAATTGATGAGTAAATGCATTCACTACCCTCAAAGAGCTCACGGATGAGTAGAGGAGACAGACACATACATGCATAGGTATAAAAGAATGAGACAGTTTAGTGATAGACATAGTTGGTTCTTTAGTATTTCTTTAATTAATTTTAAGTGTTCTATCCATATATTACTTATATTAGAATCAAATGAACAACTCCGTATATAAGTGGTGTGCTGATAATGATTAACAACTGGCCCTCAGTGTGTAGCATTCCCCAGTTCCCATAGTATAAATATTACTACCATGTCCGGTTCCAACCAACATGGCCTCATTAGACATGGAGTTGCAAAGACATGCATTACCCTACCCACCATGCTTTAGCACTGCCACCATCACATATTCAGTAGAATAACCCTGAGAGCACAGATAGTGGGAAAGTCCAGTAAAGCAATTCAGAAGTGAAGAGTTTTGATTACTGTACTTACTATCTTTAAACATATGGAATTTATTTCACTGTAACTATAGAACTTAATTTTAATAATAACTGTTCAACAACTGAAAAATTTAATCATGGATTCTCCCGAGTTTCTATGAGCTGGTTCCAATGTACCACTCTTTGTATCCTACTTCCAACTCTTAGGAGGAAAGTTAGTGTTTATTATTGGCTATAAAGTTGAATTGTTATAAAGAAAGTCCATTTTAGACTACATTTAGATACACCAACAAGTTCAATTTTCAGTTGGCTTTCTACATACAGAATGGACTTTGGAGATAATGTGTTCTATTTAATTTTCTTCAATTGCTGGTGTCTACTTATATTTTAACTATTTGCTGTGAGAAATTCCAAACATATAGATAGACAGATCTATGAAATAAACCTCTCTGTGTCCATCACCTACCTTTAACCATTTCAACTCCTGGCCATTTCAGTCTCACCTCTGCCCCCAAATTTTACTCCCTCACCTCCACCATTTCTGCATCCATGCGCTCACTACTTTACCTCCCATCCCACATTATTTTGAAGAAAGTCTATCAGTTCATCTACAAGTGTGTCAGACTGTATCTCAAACATAATAACTTCTTTTCCTTAGCATAACTATAATATCACTATGATATCTTTAAAATTATAATTTCTTAATACCATCAATATTAAGATACTGAATATCTAGTCAGTATTCAAAGCTCTAATTGTCTCAAAAATGTCACAAATGTCATTCTTTACATTTTCTGCAGTTTGTTTAAGCCTGGACACACAAAGGATTTTTTTGTGTCCACATATTATGATTAATTGATCCATCTCTTATATCTCTTTTAATTGTTTTTTCTCTTCATATAATGTTTTCCTTATATTTGCAAAATAAATAAAGATTGATTTGTCCTCCAGAGTTTTTTGCAGACTGAATTTTGCTGTTTGCTTCTACATGCTGTTATTTACATCTTTCCTCTCCCTGTGTATTTTCCTTATACAGGGAAATGGATCTGGATGAGTTTCATCTGATTCAGGCTCAACTTTTATGCCAAAAGGACTTTAATGGTGGAATCATGAGCCCCTATGAGGAGGTGCACAGGGTCGGGCCATCTCTCATTCCATGATGTTAGCAGCTGTTGGTAGTCTATGCCTAGGTCCATTAATTCATTGGGATCACAAAATGATCCTCTTCTAACTCTGTTCTTCCTTCTTCATTTATTAGCTGGAATACTATAAACAAAAACCTTGTCATCCACTATTTGGTTAGCCATGGGTACCATCAATCTGAGAAAAACACAGTACAGTTTTGATTCTGCCCCTTACCTTACTTGTTTTCAAAATAAGTCAGTCACTAGCATCCTCCAACAGTTACCAGTTCCTATTAAAGAAAGACTTTCCACTACTTTCCATTGTGATTTGCAAGCAGCAGCAAAATCATCTGGCTCAATAAACCTGGTTTGACTTAGAGACTATCAGTTCTTCCTAAATGACACAGAAAAGTTACGGGGATATTTTAGAAAATCTTTTCTGCTTTGCTGGGTGATTTCCTCCATGACATGATTGTTTAGAAAAAGATGAATAGCATAGAATTTTATCAGATGTGGCCTTGGAAATTGCTTCATCCATATGCCTCTTTCATTGTAAACTTGGAAAAAATGAGGCCAATTGAAATCAAGCCACCTGCCCAGAATGACCCCCACAATTGGTAGCAGGCCTGGTTCCAGAATTCTGGTTTTGTATTCCAGGAATATTTCCTGCATTCTGACTAAAATAATGTTTCTGTCAGGAGTTCTAGTTAAAATCATTAGTAAGTACAGGAAGCAAATTGAACTCTCACAGGCTGTCCCCAAATTAACATAAGCTATTATTCAAAAGCTCATTCCAAGCCAGACACTTTGGAACTCAGAGCATTTTCCCCAAAGTGACTCGGAATTCACTGCTGGTTAAAGCCCAGGCTAGCCTGATAACTCAAACAGCACTTGTTTGTCATTTCACACAAAGGCTGAGCCCTGTATATGAAACATCACTAACAACTATTCCCTTATAAAAATCAATGACAACAAGAAAACATTCATTTCATATTTTCTACCATGTCCTGGGACGTTTCTATGCATTTCTTCATTTCATTCCCTCCATAATCCATAATCCTAAGAGGTAGGTGCTATTAGTCCCAAGCTACCAAAAAAAAAAAAAAAAAAGCTGTGGGCCAGAAAAGTCAGATACGGGGCTTGAAGAGACATGGTAAGAGATGGAGCTTGGATTGGAAACTGGGCTGCACCTAAGGCAGCCGGAGCCATCTCCTTGTCTACTGCCCCAGCCCCCCAGAAAAGGAGAATCTCCCCTATTGCTGGGCCCCTGATGGTGATTCCTGCAGGTCACTGGATGTTCTGATGGGAGGAGTTCTGATGGGCACTGATGGGTGTGCAATAGGGGACTGCACTCCAATGTGGCTCAGGAGACTCCCTGGCTGGGTTGAGCACAACTCATGGCTCTAGGAAGCAGTGCTGGCTCAGCTGAGCCCTGGTTGTTGAGAAGAGATCCCAGCATAGCAAAGGAGAGTTCTGACCCTCATTTCTCAAGGAAGTGAATTTTTTATATAAAGGAGCCCGTCTCAGGCAGCCTCTCTGGCAGCCCACACACTAATCATGCACTTGTGTGATCCACCCACAAGTATGTGCTGGTCACAGTGATTCACTTCTAAGAGATGGGCTACCACAGGAATGATGGGATATCAGTCCCCAGAGCAGATGATGAAAAGCATGTGGCTTCCATCTGGGATGTGCATTCTCTCTCTCTGTCTCTCTCAAATGGCTCATGCTGGAAAAAGCCGGTCACCCTGCTGCAGAGGCAGCCCTGTAGAGAAGCCAGCATGATCTGGTGAGGTTCTGAGGCCTCCCTGCAGCAGCCCAGGAGGGGCTGACATTTTCCAGGGCCCACAGGCATGTGCTTAGAGGAGACTCTATCAGCCTCAGGTGAACCTTGAGACAACTGGGTCCCTTACTAGTATCTGGACCAGAACCACGCACCAGTCATGCCACTCCTGATTTCCTGACCTACAGAGGCTGAGATCATACATATTTGTTAGATTGCTATGTTTGGAGATAATTCGGTAAACAGCAACACCAATTAACACAGTGCGATCACTAAATCAAGGATTTTTTCCTATTATTGTATTTTTTGTAGATGTGTATAGTGATTTTATTTAGGGATGCTAGCCTTTTAACTTAAAATAGCAGATTTTTTTTTCTCATTACAATTTTATATCCCTGAAAAATATTAAAGTCAAAAAAAAAAAAAGATGTGCGTGTGCGTGTCTGTGTGTGTGTGTGTGTGTGTGTGTGTGTGTGTGTGTGTGTGCTTGTCAATTGGGAGAGATTTTGTCCCCCACCCAGGTACAATGGGCAATGTCTGGGGACATTCTTGTCTCAATTGGGGCTTGGTGGGATGCTGCTGAACACCCTGCAATACACAGGCAGCCCCCACAACAGAGAATTAACCAGCCCCAAATATCAGGAGATGCTGAGGAATCCTAACACCTAACCAATGAAATGTATCTATTCAGAAAATAATTATATTTACATAATTGAAGCTTTAAGGTATTATATGGAAACCACAAAACACAAATATGTATTATCTATGCTTTTTTCATTTATCCTTTTTCTATTAACTTTTTGTGTCACACGGAAAGGAAAATCTTTTAATTAAATAAAAGCAATGTTTTTCCATTTCCACAAATCTCATTGCATAAGGCAATGGCTAACATCATGGCATATTTAAGTTCTTGATTGTTATTGTTATCAGGAACATGCAGATTGATACTTTGGAAAATTAATTGTTTCACATCAAATTTGGGACATCAGCCGGGCATGGTGGCTCGCGCCTGTAATCCCAGTACCTTGGGAGGCTAAGGTGGGTGGATCACCCGGGGTCAGAAGTTCAAGACCAGCCTGGCCTACATGGTGAAACCACATCTCTACTAAAAATACAAAGATTAGCCAAGTGTGATGGTGCATTCTTGTAGCCCCAGCTCCTCAGGAGGCTGAGGCAGGAGAATCACTTGAGCCTGGGAGGCGGAAGTTGCAGTTAGCTGAGATCACGCCACTGCACTCCAGTCCAAGTGACAGAGTGAGACTCCATCTCCAAATAAAAAAAGAAAAATAGAAAAGAAGAGAGAAAAAAAAAGGGACATTGTGGATCACAAACTCAACAGTGATGAAAGTAACAGTCAGTATCCAAATGTGTGGGTGACTTTCAAAAAGTAAACTGAGAAAAGATATTTAGAGAAAACCTACAGATGAGGCACATTTATTAGAGTAAGTGGCCCCCTCCACCCTCTCCTACTTGATGGATTGCCCTGCAGCCCTGAGGATGCAGTTGGTGGTAATGGAGACGGAGAAATGGAGATGGAGACAGCACACATTTCCTCATCACTCTTACAACTGTGAGACAGACCAGTTACGAAAGCCAAGGGGCCGAGGTTGACAGGGATGAGAACCATGTAAAATCTGTGGTGTGGGGTTCACTCCAGCAGAAAGAGGCTTTCAGAGAGCTACACAACTAGTATATGGAGAATAGAGTTTCTTAGCAAAATCAGTGCATCAAGTAGAATCATCAAATTAAACAGAATCTTTGCAATCTATGGAAGAAACTGAAAGAAAAACAATTTAAAACAATATTGATATTTGAGGTGTGCTTATCAAGCAATACTACTGAATTTCCCTTTGGCTGAAGCAATGGTGACATCATAGTGTCTGTAACATCCCAAATAAGGACTCTGGAGAGAACTGTGGGATTAACTGCAAAGAAAGTGGCAGCGTAGTGCCGTCGTTAAAGCCTTGAATTGACAAATCAAAGATCTGGGTTCAAATCCTGGCCCTGATATCTCTAGTTGGTAAAACTGAGCACAGTACTTAACTCTTGAAAGCCTAATTGGTTAAAAACAGGAATTAAATGAGATAGAGCAAACATGGTTAATTAGCACTCAAATGTTGAAAGAGATTGATATCTTCTGTGCTAAAATTATTTTTATAAATTAAAAATCTGATATATGATGGCATTGTTCTTACATACAATATCCTCCTCCACTGAAACAAACACTACTCTACACACAGCCCTCTGCAGTTGGTGGGTCCTCGGTTCCGTTGCTGTGCATGGACTGACATCAACTGTAAGGTGGGTGCAGGCTTTGGCCCACTCATGGAAGGTCACTGAAAGACACAGGGCTTGTTTGCTGAACCTAAAACTGGTAACATCATGGATAGCCCTAGAAGCCCACATAAAAATACACTTCACTTTCATAATGTAACTTTTACAAGATGACATTTTCTGAATTCATAAACTTGTACAGCCAATTCCTTAGCTACTGGATTTCTGAGGGATGAGATTTAACATTCTAGTCCAGATCATTTACTTCAGTTTTGCTGGGCCCACCCCACTTTTATTTTTTACTTCAGTAGTTTTATGCTTCCTGCTTATAGATTCAGTGGTAACATCAGTGGGCTTGGATTATTTTGCTAAACCATGGTAGCACATTTTCTTCAATACAAAGTGTCTTGAAAAGCTAAAATAAAACCTCAACCACCTTCATATCAGTGCTGTGGATTTTTCTCCAGAAATAGAGTGGATTTAGCAAAGAAAGAAGAGTTCACAGACTTAAATACTGCCCTGAGAGATTTTACCTGGGCTATTGGCTTTCTTTTCTTTAGAGGCATATTTCTTTCACTTAAAAAACTTGCAGATAAACCAATATTCTTGTACATAATTATTTTGCATATCATAAAGCAAATCCGTGTTTCAGATATGCTGATCAATGAACGAAATATTAAGGTTGTTAGGCTTACCATTATTTTCCTCCTTAAAGCCCTATCAAAATACTAGAAAAAATAATAATAGAGCCTACAGAAATAGTGTGATCTGTTCGTCATAGATTACATCATCAACAATGTTTAGTGGGAAATAACCTCTCACCACAGACAACAAATACTTCTCGATATAAAAAGAAGATTTAAAATAATTGGGCTAGGTTGAAATTTTTTACTTAAAAATGTATTAGAAAAAAATTATCATTCATTCATTAATTAGGTATAAAATATTGTGAGCATTTAGTCAACATCTAATAAGCATTTATTGAGTAAATTAGTTACTCTCCCGTGTCAATATTGGTTGTAATGAAAATCCCAGGCATTGAATTTTCAGGGACAGATTTAATTTCTTTTTTTTTCTTTTTTCTTTCATTATTATTTTATGGGGGCAATGGAGCCTCACTCTGTCTCCTAGGCTGGAGTGTAATGGCACAATCTCGGCTTACTGCAACCTCCGCCTCCTGGACTCAAGTGATTCTCCTGCCTCAACCTCCCAAGTAGCTTAGGTTACAGGTGCCAGCCACCATGCCCAGCTAAATTTTGTCTTTTTAGTAAACAGGAGGTTTCACCATGTTGGCCAGGCTGGTCTTGAACTCCTGGCCTCAAGCGATTTGCCCACTTTGGCCTCCCAAAGTGCTGGGATTACAGGCTTGAGCCACTGCACCCAGCCAGATTTAATTTCAATACTCTTTTTATCACACTTATTACAAATAATCCAACTACTAAAATATAATAAGAGTTAACACATATTGGCACAAGAATAGATTATTTATCTTCACATAAAAGAACCTGATTTTATTTGGCTCTGGGATGGGAGGAACTGAACTGCATGTGGAGTGCAAATATGAGGTGATTGGGTACCCAAGCACGAGTCATCAGATCGTCCCCACTATTGAGCAGGAGTTGGCTGAGAGATTGGCCCAGAACATGCCTCCAAAGTTTTCTAAACTTTTTAATTTTTTAGCCTCTGTGGAATCCTTGCCAACTCTATGATTCACTTTAAAATTTTTTTTGTAGAATTTCTGGATCAATTTGGAAACTAAGACTAGAAAAGATCTGTGTTTCGTCATCTGGAACCCAGGGAGAGGGTGAGGCACGTGGAGTTCCTTGACCCCTCATCTTGCTGAAGCAGCAAGCATGGGTGAGTGCAGAGAAGCCTCACGCACTCTTGGGCTACCAAGAGCTGTGCCAACACTGTTGTGTAAGTTGGCCAGAGAGGAACCCTGTATACTGGACACTAAGTTTTTTACTTCTTCAGAATAAGAAAATTAACGCAAAACCTTCCAGCACCAAATTCAAAATTTTACACATTCTATCACTTACATATAGCTCACATAAGCATTTTATTTTTTTAGCTATTTAGAGCCTGTCTGCTTTGCACATCCCATGAGAGTGCAGTCAACATCTGCTAGCCATAGATAAGACAAACTCTGTGGTTATAAAAGACCCAAACTTCTGCTGTTCTAAGAGCTCCATGACCCGGAGACGCCCCACCTCACTGCTGAGCAACATCTTCCCTGCCCAAGTGCCACTCAATAAAGCTTGTTGTACAATACTGTCATCTCCTAGTCCTGTCTTTTCTTCAATCAGCTCCAAAATTCTTGAAACTTCCGGTGACCAATAAATATGAGGGAATTGGTACAGGACCTGGATATTTAAAATTTGCAAACTTTGCAATTTATCTGCAGGCAAAAAGAATTAAATGAAATAATAATTTCCATAATACTGCTTCAGCTGGTTTGAATCACCACCATTAATGAGTCTCACATGTGAAAAAGTAGCCCGTACCATAAGTACTCTGACAGTATAAAAGTTAGAAAGTACAGTTTATCAAGACAGCATTCATGATCTTGACTTTGGGCAGCCCCTTGTAGCAGGAAGAACCAAACTGGTGATGGGTTTATTTGTGAAGAACACCCTACCAACAGCTCCGTATACAAATGCTGGCCAAAGTATCCCAGCATCTTTAAACCAGCCTCTTGTGATCCTCAAAGATTCCAAGGTCGCATCATTGACAGGAGCATTTCTTCAGAGCAGGGCCTCCTGGATCTGCAGAGGACCTTCTGAAGAAAGGTTGGAGTGCTCTTCCCCAACGGTGTGCTTCCTGTGCACATGGATCCTGGACTTTTGTGGCTGCTGGCTCTCAGGATCTGCTCACCTCCAGCAAGTGTTTTCCCCAGGCCTCGAGTACCCACACTATTCCAAGAAATCAAGCCATTCACAGAGAAGCTTGGAGACTTCTGCCCTTGTTCAATTCTGATAGTAACCACTTATAATAACCATTGAGGTTTGACTCAGAGATGTACAGAAAATGTGCCCTGGGACCGTCTCGCAAGGTCTTTTTTTCATTTTTTGCCTTCTTTGCACAAAGAAACGTGTGTACATTCAGACTCGCATAGCTTTGGTGATTTGGAATTCATTTTTGGCCAACGCTTCACTTTTACATTGATTAGGGTGTGATTGCAGATGCTTTAGTAGGTTTAAGTAAAAAGATACTTAATACAAAGAAGTATACATATACAAAATCATCAAAGGCTGGAGAAACAGGCTCTAGGGGTGCTCTCAGAAGCACCCCTAGTGCTTCTGAGACCCCTAGTGCTTCTCAGTCACCAGACTCTTCTCTTCTGGAGTAAACCAAGGAATTGTTAAGATTGCTTCTAATAGCAGAACTGCGTTTGCCAAAATCAAGGAAATTCTCCCTACTGCTTCTGAAGCGTCTGGAGGCATCCAGAAGCTACCTTGTGAAGTCAGAAGCCACAGAATTTCAGGCTACAGATCCTTGACACTTCTATCACCAGCTATACCAACAAATGGGAACCAATCTTTCGCCATACAACTCAGCTCCAATTCAAAGTCTCCTGTGAGAGCATCCTGTTGGTGGGACTGAGTCTTATTGGAAATGTAGTGACAAAAAAGTCAAGGAAATAAAAAATAAATTCATTTTTACAAACCTCTCTACCTCATTGATTCTTCAGCTACATCTTCATAGCTTAAAGCACCATAGTTTGCTACATGTGAATTTTACTTGCACATTGCTGATAAAAGCGAAAGCTATAGCTGCAACTTATTTCTCTTTTAATTTTCTAGAATGGAAAATGTATTCTGTTCCTTCTCTCCTTAAATGTTTTCTTCAATTGCCTTTCAAAAAATGTTTTTAAATAAATATTTTTATGAGGCTAATTATTGTGACTCTCGGTCTTCTACAAGTGGAGCATCTCTAATCCAAAAATTCAAAATAAAAAATGTTCCAAAATTCAAAATTTTTTGAGGGCCACCATGGTGCCACAAGTGGACAATTCCACACGTGACATCATGCAATGGGTTGCAGTCAAAACACAGGTGTACAACAGTTTATTCAGTATCCCTACGGGAAAAAAGACTTTCCCAGCCCCCTTCAGCTGTGATATATCTTTTCCACACACATCCAGATTTCCCTACTTAAAAATGCCCACAAATGATACTAAAATGGCACGTGTGCAGGCCAGAGACATCAACAGCAGGCTCCCCACCATGCACCATGTAGATTCAAGACCTATGTGCATTATTTACTATAATTTTTGTTGCTTATTCTCTGCTCTATGGTGTAAATGTATTGTTGAAAATGTCAAAAAGGCCTGAAGATACTCCTGTGGGTAACAGTGGAAAAAGAGGAAACATTTATGTTTATTTGAAGCACAGAAAATCAAGCTGTTGGTAAAACTAGACAGCAGCATTAGCGGAAAGGTCTTACAGATGAGTGTGATGTTGGAATGACCACCATATGTATCCTTCTGAGGAAACAGAAAAATCACCATATGTATCCTTCTGAGGAAACAGAAAAATAAACTGTTGAAGTTCTTTGCTGAAAGCAATGAAGAAAAGTTAATGTAAAGAAGAAAAACACTGCTAATCAAGCTACAGATGAAAAACTCCATCTTGTATTAAAAGAATGGATGCCTCAGGATTTCACCCAACACATGCCCCTAATGGAATGCTGATCATGAAAAGTAAATATTCATCATGATGAACTGGAAATTGAAGGGAACTGTGAATATTCAACAGGCTGGTTGCAGAAATTTAAGAAAAGACACAGCATAAAATAATTGAAGACTTGTGCTAATAAAACATCTGCTGATCACAAAGAGGTGGAGAAATTCGTTGAGGAGTTTGCCAAGGTCGAAATCTGATGCCAGAACAAATCTATAATGCCGAGGAAACATCATTGCTTTGGTGTTACTGTCCCCAGAAGGATACTGACTATAGTTGATGAGGGAGCTCCTGCAGGGATTAAAAATGCCAAGGACAGAATAACTACGCTAGGATGTGCCAACACAGCAGGCATGCATAAGTGTAAACTTGCTGTGATAGGCAAAAGCTTGTGGCCTCATTGTTTTCAATAAGTGACTATCTTACCAGTTCATTATGATGTAATAAAAAGGCATGGATCACCAGGGACATCTTTTCTGATTGGTTTTACAAATATTTTGTACCAGTGGCTCATGCTCACTGCAGAGAAGCTGGACTGGATAATGACTGCAAGATTTTCTTATTCCTTGACAACTGTTCTGCTAATCTTTCAGGTGAAATTTTCATCAAAAATAATATCTATGCCATGTACTTTCCCCATATTGACTTAATCAATTTAGCCATGTGACCAGGGTATCCTTAGATCAAAGAAGAGTAAATATAAAAACGCTTTCTTGAGTAGCACGCTAGCAGCAGTGAATAGAGGCACAGGTGTGGAAGATTTTTAAAAGGAGTTTAGCATGAAGGCTGCTGATATGCTGTCACCAACACCTGGAACACAGTGACTAAAGACACAGTTGTGCATGCCTGACACAACCTCTGTCCTGTAACTATGTTCAGTGATGATGATAAACAAGGTGGTGACTTTGAATGACTCATATGTCAAGTAGAAAAAAAATGACGTCTTACCTTACATATGCAAAACATACACCTTCAGAGTCTGTCAGTAAACTGAAAGAAGTGGATAGTATAGAAGTTTTTAACATTGATAATGAAGCCCTGTTGTTTATTTATTGACCAGTGGTGAAATGGCAGAAATTGTTCTGAATTAAGGTGATTGTGATAACAGTGACGATGAAGATGACGTTGTTAACACTGCAGGAAAAGTACCTAAAGATGGCATGGTGAACATGTTTGATGGGCTTATTGAAGAACTAGAGAAGAGTGCATTCTTAAAATACCAAGCAATCATGTCAGCGTACAAAATCAGAGACTTTTGAGACAAAAACAGTTGTTAATGAGGCTGAGATGACTCTGGAGGAAACATTTAAAAAGCCACCCAGCAGAATGCCTCCTCATCCCTAGAGGACTCACTTCCTGGCCCCTCAAATGCTTTGAATGTTTTTTCCCACCGAAAAAAATAAATTCAGTGTGCAGGAACCTTTTAATCAAAACACAGCAATGTAGGTGGAGACTGGAAGCTTGCATTGTTTGTCGTTGAGGTTGTTTAACAGCTGATACACGTGTTCTGGGCATGCTACTGTGCTGCTTAGTTACCATGAACACATTTTTTCACTGTGTTAAAGGTATGCCATATTTTTTACTGCTAAGTACTTATGTGTGAGTAAGTGTAAGAAAATGATTGCTTATCAGTAGTAGCATATAAATTCAGAGTCAGGAATGATGGAGGTGCCAAACAACAAGATTGTCCCCACGGGTGGCTGAGATAGTGACACCTTTGCTTTCTGATGCTTCAATGTACACAAACTTTGTTTCATGCACAAGATGACTTTAAAATATTGTATAAAATTACCTTCAAGCTATGTGAATAAGGTGCATATGAAGCAAATGAATTTTGTGTTGAGACTTGGCTTACCTCCCAAAAATCTCTCATTTTGCATATGCATGTATACCAAAATCTGAAAAAATCCAAAATCTGAAACACTATCTATGGTCCTAACCATTTTGGAGATGTAATACTCAGTATGTAATACAAGAGTTCTTGTTGTTTTAATGTAGAAAATATTTTCTCAGACATCTATGTTCCTAAAATGTTTTGTGTTTACCTTGAATTTGAGAATTGGGGATGTTTAATTTTGACCCCTAAAAGGTCAGTGTACAGTCTTGGTGTTGCCTTTTCTTTAATGGGAGAAACAAGAAATAATCGGTTCAATACTTGAAGCCATTTTTCTTCATTTTTGCAGGGAACACGCAGCATAGTGCATGCTCTCTCTCTTTGCTGGGCTGAAGTGTTTCAAGAGCCTTTGTGGTGTCCCCTAGGGGCCCTCCCTTGAACTCAGGCGGCCCTGGAATGAATTACTGCTGACGGAGCAAAGAGCGCCCTCAGACAATGGCTCTGCGGAGTCTCACTGACCTCATTATGAAGCACAGTGTAGACTTATCATCAAAGTTATTATGCTTTGTTTCATGGGGGCTCTATTGCAATGCCTCCTCCAAAGATGGCGAGAGAGTAGAGCTATGAAGCATGCACTGCCAATCTCTGTTTCAGATGTTCTCTGCCTTAGGTGGCTAACTGGTGTCATTGTGTCAGGAAAAAGAGTGACTTAATCAAAGCAGCCCAGTGGGAAAACAGGTCTGAGAAACTAGAACTTGGGATTGCATGGATCTTGCTACCACTGATTTTGTAGGACTCAGCATGAACTGCCCTGAGCAGAGGGGGAAAGCTCTGATGTATGTTCATATTAAGGCTAAATCTATAACATAGAAATCCATAATATATAAAATATAATATCCATATAAACCAACTCACATTTTATTAACTATACACAATCTCAAATGTCTCCTTTCTCTCCCTCTCTCTTTTTTCCTTCCTCCTTTTTCTTGTGACCTGTCTTACTTTGCCACGAATGTTTTACTTGTAGCCCCAGAGCACTGAGTTCCTGTCCCGGCAACACTGGAAGAAGCACTGCGGCCGGAGCATGGTCAGGTGGCCGTAGCCCAGCAGATAAAGTGCACTCAGCTCCACCAGACCTTCTGTCTGATCCATTTGTCCTCTAAGGCCCTCTCAGCAGTGCTGAGTTTCTTTCCATGCTCAGCTTGCTTCTTTTGACAAGTTGTCGGACTGGTCTTTCCTAACTACCCTGGAAATATCTTCAAGGAAGTGGCCAGGCTTTCCTTTTTAATAAGGCCTTTAGCAGTGCCCACTATGTAGTAGACACCAGGCATTTAATTTATGCTAGTAGGATGACACTCGCAGTACTGGGAAACAAAAAGTTTTAAATGGTAAACCCTGGTGTACAAAATTGGCAGCAGCAGGATGGGGAAAGCAGGTGGGTTCTGGGGCTGTCATTGTCACAGAGGAAGAGACTGGGGGGGCCTTCTCTGTCAGGTCTGTGGGGCTTCCCAGGCCGGGGTGTTAAGGGCTTTAGAGAAAAACTGCAGGATGCTGAGCTCCACCAGCCACAGTCCCAGATTCTGGTTACTAATTTAACAATCCCAGCAGAAAAGGGACTTCTTGTGCATAATATCCATAAAGCTACCTGTATAATTCTGGGTTCTCTAGACAAAGAGAACAAATAAAAGATAGATAGACAGAGAGTAGACAGACAGACAGATAGTAGACAGATAGGTAGATAGAAGATAGATACATAGATAGAAAAAACAGATAGGTTGATAGAAAAAATACATAGTAGAAGATAGAAAATAGATGATATAGATGATTGATAGATTAGATAGATAACAGATAGATAAAGATAGATAATAGAAAAAATAGGTAGGTAGATGAAAAAATAGTAGATAGAATATAGAAGATAGATAATAGGTAGCTAGCTAGATAGAAAGGTAGATAGATGATAGATCAGTAGATAGATGATAGATGAATAGATATGTGGAAGGATGGATAGATGGATAG
This sequence comes from Homo sapiens, assembly GCF_000001405.40. Classification (NCBI taxonomy): domain Eukaryota; kingdom Metazoa; phylum Chordata; class Mammalia; order Primates; family Hominidae; genus Homo; species Homo sapiens. Next base: position 7,332,865 of record NC_000005.10, read on the forward strand.
AGAGAGAGAGAGAGAGAGAGAGAGAGAGAGATTTATTATAAGGGGTTGGCTGACATGATTATGGAGGCTGAGAATTCCTAAGACTTGCCATCAGCAAGCTGGAAACCCAGGAGGGCTGATGGTCTTGTTCCCATGAGAGGCAGGAGGCCCACGACTCAGGAGAGCTGATGATGTCAATTCCAGTCTGAGTCTGAAGGCAGGAGAAGAGCTGTGCCCCAGCTCAAAGACAGGCTAGCAGAGCAAAATCTCTCTCCTTCAGCCTTTTTTGTTCTATTCAGGCCTTCAACAAATTGAATGAGGCCCACCCACTTTAGGGAGGACAATCTCTTGATTCAGTCTGCAAATTCACATGTTAATCCCATCCAGAAATACTCCCACAGACACTCCAGGGTAATGTTTAACCAAATATGTGCACACCCTGTGTCCCAGGAAAATTCGCCATCACACCGCCTTTGGAGGAATTCTCATTGGCCCTGCTTGGCCCCTTTGCCCACTTGGACAGTTTCCTCCTGTCAAGGCAGATGGGTCACAAAGATGGGCCAGCTTGAGTTTCAGGCCTCCCTGTAGCCTCAGGGATCTGTGGCACACCATCCCTTGGACTGGGCTCCTGAAGTCCCCCCTTCAGATCACAGAGCGTCTCGAATTCCAGAATGAGCCCTGCAAAGTGAACAGTCTTTTCCAAGCAAAACGGTCTCTTGTGGGTGTTCCTTCCTTACCACCCATCCATGCTCACTTTGGCCCCTGTGCTTTGGCTCACTTTCCCCCTTGCCCAAGGGTGACACCCCAGTATACAAATAACACCTGGGATCCAAGGCCCATGCCAGCACTCATCTCTTCCTGGACTCCTTTAGAAGACTCAACTCTGTTTTCAATGATGGAAGCTATCGAATGACCTTTTATCTGACAACTTGCTTCATCACAGTGGAACATTGCTCTTCAAAACAAACAGAGGTACAATAGTCAATACTCAGGTACAGGGAAAAAGTAAACAAATCCTAGTACCACAGGTTCCTGGTGCCTAGACTGTACCCATCAACTGAATGGTTGAGTGTTTGCTTTGAGTCTATTTCTTGAGCCCAAAAACAATATTCATAATCACTTTTGTTTTTAGAAGAATTCAAATCATTTTGTTGAATTAATTTTGCTTTGTCTTTTGGAAATAAGTTTTGTGATGATTCATTCTGTTCTTCATTTACTTTTTAAAATCCTTAGAAACTATCCACTGTGCAAGATAAGAACACTGAGAGTCTGACTAAACATCAGAGAAGACAACGCTGCTGCTTTAATCCTTAAAGTTTTCCATTAAGAAAGGATTGCCTTAAATGGCTTACATATTTAAAAAATTATTTTTTCAAGGTCTACTTTGTATTGAAAGTAAAGTAAGAAGCTAGGGTCCTGGTCTATAAATTTTAGTTTTACATTTTGATAGCTTCCATCATTGAAAGCAGAGTTGAGTCTTCTATAGGAGGCTGGGAAGAGATGAGTGTTGGTGTGGGCCTTGGATCCCAGGTGTGATTTGTATACTGGGATGTCACACCAGGGTTGAAATAAGGAGTAATGTAAGAAAAAAAATGCCTGCAAGTTCACATTGGATCAGTGGTTCAACCACATGTAAACTAACCCCTTGACTACCTAAAGTGAGGGTTGTCACTGACCATGGATTCAGGGCAATGCCCAGATTGACTGCCAATCAATCTGGCAACTCTCCTATACTGAGCAACTCTCCTATACTTTCAAAGAACAAAAGCACCTCTTACCTTAGCTTCTCACACACAGGAGCCTGTCAGCTTGAGCCAGTCAATTCCACATGGTAACTTCATGCTTTAACATAAAGACAACAAGATTGGATTCAAAGTAGCAATGATTTCTGAACATCTTATGTGTGTCACATTTGCTTTTCCTGTAAGCAAAACTCAAATATGCTTCCCTGTTCTTCTGAAGCTCACAATCCAATATGGGCAGATTACAATGTGACTTAAAAGATGAAGGGCTTATGGGTTTGTGGGAGGCTGAAAGATGGCCTCCAAAGATGTTCAGTTCCTAAATCCTAGGACCTGTGAATGTGACCTTAAGTGGTAAAATGGACTTTGCAGATGTGGTTAAGCATCACAAGACAGGAAGAATATCCTGAACTATCCAGGGAGGCCCAACATGCACTCATGAGTGTCTTTGTAGAAGGAAGGCAGAGGTAGAGTTGACTATAAAAGAGAAGGCCATGTGACGCAGGGCCAAGAGCCAAGGAATGAGGACAGGCTTCAGACAATGGAGAGGCAAGAGACAGATTCTCCTTGGGAGTCTCCAGAAGGAACCAGCCCAACTGACATCTTGACTTTAGCCCTGTAAGACTCATTATGGACTCAATTTATATGCTTCCAGAACTGTAAAAGAATACTGTATGTTGTCTTAAGCCTCTAAGTTCGTGGTAATTTGTAATAGTAGCCATAGGAAACTAATACAGGGATTTCACATAAAGTACATCTGAAAAGGGAAAGGGTCAGAAAATATTACTGAGAAATGAACTTTAGTACGTGTGTGTCTTAGTTCATTTTCTATTGCTATAACTGAATACCACAGACTGGGTAATAGAGGTCTATTTAACTAAAGGCTTTGGAGGCTGGGAAGTCCAAGTGCATGGCACCAGCATCTGGTGAGGGCCTTCCTGCTGTGTTACGACGTGGCAGGAGGCATCACATGGTGAGACAGAGCAAGTGTGCTAGCTCCAGCCTCTCTTCCTCTCCTTATAAAGCCATTAATCCCATAATAGGGGTCCCAGCCTGATGACCTAATGTAATCCTAATTACCTCCCAAAGGCCCCACCTCCAATCAACATATGAATCTGAGGATTAAGTTCCCAACACCTGAAATCTGGGAGGCACATTCAAACCATAGCAACTTGGCAAGGTTTTGGTAGTTTGAGAAGTAATTTGTGTTTAAAAATCTGTAATTTATGTTTAAAAATCTGTCCCATAATGGGAGAGTTTGTAGGATCTACACCAGAATGAAGCATTCTTTAAATAATGATGTTTGTTCTTTTATTTTCCAGGGTCAATATTGGGGTGAAAAATTCTATATGTATACTTATTGAGCTGAACATTTCACCATTGTTCTGTTACTTAGGATTCCTTTCTACCAGCTTACAGAGAGACATTATAATCATCTGGTTATCGATAAAGAAACTAAAGCTGTGAGGGTGGACACAGAACTTCCCCAAGGTCACCTGGTTTAGTAGATGCTGCCAAGTGTCATCCAGATTTCTCTTTGGTATTGACTTCCCCCAGCCCCTGGGCATACTGCCATAGAGACAGCCCACCATTTTCAGTCCTCTTTGGGAATTGCCTCCTTCCAAGGACAGCCATATCCCACGACTGCTCAATGTCGAGGGGTAAATGTATGACCCTCTTCCCCCAACTTGGGACAACTTGAAGGACCATCTCATCTTTAGAGTACCCTATAGGGTTTGCCAAGAACATTTTTGGGACTGCGTCACCACTCAGCTTCTCCCTCTGCCCAGTCTGGCCTCCTCCCTCTCCCTCCTATTGGTGTCAATTCCAAGACATCCTTATAAATGTCCTACATACACATCTCCATCTCAGACTCTACTTCCAGGAGAACTGAACCTGCAACACGGACAATACATGCTTGTTGCATGAATAATGAAGTTGGGATTCTGTTTCAGCATCTATACCCTTTCTGCTTTAAATTATGCTTCCTGATGGAGTGCAATACCTACATTTAGACGATAACATTTATTTTTCCCATGGGAGGTGGTTGTTGGTGATTGAGAGCCTGTACTAGAAAAGAAATCTGCAAAACAAAGTTCCCCTAGAATATGGATAACATGCCTTCCAGGTTCACTTCTCTGCTTATGAGTTCTTTTTACCGGGAGCCTGGCTATACAGCTTAGATTAAAATTATGCAGAGTAAACAGCACATGCTGTCAGAAGAGAAGCACTCACAATTCCAATAACTTCTCTATTTGCCTGCTGGTGAAGAGATAAGAGAGGCTTTAGTTCAGTTACTGATGGCAGCAAATGACCTCAAGAATTATTCATCAGGAGAGAGTGACTTTTTGGAGCTAACAGTACACTTTTCAAGAGCTGGAAAATGGCTCTAAAGCTATTCACATGTAAAAAAGTGTCACTTTTAATTCTGGGCTTGTTCATTGGCGCGACCTCAGTGCACTGAAGGATTGGTTTCCTGGGTGTGAAACCTTCAGCTAGTACTCACCAATCATGATCAGTGATTAGCAATTCATTTTAACATTATTTTCCAAAAAGCTGCAGCCTGTCTTTCTTTTGCTCTACCGAAGATGATTATTTTTGAAAAGACCAGAACTTCATTACACAACTTCCTTCACTTGTAAGACTATCCCATTATATAGAGGACAGACACATGATCAAAACATCTCCCTTGGCTTAGCCATAGCATAGAAATATGTGACAATATTTTTAAAGCATGAGAGAGCCTTTATCTTGTTTTACTAAAATACAAAGATATGCTTTACATTTTGAAATGGAGTTTATGGAACTTTCTACTTATAATACATTCCAATCTAGCAACCCTCAATACCACCTCTCCAGACTTTTCCCCCAATACCTTTAAAGACACCAGGACACTAATAACAAGATGAAAAGAAAATCTCACACTGAAAATGAAGACAGATGGCCTAATGGGCAAGTCCTGGCAGACATCACATTGACTTCAAGGCCTCATGTCACTGCAGCCCCTGGCCACACTCTGTGAAACAAAAACTGCCTGGAAAGTCATCGAGAGCCATTAACAGCCTCTGCCACCTGCACACACCAAGAGGTCTCGCAGGTCTCACTCTCTGCAGGAGACCAGAGTGGACATTGTGACAGGAAGTAAGGGAGAAGAGCCCAGAGTGAAGGACAGTAGGTAGGAGCAAGGACAAAAACAGGACATTGTTGAGATGTCAGAAACAGTCTCAGGGAGGTGCCTCCTCTGTGCACAGAGCTATAGGAGACCAGCACATACTGGGCAGGTCATGGCCACGCTTCAGCAGCTTTGACCTGCAAATTGTAATATCTCTCATGGAGACAGAAAGCAGAACCAAGTGCATCCCATTTGGTAATAAATACTAAATGCTACCTGCAGAGTTAGGGGGAGGCCCATGAAAAAGTGCCCCATGAAAGAGCCTCCCTCTAAAAATGGCCCACTGCAACATCTGGAGGAATATCTGAAATAACAGTTAACATCCTAAGTTAGAAAGTCAACATACAGCCAGCTGGTTCTGGAGAGCACAGCAGAACAAATTAAATACAACCAATAATTTTAAAAATATACCAGAGGTGAAAGATAACTAACTCAACATTTTAAATGGGCAATGTATTAGTTCGTTCTCACACTGCTATGAAGAAATACCCAAGACTGGATAATTTGTAAAGGAAGGAGGTTTAACTGACTCACAGTTCTGCATTGCTGAGGAGGCCTCAGGAAACTTACAATCATGTCAGAAGGTAAAGGAGAAGCAGGCACCTTCTTCAGAGTGGCAGGACAGAGTGAGTACAAGCAGGGAAAATGCCAGATGCTTATGAAACCATCAGATCTCCTGAGAATTCACTCACTATCACAGGAACAGCTTAGGGGAAACCACCCCCATGATCCAATTATCTCCACCTGGTTCCACCATTGACACATGGGGATTATGAGGATTACAATTCAAGATGAAATTTCAGGTGCAGACACAGCCAAACCATACCAGGCAATGAGCTTGAGTAGACATTTCTCCAAAGAAGACATACAAATGGACAATAAGCATATGAAGAGTTTCTTAACACTTTCAGTCACTGGAGAAATTTAAATCAAAACCGCAATGTGATACCATTGCACATTCATTGGATGGCTTATTAAAAAATACAGATAATCACAAGGCCTGACTAGTTTGTGAATTTGGAGCCCTGTGCATTGCTTGTAGGAATATAAAATGGTGTGGCTGCTATGGAAAACACTCTGACAGCTCCTCAAACTATTAAATATGGAGTTACCATATGACCCAGCAACTTGCTCTTAGGTGTATACCCAAAAGAAATGAAAATTTGTACAGAAATGCTCATCACAGTATTATTTATAATAGCCCAAAAAGCAGAAATCATACAAATGTTTCCCCAACTGATGAATGGATAAATATCACATGGTATATTCAAAGAACAAAATATTACTTGGCAATATAGATGAATGAAGAACTGACGTGTGCTATAACATGGAAAAACCTTGGAAACATTAGGGCAAATAAAAGGAACAGTCACAAAAGGTCACAAATTATATTATTCCATTCATATGAAATGTCTAGAATAGGCAAATCTTTGGAAACAGAAAGTAGTGACTGTCTAAGGGAGAGGTAGGGAGAGGTTTTTGATGGGAGGAATAAGGAATGATACTAATGGGTATGGGATTTATTTATTTCTGGGGTTGTAACAATGCACTGGAATTAGATTGCTGCGATGGTTGGATAACTCTGTTAACGTGCTTAGAACCAGTAAATGTTATACTTTCAATGGATGAATTGAATTGTATGGTAGTGGATTATATCTCAACATCCTGGAGACAGAGAGAGTGAGAGAGAAAGAGAGAGAGAGAAAGGCAGAGAGTGAGATGGAGAGAGAGAAGATATTCCTGAATTGAAGACAGATCTATGTGTGCATCGTTAGAGGAGAGCACAGCATTCTAAGGGAAAAGTGAAGAAAGAAAGTATTCATGGCTAGATAGATCCTGTGTTCTTTTTCTGAATTACAAAGATGAAGAAAACATTGTACAAAAATGTTTCAAGGGGACAAACCAGAATGGCCCTTGGGTCTTTGCCTTGCCTCTAAAGACTCTAACATGTAATGAAAGTGTAATGCATATAACATGACTGGAGAAGTGGGATTATACAGCAAACATTTTGCATTCTCTTCTTTGAACTAAAATTATGCTGTTGAATATTTTTAAGTCTAAATATATTTATCTATAAAAGTATAAGGCTTTTTAAAATAAAGGCAACTCCTTTCTTATGACAGCAATTTGGGTACATCAGCAGGGAGTAGAGAGCACAGATAAGCAATAGGAGAGATGCCATCTCTCAAAGACGGAACCCTGTGGCATTCTAAGGATCCTCCCAGTGCAGGGTGCCCAATACCACCTGGAATATGCTGCACAGTGTGTGAGGCCCAGCATCCAAAATGAAAATGCAGGCCCCCTAGTTCAAAAGTAATAAAGATGGCCATAGCAGGGCATTAAATCAAGCTTGGTGCCCTTCTAAGTTCAGTGCCCTGTGGACTGCACAGTTCTCATGCCTGGGAACTCATGCCCTGCACCTAATGAACAGTTAATAAGTGTTTGCTTAAATGGATTAATAATGGATACATTCTAAGAAAACTTAATTCACTTGTCTTGTATTCCTAGTCAAGTCAAAAGTTAACAATCCCTAAAATAAAAGGATGTTCCACCTTACTACTTTCTTCCTCTTTTAAAATGAAGCAAAACACATCTTTAAGTAGAGTGAGTGGCAGTTTAAATTTATCCTCATCCAATGCCTTTCCTGAATATGCTTGTATCAGGACTTTGACACACACAGGACCTGCAGACCTAACACTTGCTGATGATCGGCCCACATTGCCACAGTGAGTGCCTGGTCACGTGCATGGCATCCTTTAGGCAGACACCAACTCCTCATTGTCCCAAATAGCAGAGTTTCCTTCCTTTTCATGGCTGCATAATATTCCCTTGCATGTGTGTGTGTATATGTGTGTGTATAATATATTTACCGTATTTTCAGTATCCATTATCTGTGGATGGACACCATTTCTTTATCTCATTTACTGTGAATACCACTTTACTGTTTACTTGAAATTTGGTAAGAGAGCAGATTTTATGTGTCCTCATCATCACACACATAGGAAGAGTGCATACAAATCATCGCATTGTACACCCTGAATATATACAATTTTCATCAATTAGATATCTTACAATAAAAAGTTTAATAATTAAATAAAAAACATTTCCTGCATTGTAATGTCTCTGGGACCAGCACAGAGCATGGCTTAGGGAGAAGCTCATGTAAAACACTTATGGATTGAAACAGAATTCATCAGGTGCAACATAAAACTGGTGAAGAGATAAACAAGTAATGCTTTCCATTTTCCGCTCTCACTTGGAAAACACTAGTGAGAGGGCCAGACAATGACATGAAATATAGGAACTGCCCTGGTGGAAAAGGGGCCTCAAATAATCATTCATTTATCATCCATTCCATTTACCATTTTATCCATTCCATTGCCATTTCATAATAGGAAATTCTGTAGAAACAGAAAGTAATTACTGGGTGCTTAGGGCTGGGGGAGAAAAATGTTGAGGGAGAATGAGGTTTCCACTCATGAGGAAACCCAGGTTTCAGACCTTTCAGCTGTGTGGTGGGTTCAACTTCCCTATTATAAATTTCATGTTTTGGATCATCTCTAATGCATCTGTGCTTTCTGGGAGACAGTATCCGTCCCTGCTGGCAGCAATGAGCTCTGTGGCCTCACCCTTCCTTTGGTCTGACAATGGAGGAGACAGATGCCTGCTCAAAACAGAATGGCCATGAAGATACAGCTCTGCTGGGAGGTTGGGCTGACCATTTCTCAGTAGGCAGAACTTGGCTCAATTCCTTCCCTCTCAGATATCACTAACAATGCTCCACAATATCTTCAACAGAGAAGTGTAGGGGAAGAAAGACTCTCATCATTGAATTTTTTTAAAGTAATTACTGTGGACTAATTATACAGTTGTTTAGTGCCTTAGTTTTTCCCTCCTCAGCATGTGTGGATTTATATTGGTGCTAATTGCATCCAGGTGTTCTAAACACCACAGTTAAGCACAGGCAAAGAGAAACTAGAAACACTTCAAAATCTGAAGGTATATTGGGGCAGAATTCATTGAACATTTTCTATTGTTGTTGGCTTAAATGGCTCTGTCTTCAGACTTGAGTGTTTTTTAATGTTAATAACTGAAAAATGTTTTCTTTTTCCAATGTAATCTTGAAATTTCTAAAAATTGGGTTATTATCTTGCAGTTCTTGATAAAGAATAGAGTCAGAAAAACATAAACTAAGTGATATGGTTTGGCTCTGTGTCCCCACCCAAATATCATCTTGAACTGTACTCTCATAATTCCTACATGTTGTAGGAGGGGCCTGATGGGAGATAATTTGAATCATGGGAGGTTTCCCCCATACTGTCCTCATGGCAGTGAATAAGTCTCATGAGATCTGATGGGTTTATCAGGGATTTCTGCTTTTGCATCTTCCTCATTTTCTTTCGTCGCCACCATGTAAGAAGTGCCTTTCACCTCCCACCATGATTCTGAGGCGTCCCCAGTCATGTGGAACTGTAAGTCCAATTAAACCTCTTTTTCTTTCCAATCGCTGGTATGTCTTTATAGGCAGTGTGAAAATGGACTAATACAGTAAGTTGGTACCAGGAGTGAGGCGTTGCTAAAAAGATACCCGAAAATGTGGAAGCAACTTTGGAACTGGTTAACAGGCAGAGGTTGGAACAGTTTGGAGGGCTCAGAAAAAGGAAAATGTGGGAAAGTTTGGAACTTCCTAGAGACTTGTTGAATGGCTTTGACAAAAGTGCTAATAATAATATGGACAACGAAGTCCAGGCTGAGGTGGTCTCAGATGGAGCTGAGGAACTTGTTGGGAACTGGAGCAAAGGTGACTCTAGTTATGTTTTAGAAAAGAGGCTGGTGACATTTTGCCCCTGCCCTAGAGATGTGTGGAACTTTCAACTTGAGAGAGATCAATCAGTGTATGTGGCAGAAGAAATTTTTAAGCAGCAAAGCATTCAAGAGGTGACTTGGGTGCTGTTAAAGGTGTTTACTTTTGAAAGGGAAACAGAGCATAAAAGTTCAAAAAATTTGCAGCCTGACAATGCGATAGAAAACAAAATCCCATTTTCTGAGGAGAAATTCAAGCCAGCTGCAGATATTTGCATGAGTAATGAGAAGCTGAAAGTTAATCCCCAAGACAAGGTGGAAAATGTCTCCAGGGCACGTCAGAGACCTTTGCAGCAGCCTCTCCTGTCACAGACCCGGAGGTCTAGAAGGAAAACATGGTTTCATGGGCAAGGCCTAGGGTCCCTGTGCTGTGTGCAGTGTAGAGGCTTGGTGCTCTGCATCTCAGCTGCTCCAGGCGTGGCTGAAAGGGATAAACATAGAACTCAGGCTGTGGCTTCAGAGGGTGGAAGCCCCAAGGTTTGGCAGCTTCCACATGGTATGGAGGCTGTGGGTGCACAGAAGTCAAGAATTGGGGTTTGGGAACCTCTGCCTAGATTTCAGAAGACGTATGGAAACGCCTGAATGCCCAGGCAGCCGTTTGCTGTGGTGGGGGGGCTCTCATGGGAAACCTCTGCTCGGGCAGTGCAGAAGGGACATGCACAGCTGGAGCCCCCACACAGAGTCCCTACTGGGGCACCGACTAGTGGAGCTGTGAGAAGAGGGCCACAGTCCTCCATATCCCAGAATGCTAGATCCACCTACAGCTTATACTGTGCACCTGGAAAAGCCACAGTCACTCAACACCAGCCCGTGAAAGCAGCCAGGAGGGAGTCTGTATCCTGCAAAGCCAGAGTGGCGGAGCTGCCCAAGACCATGGGAACCCACTTCTTGGATCAGCGTGACCTGGATGTGAGACCTGGAGTCAAAGGAGATCACTTTGGACCTTTAAAATTTGACTGCCCTACTGGATTTCAGACTTACATGGGCCCTGTAACCCTTTGTTTTGGTCCATTTCTCCCACTAGGAATGGCTGTATGTACCCAATACCTATACCCCCATTGTATCTAGGAAGTAACTAGCTGGCTTTTGATCTTACAGGGACTTGCCTTGTCTCAGATGAGACTTTGGACTGTAGACTTTTGGGTTAATGCTGAAATGAGTTAAGACTTCGGGGGACTGTTGGGAAGGCATGACTGGTTTTGAAATGTGAGGACATGAGATTTGGCGGGCCCAGGGGCGGAATTATATGGTTTGGCTCTGTATCCCCACCCAAATCTCATCTTGAATTGTACTCCCATAATTCCTATGTGTTGTGGGAGGGACCTGGTGGGAGATAATTTGAATCATGGGGACGGTTTTCCCCATACTGTTCTCATGATAGTGAATAAGTGTCACAAGATCTGAGGGTTTTGTCAGGAGTTTCTGCTTTTGCATCTTTCTCATTTTCTCTTGCCTCTGCCATGTAAGAAGTGCCTTTCACCTCCTGCCATGATTCTGAGACCTCCTGCCATGATTCTGAGGCCTCCCCAGCCATGTGGAACTGTAAGTCTAATTAACCTCTTTTTCTTCCTAGTCTCTGGTATGTATGTCTTTATCAGCAGCATGAAAACAGACTAATATACTAAGCAAAAACTGGCACACCCAGAGCTAACAGGAGAGCTTAGTTTCTAGAACCATATCCCCTGCCTCCTCAGGGACAGGTCTCTTAACCAATCTGCAGGGCACCTGTTAAGGATTGAAGTGTGTCCCTTACAAAGGTATGCCGAAGTCCTAACCCCTGGTACTTGTGAAGGTGGCCTTTTTGGAAATAGGGTCTTTGCAGATATAATCAGGTTAAAATAAGGTCATTGGAGTATCCCTAATCCAATATGACTGGTGTCCTTACCAGAGAAAGGAAAGAGACACAGACACGTGGGGAGAACACCACCTGATGGCAAAGGCAGAGATGGGAGTGATGCATCCACAAGCCAAGGAATGCCCAGGTCAGCCAACGGCATTGGAGGCTGAGAGAAAGGCCTGGAGCAGACTCTCCCCTAGAGCCTCGGTGGAGAGCATGCCTTGCTGATGCCTTGATTTCTGACTTTTCACCTCCAGACTGGGAGGGAATGAATTTCTGTTGTGATGAGCCACCCAGACTGTGACCCGTTGTCACAGCAGTCCCAGGGGATTAACACCAAGAGCCCCTTCCTGGCACCATTATCAGAAGCTGCTCAGAGGAAAAATTGGGTTTTAGGTAAACTTTAAATAACAATCTTAGCTTGATCATTTTTTTTTTTTTTTTTTGAGACGGAGACTTGCTCTGTTGCCCAGGCTGGAGTGCAGTGGGGCAGTCTTGGCTCACTGCAAGCTCTGCCTCCTGGGTTCATGCCCCTCTCTTGCCTCAGCCTCCCAAGTAGCTGGGACGAGAGGTGCTCATCACCAGGCCCGGCTAATTTTTTGTATTTTTAGTAGAGACGGGGTTTCACCGTGTTAGCCAGAATGGTCTCCATCTCCTGACCTCGTGATCCGCCCGCCTCGGCCTCCCAAAGTGCTGGGATTACAGGCATGAGCCACCGCGCCCGGACTCAGCTTGATCATTTTTTAGGGTATTCCAGATAGCAATAATAATGCCTTCCATTTATTGACCATCTTGTGGCAGAAATCCTTTGAGCACTTCCCTACTTCCCTAGAGTTCTTTCATGAAACACATCAGCAGCTCTGGGTATTGCCATTTGCAGAATTGAGGAGGGTATGGGAAGCTGAAGTTCAGGGACATTACTTTGCTGTGAATTTGCCACCAGAAATGGTGGTGTCCAGGACTGTATCAAAGCCATATGGCCATGAGGATTTTGCTTTGAGTAAAGTTGGGATAACTTTTAGAGTTCTGTAAGATGGGAGGATGAATTGGACCTTCCTCCTAGGGTGAGGCTTAGATGAGTTCCCACATCTCAGGACACGCAACAGGCTGGGCACAGCCACTGCTGGGTAAAGGCTGCCACTGATATTATTTGTATTATTTTGTTTTTATTATAGTTGTCATCTTGTTGCTTGTCTGTGCTTCTGAAATTACAGTTAAGTGAGCATCCAAAGGCTCTTCTCAATCCCAAAGCCCACCCCTCCGCTTCTGCCCTTCAAGTGGTATCAGTGGAGCACTGCGTGGTTAGGACTTTCGGCGTAAGAGACAATTAATCAAAGTTAATGGACACTTCTTTGTTACACAACACGACTAATGTCAATGGCAAACAAATCACTGAAAAACAATGACCAATAAACCCAACTGAAAGGTTTTTCCATTGAAAATAAAATCAACCATGCCTAATCTACTTGGATTTCAAATGAAGTCATAATTGCTTTTTGCTGAAACTACTCCAGTTACCCAATACCCTGCACCAGTAATGATTAAACAAATCTATGAACTTAAACTTGGGAATTAGTGAAGGGCTTTTCTTCGGGCAAAAAATTGTACAAACAATCCCTAGGATGTTAATCAATGAAACAAATTAACAGTCAGGAGCCCAGGCTCAGAACCTGGTGTACCATGGATTCAAATACTTGCTGTGCCACTTGGCTTCAGATCTTGAACAATTCACTGAATGTCCCATGTGCCTTACTTTGCTAATCCCTATAATGGGGATGATGATAGTACCTGTTTCATTGGATTGTTGGGCTGATTGTGTGAGTGAATACATATAAAATGCTTAGAACAGTGTCTGGCATGTAACGAGCAGTCAAAACAGGGTTGACATTATTATTATTATTTAGATGTTTCGCAAATTACTAGTTTTGTTTTTTCAAATATCTATTCTTCTAAACACTTTTTTTTTTTTCTGGTCAGGCACAGTGGCTCACGCCTGTAATCCCAGTACTTTGGGAGGCCAAGGCAGGCAGATCACTTGAGGTCAGGAGTTTAAGACCAGCCTGGCCAACATAATGAAACCCCGTCTCTACTAAAAATACAAAAAAATTAGCCAGGTGTTGTTGCGGGCGCCTGTAATCCTAGCTACTCTGGAGGCTGAGGCAGGAGAATTGCTTGAACCCAAGAGGTGGAGGTTGCAGTGAGCTGATGTCGTGCCACTGCTCTTCAGCCTGGGTGACAGAGCAAGACTCTGTCTCAAAAAATAAATAAATAAAAATAAAATAAATAAATAAACACATTTTTCTGCATATTCCTTAGAGATAATTGAGTTATGAACTGGGTAAGACTCCAAACGGAGCCCAGTTGCACCTTCGCGTCATCTATATTCCCGTTTTCACATGTCCCTCACACCCGTGCTAGGATGATTGAGTATGACAGAGACATGCCTCCCCCATGCCTGTGCTTTAGGGAACTAGCTCATCCACTTCTCCCACGGCCCCACTGAACTCTGGGCTGAGTAACTAGGCCTCTGGGGTTGGAGGACTAAAGCTCAGAAGTGGGCACCTAAAGAGGAGATTTTCTGGTGCATTCTCTTCCACCAATGTTCTAATGCAAAGTCTATCAGGAAATCTAGGTTTATATATCTCTGAAGAGTGTTTATTCAATTTACCAAAAAGAATATAAAATGTACAGTAAGTTCTTTCTAAAATATAAGTGTTTCCATTATCTTTGATGTATGAGTGAATAAAACATTGATTTAGACAATGTGGCATGTGCCCCAGAAATGGAAATACAGCATTGGTCTGGGGAAGGGATTAATATTTATTGATCACTACTATGTGCCAGACATTTTATATACAACTTATTTCAATTTCAATTTCACATCAACCCAGTACAGTAGGTTTGACACCAATTTTTTAAAAAAGACCATTTATTCTCAGAGTTGTTGAACAATCTGGACTGTATTGGACGGCGGAGTAGTGAGTTAGAGTGTCCATCACTCCATCCGGGGCCCTCTTGCCCTACCAAAACCCAGCCCCCAACAGCCCGTCCCACTGAGCAGCTGGAGTCCATCCTGTAAGGCAGCAGGCTTTTCACATGATTGCCCCGCATATCATTTGCTTTGCATCTCTTTAAATTGTACCAGTTAGTCTCCCCAGGGCCTCCCCAGATTCCAAGTAGATCCCTCTGGCAGCTCTGCTGTGCTTGGCATTACCAGCACTCTCTGAGCTGAGACTCAGCCTCTTCCTCTTAACTTGTGCAGCCAAAGTTCTCTGCACACCTCATCGGCAGGTTCATCTTCTCAGTGAAGCCTGTAGAGATGGGAAACAAGTAGATACAAAATTACATATGAATTTAGATTTTTTTTTTCTAAAGCAATAGGAAAATTTACTCATCTATTTTTCCCGTTTACCCCTACTTTAATTCTGTTTTCCCTTTCTAAGTTTACACAATAAGCAGCTAATCCCACTTGCTCTCTCTTTTGGGCCTGGAGTTCCTTAGGGCAGCTCTCTCACCCCACAAAGGAGCCAGGAGTTCTCTGGCTGCCTCCTTCCTAAGCTTGGAGGGTGCATTGCCCTGCTTTTCTTTCTATGTGGATGCTGAAATCTTCTCAGTTGTATCATGGTTGAAAGCTTCATTATTCCTTTTGCCTGTAAGAAGAGCCTTAGATTGAAACAGAATATCTAATTACATTGGAAGGAAAAATATCGACATTCATTTATAAAATATCTTCCTGGTATCTTCCTAGACAGACGTTCCGTTTAATGAACTAGAGAGCTACTAGCTTCCCTCCCATCACTGCAGAAATCATACAGATAAGATGCCAGGGCTAGCAGAGTTAAGAGGCAGTGGTTATGCAGCTCTAGTTTCCTAACATACTCGGGCTATGTTAGAATAAAAAAGTCTTTGAGGGCTGGTGCTGGCTGGGGCAGGGGCCAGCTCCGATGAAAGCACACTGCAAGCTTCAGTAGAGAAACAACAGGGGCCCGAGCACAACTTCAAAAAGCAGTTGCAAGGACTACAGATATTTCCTTTTTTTTTTTTTTTTCCAAGTTTGAGGATTGAAGCTGGAGCATCGGAACTTCAGGAAAAGAAGGAGCAGCGCAAGGAAGACTGAGATGATTTCTGATGATCATCAGAGCAAAGGAAGTGCTGAGCAGTGAATGAGGCTGTCTTAATTCTCCCACTTGAGCTTGAGAGCAGCAGTCAGGAGCTGTCTGCATCTCCTTTCATTCTCCTTTCATTCAACGTTATGTAACAGTCCCTCTAAAAGGAAACTCTCTACCTAGCTACTGAATTAATTGATGTCCTTAAGCCCTGGGGGAACCTCTGTGGGCAGCCATGTTGCTGCCTCAAAATGGGAAGAAAGAGAAATCACTCAGGGGAATATAATTTTGTATTGTTCTTCATGAGACAGGAGAGAAGAAGGGAGTGTTGGGAGTTCTGGACTGGAAGAAATGTGTGTAACTAAATATAGTAATTGCATTATTCACAGCAGGCTTATGCTGCAGTTGTATTTATTGCTGCATGAAATTTTTTTTCTATAAGATTCAGAGCCTATATTTATAGGATCAAAGTCAATAATTTTTAAAATTATTATTATCACAAAAGTATTGGGAATGCCCTTGAACTTGTTATAGTTTTAAAAGTGTAAAATTGCATTCTGATTCTGACTGAAATTAATGGGCTCAGGCACTCACTGGGGGCTCTGGAAAATACACAAAATACACACAAACTTCCATATAACTTTTAAAACAAACTCAGTATTGATAATGAGACTGCTTCACCAGATAATACAAGCAAAAGTATGGGTGTGGTAAAATATTCAGAGATTTAGGCCAGTCTTCGGGCAAGACAGCAGAGTAGGTTCTTCCTGGTATCTATTTTAAGAATCTAGCAGCAAAA
Organism: Homo sapiens; assembly: GCF_000001405.40. Classification (NCBI taxonomy): domain Eukaryota; kingdom Metazoa; phylum Chordata; class Mammalia; order Primates; family Hominidae; genus Homo; species Homo sapiens. The sequence goes on from NC_000005.10 coordinate 7,349,363, forward strand.
GAAAATGGTAGAACCATTTGGGAATTCTTCATGGACGGTTGGCTGTGAGAAAATAACGCTGTCAAGGCTGTGCTTTGCTAAACAGGCAGGCTACCGTCCATGTGTGCTCCACACCCTGATGAAAATGATCAGAGCTCTGCCTTGACAAACGGCAACCATTCCGTTTCTATTCCATTGAAAGGCAGCCCCAAAATGGCATCTAGTGAAGAAATCAATGAAAGAATGGTGTTTTTTTAGTTGAACTATTTATTGAGATAATTGAACATTCACATGCATTTGTAAGTAATAATATACAGAGATCCTCTCTACCCTTTACTCATTTTCCCTCAATGGTAACACCTTGGAAAATTATAGTGCAATTATCACAACCAGGGTATAGACATTAATACAATCCTCCAACCTGACCCCGATTTCCTGGTTTGCTTGTATTCATTTGTATGGCGTGTGTGTGTGTGTTTCGTTCTGCATAATTTTATTATGCATGTAGGTCCTGCTTCCTGCATGCACCGCTACAATCTAGATATCTACATACAGAACAATTCTGTATGGCTTTTCCTTCTTTTAAAACCACACCCACCTTCCGTTGGCCCCACTCCTCACCTCCCAGGGCCTAAGTCCTGGCAACTACTAATCTATTCCTCTGCGTTTCTAACATTTTGTTATTTCAAAAACATTATGCAAGTGGAATCATACAGTATGTAAACTTTTGGGGATTCGCTTTTTTCACTCAATGTGTTTCCTTAGAGATTCATTCAAGTTGTCAGGTGTATCAATAGTTTGTTCCTTTTACTGCTTCATGGTCTGTGATCTGGATATATCATGGTTTGTTTAACATTTACCTTTGAAGAACATCTGTGCTGCTTCCAGTTTGGGGCTATTATAAATAAAGCTGTGATGAACATTTGTGTATAGTTTTTGGTGTGAACATAAGTCTTCATTTCTCTGGGACAAATGCCTATGGGTGCCATTACTGGGTTATTTTGTATTTTCATGCTGGGTTTTATAAGAAACTGTCAAATTGCTTTCCAGATTGTACCATTTCACATCCCCACCAACAATGTGTGAGTGATCTGGTTTCTCTGCATCCTTGCCAGCATTTAGTGTTGTCGCTATTTTTTATTTTAACCATCCTAGTAGGTGTGTAGTGATAACGGATGATGGTTTTAATTTGCATTTCCCTGATGGCTAATGATGATGAGCATCTTTTCATGTGGTTATTTGCCATCTGTATTTATTCTTGGCAGAAGGTCTGTAGGTATCTTGCCCATTTTCCATTTGGATTGTTCAGTTTTTTACTGTTGAGTTGGAAAGTTCTTTTTATATGCTAAATATTAGTCTTTTGTTGGACGTGTGGTTTGCAAAGATTTTCTCCCAGTCTGCCACCTGTCTTTTCATCCTCTTCACATGGTCCCTTTCAGACAAAAAGTTTTGACATTTCACGAGGCCTCATTTACCATTTTTTTCATGGATTATACTTTGGCAACAAGTCTAAGTACTCCTTGCCTAGATCGCAAAGTCTCCTATGTTTTGTTTGTTTGTTTGTTTGTTTTGGTTTTTTTCCCTAAAAGTTTTATCATTTTAAGGTCTACATATAAATTCATGACTTATCTTGACTCAATTCTTGTATGAGATATGAGGTTTCATTGCAGTTCCTGTTGTTGCCTATGGATGCCCAGTTTCTCAAGCACCGTTTTCTGAAAAGGCTCTCCCTCCTCCCTCCTTCTCTCAATTGTTTTCACACCTTTGTCAAAAGCCAGTTGAGCATGTCTGTATGTGTCTATTTCTGGGGTCTGTATTCTGTTTCTTCAGTCTATGAAAGCAGAGCTTTAAGAATTGTTCTGAGACATGAAAAGCCCATTCAGTTTTTTTGTTTGTGTCCCTTGAATAAGCATGCTCTGCACTTTTATTTTCTCATATGTATGCTAACTTCTACGTGTGTTTGGAAATGAAGATGATACAGGAGCTAAGAAGAAAGTACTTAGGCAGATAATGAGGGTACAGAGTCCTCAGTAAGGTTTTCCTTTCAATAAAAAGCAGCCCCCAAGTCATTTTCTTTTCTAACAAAGAGCAGCCTGTAAAATTGAGCTGCAGACATAGACAAGCAAGCTGGAAGCTTGCACAGAAGAATGTTGGCAGTTGTGCCAATAGGAATATACTACCTGCGGCTAGGCATGTTCAAAATGGTGGCTCCATTTTCTCTTTTTGCCAGCCACATGTACAGCAAGGAGCAGGGAAGATGGCACTGGCCAAGCAGAAAGCCCATTTGCATAATAAGATTAGGCTGGGGCGACAAGCCTTCCCTGAGCACCATGTCAATGTCACACCTGGTGGAACCAATATGGGGGCCCTACGTAAATCAGACACCGCCCCCTCAAGCCTGCCTATAAATTCTGCTGTGGTCCACCACTTTTTCCTTTTCAGACGCCCCTCCTAACAAGATAGACAGAGAGCTGCTCTCCTCTCTTCTTTCTTCTGCCTATTAAACCTTCTGCTCCTTAACTCACTCCATGTGTGTGTCTGTGTCACTAATCTCGGCACAAGACGCTGAACCCCAGGTATTTACCTCAGACAAGAATGCCACTTCAAAGACACACACACCTAACCCTTTACATATATACATACATATAAATACACACATATATATTCAGGTGTGTATGATATACACACACACATACGCACATACATCACACACACATATATATGTATATCTATATAACTAAAAATATAAAACTCTCGTGTAAGTTAATTAGAGTAAAACCTCATCACATCATGAGTTGCCAATTAAAGGTTTATGATTTTCTTATTTAGAAATAAATTTTCCAGGCCAGGTGCAGTAGCTCACTCCTGCAATCCCATAACTTTGGGAGGCTGAGGCAGGCAGATTGCTTAAGCCCAGGAGTTCAAGATCAGCCTGGACAACATAGTCAGATGCCATCTCTAAAAATAAAAATAAAAAATTAGCTGGGTGTGGTGGTGTGCTCCAGTAGTCGCAGTTACTTGAGAGGCTGAGGCAGAAGGACAGCTTGTGCCTGGGAGGTCAAGGCTGCAGTGGTCTGTGATCATGCCACTGCACTCCAGCCTGGGAAACAAAGTGAGATGCTGTCTTGGAAAAAAAAAAAATTTCCTACATTATACTTACAGTAACAAAATTTAAGTTGTAATTCACTCTACTTGTACCTAACATTAATTTTATAATTGCTCTGTCACTATTTCCTTATTTTTTACTGTCATAATAATAATAGCTAGTAGTTGGGGAATAAGAGTTTTCTTAATTCAAGTTGTACATTTTTAAACTTAAGTGAAACTTAAGCTGAGCACTTATTAATCATATTTTATGTCCAAGGAATGGAATTTCCCTTTCTTTTTTCAAAATCAAATTGAAATTTAAAACCTGATAACAAATTGATTATGAGCAGTGGTAAATCAGATTCATATTTTGTGCTGAAAATTATATGAATATGTGTGATTATAAGATATAAGGGCATAGACACACACACACACATTTACTTAAGAAAAAAGTCATTGGTTCATGATGCCAATACTTGTTAAGACTACAAAAAAAATTGTCCCTTGAGAGCTGAATTAGCGAAATCCATGTAGAGGTTAGTTCTCAGCACAGTTCTCCTAAATGAGGGAATATTTTTCAAGTCAAAGTAGAATTCTTAGTACATTTTGGACTAAATATGAAAGACAAATATAACCAACAAAATGTCATTAATAAATGCTAAAATTGAATTATTTGTGTGGGATTCCAAAAAGTGAGGATTTGAAGCTTATCATATCCCTGGTATTTCCAATGGAGCAAGCAACCTGATGAACAAAAATTATGTATATACATATACCTTATATTATGAGGAGAGAGAGAAAGAGACAGAGAGACAGAGAGAGAAAGGGAAATATTAATGCATTAATGCATTAAATTTTTAGGTTGATCACACTGGTCATTCGAATAACATTTTATTTCCTAATTTTCTCATATTATGCACATGAAATAATTTTACCATTTCTATTGATTTTCCTTTAGCACCTACGTCATGGAGAAAATGTGTCTACCCGCAACTCCCGCTAACAAACATGGTCATTTATTGGCCAGTTTAGTTCCCATTTTCAGTTAATAACTTGGCTTTATTGTCTACACGTCAGACCCTTGTGAATGTTGTGTAGTTGTTGCTGTGAATGGATGCCCTTCAACACTAACTACATGCACAGAAATCAATTTCTGCACCTACAGAGCTGAGGATAAGACCCTGGGCTCTGGCCTCCCTCCAAGGCTGGGTACCTTGGGAGACCTGCCCTGAAATCAGCTGACCATGTCGTAATTGTCATCTCATCTCATGCCTCTTGGTCACTGCCACACAGAGTATACTCTGTAGTGGAGGAGAAAATAAAAGGCTGTAGAGAATCAGAGCCTAAACTATCTGGTAACCATTACAGGATATTTAGAATTAATCCACTTGTACACCTGATTTCTACCTCTTGTTGACTCATCAGCTTCATCTTGTTTATTTATCTGTTCTCCTGCAAAACAGCTTCTCATAAGAAAGGTTGGCAGTCTGCTGTAGACTTCTTGGTCCATTTCCTTTTGCATTGGTAAACTTTGTTCAGACTGAATGGAACCTGCTGCCTAGAACATTTTGCCTTGATTAACGCCGAATAACTATGTCTCTTACAGAGTTACAACTATCCCAACTTTATCTGCAAATACATCTTTACTAAAACGTTATTTTTTTTTTACTGGATGTAATTCTTAATAGACCTTGTTTCTTAGCACATCTTTCGGTTTCCTGCAAAACTGATCAAAAGGTACAGAGATTTCCCATGTACCCACTCTGCCCCCACACCTGCACAGCCTGCCTCATCATAAAAATCCCCCACCAGGGTGTATGCTTGTTAAAACTGGTGAACCTATATCAACACATCATTAAAAGATTATAGTTTACATTACAGTTCAATTTTGGTGTTGTACATCCTCCAGATTTGGAAAAATTTATAATGACCTGTATTCACCATTGGAGTGTCATACAGTGTAATTTCACATTGCTGTGGTGTTCATGAGCATGGTTTTGTATTTTACAGAAGTATCAGTGTTTGGCCTAAAAATGCTTTGTGCTCTGTCTAGTCATCCCCCACTTCCCCCAACCCCTGGCAACCACTAACCTTTTCACGGTCTCCATAGTTGCATTTTTCAGAATGTCACATATTTGGAATTGTACAGTAACCAGCCTTTTCACATTGGATTTTTTCACTAAGTAACATGCATTTAAGTTTCCTCCATGTCTTTTATAGCTTAGCTTGATAGCTCATTTCTTTTTTTGTGTTGAATAATATTTCATTGTCTGGATGTACCACAGTTTATTTACCCAGTCACCTACTGCAGGACATTTTGGTTGCTTCCAAGTTTGTCGATTATGAATAAGGCTGTTGTAAACATCTATGTACATGTTTTTGTGTGAGCAGAAGGTTTCAGCTTGTTGGGATGATCAGACACAACACCAGGCCATGGGGGCTACGAAGTCCATTGGAGTCAAAGGAATGAGACAAGACAAGTTAAGAGTGAAAGTGGGTCCAGGGGGCCAATGCTAGTGTGGAGGCTGCAAAGCTCCCAAGCTCTGGGAGACCACACTATTTATTGGTGATCAAACAAAGAAGCAGGCAGTGAGGACATGGGGGTCAAAAGGAAGTGGTGCATCAAGCATTTGATCTATAGTTGTGTCAGTTTAGCATTTTCTTTGAAGCCTATGGAACATGTTTGGCTACTCGAGATAATGGGGAACATGTCCTTCTAACTCAAGATACAATTGATTTATGATCCTGGGAGAGCAAGAAGTAAGGAGCCAGCAAGTCTGAACACATTCCAGAGGCCACGAGGGGTTTTATGCCCTGAGCCCTGGATTCCATCCAAGCCACAAGGGGTTTAATGCTCTGGGCTTAAATTGTAGTGCGGCAGGGCAGCCTTCCACCCTTAAGCACAGAGCTTGGTGTTCCATAGGCCACGAGGGGTTTTAGACCCTGGACCCAGGACATGTTCCAGGACTTTTTATATTATGTCAAGACTAGCAAGTCCTGCCTCAGCTCTTCTACCAACACAGCTCCTTTGGGTAAATACCAAGGAGCATGATTGCTAGATCATATGGTAAGAGTATATTTAGCTGTGTAGGAAACACCCAAACTGTCTTCCGAATGGGCTGTACCATTTTGCATTTCTCCAGCAGTGTCTGAGAGTTTCTGCTGCTCACATCCTTGTCAGCATTTGGTGTTGTCAGTGTTCTGGATTTTGGCCATGCTAATAGGTATGTAGTGGTATCTCACTGTTGTATTAACTTGCATTTCCCTGATGACATGGGATGTGGAACATCTTTTAATAAGCTTATTTGCCACCTGTATATCTTCTTACATTAGGTGTCTGTTAAGATCATTGGCCCTTTTTAAAATCAAACTTTTTGTTTTTTATAGTTAAGTTTTAAGAGTTCTTTATATATTTTGGTTAATAGTCTTTTATCAGATATGTCTTTGCAAATATTTTTTCTCAGTCTCTAGCTTGTCTTGTCATTCTCTTGATAGTGTCATTCACAAAGCAGACTATTTTAATTTTAATAAAGTCCGATTTATCAATTCTGTCTTTAATGGACCATGCCTTTGGTGTTGTGTATAGAAAGTGATTACTGAAGCATTGGTTATCTGGATTTTCCATTATGTTATTTTCCAGGATTTTTATAGTTTCACATTTCACATCTAGATCTGTGATCCATTTTGAGTTAATTTTTGTGAAGACCAGAAAGTCTATGTTTAGATTTATTTTTTGCATGTGAATAACCAGTTGTTCCAGCACCATTGGTTGACAGAGAGTACCTTTTCTCCATTCTATTGCCTTTACTTCTTTGTCACAGATCAGCTGACCAAATTTATGTGGGTCTATTTCTGGGATCTCTGTTCTATTCTATTGATCTATTTGTCTGTTCTTTTGCCAATACCACAATGTCTTGGTTACTGTAGCTTCAAGTCAGGCAGTGTCAGTCTTCCAACTCTGTTCTTTTTTTTTTTTCTCTTTTTTGAGACAGAGTCTCACTCGGTCACCCAGGCCAGGGTAGAGTGGTGTGATCTTGGCTCACTGCAGCCTCTGACTCCCAGGTTCAAGCGATTCTCCTGCCTTAGCCTCCTGAGTAGCTGGGACTACAGGTATGCATCACCATACCTGGCTAAATTTTTGTATTTTTAGTACAGATGGGGTTTCACCATGTTAGTCAGGATGGTCTCGATCTCCTAACCTCATGATCTGCCTGCCTCAGCCTCCCAAAGTGCTGGGATAATAGGCATGAGCCACCGCACCTGGCCTCCCAACTCTGTTCTTATTCTTCAATATAGTGTAGGCTATTCTGGGTCTTTTGCCTCGGCCTATAAACTTTAGAATCTGCTTGTCTGGATAGAATTCCTTCAAAGTTTTTGGTTTCCTTATTTTACAAAAACTTATCTGGTTTTTCTTTCCTTCAGGTAATATTTTTGTTATAGTGAAATCCATGGCTCTGCTATTAAAAATGTGGTCTACAGATTGTTGGCTCCCATGAATCATTTGTTGCTGCTCCATTACATAAGTGCAGAAAGTGACAGCAACCACATGGAAGGTTTTATAGTAATTTAACATTGCTATGGCATCCATAAACATAGTTTTGTATTTTACAAAAGTATCAGTCTGTGATCTATAGGAAATTAAAATTTTGGCCTTTGTGCACAAATAGTGCAAAAAAAGCATGGTTCTATGATACTATTTTTAAATTAGTTACTTGAAGATTTTCTCAAGCAGCTGGGAATTTGCTTGTGCTAACATCTAAAAATATAAATTAAGTGTTATTTTGATGTTTTAAAATTTTATATCCAGTGAAATCTCTTTGACTTAAACTATCCATCAATATGTAGATGTTTGGACAAAAATAATGATTAAGATACCAGAGATTTAAAATGAAAAGTCATTTGTCTCAGTCATAAACATTTCTATTAAATGCATTAATTTCTTTTTTATCAACGCTACTGAGTAAACATATTTGGATAAGGATTTCGCATCACCTTCTGGACTTTGATTCTCTCCACTGAGTATAAGTAGCACAGGGGAGAGGAATATATCTGTATTAATACTAGATGGTTTCCTCAAAACTGCACTTCTTAGAAATCATCTTCATTATTTTGCTCATTTTTAGATTAGCACTAAAAATTCAGTAGAAAAATCTTACATTGGGGGAATCATAATAGTTTAATAAAATGTCATTCACCAGACAATATTTTTTCATTGTACAATAAACGTCAATTCAGTAAGACTGTTATGAACTCTTGGTGTACCAGAGAATCATTCAATGTGCTATAAGAGATTACAAATAAGTCAATGATACTATCCTTTTCTGAAGAGATGACATACACAAACAAAAATGCTAATTACCAATTAAGGGGCCAATATGAAAATGAAGAAAAGCAAAGGTGGTGTAGAGGAGATACTTCCATGCTGCAAGACCTCAGAGCAAGGGAAAGAGGCTTCCAAAACAGAGTTAATTTAATAGTTTACTTCTATGTCCAGAATGTTCATCTTGGACTTAAAAAGACCTGCAGGATTTGATTTGACAGGGGGAGAAGAGTTTAGAGCCATCCAAAATGGATTTTAGAAGTAGGAGATAGGACAAGACTGGAGCTTGGGGATTTGAAAGATGCCTAATAGAATAAAAGCTGTTTATTTAGAACTAAATGTGGAGGGGAGGGGATGAGGAGTAAAAGAGAACATTGGATTGTTGTCAGGTGTGTTTAATGATAACTTGGATGTTAAGATGGGGGCTTTTGGTTTTGAACCAAAAGCAAACAGGAAACTTCTTTAGTAGAAAAGCAGCAGAATAAAGGCAGTAGGTAATACACACTCTATACACTCTCTATATACACTCTGTGTGTGCACTTTCCAGCCAAACCTTCAGATAAAGATGGGGTTACAACAGATTTAAAATTCTAAAGCTCTTGAGCATGAGTCAAGAGTCACTGATAAAGACCCATTTCTCAATTTCAATTGCCCGGGAACAGTGTGAGAAGGATAGTCAGAACTCTGGGGAAGTATATTTGTTCTCCATCAAAAGAAGTCAACTATATAATTATCACTCCACAGTTTCTAATTTGTGATTAAAGGTATGTATAGTTGATCTTACTTCCTGGAAAACTAGAGAAGAAAATAAGGGAGAAATGGAGAAAGAAAAGGAAAAGAGAAGAAAGAAAGATAAAAAAAGGAAGACAGAGAGAGAGAAAGAAGAAAGAAAGAGAAAAAAATAAAGAGAAAGAAAGAAAAAAGGAAAGAGAAAGAAGGAAAGAAAGAAAGAAAGAAGAAATGAAGAAGGAAGGAAGGATGGAAGGAAGGGAGGAGAAATTATTAAGTATTAATACTTTAATACTGTATTAAGTATTACACATAATTTAAGAATTATTTAAAGTATACAGGAGGATGTGTGTAGGTTATGTGAAAATACTATGCCATTTTATATAAGGAACTTGAGCATTTACAGATTTTAATATCCGCAGGGGACCTGGGGCCAATCCCTGTGATACCAGGGGATGACTGTACACTGAAATGTTGTTAGCATAGCATACAGCCTATCCTTGTAAAGTTTACCAAATTTTCCAGCACTATGAGGAAATATCAGCTGTAAATACAAGCACATTACTTTATGTAGGAATTATACTCAAGAGTAAGAAGTTACCCACTTTCATGCCATCTATGCTGAAGCCCAGAGAGAGCTCAGGACCTAAATTCTTTGCCCTAGAGAAGGCAGCTCTTTGACAGGACATACTCGGGTATCTGAGGAAAGAATGGGAAATGGGATAGAATTGTTAGCTGCTGCTGGATGACTCGGGGGGGGCCAAGGTCACACATCAGCCGCCATCAGTACAAGCGGGAATGGACCACAGGTGGAGGTAGGATAGCCACCATATTTGAAGAATTAAAGACCCTGGGTACAACTGTTGTTCTATTACAATATTTCCTTGATTAAACAATACTTCAGACACCCAGTTTAAGTATTGCTTCTGGAACCATTCATCAGAATAAGTATATACCCACATTTTATTACATCCTGCAATGCATCTGCCTATAAAATCAGCATTTTACATCCTTAGTACAAACCTTGGTACCCTGCACCACTAATCTGGGTCTGACCACAAAGTTGTCCACATTAGGATGTTGCTCTATAAATTCAACCTTTCTGCAGCAACTCTCTTCCTGTGCAACTGAAAAGGTTTTAAAAATCTCAAAGCATCTGTTGGGTATTTTCTCTAAAAAAAAAAAAAAAAAAAGAGCAAATTTTCACACTTCCTCTTCAAATCACACAATTTGTCTGTAGAATGCTACATAATTCTTGCTGTTGCCTTCTACCTGCTTTTAACTGAGGCCATTTTTAACACACTGCTTTGTGCGTATAGATCCTACTAGCTCAGCAGTTTTAGAAGAATATATAATAAAAGAAGTAGCAAGGGTTTAATGCATTTACTTCTCTCCAAAGATTTTCCATATTGGTGACAAAAATGCTGTGTGCTTTAGTTAATGAACATAAATTGAATAAAATGAAACCACTGAAACACTCTGACAAGTATAGAGACACCAACATAGGAAGTCTTGCAATTTTCGTATTGTCCTTTCAATAAGCTTTTTACAATAGGAAGATTGGAAGCTCATCTAAAGTATCCATTGATTAAGTTACCTTTGGGACAGTTCTGCTCTTCTGCCTCATGGTAATTGCCATATCATGCAAGATGTAAGCAACGTGCTATTCTGCTTTCCTACGGAAGCAGGGAACGCTGGCTGTAGAGGATGCAGGACATCCTCTAGGCATATTGCAGGTTCTCTGCCTTTCTCTGCAACCTTGGAGTGCATAGAACTTTCAGTACTGGCATTTTCTAAGGCACTTGATGGCCTTTGTAAAACAAAGAGGAAGCACAATGTGTATCTTTTAACTCAATAAGGGTAGGTAGATTTTTAAAAATAATTTAAACATGTCATTTTATCTGTACTATTTGAAAAGACATTGTACTAAGTAATAACTCAAGGCTAAACATTAAATCTATAGAGTTTCCTAAAAGGGATTCCTAGAAAACTTCTAAGAACAAAAAGAAAATAAAAAGCATGCAAGAAGCACCACATGACACATTAATTATTGGCAAACAAAATAAACATTATAAAACTTCATTCTACCATTTTAATGTCATGGGCAAAATCTGTTTCTAAGAAATCCCAAGAATCCACAGACATGTTCTTTTGGGCAACAAAAGAATCCTATTAAAAATGAAGGCATTAACAAATCCACATTCATTGGTAGAGTGGCTCATACATCTTCCATTTCTACTCTTATTTCTTCCTGGGAATTGATAATTAAACTAAATTCTTTCTATAAACTTGAGTTAGTAGCTGGACTTGAGGGAAAAAAATGCATAACATTACTTTATAACACACAATTTTGTTGGTCAGCCTCTATTTTATCAAATTATTATACATCCAAAACTTAAAAGAATACAATCTAAACAAATTTAATAAATTCTCTATTTTCGAGTATATTTGATAGAAAATGCTGGTGATATTAAAGACCTGACTTGGTTTGGAATTGAGAAAGGGAGTAAAGCATGCATGGTCAAAAGTCTAAGAAAGATACAGAAGTTGGAAGATGTTAGGGAGGCAAGATTGTCACAGTAAGAGCGCTGGCTTTGAAGGTGGAGGAGCAGCCTCTGAGCCAAGGAATGCAGGGGGATTCCTGTTCCAGAAGCTGGAAAAGGGAATCGATTCTCCCCTAGAGCCTCCAGGAGGGCAAGCCCGTCTGACACCTTGACGTTAGCGTCAGACTTCCAACCTCCAGAGCTGTGAACTAAGCAAGGTGTGTTGTTTTAAGTTCCTGAGTTTGTGGTAATTTGTTACAGCAGCCATAGGATGCTAATACATCAACCAAAACCAGAACATGCGAGGGTCTGAAAAATGAATTGCTGCCCGACTACCTTCATCAAAGAAACACATACACTTTTCACTGAATCACTGAAGAAAGGAAAATGTTGGGAAATGTCTAGATGGGATTGTCTTTTGATCGTAAGTCCCATGTGACCCAGACCTGAGACAGTGGTGCCCTGACTTGTTTCTGGTCACTGTGTTTGCTATGGGTATGGTGAGGGGCCCAAGCCAGCCAACCATTCCAGTCAGTGAGACTTAATTGCCACACATTTGCTTGTGCCACTGGGGAAGAGGAATTCTCTCTGTAGTTGGATAGCTATTATGCTAAGCTAGATTGTAAGCCTGGAGCTGGGGAGGAGTAGCCATCCGGAGACCTCTAGGGGAGAACCTAAGTCCTTCTGAAAATGAAGCCAACACCAAAGAAAGCAGAGCTGAGAAGAGAAAAAAACGAGACTGAGATGATCCCGAAGATGTCATCTGTGCCCTTGAGTCATGTCTTGGCAGACTTAGATGCTCCAGTTCTACGGGCCAAAACATCTCCTCTTCTCATTTTACTCGCAACTAAGACTCCTCTGTGGGAAAGAAACAGTTCCTATTTTCTCTTTTCTACTTATATACACACCATTGCTGTCAGGGTGGGCATTCATGTATACAAATTGACCATTCAAAAAGATGGTGTAAAATAAAGGCACCTAAAAAACCCCCAAAAAGTCAGCAATGGCCCTCTAACCAAATGTTTATTAGAAGAAGCCTGTGGTATTTAAAAGGATGAATATAACCCAAGAGATGAGTCCAGAAGAAGTCCAGACCCATCAGCACTTCAGAAAGGCTGAGAAACAACAGCAAAAAGCCATGGAAACCACAATTTTTGCTGCACGTAACTCTAAGCTTCAAAAAATGCTTTCTGTTTATTCTCCAATTCAGTAGATGGTCCCCCCCTGGGTTATACATAGGACTATATCATTATCTTCATTTTGCAGATGAGGAAGCTGATGTTTAAAGACATTATTTGTCTAGGTTATTGATCTAAGGCTGTCCTTGTGTTAGGCTTTATACCTGGACTCATTCCTGACCCCAAACTTTCCAAGGCTGAAACTTGTTTTCTACACTGGTGACAGTTCTTTACACCACACAGTGTGCTATCTTAGTTATTTTTTTCCCTGTAACATAGGTGTACACTGAGTTCCCCTGGAAATACTTGGACAGGAAACATACCCTGTATAGGATGTTTCTTCGACAATCGACATTTAGAATAATGTGGTGTAGAATCAAATAGAATATTTATGTTTAGTGTTTCCTTAACCCAATAAGTGCTGAAATGCAAATCAATAGAAGAGGCAGCCTGTTTCAGAATGAAAAGGAAGGGTGTTCATTTGTTTTACCACCTACTTCACTGTGACACAGCTTGTGGGCCAGACTGCAAACAAGACCTGTCAAAAATCATGCATTGTTCTCTATCCTCCTTGGCTCCATGGTGGATTCCACCTGAAAGTCTCCCATCCAATTCCTGGCCAGGATTACTGTGTTAGATAGAGAACTTAAATGCAGCAACTCCTTGGTGTCTCAAATACTGAGAGTGTGGGTTGTATAGGTTTTTCAAAAAGTGAGGGAAGTTCAATTTAGAAATGCTTCAGGAACAGAGGCAAATTTTCACTGTATTTACAACAGACATAAAGCATGACCCAAATTCATTTACTGGTGAATGAGCTTGAATGTCATGAACTTCAATTACTTCTGTAGAACAGGGGCAAGAAGGCTTCTCCCATCTTCCTCCCAGATGTTTGCTTTGAATGCATAATGTTTCAAACACTGAAAAGAATTATATAAAATTAGCACCATCAATAGTGTTGATACTGTTATGAGATGCTATTTGAAAAGGGCAGAGAGAACCAAATGAGTTTGCATAACTTTCAGTACTATAGATGACCCTTTTTGAACAAGAAGGCCATTTGTCTTCTACATTGGGGACATAGTCCTACTGACGGGAGCACAAAACAAGGATTGTTCTAGACAAGAGAGCTTGTTGATTGAGTCCAAATGTAAAGAAAGCTTTTTTAATATGAAGAATAAAATGCACAGAAGTTGATTAAAGTCTGGATTCTTTCCCTGGCAGGGGTTAGAATAATTTATGCATTTTCCCTCTAAAGTTTCCTGTCTGATTACACCGAGGAGAACAAAGTCATTAAAGGCAATTACCATGTTAATAGACAAGAGATTGAGAATGCTGAAGGTTGGGTAAGTCCATCTTCCTGTCACACACAGTAGTTTTCCCTTCTGCCTGTAGGTTTCCAAATGAATATGAATTGGTAATCAGCATGTTTCATATTCATAATGCAATCAAAATGCATATTTGATTGAATGCCTCATTTAATAAACCAAGAAAATATTCATAACAGTTGTGATACTTAGGGTTTTTAAAAAATTTTTATTGAGGTATAATTACATATAGTAAAATGTGCAGATCTTAAGTGCATACTGTGATATTTTTTAAAAATGTATGTACCTGTGGAAACAACATCCAGTAAAGACATATAGCACTGCCTTCAACCTAGAAAGTCTTTCATGTTTATTGGCATATATTCTCTTTCGCATACCTAGAAAGACCACCATGCTGAACTATGTTCCCATAGATTAGCTCTGCATGTTCTGGAGCTTCATAAAAAAGGAAATGTCTAGATATCATATCTAAGTCTGCCTGCTTTCACTCAGCATAGTATTTCTGGTATTCATCCATGTTGTGTGCACCACTAGTTCATTTCTTTCTACTGCTATTATTCCATAGTATGAATATATCACAATTTGTTTATTTATTCTCCTGTTGATGGATTTTTGGATTGTTTAACATTCTTGCTATTATAAATAAAGCTGCAATAAACACTAGTGTACAAGTAGTTTGTGTAGGCATATGGTTTCATTTCTGCTAGAGAAATACCTTAGAGTTAAATTGCTGGATCATAAATAAGGTAGGTGCACATTTAATTTTATAAGAAACTACCAATTAGTTTTCTACAGAAGTTACACCATTTTGCATTCCTACCTGTGAGCATGAGACATCCAGTTGCTCTATGTCCTGTCTGGCATTTGGTGTTGGAAGTCATTCAAATTTAAACCACTCTAGTGTCTGTATGGTGGTTTTCATTTGCATTTCCACGATGACTAATGGGGTTAAACATCTTTTCATGTCTTTTATGGTCATGTTTATATCTCCTTTTTTGGAATATCTGTGAAAGGAAAATAAATTTTGGGACTCCCAAATCACTAAGGGAAAGGGAAAAATCAAGCAGGGAATTGCTTAGGGCAAACCTGCCTCCCATTCTATTCCTAAAAAAAGGTAGCTACTAAGATAAAAAAGTGACATACCTCCCTCACAAGGAATTTCCTCCTGGACAAAGGACAGACAGAACTCAAAGTCATCCCTCTGTTCACTGAGATAAATGCATATGTGATTGCCTCCTTTGGAAAGGCTAATCAGAAACTCAAAAGAATGCAGCCATTTGTCTCTTATCTATCTATGACCTGGAAGTCCCCTCTTCGCTTCCAGTTGTCCCACCTTTCCAGACGGAACCAATGTACATATATGATTGATGCCTCATATCTCCCTAAAGTCTACAAAACCAAGCTGTGCCTCGACCACCTTGGGCACATGTCTTCAGGTGTGTCATCGGCGTGTGTCCTTAACTTTGGCAAAATAACCTTCCTAAATTGACTGAGACCTGTCTCAGATATTTGGGGCTCACATATCTATCCAACTCCTCTGAAAATTTTTACTGGATTGTCTGTCTTACTGTTTTTGACATGTAGCAGTTCTTTATGTAATTCAAATTCAAGTCCTTTGTCATATACAGGTAATGAACATTCCTCCTAGTCTATGATGCACTTTTTTTTTATTTTTTAACACTTTTGAAGAATAGAAATTTTTAATTTTCATGAATCCAGTTTACTTTTCTTTTTTTCTAATAAAGTGTTTTGCAATCTCTCTGAGAAATGTTTGACTACATATATCACAAAAAGGATTTCCCTCAGGTTTTTTATAGAAAGTTTCAAAATTTTAGCTTTTATGTTTCATCTGTAATCCATCCATTTCTGTTCATTTTCATGTTAGGGATAGATAAAATTTCAATTGTTTTTATACGAATAACCAGTTGTTCTAGCATGATTTGCTAAAAAAGACTTTCCTTTCCCTCATTGAATGACATTGGCACAATTGTCAAAATTAATCTTTCTGCATATATGCAGATCTGCTTTTGGACTCTATTCAGTTTCATTCATCTATCCTGAAACCAGATCGCACTATCCTGATGACACGGTAACTGTACAGTAACTCTTAAAATGAGGACTGTGGGCGGTGGCTCACGCCTGTGATCCCAGCACTTTGGGAGGCTGAGGCGGGCGGATCACAAGGTCAGGAGATTGAGACCATCCTGGCTAACACCGTGAAACCCCGTCTCTACTAAAAATACAAAAACAAAATTAGCCAGGCGTAGTGGCCGGCGCCTGTAGTCCCAGCTACTCAGGAGGCCGAGGTGGGAGAATGGCGTGAACCCGGGAGGCGGAGCTTGCAGTGAGGCGAGGTCGTGCCACAGCATTCCAGTCTGGGCAACAGAGGGAGACTCCACTTCAAAAAAAAAAAAAAAAAAAAAAAAAAAAGAGGACTGTGGACTGTGCATCCTCCAAGGTTATTCATTTTCAAGGTTGCCTTGCTTGTTCTGAGTCCTTTACCTTTCAATGTAAATTTTAGTATTGATTTTGGTGTTTGTAATTATCTCCAAAAGAAGTCTTCTGGGATTGTTAAGACATATTTTAAAAATTTATCTCCTTTATACTGACCTTCCAAACTACTACAGCAAATTGGGGTGGGGGTTGGGGGGTTAAAACAACAGTTCTCACTGTGTTATACGAGAAAAACTGGAGACTCCAAATTTTTCTTAATAATCCAAAATCAGTGTTTGGTTTCTCAATCTCATGAGTATACAGAATATAGAAAGATCATTGTTATGGTTTCAGATTTTACATTGCAAATAACCTTTAAAGAATTACTACATTTTGAGATTTGATGTGGTAACCAAAAAGACTATTTACAATTATCTGAGGAGGCCATTAAAATATTTCTCCCTTTTCCATCTGTATATCCATAGTAAGCCAGATTTTCTTCATATATTTCAACCAAAATGACATAACACAACAGATTGAATGTAGAAGCAGATATGAGAATCCGGGCATCTTTTATTAAACCAAACATCAAATAGACTTGCAAAAATGTGAATCAATACCACCCATATCACTATTTTTTTTGGTTTGGGAAAATATACTTTTCATTAAAAAAAGTTGTGTATACAGTGATTGGCTTATTAAGTTTAAATAAATGAATACATGTTTTTAAATCCCTCAGTTTGAATTCCTCATGTAATAAAAACTGATAAATAAAACCTACATCAACCACAGCTCATGTGATTTTAAGCATATTTTGACAATTCTTGAGCAAATTCTAAAATACAATTTTCTCAGAAACTTATTTCTATGCATTTCATTTTGAGAAGTGGTATTATATCAGGTTAGAAAGTAATAACAATGCCTTTCGTTTTAGATACATTCATTCCTTCATTCCTTTAGTTAGCACAAATTTTATGTACACATAATCCATCTTCTAGAATATGTGCTTAATTCAGTAGAAGATGTACATAATTGGACTAATTTAATCCAAAGTAACATTTTTTATAACTCTGAGTAAATAAAACCAGACAGGTCTGAGTATTTCTTTGTGTTAAAATGTTTGTACCCAAAGAATTCTATTTTTCTTCCTTCAATTTCTTCTCTGATAATTCTTTTCAAGAAAAAAACTAGATATTTAATTTAATTCATGAATTCTAAAATAGTTTGGATATTTTAGAAAACATTTGTGTATTCATACCAATGACAATTTCATCTTTCCCATCTCTCCCATCCTCCAAAACTGTAAAAACGTTAGCCATAAGTACTCTTGTTATGGATTCATTTATTCAATGAACACTTATGGAGTGATGTGATGGAATTTGTCTGAAGGCTATCTGCATTCAATAAAGTAACTGTGAAATTCTTTCTAAAATAAACATTTCTTTTTTTAATGCAAAGAAAACTTGGAAAAACGAAACCATCTAGTACGTACGTGGGTTTCTACGAAGTAAATTCCACTCCTATTTAAAATGACAACTCTACCTTTTCATTTTGAATCAACATCCTACACAAAATTATATCCTTTATCCAGATTCATATGTTCAAAGTCATATTCTTCATACAACAGAAAAGCTGTAAAAACACTCTTAACATTTTGTGCAAATCCAACTTCAACTTTAAAAAGAAAAATCTAAGATATAATAATTACTCCTACACAAAAATGACGACAACAGGCTCTGATATATAAATGGTTATAAGCTTGGGTGTCCATGTGCCTTGAGAGGCTGATCTTTGTCAAAGAACACAGCCATTTCCCTCACCAAGGCGAGGGTGCACAGGCACCTTCTCACATTCAGAGTAAAGAAAGCCTAGTGCTTTGGACCTAAGACATAGATATAGGGAATGGCATACCTGATACATCTCATTAAAGACACAGCAAGAGAAGAGGGTGGAACCACCCCGTGGAGGCCAGCCTTAGAACCTACAACCCTGCAAGAGGATGGCAAGTATGGGGATGACGTCAGCAGAATTACTGCAGCACTGAGAATGGTGAGAAAGAGAGAGACCTTAGAATCCCCTTATATAGTTTGGACGTTTGTCCCCTCCAAATCTCATGTTGAAATGTGGTTCCTAATGTAGGAGGTGGGCCTTGTGGGAGGTGTTTGGGTCATGAGGACAGATCCCTCATGGATGGCTTGGTATTGTCCTTGCAGTAATGAGTGAGTTCTTGCTCTGTTAGTTCGCACAAAAGAGCCCGATACCTCCTCCTCTCTCTCTCTTGCCATGTGATGTGCCAGCTCCTTCTTCACCTTCCACCATGATTGAAAGCTTCCTGAGGCCTCACCAGAAGCCCAGCAGATACCAGTGCCATGCTTGTACAACCTTCAGAACCATGAGCCAAATCAACCTCTTTTCTTTATAAAGCTACCCAGTTTCCTGTATTCCTTTATAGCAACACAAAAATGGACTAACACATCCCCGGTGTAAACCCCTGAAACAGACGGAAATGGTCATCTGGTCCTCGGGTGGGCTCGTTCAGTGATAGACATTCACACTGCCGCAGCTCTTTTCTTAGGGTTTGGTTTTCACTGGCCAACTCAATTATCCTTTAGTTAACTTTAAACCTGCCTTCATGTAACGCCCACCAATTCTTCCTTCATGAGATAGGAAAGCAGTCACTGGCATGTTCCAGGGTCTGCTTCCCTAGAAGGTGGCCAGGGAGCAAAGTTGGATGTGATTTACGAGTGACCATTCCAGGATCAGCCACAGTCACAACGGGAAATAAACCATTAACCTATTTCCAGTGAAAAGGGACTCAGAATTTTACTTTTGTCTTTGGAAGAATAGAAATATAATTGGTCCTTCTGAATTAGATCATCTGGTCCTCAACAATGTTAATAGTTCATACCGCCTCCCTTGGGTCTCTCTTAGGTTTGGTGGAGGAAGATTTAAGAATAAAATGAACAATTCAGTTGTGCCTAGATCAGGCACAGTAAACTCCTCGTGCAGCTGCCTATGGTTTGGCCCCAAAGGAGCAACTTCTGAAAAACGATGGAAGGAATGCTTGGGTTTTGCTTGACTTCATTCATAAATGAAGACATTCCCACCCATTGTCTTGGGTTCCCGTTACTTATTTATGTAATGTTTAAAGGTGGCCAGACATATCGATAAATACATACTGGCTCAGGCTGACTTTCCGTAAGAGGAAGTGTGGTGGGGAGGAGGAAGAGGGGCAGACTCACTAGCACGAAATCACCCTGAAACCTCCTCAGCCACTTCCTAAGAAGATGCACTGAATCCACATGTGCTGTGTTCTCACCCATAGGTACATACAACACGGCTCATGCCACATGCTCCTTGCTGTTTGTTCAGTCAGTAACTGTTGAGAGCTAGGGTGTGCCAGGCACTAAGATAGGCAGGGAGGACAGGGTTACAAACAAAACGCATAAATAAATGTAATGCTGTGTAATACTCACACAGTGCTTCCAGGCGCCAGGCATTCTCCCAAGCACCTTACGGATTTCAACTCACTTGATCCTTGCAACGACTCTATAAAAAGGGGACTGTGGCACAGAAAGAGTCAAGTAATATGTCCAAAGCCACATATCTCATCAAAGATGGAGCCTACAATTTAGTAGAGTGGCTTTTAAATGTATTTGATCTCTTACCCAGAGTTAGAATAGCTTTTACATCATGATTCGGTATACAGGCACACACACACACACACACACACACACACACACAAACACATGCACAATTAAATACATATATCTGGAATTAAAGTGTCACCAACAATATGTATTTTACTACGTGCAGTGTACTGTCATATTTTCTATGCTCTTAACAATGTATTCTAATGTTATTAAAAGTATCTGTCCCCATTCACTAAACTGATGTCATGAGTCCCTCCTCAGTAAGTCACAAACAGAGAGTTTAAAAATCACTAATTTTGTGGTAGGATCCTGGAGGGACATTAAAGGGATGGTCACAAAACAACTGTAATTTTTTAAGTGTGATATAGAAGCTCCAAGGACGGGGGTGGGAGTGGGAAAAAGAGAGGTCCCTCTGAGCCTAGGAATAAAAGGCAGGAGTGACTGGTCTGGATAAAGCCTGGAAGAGCTTTCTAGGGTTCTGTGACCAGTAGGAAGGGCCTGTGCACAGGCTTTGGGAGAGGAAGGAACTTGGTCCAGTGAAGAAACAAGAGAAGGCCAGCATGGCTGGAGAGAGTGGGCAGCCGTAGTGGGGCATGGAATGAGGCAGGAGAAGGAGGCAGCCCCAGGTTACAGGAGATTTTGAGGCCATGGTAGAGTCTGGCCCGGAGTGATGAGCTCCAGAAGCAAATCATTAGGGAAGGGTGTATAGACAAATGAGGAGGCGGCATTGAGATGATCCAATGGACCTTGCATTTGCTTTGTGCAGTACCAGTCATGCTTGGGCCTCTGTGCTGTGCTGTGTGTGGTAAGCACTGTGGGGGTCTCTCTGCTAGCAGCTGCACCCAGCCCCAAGCTGCTGAGTTTGGCAGCTGATGGGTCACAGCTGCCCTATTCTCTATTTATGGCCTTCTGCAGGACAGGGACTGTCTTGTCTTGGAGACCACATACCCCTCCTCCCTTAGCAGATAGGGCATCCAGCAGCCAATGGTCAACCACCATGGTGTCTCAAAGACTGGCCACCTAGCCTGATGAAGGGTAACTGTGGTGCAATTTGTGGACCTGCTTCTAGGGAATCTAACTCAAAGCATGCATAATGGGCCAAGGTCAGTGGCTCACACCTGTAATTCCAGCACTTTGGGAGGCTGAGATGGGAGGATCATTTGAGCCCAGGAAGTTTGAGACCAGCCTGGGCAATATAGTGAGACCCCTTCTCTAAAAAAAAGAAAAAATTAGCCAGGTGTGGTGGCACACCTGTGGGAGCAACTACTTAAGAGGCTGAGGTAGAAGGATTGCTTGAGCCCGGGAGATGGAGGCTGTGGTGAGCCATGATCATGCCACTGCACTCCAGCCTGGGTGACAGAGTGAGACTTTGCCTAAAAAAAACAAAACAACAGCAGCAACAACAACAAAAATGCATAAAGACTGATAAGGCTAGACGAGAATTTGGCCTAATGTTATGAACAGATATGATTTGGAATTTGATTAAAATGTGCTTTCTTTACCTGAATTTTACATTTCAACCAGTTCTGACTTTTGCATTGTTACAGACCTAGGAAATTATTATTACTATTTCAGAGATACCAGAAATACCCTCTCTGTTTCCTGATGTTTTCTTAATAAACCCTCCCATCACCACCCTGAATCCAAAATTCTCTCTACCATAGGGCCCTTCGCTACTTCCACCACCACTGTCTCCATCATCACCACCATCACCAACTTCATCACTACCGCTATCACCACCATCATTATCACCACCACCTCCACCATCACCTTCATTACCACCACTGCCTCCACCATCACCACTACCTCCACCAACACCACCACCATCATCACCACCATCACCTCCACCGTCACCACCACCACCTTCACTACCACCACTACCTCCACCGTCACCACTACCTCCACCAACACCACCACCAGCATCATCACCACCACCACCTCCACCGTCACCACCACCACCACCTTTGTTACCACCACTACCTCCACCAATACCACAACCAACGACCTCCACCATCACCACCATCACTACCACCATCACCATTATCACCACCACCTCCATCATCACCACCAGCACCTTCATTACCACCACTACCACCACCATCACCACCACAACCTCCACCGTCACCACCACCATCACCAATACCACCACCACAAGCACCAACTTCATTACCACCACCACCTCCACCACCACCACCACCACCACCTTCATTACCACCACTACCTCCACCGTCACCACTACCTCCACCAACACCACCACCAGCATCATCACCACCACAACCTCCACCGTCACCACCACCATCACCAATACCACCACCACAAGCACCAACTTCATTACCACCACCACCTCCACCACCACCACCACCACCACCTTGATTACCACCACTACCTCCACCGTCACCACTACCTCCACCACCTTAATTACCACCACTACCTCCACCATCACCACTACCTCCACCAACACCATCTTCATCACCACCACCACCATCATCACCACCCTACCACCACCTTCATCACCACCACCTCCACCATCACCATCAGCACCACCATCACCACCACTACCTCCATCATCACCACTACCACCTCCACCATAACCAACACCACCACCACTGTCACCACCACCACCTCCATCATCACCACCACCACTACCACCATCACCACCACCACCACCTTCATTACCAACACTACCTCTACCATCACCACCACTGCCTCCACCATCACCACTACCTCCACCAACACTGCCAACATGATCTTCATCACCACCACCATCATCACCACCACTACCACCACCTTCATCACCACCACCACCTCCACCATCACCATCACTACCTCCACCATCACAATCACCACCACTGCCACCATCACCACCACTACCTCCACCACCACCACCACCACCACCTCCACCATCACCACCACCACCTCCACCATCACCACCACCACCATCACCACCACCACCACCACCACCACCATCACCACCATGACCTCCATCGTCACCACCACTACCTCCACCACCCCTACCACCTCCACCATCACCACCACTACTTCCACCACCACCACCTCCACCATCACCACCACTACTTCCACCACCACCACCACCACCTCCACCACCACCACCTCCACCATCACCACCACCACCATCAGCACCACCACTACCTCCACCATCACCAACACCACTTCATCACCACCACCACCACCATCACCACTACCTCCACTATCACTACCATCATTACCACCACCACCACCACCATCACCACCACCACCTGTACCACAATCACCACCATCTTGCTGATTGGTCTTCATCCAACAGAAGGCATGTTGATTTTTCTCTCAAGGCCTCACATTAAGAGACTCAGAGAATGACCTGTGATATGATATAATTTCAGGGCTGGGTGACTAAGTCTGAGCCAGATGCAGGTGCATCAGTAAAGATCATATGCTCTACAGAAAGGGAGATGACCTCACAGATGCAG
Organism: Homo sapiens; assembly: GCF_000001405.40. Lineage (NCBI taxonomy): Eukaryota > Metazoa > Chordata > Mammalia > Primates > Hominidae > Homo > Homo sapiens. The sequence continues at coordinate 7,373,077 of NC_000005.10, forward strand.
AGAGAAGCTAAGACTCACAGCGGCTACGACCTCAGAAAGGAAAAGAATGTTGTGGTTCTTGGTTCCTGATAGGCCCCTCAAGGCTGAACCTCCTCACATGTTGGAGCTTTAAAGATACAGCTGTATCAGGCCAGGCGTGGTGACTCATGCCTGTAATCCCAGCACTTTGGGAGACCGAGGAGGGCGATCGAGACCATCCTGACTAACATGGTGAAACCCCATCTCTTCTAAAAATACAAAAAATTAGCCAGACTTGGTGGTGTACGCCTGTAGTCCCAGCTACTCAGGGGGCTGAGGCAGGAGAATCGCTTGAACCCAGGAGGTGGAGGTTGCAGTGAGCTGAGATCGCGCCACTGCACTCCAGCTTGGGCGACAGAGCGAGACTCCATCTAAAAAATACAGCTGTATCAAATCTGCTTGTGCTTTGGCCATCTGAGAGGTGAGAATCTTCTGTTTTTGTTATTTGCAACCAATTCTTAAATAAGTAACAATGTCAAATCAAAATAATCATAGCATATTATTAAAACATTATGAAAATATGTAGAGATATTAAATTTATTTGAGATATAAGCTTATGTAGCAATATTTACATGGACATCACCCTTGCTTCCTATATCCAAACCAGAAAATTCATAGAGTTGACTTAATCAAAAATACAGAATTTAAATCTTCATCTATTATCTTCGAAGTAAGGGATTAAGGAAGAATAATCCTATGATTCCCTCTCTTTACTAATTTATAGTATATTGCATGATGAACACATTTGACTCTCAAGTCAACAAGGAATGAAAGAGATTAAGCAATTTCATTAGTTATCTAACTCTAAAATGAATGATGTATTTATAATGATTCAGGATGCTGATACAGTGCAAACATGTTCTTACTGCAGCCAAAGCTGAATTGGCTGGGGAGAAATTGGGGATGATCATGAGTAAAATATTTCTTCCTTCATACTTAAAGACGACAGAGAAAGAGACAACACTGTAAAGGCAGCAAGATCATCATCTGGCACTTAACAAAGCTGAAAAGGTTCAGCTGCTGCTTCCAGCAGAACTCAAAATGAAGAAGTTATTTGTATCTTATTTTTCTTTAGCTCTTTTTACCCTATACCATACAGAGGTGTTGGCCACAGGGGAATGTCCAATGAATCATCTTGTTATGTTGCAGAACACAGAGGGCTTCTCTAGATTTTTTTTTAATGGTTTTTGAGAAATAAAAGAGCGATATTCCTGACTCTTTCATTACTTCCTCACTGAGAGAGTTAACACATTTAATTTCTGCTTGACAGCTGGGCATGGATTAAGCGTGTTAAGCAGGTAATCCCTTATCTTTCAAACCTAGAGATTTCCCCAATGGCATCTCAAAGATGTGCTTACAAGGCAATGTATATTTCGTTAGTTACTTACTGAACTGGAACTTGGTTTCCCGAAGGCTGTTACCAGGTGTTTTACCAGGTGACCCATGTCAAAAATGACTTATTTCTCATTAATTCAAAATAAGCACTTGAAGCAATGCCCTGATATGTTTAAATGATGTGTTTATATTGGCATAAATAATGAATATATTCTTGTTATTGTTTCTAGTCCTTGACTTAACATCAGAATGCTTTCTTTATTTTTTTTGAAGATTTTAAAAATATATTATAAATGGAACACAGTCATTTCAGAAAATGTGGAAAGTAAAAAAAAAAAATTGTATGCATAAGTCACCAATTCTTCCACCATCCACAGTTTATCACTTTTTTTTTTTTTTTTTTTTTTGAGACGGAGTCTCGCTGTCACCCAGGCTGGAGTGCAGTGGCGCAATCTGGACTCACTGCAAGCTCCGCCTCCCGGGTTCACACCATTCTCCGGCCTCAGCCTCCCCAGTAGCTGGGACTACAGGTGCCCACCACCACGCCCAGCTAATTTTTTTTGTATTTTTAGTAGAGGTGGGGTTTCACCGTGTTAGCCAGGATGGTCTCGATCTCCTGACCTCGTGATCCGCCCGCCTCGGCCTCCCAAAGTGCTGGGATTACAGGCGTGAGCCACCGCACCCGGCCCACAGTTTATCACTGATAAGGTTTCCTTGTGTGCTTACCTTAAACATTTGAAATAATGAGTGATCAATATTTTAACTATTCATTTAATACTATAGAATAATTTTCCCAACTTTTTTGAAAACATGAACATTAAGGATAGCTTAGCTTAAGTGCTCAATCTCATACTGTCCTTTTAGATACTGAGTAACCCCTAAATGTGTGTACTTTGATCGCACTTGTACAAATTTCAGCAATCGCGCTGATTTCAGTAGATATATTATATGAATCATGTGAATAAAATTCAGTGATATCTTCACCAAGCAGAAAACGATGTCCTCTGGCCTCCTACAGTTCCTAGGATACCTGCCTCAAGCCAGCTCACCCATCCGCAGCACCACTAAATATCTAACGTCCTGAAATACCGATTCCTATGGAAACCTCACCAAATGGACAGTGAAATGGGAGGATGATTAATGAAAGATTTTACTTCTCTGATGCCTGAGATTTTCTAAACACATTTCCTCTGTTGTTTGTTCTAGAGTGAATTCTTTTAGTGTCTGAGACTACATTGATTTATGTGGCTGATGTAAACAGGCACACACATCCAATTCTGAGTCTCTTTCAGGAAATATTACAAAATGTATACTACATTCCTCGTCTCATAGATGTAGCTTGATATTTTTTATTTCTAGTTTTATTATAGTAGCATTTCTCCATTAGCCTTCAGCAGGAAATGACAGTGTACTTTTAAAATAACTTTATGTGTTAAAAGGATTTGGGTCGAGATAATTTAGAATTAAGAAGGAATAAACGTATTTTGTAAATGCAATGTTCCAAAAGCCGTCTTTGGATCCCAGCCTAAAAGACTCTGATTCTTATCACAAGCACTCTTTTTTCTTTCTTTCCTTTCTTTCTTTCTTTTTTTTTTCAATCCTGAGATAATAGCTTTCCATCTTGCTGGTCTTGGGATGCAGGTTCTACCAACTTTCAAGACAGGGTTCCATAATAGAGTTCGTTTGAAATATTCAGGGCAATGACCCTGCAAGGCCAGTAAGAACTGGCCTGTGTCCTCCTTGCCCTGCAGACGATGTGGCTGGATACATCAGAAAGATAGCTTCAAGTGCATGAGCCTGCCTGGCTCATTCTCTATATTTCTCTGATAAGGATGGGGCAGAAGAGGAAGTCAGATCAACAAAACCTACTTTTGTCAGGTCATGAGCTACTGCTAGATGCTTCATGTACCCATGAACTTACTTTATCAAACACTCCCACTTATAATTGAGGTTCAGAGAAGTTAAGATATGGCCCCAGGCCATTACAAAGAGTGGAGCAGCATCAGGGCTGAGTCCATGTGCTTAACTCTAAGCCCAGGACCTTCCATTCTTCCATCCCTCCTCTCCAAGGTCACAGTACCCAACCCCTGCAACCTGCCATGGCCTCCTCCCTTGCCTGTTAATTCTTCTTTCCTTGAGCTCTTCACTTGCAGCTCTCCCACTTGGACCACCCTTCTCCGTGTGAATGCACGTTCTCTCCAACACCTTTACATTTAGTTTTGTGTCAGCTTCTCTTTCAGTCTTGCCCAGCTCTCTCAGAGTGTTTCCACTTTCTATTGCCTTCTCTTTTTATTTCCCTTTCTCCCTTCAGAATACTATTCTTCTGAAAGAGCAAAATTAGTTCCATCAGCAACAAAGTGTAAGAACAGTATTATCAATAATATAATGACGTTAAAAATATCCTCAATCAGGCTGACACTTGAATCCTCCTTTAGGAGTCCCTGGAGGGCTCTTGACCCGGGCACAAAGGCAATGCTTCAGACCTCTGAGGAACTTTTCCACAAGATGGGGTTTGAGATGGGGCAGGTGACAAGAACTTCTTGGGGGAGAGAAATAAGGAAGAGAGAAAAGAGAGGAAATAAATGCACAGCTTTAAGTTTAACTTCCTCTTCGCTTTCTCTCTGCCTCACATTGGCACTCATCCAGGGCTTGTTCTCTTCCTAGAATTGGGGGGGTGACCTTCTCCCATCTCCTAATCACTGTCATCTCCCTGCCTTCTTGCAAAATTTTCTTTTCTCCCCAGTTGTCAGTAGTTCTATGCAAATTCTTCTCAGGAAACAATGGTTACGTATATACACTGCAGACACAAAAATATTGGCCAGACACATGCAGAGTGTAGCCCTATTAAGAAAGGGCACTATTCAAATATCTTGCAGAAAATCTAGCTAGTAAATGTTCACTGATGATCATGTTTCATGAAATAGAATGACTGGTGAGCTGAGTGCTGCATCTGCCTGGATAGCCTCTTGTCTCACTCAGCCATGGGGCATCTTTCTCGCTCCCCATTGGTGGCTTTCAAGAATCATGTTCTTTTCCATCATTTCAGGGCTGATATTAGTCCACAAATAACTCAGTCAGAACTGAGCACTAACACTGCAGGCCCAAGTTTATGAAGACACAAGAGTAAGTTCTGACCCACAATTGGGATGATATCTTATGGGAGGCTCCGTGGTTCAGATCAAAGTGCAAATAAGACAAGTTTCATCTCATTTCATCCCATTTTCATAACATTGTAAATTCATATCTTAATAACTTCAGACAATTTTCTCAAATATGTATTATCTTAGTCATAAAGGGAACAATGAAAACATGTTACTGGATTTGACACAGAAAAACAAATCTAAGTAACTGCACCATTAGTGATAGGTTACATACAAAGAGAGACACTGTTCATTTTCTAATAAAGTGTAGCAATTCGTATTTCCTTAATTGGACACTTTCCAGGTTCTCTGTTTTTCCTAAGTTAGGTTATGCAACTAAACCCACCACTCCACAGAGATGAATTATAATCATTTTAATAGGGGAGTATACGCTGACCTTGGAGTTCTCTAAATTGCTCAAAGTGAACAGGAAGTAATTATAATGGGCTGCAAGTACACTCAGGGAACTTACAAAATGCTGTTGAAAACTCACACTATAGCTATTATATGATAAGATATACTGCTTGGTCCTTCAAACTTCAAACTTCTATCAAATTAACAAATAACATTCTTTAAAGAAGAACATCAGGAAGATAGTTCATGTATGATTTAGGTAAACATTATCAAATGCCTGTACACAAACGCACACAAAAATTGTGGCACAACATATGGGATGAGTAAATAAAACCACAGAGGAAATGCGTGCCTACGTTCACACCTGCCATTCTGTGGGAGGTCTTCAACGAAAATGATCACCAAAGAACTACCTGGAAGAGCCCTGAGAACATTGTTCCTCCTCTCAGGAATGAGTGGGGAAGCTCAGTATTGTGTGTAAGCTCCTCTTCCAAGGAAGAGTCATGAATGGACAGCCGCGGACACTCATTCTGGTTCACCATGTGTCTATGTTCCACTGGAGGATCCGTGGCCTCAGGGGCATCTGGGCAGCATTCAGGATGGGAGGGGGCGGCTCTGTGTCCCAGGAAAGGAAGAGGTAGAGGCCTTTAGAGTTTGCTGTACCTGGGGCTTATGTGAAGCGCGTTCTCCCACTCACAGCCTCTAGCTGACCTAGGTTTCTGAGGCTCCCAAAACAAAACCCCTGGAAAGAATGGGGCCCTATCTTCAGGATTCTGAGATTCTGGAAGGTAACCATACTGAGGTGGAGAAGAGGCATCGGTAGGAAAGAGAATAAATCAGAAAGTGAGAGAAATACTCTATAGGATTGGAGTTTAATGAATTGTGGTATGCACTTGCTAGAGTATTTTGCCTATTTAATTTTGACTAGAGACCTATAACTTTATTATGTGAATAACTTATACTTTAGGCCATTACCTAGCACAGCTAAATTAAATATTTATTTCAAGATGAGATTTGTTGGATGAATATTTAATGATAGGAGCTTTATTACTGAAAATTGTTATTATGTCATTTTTGATCAACACTGATCTTTTAGCTTTGTATCTATTACTTTTTCATTTATTTTGGTATCTATAAGAAAGATGTATTTTATTTTTATTTTCACACATTGCGTATTAAACTGAACATTTTATTTGTTCCTACTGTCTATTTTTTATTTTCGTAGAGATGGAGTCTCCCCATCTTGCCCAGGCTGGTCTCAAACTCCCAGCCTCAATAAATTCTCCCACTTTAGCCTCCCAAAGAGTTGGGATTAGAGATGTGAGTCGCTGTGCAAGGCCCTCAGATCTTCCTATTCTTAACAGTGGTTTTACTATTACTTTCCTACCCGTACTATAACTTGATTTCAGACCAGAGTTTCCAATCAGAAGTTAAATTGTCATATTGAACTATTTTCAATACAAATGTTTGTGAAATATAGGAAAAAAACATGATCTAAGAAATTCTGAAATGAATACATGTCCTAAAATATAATTTTAAAATGTTTGATATTAAATATACCACAGTCAAATTTGGCAATCCTTTAAATGATATATTAATGATTTTGTTGTTTTAGAATAATTTTGTCTGAATTTATTTCTATATAAATATTCCATCCTACAAACTACTTCTTATTTTTTTCACATACAGATCTTAAGTGTGCAATGCAATGAGGATGGAGCAACGTATACACCAATCAAGAGAAAGAACATGTCCATTACCCCAAAAAGTTCTCTTACACCCGCTTCCAGGTGATGCCCCTGGCAACCATGAGTTTGGCTTGTAGCATCAAGACTTTACCTGTTCTTGAATTTCAATATATGGAACCAGGCAGGAGCATAATTCAGCTTCTTTGATTCACAGTTCTTGAGATTCATTCATGCTGTTGTTTGTATCAGTAGTCCGTATATTTTTTAAATTAGTGAATCATATTCCATTATGTAAACGTACCACAACTTCTCACATTATTCTGTTGATGGACACACGACCTTTTCCAGTTTGGGTTGTTATGGGAAAAGCAACTGTAAACATTCTTAAGACTTTTTGTGGGCACTATTGTTTGTTTTTGGTAAATACCTACTAACAGCGGAATTGCTGGATCTTAGGGTTGGTGTAAGTTTACATTTCTCAGAAACTGCTGAACTGCTTTCCAAAGTAACATTTTGCACGTATGAGAGTCTTAATTCCTCCACAACCACTCCAACATTGGGTGGTATTGATCCATTTGATGTTAGCCATTGGAGTAGTATGAAATGCTTTTTGTGAATGTAATTTTGGTTTAGCTCATGAACAATGGTATTGACCATACTTTCATGTGTTTAGTGGCCACTGGTATATTTTCTTTTTGAAACATATGTCTAAGTATTTTGCCTATTTAATTTTGAATTTTTTTCTTTTTACTGAGCTGTAAGAATTACATAAATTCTGGATCTATGATAATCCTCAAGTATACATATTCCAAATATTTTCTTTTACAATGTGGTTTACATTATCATTTGTTTAATCATATATTATGAACAGAATTTTTAAAAAATCACATCCAATTAATCAAATTTTTCCTTTTATGTTGAGTCCATTTTGTGGACTAAATATCATTGCTATACCAAAGTCCTGAGGTTATGCTCTAATATTTTCCTCTAGCAGCTCTCTAATGTTAACTTTTATATTTAAGGCAGTGATCCATCTTAAATTGATGTTTTGGTGATTTGTTATGTATTCTTGACAAAATGAGCCTTTTAATATGTTTTTTAAGTCTTTCATAATCTCTGGTAATATTTCCAATCTTGAATTCAATTTCATCTGATATTAATCTAATTCTACCAGCTTCCTCATTCTTACTTTTGTATGCTATATCTTTCCTCCATCTTTACACAGTTCTTTATCTGAGACTTTATATTATGTAGCTGAACCTGATTTTTTTATCTCATCTTCCAGTCTCTGCTTTTTAACTGGAGTATTCGGTCTATTTATATTTAAGACAATTACTGATATGATTGGTCGTAGTTCTTCCGCCTTGCAATGCATTTTCATTTTGTCTCGTGTGTCTTTTATTCCTTTGTTTCTCACTTCCTATATTATTTTGGGTCAGATTATTGCTATTAGAATTCCAATTCAATACTTTGATTGAATTTTGTTTCAATATTTAGTTAAACTGAAATCTGTACTTGTACTGAATTAAAAGTAGGACAGTAGAAATAGTCCAAACCAAACGAGAAAAATATTTTAAATTGTACTTTTTTAGTTATACATTATATTTCTTCTTAGTGGTTATTTTAGGAATTAAAATATGCATTCTTAATTTATCACTGTCTGTTTAAAACCATAAATATTACTTCACATACATTATAGAAGCTGTCAGTGCATAAATTAACCTATCTACCTGTGTTTTGCTAGTGTCATAATTTTTATAAAGTATTTGCTATAAACTTCACATTACAATTAAATCATTTTTGCATTAAATATCTAGTTTTAGATAAAATAATAGAGGAAAAAATACCATCTTTTACATCTGCCCACATGTTTCTTATTTTATTTTTATATTTTTGAGGAAGTCTTTCTCTGTGGTCCACGCTGGAGTGCAGTGGTGCAATCTCAGCTCATTGCAACCTTCGCCTCCCAGGTTCAAGAGATTCTCGTGCCCCAGCCCCTCGAGTAGCTGGGATTACAAGTGTGTGCCACCACACACGGCTAAATTTTGTATTTTTAGTAGAGATGGGGTTTTGTGATGTTGGCCAGCCTGGTCTCAAACTCCTGGCCTCAAGTGATCCTCCCCCAGTGACCTCCCAAAGTTCTGGGATTACAGGCTTGAGCCACCCTGCCAGTTGCATCTACCTACGTATTTCTGTTCTTTCCTGTAGATGTACATTTCCATCTGATATCATTTTCCTTCATGCTGAAAATGTTTTATGGCACAGGTCTACTGGTAATTAATCTTTTTCAGATTTTATTTATCTTAAAAGTCTTCATTTCAAATTCATGTTCTGCTTGATATAGACTTCTCAGTTAATGAGTCTGAGTCTGTGTGCATGTGTGTATATGAGTGTGGAATGCTGATTTCCAGAGTTGTGCATTATTTTCTGATCAGGGTTGTTCTGATATATCCATTCTGCTTTCATAGAAATCATAACTCTTAGAGCACTATTTAAAAATATTAATAATTCAAGATAGCATAAATCAACCTTTATTATTATTTTTCAAATTCATATACTAGGCAGGAAGTAAAAAGAGAATTAAATGTACATTTGAAACAAAAGTATATTTGTAAAAAATCTTACATTTACTAAATTATAATGCCAATATAGATGGCCATTAAATTAATCCTTACACTGGAATTGGTATCCAGTTAACAATAATTCTCATTATTATTTATATTGGCCTAAATTCATTTTATCTTTGCAAAATAAAATTATGGAATTCTAAAACCAATCATTAGTTGACAGGGAAGGTTGTCAACAGAAAACTACAATTCATAAATACAAACATATTTTATTATTAAGTATCATAATATATCATTTATTTGGTTTTAGTTGAATAAAACAAGTTACCCCAGGTTTCTTTGCATGTATGAAAGAAAATAAAAAATGTTATGACAATACAAAATATGGATGGTCACTACTATTTATTCATTTTCTCTAGTGCCATTGTTGTCTTGATTCTATAATCCAAACTCTCAAATTAAAATGGATGCTTCACATTTTCTAAAAGTATTCTTTTGGGGAGTTGAAGAGTGTTTACTCAGGAAACAGCCTCACAATGTTACACATATTATATCTGTATGATGGATAGATCCCATGAAAATATGTCAAGCTTCGCTGGCAGGCGAAAACATATGGTAAGGGTTAGACATTTACCATGTGTGAATTTTCTAAGAATAAGTGGTAATAAAACTAGCTCTGCTGTCAGTCAGCTATTCAGTATTCCAAAGGATAAGTGCACATTAAATTCATGGTATTATATTCAGAATTTTAACATAAATAGCACTCCCATAGAGTAGCATGATAATGTTTATTGTTTGCCTATTTGTGGTGGTCAAACTTATTAGATTTGGTCCAAGTGTCTTAAAACATTGAAATCGGAAAATCAGAAGTCATCTTGTCCAGTCTATATCTATCACAGATCTCATTCTTCACATTTACCAACTCCCTAGAGAATCTGTTTCATCTTAAACAACTAGCAGAAGGAGAAAAGTTCTTCTATTGTACCAAGATATATTTCTCCTAGTTTTCAAATTATCGTTTTAAATTTTATATCATTGAATCTTCTCAGATAAGCTTCTTTCAGACGTTAGCTCAGAGCTCAATACCAGTTCCTACTGTATATCCACTATTTAGATAAATGATGAGATCACCAGCCTGAAAATATTTCAAAATAGCTCTTTAATTTTACTAAAATTAAATCAGAAGTTTTTTTTTAAATTTTTCCTTGAAACCATGTGCCACTGTAACCCCAGAAGAGGTAAGGATATACATTGCTAAAAACAAAGAGAACACTGATTACTTTTTAATCTTAAAATTGACTTTCTTGACTTCTTTAGCAAAGCAATGATTATCAAAGGCTTCTTCAGGAGAGAAATGACTATTATACATTTTTTTATCTCCTCTGGGATGGACACAGCAGCTTGCCAGTTTAACCAGAACTTTTCTCTTTTTCCTTGCTAACTCAACCAATATTGATTTTGTTTAGGCATCTGCTCAGCACAGGCTCTGGAGAGGTAGGCTCCAGGGAGTGAATCCTCATGGATGTTGGCATTATGGTGATGTCACTTATCTTCCTGTGAATGGTTGGAAGATATGTACACAGCCTTGCTCTGGCCAATGGCTACAGGGAGAATTCTTCTGTCTAAAATGTCCTGGGGGCAAAAACCCTTTTGTTCCCATGCCCTTTCTATTCAGAATTCTGTTATGGGAGTACAGGACACTTCTTGCTGCAGTGGTTACCTTGTACCCAACAGGTGACTAGGGAAGAGTAGTCATTGTGCCAAGGATGGTACAGCAAAGTGATAAATGGCCCTGGGAATATAGGACCTCATGGAGCCACCTCCAGACATCTTGTTGGATGCGATTATTAATTACCTAGATAATTGAATCTTGGGTTGTCAGGAATCCTCTTCCTTGATGCTGAAAGCCATCCTAACCACTACTGCACTTTTAGCACATCAAAAGGCAGGTCTGCAGACACAGATCTAAGAATTTCATTGAATTCCAAGGACAGAGAAAAGGAACATATGAAGAATAGGAAGTGGAAAGTCCCAGACTGGGTAGTAAGAAGAAAGAAAGGAGGGAGAGCTAGGGAGGATTTGGAAGCGGGGAATGTGTTCTCATAGAACCTCCATAGGAGGAGGCAGATGTTAGAAAAATTTAGGACATGTGTGATAGTCAAAACATTCAACAACCAGTATGGCACGGGCACAGCCCTCAGGGTGGACTCCTGTCTTGCACTCACAAAGGGTGCTGTACCAGAGCAGCACCAATAGCGCCTGGCAGGCTAGCAGGGGGAGAATCGGTTTGCTGCTGAGAACCTGTCCCTGACCCCCACAAAACACACCCAATTTTGTGGCATGGACATGCCTCAAAAATCCCTGCATGCCTCTGAATGTCAGGAGGCCCTGAAGACAGCTGGGGTGAGAGCTAGCCATCTTGCCTCGGTCTATCAGGGTGCCAGGCAAAGTTACCTCAGTCAAGGGTGATGGAAAAGAGTCCGTGAGAGCTGATGGAAGTCTGGCAAGACTGGAGTGCCACCAGACCCTGACTGGGGTAGCCACAAGTTACACCATCCATCAGCCAGTGCTAATGGAATGACCAGGGCAGACACACCTCAGAAGCCACTGGCACAGTGAGCCTTTCTGACAAGTGAGGATCACAGAAGCCCCTGGATCTGAAGCTAAGATTCCTCTTGCATAACGAATCTCCCCTTCCCCTCACTCCTAGGGGACACTTTGGTTAAGTTTGGAAAGGGTGAGCAGATCTTGAAAGTGGAGCCGCTGCTGTCAAATCAGAGATTGGGTTACATAAAGGGGTTATATAAATATAACCCCATTATATAAATATAAATATAAATATAAATATAACCTTTTTATATAACCTAATCTCATAAAAATACAATCTGTATAATTCAAGGTAGTGTAAATAAACCTTTATTCATATTTTTCAATAATAATATAACCCAATCAATCAATAATAATAATATATAATATAATAATCGGTAATAATAATATAACCCAATCTTATATAAAATCTGTATTCATACAGATATATAAATATATAAGTATATATTATATATAATATATAAAAATATAACCCTTTTATATAACTCAATCTTATATGATACAATCTATAACACCATATATATGGGGTTATATAATTTATCTGTATATAAATTTGTATAGATATATTTATATATAAATACAAATTTATATACATCTGTATATAAAGGGTTACATAAATATAAATATATAATATTTATATTATATATAAAGGGCATTATACATAGATATATATATATAATAAGAGGTTATTTATATATAATTATAACCCCATTATATAATACAATCTTATATGATACACTCTGTAACCCCAGTGACAGATTATATTAGTCTGTTCTCACGCAGCTATGAAAAAATACCCGAGACTGGGTAATTGATGAAGGAAAGAGGTTTGCTTGACTCACAGTTCCACATGGGGAGACCTCAGGAAACTTACAATCATGGTGGAAGGCAACAGGGAAGCAAGGAACCTCCTTCACAAGGTGGCAGGAGAGACACTGCGTGCCGAGTAAAGGCAAAAGCCCCTTATAAAACCATCAAATCTCATGAAAACTCACTTACTATCATGAGAACAGCATGGGGGAAACCGCCACTGTGATTCAAGTACCTCCCCCTGGTCCCACCCTTGACACATGGGGATTATTAAAATTCAAGATGACATTTGGGTGGGGACACAGAGCCAAACCCTGTCACAGATCCCGATGGATGGTACTGCACTCCAACAACTTCCTCTCCTCCCTACCCCAGAGACGGGGCTCTGTGAAAAGCTGAAATCACTTATAGAAAAATAAAGCTCAGGTGAGCTCTACTTGAGACATGTGTTGCTGGGAAGCATTTTTTTTTTTTTCCGAGTTACACTCTCGAAAGAAAGCTCCATTAGGCATACTGTGCAACACAGAGATTCTGAGCCCAGGTTCTGCTTGGTTACTCTTATTGCCATGGTCTTATTTTCTCACCATCATTTCTTAGAGTTCATTTCTGAAATTAAATACACATTCTAAAATAATCAAGTCTAGATTTTGTATGTGCTCATTAATCATTTTAAAATTTGCTATGTTTTAATTATCTTTAGTTGCTTACTCCCACTATTATTTAATTGAAATTTATATTCCACCTATTTTTAAACCAGTTGGAATTATCTTTTTAATTAAGCACTATTTGAAATAGAACAATCAGAGGACTGCCATTAATCCACTAATCCTTCTTGGGAATTGGGTGGGGTATCAATCAATCATCAGTCAATTAAAAAACAGAAAAGCTTCCAGATGGCTAAAAGAAGCTACAAAACTCAAAGGATTATAGGATTACATATGTATTACAGTAAAAATAAGTAAATTAATTAAACGAGATCATGAATGTGGAGTATCCAGTTGTCCGAGCAGCTTAAACAGTGTGGTCCTTTCCCTAAAGGTCTTATACTATAAGACCTTGTGTAAGTATATCATAAATTATTCTGGGGCAATGATCAAAAAGAAGGTAAATAAGCACAAGTAATCATCTTTTAAATGCTTTAAAACATTTTAGACATTTCAATGGTTTATTCATCTAACAATCACTGGATTGAAAGCGTTGAGTGGAACCAGTATCCCTTCTGCTTCTTGTTATGGAAACCTATTTAATAAGAAACGTACCTGGACAATAGCAGTTCAGCATTTCTTAATACAAATCTCCATGGTTATTTGTCTTGCTTTGTCGCCTAGGCTAGAGTGCAGTGGTAGGATCTCGGCTCACTGCAGCATTGACCTCCTGGGCTCAAGCTATCCTCCCACCTCAGCCTTCTGAGTAGCTGGGACCGCAGAGGTGCATCACCATACTCGGCTAAGTTTTGTAGGTATTTTTATAGAGATGGGGTTTTACCATGTTTCCCAGGCTGGTTTTGATCTCCTGGGCTCAAGCTGTCTGCCCACCTCACCCACCAAAAGTGTTGGGATTACAGGTGTGAGTCACCTTGCCCGGCCTAAGAGCCCTTTCTTAAACTTTGGGCTCTAAAAGAAGTCTAAGTACCAGGCTAAGTACAAAAATCATTTTATAAACTCCATTTTGCCCTTTTGTTTAGATGTAATTCACTGAAACACGACTGATAGACCCCGAAGAAGAAAAGGGCCGAATATTATTTGGGTCAAGAATACTTTACTCTCAGGAAGCAAAAACATTCTGAAAGGTTCCAAATGAAAGAAGACATCTGATGGGCAATGTGTAAATCACTGGACTAATCTGATTTTGTTATGCACTTACACCTGTGATTCCGGATGTCAAATTTCGCAAGTCCTTTATCCCTTGAATTTTCCTATAAAATACCATTGAAAGAGGGAAAGAAGATGGCTAGTGGACACTTTTCTACACCATCAATGTAGAAGGTTGGCAACAAGGACTTACAACTTATTTGTAAAATTTTGTCCAAAACAGACATAATTATATTATTTGCAAATTTAAAGACTAAATATAATTACATACTTTTCACTTCACATAAAAAAGTAAATGCATCCCTGTAACAACACATAATTACAAACTGTACATCTTAAGAGTAGATACTTTGCACTTTAATGAAACAATATAAAGTAATTTGAATCAACACTGAGCAACCTCCAAGCCTGATATATATTTTCTATATTTTAATCTAGATATTTTAACATTAATATCTTTAAAATTTCTAAGTGTATATTTTTTAAATGTTTAAGATAAGTCTTCCATTTGTTGGCTCCTTGGAAGAATATATTTAGAAGAACAGCTCCCTGCAGCAGGGAGACAGATTTTTTTTCCTGTGTATTAGTTATTAGACTGTAATGCAATAATGAGGGTCTAGGTTGAAGATTGCTTTTTTATTCCTTTAGCCTGCTGAGCATGAAAATGTCTTCAACGTTTCTCAGTAACAATGTAAATACAGCTTGTCTTGATAGAGTTGGCACATTAACCATATCTGGTCATTTGGAGGCAACTGGCCACATGAGCCCAGCAACCTTCCCTAAACATTGTCCCAGGCATCACGTTGTACTGAAATAGGAGCTGAGAGAAGTACATTTCAGGTGGCTTATGTGCAGGAAAAAGCAGATTCTGTCTGTTTCAGGAAGGTTCAATTGATTATTCATTTGAAATATCAATTATTACTCTGACAGTATTTTCTTAACTAGTTTTTATATAAAAATTTAGTCACTGTTATCTGTGTATTCATTTTATTAAAAAAACCCCAGTGCTTACAATTCCTTGTTCATAGTGATATAAATGATCATGCTTTTTAAATAATAAAGGACAAAATGAGCCTGCATGCTAGTCATCATCATAATGCATTACTAAAAAGATGTACTCTCAAAATGTCTTTTACTTAACCCTCCCAATACCCAAAATATTGCTTAACAATAGTGGCTTGCTATTTTAAGAGAGTAATCAGGATTGAAATAGTGTTATAATCAGCTAATGGTGCTGAGAGTGGGTGAAGGAGGGAGGCCAAGCAGAGCCCCAGATGTAGATGATGAGAATCAGCTCTCTGCACAAGGGAAGTGGAGGGTTGTGGGTAGGTGAGAGTTGGTGTGGGTGGGTGTGGGTGGCGGGTACTGTTGCAGACAAAGGAAGAAACAGGGATATAGGTCCAGAAATGGGGGTGGGAGTAGGGTGGTCGCAGAAACTTGAGGGGCTCCCTGCAATTATTTCTGGAGCCTAAAGCAAGAGGTATAATGGCATTAGACGGTTAAGCAGGGCAGCTGCAAGCAGGAAGGAGATGATGAGGGAAGAAACTGGGGGAGACTTGAGAAAATACTGGGTAACATTGGCAGCAACAATAGTTGTTTGGATGTGGGCCAGTGACAGAGTAAGAGCAGTACAGTCCAAGCCTCCTGGAGCCAGGAGAAGGTTTGTTAGGTTCGGACATTGAGTTCAGTTTCAGACTTGTCACTTATGAGAGCTGAGGGTGTGGCTGGGGTACTATTTGGAAGAGAAGTGCACAGTTACTTAGGCATGAAGATATTCATATGTATCGCGTGCTGCAGCACTCAAATGTGCTACTTAAAATATTTATTATGGTTTCTTTTTGAAGTCTTCCATTTAATAGCAAAAAATCCTGGATTTATTATAGGCAATCTGTAACTCAGTCCATGAACATGAGGCCTTACAGCATTTGAAATTAAATTTAGAAATATATCACATTTTACAAAAATGCTAGGTGTAATGAACAAACAAAATCCAGCAAACAGCAAGCCTATTCTGATCGTTCTTCTTACTACCCCCTACGCTGGTCTTCACACTTGGCAATCAGTGTGGCCATGCAGGGAGCTCACACATTATACTGCATCCTACCTCTGCCTTCTTGATGTCAATATCTCAATACAGTTAAGCTGCAAAGAGGATGAAATTCTTTTTTTTTTTTTAAATGGAGTCTCACTCTGTCACCTGGGCTGGAGTGCAATGGCGTGATCTCGGCTCACTGCAACCTCCGCCTCCTGGGTTCAAGCGATTCTCCTTCCTCAGCCTCCTGAGTAGCTGGGATTACAGGCCCCTGCCACCACGCCTGGCTAACTTTTTGTATTTTTTTTAGTAGAAACAGGTTTCACCATGTTGGCCAGGCTGATCTCGAACTCCTGACCTCGTAATCCACCCACCTCGGCCTCCCAAAGTGCTGAGATTACAGGTGTGAGCCACTGTGCCTGGCCAAGGACGAAGGTTTAAATTAACGCTTTATAAATCCTGGGAGACTTCATTGATATTGCCCAAGATGTGTTACTGGGAACACACGTTTTGCCCAAGATTTGTTGCTGGGAACTCACAGTACTAGATGCCATTTTCTCTTGATAAAAAATCAACCTCAATGATATTTTCTCCAGATAATCTCTTTTCCTGGACACATTTATTTTGTCATTATTTCTTTAGTATCTCACCTTATATGTACTGTTACCCTTTGCTCTATTGGTCAAGTGGAATTGGTAGCAATAGATGTTCAATCTTTCATGAAAACCTTGCCACTTTAAAATTTGAAAACATCATGAGGTTTTTAAAGATATAGTGGAGGGTACTGTTTAATATAGTATAATAGCAAACATATAAAGACAACCTCTTCAGGACCTGGAAATATTTTTGTCAAATGAAGTTTTGCTTAATCCATTGCCATTACTCATCAATTGAACTCAGTTTTTAAAAGAATGAAGTTGTCTGTGTCTTTCTTGATTTATTCATTCATTCATCTAGCACATACTTATTAAGCACTTATTATGTGTTTTGCAAATTTCAGGTAATAGGACTATAAGGAACAAAAGAAACAAAATCTTTTGCCTTGACAGAACTTACCTCTTAGTGAGGGAACACAGGCCACGTTAATACAAAAGTAGGATTTGTGGGTGTTTACTAATTGTTATGATACACCACTAATACACTTTTTTCTTGCTTTATACCAAAGGAAATAGTACTTATTATTAAATAATTAGACAAAATTCAACAACCTTCTTGGTGCAGTTCAATTTTATTATATTTATATATTTTTAATTGGATGCAAACAATTTTTTTCCTTTCAGTCTAAAAATATTGATTAAAATCCATTCCTTTACCCAGCGGTGGTACAAACATGTTTGAAAGAGTCTTAGAAAAATTGGTCCATTCTTTATTTTCTTACTTTAAAAATAAATCAGCTGAAGCTTGGAGATCTTATGTGACTTCTCCAACGATGTATAGTTGATATCAGAGATGGAACAAAATCCAGTACATTAAGGAAGCAATTCTGAGAATATTCACAATTACTACACTATAGTGTGGAATAAGACTAGAAGTGAATTTGATTTATTTTCAAATTAAAAAAATTATGAATCAAAACATGTGAAGTGGCTTAAAATCATATGTTGGTTGAATTGAATGAGAAAGGTGAAATTGGACAAAAACATGCATGAACTATATCTCGGCATGGTTCCATAGAGGCCATGTCTTGTCCCTCAATAAACATTTTTTTTTTAAATTTTAGAGCATAATTAAGTTACTCCTTAATGACTATTTTAAGAGACACTAACAAGGGTATAAAAATAAAAGCCAAGGTATGTGAACTTTCCATTTACGTAAGCTTGCTAAATAAGCCCCTCTTCCTGCACCTCTCTAGGCAACTGATCCTGAGCACACGTCTCCATGGCGGCAGGAGTCATTGCTTTTTAGATCACGTTCTCCGAGCAAGAGCCGAGAAATCGATATCTCTCACAAGGCTGTAGACGTGCTGGAACTGATTAGTCATTAACCTATTGTCACTCCTCCCAGCGCTCATGGAAGGAGTTGCAGCATGTCAATGGATTTTAAAAGAGTACCAGGATTAAACTTCTCCATGGCAGTGGGCATTTGTGAAAGGTCTGTTCTGAAATACCAGTACCATCTTCTCACATGTTAAGGGCCAAAAATCTCAGTAAGTCACTCCAAATCAGGTTTTACAGATGATTTTTTGAAATATTGATTCTGGTATTGTCCCTGAAAATTTAATTTATCAAATAAGCCAATTAAGAAGCGTCTTTTAAAGGCACGTAGGGACCATTCAGCACTGGATGGACAAGAAAATGAACATATTAATCTTACAGTCAGCAACGTTTTGTTGATGCTTTGGAAACTGAACTGCAAAGGAGTACTTAAATGAACTGAAAGAGTTAATTTGACTTCTAAGAGCCATAAACTGGCTTGGGTTGGGTGGATTCTGTATTCCCAGACTCTGGTTCAATAAAAATGTAAATGTTATCTGGGTACACAAAGCATATTTCATGGCGATAATGAATCTGTTGACATACTGTTCATACTTTATTATATAAATTTTAGTAATGTATTTGCCAGAGAGAAAAATGAATACACAGGGAAAGACTCTGTGCTCAGCTCTACAATCTGCCCCAGGTTGGCTGGCACACGTTCGCTTCTGACCTTGGCGCAGTTTGCTGGGCTGCCTTGATTTAATCAATCAGAGCCCTGTGGATGTTGAGAGGAACACGACGGCGTCATTGACTGAGCTAATCTAACTGGATTTGAAATAGGAGCTAGAAGATGGGTTATTTTTAAACCAAAACCCACTGATGCATAAACCTATCCTGCAGCGTGATTGCTTAGATTTATAATCGATTAGGTGTGTCTTAGTGTGTATGTAATCCCTGAGAGGTGACCACATTAGGAGGGGATGGGCTTGAGTTCGCAGGCAGAGGAGGCCTTCTCCTTTGGCTGGCCTGCCGTAGGCTCTGCCTGCAGGCCCAGAATGGAGTGCTGTTTAGTGTGACCTGTTACCAGCATGGGCTTTCTAATTTGCAAGGCCGCGGGCAAAACGGACATGCAGAACCTTTTGATCAAAAATTTTGAAGAATTTCAGGGTGGTGACAGCAGAACCTTAAACCAGCTGCACAAGTCACAGATCCAAAAAGTCAGCCTTGCTTGCTGGGTTATGAGGATAGAGGGCTGCCCTCTAGCGTTACAGGAAAGAGGAATTCTGCTTCCTGATGTTTGCTTTTTATTTTTTCTCCCACAGGCCCAGTTAGAGATTCCCCAGCAGGTTTCTTTTTGCAACAAATAAATTGCTACAGAGTAAATATATGGGAGAACCTCTTGCTCTCCAGGCCTTACCCTTGGAGTGGCAGCCCTGCTACCCAGAGACACAGAAATGAACCAGAGGTCTCCTTTGGGGTCCCTTTAGTTTCAAGAGTCCATATTTCACGCTCCTGGCTTTGTACTAAAGGACGTTTTTCATTTTACTTCATATGGCTTGTAAGTTATTATTTTGTTTCTTTTTTTCTTTTTTTCCTTTTTGAAATACAAACTTGTGGAGAACTTTTTAAAAGGCATACTTAGTGCAATCGATTCTAAAACATGAATACAGAAACTGTAATGATTGTACTGTTTCACTTTTTTTGGTATTAAACATAAAGCAATGACAGAAGCCCGCATAAAAATAAGCATCAAAACAAAACAAAGATCAAACAAAGCCTCAGAGAAGCACTGACATATTCTTCATTTTTATATTATTTTCCTTCTAAGTCCTGTGTCTATGATGATGAAATTTAAATTGTAGTGTTCAGGAGGAAAGGAGGAGTAGGAATGTTGATTTTTGTTCCTGTTTCACTTCTTGTAGCCTTACTTTTCAAAGTAAATTGGAAACTATTACAAGGGTCCCAGGATCCCTGTCTTTCCCACGCCTTCACCCTGCCCCCTTCATCCAGCACATGGTAGGCACATAATGTTAGTTTAATAAACTAATGGAAGGATGAGTGAATTAAAAAAAATTCAAAAAGATCAAGGGCAAAATAATCTCCATGTCATTACATTGTAACAAAATTTCTTAAAAGTCTTAAGACTGCCTTTACCATACAGAGAACATATATATGGTATACATACTGGATATTTAAAAGATTCCACTTCCCCACTAGGAAGAAGGAGACAGTAATTAAGCATTTCCTTTTCCTCATAAGTTTTTCAGCTCTTTTCGCATAAACCTAAATGACGGATTATTTATTTTTTCTCCCTTCTTGAGTGGGTGAAGACAAACATGTATCAATACAAGGGGTAAAGAAGCAGCAAAGATTGAAGAGAAGATGAATAATTAGTCTGTTGCTAGCACAGGAAAGGACTGGAAATGTGCAACTCTGCCCGCCCCAGAAAGACCAAGCACACAGCCGGAGGAAGACAGAACCAACACAATAGAAACCGTGTCCAGCTTCCCACTCAACCGTGTTTCCTTGGAAGGGATTGGGTTCTGGATATTTATACCGCGGATTCATCAGTGTTGTCTGTCATGGAAGCTTGCTCTCAGAACCTTCAAAAACCTAAAATCTGGGAGTATAGTAATCACATCCTGAGGTTCATAGCAAAGCACCGAGCCCAAAGCATCCAGCCCAGTGAGGTTTGGTGGGAGGGTCTGAGGTTGAAATTACCTGGGTTACAGTCACAGGAGGGTGTTGGAGTGGAGGGCAGGCAGGACAGGGTGGGGGCAGCAGTCCATAAACACTGCAGGGAAGAGAATTTCTTTCTGCTGCTAGGGCAGGATGACCCACGGTGGGAGGTGAGCCTTGGGACCTACAGGAGGCTTCAGGGGGACACCCCCCCACCCATTGCCTCCTCCTCCACTCCTTGTTTCCAGGTCCTCAGAAGGAGGGAAGTCCAGGGACCAGGGAGCCTGGTGGGGCCGGACCTGAGGTACTGCACGCAGCCCTGGGCCCAGTCTCCTCGGCCACCTCCCTGCCTCTGGTGTCTATGAGATCTGCGGGTGAGCTGTGCAGCTCCTGAGCCCTCATCCTTAGGCCCTGTGGGCACTGACGGATGCTAAAATGAAAACCTCTGGAAGGATCCGTGCCCGGCCTGGCCCTGTGCTCAGGGTAACGCAGCTACCTAGCTTACATGCCCTCTGCCAGCGAGGAGGACAGGACAGCCAGGGAGGCGGGGCATGGGGCCATTCGAGAAGGTTCTGAGGTCTTAGGTGGTGACAAGGCTGAGTCCTGAGAGCTGGTCATCTCCTGGAAGAGATGAAAAGTGCATGGAACAGCCCTCTGGGGCTGCCCTCTGGGATGCTCGCTGGTGGCAGGAGAAGGGAGGGCTCTTGTGCCTTGGATTCCTTGGGGTAAGGCTTTGGGGGAGGAGGTGGGATTTGGGGGCTCTTTGGGCCGGACCACACTCGAATAGGAGGAAACTTCCAGAAGGGTGGGTTCCTTTGGTGATAAGCAATGAAGCCCCTTCGGCCCCCAGGGCGAAGGCCAGCGGCCTCCGCTCCCACGCGTGTCGGGAGGGGACACTGTCCCTGGTGACATCCGCCCCCACAACGCTCCTGCCGGGTCTCTAGCGCCTCCTGCGTCCAGGCCCCCAAGGTGACAGGGAGGGAGCTACTCCCAGGGCCGACCCGCCCGCTCCCGCGCCCAGCCGCTCTCCCCGGCGCCCCTTTGCCGCCATCCCCGCTC
Organism: Homo sapiens; assembly: GCF_000001405.40. Lineage (NCBI taxonomy): Eukaryota > Metazoa > Chordata > Mammalia > Primates > Hominidae > Homo > Homo sapiens. The sequence continues at coordinate 7,395,093 of NC_000005.10, forward strand.
AGCAGAGGGGCTCGGCGAGGACCACGACCAGCCACGGGGCAGCTCTGTAAACCTGTGATATGACAGGCTTATACGGCACCTCCAAAGTGTGACTGAAGCTGAGCGTGCAGGGCGCAACGGACGCTGCCCCCGCGAGGCCGTGGCGGGGGCTCCCAGTGCAGTCACTGCCGCTTCACTTCCACATGGTGCCGGTCTCCAGTTAGGTCCCCTGGCGTTTCCGCGCCCTGCCGCCCTCGCAGGGAGCCCCGGCCCTCTCAAGAGGGTGGAGAGGATGGGGGAGCCCTCAACCCTGCTACGCTGAGGGGAAGAAGGGCTGGACGGCAAACCGGTGCCCACCGCGGGGAGGCGGGAAGGGTGGGAAATCCTCTCCAGCTCCCCAAAAGAGTGAAAAGGAGGGAGACCCCGCTGTCCTCTGACCCGCGTACTAAAGGAGGGACCCCCCGGGTCCTCTGACCCCGGCTGCGCTCTGTGACTGTGGGGGAGGGTGGGAGCAGGCCCCGCAGCCCACTAAGGGGTGGAGGAAACAGGAGGGTGGCAGCGTCCCTGCCCGCTGACCTTGAGGTAGTGGAGAGGAGCTGAGGAGCCCCGCAGTGCTCCGAGCCAGGTGGGGCGGGGGGAGTGGTGGGGGTAGGACTCCCTCCCTCCACCCCTTAGGCTGTGTTCTCACTTCGTAGCGGGGAGGGCCGTCCCTCCCACCCCACCCACGCTGCACTCGGGATAGGGCAGAGGAGGTGGACGACCTGGTGGCTGAGTGTGGGAGGCCGGCGGGCGAGGACGACCCCGGGCCGGGGCGCAGCGGGAGCCCCTCAGTTCGCCACTCCCCCCACCGTACAGCCCCCGCCGTCCCCAGCCTGCAGCCGGGCCGTCGGGTGGGGGCCGACACCGCCCCTGCACGGAGGCCGGCTGCGCGCGGGGCGGGGAGCGGCGGGCGGAGGGCCCCGTGGAACCCGCCCCCTCCCGCGCGGTGGCGGTGGCGGCGGCGGCGCCGGGAGCTGCCCCCGAGGCCGCCGCCCGGCCCCCGCCCGCGCGTCAGCGCGCCCAGCCCGGGGCGCCGAGCTCCGCCCGCGCCGGAGGCCCCTGCGCGCAGCTCCGGGTGCCGGCAGCCGGGCCGGCCGAGGCGGCGCGGGGGTGGGACGCGGGCGGCCGCGGCGAGCGGCGCTGCCCGGGCCGGGCGCGCACGGCGGGCGCCCTGTGAGCGGCCCCGATGTGGCAGGAGGCGATGCGGCGCCGCCGCTACCTGCGGGACCGCTCCGAGGAGGCGGCGGGCGGCGGAGACGGGCTGCCGCGGTCCCGGGACTGGCTCTACGAGTCCTACTACTGCATGAGCCAGCAGCACCCGCTCATCGTCTTCCTGCTGCTCATCGTCATGGGCTCCTGCCTCGCCCTGCTCGCCGTCTTCTTCGCGCTCGGGCTGGTGAGTGGCCTCCCCGCGGGTCCAGCGCCGCGCCTTCCCCGGCCCTGAGAGGAGCCCGGCCAGCCGAGCCGCGTCCCGCTCCGGGCTGCCCCTCGGCCCGCGGCAGCCCCTCGGCCCGCGGCAGCCCCTCGGCCCGCGGCTCCCTGCTTCTCCTGCTGGCCCGCGGCCCGGTGGACTCTGGCAAGGGCTGCGGGCGGGAGAAAAGTTTCCTGGGAAGGCTCTTCCCAAAATAAAGTTCCCGAGGTGTTCACCAGGTGGACGGGCAGGGCGTGTGCTTTTTGCATCTTTGCGCACCCGCTGGCAAACTCTGCGCTTTCCGCCGGGCACCGCTGCCCGCAGCGCTGGAATAGGTCTTCCCCGACTCAGCCCTGGGCTTCCTGGGCGAGTCGCTGTCTCCTGCCCGGTTCCACTGGCATGGCCCCACAGTTGGCATTTTAGTTGGGATTGGGCGTTATTCAACTCTGCAGAAAGCCTGCCTTGGGAAAGTGGTTAATGACAAGGAAAATGAAGAAGAAAAATTAAGTATACATCTTTGCCTTTAAATCTGTATGCATTTAGCTCTTTAGCCCGATAGACGGAAAGTGATGTGGTGTTGACTTGTGAATCAATCTTTCATCTCAGAGACTACAGTTAAGAAGCGTTTGGGACGGACGATTGCTTTCCCGTTTCTAAAGAAGTAACGTGTTTAGGGTTTTGGACAGGTTATTAAAGTGGATTTCATCACGAGGAGTATAATGCAGCTCAACAGCTGATGTCAGTTTTGCCAGTTTATATTTTTCAAGCAGAAATCCTTGGCTCGCTCCCTTGAAAAGTGAGGGGAAGTCTGTAGATGGCGATAACTTCCTGTTACTGATCTCTGAGTGTGTGGTTCAAACTTTTGCACTGCCTGTGACATGCATGTGCAGATTTTGTGCGAGGCATTGATTATCCACCAGTGAGTTTTTTTTTTTTTTTTTTTTTTTTTTTTAGTCAGTGGTTGATCTGTGAATGTGTCCACTGGGTGATGTATTTTGAGCTTAGAATATAAATATGTGCCTATATTTATATGTGTCCACCACCAAAGAAGTGGATTTTGCTTATATTTCACCATGCATAAAATAGCTGTCCTTGGTATTTGGCAATTTGTTTAGGATGTCCGGAGCCAGATGGTGTTCAAATGTTATGCATGGGAAGAATTGTTACCATCATGTTTTTAAAAAATAAAAAAATTCCCCCACACCACTCAATGGTAGCTGTCTACTGATTGAGTTCAATGAGGTAAGAATAGAAATAGAATGTAGGAGGCCATGAAGTCACAGATCACACACTGGCTCTTGTACTATCAAACCTAGAGCAGAGAGTAACTTTTGATCCCTGTAGTCTAGATAGGAGTCCGGAGAAACCCTCACTCTCTCCACATGTAACCAGCCTTCTATGCTCTCTGGAATGGCATTTTTATCTCTCTTTACTACTTTTAGGAACAAAAAGGACTTGGGGAGAGACTTCTGCTCAGTCTCATGGGCAAGCAGGATCTCTAAAGTCATCTACTTATTATTTTTTACTTGCCAGGAAGAAAAGAAACATCAGAGTTTTCCTTTGGAAATCTGTTCTGCTGGGGCATTTCAGCTTGTGATTCTCTTGAACCTGTAATTCAAACCTGCTCTGGCTTGTTCTCTTCTAAATGGAAAGGAGCAGGTGATGACCTATTTATAGCAGCATTAATATATTTAAAGACAAGTGTGAAATTCATGCTTCCTCTGCACACACCACTTTGTTTTCTGTGATGGAGAATTCTAATTTCTTAAACCTCATTGATAGAGATTCTTGAATGGGTCACTCAGAGATTTAGCATTATTGGGCTTAAAGCACCCTTCTTTGAATTGTCTTTGTTCTTTGTATTTGTGTGTCTATATTCAATTCCTTTATGTTCCATTTTGCTTGGTGCATATGTGTTAGTGGTACCCTTTTCAAAGCGTTTTCCACGCATCTTTACTTTTCCTTGATAAATCAATCATTTTAATGCTCCTCTTGCCTTCAGCTAAATCATTTTAAGCACAAAGTGGGCATTTCCCACAGCATGGCTGTCACCTATGGTGAGGTCCAGAGACAGTGAAATGAATCCTGTCCTTGGCCATACCTAATTCATGGTCTCATGTCTACTATGTGCACCCTTCAAAGAGATAAGCTGTGCAGAAATGTTCCAGAATCAGGGAGGGTTACTCAGTCTGATAGAAAAGCCACCTTCAGGCAGAGACCAGCTGCAGGACCAAGTCGGAAGGAGCTATGCCTAGGAGAAATGTGCCCTGTGTTCTGAAACCGGACCTGAGTCGGGACTGGGATGATGTTGGGCTCCCAACAGCCTGTTTCTATTTTGATTTTAGAAACACCATAACCAGCATCTCTGCTTTCCAAAACACGTTCTCCATCCAGATAGTCAGCGATGGCTGGGGTAGGAACATTTGAAGGTAGAATAGGGCTAAGGTAAAGCTGTGTTCATGTAATTAGAGATGAGTTCATTTCTTGGGCTGGCAGGGCTTCGCTTCAGAGAGGTCTACCTTGGGAGGTGGGAATGGCTGCTTTGGGACCCTGCCAAGGTTTCCATGCTGGAGCACTTTACTTGAATAGCTGGGCTGTCATGCAATTCAGGAGCTAAGCAGATCTATTTTTGCTGCCTAAAATCTTGGACAGATTCCTTTTTTTCCCCCTGAATCTGCCTGATTTTGATTTCCATTAGACTTTCATCAGTTCTTATAGAAGTTTGGCAATCTGCTTAAAGCACATCCCTAGCCTCCTAGAGCATTTGGACTACAAAATGCTCTTAGCATAATGCAAGTACATAGAGATTTTTTTGCTGTATGTAATTGCCTTTGTAGAAGTGATTTGGAATACATACTAAAAAGAAAAAAGCAAGCTTCATTTTGATTTAATATTTCCCTAATTGATATTGTTCACAAAGTGATTTCATTTAATTTCAACCTTTGATCAATCCTTGATTCTGCATTGTTGGCCCTAAAGTTAAAGTAATCCTCAAAGTTTTATATGCTGTAAAAGTAAATTCTGAATTGAAACTTCACAGTCTTGGTTAATTTATTATTTTCTACATGAAAACTATTAAGTAGTTTTAATCCCATATTTGTGAAGAATTATTTGAAGACAGGAAACTCAGTAAATATAAAATTTGATGGCATGTCTTGAATTTAAATATTCTGTTTAATAATATGAGTAATAGTTTCTGCTGTTTATCATGGAGAGTATTCATGAAAAATCTGATTTATAATTTTTTCACCATCAGCTTGTTGAGTGCCTACCAAGTGCCAGGAATGGCAATAATGCTGGGCATGGGGAACAAAATAAAATTGACCCCTGGCATCAGAAAACTTAGAGCTAATGAAATGAAATTTTAAGTCATAAATCTTATCATGTCACTTGGTTTTTAATTTTTTTCTTTTTCTTTTTCTCATTTTTTTCTCTTTCTACTTTGTTTTTTGGAACTGGTTTTTATTACTGAATGCATGAAAACCCTTTTTCAGAATTTAATACTCTCATTTATTATATCCAAAATCAGCCAGCTGTTTTCAAAATTTGCCTGTCAGTGTTAAGAAAGGTTGACATAATTTTTTTTTATTTTGTCAGGATACCAGCTGGCTCCAGCCAGATTTGTTTTGGCTAAAACTTATGATTAGGAATAGTCAATATTTCAATATAAATGAAAAAATTTTATTCCATAATTTTAAGTAGTCAGAGAAATAAAGTAGATTTTTTTTAGTATGATACTGAAATAAGAGTATGCACTTTTATTAACTATAAATAGGTAATATATGTGACTGAGAATATGGCCCACCTTGTTTCTTTTATGGTGATGTAATGAGCTAGATATTTAAAACAATAACCAGAGGTATTTTTATGATGAATCAATGTTCCAGCATCAGATATTTTTTCGAAGGGCAGATTTATCAGAGAGGTTCTTTTGTGTGTACATAGAGAAAGAATCTTATTCTTCCAAAACAAATTAACATAGCTAATTATTTGTAGAGGCCAACCAACTTTATTATTCCAGACAATCTTTCAGCACCCCCAATAGGTGGAAGAATCACCTCCTTCCTTGGGGGTTGAAGGATGGGAGGGCAGACAAATGTGCCCAACATCCCCTCTAAGAAGCAGGAAATTCTGTGCATGCTTTCTCTAGTTTCCCTTGTGGAAGGGAATAGAGCATGTTCTCAGGTATTGCAGTAAAGGTAACTAAAGATTCATCTTTTTATGCATTTCTATACACGCAGGAAATCTTACTCTGCAGGTGCTTGTAATTTGCAACCAGTAATTCTCTAAGTCGTTTTAGTTATAATTTACTTGTGGTATAACAAAGGCCAAGGGAAAACTGTAATTTTCTGCAGGAAAGATGGTTGCAATTTAGAGGCCTAGCTAGAAAGGATTTGGAAGCATCCTTTGGATATTGAAATGTATGATTAAATATATACATGGCACCTTCCTTTCCCATTTTGAAAGGACAGTGGAGTGAAATGGTTGAGAGCATCTGCCTGTGTGGGAGTTGTGGCTTTGTCCATTTCCACTTCTGTGACCTTGGGAAAATTGTTTAACCTATGTCTCAGTTTCCTTGTTTGTAAAATGGCATGGTACCTGCCTTGTAAGCTGATGTCCTCAATTAGTACATGCAAAGCCCTTAGAACAATGCCTGGCATAAAGTAAGCCTCCAGGACTGTTAGCTGTTCCTAGGTCTTTGTAGCTGCATTTTCACTGTTACTGTGAGGGAATACTGTAGTCACATTGCATTAGAGCCAGAAAGGTGCTCATTCTACAGATGATGAAACTGAGACCCGGAGAAGTGAACTCATCTCTTCAAGGTCATGCAACTGCTACGCTGTCACAGGGTCACAGGGCATTTGACTTTCCCTGGGTGACTTTGCTAGAGAAGATTGAAGGTCTAGAATTCCCAGCGCTGGTCTTGGAAAATAGCAAGTTTTCTTGTTGAAATTTCTTACTGATATGAACAGCCTCAATCTTCATTCTGTGTAATGGAGTTACCTTTTAATGTTTTTCTCTTCCAGAGTTAAAGGAATTCAGTAGAGATGCTTCCTCATAATTAATTCACTGACGTGCTGGCATTATTTATTTTCATTATGCTAAATGTCCCCAGTGTCTTCCCCATCAAGTGGAGCCTCAAATGTGGCTGTGCTTTTGTTGTCTGAGAAGTCCTGGCATATGCACCATGGGTGTGAGAATCATTCCTATTAAGCCGTGATTCTTACTGATAATTTAAAACCGAATATTCTACTAAAAATGGAACAACACTGTTAGAGCTGCGATATTCCTGTGTTGAAGGTGTTTTGTGTGTGATATATTTCATGAGAAATTGTCAGTGACAGGAGAGTCTGAGCTGGATGTTGGGCATACTCCACTGGTATATGGGTTCTTCCTGCCACTTGATATTGACATCGAGACAATTCATTGAACCTGACTCATTTCTTCCTTCATTGAGTATTTAGAGCACCTGGGTTGGGGGTGCAAGCACTGTGATTGACATCACCCTGGATGGCAGTCCACCCTGAACTGGCTCACCCCTTGCATGTTGACATGATCCCTTAAATACTGGTGACTGCTCTAGGGCAAGCTATCATCATTATCATATCTAAGGACCACAAGAGCTGAGGGCATTCAACTCTGACCCTCTCCACTTTCTGGATCTTCCTGAGTGGCTCCCCTAATCTTAAAGTCTCTTCCACATCTCCGTGCCTTATATCCAAACGTTTGGGAGGACAGAAAAGGATTAAGTTAGCTCATGGGTTTGGTCCATTTGACAAAATTAAGCCAGTGCTAATTCTTCAGTCCTTTTTTGGTATAAGGATGCAATAAAAAATCACAAGGGAGAGGATGAAGAGAGGGTTAGGAGAAGACTTTGTTTGTTCAACTGTTTTTGGCAATGTTAGACATAGTTCCTTTGGTTCCCGCTTTTTGCTTCTGCTTATACTTCTGTCTCCAGGAGCCAGATGCAAGTGAGAGTCGGGTAGACACAGTAAGAAAAACCTCAACCGAAAAAACCATTGTGGGCTGCTTTACCAGCTAGTTTTCTGACTCTGCCTAGAGTTCTAGAACAATTGTGCCAAGACAAAGAGAATGAAAACACAGACCTGACCATGGCTCATAGAGATGTGTAAGGCAGATTGTATCTCAGAGTTGAACCAAGTCACTTCTGAAAAGCTTGGTGCTGGAAATGGGAAAGTTCAATTATAGGGCAATTAAAATATGTTGAGTAAATAATTTATTGCATTTGAAACATATAGACAGAAAGTATAATACAATCGTTTCATTTTAAAAGATTGTAATTCTGAAGATTTCTCAAGGTGGTCATTATTTTCTGGGAGAGTCCCGTGAATAAATCAGGTCTCTAGGGTCATCACCCCATAGAAAGTTCCTGGTAGAAAAGATGGCAGATCAGCACTATTGTAATGGGAGCCCTGCCTGCAAGATCTTGGAATTATGATTTCTACCCATTTATATCAATGTCCTTTGCTGTCTCTCAGACATGATGCTGGGGTATTGCAGCTAGGACAAGCCAGAGCTCAAAGGTGCTGGTTTTTATTCCTGTGTGCTTACTCCCAACACTGAATTATTTTTTGTGTGTGTATATGTGCGTGTGTGTGTTTTTAGTGTCCTGTATTTTTTTTTTAGGTATATAGAGAAAAAAAGAGCAAATAATTAAGATATCAAGTTACTAATGATCTGTGGTCATTATGAAAGAAATAAAATTGTAGACTAGTCCATTACTAGAACTAATTAAAATTATTAATGTTAAAAATTAAATACGGAGATCAGGTTAATGTGAATAAAACAGATAATGAGGAAATGTTAGCATAGTTCAGACATATGGTCAACCTAATGTCTGACTCTTTCCCATCATTGACTTGCAGTGCATTCAAATACACAACCTCCATGCTCTTTGGAATTGAATTTTAGGTGCATAAAATAGAATTACTCATTTGATTAATTCAATTAATATTTGATTCTCAGGCATAATCCTTATTAATCTCTATGTGGCTCATTTATAGTAAAATAAATTTTCATGAATTCATTTTGAACTAGAATATCTCTAGTTAGGAAATTTCTTTCTATATGCTCAACTAATTCCATTCTACTCTCTATCCTCAAATGTAAACTTCATATTGAAATTGGATTTTATCATTCTTTTACTTGTCTTTTTGTTCATTTTATCATATATAGACACATACACATAAATTATATATATGTGTGGTGTGTTATAGAAATTGAGATTCATTTACCTATTTTTTCCTTGTGGAGAATCAATTGCCACTGATCCATTTCAATTACTTTCTTCATATCTGTCATATATCAAAATTCTACATATGGTTGGCTGGTTATGGGCTGTTCTGCCCCATTGACTAAGTTTTTGTTTTGTTTTGTTTTTATCCTTTCAATGCTACACACACACACACACACACACACACACACACACACACAAAATTACTAAAGCGCTGTAATAAGTATTGTTGGTTGTGGGGACAGTGAAACTTCTGCTTCAGTGTCTTTGATAGTAGTAAGATTGTCTAGTATTTCTAATTTTATTTCTTGGGTCAGTTTCAATAAGTTGTTTTTCTAGGAATTTTTGCATTTCATCCAAATTCTCAAATTTAACTGCATGCTCATTTTGATAATATTGTTCTCCTTTTGATGTTTTCCATATGCTTTATTTTTGATTTTTATTTATAATATTGTTTTTATATGCCTTCATGTATAATCTCACCAGATGTCTTTTTAGCTTTTTCAAGAACCATCCCTCTTTGTTTATCTTATCCATTACTTCTTTTGTGTGTGTTTTTATCTTTATTATCTCCTGTTACGTCAGTCAGAACATATTAGATTATGTCATGGAAACAACTCCAAAGTCTTCCTGGATTAACACAACACAACAAATGTTTATATTTTGCTCAAGATACACGGTAAAGATGATTCAGTAGAGGGACTCTGCTGACAGTCCTGTCACTCAGGGTTTCAGGATGAAGGAGGGCACATCCCACAACACACTTCTTTCCTAATTGTTGCACCAAGGAGGAAAAGCTTGCTTCCATGTCTAACTACTGGCGATGAACACTTTCCACATGGAAGTGACACATCACTTTCATTCATTTTTTTATTGGCCAGAGTAAATGTTCTTAGTTGTCTTTGGTTGCCTTAAAAACCACCATAAAACTTAATGACTGGAAACACCACCATCATTTATTTTCCTCCTGAACCTGCAGTTTGGGCACATTTGCCAGTGGTGGCTCGTCCTTGCCCCATGCATCGGCTGGGGTGGTTTGAAGGCTGGGGCTTGCCTCCGTTGAAGGTTTGCTCACTTCCCTGTCTGGTGGTCATGCTGGCTTGCAACTGAGATTCAGCTGGCACTGCTGGCCAGAACACCTTCATGTGGCCTCTCTTCATGATTACTTGACTTTCTCTTGATATGGGATCTGGTTTCAAGAATGATCATCCTAAAAGAAAAAGATGGAATTGCATGACATTTTTATGACCCTGTCTCTCAAGTCAGGGAATTCTGCCATACTGTATTGATTGAGGCACCGTGAAGACCCTCTCAGGTGGGTGGTCAGTCTAAGGGGATAGAACCTAACTTGATGAAAGGAATGTCAAGCATACATGGGATGAAATGTAGATTGTCCCCACGTGTGGAAAATACCATCTGCTATGTTACCTTACATAGCCATGCCAAACTTTCATATGCCTGGAAGAAGGATGTATCAATTAACTTGTGCTGTGTAACAACCAAAAACTTAACAGATTTGAACTACTCTTTTTTTTTTTTTTTTTAGCTCATAATTATGTGGGTCAGGTCTTGGTTCTTCTGACCTAGGTTTCCCAGTTGATCTCTGCTGGTCTGTCTCATGTTTGTGTGCTCTACTGGCAGGTTAGTTAATCGCTGGATTACTCAAAATAGCTACATTTATGTGTGTGGACAGCTGGCAGGCTATCCACCATGGCTGTTGAGTGGGGTGCCAGGTCACTTGGCTGTCTCCTCTCATTTAGCAGGCTAGCCTGAGCTTCTTTGCATGGAGTTCAGGAGCTTGCAAAGAGCAAGAGGAAAGGGACAAGCCCTACTGCCCAAGTCTTTGTTCAAGTTATTGCTTGTGCCATGCACCTGCCATTAGATTGGCCAAATGGAGCCATGTGGCTAGAGCCAGACTCAGTGTAGGAGAGAATTACACATGGGCATGATACAGGGAAGGGGATTATTGGAGCCAATTTGGATTTTTAAAAAAGCTGTAACAGAAAAGCAAACTAGAATGCTGAGCAACCCTAATTACTACAGCAGTCCACCTACCTGGTCACCCAATATATAGTTTATTCCCATTTATTTATTTATTTAGAGACAGGGTCTTGCTCTGTCATCCAGGCTGGAGTGCTGTGGCACGATCTCAGTTCACTGCAACTTTGACCTCCCTGGGCTCAAGTTATCCTCCCATCTCAGCCTCCTGAGTAGCTGGGACGCAGGTGTGTGCCACCGTGCCCTACTAATTTTTTTTTTTTCTTGTAGAGATGGAGTTTTGCCATATTGCCCAGGCTGGTCTCAAACTCCTGGGCCCAAATGATCTACCCACCTCAGTCTCCCAAAGTGCTGGGATTACAGGCATCAGCCTCTGTGCCAGGCCAATTTATTCCCTTTTGAAGAAAATATACATACTCCCTTTTCAGGAGAGATGACCCTAAAGTCTTGTCTGTGAAGGGCAGTAAGCTCAGAATCTAGGATCTCTAAGGGAAGGGCACTCTTTTGTTCAAAGGGACCAATGAATGGTCTTTTCTCCATCAAGCCTGGGTGTGGCTTCTGTGATCTGGAGACCAGTGGTCTAAAAAGACTTGTTATCAGCCATCTACCCAGCCACCTCATATACCTAGGATAACCACAGTAAACCCTTCTGCTCTCCCAAAAGAAGGATGAAACTCATTGGCCCTTGGCTCACAGCAATTCCAAGTCCACCTGGGCAGGCAGGGTGAGGGTCCCTGGCCCAGAGACTAGAGATTGCTTCTTCATTACAACCAGACTCTTGTTTTAGGAGATAGTCCCCTTTTCTTCTGTTTTATGTGGCCTTTGAATCTTCCCCGGGAGGTCCTTCTTCTTTATTTACCATCCTCTTAGCTACATTTGAACTGAATATTTGGATATTCCCTTCTTGGGGGCTGAGTGACTTTCTCACCTCTTGTCTGCCATAAATAAGAAGGCACAGTTTCTCTTAAGTCTAGAACATCCATAGTTCAGGTTAGTTTTTTTTGAGGAACACAAATCTCTCAAAACTTATTCAACCTCGTAATGTCAATAGTCACAGCCAGAGTTCTTTTCAAGACATGCTTCTTGAAAGGTTTGCTATTTTTCTCTGCCTTCTCATGCTATGTCTGTCTCTCTCTCTTTCAGCTTCTATGTACTTTAAGCCTGTATGGGAAACACACTCTGAGTTTACTTTTCCCTGTGCCATTTTGTTCAGTTGAAATAATTTCCTGGCACCACACTCTTATTTAGAAGTTAACTTCAAGGCACCTTTATCCATTTGGTTTTCAACAATGGGTTATCTGAGGGTCGGATGAACTCCAACAGTGGTGGACGTCGCAGATTGCATGGTGACTGTGTGGCCCATTGTCAACGTTCAGACCATTCTAAGGTCTGGTAACAAGACAGCAATTTTTCCTTTCTCAAAAAGAAGAATAATTATCTCCACAGTTACTCAGAAGTCTTTGTAAGGCACTGGTTTGGGTGGAAAAGTCAGAACATTCAGGGAAATCTGAAGACAAACATGTTGTATTAGTCGTTTTCACACTGCTATAAAGAACGACCTGAGACTGGGTAATTTATCAAGGAAAGAGATTTAACTGACTCACAGTTCTGCATTGCTGGGGAAGCCTCAGGAAACTTACAATTGTGGCTGAAGGGGAAGGGGAAGGGGAAGCAAGGCATGTCTTCTTATGATGGCAGGAGAGAGAGAGAGAGAGCGAGCAATGGGGAACTGCCAAACACTTTTAAACCATCAGATTTGGGTGGGGACACACAGCCAAACCGTATCACATGTCTAGTCAGCCAAAGGGTGGCGAAAGGTGGTGCAGCTTGGTGAAAAGGTCGATGGGCATCTGTTGCTTCTGTGTAGCTGCTGACACTGTGCTTCAGCAGCCAGTGTCTGCTGGGCCCCCATTCATCAATGGCCACAAGTTGGGAAGAAGAGCAGGACATAGAGCCAGGGAGAGTGAGGATGTGCAGAAGCCGGCCTGGGACCCCGTGAGTGTCCATCGTCATGTCTGACCATGAAGACTTGCCTCACTGTTGCCTCAAAATTCTGGCACAGATTCTGGCACAAATTCCTTTCTCTTCAGTTCTTTTTTTTTTTTTTTTTTTGAGACAGAGTCTCGCTCTGTCGATCCAGCTGGAGTACAGTGGCACAATTTCGGCTCACTGAAACCTCCGCCTCCTGGGTTCAAGTGATTCTTGTGCCTCAGCCTCCCGAGTAGCTGGGTTTACAGGCATGTGCCACCATACTCAACTAATTTTTTGTATTTTTTTAGTAGAGACGGGGTTTCACCATGTTGGCCAGGATGGTCTTGATCTCCTGACCTCGTGATCTGCTCGCCTCAACCTCCTAAATGGGTGGGATTATAGGCATGAGCCACCGTGCCTGGCCCCTTCTGTTCAGTTCTAACCAAGAACTCTAGAGGGAAGGGGATTCTGGGAAAGGTAACAAGCAGCAAAACTGACACCTAAGCAACTCAGTTCAGTATTTGAACTTGTAATTTTCCCACCAGACACCACTGTTACCACGCACCACAAATGTTGATGTGCACTGTTTTCATTATTCTTTGAAAATTTACATTAGGTGGCTATTATTATTATTGTTATTTTGAGACAGTCTTGCTGTGTCACCCAGGCTGGCATACAGTGGCACAATCTCGGCTCACTGCAACCTCCGCCTCCCGAGTTCAAGCGATTCTGTTGCCTCAGCCTCCTGAGTAGCTGGGATTACAGGCATGTGCCACCATGCCTGGCTAATTTTTGCATTTTTAGTAGAGACGGGGTTTCATCATGTTGGCCAGCCTGGGCTCGAACTCCTGATCTTGGGTGATCTACCCACCGCAGCCTCTCAAAGTGCTGGGATTACAGGCGTGAGCCACCGTGCCTAGCCAGGTGGCTATTATTAAAAAGTAAAAAAGCAAAAAAACAAAAAACCAAAAACAAAAACAAAAAACAGATGCTGGTGAGGTTGTGGAGAGAAAGGAACACTTTTACACTCTTGGTGGAGTGTAAATTAGTTCAGGCATTGTGGGAGACAGCGTTACGATTCCTCAAAGACCTAAACACAGAAATACCATTGGACCCAGCAATCCCATTACTGGGTATATACCCAAAGGAATATAAATCATTCTATTATAAAGACACATTTATGTGAATATTCATTGCAGCAGCATTCACAACAGCAAAGACATGGAATCAACCTAAATGCCCATCAATGGTAGACTGGATAAAGAAAATGTGGTACATATACACCATGGAATACTATGCAGCCATGAAAAACAACAAGATCATGTCCATTGCAGGGACATAGATGGAGCTGGAGCCCATTATACTTAGCAAACTAATGTAGGAACAGGAAACCAAATACCGCATACTCTCACTTGTAAGTGGGAGCTAAATTATGAGAACACGTGGACACATAGAGGGGAACAACACACACTGAGGCCTATCTGAGGAGGGTGGAGGGTGGGAGGAGTGAGAGGATCAGGACAAATAACTAATGGGTACTAGGCTTAATACCTGGGTGATGAAATAATCTGTACAACAAACCCCCAGGATTCAAGTTTCTTCTGTATCAAATCTGCACAATTACCCCTGAACTTAAATGTTAAAAATAAAATAAAATAAAATTCACATTATGTTTTACTTTTCATTCTAAAGGTTATTCAGAATTGTGCTTTTTATCTTATATGTGGTAACTTTTAATTTACATTTTTGTGATGAACTTTTAAGATAAATTATGCTGTAATCAAAGAACATGGCTCTGTGTGATAACTCTTCTTTGAAATCTTTGGAGGTTGCCTGACACATGATTTTTATAAATATTCCACATGCACTTCAGAAGAATATTGTTCCACCTAATGGTTGCATGTGGAATTCTGTATTTTTCAATTAGGCCAAGATTACTAATTATGATGTTCAAATCCTTTAACATCTTTTCTTGTTTGCATTTTTATTTTATTTGCTTGGCCTATCAATAGCAAGATGGGGAGCTGAAATTGTCTGCTCTTAGTAGATTAGTTTACTTTTTTTCTCTGATTTTCTAAATTTTTGCTTTATACAGTTTGAGGCTATTTTATTAGTTTTATAGATGTTTAAAATTATTATAATTGCCTATTTATTCCTTTCACACCTCATGGTAAAATGGAGTATGACTATGTATGTAGATAAGAATAAAAATTGTCTATCTATTTATCTATATACATATGAAAAACTGTATCTCCACACATCCATTTGTAGTCAAATGTTTATCAAAGCTAAAGGCTGATTTCATTTTTCCTAGTAATTACTGTCATTTGTGGTACACCTGTGACATACCAAACACCCAGAAGCCACACCAAATCTGGATGACTGCATGTGAAGAAGCCGGCTGAGGGACATTCGACTTCTCCCACTGAAAAATCACAGCAGGAAGTGATGGAAATTGGTTTCTACCTTTGGTCTTGCTGACTTCAAAGTATTTCACTAAAATATAATTTTTTTAATTAAATAGAAAGGCAGTATTTTACATTAGACTGTCTTTTACCACCCTCATACAAAATAGTACTGTTCAAAAAAAAAAGAAAAAAGAAAAAGTACATTGAAAAGAAAGAAAATACAGACAAGCTGTTACTGCGTGGAAAAACATCTAAGAAACAAAGGAATTGTCACATAAGGAATAAAAGTGATGGGTATTTAATAGGCCTGGCAATTAGAAGCCATCTGAAATTACCGGAAAATGCATGGAAAATGAAGGGATAAAATGCTTAGAGTGGAAGGAACCCATAATCATCTCAGTGGATGATACCATAGTCAAAATCTCCTGCTTTAAAGGCATTTTCGTACATTTCATTTAGTATGCATTATATGGTAAATTTTATTTTACCTTGTTAAAGCCATTTTTAAAAAGACATTTTAGTATATTTTAGGTAATATTAAAAGGATTTTAGTACATTTTATTTAATTTGCATTATATGATATTTTTTTCCACAAAGGGAGGAGGGGTGAGGATACATAGGAATATTTAATTGAGATTGATGATGGTTTTAATGTTTTAGTTTGCTTATTTTAAGCTAGTCTGTCTGTTTTATATTCTAATGTTTGAAAACAACTCAATCAGAAGAACATGGCCTCGGGGTGTACCTTGCTGGCTTCCTTCCTTTCTCCATCTGCTGGGAGCTGGACAGGAGAGAGGAGAAGCTGTCATCCTAGGTCTGAGAGTGTCTCTTTATTCCATTGACTTAGCCTTAAGAAAAATGCATGATGCAGGCAGCGAGGCCAGGGAAGACTGTGGCCTGTAAGCTCGTACATCCTCTAGTGAATACTCTTCTGTTCTTCCCATGACACCCTCATGCAAGGTTCTCAAAACTCCTTCAGAGTTAGCATTCAAAGGCAGATACAGAACAAATTGGTGGCTGTTCTCTTCCTTGAAGAGTCTCTGTTTTTCAGTGGGCCCAGCTTTTGCAAAGGTTAGGGTCACAGGCCTCACAAGCAGCAGCTGACTGTCTCAAGCCGTTGGCCGTCAGAGCCTCTGGCTCACCCTCTGAGGTGGGGGTGTGTGGTCTGAGGATGACTCTCCTCCTCTGCTATGCAGAACCCACCTGCTAACGTCACCCATCTGGGGAGGGCAGGCACACCACCAGCCACTGAGGATCATGACCTAGATTAGGACTTCAGAGGTCAAAGTCCTCTTTATAGTTTGCAACTGCATTGTCATAAAGATGTATGTAATCTTTGACCCTAAGAGTTTGTGCTTTTTTGGCTGTTCTCATTTTGAAAGAAATTTAAACATTTTTGCAGGACTCTAAGAGGGCTGTAGGACCCAGACACTGTGCTCACTGTGATTAATGATGGAGAAGTCACCTGCAGCCCTGACAAATCACATCTCGGGGATCTGATTTTTAAAAAAGAGAGAGAAAAAATAGAGAGTTTACAATTTAGAACCAAAATCAAAATCAAGTCTTACATACTTTACCCAGAAAAATAAGACACTGGGTCTCTGTCTTGTTGACAGAGAGATCCTTTAAAAGAGAAGCACGGCCGGGCGCGGTGGCTCACGCCTGTAATCCCAGCACTTTGGGAGGCCGAGGC
This sequence comes from Homo sapiens, assembly GCF_000001405.40. Lineage (NCBI taxonomy): Eukaryota > Metazoa > Chordata > Mammalia > Primates > Hominidae > Homo > Homo sapiens. The sequence continues at coordinate 7,411,847 of NC_000005.10, forward strand.
GGGCGGATCACGAGGTCAGGAGATCGAGACCATCCCGGCTAAAACGGTGAAACCCCGTCTCTACTAAAAATACAAAAAATTGGCCGGGCGTAGTGGCGGGCGCCTGTAGTCCCAGCTACTTGGGAGGCTGAGGCAGGAGAATGGCGTGAACCCAGGAGGCGGAGCTTGCAGTGAGCCGAGATCCCGCCACAGCACTCCAGCCTGGGCGACAGAGCGAGACTCCGTCTCAAAAAAAAAAAAGAGAAGCACGGGAAAGCTCTTACAGGTCATTCCGTTTCTTCTCTGCTTCCTGGAAGGACTATATCAGCATCTTCTTGTTCCCTGGTTCCCTGCTCTACTAATTGTCACTTTACAGTCATGCATATTTTTGCATGGTTTTTCAGTCTTTCTGGAGATCTAAGAGCCAGTAAAGTCAATGATTGTTTCACCCCTGCTGGGATAATGAAATGACTGGAAAAAAAAGTCATACTAGGAAATAGGTTTCCTGATTATTTACTGGTTAGTTTTCTGTCCACAGCTCAGTGAGGCTCATTTGGGGAGGTTTAAGTTAAATCAGTTTTCATGGCACCATGTGTGCAGTGGTCATAATCTCAGATTTGATGTCCTCAGATAACACGCTGTCATGTCCCACGTGTCCGTTTGTTCGTGGTGTCTGAGTGCCGGGGAGTGCTCGCAGCCTGGCAGACACCTAATACCCTTTTGCAGCAATTGTAAACTGTGTCTGAGGGTAAGAGTAATAACTTAGGCACTTAATCGTGGCTAAAAATAGCAGTGGAGGGAGAGAAAAAGAACATCTCATTTGATCTACTTGTTTTCTGCCAGTTCTGGAAACACACATTCTTTCGGCCACGGCAACAACTAGCCCCATTCGGTTGAGTTCACTGTCTGCTGCAGGACCACAGACCCACAGGCTATGCCTGGCTGGAGGCCTGTCTCACCCACCAGCTGGACAATCCATGGCAGCCCTTCTCTGTGCCTCAGTTTCGTCAGCTGTAGAATGGAACTAACACTAGTGCCCCCCATCCTGCCTGCCCCTACCAGGATGGTGGTTGTAAAGATTAAAGAGGTTAATATATGTAAGCCTGCTTAGCACAAGTAGCACTTACTAGCATTTACCATTCTTGTTGTTCCTCTTGCCTCTTTCCCAGGCATCATTTAACACACATAATTGTGGGAGAGAAAGGGAAACGATGTCAGTTAAGAGGGCTTGGATTCTGGCTTTTTCCCTCCTTGGGAACCAAGACTCCGTGTGGATTTTTGGCTGGTCTGCTCTGTTTCCCCATCTCCCTGTGCTTCGTTGCTTGGTATTTGCATGGAGCCATTTCCAGTGTGAAGTTAGAGCTGCCAGTGGGTGGAATGAACCTTGTGCCCACCTGTAAAGAATAGAGATCACCAGACAGACAGTCCCTTTGTAAGTCCCATATATGGTCCCAGCCTTGGGGTTTTTTTTTTCTTTTTTCTTTTTTGAGACGGAGTCTCGCTCTGGCGCCCAGGCTGGAGTGCAGTGGCGCGCTCACGGCTCACTGCAAGCTCCGCCTCCCAGGTTCACGCCATTCTCTGTCTCAGCCTCCGGAGTAGCTGGGACCACAGGCGCCTGCCACCACGCGCGGCTAATTTTTTTTTTTGTATTTTTAGTAGAGACTGGGTTTCACCGTGTTAGCCAGGATGGTCTCGATCTCCTGACCTTGTGATCTGCCCGCCTCGGCCTCCCAAAGTACTGGGATTACAGGCGTGAGCCACCGCACCCGGCCGGTTTTTTTTTTTAATAGAAGTGTCTGTGGATATTTCTGTTAACTACACATGTTTGGGTGAGGATTAAAGACCTTACACTGTATTCTGTTCCATAGTAAACGCTGTCCATAGCAAGCTTCCAGCATAATGTTTTGCAGAAGCTAAAGCCTAAGCCCAGGCTTGTGTAATCAAATGAAACATAATGTCTGTATGTGGAGTTGAACTTGTGTAGAATGGAAATAGTGGGTCTTTGTCATGTGGTAAGGAAGAGATAAATAAAAAAAAATTGTGTGTCAAAATAAATGTAAAGAAATACATTAGTAAGAAGTGAATAATAAATGCCCATTTTCTTTTTGCTTGTTTCTTTTTGCCATGTTTGTTATTTTATTTTCTCCATCTCTCTTGAGAGAGAAATAACAAACATGGCGCCCTCCTGTATGCATTTCCCGCTCCCTCACGTTCCATATTCAGCACTTTCTGACCCTTTTCTATTAACCTATGATCCCATCAAAACATTAATTGCCATGCATTAAAATAAAAGCTCATCACCATAAAAACAGATAATTTTGAAAGAAGTTTTTTAAATAAAACATTTAAAATCCATTTGCAAGATAGTTTTCTAAGGCCGGGGTTTTTCTGCTCCTCTGATTTAGGGAGAGAAGTTGGTTGTCTTATTTTCTCCTGGCATTAATGTGTTCTTACATTCACTTCTGAATAAAATCCATTTCTGCATTTATCAGGGAAGATGTAACTTTGATGAGATATTGTTTGTCCTATTTTAAATATCCAACATTGGATTATCTATTTAGAAAAACATGCTTATTTATTATGAAACTTGAATTTTAAATGTTCAAACTGTTCTACTTTCAAAACAATTTCTTAAACCCAATATATTCTGACATTGACAAGCGTTGATGACATTTTAACAACATAAATCATTGGTATCACAGTGTCTCTAAATGGTAACTTTTCCATGTATTTTTTTATCTCCTCAGGAAGTTGAAGACCATGTGGCGTTTCTAATAACAGTTCCAACTGCCCTGGCGATTTTCTTTGCGATATTTATCCTGGTCTGCATCGAGTCTGTGTTTAAGAAGCTGCTGCGCCTCTTCTCGTTGGTGATATGGATATGCCTTGTTGCCATGGGATACCTGTTCATGTGTTTTGGAGGCACCGTCTCTCCCTGGGACCAGGTAAGGTGTGAAAATATTTTTTGTACTTCTTTTATGTCTTGATTTGTGACATACTTAGTTCTGTAAACAACTTGGCCTTAAACTTTGAAGAGGAGTCCTATAACTGAGAGCAGAGTCTATTTTTTTCGATTTATATTGCTAAAATTTATTTTTAATCAACAAATTATAATTGTATGTATTATGGGGTACAAGGTATATGTATTTATATCTGTATGTATGTGTATTTATATCTGTATGTATGTGTATTTGTATAGATGTGTATGTGTATGTATATGTGTGTGTGTATAATTGGATACATATGTGTTTAATATAAAATTAAATCTAATTATATGCAACATGTCACTTCCATAGTTTTTTGGTGAGAAGCTTTAAAATCTACTCTTTAAGCAATTTTGAAATATACAATACATTATTATTAACTATGGTCAGCATGTTATGCAATAGATCACTGAATCTTATTCCTCCTGTCTAACTGGAAGTGAAATAAGCCAGGCACAGAGAACAAAGGCTTTTGAAATAGCTGTCTTTGACTCATGGTCAAAGTCACTCTGTCCTCATTTTAGCAAACCCATCGTACCACAGCCAAGGAGCTGGCCGGGGCCTCATACTGTCACTTGTTTCGGATAGCTGAGCTTCAATTCTGTCCGTAGCCTTGTTTTACATCTCGAACCACAGTTTCGACAACTCAGTCCTTCTGTTTCCGGAGTGCCTTGTCTAGGCTTCCTATTTCTCCAGGTGCTTGCAACCCTCCAGGACTGGTTGTTGTCCTTAAATTCCTTCTCAATTACTAGAATTTTCCTACTTAAAGACCCTTCCTACTTCTGTGACACTGATTTTCCCTCCACATGGTCACAAGCTATTGAAGGGGTGGCTTCGGATACCTGCTGAAAAACCCACATTCATTCATTTTGCACCTTTTGAGGCTCTGGGCCTCAGGTCATATCCTGAGGAGAGTGTTGTCTAACTATTGGCTTTTTTCTGTAGTGCTGCTGCTATGTGGGTGGCTGCTCCCAGCATATTCATCTGACAGCGTGATAAATGGTGTGTTGTCTAGGGGACAGGCCTAGGCTGAGATGTGAGCTACTAGTTTAGAGCTTGTCAACCGAGACATGGAGTTTTGAAGCCATCCAGGGAGAGGGTGACTGAGTAGCTGAGAGGGCTGTCGCAGGGTTGATGGGGACATTGAGAGCCAGGGGTGTGCCAGGAACAGGATCTGGAAAGGAATAGAGGAGCCATGATGGGGAGAAGAGAGCCAGTGAGGGTACACTGCTGTAGGGAGGGTTTCCAGGGTTTCCAGAGGGTGTGGACAGAATGGCTCAAAAGCCATGTCAAGGGACAGAATACTGTTGGTGTGCCTCAGTTGGAAAGAGCCCAGAGATGAGCTGGCCAGTGGGTTCTGTTGGTAAGTAGTCATGTGACCTCTGCCAAGCCATTATTCTCTTTGTGCCTCCATTTCTTGGGCAAAGGGAGGAGGCTGGACTAAGTGAACTCAAGTTAGTCTTTATGGCTCTAAGAGGACACTGTCATAGTGGACACAAGACCCGGCGGGCGCCATCACCTCTCCTTTATCACTCTCCCACTAGAGCCCCTTGGAGGGCTGGGCGCGGCCCCCATGCTCTGTCTGGCTTCTTCCTCTCCCTCACACTCCCCGCTCTCTCCTTCACTCTCTGTGCTCCTGATGCCACTTACACTCTGTCCTTCCCCACTCAATTAGAAATCCTGGCTAATACAATTAGACAAAATACTACATAACAATAAGGTAAACATGAGAGGGAGAAAGAAAATTCTAATTATCTGCAGATGACCATACTATCTATACAAATAAACTGGGAGTCTCAGATCAACTAACAGAACTCATAAGAGAGCCCACCACGACTGCAGGATCAATATAAAAACAATAGTATTCTTATGCATCAACATTGACCAATTAGAAAAGGTAATTTTAAAAATTACTGTTTAAAAATTTTCTCCCCCAGCAGCCTAGACATCCTGTTGCGTGCATACTGGTGCCCAGGTAATGTAAACAGGAGAACAGTTAAGATCCTGCTGGTCGGTTGCCTGGATCTGGTGGTCTCTTCTTGCACCAAAGCCATCTTGTTTTAAAGTTACAGGTTTCTAGGAAGACTTAGTGTCTGGGAGGCCAAGTACCTCTTCTTGTTCAGAATGTTTTTAGCTCACTTTTTATTACGGATCAGTTTGTCATGTTCAATGAAAAGTCCATTTGGGTTCTGGATTTAAATTATATTGAATTTCTAAATTTTTGTTATGAAAGATATTTAAAGCCTAAGAATTAATGAAAGGGTCGTGTATAAAACATCCAGAAATATGCTCTTTTTGTGTTTCGTCTTTTCATCAAATGGCATGGCATGTCTATCAAAGAATTCTGATTACTTTTTGTTCCTTCGGAGACTCTTTTTTTTCTTCATAAAATCAATAATAATTTTCGTTAGACTCAATCTTAGGTACCTAAAGTCTTTTTGTTGTTTTATAAACAGAATTTTAAAAATTACCTTTGCTAATTGGTCGGTGTTTATATATAAGAATACTATTGTTTTTATGTTGACCTTACAGTGTCCGTGGGCTCTTCTGGGTTCTGTTAGTTGATCTGAGACTCTCAATTTATTTGTATAGAATTTTCTTTCTCCCTTTCATATCCTTAATTTACCTTATTCTGATGTAGTATTTTGTCTAATTATTTTAGCCAGGATTTCTAATTGAGTGGGGCAGGACAGAGTGTAAGTGGCATCAGATGTTTAACTTGATGGGAACATGGAAGATTCCAGTAATACAATGTTTGCTTTATCATTGTTACTATTTATAATAGAACCAATTAATCAGGATAAGGTCCTTTTGTCTGTCTGGAATGTTCTTGTCCCCAGGTTGCATGTCCTTAGAACGATCTTTCCTGACCCCTATCTGTCACTTCATAAGGCAACATCACTCACCTTGCTTGAGTGTTTCCATGGCACTTAGGGCAACTTATAGAACCTTAAATTACAGGACACACCCCTCTCTTTGTTTATTGATTGTCTGCTGCTGGAACATAAACTTCTGGGCAGGGACATGACTGTCTCTCCAGTATCCTATCCTTACCCTTAGCAGAATGCTGTCCAGCCATTGGCAGCCAGTAGCTTCTCATTTCATATGTTCATTGACAGATGACTGTATTTTCATCTTCAGGTTTGTTGTTGTTATTGTTTGTATTTTAACCTTTTTTGCTGTTGTTGTTTTATAACATGTATTTTGTTTTTTTGACACCATCTGCCTGCTTTTAAAAATCTCCCTAAGGATCATAAACATGCTTGTATCATAGTCATTTTCTCAAGACTGACTACCCTCAGGTGTTGAATTTGTTGGCCAAATTTCTTGGTTTTAGCTCTCCCTGTGTACCTTGACATTTTTGCTTTTACGTACATCTTGAATTCGAATATATTCACCTCTGCCCCTAATATAACCCCAACCATTCTGTGGTTGTCTTTCCCACGCCACTGGGGCCCTGGATCGTGAGTGTATATGAGGCTCAGCCCAGGTATTCCATGTTAATTTTGCAGGTTGGGAGGCCAGCTCAACCTGCCGCCTGGGGATGTTTCTGGGAGGAGCACAGCTATGTCTGCTAGGCCCTCTCACCCAAGGCATGATGCTTAGAAAAGGCCATAGCCAGGCTCAGTGGCTGTAGCTATTTTTGCCCACTATTCCTAAGCCAGGAGCATTGGCAGGGTGTGTGCCTCATGCAGTGGACCGGCTCATACCCCTTGGAGAGACATCGAGTCCTGCCCCTCCTAGAGTCTGAAGTCCTGCCCAACACTTCTAGCTGCCCCTGTCCATTCTATGGGAATGGGGGTTTAAAATGAAATTAAAAACAAAAGTCTACCTTCTGTTTTTTTTTTTTTTTTTTTTTTTTTTGAGACTGAATCTCACTCTGTCACCCAGGCTGGAGTGCAGTCGTGCGATCTCGGCTCACTACAACCTCCGCCTCCTGGGTTCAAGCAGTTCTCCTGCCTCAGCCTCCTGAGTAGCTGGGATTATAGGCACGTGCCACCACACCTGGCTAATTTTTGTATTTTTAATAGAGACGGGTTTCACCATATTGGTCAGGCTGGCCTTGAACTTCTGACCTCATGATCTGCCTGCCTTGGCCTCCCAAACTGCTGGGATTACAGGCGTGAGCCACTGCACCCAGCCCTGGTGTCTTTTACTACAGACTTCATATATGTATACCCCTTAATTAGCCATTAGGAAGTGTTGCGGCACGTTCACTTTGCTCAAGAAAGCACTGTGCTTAGGAAAGCAGGCTGCTTTCAGTATCCTTTAGAATAGAATGGTTCCCACTGGAAGATGGTTAAATTAACAACATAGTTGTAAAGTGATGCAGGAATGAGCCTGCTATGCAGTCAGAGGGAACAGTCTATGCAGGACCACTCTCATTGCTGATACTAATTGCAAGCTGGGGGGTTTCCAGGACTACCCAGAGATTGGACAATTTTCTAGAAGAACCCACGGAACTTGTGACAGCCGTTATCGCTGTGATTAGGGATTGCTACATGGGGAGAATACAGATGCACTTTGGCAAAGAGAAGAGCCCAGGAAAACCGCCAGACATGGAGCCCCTGTTGTCCTCTCTCTGTGGAGTCATGGCTGGTGCTGCTCTCCTACAACCACATGTCACAATGGCCAAAGAGAATTATCTATTGCCGAAGCTCAACTGAGCCTTTGATGTTCAGAGTTCTCCACTGGGGCTCAATCACGTCCTGCCTGCACAGCTGACCTTTAGTCTCCAGCCTTCCGAAGGTGAGGCTGACACTTTTATTCTCCAGTCCCTCTGGAGGTAGCACTGACATCACAGGGCTCTAAGTTCCCATCATAAACCACATTCAGACTGTCCTGGGGTCTAAGCCCCCAGATAAATAAACACACTCTTCTCGGGCAGGACATTCCAAGGGCCTAGGTCACCTTCCAGCAGTTGAGGGCAAGGCCAGACCTCATATAAGGTTAACTCTAAACTGTACAGTGGCTTGAGTGTAGCTCATAGTCAGCAACATGCACCAAGCACAGACAGCTAGCACGTGCATGGTCTGGACCCAGTGCCAGACCCTGTTCTGAGTGCTTCCCTTACATGACTTCACTCATTCGTTTATGAGCGGGGCACCATCCTACCCCAGCTTTCCAAGTGCAGAGACGAAGGCACAGGAGGGAGGCTGAAGTACAAAGGAATTTGAGCCCAAGGGGTCTGCCTCCTGAGGCTGGCTCTCAGCCAGGAGACCTGTGCTTCTCAAACGGGAGCGATTGCACCCCCCGGGGACATGTGATTGTGTCAGGAAACATCTTCCATTTGTCACAGCTTGGTCGGGTATGGGGGAATGCTACTGTCATCTCGCGGGCAGAAGCTGGGGATGCTGCTAATCACCATACAACGCACAGGGCAAAGAATTATGCAGCCCAGTTCCGAGCCTGAGAAGCCGCATATCACCCAACATGGCCTCTCTGTAATGCCTTTTAAATAACCAGCTCTTAAGCCCTCAGTGAGCAGAACTGTATGAAGTTGCCACGGCACGACTGAAGAGTGATGTTGGCAGTTTTGATCAGGAAAGAGGAGTAATTTTTCAGTGTGTGCCCCTGAGAAAGTATAGGCAACAACAAGGGTGGGGACCCTGGGTGTGGGTCAACAACCTGGTTTGGGAGGAGTCACTGGGAAAATAAGGAAAATGGAGCGAAAAAGACCCCAAACCTTCAAGAGATTTGCCCTCACAGGTTTTGACTGTAAGGGGTGGGGTTTTCCAAACGTCATTATTTTAGTTCGGCACAAACCACCCCCATCCCGAAGGTTCCCTCTGCTCTGTGCTACTGGCACTCAACCCAGCTGATGCCATTCCACGTAGCTGCCTCCCAGATGAAAACTCTTTTAAAACAATATAACCTCTGAGTGAAGTCTGCGCAGTAACCTGCAGAGTTTCTGGCTCCCGGAGTTCGGGGCAGCATTTGCATTTGACAGGGAAGTCTTTTTGGTCTGCCTCTTGCCTGACTGCCTTGTGAAATGCCTTTCATTTGTGCTTCCAATTCCCCATTGATAGAGCTGTTAGGATGGCTGTGAGGGTGATGCTGCGATTGTGTTTCATTTTTCTGAATGGTTTAAAAATACATGAGCATGTTGAACTCAAAATTAGCAGAGGAGTATGTTTTCTCTGTCCTGGTGCATCTAGTAAGTGGGATCATTTTTATTTTTAAGAAATCAGTGGCAGAGTGTATCTCTCCCTCTCTGTCCAGCTCAATTACACAACACAGCAAGGATTTCTACCCATAATTGCTGTGGCGCCCACCAGTCCCACCGGAAGGAACAGGGAAGCTTGGAATTCCAGAATGTGTTTATTGGAGTCCTGTCACTGATTTCAAAAAGAGCAGTCATTTGTCCCATGGGTAGACATTGGATCTGTTTCTAGTGCTGCTGTAACTAAGCCTCTTTCAAGTTGTGTTCCATGGCTTAGAACAAATAGAAGATATTTATTGTCTCAGCTCTGGAGGTCAGAAGTCTGCAGAAGTCTGAAATCACAGTGTCAGCAGGGCTGTATTCTTTTGGAAGACTCTAGAGGAGAATCCTCCCCTGCCTCTTCCATCTTCTGGTGTCACTGGTATTCCTTGGCTTGCAGACACATCACTCCATCTCTGCCTCCGTCTTCACGTGGTAGCTCCTCTGTGGCTCTTCTCCTCTTCTTATAGTGACACCAATCATATTGGATTACAACCACCCTAATGACCTCATCTTAATTGGATGACATCTGCAAAGACCCTGTTTCCAAATAAGGTTACAGTCACAAGTACTGGGGTTTAGGACTTGAAGCTATCTTTTCAGGGGACACAGTTCAACTCCTAACTGACAACGGTTCCCTAAGTGGGTGCTCTCTGGTAGTAGGACAGGCATTTCCATCTTGTGGAGTGCTGCTCTGAGGTTCACTCCTCCTTCTTAGATTTGGAAATTGCTCTTGATGTTGACTTTCCCTTAACCTTCAAATCCACCTTGAAATTAAATGTGGGCTATGAAAGTTTTGAGGCTTTTATCAGGTTGGTGCAAAAGTAATTGGGGTTTTTGCCATTATACAAACCTGTTTCTCTAAGGAATTAGAGACGTTCTTGTGTGTGAATATCATGTTGAAACAAATAAACACTCATGAATGTAAAGAGAAAATAACTGGTCCAATCACATTGCTGTGTAAATAAACAGAGTGCTGTCAAGGCATGTTAGCATGCTAGATGTTGTTGATTTATCTCTGCCCTTCCTGTCATGGAAGTGTTTCTTGTTGGTTCTTACATTCATGGCATTGATTAAATCCTTCTTGCCTGTTACATTAAAACAAACAAACAAACAAACAAAAAAACAAAACTTTGACTCACTTTGTAAACCCTAAGCTTTTAAGTGATGTTTTATTTGATGATTTTGTTTTTCTTTCTTTTTTTTTTAATTGAGATGGGGGTCTTGCTATATTGCCCAGGTTGGTTTTGAACTCTTGGCCGCAAGCAATCTTCCTGCCTCAGCCTCCCAAAGTGTTGGGATTGCAAATGTGAGCCACCGTGCCCAGCCTGTTTAATGATTTTCTGACAAGCACGGATCCACTTCATCTCAGCTGATAATTACTGACTTAGGACCCTCCTCTGAGATGGTTTTTTTTCAGGCAGGTTGGATTGCCTGGAATGTCTTCTGCTCATTCATGGGCTTAAAGAGCCATCAGTGTGGTCAGGAAGGATAGGAAAGCTGACCCACATTTGCATCTGACTCCAGCTTTCTGCATTTCTCTTGTACTAAAGCTCATTGAATAGAGTTCAACAGAAACTTTTATTCCTGACAACCCCATTTCAGCCTTGGCAGGGAGACCATACTGAAGTTATTTTACAGATTTGTTAAATTACCACCAACTCGAAAGGCTAACATTTTTCTCTAGGAAGGAGAGCCTTTCTTTGTCCTGTTACCTAAAAGGATGTCAGACATTCAGCATGTGCATATGTGTCCTTTCTTACAAAAATAGGACATCAGTGTGCAAACATCTTTTTTTATTGAAAATGAGCGAAAATGAAAGAAAATAAAGGCCTCTCTTAGCCTTTGAACTGGTGCAGAATCCTTTTGCTTTTCCTCTAGTGCAGTCACTTGGAATGCGACCAAAGAATGTATTTACCACTGGAAGAACCGAGTAGCATATGAATGAAAGTAGAAAAATGCAACCTAGAAAGCCTGTCTCTGTGCACCCAAGAAACTCTTCTCTGTGTGCTGCTGTGTGCCAGGATGATTTTTCAGTGTGGGCATTTGGACTTACTATGAAGAAGCACACACCTAAGAAAAATTAAACAGTAATTAAAATTATTTCCATTAACAATAAAGAGGAGGATATGTTTTTGTTGTTTAATAACCACACCTATCCTGATGACACCTGTGCATTTGAGGGAAGTGCAGCTGAGCTGGGCTCAGCCTGCAGTGTGTTTATTGGGAGACCTCCATGTTTCTGGCTCTTTGGAGCAGAGGAGGCATTTCTGAGTTATCCCTACTGTGAGTTCCCAGCCAGAGCGTTGAGAAACCAAACTGGCTGATGTGGTTTGGCTCTTTCCCTACCCAAATCTCATTTTGAATTGTAGCTCCCATAGTCCCCATGTGTCTTGGGAGGGACCTGGTGGGAGGTAATTGAATCATGGTGGATCTTTGCCATGTTGTTCTGGTGATAGTGAGTAAGTCTTATGAGATCTGATGGTTTTATAAAGGAAGGGGAGATCCCCTGCACACACTCTCTTGCCTGCCACCATGTAAGACGTGACTTTGCTCCTCATTTGCCTTCTGCCATGATTGTGAGGCCTTTCCAGCCATGTGGAACTGTGAGTCCATTAAACCTCTTTTCTTTATAAATTACCCAGTCTCGGGTATGTCTTTATTAGCAGCGTGAGAACAGACTAATACACTGGCTTGGCTGTCCCTCGAGCTGAGGATTTACCCTAACCCTCACTTAGGCCTTCCCAGATCTGATCTTGCTTGAATGGACAATTCTGTTGGTCTTTCTGGAACATTCTCTCTGCTCCTCCTTTTCTCTGTACTGCTTTTCTTAAGAGGAGCATGGGCTCCGGTACTGAAAATTGGCATCATGACTAAACTGTCCTCTGGCCTGCACACAGACTTTGTGATTCTCCTCCCACCCCCATCTCTACAGCCAATGTGTGTTAAGGAGTCCGATGTAAATTATTTGGATAATGGATACCCTAAAACCCTGATTCACCATTATGCAATTTATGTGTGCAACAAGATTACACTTGTACCCCATAACTTTGTACAAATAAAAATAAATACTCTGTGGTCTTTGAGACATTTTTGCTTGCTGCTCTGTTCCCAGTGCACAACACAGCACCACACACGTAGTGATCACATCGCAAAAATTGTGGGAACAAATGAGTGTACAAATACTGCATCTGTGCACTTGCCCCTTCTACCGTAGAATGATCAGAGTCACTTCCAAGGTCCTCCAGTAGCAGGCACCATGTGGTTACTTTGCATACACAACTTATTTGATCTGTATAACCCTGTGAGGTAAATACTATTATCACTTGCATCTTGCTGATGAAAAAATTGAAGCCCAGAAAAGTTAACCAACTTCCTCAAAGTCACACAGTGAGGAAGAGGACCAGAATTTGGACTTGGCATTCTGCCACCATCACATGGAATGTCCAGATGCCCACTGTCATTGGTGACTAGGGTGTCCCCCTCCTGTTGTGCCCTGGCACATGACAGATTATTGTGTGATGTGAAAGGGACATATTTGTGAATCTGGATTGTTCTATTTGAACCACTTTTGGGTTGATGTTATTTGGAAAAACTTCGTGGGGAGGGAGCAGTTTCTGCAGAGATGCCAAAAATATGGTACTGTCACTGTTTCGAATTGCCAGATGATATTTCCATTTGGAGGTATTTTTCACTCCTCACATGAATCAATAAGAGAAATAGGACTAACTTAGCCCAAGGAATAATAATAGCCCATGTATGTATTAGGCAGCATTACTGTTGGGGAATCAACTAAAACTGAAATTCTACTTTCTCCTAAAGAGATTTATTATACATAGAGTCCTTATAATTGTACCTCTTTGTGCTGGTTTTCTCATCTGGGTCTGCCCTAGCTCCTATATGCCTGTCCTTGGCCTCATTCCTCCCTGTAGGAAAACCTCATCAGGTGCAAAGGGCACTGGAAGGGCATTCACTAGGATGCCACACAGGGTTCAATCCAGCCACTCGCCAGCTTCTCCCTGTGCGGTGCCAGCCATGGGTCCTGTGACCTCCCTTGAAGCCTGCCCAGTGCTGCTCACTGTCTCGAGAGCCCCAGACCTATGTGTGCAGCTCTCAGGGCATCTGGAAGAGCCTCCTAGGGAAGGCAACACAAGGGCGCAACAAGGAGGTGTGAGTGGGGTCTGGGATTTGCAGTGTTTTCCTGAAAGAGCTGGACTTTTACAAGGGAGGAAAAATGTTCTCTGAGTTTCCCAAACATCTGTTTTTGACTTAGTTTCAATGGAGGTGTTTTTGATGGCGGCTATCTTAGGGCTTCTGCATCATCTCCCTTGTGTTTGTCATGGAATTCCAACTACTCGAGCATTAAGTCTTGGATGCTGTTGTTCTATCCCAAGAAACATTCTTAAGAGAATTTGTGACGAATACAACTTCGTCTCCATCAGAACAGAGCTGTGTATATGTACCCATGCAGGCATGCAGAGAACCTGCTGGAATGTAAGAGAGTGAATTATAGACTTCAGGCTAGAGCAGCAAATTCTCAGGAAAAAATAAATTCAGAGTTTAAATTATTTCCTGTGAAAAGTTGCTAAGCAACACTTCACTAAACTCTGGTATTCTGTATTTCAAATATATTTTTTCTTAGCAGCAACTAATATTATTTTCACTCAAGTCGTAAAGGGAGGAGTGAAGTACACACCTGCAAATCCAATAAAGGCATTTGCCTGCCGGAGGCTTCACAGTAAACTTTTAGATTCATGCTGAATAAGTATGGGGGAAAGCAGTTGAATATTTTATACTATCATGGTATTTTTTTCTTGCTCTCTACATTTGCAGTGCTTTGTTAATGTGTGTTTCCCATTGGAACTGTAATTTTCCTATTTGTAGAATGAGTTTGGGTATTAACAGGTACTGTAGATTTTAATTAACTCATTGCTGTACCATCAGCTTCCCATCAGGCCCAGCCTTTGTGTCATCTTGCTCACAACTGGTATTCCCAACCCCCAGGCGAGAAACAAGCATGTGACTCAGAGGCGAGGTAGTAAAGTCCCTGGAAGAGTTGCCAGAGATGAGGTGGAGAGGCCCCATCCTGCATAAGGAAAGTCCATTTCATTATTTTAAACACTGCTCTGGCCAGACAGCTTACCTTCTATTTTTGTCCAAAGATTAGTGCCCTCTAATAGGAGTTTTAGCCAGAATAAAACATTTCTCTGAGTTAAAAGTGAATATTGAGTTCTCATCGTTTACTTTTTAGAACTATTTGGCCTTTGTCTTAGTCCATTTTGCTGCTATAACAAAATACCACAGACTGGGTAATTTATAAATAATAGAGATTTATTTCTCTCAATTCTGGAGGTTAGGAAGTCCAAGATCAAGGCACCGGCAGATTTGGTGTCTGGCGAGAATGGCTCTCTGCTCCCAAGACAGTCTTGTTGCTGTGTCCTCACATGTCAGAAGAGATGGAAAGACCAGGCAGCTATCTAAGCACTCCAAGGGTATTAATTTCATTTATGAGGGCGGAGTTGTCAGGTCCTAATCACCTCCTAAAGGCCCCACCTCTTAACACTGTTGCACTGGGGATTAAGTTTCAACTTGAATTTTGGAGAGGGCATAAACATGTAAACCATGGCAGCCTTGGATTGGAGTTTGTGAGTTTGTAATCATTTCCGGATCTTAGCTTCAGCACCATAAGCATGCAGATGTTGGTATTTCTCTCTGCTTGTGGACCATCCCTGGGTCTCCCCCAGGAGATCTAGAGCTGCCAGCACTGGCTTCCACCCTCTGTAACGGCTTTGAGGTCATGGCTCCTTTTGCCATCTCTAAAGAGTGTGACCCAAATGAGGAATGGCCATGGGAGGCTCACCAGGCGCAGAATTTAGGAGAGAAAAGCTTTGCCAAGAGTGGTGAACAGAGCTAGGATGCTGTGTTAACATGCCACTTTGCAATATTTGTGGTTGTCTGCTGCATTCATGTCCCAGGGCTGCCAGAACAAAGTACCACAAAGTGGCTGGCTTAGAACAACAGAAATGTCTCAGTTCTTGAGGCCAGAAATCTGAAATTAAGGTGCAGTTCCATGCTCCCTCCGAAATCCTGGGAGAATGCTTCTTGCATCTTCTCAATATTCTGTGATTTGCTGACAGTCACTGGAGTCCCTTGGCTTGCAGCTGTGATACTCCAATGTCACGTGTTTTCCTCTATGTCTCTGTCCTCACATGCCAGTTTCTTACAAGGACACCGGTTATATTGAATTAGGAGCCCACCTGTATTAGTTCATTCTCATGCTGCTGTAAAGGACTGCTCAGGACTGGGTAATTTATAAAGGAAACAGGTTTAATTGACTTACAGTTCTGCATGGCTGAGAAGGCCTTAGGAAACTTACAATCATGGCAGAAGGTGAAGAAGAAGCAAGGCACCTTCTTCACAAGACAGCAGCAGGGAGAAGTGCAAGAGGCTTATGAAACCATCAGATCTCGTGAGAACTCACTCACTATCAGAGAACAGCATGGGGGAAACTGCTCCCATGATCCACTCACTTCCCATCAGGTCCCTCCCACAACACGTAGGGATTATGGGAACTACAATTGAAGATGAGACTTGGGTGGGGACACAGCCAAACCATATCACCACCCCACAACAGTATGATGTCATCTTAGCTAATTACATCTACAATGATCTTATTTCCAAATAAGGTCACATTCTGAGGTTCTAGGGGGTTAAGCCTTTGGCATATCTTTGTTTTGGTGGGGAAGGGGACCAAAATTCAACCAGTAACAAGTACCAAGGAAGGAACTCAGATATGGGAATCATGAGAATCTTATTTCTACTTTTCCATTTGCTTTGGAGTGTTTGAAGCCCAGCGGACCTAAAATTCACATCTAGACCTAGTCTGTATGCAGAATCCACTCCATATGGCATGGCTCCTTGTGCTAAATGCAATTGTGGAGCCCCTTGTTAAAAAATTATTAAGCATTTCAGAACAACAACTACAGAGCATTTAACCAAAGGCAGGCCCCCTCTAAGACTGAGCCCTGTGAGGCTGCACAGGCCACACCCCAGGGAGCTGGGCCTGTCTGCTATCATGCAGAGGGCAGGGGTCGGGGAGCTGAAAGGTGATTTCAGCTTTTCAGGTTTTAGGTTTGAACTGCTGGTAGCAGGTTGATGGAGATCTGAGGACCACTTACATTTTCTATATCATGACTTTGCTTCAGGCAAAAAATTCATACTAGCAGGAGGGAATCTCCAGCCATCTGAAACACAGGGAATGCTGCCTACCTCAGAGAGAATCAATGAGAAAAGTAGAGGAAACAAGGCATAATTTTTAAGTGGCTGCTTATCTTTGTTAGGGGGAAAAACACCAAAAACTATCTTAAGCCAAAGATAGAGTTTTTTCTGCTAAATAAATGGCTTTTCACTCCATGATATATGATTTATAACCATTTTCATTTGCTTAAGTTCAGCTTCCATTTTAAAGAAAAGCTTTAGTTCCCAAGTTTCCATTAATACATACCACACTGTGTACTGGTATAAATTATGTGAAATTGAATTATTTTTCAATAAGCTGGGTTTCATAATTTTATTGTCCAATAAATTCAAAGCTGAGATTAATAAGTATTCTGTTAAAACCAGTGAGGGGATAATTTCATTCCCAAGTAGATAGTGTTTTGTATGTCCATGTTCAAACATGATGCAGAAATTGAGTCCTGATTTACCTCCCCACCTTGAACAGCTAAAAAACAGGACAAAATACTTGAAACAATGGCTTTAAGACATGGGTCAAAGGATACTATGGGAAATTGACCCTGATAAGAAGGGGAACAAAAAAAGTGAACTCTAGGATTGCTCCAGTTTCCTTTCTGGAGAGAGTCCGTGGGCTGTGACACAGGGAGGGGACCCAAACAGAGCCCAGCTAATTGCACTGAGTTGAGGAAACAGAATTCTGAGTTTGGGAAGACAAAGGTGCTGAAATTCTCAGGATGGAATACCAAGAGGTATGAGAAGAGTTGCACAGAGAGAGAGAGAGAGAGAGAGAGCTCTAGTGATTTGTAGAGGGTCCCACCAATTCATCAGCAGAGTACTGACAGGCACATGCCTAAGAGCAATCTACTGAGGCCAAAGAAAAAAGCTCCAGGAAAGAGCAGGTGAAATAATTTCTGGTACTCGCACAGGCCCTGAAAGAGCAGGTACAGTGAGAAGGGGACATTGCCTACTGATAAAGGAATTAGTACCTCAGGAGGAGCTAACAGTTTCAAATACCTGTGCCCCTAGTAAGAGAAATTCAGAATACATGATGTAAAAATCCATGTTTACTCAGAGATTTTAGTACCCATTTCTCAATAACTGCTGAGACAAGAAGAAAGAAAATGAATAAGGATATAGGAGATTTGAAAAGTCCCATTAAACAAGTTGACCTAATTCATCTTTATAGAACACGTCCCAACAATGAAGAGTGTGTTTTCTTTGAAATGCATGTGGAACATTTATTTACTAAGATAGACCATATTCTGGGCAACAAAGTGTTGCTGAGTTTAAAAGGGTTGTTATGATACAAAGTATGTGCTTTGGGCATAATGGACTTAAATTACAAATCAATAACATTAAAAAGTCTGAAAAATTAATAAATAATTGGAAGTTAACCAACACAGTTCTAAATAACCCATGAGTCCAAGAAGAAATTAAGGGGAAATTAGAAAGTATCTTGAATTCAATGAAATGAAAACATGCTGTATCACGATCTGTGGAATGCACCTAAGGCAGTGCTTAGCAGGAAAGTGATAACATTAAATGTTTATGCTGAAAAGAAGAAAGGACTGAAATCAGTAACTTGAACTTTCACTTTAAGAAAATGGAAGACAAATTAAAAGGAACAGAAAACAACAAAATTGGAAGCAGGAAAACAATAATCAGTGAAATCCCAACTGGTTCTTTGGGAAGGTTAGTAAAATTGGTGAAACTCTAGCAAGACTGATTGGGAATAAAGATAGAAGATAAAATGATTGATATTAGGAATATGAAAGGGGTTATTGTTATAGGTTCTACAGACCTTAAAAGTTTAATAAGGAAATATTATGAGCAACTCTTTCCATTAAATTTCACAATATAGATAAAATGGGCAAATTTATTGAAAAGCGAACCAGTAAAACTCATTCAAGAAGAAATAGATAAATGAAATAGCTCTATATGTAGAAATAATTTGAATAGGTAGCTAAATATCTTCCTATAAAGAATGCTCCAGGTCCAAATGGCTTCCCTGGTGAATTATACCAAAGTTTAAAGAATAAGTAATCTCAATTCTACAGAAATTCATCCACAAAATAGAACAGGAAGCATTTCCCAACTCATGTCATGGGGCCACCATTACTCTGATAAAAGCAAAGACATTCCAAAGAAAGAAAACTACAGACCAGTATCTTTCAGGAACATGGACACAAACATTCTAACCAAAATTCAAATCAAAATTTATCAAGTGATTACCACATTTAATCTAGTAACACATATATATGTTCATGTGTGTATGTATATATATATACTATATATATATAGTATATTGATATACTATATATATAGTGTATATATATAAAGGATAACATGAACAAATGTAGTTTATCTCAAGAATGCAGAGTTGGTTTAATATTTTAAAATCAATTTTCGTGATTCACCACCTTAAGGATAATTTCAACAGGTGCACTGTGTGTCACCATTTCAGCAGATGCCAAAAAGGCTTTTGTAGTCTTACATATTGGAATCATCTGTTAGAAATGGAAAAAAACCATTTAATATAAACTCAAAAATAGGAAATACTTAGAAGTAAATTTGAATAGATATGTGCAATTTCACTACACAGAAAACTGTAAAGCGTGGTTGAGAGAAGTTAAAGAGCTAGATAACTGGAGAGAGATTCTGTTCATGGATCCAATGACAATGTTAAATGTTAATTCTCCCCAAATTTAACCAACACAGTTTCTCCCCAAATTTGATCAACACATCTTGAGATTCAGTACAATCCTAATTGAAGTCCCAGCAAGCTTTTTCATAGAGAGTAGGAAGCTGGTTCTAAAATGTATATGGAAATGCAAAATACCCCTTAAAATTTGAAAAAGCAGGACATGGAGATCTTACCCTACCAGATTTCATGATTTATTATAAAACTACAGTAATCAAGATAGCGTGATATTGGTGTAAAAATAGACATTTAGGCCAATGGGATACACTAGACTATCCGGAAATAAGTCCCATGCCTATGTGGTCAGTTTATTTTTGACAATGTTCTAAGCCAATTCAGTGGGAAAAGTATAAGCTTATCAGTAATAGTTGCTGAAAGAAAAGACAGATGGTTTTGTGCAAAAACTAAACTTCTACTCTTACCTCACACAATGTATAAAAGTTAACATGAGATGGACCATAGATGTAAATTTTAGATTGAAAATTATTAAACATCTGGAAGAAAACATGAAGAAAGCTGTTAGTACCCTTGTGTTAGAAAATGATTTCTTGAATATAACACACAAAAAGGTGGGAACTATTAAAAAAAAAAACCCTGATAGATAAAATTTTATGAAAGTTGCTTTGATTTGACCAAAATTAAACACTGTTACCATTCAAGGGCATTGTTATGAAAATGAAAATGAAAATGCAAACCACAGGCAGGAAAAAATAGTTGCAAATCATTATAAAATCTGACCAAGGACTTTTACTTAGGATATATAGAGCAGACTGACAACTTAATCATAAGACAAATAACAACAAAAAACTAGCAAAACCTTCAAAAAATACTTTATCATGGAAGACAGATGGTTGGCAAATACATGAAAACATATTCAGTATTACTGATAGGGACAGGAGGCAGGGAAATTCTGGGCAGAAGAGGGTGGATCCCTGGTGAGGGCCCCACCCTCAAGCATGAAACTGTGGCCCAAAGTGAGAACATACATCCCTGTTTTCTCGCTGGAGTGTTGCCTTTTCCAAAACCACCCATGACCACCCCACCCCTATCCTGTGCCCCTAAAAACCTCAAGCTCTACTGGCAGAGAGAAGAGAAGCAGCTGGATGTCAGAGACTACCATTGAACGTTGGAAAGAAGTGTCTTGACTTCAGAGGGATAGCTGTCTGACAGTGTAGCTTTGGAGAGGAGTCCGGCTGGGGATGGCTGGACTCTGGGGGAAGATTACTCTTCCGCTCTGTCCCCTTTCAGCTCCCCTTCCCACCGAGAGCCACTTTCATTGGCAATAAAATCTCCTTCATTGACCATCTCCGATTTGTTTGTGGGACTTCTTTCCTCCTGGGCACTGGACAAGAATGTGTGTGTGGGTGCAAAAGGCTGTAATACTGACCTTCCACTGAGCTGTTAATACTTAAGCTGTCCGCAGATGACAAAGCTAAAAGAGCACTGGATGTAACACTCCTTCTGGGGCTTCAGGGGTCATGGGTTACCCACTAGATGCTGCTGCAGGGCTGGTACAGAGTTTTTTCCTGCCAGCGCCCAAAAGCATTCACCCTGGCTCCTGGACCCGCTCACCTTCGTGCTCCATCCCACGAGGGGTTGAGTGCACAGGTTCGAGTGACTGGAGTTCACCCCAGCTGGCACGGAAGTAGCTGGCAGTTCCAACGCCCACACTTCAGTTCCTGCCCATGAAGGGGTGAGGGAAAAATCCTGCTTCATTTTTAACTATTAGGCAAATGCAAATTCAGAGCCCAGTGAAGTACTGCTATGTACAATTTAGATTTGCTAAAAGTCAAAAGCTGATTGTACACAATGTTGGCCAAGACATAGAGGGATGGGTACAATGGGCACAAGGACACTTTTGGGGTGATGGCTGTGTTCTTTATCTCAATTGTGGTGATAGTTTCACAGGTGTTTATGTATGTCAAAACTCATCAAATTGTACAATTTCAACATGTACTGCTTATTGTACTGCATGATGTACTGCTTATTGTACATCAGTTATACCTCAGTAAGGGTGTAAGATGGTGTATAGGATTTTGTAGCATACAAAGAATGTTCACATTTTTCATTTCAAACTATTAACACTTGTCTTCAGCAGGTGTTGTTCACATGGTAAACATGAAACAAAACAAGGCTGAGATACAAAAGAGATTTGGTGACTCGCCAAAAAACGTGTCCAGGCTGGAAACCACTGCTTCTTCCTTCTTTCCATTCAGATATGCTCACTCCATCACTCTTGGCCTTCCCTCTTTTTTGCCTTTATTGTGAAGTAGAATAAAGTTACTGAGATGGTCTAAGAAAATGACAGTATTTCTATTTTTATCAAGTTTACTTAAGGAGGAGACGATTCCTTGGGCAAACACATATTTTATTAATTTTTTTAAAAGATTGTAAAATCAGTTGCTGAGTTTTAAAAAAATTCAGTCTCTCTTCAATGTCTTTAACTTAAAAAAACCATACATGGTTTGTGTGTGTGTGTGTGCACACACACATACAATGCCTAGGTCACCAAGCTGTATTTCTTTAATATTCCTGAAATGCGAAAATTACTTTTATCACAGTTTTTACTTCCTGAGGAGGGACGTAGCCAAAGAATGAAATATTCTAAGAAGCATAAAAACCATAAAACACATTACTCCAAAAATTGTGGAACAGTTAGATAACTTTTGTTTTTGTAAGCAGATAAGCCAAATTCCTTGAAGAAAGAAAAAAAAATGGAAGATTTATTTTAATAAATCAAATAATAGAATTGAATTGTATTGTATTGGCCTAGATACAAATAAAGAGACCTTGGGAACAGAATGGAGAGCTCAGAAAGAGACTTGTTTATGTGGCAGGGGTGAAATTAAAACAGCGAGAACAGGAGGGAGTACTTGATACATTTAAAAAATGATTGAAATAAATTAACAAAAGAAAAAAATTGGCTATCTTTTGGAGAAAATCAGATTCCTACTTCTGTCATGTCATGTCTTCATGTCATACAAATTAAAAATTCATTAAAATACAAATTAGTTAATAATACAAATTCTAGGTGGATTAAAATCTAAGAAAAGCAAACTAGTAAAGTTTTCAAAAAAGTGCAGAGGGAAATCTCCTCATGACGTCAATACAGGGAAGAATTTCCTAAATATGCATGAAAAGCAAACATTTTAAGTAAAGAAAGAATGATGACAAATAAATGCAAAAGAAAAGACCCATCCTAATTCATTCTGCATATTTGCAGCTACCCACTAGTCTTACACGCATGCATGGGACTCCTGGAGACGTTTGTTCGTGTCAGCATTGTCTATTATAGGAAAGGAAAAAAAGGAATAACCTAAATGGTAATCAGTTGGGAACTAGATAAATCAATTTGGCATTTTCATCCAATGAAATACTAAGTTAGAGTGAAAGGAATAAAGTACATCTGCATATATCAGAAGTTGTCCCATATTCTTTTAACATATGGGGCATAGTTTAACTGCAGATGTAGTAGGCTGTGTGTGCTGCATTCACTGACTTGCATTCCAAGCCACCTTCACCTTAGAGACAGCTTTGAAGAAGATGGGATTCAGAAGCTGGATATGACATGGATACTTCTTTCCTTATTGAAAATTGGAAGCCACCCAGGTCAAGTGTAGGACATATAAACTCCACATGCTCTTAGGATGTGCACACAAACTCTAAGTGCCATCATAGGCTATTTAATAAATGCAGAAGCATGCTTTTATAATTGGGAGCATATCTACCTGCTAGTTTCTGGTGTAGCCTCTGCAGGCTTTCCTCTGACTATTTGTGAGTTTCACAGAGAGGAAAAGGGACCTAGCCCATGCAAGATGGAAGTGGGATTCTACAAAGCGTGTCTCCCACATTGTGGTTATAAAGAGCCAATGGTCTCAGCCAAGACTCTTTCAGCGTCTGTGCTGTGGGAGGCCTGCATGGGTCCAAAATCTCTTTCCTAGCTTTATAGGGAAGATTTGAGAGTGGTGAATTAATTTACTTTCATCCAAATGCCAATTTATTATTCAATTGCTATTAAGAGAATGCTCCTATCGCTAACCAAAATATCTTCTTTCTGGTGTTAGGTTACCTGGGAAACCCATTCAGTTGGGTGTGTTTTGAGGATCAGATCAGAACAGAGGGGATTATGTGTTCTCCTTGCGTGTTTTCTTCAGGCTACAACAGAATCCGAGGAGTATCACTGTCACACTATGTGGTCGCTATGTTGTGCCACGGTCTTGGGCTATGTTACGTGAAGATTCTGTGAGATCAGTGTCAGTGCTTCTCCAACATTCTCAAGTGAACTGATGTAAGCTCACTTACATTAAATGTGGCCCAGGGAAGAGAATGAATATTTTTGGAATACTAGCATTGTGCTTAGCCATTTGTGGAAAACCTGGGCTTAGTTTTGGCTACGGCTTTTCTTCTCGCTGCCTGATGCCTCTTCACTCATGACTTAACACATCTGCCAGTGGGAGAACCTATCCTTTTCATCATACGACATAATCAGAATTTCCAGCAGAAATGCCCAGCAAGTTCTAGATTCTGTGACCAGCAGGGACAGTTCAGGGCATACAACAGCTCATTTCTAAGTGCAGGAAACACTCTCATTGCATTTAAGCTGTTAATTACATGAACATACTTTTCCTTAAGAATTCAAAACGATTTCTTATAGTTCCAATTGGAAAATCATGGCCCTGAGAGTAGTTGGAGAATGTGTTGACTATTAAAATACCAGCTTAGGTTTCTTTCTCATTTTGAGCCAAACTCTATTTTGAGTATAGGACATTGTCCACGTGTGTCAATAGTAGGACCAAACAGGGCTCAGCTTTACTCACGATGCTGGGATGTTTACATTCAACAGAATTTAACATCAGACTTGGGCATTTATAGCTGTTAGACATGAACAAAGTTCTCAGATAACTGAGCAGTTTTTTCCCACCCAACAGTGACTTTATAATGGTGGACTTCTGTAGAATGAAGGCACTGTAAAATTTTAGAAGCCTTCAGAAACCTCAACATTTTAGCCTTGGTTTTTGAGTAGAGTCAGAATGGAGTGAAAATATAGTCAGTTTCCATTATTTGCAGGTTCCATATTTGTGAATTTACCTACTCTCTGGAATTTCTTTGTAACTCCAAAATTAATTATTGGTGTCATTCACAGAGTTCAATGATAATTAATTAACACTGTATTAAATACAGTATCTTTAAACAGACGCACACATAAAACAAGGTTCTGCATTGATTTGTTGACGAAAATATTGTGACCAGGGGTGCATAGGAACATAACCCTGTATTTAATGATCAGTTTTCTCTAATTCAGTGTCCATGGCAACTTTATAGACATAACTACCTCGAGTAAAAAGAATTGACCATACCTTAGCTTGGGAGAAGTGAACAATGGCAATATCAATAAAATAACCTATGGAAATGACATTGCAGTTGCTGACTTCACATTCTATCTCTATCGTTGCCTTCTCCACCTTCATATCTGATGTAGTGAAACAATATATGCCTTGGCTTCGATGTCTCTGTGAGTTGTGTTTTTGTCCCACTCAACAATTTAAGCCTATTGTTGACATATAGTAAAACCGTGATTGTATTAGAAAACCTGTAGAACAGGTCCATGCCAAGGATTAAGGAATTTCAGGATTAAAATTCTGAGACAAAGATCCCTAAGTCCGCATGTCTTTGATAAATCATCCCTGGATGTTGACAGTGACATTTGCTCATCAGCCACCAGTGCCTTTGGCAAGGAATTGCCTGCAGGTGGCGGATCAGGTGACGCATCATCGCGGCACTCTTGTGGGCTCCTGAGACAGCCATGTAAAGAGAGCCTAAGGATAACATGCCAGGCGTGTGCAGCCTGTTTGGGACACTTTTGTGATGGGAGTGGGTCTGATCCAGATAAAACCACTGCCTCTTCCTCAGGGCGTGTGCTAGGGAATCTTTTGATGTCAGGCCAGCTGAACTTGTTGGAGCCGAGCCACCTTCCCCATGCTGAGTGGTGTGAAATCAGCTCCACCTTCACAAGGGGCTGTTTCTGTCCCTCCAGTGGTATTTAAGGAGAGAAGGGACCCTCTAAAGGGGCCACCAGGATCAGGCCCAGCTCTGCTTTGTAGGCACCAGCTGTGGGGCCCGTGCTTCCCTCCATCATGCAGAAGGTTGCAGGAACTCAGGCCAGGAGGTGTCATTAGGACACATTACAATGTGCTGGACAGGACTTTTACAAAGTGCTGGTGTTCAACAGCAGCCCATGCATGTAAGGGATTGGCTTATGGGTGCTCAGCCTCCCCTGTGATCTTTTTCAGCCCCCTCAAGCTACTACAGAGCTATGTAAAATGATGGTATTGGCTTTGCAAACCCAACTTTAAGACATGTTCCAGCCTCCCCTCCCGAGACAGGCTACCCAAGGCCCCTGCAGGAGGAAAAATTGGGGAGCCACAGACCACACGTGTTAACCCACACTGCTGTGAGGAGTTCGGAGTGGAAGTTAAGAGCACAGGTCTGCAATCCACTGAACTAGGCCACTTTCAGTGTCACCGTGCACACGTTACGAAGACCCTGGTCAGGGAAACCACTTGTCCTCAGTTTCCTCATCTATAAAATCATAATCATAACAGCAGCAGCTCAGAGGGATGTGGGAGATTTGCAAAGATAGTTCTTAGCACAGTGCCGGGCACGGCGTGATAGGTACTCGGGAAATTTTAGTGATTGCAATGAGTCTTCCAGTGTCCCAGAGTATCTTTTCCTGAACTCTGAATGTGGTGCAGCTCCTTCGTTCAACAGGTGAGTAATAAAGATACTGATACCAATGGGATCTAGGCTGCATTTGAGTTACTTTTTAATTAGCACTTTGAACAGTATTTCTTGTGCAAAATTTATGTGCTGAAATCAGAAAGCACAAGAAGAGTATAAACTTTTGCAGTAATGACAGCAGTGTGCAAATTTTGAATGAAGCACAAGTCTCAGAATATCCCTTTCCTTTGTTCTTCTGACCCTGTTGGCAAGATTTTTGTGCTCCTGTGGTCTGGCCACCATTTCTTAGACTAAACCCTGTGCAATGATCATCTTGATAAGAAAAGAAAAGAAATGTGTGGCATTTTCATATAACTCAACTCACTGATTACAATCTATTTATTTCCCTTTTGTGTGGTAGCCTGGCTGGCTAGAGGCATTTCTTACATTGTTGTAAATGTCAACTCCATTTCAGCCAAGAAGGTCCACCGGAAGATTCCAGATGGAAAGGTGGTGGACAAGATATTTTTGAAAGCCTCAAAACTGACTCCCCTTCTCCTTGTTAGGGCATTGTGCTTACCCACCGTTATTTATTTCAGTTCAACAAGTAATTATGGAGAGGCTAGGCCCTGGAATTAGAGCAGGAAACAGAAGGAATGAAACCTCTTGCCCTCATGGAGCTTACACTCTACCAGGAGAAGGAGCAAACATAACATGCAACGCATCAGTAAGTTTTATACTTGTTAGAAGATGGAGAGTATTGTGGGGGAAATAAGTGAATAATATGAGGGAGACTGCAGTGCTGGGCTAGCAGAGAGAGGGTAGCAATGATGACTTGGATGATGTAGGAGACCAACATCTACTATAAAGAGAGGGACTCAGGGGTGTGGCTGTGGTTTAGGGGGACAGCAGGGAGGTGTGAGTGCTGGAGCAGCAATAGCCAGAAACACTGAACTCTGAGTTTGGTTTTACTGCTTGCCCGCTGTATGTGACTTAATTTCTTTGAGCCTCAGTTTCTTCATGTGTAAAATGGGTATAATGAAACATCACAGGTCAGTTTCCAGATTTGATGGTTAATAAATCCTTTAGTATTTACTGCATGTGTCACAGAGAAAATGCTGAGTGAACAGTCGGAGGTTCTGTTAGGAGCAGCAGGGTGGCATTTGAAGGGCCTGATTCTGCCCTGGGCTGTGAGGCTGGCCAGCTGATGTGAGAACCCTCAGGGTCCCTTGGTTTGAGAGAGGACAGCAGGACACAGCACGTTGAGCAGTGCTCTCAGGCCAGCTCACCTGGGAGCAACACAAGGGTCATGTCCTCATTTCCTGTCTTTTCTCTCCCACCAATGCTGCAAAATGTACCAGTACCTGGACACTGTGAGTGCATTTCTCTGTTGTTGGTGTGACCACAGAGGGAAAGCAGAATTAGGAAGACATCATTGCCATGAGGTAGACTTTCTTACGTATGATCTTTTATTTTTAGAAAATCATTTTATAAAGAAGTAGAGTGTATTAGTCTGTTCTCACACTGCTAATAAAGACATACCCACTACTGGGTAATTTATGAAGGAAAGAGGTTTAATTGACTCACAGTTTTACCTGGCTGGGCAGGCCTCACAATCATGGCTCAAGGTGAATGAGGAGCAAAGACACGTCTTACATGGCGGCAGGCAAGAGAGCTTGTACAGGGGAACTTCCATTTATAAAACCGTCAGCTCTCATGAGACTTATTCACTACCATGAGAACAGTATGTGGGGAGACCACCCCCTGATTAAATTATCTCTACCTGGCCCCACCCTTGACACATGGGGATTATTACAACTCAAGGTGAGATTTGGGTGGAGACATAGCCAAATTGGGTTAAGATACACACACACACACACACACACACACACACACAAAAGTATGTGTGTACATATACATTATGCATATAGTAACCTCATTAATATTAACTATTCTCTATTAGAACACTTGTAATTTATTAAGTTCATATCAAACAAAATGGAATAATGGTAACTACTATCAATGAGAAAGTGTCACGGAGAAAGTTCCAGAGTCCATATTTTATACACAATCCATCTGATTGTAGAAGACATTGTGGAAGAGTCCAGGGCACTTCATGTCATGGATGAGGATGGAGAAGAGCAGGAGGAGCTAAGCTGGCTGCAAGTTTTGAATGTGGCAGAGAGGAGAAATGGGAGACACAGGTGGGAGGGAGTGAAGGAGTTTACCACTCTACAGGTGAAGAATTCCGGGGGTGAGAGGAGAGTTCAGAGCTCAAGAGAAAGGTTGTTTTAAAAGTAAACCTGCGATTGTTCCAAAGCTGTGGAATAAGATGGGTGAGAAGTACAGAGAAGAGGGGTGGACAGCATCCACATCACAGGAGAAGTTCCAGCTATGTGTAGTGACTGTGATGTCAAAGATGAGAGAATTTAAAAATGATAAGAATAATGAAAGATGTCAAGAAGTCCTAGGTCTGAGGAGAGGGTGCTCAGGTTTGGCTTAAATTCAAGTTGTTATAATAGAGTGGACATCTATCCAGTCAAGATGAGGATTTCGTCATGCATTACTTTTATATTTATTAAAAATGAGCCCTCACTTAGAGATCGCATTAAATTATATAGCAAAGGATGTTCTTGATTTTCTTTCACAGGGAGCTAGATGATTCACTGAAGAAATACACTGCGCGCACTCAGCTTTTATGATTATGCTCTAAAATGTTTAATTGCAGAAGCCTTTCAAGTATTTTTTCCCTAAGCTACTTTAAAAAAAATCTTTTCATTTTGCGTTTCAGAGTTGAAACATGCATTTTTGCAGATGAATGATTAACAGGACCTATTTTATCCTGAACATTTTGAGTCTAGGCCTTTTGCACGCACAAGCTACATGGAAACAGCATTCTCTGTCCCTTATTCAGCCTAATTCAGCCCTTCCAGAGTCCCCCAAACACCACCATGTTGCTTTATAGGAGGAAACACAGTGACAGATCCGCTAATGAGGATTAAAGATGCCAGTGATCCTTCATGGTGAGAAATTTCTTAGAGATAGGAAAAACCCTAGGAAGCAGCAGATGATTTTCAAAATGTCAAAAACAGAATTTATGATACAAAAGAAATCAATAAATGCTGACATATAACCATGTCGGATAAGCCAGAAAAAGAGCAGTGTGGCCCAAGAGTTGAGCAGAAGAGGCAGTCACATGGAGGGTTATGAGGGGCTGAGCCAAAGAACCCACTGGAGCTAGAACAGCCCTTTGAGGTAGAAGATGCTGCTGTCTCCACGTTACAGGTGAGAAAACCAAGTCATAGGAAGTTAGCGCAGGCAGGGAACGGAGCTGCAGAAATTGAACGTGGTTTTGTACCTTTGGAGGATGGGAGCTCAGCCAGAGGCTACAGTCAGGGTGTAGAGGGCAGGACGGTTTTGGAGATACGTTCTTAGGAAGAAAGGAATTTTGAATGCCTGAAAAAAAAATCAAGTGACTGAGGGACACAAACTTCTTGACTTCTGGGGATTTCCAAGGTTTGGAGTTGAGGCGTCCAGCAATGTCTGGTCAGCTGTCCACTGAGAGTAGTTTGGCAAGACTGATACATGGGAGACGGAATGGAATTGCAGCAGCAGCCATTGTCACAACCTACTTCCTGATGGCTGAAATCCCTAAACTGGGGTATAACAAGTATCAATTAATGCCTTCGAGTGAAGATGCTTCGCTGAGTGATACTGCATGTCATATTGATGAAATTTAATTATTTTTAGTGTTTTTTTTTTAAATAATCAGTCAATATAAAAGTTAATGGACATGTACACACATTTTCTTGACTTGATGACTAGGATGATAGCGTGCTGGTAAACCACCTGACAGAGGAAAAAAAATAAAGAAAAAAAGCCCTGATTTATAGTGGTTGCTGTTTTCCAAGGCATAACTATGCCCCCATGGTTCATTTCAAGCTGCCACTGGCTCCCAAAATGCTTATATAACCACCATGATATTTGTGATGGTTAGTTTTATGTATTAACTTGGCTAACCATAGTACCTCATAATTCAATTAAACACACGTCTAGGTGTTGCTCTGAAGGAATTTTGTAGATATGGTGGCACATCTCTAATCAATTGACTTCAAAGAGGTGGTTCTTGAAATTCTGGGTGGACCTCACCCCATCAGCTGGAAGGCCTTAAGAGCAAAATTGGAGGCTTCCCAGAGCAGAAGACATTCTGCCTCAGGTCTGCAGCCTCAGCTCCTGCCTCAGTGTGTCCGGTCCACCAGCCCGCCCTCGTCATGTTAGACTTGGCAACCGCCACAATTACATAAGTGAATCCCTTAAACTCTCTCTGTTTTTCTGGTATAGGTCCTATTGATTCTATTTCTGTGATAGGACCCTGACTGATACACCATTATCACACTTAACAAAACTAACCATGTCTGCTTGCTGTGACACAATCCAGTCTATACTCTGATTGCCCCAGTTGTCTCAAAAACGTCTGTTGTTTGCATTTGGTTTGATGTAGTCAAAATCCCCATTAGGGACATTAATTGCATTTGCATGTTGTGCCTCCTGTGTGTCTTCTCATCCAGACTAGTCTCTCCTCTTTTGTTCCTATCCAACTTGAATCCTCTAAATTGCTCATCTTACAAGCTCTGTCTTGGGCTGTGCAATGCCTCACATTCTAGATTTGTCCATTTGCTATCTCCTTGGGCTTTTAGCTTGTGTCTGGGTCTTTGTACTGAATATGTTCTGTAAACTGAGCGGTACCTCTAATGGCTTCATTAGATTTGGTTTAACTTTTAATTTTTGGAGGCGAGGACAAAAATGCTACCCTGGTGGTGTGTGTTCCCCTGGTTGTGATCAGGAGAGATAGCGTGTCTTTCTGTCCCAGTCTTCCTGGGACTGAGATAGATCAGTGGACTCAGAGGGTGACAAACTGATGCCTCCACTGCTCTTTCTCTCACTGCCCTTTCATTTCTTGGTTTCATCTCTCACTCACCCTGGTTTGGACTCATTATTTCATTTGTTTCTCTACTTTTCTTGAAATTATCCTGTAAGGAACTTTCACTTATGAGTAGGGCTAATTAGTTTATCTGAAATGAAACTTGAATAGGAAAATAGGAATAAATTGTTAACTTTCTCAACAACTGCTAATTTTCAGAGTAAGGAATCTGTGCCCTATTACTCGGTGATTAATTTTTCTGGGGGGAGTTGCTTTCTTTTTGGAGGGCATCACATAAACTCTTGGATTGATACTCCTGAATATTATCCTAAATGTTCTTATGTAGTTGATGTGTTTCTATCAGTTACAGCCATTATTTTTGATGCTCAAATTATCCCTTCTTTGGCTAGTCAGAGCCCCATGACGTTCACTTCTGCATCCTTGGACACAGCCTGTTAGTCTTTCTTAGCTTTTGGATTTCTGCACAACAAAATACCCCTGACACACCCTCCATCTTTCCTTTTCCACAGCAGGGATGGGAATGGTGTTTAAGGAGGGCTCATTGCTCCATGTCATTGTTTTCATGTATTTTTAGGAGACAGAACTAGAAACGAAGTGTTTTTGAAGAGAAAGAGACCATGAGTTTATGCTAACATTTCTTATTTAAATTTAAAATTATGAGATCGGAACTTCAGTTTTATGCCTGAATATACTCTTACATTTAAAATCTACGTACTCAACACCTTTAAATAATTATTTATTCTTGTTTTATTGTGGAATACAAGGCCGGGCGTGATGGCTCACACCTGTAATCCCAGCACTTTGGGAGGCCGAGGCGGGTGGATCACGAGGTCAGGAGATCAAGACCATGGTGAAACCCCGTCTCTACTAAAAATACAAAAAATTAGCTGGGCGTGGTGGCGGGTGCCTGTAGTCCCAGCTACTCGGGAGGCTGAGGCAGGAGAATGGCGTGAACCCAGGAGGCAGAGCTTGCAGTGAGCCGAGATCACGCCACTGCACTCCAGCCTGGGCGACAGAGTAAGACTCTGTCTCAAAAAAAAAAAAAAAAAAAAAAAAAAAAAAGGATACGTATGTGAGCACGTACACATATTTATATATAATATACATTTTTGAAACACCAGTATTAACACTAATACTATGACCACTGATTGAGTGCTAAGATTTTTTTGTTGCTGTCTCCATTCTAAGGATGCATTTCACGAAATACATAGGGTCGGAATATTGTGTTTTAACATCCCTTGGAATATTTTCTTGCTGTTTTTGTGATTCTCCCTGATATATAGTTGTGTTGACTTTGTTTTAAATTTTCAGCAGTTTTCATCTGTAAAACTTAGATTGACTTTTTGGATATATAAAATGCATAATTCCAAACTTGTAACTATATGGCTATCTATATATAATCTCAGAGAGATTTCAGGTAAATCTTCCTCATACCTGCTATTTTTGTCCTGTTCTCTTCAAGCCCCTTTTGGTGAACAGTTCTGCTGGTTTTGGTTTTTATCTCTTTTTTTTTTTTTTTTTTTTGAGACGGAGTCTCGCTCTGTCTCCCCGGCTGGAGTGCAGTGGCGGGATCTCGGCTCACTGCAAGCTCCGCCTCCCGGGTTCACGCCATTCTCCAGCCTCAGCCTCCCGAGTAGCTGGGACTACAGGCGCCCGCCACCACGCCTGGTTAATTTTTTTTGTATTTTTAGTAGAGATGGGGTTTCACCGTGTTAGCCAGGATGGTCTCAATCTCCTGACCTGGTGATCCTCCCGCCTCGGCCTCCCAAAGTGCTGTGATTACAGGTGTGAGCCACCGCGCCGGGGCTGTTTTTATCTTTTTAGTTACTCCTTTTTTTTCCTCCTAAAGGATATTCTATAGCTAACACTCTGTATCAATATACAGAGCTCATTTTTTGGCTGCATGTTTCATTTCACTGTTTATCTTAATTCATTAATCATTCCAATATTGATTGACATTGGAGTTATTTTCAATCTTTTACTCTTAGCAATGCTACAATGAATAATTTTTTCCATTTTTGCCGGTGTATCTTTGGGATAGTCTCTAAGGAACAGGATTTTTAGGGCAAAGGATGAGCATGATATTGCTGGCTATTGTTCATTTTACTCCCCCGGGCTTGGACTGCTTTTCTTCCCCAGTAGTGCCTAACAGTGCCTGGGTTGCAGCTTGCCAATCAGGTGAGTGCATTATCACACAGTTAGAGAAACGACATCCCAAGGCAGATTTGATTTGCATTTTGTTTGTTATAAGTGAGCTTGAGCAGCTTTTCATGTGTCCAAAGGACATTTGAATTTTTTCTCCTCTCCACTGTTTGTTTGTGGTCTTGCCCGTTATTGGATTAGGTTGTTCTCCAGTTTTAAGAGTTCTTTATTCATAGGGATATTTGTCATTTACCTTTGATTTAAGTTGCAAAGATTTTCCCCAGTTTTTACCTTGTCTTTTGCATTTTGGTGTGATGTTTTGCATACAGAAGTTCTATTTTAAGTTTTTATGTAGTTAAGTAGATCAATCTTATAGTGTGTTTGGAGACATATTTAGGAAGTCTGTTTCCCCTCACTCCCACTGCTGGGTTATAAAGCAGTGCACTTTCATGAGCTCAGTTTTACACTTAGATTACTGATTCATGGGGCATTTGTCCCCGTGGGAAGTGTGACATGCATATCCAGTGTCATCTTTATCTATGTGGCTACCCAGCTGGCCCAGTGCAGTTTACTGGAAGGTCACCCTGCTTTCCTGTGCTTCATCTCCACTTGCACTCAGGTCATTTCATCGATTTCATTTTCTTCTGTTAGCCTCTGTGGGTGCCAGGACCACTCTGTTTTATTTTTGGAAATTATATGTTTAATATCTGCTAGATCTTTTATAATATTACACATTTTATAATGGACTTCCTACCCTCAGAAAAAAATTAAAACATGTAGATGTTTTTATGGGGATTGCATTAAAATTATAACTAAACCTAAAGAGAAGTGGTGACTTTGTGATCTCATCCAAAAACATTACATTTTCCATTTATGCATGTCTACATGAATCATTCTTTCAGGAGTGTTCTAAGTTCCTCATACAGGTTTAACACGTATCTCATTTATGTGCCTCAGCATTGCATTTTTTATCATTCATTCATTCAATTATTTTATTATGTAAAAGATATTTTCTAGCACTGTGTCTTCTTTTTTTCATATTTTTGTTTTAAATTGGGTTTATTGATTTTTCTCTCTTAAATTCATGTTCTGCTATTTGAAAGAATCCTCATATTGTTTTCAACAGTCTTTTAATGCACTTTTGAATCTTCACACAGTTTTATCTGCATATAAAGATTGTTTTATGTCTTTTCTCCTTCAATTCTGGTGCTTCTAATTGCTTTCTCTTGTCTCATTGCATCGTCTAATACATCCATTACCATGTTTAATAATAGTGGCGACAGTTGGCATCTGTGCAGTTTTTCTCACTCTAGTAGGAATCTCTCCAGTGTTTCCATATTAAGTAAGAGCTGGCATTTGGACTAAAATTTTTATATTTACATAATTACATTCAATGTTAAGTAAGCATCCATCAACTCCTCTTTTACTGGATGTTTTTATAAAGAATTGTTGTTGTATTTTGTTAAATGCCTTTTGATGTTTTTGGAAATGAATTTCATAGATCATTTAATATCTTCAACTATATTTAAGAAACTTGATTGTTCGTTGTAGTCTCTGGCATTATAAAGCACCTGTATTTGTTTTATTTTAAATAATTTTTATTCTAAATTTCATGATGTGTGATATCAAATTCTAACTTCAGATTATATTTTATTGCTTTTGCCTGGTAATTTCTTTTACATTTCTTTGTTTTTAAGCTTTCTGGGATATTTCAATTGTCTTTGTTGCTTGAGGCCAAGAATTCAAGACCAGCCTGGGCCACAGAGCAAGACCTTGTCTCTGAAATAAATACATACATACATACATACATACATACATACATACATACATACATAAATGTGAGTCTTTGGTATACAGAATAGAGTTATTGTTTTGTAACCCGAAAGTCTTGTTTTTATAGGTGAGAGAGGGCCATTTGCATTTATCGATGCAGTCAGCATTCTTGGTCTCAGTTCTGCTGTGAGTGAACACACAGTTGGATCCATACCCACGTGTGTGCACAGTATAGATACATAGTCTTGCCATGCGGTCTATTTGTTTTATTTGCTTATTTTAAAAGGGGAGATGGTTTCTTTTGGCACTTAGAAAGAACTATATTTTTCTTTTGCATTTGCCTTCTGTGAATACTCTTCTACAATGTTCTTCTACAATACCTCTTTGATAGGACTATTGGCTTCCTGCTCTTATAAGCACTACCAAAATTAATGAGTATCCACAGACCCTGCCCTCTCATGTTAAGTTCATCCTTGAATTCTGAAGGATGCTGCTTGTTTTGTTAGCTGCAGGTGACGCATGTGTTTCTTCACTTTCGGAGTGCGTCACAGTTACGCTGTCTGTCATCACTCTTTCCCTTAGTCGGTCATCTGGTACAAGGGCTGAAGTTAAATAGGCTCAGTGCCCACCACCCGACCTTACTCAGAAGCTTGTTCTGGGGATCCCTCCAGAACAAAATCCCCCAAGCTCTTCTGCAACTCTCGGGTCTCTCCTGTGGTCTCACCTCTAATTTAGGTTCTTGATGTCTCTGGCCTGGACGGCCCTGCACACTGAGGTCTAACTGCCTGTGACCCTGCCTGGCCACGGCTATTCCTGCCCCTCAGAGGAAAGGGCTTGCAGCATCATCCTGGCAGTGGGCATCATCCTGGCAGTGGGAAAGCAAGTCTCTTATAGGGATCCCTTCACTTCAGAATCTGGTTCAGGGAATTGAGATCCTGGACCTCAGGGCCTGTCCAGCTCTGTGCTGGTACAGGGTGGCTTCCAGGTCTGGTCAGGTAATCTCCACACCTCCCCCTACCTCATGTGATTTCTGTTTTTCAGCTTTGTTTGTCTGCCTTTCTTCTAGCAGAAATGTTCACTCCCACAGCCTGCAGCTGGGCAGTGAGTGGGAAGCCAGGGGGTCCTGCACAGTGAAGAGGTCGAGAGGCAGGAGGAGGCTATTCTGAGAGCAGGAAGAGATCAGCACAGTGGGGAGCTGGATCTTGCAGATGAGGGGCTTCCAGGGCCAAAGGTGGAAGATGCTGTTGTACCAGATCTCAGCAGAATTTCTTGCACTCACAGTTGGTTTAACGGGGAGGCTGGAGGGAAAATCCAGAAGAAAAGTGTCCAAAAGGCCGGAGCAGAGCCTGGGGAGGGGCTTACAAGGAGCAGGACCTAATGGGGCTGCAGAAGCTTTTCCTGAGGACCTGGGGCTTCCTACCGAAGGGAGGGGGCAGCTGCAGAGCTTGGCCAAGACTTCCACAGACACGGTGACCAGAGGGTGTCCCTTGAAGAGGCCTCCCAAATATCTTGGCACAAGCACCCCTCTGAAGT
The DNA here is from genome assembly GCF_000001405.40 of Homo sapiens. NCBI lineage: Eukaryota > Metazoa > Chordata > Mammalia > Primates > Hominidae > Homo > Homo sapiens. Next base: position 7,448,056 of record NC_000005.10, read on the forward strand.
TGCTCTGCTTACAACAGGCCCTCTTGTGTGCAAACCCTGTGTGCTGTCTGGGGACACCTGGAACTCTGGCTTCTTCTAATCCCACAAGACCCTGAGGTAGGGATGGGGTCTTTCTGGTTATTGCTTCCCTCAGCTGCAGCTCTGGAGCTCCTTCAATATGAAGAGCTAAGTACCCTGTCCTACTTGTCTCAAAGGAGTTATCAGGAGAATACATTAAAGATGCAGAAGGGTCTCTGAAGAATGTCGTGTGCCAGACCCAGGTCAGGTGCTGTCTGTCCTTTTCCCTCGTGCTCAGAGTTTCTGGTGCAAAAAGATTCTCCCCTGAGTCTCTCTCTGTGTAGCAGATGGCTCTGACTTATTTTATGTAAGGCCTGTAACAGCTGTAGGTGTGTTGGTGTTGATCAGATTCATTCATTATTTTTTTTTTTCATCAACTTTTAAGTTCTGGGGTACATGTGCAGGATGTGCAGGTTTGTTACACAGGTGAGCGTGTGCCATGGCAGTTTGCTGCACAGATCTTCCCATCACCTAGGTTTTAAGCCCAGCATCCATTAGCTGTTCTTCCTGTTGCTCTCCCTCCCCTACCCTCCAACAGGTCCTCGTGTGTGTTGTTCCCCCACATGTGTCCATGTGTTCTCATCATTCAGCTCCCACTTATAAGTGAGAACATGTGGTATTTGGTTTTCTGTTCCCGAGTTTGCTGAGAATAAAGGCTTCTAGCTCCGTCTATGTCCCTGCAAAAGACATGATCTTGTTCCTTTCTGTGGCTGCATAGTATTCCATGGTGTATATGTACCACATTTTCTTTATCCAGTCTATCATTGATGGGCATTTTGATTGATTTCATGTCTTTGTTATTGTGAATACTGCTGTAATGGACATATGTGTGTATGTATCTTTATAATAGAATGATTTATATTCCTTTGGGGTATATACCCAGCAATGGAATTACTGGGTCAAATGGTATTTCTGCTTCTAGACCTCTGAGGAATCACCACACTGTCTTCCACAATGGTTGAACTAATTGACATTTCCACAACAGTGTAAAAGCGTTTTTTTCCCTCTGCAACCTTGCCAGCATCTGTTGTTTTTTGACTTTCTGATAATCGCCATTCTGACTGGTGTGAGATGGTATCTCACTGTGGTTTTGATTTGCATTTCTCTAATGACTGCTATCTTCTCAAGTTCAGAATCTCATGAAGCAAATCCATCAATTCATTCAATCCAGAAAAACCAATTTTTCTTTTAAGAAATGTTGTCCCCCAAAATAGACTGAGAAACAAAAACATGATTCTTCTTAAAATGAGTACTTCAAATGTGTTTTCAGTGTATTCTGTACTATTTTTGATACTGGGGTGAACAAAAGAGCACCTCTGCCTTACCTTTTCCTATGCAGAACTCTATCAGCCTGGTACTTTTTAGTTTAAAACAGAACAAGAACAACCAAGAGGTGCCAGCTTCACTTTCAGGCTGTGCTACTAAATATGAATAGCCAAAAAATACATAAAAATAAAATGGAATATCTGTATTCCCCTATTGTAATACATAATGACTCACTATAGGAGCTGGAAAGAAAAGGAGTTGATTTTCCACACTGGCAACAACCAACTCCATATACAGTATAGGCACACCTCATGTGATTGTGCTTTGTTCTATTGCACTTCTCAGATACTGAATTTTTTACAAATTGAATGTTTTTGGCAACCCTGTGTCAACAAAGTCTGTTGGTGCCATTTTTCCAACAACCTGTGCTCACTTATGTCACTGTGTCCCATTTTAGTCATTGTCACAGTATTTGAAAAGTTTCATTATTATGGTATCTGCTATAGTGACCTGTGACCCATGATCTTTGATATTATTTTAAGTGTTTTGGGGCACCACGAACCGCAGCCACATTTGACGGTGAACTTAATACATGCTGTGTGTCTTTTGACTGCTCCACTGACCAGCTGTTCTCCATCTCCCTCCCTCTTCTCAGGCCTCCTTATTCCCAGAGACATGACAATATTTAAATTAGGCCAATTAATAACCCTACAGTAGCCTCTAAGTGTTCAATGCAAGGAAGAGTTGCATGTCTCTCACTTTAAATCAAAAGCTAGAAATGATTAAGCTTAGTGAGGAAGGTATGTCTTAAGTCATGATAGGCCAAAAGCTAGACCTCCTGCAGTAAACAGTTAGCCCAGTTGTGAATCCAAAGGAAACGTTCTTGAAGGTAATTAAAAATGCTACTCTAGTGAACACGCAAATGGCAAGAAAGCAAGTCTTATTGCTGATATAGAGAAAGTTTGAGTGGTCTGGCTGGAAGATCAAATCAGTCACAACATTCCCTTAAGCCAAAGCCTAATCCAGAGAAAGGCCCTAACTCTCTTCAATTCTATGAAGGCTGAGAAAGGTGAGGAAGCTACCAAAGAAAAGTGGGAATCTAGCAGAGGTGGCTTCATGAGATTTGAGGAAAGACATCATTTCCTTAACATAAACGTGGAAGGTGAAGCAGCAAATGCTGATGCATGTTATCTGAATGATCTAGCTAAGATCATTGATGAAGGTGGCCACACTAAATGACAGATTTTCAAAGTAGACAAAATAACCTTCTGTTATAAGAAGATGTCCTCTAGGACTTTCATAGCTAGAGAGAAGTCAATGCTTGGCTTCAAAGGTTCAAAGGCTAAATCTCTTATTAGGGACTAATGCAGCTGGTAACTTTAAGTTGAAGCCAATTCTCATTTACTATTCTGAAAAATCCAAGAGCCCTTAAAAATTGTTAATTTTATTGTGCCTGTACTCTATAAATGGAACAACAAAGCCTAGAGGACAGTGTATCTGTTTACGGCATGCTATTGGAATATTCATGAGCTGCATGAACTTAAAATATTTCTGAATATTTTAAGCCTACTGTTGAGGCCTACTGCTTAGAAAAATAAAAAGATGCCTTTCAAAATATTACTTCTCACTGACAATAAGCCTGATCACCCAAGAGCTCTGATGCAGATGTACAAGGAAATTAATACCATTTTCATGCCAGCAAACACAACATCTGTTCTGCAGCCTATGAATCAAGGTGTAATTTCAACTTTCAAGTCTTATTACTTCAGAAATACATTTTATAAGGCTATAGATGCCATAGACAAGGATTCTTCTGTTGGATATGGGCAAAATAAATTGAAAATCTTCTGGAAACAAGTCACCATTCCAGATGCCATTAAGAATATTCATGTTCATGGGAGGAAGTCAGAATGTCAACATTAACAGGATTTTGGAAGAAGTTGAGTTCAACCCTCATGGGTGACTTCGTCTTTGTTCAATGCATGGAGGAAGTAACTGTGGATATGGTGACAGCAGCAAGAGAAATGGAATCAGAAGTGGAGCCTGAAGATGTGAACAAATTATTGCAATCTTATGATAAAACTTGAATGGATGAGTTGTTTCTTATGGATGAGCAAAGTAGTTTCTTAGGATAGACTCCACTCTTGATGAAGATGCCATAAACATTGTTGAAATGACAACAAAGGATTTATAATATTACAGAAATTTAGTTGATAAGGCAGTGACAGGATTTGAGAGGATTAACTGCAAGTTTGAAGGAAGTTCTAGTGTGGGTAAAATGCTACAAATTAGTATCATATGCTACAAAGAAATGTTTTTTTGAAAGAAAGAGTACATGGATGTGGCAAACTTAATTTTGTTCTTATTTTATTATGTCTTTATCCTTTTAAATTTTTTTTTATTTCAATAGCTTTAGGGGTACCAGTGGTTTTTGGTTAGATAGATGAGTTGTATAGTGGTGAAGTCAGAGATTTTAATGCACCCATCACAGAAGTAATGTACATTATACCCAATATGTAGGCTTTTTTGTTTTCTTTTTGTTTGTTTTATTGAGATAGAGTCTTGCTCTATTGCCCAGTCTGGAGTGCAATGGCACATCTCGGCTCACTGCAACGTCCGCCTCCCAGGTTCAAGCGATTCTCCAGCCTCAGCCTCTCGAGTAGCTGGGACTACAGGTGAGCACCACCACATTTGGCTAATTTTTTTGTATTTTTAGTAGAGACAGAGTTTCACCATGTTGGCCAGGCTGGTCTCGAACTCCTGACCTCAGGTGATCTGCCTGCCTCAGCCTCTCAAAGTGCTGGGATTACAGGCATGAGCAACCGTGCCCGGCCCCCAATGTGTAGTTTTTTAATCCCTCATCCTCCTCCTGCCCTCCCCATTTCTGAGTTTCCAATGTGCATTATATCTCTCTGCATGCCTTTGCACACTCATAGCTTAGCTTCCACTGTATGTTATAAGTGAGAACATACAGCATTTGGTTTTCCATTCTTAAGTTACTTCCCTTGGAATAATGGCCTCCAGTTTTATACAAGTTGCTTCAAAGGCATTATTGCATTCTTTTTTATGGCTGAATTGTATTCCTTGGTGTATGTATATCACATTTTCTTTAACCACTCATCAGTTGATGAACACTTAGGTTGGTTTCATATCTTTATAATTGTGAAATGTGCTGTGATACACATATGCATGCAGGTGTCTTTTTGATATAACTTCTTTCCTTTTCCATAGATACCCAGTAGTGAGATTGCTGGATCAAATGGTAGATCCACTTTGAATTCTTTGAGAAATCTCCATATTGCTTTCTATTGAGGTTGTACTGATTTATATTCCCATCAGCAGTGAATAAGTGTTCCCTTTTCACCACATCCATGCTAACATCAATTGTTTTTTGACTTTTTAATAATGACTATTCTGGTTAGGGTAATGTGGTATCTCATTGTGGCTTTAATTTGCAGTTCCCTGATGATTAATGATGTTGAACATTTTTTTCATATGTTTGTTAGCCATCTGTGTATCTTCTTTTGAGAAATGTCTATTCATGCCATTTGCCTACTTTTTAATGGGATTATTTGTTTTTGTCCTTGTTGATTTGAGTTCCTTGTAGATTCTGGATACTAGTCCTTTGTTGGATGCAGAGTTTGCAAATATATTCTCCCATTCTGTGGGTTGCCTGTTTACTCTGATGATTATTTCTTTTGCTGTGCAGAGGCTTTTTAGTTTAGTTAGCTCCCATTTATTTATTTTTGTTTTTGTTGCATTTGCTTTTGGGGTCTTTGTCATGAATTCTTTGCCTGAGCCAATGTCCAGATGAGTTTTTTCTGGGTTATCTTCCAGAATTTTTATGGTTTCATATTTTAGATTTAAGTCTTTGATCCTTCTTAAGTTTCTTTTTGTATAAGGTGAGAGGTGCAGGTTTAGTTTTATTCTTCCACATGTGGCTATCCAGTTTACCCAGCATCATTTACTAAACGTTGTGTTCTCCCCCTGATTTATGTTGTTGTATGCTTTGTCAAAGATCAGTGTTATTGTAAGAAATTGCCACAGCCACCCCCACCTTCAGCAACAACAGTTCTTGTTACTGGCGGTGAATCCCTGTGTGTCTGCAGCAGCCTCAATTCTTGCCTCCTCAGAAGAAAGAATTCGACTTAGGAGGCAGAAGGCAGAAGGAGAGACCAAGGTAAATTTTAGAGCAGGAGTGAAATTGATTAAAAAGCTTTAGAGTAGGAAGGAAAGACGGGAAGTATACTTGGAAGAGGGCCAAGTGGGCGACTTGAAAGACGAGTGCACGGTTTGACTTTTCGACTTGGGGAAGTATACGTTGGCATACTTCCGGGGTCTTGTGTCCCTTCTCCCCTGATTCTTCCCTTGGTGGGCAGTTTGCATGCACAGTGGCCTGCCAGCTCTTGGGAGGGGAGCATGCAGAGTGTGTTTACCGGAGTTGTACTCATGCTCACTTGGGGCCATCTTCCCTTATCAGCTGAATGTTCCTAGGAGGTCATATACCAGTTAAACTCCGCCATTTTGCCTCTTAAATGCACCTGTGTGAGCCCACTCACCCGACTCCTGAGATCTTATTAAGAAGATGCTGATCACCAGTTTCAGGTTTTTTCTATCTACAGGGAGACTGCTTTTCCCTGGTGCTGGCTGCAACCAATTATTATTTTAGCGAGACAGTTAACAACTGCCTGAACATCACCTGAGGGTCACCTGACATTTCTAGTTGGGTGGGGGGTGCCCTCTCCTGCCCTGTTCATGTCTGACCAGCTGTCTTCTGTAGCACCTTGAGTCAGCGGCTGTCAACACTGAGGCAAGACCTTTCATCAGCAAAAAGTTTATGACTTGCTCAAGGCTCAGTTAACAGCATTTTTAGCAATAATGTGCTTTTAAATTAAGGTATGTGCATTCTTTAAGTAGTGCTATTTAGGCTATAGTATAGTTTCAACATAATTTTTATATGCACTGGGAAACTAAAAAATTGGTGCGACTCACTTTATTTCGGCATTCTCTTTATTGCAATGGTGTGGAGCCCAACCTACAATATTAGTGATGTATGCGTCTATTTACTTTTCAATTCCCAATGGAGAAAACTGTTTTCAGATGTTTTAGAATTTAAAGATAAATTTATCCTTGATTCCTATCTTGCTGCCTCTTCCAAATATTGGTGAACACTTCTTTTTTCATATAATCTGGCAAAAGATTTTTATAGAAGTATTTATTCATGCAATGTTATAAAATAATGTTTTGTGGCAAAAATTATAATGTAAGTACCTTAACATGCAATGAAGGAAACAAAACTCACAGAGAATTCCAACTCTCAGAGTTGACACTATGCTTGTTTTGGAAGTTCCTATGGGGTGTTTTCTTTTCATTTATGATGTATTTGAGCTCATATTGTATCTTCAATTTAGTAGCTTGCCTTTTTCACATGTGTTTAAAATTCTTAGTAAATGTTAATTTTTTGTACAATATACCTAACTCTCCTTTGGTTTTTAGATATTTAGGTTATTCCAGATATTCTCATTATTATAATCATGTTGTGATAAATCCCCCTCATGCATAGAGCATTTTTTATGTGCTTTTTGATAGTTATTTTTCAGTATTGAATGTAAAAGTGAAGTTGCTAGTCCGAAAGAGTGTTTATACGGCTATAGAGTAGACATCTAACAGCTTTGCCAGAACTTTCCACATTCTATACCCCACCTGTGAAATTGGGTTTTCTTCTTTTCTCGCTGCACAAACTTAGCATACTGCCATCTTTCCTAGGTTCTCTTTGTGTGTTGTATATTGTAATGAATGTCAGCTTGAAGGATACAACAGAAGAATAAAATTAGCTAAGGCACCACAGTTAGACTTACATTGCTGTCACTGTTGATATTTTGTTAGTAAAGAGAGGCTAGACTTATGCTGCTGTGTGAAAACACAAGTTAGATTTAGGTTTAAAAGTCTGTCTGAGATGCTGGTCAGTGATCACACACTCTTCCACTAAAATTTGCAACACAGCTGATGAAAGTCTCCTTAAACTATGGACATTTGAGGGAAAAGTTCTCACTAAATGTGATATCACACATTATTATAGGGGATCAAGGTTATGTGATTACCTATTCAATCAAAAACATAATCACAAACTTACATAATTTGTTTTAAAATATCACTTATTATATATTATAAAACATGTAGGAATATAATGAATATAATAACATAAAAATGTACATATTATAATTATGTATTTGTTATATTACATATGGTATATGTATATATACTGTATATATTATATAACAAATATATAATTATAATACATACATTTTGTTATATCAATTATTAACATAATTATATTATGTTATTATAATATATGATATACAGTATGTGTTATATAAAAATATATACATATATACTATATATTATATAACACATATATTCTTATTATTATAATATATTTAATTATAATGGCATACTACATATTTATAATAATGTATTATGTACATTGTTATAAAATTGCATAACATATTATAACAATGCATTTATATAATATATAAGCTATATAAGTTATTAGGAAAGCATAGTAGGAATAACATTTTAAATAAAAATTTAAATTTTAAATTTTAAAATTGTAAATAAAAATTTTATCTGCCACTTTCATCTTTAAGAAATGAGGCCTTGAGATAAACTATTTTATAGTGTCTGTAGGAAGGAAAGTAGTCCTATTATATAAAAATAGTGGTTGCTTTAAAATTATTCATTAGCTATATTTATAGTTTATAAAATAATGAAATTTAAAATTGCCTTAAATTGGACTAATAATCATGAGTTTGAAATAAAAACAGAATAAATAATGTTCATTTTAAAAGTAAAAGTCAGTTTTCTAGATTATGAATTTGGTATTGATTTAAATGAAATGAATTTACATTGAAGAATTGTATGTCTTTAGGGATTCAGTGTTCAGTGATGATCTGTTGGATGCACAGATTGAAGGAGACTGGATAGAAATAGCTTCCTGTGCCTCAAAAAAAGTCAGGAATTACTGCCAGGAAAACTCAGAGCTTCAGAGACTGCAAATATATTTAAGTTACTGAAGTAAGACGCTTGAAATGAAAATGTGTACACTCCATAAACCATGGATGGCATCAATAACATGAATACTATCTGAAATATTATTGCGATCAGGCTCAAGAAATACATGCTCCACTTGCTGTGATTTTTAAAATTTAAATATTGATAGTATATGGAAATACTGCTTATTCTTGCTATAATATTTAATGTGATTCCTATTCTTTACACTGTTTTAAAAAAGCTTTAGGATCATAAACTGTTGTATTGGGGGTAATTCATGAAGTCTTGATGACTGTAGGAGGAATAATCTATTGTTTTCCAGTTTAATGTTCATGTTGCCCAGCATGTCTGCTTAATGAATATAATTCCTTTTTTATATTAAAATCTGATAGGACTTCGTACTCTAATAGGGGTTTTAAAAGAGATGTGTTTATTCTTCTAGTTTTATAAGAATAGGATTTTGTAAGGGAGGGAATATTTTATTCTCATTCCGCTTGTTTGTAGAAAACAGTGATTGTCAATGTGTGGGGCCAACACCAATAACTTGATTAGCAAAAGCTGGGAACTTGTTGGAAATGCAAATTCTCAGGCTCCACCCCAGAACAACTGACTCAGAAACTTAAGAGGAGGTCCCAGCAATCTTCATTTAACAAACTCTACAGATGGTCCTAATGCACAGGACAGTTTGAGAACCAAGAATGTTGAAATTTTTTACAGAATGTCCCTACTTGAAATTTACTATACTCATCTGCATTGAGGCTTCAGGTTTTAGGAGATAGATTGAGGTTTTGGATGAAAACCTGCCATATCAGTTAGCTTTAGTACTATAACAAACCACCCCAGAAATTAGTGGTTAAACAAGCATGCGGGCTTCCCAGGTGATTCCTCTGGCCTGGCTGGGCTTCCTGTGCATGTGGTCAGCTGCTATTTAGTTGGGTGCTGGAGAGCTCAGGGTGCCCTCAGCTGCAGAGCCTGGTCTGTCCCATCTGTGGCCTTTCTTCCTGCAGCAGGTGGCTCCAGGCTCTTCCAGGATTCCTAGAGAATGGAAGGCGCATTCAAGGCCTCAGAAGCCACCTGTGCTCCTTCTGTCCTTTTCTGTTGACTACCCCAAGATTCAAAGCCAGCCCAGCATCAAGCGGTGGTGGGAAGGACTCCACCTCTTCAGGGGAGGAGATACAAAGTCACACCCTAAATGGGACAAGGTGCAGGGAGGGGATAACGTTTTTGCACACAGTTGCCCACACCTGCAGATCAGGATCAAGGCTAATGCTCTATTGGCTAAGGAATTCTGGCCCTCTGTTCTGTAGTCCATTCAGATCAAGAGTGGGGACCAAAACGCTTCCTCATTTTTCTCTGAAGCTGAGAAGTAAGAGGCAATCGGTAAAACAGAACACAGTGTGTTCGTAGTTACCACGTCGTCCTGTTATCAGTGAGGATGGCAGTCACCATGTTTGCAAAAGTAAAATAAATCTCAAAATTTGACTAATAATAGCAGACACAAAAAAAGTAGAATCCAGTACAAATATGCCTTTTATTTCAAGCATAGTTTCCTCACTTTTGGCCCTGGATTTCCTGTATGATTTCTCAAATGTATTATTCTAAATGATGACCTGCACACTTTGTGTAGAGGTTTCTTGGTTTTACATGTCCTCAGGGATACTGGGGGAATGGTGGTATATAATAGTCATGAATAGACTTGAGTAATGTATAGTACTCTGATAGGATTCTGCTGCTGCTTACATTATGACAGCATGGTAAGTAAAAGAACAGAAAAAGAGTGGGAAAAATATATTCTTAATTAATGAACTTTGGACCAAAAAATAATAGAGTCCTTTATCTTATTTACAAATACAACAGTTTTGAATAGTTCATGTTATACTTTAAATTATTAATGAGAGTAATGAACAGTTTTGTAGAGTAATGTATAATGAGGAAGCAATATTAACTTGCATTAACTTGCAGTTATTTAGTTATTTATATAAAGCAGTTATTTGCAAATCATGATCAGATATATTTAACTAAGATATAATTTATATTTTTAGAGATGCTCTTTTATTTTTCCCTCCAATATGCGTTTAGGAAAAATAAAACATGTATTCTGTGATATTGTCAGTCTGCTCTGAACTTCAGCTTTCTCGTTCCCAAGTTCTAATCATTTCCAGCTGGCGTATGTTAATGGCGTTTCTGTCTAACATTGTGGCTCTCTCAAAGAAGTACAAGAAAAAGTCTCTTCCCACAGGGAGTTTGATACCATACAACACAGATATCACCATTATCACACAATTGTAAAGCAATTACAGAAGTCAAGATAATATGGCAAAGACTGTTTACCTAAGACTCGATAGTACACAAAACAAAGAACACATGGGCTACTAGGCAAACAGTTATGTGGGGTTGACTTTAGCCTGAAAAAAAGTGTTCTGATTGAAGTAATGGCACGTCACACAAGAAGGGCTGATAGAGGGCCGCTCATTAGGATGGCTGCTCACGGGACTGGCCAGAATGACTTTGGGTGGCGTATCAAGTGTCCATTGCCACAATTATGCTGTACAACCACTTGCCCCAAGACCAATGGCTTAAATCATGAAGATGCGTTTTTCACTCAGGTCTGTGCGTTGGCTGGGATTTGGTGATTGTCAGCTGCCCCTCACTCTAGGCTGTAGGTGGGTGCGGATCTTCTGACATACTTCTGTTTTCCCCATGGACCGGGAGTTCCTTGGGGGATGACCACAGGAAAAGGACCAAGCCAATTCTGCAAGCAAATTTAAGCCACTGTTTCATCAAGTCCACTAGCAATGCATTGGCCACAGCAAGTCACATGGCCCAGGCAGACCTCAGGGTGCTGGAGTGTTCTCTGCCCATTGAGGGAGCTGGAGCAGAGTGAACACTTGCCTAACCCCAGTCCAAAGGATTGTAAGTAGGATGAGAACAGTCAGGGGTGTCTTGCGGTTGCTGTTTCTTTTCACGGATGTGCACAGGTGAATGTAAGGTTTATTGTCTTCTCACATTCTGATGGTTAACATCAAACCCACAGCTCACGTTTCGAAGACAGTTTTGAGATTTGCTTTTCCTAGTAATTCGCCTCCAAGCAGTGGGTCTTGTTTAGTAGGGACAATCTTGAAATGGCTAAATTTCTTCTAAGAACAGTATTGGCAACTTGAAGAGTCGTTGGGATCAGTGTTATGTTCTTGCCTTAACTCCAAAATTAAACGGGTTATAGTTATTGTTGTGTATATTTGGTAATGTACATTAAAAATAAAAACCTCTAGACATGACACATAACATTAGCAACATATAACCTTAATAAGTCAAATAAATGAACTATCTAGCAGTTTAAGAGGTAATTTTTTTTTTTTTTTTTTTTTTTTTTTTTTTTTGACGGGAGTCTGGCTCTCTCGCCCAGGCTGGAGTGCAGTGGCGCGATCGCGGCTCACTGCAAGCTCTGCCTCCCGGGTTCACGCTATTCTTCTGCCTCAGCCTCCGGAGTAGCTGGGACTACAGGCAACTGCCACCACACCCGGCTAATTTTTTGTATTTTTAGTAGGGATGAGGTTTCACGGTGTTAGCCAGGATGGTCTGAATCTCCTGACCTCGCGATCCACCTGTCTCAGCCTCCCAAAGTGCTGGGATTACAGGTGTGAGCCACGGTGCCCAGCTGTTTAAGAGGTAATTTTTGAAATTTTTGTTTGCAAAGTGAATATTTAATCCTATTATATCTGCTGGACTGTGTGCCTTCTAAAATTCTACTTAGTAGAATTGATAAGCAGGGATCATTTAAAAATTAAACAACATTTTTCATTTAATTAATTTATTTATTTGAGACAGGATCTTGCCCTGTTGCCCAGGCTGAAGAGCAGTGAGGCAATCACAACTCACTGTAACCTTGACTTCCTGGGCTCAAGTGATCCTTCCACCTCAGCCTCCCAAGTAGCTGGGACTATAGGTCCATGCCACCATGGATAAACAGGTATCTTTTATACAGTGATAAAATGCTGCCAACATACACTAGGCTCTTTTACTATAGTTGTTTTTAAAATTTTTTTCACCTGAAATATAAATGTAAATGTTCAGTATTATCAAAATTAAAACTCTTGAGTTATGATCTTTGGAAGTTTATACTTAATGTCCTAGGAGCATGGTATTAATTCAGTAGCCGTGGTTGGTGTGTTTCTTACAAGCAATCTTCAAAATGAAGGTGTCAAGGAGAACCTGAATGTTGGTTCACTTGGGGTTGGTGTTTTCTTTTTGTACACTAAGTGTCTTAATTTTTTTTTTGTGGACATGGAATTGTGTCCACGAGTATGTATTTCTTATGGGATTATGTAGAAACTATTGTAACATTCTGAGCCTTTCTTCCTTTAGACGAAGGGCAGGGAGGAGACACAACCTTGCAAGTAGTTGGACGTGGTGATGGGAGTGGCCTGGAATAGGGATGGACATTATAAGTTCTTTCTTTAAGCTTTGCTTCTATCATTCGAGAGTAGGTTCCTCTGCATTTACAAGAAAAGCAATCTCAGCCACAGTTGTTTATATAGGAGGGAAGTTTGTCCCTATCTCACATCACTCAAGTCCAGAGTTTGGAATCCTGAGTTGGTAGAGATCCTTCATGGCCCAGCAGAGGCCTGGCTCCTTGCTGTCCACTGCCCCCATTCCCATCATGTTCTCAGGGGCAGCTGGTCCAAGGCCACCACAAGGCATGATGCCTGGGATGAGGGTTCTCTCTGTTCTTTTCAAAGAGACTTCCAGGAAGAAACCTTACAACCTTAGAGACCTGTCTGTCTCTCGTTGGCTGAATTTAGTCATATGATTACATCTATCAGGAAGGGACTAGGGAGTGTTGTTCTTTGGCTGAGTTAGCAAAGAAATGAGCTTCTTTTTCTTTACTAGAAGGGAAGGATTAATACTGGAGGCAACTGGCAAGCTCCGCCTCAATGCACATGGCTCAGTTTGTCTTTAGAGAACATTCTGAATGTGTAGTTATAGATGCCCATTGTGATATGCATCAAATCCCAATATTTTAGGTACATTCAGAGTGTATAATAATTGAGTATAATATTCTGCCTTCTCATAGCTTTTATTTATTTTATAAGCTGCCTTGAAGCTATAATTCTGTTTCCACATATGTGCCTTTGGCACATCTTAGAATCTGACGTAGTTTCCCAGCCAATCCAACCATGTTTTTAAAAAGAGCTGAGAATTTCATTGAGCCACTCTTTTGTATGGGGCTCTTTATGGAAAAATTACATTTGGATTTAAAGAAGGAAATTCCTTACAGTTTTGGAATAGAAATTTATTAGATAAATCTTCAAGTTAATCTTCCTTGTGAATTTGGGTGATGAATGCTGGTTACACTGTCCAAGCAACTTTAAAAATGTTTTGGTTTTATTTCTGAACTCACATTTGAAATATTACTTGATTGCTAGTGACAAAAATGATTTCTGTTTAGATCTCATATTTAAGCATCTATGATAATGAAAACACATTAAAGGGAAAGTCCTATCATTCCTGAGAGTTTGCAACATTGTCAGAATCTCCCTGAGAAGGAATGCCATGGAGGGCAAGGCTGCTTTCTTGTCTATGATTTGATCTGTTGGTGAGAAGTGAGGATGAACGCTTTTCCTGTCTGTCGGTTTATGGTGTCTGCACATTTTGATAGCAGATCATTGCTGTTCACTCCTTCTCCTTTAAATAGAGCAAGTGGAATTGTCTACAGAATGCGGCCTAAGTATTCTATTAGGCCTAATGTGTTTTAATTAGCAACAGCAGACGAACCCAAACACTGTCTCTTAGTGCGTCTAACCTTATTATTTTCAAGTAGCAGTTGAATAACACTTGGAAGAGAGTCATCAATCTCTCAGACTAATTAATGAAAATGTTTAAAAAATACTGGCAGATGAAAGTAATAAACATGTCAGTCCCCAAATTGTGTTTTTCCGCCACTGATTGATAATAACTAGGTCAGTCGCCAAGTTTTAATTTCTTGATTAAATGGCATTCCCAATACTGCTATCTTCTTGACATTGACTAAACTTAATAAGCAATGTAGTTGACACTTCATATCTCTTACAGGAAATACTTCCTCTCATTATTAAAAAATACAGAGTGTTAAACATAGCTAGCAAAAATTAAATCATTTGACATTTTATTAGAGAAAACTTTTAAGACAATAATAGTAACTGATGGCAGTTATTACCAAAAATACCTAAAGATTTGGAACTACCTTTTGAATTGTTAGGGTGGTGACATTATATTCAGTGTATTTTTAGTATATGCTTTGCTTTATTTTAGTTCTTTTTCAGTGTCAGGTGCTCATTCGTGGTGTAAATAACAATTCTGTGTTAGGCAGGTTTTCCTATTTGATCACGTGTGTGGGTTGGATTAGAAAATAGACATTAAATAAATTGATTGCTGTCTGTGGCCCTTGTCCTTGGCAGGGTGGATTCCTTCTGAAAGGATATTGCAGTGTCCAGGGAATGAAGGGGTTGAGCAGATGAGACCTCCCTAGCTGATGCAGCAAGCCTGAAAGGAGAGGGAATGAATTCCAGAGATGTGTCAGAAAGGGGAGTGGCATGGAGGGCTTTGTGATACCTGAACAGGTTTGGGCTGTCCATGAACTTGAGATTTAAACCCAACTTTTCCCTTTGAATTGGCTGATGTTTTCCTTGGAGTCAGTAGCAATAGTGTTTTCTTAAAAAAATTGTTTGAATAAACATACCTATAAAATTGGCTTTTGAAACCAAATACAGTACCTATGCCTATTACATGCCATTTTTTTTGGTTTCCCCACATCAAAGGACTGCTAACGTCTTTTAAAATCTTCATGCTATCATTGTGTCTCTGCTAACACTGCCCCTCAATTCTGTGAAGATTTATTCAGTGTCCATTACACAGTCATGAAGAGGACAAAAAGAACAATCGTTCCATGGTGCATATGGTGTAGTGGTGCTCACCATAGGCCTGGGATGTGTTTCTTTTTTGCGCTTGTGAAATAATTATTATAAGTCCCTTCCTTTGCACTTGAGGGAACTGTTACCCAAAGAGGTGGTGTAATCAAATTCTTTGCTGTTGGGGCTCAGATGTAGAACCAGATCAGTTCAATTCCAAAGCTCAGATTTTTCTACTTGAAGCTGTACTGTTGTTTCTCATTCATCACATGGATGGGCTTATGCTGAGAGCACAAGGTGATAGATAAAAAAAAAAAAAAAAAAAAGAATGAGATCGTCCTGAAAAGGAATGTGCTAAGCATGTAAATGTCTCTATAATAACATAGTAGAGAAAGTATAAAATTATTTACTCTTCCCCTCCAGAAAAATTCATGGTGGTTGAAACGAGAAAGAGAATGAATTTGATTGAAAGATTAAAAATGTTTCTTGGAGACAGTGGTTTCAAAGGTGGGATAGGATCACAGGAAGAAAGGACAAATGCTGGAGGAAGTAACAGCAACAGCCAAGCTACAAAGAAAGCAATGGGGGATGACTTAGGGGACAGGTCCTATGTTCTCCATTTTGGCTGCTGTGTTTTGGTGCATCTTATGTAACACCCAAGTAAGTTTGTATTTTATTTGGTGTCCAGGGAAGCCACTGGAGATTTTGAATAGAGAAATGGCATAAATCAATAGTTTTTTAGGAAGTTCATGCTACAAACCGTACTCTCATTTTATTTTTCTGTTGGTACTAGTTACTTCCCAAATATATCCTGTATATTTTGTGTGTGTGTTGTCTACCCTTTCCTCTTCATTGTAAGCTGTTTGAGGGCTGAAGCTGGGTCAGATCAGGCACACACCTTTCCTGTTGTCCTCCAGCACTCTCTCTCTCGGAGCTCTGCGCTGCTGTGTAAGTTGTCTGACTACACTGAGAGTGCCACACTGAAGGGCCCTGTGCAGAAGCTGTGACTCAGAGTCCCAGCTGAGTACCTCTTTCCACCCATTCTATAAGGTGCCAAACATGTAAGTGAAGCTGTCCTGGACCATCCAGACCAGCCAAACCATAGGTCAGAGTGCCATCTACTGACCTACGGCAATGTCACATGGAACATGGGTTCTCCCAGCTTGGTCCTGCCCAATTCCTAACCCACAAAATTGTGAGATAACCATTGCAGTTTGAAGCCACCTAGATTGGGGGTAGCTTGTTATGCAGCAGTAGATAAGGGGAACCAATAAGGTCAGTTCACCTCAGCTTAGGGCATGGACCAGAGCTGGGGTGGGGTGCAGGGCTCTCTGTTATACTCGATATGCAGTCAAAAAAGTAGCTGATTGAACATTGGATGTGAAGGAGTCAAAATGACCAAATCTAAATGATAAGAGTAGGTGGTGGTAAGAGGAGATTTTAGGTGTGAGAAGTTGATGGGATATTGTGTTGACAATATTAAATTGATTAAAATCTTGATATCCCTTGGAATGTCTAACTAATATCACAAAATTAAATTTATGATCTTTACTAGTCCATTTTCACATTGCTGATAAAGACATACCCGAGACTGGGTAATTTTTAATGGACCCACAGTTCTATGTGGCTATGGAGGCCTCACCATCATGGTGGAAGGCAAAAGGCATGTCTTACATGGCAGCAGGCAAGAGAGAATGAGCGCCAAGTGAAAGGGGTTTCCCCTTATAAAACCATTAGATCTCATGAGACTTACTCACTACTATGAGAACAGTATGGGGGAACCACCCCCATGATTCAGTTATCTCCCACTGGGTCCTTCCCACAACACGTGGGAATTATGGGAGCTACAATTCAAGATGAGATTTGGGTGGCGACACAGCCAAACCATATCATTATCTTTCCTTCTAAAGGGAATTTCTTTCATATGGTCTCCTTCATCTCACATAATGTCAGCTGGAGGTCTGTAGTTACCTGGGTCAGACACCTGGGAGTGCTCCCTCCTGAGTCTTTTTTCTCATGTCCCATATGGATGCGTCCTAAGTCCAGTAAGCTTCACATTAAAGCAGAGTCAGTATCCACCTTCCTTGTTGTTCAAAGTAAGCCACTTTCTCCAGGCTGTTAGTTTCATTTTCTCCTGTCCCTAAAGCCCTCCACAAGCCTCCGTCTAATTCTGTGCTTCTTTGATTCACGGCGTGTGCACAGGTGTTGCAAGCTATTGGTAGAGGCTCTGCAGAGCAGGTACAAGGTGTATTTGGGATGAAGTCCCTGAGAATGCAGACACCTATGGTTTTTCAGAAAGAAGCTACACAGATCCTTTTTAATTACCATGTTTTTATTTTTACTGAGGTGTTACTTATATGCTGCAAAGTATGTGAATGTTAGGATGACAGTTTTACAGCTCAATGAAATTTTACATATGTGTGTGTATAGATAGATCTATAAATATATAGCAGTTCCAAATTATTTCAGAAGAAATCCTCCTTTCTCTTAGCTTAGAATATATGTAATGGGGCTGGCTATCTTGGGAGTTTCATTGAAGAGGGGGTGTTACATTTGCATGTTTTTTAACCTATGCTTACTGAAAGGTCAATGAAATTTGGGGAAAGAAGATCCTAGACATCTAGACATTCTTCATTGATATGTCATTGGAGAAAATCTTGGAAAATAAAAAGTCTATTTTCTACCTTCCAGATGACCCCAACTATATGAGTCCTACCTCTTTAAAATAGCTTTTCCTCCTTTTAGCACTAAGAATCTTTATTATGTGCCAGTAATGATTAAAACATTTTAAGATGAAATTCTTTATTACTGCTGCTATGATAAATTATTAGCAATATAAGACAAATGTTTATCTATGACTGCTTTGAATATTAACTTCAGCCATATCTTATATATTTTTTTCTTAGTAAAATCCTCAAGATATGCCTCCAAGTTTTCTTTTTGTTATAACCTCATGTGGTGGCCTGTGGAATATTATTTTTATTTTTATTCATATAGTCCCAGACTTGTTTGTACATAGCAACTAATATCTATAGAGCATTTTCTATGTGCCCAACCCACCCTAGATCCCTTACACATTAACTTATTTATTCATTTCAGCAGCTCTAGTGAGAAAGGTGATATCAGCACCCCTTTTTACAGGTGAAACCGAGGCACAAGGTGTTAAGTGCTTTGCCAAGGCTACACTGCCAGTGCATGGCAGAGCCTGCTTTTAAGCCCTGCCAGGCCAGCTCCAGAGCCTCTGTCTCTAATCACTGTGCTATCCTACCTCGCAATGAGCATTTGGAAGAGAAGTGAAAACACCACAGTCCCCCTAGGAAGCCACAGACTGGCTGCTAGAGCCCATCATTTAAGGAGGCTGGTGAATTTAATGAGTTTCTCTTGACTGTATTTTCAAGGTAAAAATGTAAATAATAGAGTCCACATCATTTCAAATTGAATCAGGGCCAACTGTAATTTCAGGAATGAAAAAAAATAATAGCAAGTAACAAGCACACCATGCTTTTGTGTGCCCGACAGCATTCTCATGGAGGACTTTCACTTGCTCAATCCTCACACCCACCCCATGAGGCACAGACAGTTCCTGAATTAGGATTTTTCAGCTTCATGATGGTGTTAAAGTGGTATGCATTTAGTAGAAACCATCCTTCCTTCATGATGCTGGGCAGTGCCAGCATCCTCGTCAGCCTGGTCAGCCACGCATTTTTGAATTAGGATATTTTCAATTTACCCTGGGCTTATCGGGATGTAACCCCATTGTAAGTGGACAAGCACCTGCCCTTGTTTGGAGATAAGAGAGAGCTTAAGTGAATTGCCAAAATGCCAGCCAGTTCATGGCAAATCCAGGCTGCTAACCCAGATAGTGGCTTCGAACCTGTGCTCTTAACCGCTCAGCTATCTTGCCTCTTAAAACAACAATGACAACAAACAGGTTCATAACTTACAGAGAAGCAGAACTCTTGGATGCTGATAGCCCTTGAGGCATCAGCCAACTATGTTTTTATCCAAGCTCCCTCTTCTCCTACACTTCCAGGCAATTGCCCTTTCTCTGCAGGGTGCATGAGGCCTGACAAGTGCTTAGTGTCCAGGAAGCTTTGGTGATTACTGTCAGCATTGACCGCCGTGGAGAAGGGTCCCCACGTGACCATGGACCGGCGGGCCATTTTGTGCATACATGCAACTTGTGCTAACTGGCCTTCAGAGTTCTTATGACTTTTTTATCCAGCTTTGAATCCTCAGATTTCTGCCTCTGGAAAAAATTCTGTGCTTTGCCAGTGTTTCCTGATAAATGGCTTTTGTGGAGAAGGAAATAATTTATAGGATCTTTCTAACAAAAATAAGTGGAATTTTCAAAGAAACACTTATTTTTATATTCATTTGTATTTAAAACTCCTTGAGAAGACTGTCATATTCCTCTCTCTCTACAGTCTCTTAGAGGATAGGGCATATGATAAAATAAATCATTGCTGCATGGATATTTCCTTAATGATGTTTTCTAATGCATATTGGGAAATAGTTTTTCTAGAACTTCATCTTGACATTTCAGTTGGTTAAATGATAGTGCAAATTGCTTGAGAGAAGTCCAGGTAAGAATGAATGTAGATTAACAAAAATATCGCCACTTTATGCAAATACAATGAAAAGAAAAACTGCTGGTTTATAAACCATAATTCCATAAGAAGAACAGTCAAATGAACTTCCCGTTTTCTTTAAATATTATAAAAATATCCATGCGTGATCTGTGTGTGGTATTGATTATAGAGACTGTTATAGTTGTCCTTCAGGGGAAGAATTTTAAAAAATCAATCCCTTCCTTATAAGTTTGTATGATCTCAGTTTAATCAGAAATAGGGCTAAATGCCAACAAATAAATCAATAGCCTTTTGAAGAACATACTTGGGGAGGATCAAATTTGATGAGATGGGATGATATTGGAATTAAAATCGGAGACAGGGCATGAGAGACTTACAGAAAATGAGGTGTAAATATATGAATGAAGGACTCTTTGTGAAGTGTTCTTTGAGGAAAGAACAGTGATGGACTTGGCTAGGCCAGGACATTCCTAAAGAAAAGCTGCCCAGTAGGAGAGAAGAAAAAGCATTCTTAAATAATTTGGGCACATTTCTTATCAGTTTGAGAGCTAAATGATAGATCAAATATATTCATTTGTATTGCCATTGAAGGTATGATTCTGTGATTGTTTTTTCAGTTTTATGGAGTATAATTATTAATTTTTTTGCGATTATAAAACTTGGTTAATACTATGTCACCAATCACAAAAGTTTGTTAGCTGAAAAAGGAAGAGGCTAATGGTGGGTGGGTGGGAAATTATTGCTCTGAATTTGTATCTTGCTGCTTAGCTAAAACCCTCCTATTTATCTGCCAGGTCTAGAAGTTAGCATAAAAGGCAAGGGCATAGAGGCCGTGAATTCACTCTATTGCAAAAATTCTATTACTTTGTGACTTCAGGCCAGACATTTAAACTCCTCATGTTTTCAAGTCATTGGAAACCAAATGCTAAAATGACTGTTTAAATAAATAACACCTTCAAAAAATGTTTGAGTAGTTCATGTCCGGGAAAAGTTATGATGTAATTTTTCAACAGCCTTGTAAATTCATGCCAAAGCTATATCACTCCACAGTATTTGATTAACCCATATTGTCCTTACAAGGTCAAGGCAGAAGAGTGGTCAAATCTGCCTTCTTCTTTATTTTATTATAGTAATGTAGCCGTAAGTGAGTGGTTACTTTTATGACAATTTCCATTTTCTGGGAATTTTAATAAGTAGCATTCATTTATTTCTTGATTATAAATGTAACCTAGGCTTTTTTGCAGAAAATTTATAACCCAGGCAAAAGACCAACATTAAAAAAATAAAATGACCAATTATCTAACCAGCCATTCTTAAGTACTATTAATTTTTTAGTGTTAAGATGCAGTAGTTTCTGCTTTATACAATATGTGTGACTATATGAGTACATTCATTTTTATACATTTAAAACTGTGATCACAAAATTTATTTATACTATATGGTTAATATTCTACTCATTATAGATGATAATCTTAATAATATTCTTCTGACATGAATGGCTCTATCCTATTTGTCATAACGTAACAGTCCTTTATTGTGCATCACCTGACTAACTTCCAGTCTTTCTCTAAACCTGCCTATATATATAGAGGGAGAGAGAGTATATATATGTTTCATATATATATCTCCCAGATCATTTCATAGAATAAAATTCTGTAAGTGCTATTTCTAGGAGAAAGAGCTTGCACATTTTTTTTAAGCTTTGGCTTTAGTTTTATTTCATTTATCCTATTCTGATGTTTGACATTTCAAATCCTTTCTTATTATTCTATGGTTTTTTTGCCTGTTCATTCTAGTTTATTTTTCATGGGTCACATGAGAAACATTTTTCTCTAAATTCATTTATAAGTTTTATTGTCATTGCAAAGCAGCTAAAAGTTAATTTGGGAATAATAACAAATTCACAATAATAACTCTTCCTATATAAGAACACAGTGAAACTTTTTATTTATTTTTTTATTTATTCATTCTTTTTTTCTGATTTGGTAAGGCTTTGTTGTTTTCTATATGTACTTTCTATAGGTTTTCATTCTGTTTCTCTCCAGACCCATCTTATTCTCAAAATTTACATGAGGAAATTTTACCCAAATTTTCTGTCATCAATTATATTATTAATTTTGTGCATATTTTAAATAATTGGCCAAGTTAACTTTATTTATTTGAAAACTTGTTCACTTATTTTGATTAGTATTCTGAAAAGATAAGTCTTCATTGACTTTCCAATAGTTTTATCTCATGATTTTTTTTATCATCTTATTGGTTTGCCTAGATCTTAGAGAACAATAAATAGCACAACTGCTAGTGGTGTTACTGTGTTGTGGTAATTTTTATGGACATGCCTCTAGAATTTCATCAAATGTGACCAGGATAGTGGTTGTTGATTGTAATTCAATATACAGATTCTTTAGTGTTTTTGTCTCTCAGGGCTCACTTGTTATTTCTGCATACATCTCAGCTTCTTTCTTTTTACATTTTGTTTAGCTCTTTTAGAATTATTTTTATTCCTTTTTTCATAGATGGCTTTTTCATGGATTGTAGTGAAAGCACAAAGTATGTATTATCTAATATATGTATTAGACTATAATATTAGACTATAGTTTTAATTATAATTATATGAAACTATATACATATATTACAATTAATATATGTATATATTATATATTATATACATTTGACTATATAATTGTATATTAGGCTATTTATATATAGTTTTAAAAACTACTGTATATATGTGTGTGTGTGTGTGTGTGTGTTTACAAATATATACATTTTAATGGCCCAGAACATGTTTTATTTTGATGAATATTCCTTCTATTGGTAATTAAAGAAAGAAAGTATAGTCTACCATTGTTGGATGAATTGTTCTGTAAAGGAATTAGGGTAAGTTGGTTGATGGTGTTTTTTCAGGTTTCTCCTCATTACTGATTTTCTGTCTACTTAATATATTAATTATTCAGACAGAGGTGTTGATTTTTCCAACTACGATTTGAGTTTATTTGAAGATGATCGATAGCTTTTGCTTTATGAATTTTGAAGCTGTGTTGCTAAGTGCATGCATGTTTGTTTCTTATGCCTTCTTCATGAATTTGCTCTTTTATCAGTAAGTAATGTCCTTTTTTATTATTAATAATATTCCTCATTCCAAAATATACTTTGTCTGACAAAATATAGCCACTCTAGTTTTCTTTCAATTAGGGTTTATCTTTTTTAAAATTTTTTAACTTTTACCCTATCAATGCCTTTATATTTAAACTGAGTTTCTTATAGACAGCATACATCATGTTGGGTATTACTTTCTTATCCAATCTGTCTGGCTTTTAATTGGTGTGTCTAACTATTTTAGAGTGACATAATTATTGGAAAGGTTAAAGACTACAATTTTGGTAGCTGTTTTCTATTTGTTCTTTATGTTCGTTTGGCATTTAAAAGTCCTGTCTGCCTGTTTCTTGATTATTTTTAATGATTTAAAAAAATCTCCCATTTTGGCTTATTATTTATACCTCTTAAAATTTTTGGTGGATACCCTTAATTATAGTCCACCCTTAAATAATTTTATGTCCCTTCATATGCATTTAAGGCACTTATAACAATAGACTCCCAATTTGTCCCTCCCATTTTTGTGCTATTTTTATATATCTTATTTTTACCTATGCTACAAATCTATAATATGTGGCTATCTTTCTATGATAAAATAAATTATATTTTAGAGTTATTTTAAAAGGTAAAAATATGTTTATGATTATATATTTTACATTTACTTTATTTCTGGAGATCTTCATTTGTTTGTGTAGATCCAAGTTTCTGTACTGTAGCTCTGCTGGTGATAAGTTCTATATGTTTTGCTTGTCTGAAAAAAAGTGTCATTTTTTCCATCAATTTGAGAGACATTTTCTTCTGTGTATATTCTGATTTGACAGCTTTTTCTCTTCAATATTTTAAAGATGCTACTCCATTGTTTATGTTCTTGCATAGTGTCTAACAAGGAGTCAGGTGTAATTCTTCTCTTTGTTCCTCCCTCTGTAATGTATTTTCACCTTCCCTGGAGGCCTCTTTTTGTTTTTGTTGTCTTTTTTGGTTTTGAATTTCAGTGGCTTGAAATTGATGTGTTTGGATTTTATTTCATTTTATTTTCACTTATCCAACTTGGTTTTCTCTGAGCTTCTTGGTTGTATTTACGGCTTGACATATTTCATTATCTGTAGAAGAATTCTCAGCTATTATGTCTTTTCCTTATGGGATTCTGATCACATAGGTTAGGCTGCTTGGTATTGTTGCACAACTCTGGAATGCAATGTTCTATTTGTTTTTCTCTGGCTTTCTTTTCCTTGTGCTCACATAAGATTAATTTGATTAGCCTATTTTGATTTCACTGATTCGTATCTAAACTTTCTTGAATTCACTTGTGAATCTATCAAAGGCGTCTTAAACTCTATTTTCATATTTTTATCTCTAGCATTGTAATTTTTCTGTTTCTTATGGCTCCTGAAATTATCCATATGTTTATAGATTTTGCCTACCTTTTCCAGTAGTCTTTAATATATTAATCATAGACATTTTAAATTCCCTTTCTGATATACATATATAATATATGATGCAAGGGAAATATGCATATATATATGCAAGTAGATATATATATGGTTTATCTTTTATCAATTCATTTTCCCTTGCATTTTCATGTGTCTCATAATTTTTGTTTGAATGTTAGGCTTTATGAATAGGACAGCAGAGACCGAGACAGATCAAATTTATGCCTAGAAATTAGCATACCTCTCCTTTAGCTAGGCTGGTAGTTTTGGAGGACTGATCAATCTTGCTAAGAATTCTGCTTGGTTTGGGTTTTGTCTTGCAATTTCAGTACACCACATTCTCTAACTTTACCTTGTCCTTAGGGTGTGTTCTGATTTGTTGGTTGGTGAGTTTTTTAAGTGTTATACTGGTTCCTGCTCCACTCTCAGCTTTAGGCTTCTCCTGTGTACCCTTTCCCCCAGAGAGGGTCTCTGTGTTTACTCCTGCCCTTCCTGAGTTGGTTTATACACTGCTCCTACTTGTTACTCAGACTTGCAAGCCCAATAGTGGGTCTCAGAGGAGGGGGATTCTTTGTTGTACTGGCCCTGCCTCAGTAATAGGCAGTCTCTGTGTTCCTGGAACCCTGGGATGGGTTTCTCAGTGGTCCTGCACCTCCCCCAGCATAAGGCACATTCTTATAATCTGGATAGAGGATGCTTTCCTGTCCCTTCCCCAGGCATAAAGGGTGTCTAAGTCCATTTATGTTGTTCTAAAGGAATACCTGAGGCTGAGTATTTTGTAAAAAACATAAGTTTATTTGGCTTACGATTCTGCTGGATGCACAAGAAGCATGGCACCCACATCTTCTGGTGGGGGCCTCCAGCTGCTTCCAACATGGCGGAAGGAATAGGAAAGCCAGCATGTGCAGACATCACATGGTGAGAGAGAAGCAAGAGAGAGTGGGGGGAGGTGCCAGGCTCTTTTGAACAAGTAGCTGTGGTGGGAACTAATAGGACAAGAATTCACTCATTATCTCAAGGACTGCACCAGGTTATTTTTGAGGAACCCACCCCCATGACCCAAACACCTCCCACTAGGCCCTGCCTCCAACATTGGGAATAAAATGTCAACATGAAATTTGGAGGGGACAAATATCCAAATCATATCAGAGGGCTCTTTTAAAATACCTTTACCTTTCTCCCAGGTGTAGTAGATCTTCACCTGTACCCTGGGAATGACAGGGTATCATGCCTTTTCTTAGCAATTTAAGGCCTTAACATGATAAAGGTCAGTCCTCTGTTTCCTTTCTGCAGTGGTAGGCATTCTCTTCTCCCTGACTTGAACTATCAAGAGAGACTTCAACCTCTTTCTCTTCTAGCTCCCAACCTTTCTTATGAATGCTTGGTGGAGGCCTGTGGAGAAAAGCCTGTAAACAGGAATGTGCTCTTCTTACATCTCAATTCCCAGGGTTCTCTCCTTTCAGGCTAGCCCTGGGTCTTAGCAGTTCATTAAAGTTGCAGCTGACATCTTACCTGCCTGCATGGTGGCCCTGTCTTCCGTTTGTTCAGCCACAAATGAGTCAGTATTCATGCCATTCTCCCCTGGGAAGCAGCTGTCTTTCTTAAGATTTTAGGCCAGTTCATTGCTCTGTGACCTCAGCTCTCTGAAGAGTTCAAGGAATGGTATGAATTTGTAAGTTATCATGCTTTTTCTTTGTGATAGGCTTGGAGCAATGCTCTTTACAGGTAATTGCATTCTAACCAGAAGCCAGAGCTCTTACTTACTTAACTTTACATTCTCAATCTATTCATTAACTCATTTGTTGAACAAAGCAAGATTGAACATGTAGGAAGCTAGGTACAGAGCTTTCTCATGAAGATACTGCATACAAGGACAGACTTGGCCCTGCTTTATGGTGCTCACAAACATATAAGAAAATAAAGCAATAATGCAATGAAGGGAAAAAATGGGAGTGCTCTGAAGGAGATTAACAAGATGCTGTAATAGGGAGTCAAAAGGATCTGATGTGGGAGAGGGAGTGTACTGGACAATGCTCTTAAGGAGATGAAATGGTGCAGAAATCTGAAGGCTGAAAAGAAGCAAGCCTTAAGAGTTGTGGTTGTGGCAGTTTTTGGAAGGGATTTTGGAGACAATTTTCCAGACAGAAGATATCAAAGAAACCCAGCGAGGAGACTGCTAAAGGAATGAATAAAAGGCCACTGAGCCGGGCAGAGAGAGCCTCTGAGGAGAAGTGCAAGACAGGGGCGGCAGAGCCAGGTTTTGTAGCTTGTGGAGGTGGTGGAAAGAAAGAAGCTTGGGTTTTACTGTAAGCACACTGGGAAGTGGCTGGTGGATTGTACAAGAATTCACATATCAACTGGGATCCTAATGGAAATAGATAACACCTCTCTGGTGGGGTGGTTGGAAAGTGTTAATGAAGCCAGTGTTAACAAGGCCTAGGCCAGTTTAAGAGAAAATAACTCGGATGATGCAGCCCCCAGGCCAGCCACAATGGGCAGCTGTTACCAGCCTAGCCTGAGTGGGGAAGGGTATCCCTGGACCTGGGCCACAAGCGTCCAGAGCGCTCCCGGGAGGCGTGGCTTTGGCAGGAGGGTCGCTGGCCTGGGTGACCCAGCAGGGGGAGTCCTCCCACCTCCTGCCTGGGCCTCTGGTGGGAAACTCCATGGGAAGCCAACATGGAAAGGAACCCATTGGCCAGTTCTGACAGCTGCTTCTCCAGCACATAGGTGAAGTGCGGAGAGTGGATATGAAGAGAAAACCGGAAGTGCAAAGACCGGAAGTGCGAAGAAGATCAGAGGTAAAGAGAAAATCCCAAGTGGGCAGCCCTGAAGTGAACAAGGCCTGAATCTCCTCTGAGGGGTCACTGTATCCGTGGTCTGGAGAATGGAGAGGGCGGATGTGAAGTCAGGAGCAGGGAGAGGTCCTGTGCTGGAGGACAGGGAGAAACTTGAGATTTTTTTTTTTTTTTAGATAGAGTTTCACTCTTGTTGCCCAGGCTGGAGTGCAATGGCACCATCTCGGCTCACTGCAACCTCCGTCCCCCGGGTTTGAGAGATTCTCCTGACTCAGCCTCCCAAGTATCTGGGATTACAGGCACGCGCCAACACGTCTGGCCAATTTTTGTATTTTTAGTAGAGACGGAGTTTCGCCACGTTGGCCAGGCTGTTCTCGAACCCCTGACTTCTGGCGATCCACCCGCCTCGGCCTCCCAAAGTGTTAGGATTACAGGCATGAGCCACTGCACCCGGCAAGATGTATTTTTAAAGGAGAACAAGCGTGACTTGTTGAGTGAGATTTGAAGGGTGAGGCAAAGTCAAGAGCAGCTCCCAGGCTTTGGAGGAGGGCAGAAGCCTGCACTCCTTTCCGAAATGAGGAGACTGTGGCGGGACTGAGTTCGAGGGAGAAAGCTTCAGTGATGTTTTGGAGATCTAAAGTCTGAGTGGACTTTGGAACAGCCAAGTGGAGATGTCATACTTCTAATATATACATTCTTCTAATTAAAAAAATCTTCTCATATGTGAGTAATGTACTTAATCAGAACTCATTTTTGAAGTTCACCATAGTTTTTCAACCCGTTGGTATTAATAATATCAGAGAGGAGTAGACAGACGGTGACAGCATGAAAAGAAATACCGCGTCTTCCTGTGCTCTGACACTTCTGGTATCACTGTAAGCCCAGGAACTTTAAAAGTACTTCTTGAAAACCCATTTTAGCACTGAAAATACATTTTCCACATTCAGTGAATCTGCTAAAGCTTGTTCCATATTTAGTAGGAGACGTCTGGATGGGGGTAAAAAAAAAAAAGTATGAATGTTGGAGCTTGGGGCTGGGTGACTGGGTGAGATCCCCCAGGAAGCTAACATGGGTGGAGAAGACCCAGCCCACAGGCCAGGCCTGGTGGATCCCCCACGCCTGGACATTGTTGTGGGAGGACATGGAGCAGCCAGTGAGACAGGAGGAAAACAGCGTCCTGTGAGGGAAGTGTGGGGAGTTGGCGATGCCAGAGTGGTCAACAGAGCCCGAAACTCCTCAGGGACTCAGGAAGAAAGTCAAAATGTAGCCCTGGAACATGTGTGTGCCCTAAACACTGGGAACTGGCTTCTTCTAGGCCCCTTCCCTTTGGGTGTCATCAGGAACTGTCTCAGTGTAAGGCCACCAGTCTTCTCCCAAGTTTAGTTCCCAGTGACCTGCCGATGGAGACCCCTGAAGAGATCCAGATTTCCCAAAAGCCGCTTCTCAGAGCTGATTCTTATGGTTCTGTCTTGTCTACACAAGGATGGACAAGATCAACAGCAAATGGATGATCTCCAGAAATCTCTTCATTTCCACATTTCAAAAAGTTCCACTGCTCACATTATTCTCTTATTTATAAGTCAATGTCTTGTTTTCTAATATATAAGCAAAAATATTGTGCATCTAATTGAGAACATTTATGAAGTTCACCATCTTTGCTTTTTGCAACTCAGTAATAATATCAGACAGGAGTAGCCAAACTTTGGAGGAGCAGAAAAAGAAATATTGTGTCTTGCTTTTCTTTGACACCTAGAATATTACTTTGTGTCCAAGAAACTTAAGAGTACTTCTTGAAAACCATAAAATTTTAGCTCTGCGAATACGTTCTCCAGCATCTAGTAAAGCTTGTTCCACACGTAACATTACCTCGCTCTTGTTCTTATAGTTATATTTATCTCCAGTTTCTTCTCTGTTTCCTCTAATGATAATGGATTATAAAGGCAGAAGGATCCTTTTGCAGAAAGGACTTGATGTTTTTTTTAAAAGAGACCCCCATTAAAAGAGCCAGGCTAAATCAAGAGACAGAAAATATTGAATTTTTAAATGAAAATAGAAAAGCTATTTAATATCCTTAATTCTAGCCTAGTTTCTCATATGCCCTCACTATGTGCTTTAGAGTATTGTCTGCATATTCTGGAACTGTCAATTTTAAAGGAATACATAGATGAAGTGGTGCATTCATTTATATTCTACTTGCAGAATTGTCAACCTTGAGTTGGAAGGTAAACTAGAAATAGAGGAGCTCTTCTCTAGTTCACCATCTAGTACCTGCTGTCAGTCACATAGCAGGTGCCAGAAAAGACAGCACCTGAGAGGAAATCTCTAAGCTTGCATACTTCTGTTTAGCACCTTAAGTGTGCACCAGAGACAGCTCAGGCCATTCCTAAAGGCCCTGGTGTTTTTCTTTAGATAACTTTTGAAGATTTGCTCTTATCCAGTCTTCAGTTTACATGCATTTCTGTGTTTTTAGATAAAATACCTTTGTGTAAAATATTGTTTGAGGCCTAATCAGAACTAAGTCTAGAGAATTGAAACCATCTCTGGGGGAAATTAACTGATGTGAACGGGAATTGAACCTGTCATCGTCGCCGTATCACTGCTCTACTCTTAACATCTAGTGATTTAAATAAAGCAAGAAAAATATTTAATTACATCAGATATATGCATTTACCCTGGTGGCAGTAATTACTTTTTGTGAATGGACACAGCTGTGAACCTAGGGGCATTTACTTCACTGTATTTAGTCTTTTAACCCACATGGTGTCTGGAAGATTTAAAATAACCGGAAAGATTTTCTTGACTGACTGACTAAATGAATATAAAATATTGGTTGATAAAAGTGACAGTGGTGTGGTATTTCTGTAACTTTGTACATTTACTTTATCAATATCGCAGACTCAGGGCTTATTTATTAATATCTCCTTCTGGGGTTCTGTGGGCAGTTATAACCTACTGCTTCCAGGTGAGCAGGGTTGTCTTTGTGGGTTCTCTCTCTGAACTGTTGGGTACACTCTAGGCCTAGTTGACCGATAACAAAAGGGTTAACAAGGATCTGGGTTCTGCTAAAACAAACATGTAAACTAATGTGGCCATTAACTAGCATATGCAATTGAAGCAGCATATGAGGAAATGTTATTCCATATAAAAATAGTGTCACCTTTTACATTAATTTCTCGTATGTGTACTTACACATTTTTGTGTATACATAAGTGTGTATATATAAACTCTTTATAATTACAGAATATACTTAACATACCAGAAACTCAAATATCTGTTGAATGAATGTTGTATCTTTGCTGTTTAATAAATGTTTATTGAACCATTTGAATGAAAGGGGAAACATATTTGATAAGGTAATATTGTTTTGTCAGCTAATGTTTTATGGTAAGGCTAATCTTTGAAAGCACACAAAGGCACCTCTATTTGTACAGGATTACTAAACTCAACACACACTGATGTTTTTTTAAAGGGAAAGTTCCTGGCCTGAAAAACAACTGATACCGAAAGTGTGTTTATTTTGCACTGATGATGCATTAGAATCATCCAAAGGGATGATAGATTTTACATTATGTATTGGAGTCATAGTAAAACACTAATCCTTCTATATGACCACAGCTGCATACAGGACATTTAGTAACAGTCTGTGATCCAGCATGAATGTGCATGCTTTTAAGTTTAATTTGATAGTTCAGCGTGTCATTTATACAGGTAAAATGCCTGAATTTAGAATTAATAAGCTCTTATAGAATTAAATATTTATCTTTTATTTTATAAAGGCATAACTTTTTTCGCTCATATTATTGTCAGTGTTTGGATGATTAAAACTTGGCAAGAACCATAGATTTGCGATGTATTATTGGTGATATCCTTGGAATCTAAAGTAGATTATTATATACTTGATTCATGAATTATAGTTCATGCATTGGTGCGTTTAGGGGTTAAAATCCAGCATGAGGAGGTCTGGAATAAAAGTATAACTTCTTAAAAAGGGGCACGTTTGAATAAGAGTGATAAGATTATAAATAAACCATGGTGTCGCAGAAACACTGTACTGGCTCATTCTTTATGATTCAGGTGCTGGGATCATAACGTTATTTACTCAAATGTAAGAAGAAAATCCAACAACTGTCTCAAGAGTTATCTGATTTTAGCTACAGTCTCACAGCTTAGTAAATCTGTTCCATCAATAATAAAATGGAGGAATCATTATATTTTATTTTAATTTTTAATTTTTGTGGGTACATAGGTATATATATTTATGGGTTATGTGGTATATTTTGATATAGGCATGCAATGCATAATAACCACATCAGGGTAAATGGGGTATCTATCACCCCAAGGATTTATCTTTTGTGTTACAAACAATCAAATTGTACTCTTATAGTTATTTTAAAATGTACAATTAAAATTTTTTTTTTTTACTATAGTCACCCTGTTGTGCTAGCAAATACTAGGTCTTATTTATTCTTTAAGTAATTTTTGTACCCATTATCCATACCCAGTGTCCCGTAAATCCCCCCAGTTACCCTTCCCAGCCTCTGGTGGTCATCCTTTTACTCTCTAGCTTCATGAGTTCAATTGTTTTAATTTTTAGTTGCCACAAATGGGTGAGAATGTGCAAAGTTAGTGTTTCTGTTCCTGGCTTATTTCATGTAACATAATAATGACCAGTTCCTTAAACAAATTTACTAGAAAAAACAAACCACCCCATTAAAAATTGGGAAAAGGACATGAACAGATACTTTTCAAAAGAAGATATGCTTGCAGCTAATAATCATATGAAAAAAAGCTCAACATCACTGATCATTAGAGAAATACAAATCAAAACCACAATGAGATACCATCTCACATAAGTCAGGATGGCTACTATTAAACAGTCAAAAAATAACAGATGCTGGCAAGTTTACAGAGAAAAAAGAGTGCTTATACACTGTTAGTGGGTGTGTAAATGAGTTCAACCACTGTGGAAGACAGTGTGGTGATTCCTCAGAGACCTAAAGACAGAAATACCAATCTCATTACTGGGTATATACCCAAAGGAATATAAATCGTTCCATTATAAGGACACATGTATTGGAGTATTCATTGCATCACTGTCTGCAATAGCAAAGACACTGAATCAACCTAAATGCCCAATAATGATAGACTGGATAAAGAAAATATGGTACATATGTACCATGGAATACTGTGTAGCAATAAAAAAGAATGAGATCATGTCCTTTGCAGGGATATGGATGGACCTGGAGACCATTATCCTTAGAAGACTAATACATGAACAGAAAACCAAATACCATAGGTTCTCACTTATAAATGGGAGCTGAATTATGAGAACACATGGACACATAGAGGGGAACAACACACACGGGGGCCTATTGGAGGGTGAAGAGTGGGAGAAGGGGGAGGATCCGGAAAAATGACTGATGGGTAATAGGCTTAATACCTGGGTCATGAAATAATCTGTACAACAAACCCCCATGACACAAGTTTACCTATATAACAAACCTGCACATGTACCCCTGAACTTAAAATAAAAGTTGAATTAAAAATAGTAATGAGTTCCTTCCACATTGTTGCAAATGACAGAGATATAATTCTTTTTTGTGGCTGAATAGTACTCCATTATGTATATGTACCACATTTTCTTTATCCATTCATCTGCTGATGGGCACTTGGGTTGCGTCCAAATCTTGGCTATAGTGGATAGTGCTGCAATAAACATGGGAATGCAGATATCTCTTTGGCATGCCAATTTTCTCTTTTTGGGGTATATACTGAGGAGTAGGATTGCTGGATCATATGGTAACTCTATTTTTAGTTTTTGAGGACCCTTTATGCTGTTCTCCATAGTGGTTGGACTAATTTATGTTTTCACCAACATTTTACAAGGGTTTCCCTTTCTCCACATCCTTGCCAGCATCTGTTATTTCCTCTCTTAAGGATAGTAGCCATTTTAACTGGGGTGAGATGATATCTCACTGCAGTTTTGATTTGCATTTCTCCGATAATGAATGATGTTGAGTACCTTTTCTGTTTTTTGTTGTTGCTGTTGTTGTTCTTTTGGGACAGAGTCTCCCTCTGTCACCCAGGCTGGAGTGCAGTGGCACGATCTCGGCTCACTGCAAGCTCCGCCTCCCGGGTTCACGCCATTCTCTCGCCTCAGCTTCCTGAGCAGCTGGGACTACAGGCGCCTGCCACCACGCCTGGCTAATTTTTTGTATTTTTTAGTAGAGACGGGGTTTCACTGTGTTAGTCAGGATGGTCTCGATCTCTTGACCTCATGATCCGCTTGCCTCGGCCTCCCAAAGTGCTGGGATTACAGGCGTGAGCCACCACGCCTGGCCTATGTTGAGTACCTTTTCATATGCCTATTAGCCATTTGTACATCTTCTTTTGAGAAATTATTCAAATCATTTGCC
Source organism: Homo sapiens (assembly GCF_000001405.40). Lineage (NCBI taxonomy): Eukaryota > Metazoa > Chordata > Mammalia > Primates > Hominidae > Homo > Homo sapiens. The sequence continues at coordinate 7,481,642 of NC_000005.10, forward strand.
CATTTTTCAATTGGATTATTAGATTCTCTCCAATAGAGTTGTTTGTTATTCTGGTTATTAATTCCTTGTCAGAACAGCAGTCTGTATATATCTTCTGCCATCCAATGAGTTGTCTCTTCACCATGCTGATTTGTGTGTGTGTGTGTGTGTGTGTGCAGAAGCTTTTTAACTTGATGTAATCCTATTTGTCCATTTTTTTGCTTTGATTGCCTGTGCTTGTGAGGTATTACTCAAGAAACCTTTGCACAATGTCCTGGAGTGTTTCCCCCATGTTTTTCTTTAGTAGTTTTATAGTTTGAGGCACTATATTTTATTTCTAAATTTATTTCTAAGATGGTCCAATTACTATAGGAAGTTAGTTTGAGATGAAGTTCTGAAAGTCATGATTTACGGTGAATTATTATAGCTCTAAGTCTGTCACTATGTGTATTTTCCCTCCTGACTCAGAAATGGTATAAGATTTAAATTTTCAAAAAGTATTGATCTGGGGTTAGATGGCATCTCATTGTGGTTTTGATTTGCATTTACCCAACAGTGACACTGAGCATTTTTTCCATAAACCTGTTGTTCACTTGTATGTATCCTTTTGAGAAATGTCTACTCAGATCCTTTACCCAATTCTTATGGGATTATTATTATTTTACTTCATTTTTTGCTGTTGGGTTGTTTGAGTTCTTTTTGTATTCTGGATATTAGTCCCTTGTCAGATGAATAGTTTGCAAATAATTTCTCTCATTCTTCAGGTTGTTTCTCATTCTTGATCATTTCCTTTGCTATACAGAATCTTGTTAGTTTAAAATAGTCCTATTAGTCTATTTCATTATTGTTGCCTGTGCTTGAAGATGTGGAGCAAACTCTTATGTACTGTTGGTGGGAACTTTTATGTACTGTTGATGTAAATTAGCACACTCATTATGCACAACAGTATGGAGGTTTCTCAAAAAACTAAAACTAGAACTACCATACAATCTAACAATCCCACTACTGGGTATTTATCCAAGGAAAAGAAATCCTTATATCAAAGAGATACCTGCACCTTGATGTTTATTGTAGCACTATTCCTAATAGCCATGATATGGAACCCACCTAAGTGTCTATCAGCTGATGAATGGATAAAGAAAATGTGATATATATATATATATATATATATACACACACACATACATATATACATATATGTATAATGAAATGCTATTCAGTCATAAAGATAATTAAATCCTCTCATTTGCAGCAACGTGGATGGAACTGGAGGTTCAATGACATAAGCCGGGCACAGAAAGACGAATACCACATGTTCTCACTCTTATGTGGGAGCTAAAAACATTGATCTCATGGAGTAGAGTGTGGAATGATAGTAAGCAGAGGCTGGGAAGGGTGTGAGGGAAGAGGGATGAAGAGACATTGGTTAATGGGTACAAACATACAGTTAGATACAAGGAATAAGCTCTAGTGCCCAGTAACACAGTAGCGTTACTGTAGTTAACAGTAATTTATTGTATATTTCTAAATAGTTAGAAGAGAAGAATTAGAATATTTCCAACAAAAAATGACAAATGTTTGAGGTAATAGATATCCTAACTATCCTGATTTGATTATTATATATTATATGCATGTATCAGAATGTCACATGTACCCCATTAGTATGTACAATTATTATGTATCGAAAAATTTTGAGAGTAGTCATCTGCTGGGACTGTGATTCAAGAATTTGCAGGTTAGGTAATCCTTCAGAGAACATGCTAGCCTTTCAGTGATGATTGAAAACTGCAGTACATAAAAAAAAAAAAGCATTTCATCTTAGAGAGACCAGTGGCATTTGTTTCATTATTAACCAGAGTACTGAAAACATTTCATTTCATGAATGTCATGTAAAAATGTAAGAGGGTCACCAACAAATTAAAGTAATATATTTTGAAAGCTTCTTCACATTAAGACTTTTTTGTACTGTTCTGACATGACCTCGGGTGTTTGGAGCCCAGGGAGATGACATGGCATGGGAGTGCCGGGTGGAAGGTGCTAGAATGTGCCATTGAGTGACATTTTAGAGGGGCTGCCTTGCTGGCCCTGTCCACAGTCTCAGGCACTCCCACTGGAATACACCATCTGTGCCTCCTCTCCTTCCTCCTATGAATGGCCTCCTATTTCATCTTTTCCTCTCCAAATCTGGTTCAATACACAAAATGCGATTCAGTTGTCTTTTACTCTATCAAGCCTTGCTAATCTGCAGTTCTCGCTCTTAAGTAATATTAATAATTTCCAGTATTATTTGCTTGCATATTACTGGGAAATTTACAAACATTTTTATGAAAATCTTATGTTATTGAGCTCCGATTGATACTATCTCATCATCAGTTAATATTGATAGACTAGATTTTATCTTTCAAGGTGAGGAAACCCAGGTTCCAAGAAGTTAAATGATGCTCTTGTAAGACATCAATATTTACTTTAATCCATCTGTCAATTGATGAAATAGTCTTCCTCTTGACAAAATACAATGTTAAATCAATTATAATGTCCCAAGCTTTTATTCTACTTATATACTACGGAGTTGAAAATATGATTATGGGTGCTTTGAGAGGTCTTCTAAGTGACCAGCTAAATAAACAACAAATATACAGCATTCAGAATTTATTCATAATATAGTAATACCCAATTAGAAAATGGATTAGGGAAAAATAATCCAATTTGCAGGACCTACAAGGTTTTTAAAAAATGCATTTTATAACAAATGTGCATCATCTTCCCAGGGAAAATAATGAAATTGTGTGAGTGTGCCTGTTGATCTAAAGGAAGCCTTGAATGAATGGAGCACTGCTGCAGAGAGACCCAAGCTCCATTAGCCTTCCTGGAACTGCCCAGAAAGTAACTGCCTTCAAAGGACAATTCCACGTCTTCTCTCCTCTCTTTGTCTATTCTCATTCCCAGATGATGACTTTGTTTTTTATCCTATGTCACTGGAAAGTTTTAAGCAATCTGAAGAGCTTCCACCACCACATCCAAATAACTACACTTCTATCCTCTTTCTTTCTATCATAAACTATGACATGCCTGTGGCTCTCCGATCTTGGGCCAGCTTCTCTTGGGTACCAGTTTTCAGGTATTCTCAGCTACCCAGCTGTTTTTGTTTTCCTTTCTCTTCTGCATCCTAAAAATCTCTCTGCTAGATGTTTTCCTTCAGTACACTTACATTTTACTTCTTACATGTTAAAATTCAGCACTTCAGACCCGATTTCCCATAAACTGCCATCCCATTCCTCTCTTCTCATTGATAACAAACTCTTTGAAAGAATTGTCTGTGCTCCTTGGTCCCAGTCTTCCGTAGACCCCATGCCAATCTGGAGTGGATGACATCAGAAAGGAGGTAAGAGGAGCCAGAGGAGAGTACAGGTCACAGAATGAGCCCATTCAGCGAAACTACACTTAAGGTCATCTTGACAAGGTCACCAGTAACTTACATGTCACTAACTAAATTCAGTGGACCAATTATCAGCCCTCTTTATACCTGCTGTACACAGGGAGTTCCTTTCTCCCTCCGAAACTTGAATAGATATGGCTATGCAGACATTTAAAACTTTTATAAGTCTAAGTAGAAAACATAGACATATAAAGAATTTTAATAAACTATCAATTGGAAAAAGTATATGAAAGTTATCTGAGAGGCAAAAGGTTAACATTCTTGACATATAGAGAGCTTTTTATGTTTAATAATAAAATCAAAATAAAATAGACAAAGACATGAATGTAAAATTCGTGGAACAAAAAAAGCATGAAAAAATTAAGTTTAATTTCAGCAATAATAAATAAATTCAAACTAACATGTCAGGGATATGACATGCTTTCAAAACAGAAAGAATTATAATGCAAAGCAGAAGAGATACACACATATTTTGCTGATGGAGTGAAGGTTGCTACAAATTCATGAAAAGGATTTTGGTGATTTTTTTTCTTACATCTTAAAATGTGCATTTCCTTTGACATATTAGTTTCTCATCTGGTGAACTATCCTAAGAACATAATTATATAAATATGCAAAATATATAACTGAGTCTTCATTGGAAGCATTCTGCAGTAGAGAAGCACTACATTTTAAAAAACTATGACACATTAGCATAAACTATGATATAAAGTTTTATTAACATTCTAGTTGTGATACATCATTACAGAACTATATATGTGGTACAATCTTGTTTTTGTTCTTTATATTAGAAAAACAGATAGGAGGAGAAATATCCAGATAATAAAAGGAGTGATCTATGGCTGTGGATGTTAAAGATATTTACAGTGATAGTCCCCCTCATTTGAATCTTTTACATTTATTTTAATAAATATCTATTTTTATGAGGATAAAGTAATAAAATAGAATAAAACACGACATTCTTATAAGGGAAAGTTCTGAGTTTAAATCCAAGGTGACAATATATGTGATATTATTCATTACGAACAAATAAGATGAGAGAAACTGAATGAGTTCCTGGGGAAACTTTGTCTCTAGGTGCAGGTGGGCATTCAAAGTGTGCACTGCCCGACTGTCGCTATCTCTTCATTATAGTGCTGTTGCAAATTTTAAAGAGTTTCATGAAGTATCGTAATAGTCAAAGTTTATACACAGACGTGATACACAGTTGTGAATGGGCACACAAATGTACATATATTTCCATGCTTATACACACAGGAGTTAACATGCACACACATAAATATGTACATACACGTATTTCTAGTTGAGTCTTCTGGCACATCCCTGATACTTGGTTTATAAACTTTCTGTGCGAATTTCTCCAAGTTATTTTTAACATGAATTTTAAGGGCAGTTAAAACAAAGCTTTTGTGTTAGAAACTGAGAGTTTCAGACAGTGTTTAGGGAAGGGCAACACCCGCTCTTTGCAGTAGCTGATAGCTGCATGAGCAACTGTGAATGTCTCTGGCCTATCTAGGCTGATCATCACTGTGGAAACAGACCTTGCTTTATAGGAAATGGGGTAGGGTGCCTGAAGTATCATGCTTAGCTTCACCTTGCTCACATAGCAACTTCCATTTCTTGCCTCCATAAATTCTGACATTTTACAAAGAGAAATTTACAAAAAAAGAAAAAAATACTGACTTTGGAGCACATACTGCCATTGGAGCAAGCTGACTTGCAGGTAAAATGAGATCGATCAGAAGTTTGTTAGATGTGAGCTAAAATTGAGACACAGTGCCTGGCAGTGACTGCACAGGTCCAAGGTAGGCAAGTCAGAATAAAGTGGCATGTGCGTTGGAGGTCAGGGTTCCTTGATAAGGCCAGTTCCTGGAAGGGAATGGCCTCAGTCTCCCATGCGGTGGAAGACAACATGCCTCTGGGGACCAGACACCATGCTAAGGTGGCAGTGTCATGGACACAGGCTTCCTCCCAGTGGTTTCAAAGCATTAGTTCGAGTTCATGCCTGTGAATGAAAGATCTGTCTTTCAAGATGTCTTAAAAAGGCTATGTGTGTGATTGCTTGGCCTGGGCCTTCAGGAAAGTATTATGGTCCTTGATATGAGACAGCTGTCCACCCATGCTGGATCTCTGGAATTCAGATTCACCCCTTCTCCAGACCATCACAGCCAAGGGCCTGCCCATCCTGTCAGTCCCAGTGCCTGCTTGTCATGCTATGGGTCATACCCTCCACATTCTCAGAGGAGCCTTCTCTGAAATGACCCCCACCATCACCACTGCCACACCCAAACATGAAGGTCCACATTCCTCTCCCAATGCCGTTTGTTATCATAGCACACCATTTTCCTTTTATGGGCCTCATCATAAACAGATAACCTATGTCTTTGGTTATCATTTGTTAAAAGAAAGTCTCCTCTTCCTGTCTAGAAGCTTTGTGAAGGCAGAAGCGATCTCTCCTTTGCCACCCAGAGCCTGACAGAGTCTAACACAGAGAAAGCTTTCCACTGTGGGTGAGGCGACTGCTGATGAGCCATGTTGGATCTTCTTCATGTACTCAGCTCCTAGATAACACATTTGGTTTGTTCAGTGGCAAAGCACTTGGTTCCCCATGAAGTCATTATTTTCTTCCCATTTTCCCAATGAGACATTTAAAATATGTTGTCTGAGGTCATGGTGCTGGGAGAAGATGAAGATTATTCCACTTTTGATGAGAATAACCCATCTGACATGAAACCATTTAAAATATGGTACTTTTGAGTCATCATCTAAATTGATTTCTTTGTTTTCTTTCAGGACCAAAATATACATTCTTATGTGACAAGTTCAGACTGTTTATTTAGAGATTCTTTTATTGGAAAGCTCTGAGTGGTGTAGGTGAAAACTTGTGTATTCAAAACACACATCATTAAAAGGGCTTTTTAATGTTTGGATTCCTACTGAAAGGAAAGAAAAAAACATTATGATATTAATCATAAAAGTTAAAAGTAACCAAGTGGTCTTGTGGTATGGTTTGGCTGTGTCCCCACCCAAATCTCACCTTGAATTGTAATAATCCCCATGTGTAAAGGGAGGGGCCAGGTGGAGATGACTGACTCATGGGGGCAGTTTCCCTCATACTGTAATATGGGAGTGAATGAATCTCATGGGATCTGATGGTTTTATAAATAGAGTTCCCCTGCACAAGCTCTCTTGCCGGCCACCATGTAAGACACCCGTTTGCTCTTCCTTCGTCTTCCACCATGATTGTGAGGCCTCCCCAGCCATGTCGAGCTGTGAGTCCATTAAACCTCTTTCCTTGATAAATTACCCAGTCTTGGGTATGTCTAATACATCTTGACTAATACATCTTGCCAGGATTTCCAGGTGGTATGTGGGCTTGGGGGTCACTGACTCCCTCCATCCCTCTGTCTTGTGGGGAATTCCTTGTGCCCCTGTCCCTCAAGCATGTTTCTAAGGGACTTGCACTTCTCCTACTTAGCTCTCCCTCAGAACTTCTGCTTCCATTAAATTTTTAACCCTCCTGTATCAAGGCTGCATTGCATAGTGGCTTTTCTTTTGTCTGCTCATTTTTTAGGGGCAATGGAGAGAGTGTGACAGATGACACTGGGGAGCACGTTGAAGTGGAAGTTAGGTGATCAAAAGGGCCTGACCACCAATGGGAATTTCTCCCAAGGCCCTTCCCACGAGGCCAGTGTCCTGAGCATTCTCGCCCCTAGATCCCTTTGCCCATTTCTTCTAGAATCCCAAAGCCCCTCGTCAGTGCCCAGCCCACAACACCAAGATTCCTGGGAGAGGTTAAGCTGCAGATCTCCTCCTCAGGCTCATTTGCGGTCCAGACCTGCCTGTGCAACCCCGAGGGACCCATGAATGAGCCTCCCCTGAAGAATGAGTCATCTGTCCCTCATCAGTAACTGACACGTAGACATTGCTCTGATGTGAGCTGATTCAAATAGCTGGGTCCTGCCTTCTCCCCAGTTTACCATTTCTGCAAGAAAAATATGCAAAACACAGACTTTCCTGCCCTGCCCAGAGCACTCCTGAGGCCCGGCTCTCCCACTCCCATTTCTACTGTGAAACATGCGTCTTGGGTGTCTTGGATACCCCCCTTTGCTGCAGACTTTCCAAAATTACGCATCTGAGTCTCTGAGACCTGTTAGCAGAGTTCTCACAAGAAACATACAAGGACAAGTAGGACAGCAGGGCCCCTAGCACTCCTAGGTGGCACTCGCCAATCCAGGGACTATTGCACCCTCCACTGTCTTCTTTCTTTTTGACACACTTACATATTGAGTGTTGCAGTTTCCCTGGTTCACCTTGCCACTCAGCCCTTCCTTGGGTTGCTTCTTCAACTGGGACTGTTTTCTTGTTCCTCATCTCTTGGCTCATCCTGGGGCCACTGCTGGGTCATCTTGGCATGATTCTATCACATCCCTGTGCCTGGCTAGGCATATGGTAGTGAGTGAGTCTCACAAGATCTGATAGTTTTATAGAGTTCCCCTGCACGAGCTCTCTTGCCTGCCGCCATGTAAGACATTCCTTTGCTCTACCTTCATCTTCCACCATGATTGTGAGGCCTCCCCAGCCATGTCGAACTGTGAGTAAATTAAACCTCTTTCCTTGATAAATTAGCCAGCCTTGGGTATGCATCTCCAACCCCAACTGGAGGAGGGACATTTGGACTGAGAGTACCCAGGATGTAAAACATAGAATATCCTCAATGCAGTGCCCTCTGCACTTGCCTTTGCTATTTCTGCTTCAGTGTGTGTGTGTGTGTGGCAGGAGGTTCACTCTTGGAGACCCAGGTTAGCAGACCTGAGCTGTCCCGTGATGACTTAAGATGGGGTGACTGATGTGGAGACTTGAGCTGCGTATAGCTTCAGCATTAGAATTCTATCCTGTTATTCCTGATTTTTGTGCTTTTTGGTTGAATTTTGAATACAGACTTAACATTTCATTTAATGCAGAAGTAAAGACTCTAAGGAATGTAGTGGTAAAAATTATCATTCTTGGTGGGCTGGGGTACTATTTCTGAGAAGAGGCAATGTGCTATGTGATTGGAGGTTCATTATTACTATGACAGTAAGAAAGTTTTCATAGATTAAAATATACATAATTGACATTAGTTCTTTTTCTTATTACAACTAGTAGGTGTTGTTTAATAAGAATAGCTTCTATAAGCGTTGTTCTTTTATTCCATTAATACCATGGTTTATATCTTTAAGAAGTTACTTTCCATGATATTAAATTGAACTATTTTCAAAGGAGAGTATTTAACTGTTTGTAATTCATTGCAAGCTGATTACTGTGTGCCTCACCCACTCATGACCCCTGTAGGGTGAATAGGAAACAATGCATGAACAGAGATATGCCTGCCACTGAGAGGTAGAATGGCCTTGATGAGGTGAATTTAGCACTAGACATTAGGAGCAATGAGGCCACAGAGGCTTTAGTACATACACAGACATGGAAATTCTCCTAGTCTGATTTTATTGTCCCAATCTGAAAAATAAATGTAAAGAATAGAAATGTACCTTATAGGTAATCAGCACATGTATTTCAAAGGCTCTAGCCAGTAAACACACACGCACACACACACATGCATGCATGCACACACACACATGCATGCACACACACACAGGCACACCATCATTTTGGGGATGGTATTGCCTGACAGATGGTTAAGTGTCTTAAATCTACTTGGTTTAAGGTATGCCAAGCAACCTTTCCAAAGACCACCTGAACAGACATGTCACTTAACTGGAAATTTAGAGAAGACCCATTAAAAATGTTATAAATCACAGTCACCGTAAGTCAGGTGTCTGTTAAATAATGGTGTCATTTAATATGATACAAGTAAGAAATAGAAACTCTGAAAATGAAATATACGTAATTGAGGACATAAACTTGAGGGAAAGGATGATGCTATTGCATTAAAAAATAACATGCTCCTTACAATTAAAATACTAGTAAGAAAATCACAAAATGCACACAATTAGATTAATTATGTTACATGGCCATCCAAGAGGTACAAAATTAAATAAGGGGAATGCCTTACTATAATTGATAAATGGTAGCTGAGTGTTTTACTTGGTTTATCAACAAATTATAATTTTATCTATTTAATAACTTGAATTCTATGATACTCAGGATGTATTCTCACATATCTGTGCTTGGTTCAAAAATGATCTAATTAAAAATGATTTTTTTTTTTTTGAGACACAGTCTTGCTCTGTTGCCCAGGCTGGAGTGCAATGGCACCATCTCAATTCACTGCAACCTCCGCCTCCTGACTTCAAGCCATTCTCCCTGCCTCAGCCTCCTGAGCAGCTGGGATTACAGGCTCAAAATGATATATATTTTTTATCACATTACCTACTTTCTTCCATTTATCTTTGTGTTTGTAAGAGGACTTAGAAACTAATAAAAATGCTAATTATATAAAATTGATCCCTGGTGAATCTCATAAGGGAACAAGTTAACCCATTATTATTTTTACTTTGAAGAATCATTTTTTGTTCTTTTCTTTTTGTGCATTATATATAGAAAAACAGTTTATATAATTTTGGTAGATAATTTAGAACATAAGCCATTGATATTTTTAGGTCTAAAATAGATGTTAAAATCACTACTTTATGTAACATATAAGTTATAGCCCCTAACTGGGTTGTTGACATCATATTATAATATGAAACTAATTTTTTATATTATTAATGTTTATCTTTCTTTAATGATTACTATTTCCATTTGGGAAAATTTAGAATGTGTTTTTTATAAGCACAAAACAACCAAACAAGTTGTTCTGTTTTATTCATCTATCTATTACTATATTCTGTTTCCATGTTCCACATTGTGGTCATTTATTAAATTTTAAAAAGAACTAACTGAACTTCCTGTGTGTGCCAGGCTGTCTGTTGCACAGCACTGAGTAACACAGGGGCTCTGCCCTGAAAGAGCACAGGTGTCACGGGGTGGAGGGCACATGGGCCAGGGTGCCAGGTGCTGTAGATGTCTGCTTCTCAGCAGCAGGGATCACCCTCCTGCACTGGACTTGGGTTTTCAGTAGGAAATTCTTGACCAGGTTGAAAGGGCACAGGGGAACCTAGAAAGGGACCATCACAAGGATGGAGGTGAGAAGGACACAAATCACTGTGTCATGCTGTGACCACAGGACAGGGCGTATGTTGGTCAGTGACATGTTTGGAAGTGGGACCACAATGATAGGTGGAGGTGCGATTGTAAAGACCTGTAGTGTCACACCACAGGATGGAATGTTTTGCATTAGCATTGATTAATCATCCAATCTTTTGGGGGCATTGGAGGAATGTGATCATATCCATGTTTCAGCAGTTTTGCCATGGGGAAGTTAGATTGCAGGACGTTAAGACCAGCCCCTGGGAGCTCAGTTAGAAAATGACTGTAATAAGCCATCAGAAGATGAACAGATATTAAAGGAAGGACTGTAGGAGTCAAGAAAGGGAGCCAGAGGCAATGGATATTTGGAGAATTGAATCATCGAGCTGCCAGATCTTATAGATCAGTTAGATGTGGGAGCAACTCTGAGATTCCTAAGTTAAACACTGGGGAGGAAGGTGGTGCCTTTAACAGAGATTTGCATCTGAGAGGAGAAAAAGGCCAGAGGAGGGAGGTTAATGGAGTGACTTGCAGAGTCGTTTGGGGAGGTTAACGGAGTGGCTTGCAGAGTCCAGTTTGGGGAGGTGAAGGTGTTATAATAGTAATGAAGGGTAAATAGAAGACACTATAGTTCTGGAAGTCAGAGGAGGGTGAGCTGCAGTTATAGATTGGGGCTCTTCCACCTGCATTCAGTGGTGCAGTAGTGATGCTGTGGCTGTGATGAGACCCCTGCTAAGGAAAAAGGACATAGTGAGGAGCTGTGAGGGCCCGGGCTGCATCCTGAGTTCATGGCCATTGCTCTTGTGCTCAGCCGGGGTTCTGAGCTATGTCCTGGGAAGAGTGTGGCTGTGGGGAGACAGCTTGACTTCCTCAGTGTCTCAGGGCAGTGGCTAATGGCAAAGAGATTGCAAACCATTGATGTAAGAGAAGGTCAAGGAGTTAAAAAATGAAGAAAAAGAAAGCAGAAGTAAAGTAAGAGGTATGGGAGGAAAGCCAGGAGTCAGCACTGATCTGTAAGTTTGGAAGGAAAGACAGTGAAGAGAAAGCCTGGGTCCATCTCTCCATGAGCTGTCAATGAGGGCATGGGCAGCCTTCCAAAAGGTTCTCAGCAGGGCTTTGAGGGTAGCAGCTCTTCTATGAATGGAGTGGCAGGAAGATGAATAAGAGGAAGTGAGTGCCTGTTACTCCTCTAAGAAGAGGACAGGGGAGTGAAGGAGAGAGGAGAGGGGGTATCGGGTGCCTTTATATAGAAAGAAAGAAACATAAGCCTGTTTTTAAACTGTAAGGATCTGAAAATGGACACCAACATGGATGGACAAGGAATAAATAATTGCTGGAACTCTGTTGTTTAAGGCTGGAAACGACGATGTCTACAATGTGGGGTTAGAGGGGGATCCCTTCCTAGAAGATGTGAAGACAGTAGGCATGCAGCTTTGGGATGGCAGGAGTGTGAATTTGAGGAGATTGGCTCTTGCTGTCCTCTGTTTTCTTAGTGGAGAGAGATAGGACCACACATAGAAAGTGATGGAGGGATAGTGGAGCTGGGAGCTTCAGGAGTTCAATCACGGGATACAACAACTGCTCTGAGATACACAAATTGTTGCTGATTCATCCTAAGTAAAAGAGGAAGTCTTCCATCTCTAGCAACCCTGGCCTAGGGGAAGGCAGGTTGAGGCAGAAAGGAAACTGAGTCAAATAAGTGCAAGTCTGTACCCCTGGCTCAGGTCCATAAACCCAGCAGCCAGCCCTATAACGCTCTCTCCCCGGTCCCGGTGGAAACCAGAGGAGGATCCTCTGGAAAAGCCGAGCTGCAGAGAGGAAAGGTCCCCAGGTCCCTCCTGCTCTGTGCAATGTAGGCTTGGTTCTGCCTCAGCAGTCAAATATGTGCAGACAGGGGCCCCCAGTGATGAGAGGCACAAGCTGGTGCTGAGCTCTGGTGCTGACATGCACCCTGCTTTGCTGGCAGCCCTCAGGTGCTTTTTTCCATTCGGTCCACCCATCCAGGGGAATCACCTGCTTCCTGCTGTTGCCCTATCTCCAGCTCAAGCCTCTGCAACCCAGTCTCACCAGGGCGGATAATCTTACTAAAACTCCAGTGTGGTCAAATCCCACTCCCTGCTTGGAACCCTTCTGTAGCTCCTCATACCCCTGATCAATTCTAAACTTCTTGCTGAAGCTCATGAATCTGCAGGTGCTTTGGCTTCCCCTTCTCTCTCTGCTCTCAACTCTACGCTTTCCCTCCCTCTGCACATGCTGCACTCTACTTTGAAGTCTTTGCATGGGACATTGTGCTTCTTGTAGTATTTTCCCTGTTATTCAAAACTGAGCTGGGTACTTCTTACATGTGCTCAAATTTCACCATCCTTAACCCATCCTAGTGAGCAAGGTCTGGATCCTGTTTCCAAGGGCTCCTCCAGGCCTGGCAGATGGTGGGGGCTCAAGGCTAGTGGGAGTGAACTCTTTAATTAGTGTTAGTGGTTACGGAGGCAGAGACTCTCAGCTCCATTTTAATGCCACAGTAAGGACTTGGTAATGCTGTTGTAGGTTTCCAGCAAAGTGTGAATTGCCTGGAGACCTACCAAGGTGTCAAGTAACAGAATTCAACAAGGTGTTAAGAACAAGAAAAAGAAACAGACTTCATTTTGATTAGTTGAACTTGTAGGTTTGACTAAACTTTAGACAGTGGAAAGGGTGTTGTAACTGTTGGCTCCATCCTTCCAAACCAAGCTTCTCTGAGAGAACACCGGACCAGCTGCCATGTTGTGGATGTGCCAGTGGCTGCACCCAAGGCTTGGCCACACCCTGTCTGGGGAATTGTCCAGCTTTTCCTCATCTCTGCTGTCACTTTGCTTTTACCATTTCTTGCTCAAATTTTCCATGTCTCAAAGATAAAACAAAACTCAGGCAAACCCATATTTAATATCCTGGTGACTATCTTTAGTGCAGTCTAGTCTATAAGCCATGTTTAGGTGCCTGCACATGTATGTTAGCCCTAATCACCCCCGTGCCTCACCTCCATGTTCTGCATCTGACTTCACTCCTGAATATGCTCTAAATAAAAGGAGTTAAATTGGCTTCGTGGGAACTTGTGCCCTTGTTCCTTGTGTGCCAGGAAACGCCTGTATCTCTGTGTCAGGAATTTCGAGCTTCATTGCATCATCAAGCTCTTTTGTTTGGAAGACTCTAGTCTGCTACCATGAACTCTTAAGATAGGATAAATTAATTAGCTTTGGAAATTAATGCTATAAGCATAAAACGGGATATTATTGCAGAAGAATAGCAGACCTTAATATCAGAAATTTTGTTTTGTTCCCAGAAAATGAATCTAAATCTATTTGCAAAGGAGGATAGTTATTTTTGCACAAAATGACCTAAAATGAGTGTATTTATGAATTGCTTTTAATCTTGAGGAGACTAAGTTATTTCATCTGTTGGTAATAAAAGTTGCTTCTTAAATAGTGTTTTATTTCCAATGCAGTTGGTCTCATTACAAGTAAACCTGGAACAATCATACTGTACCTTTTTTTCCCTCTGGAACGTTATGCGAGTATGCTAAATCTGAACATTTTGACATCCTTATCTAAAAATAGTCTGTGAAATACTTTTCATTTCTTAAATTTAGAAATAGATTTGGAGGCACTTTCAATGAATTATTTAGCCAGTCAGTGGAAAGTTTTCATTTTAGAAAAAGGAGTAATCACGTAGAAGATGACTGAATTTATAAAAATAATTTTCTTTCACGCCTACCAATACATGTGTGTTCTTTCTCTGCAAAGTAACCCATTGTAAGTGCAGTTCTCCTAGGCAAGCACTGAAGGGTGGTTGTTGCTGCTGCATAGTCCAAGATTAAAGTGTGAATGGCCTGTTTAAAATGTAAGAACCAAAGATTGGAACTATCAGGGGTTGTCTAAGACTTATGATTTTTCATTAAATATTTGATTTTGAAGGCAAACAACACACCATGCAAAAGGGCATGCTGAATAATAGTTCTGATAAATCCACTCTAATTTATAGGGGAGAAACTCTTAGCAAGATAAAAAATCAAAAGGAAATTTCCTATACACTTTATAAAATGTTTATAAAAGCAACAACATTTTAATAAAAATCGCTAACTCCAAATTCTTAGGAATGTAACATTGGAGGAATTATCATTAAGACGAAGACTAAAGAGGGTGTGTGCTCTTAATTCTGTTGGGTAACACTGTACTTAACCAAGCTGGTTGAACAAGGAGAAAAATGAAAGTATACAGAAAGGATAAGAAAAAATGATCACTAATTGTGGCTATTACACATTGACCTTGATATATAATAGCTGAATGAATTCGGCCATGTTATTTAACCTCTCTAAGCTTTAATATTTAATTTTTCAATTGAGAATATTAATACCATATACTTCACAATTTTGTTGTTAAAATAAATTGGATAATGCATATAAGATTATTATTTTACAATAGTTGACAGAGAGTATGCCCTCTGTAAATTTTAGTCATTTTTAGTATTAGCTCCTGATAAACGAGAGACTCAATTGAAAACCACTAGCATTAATGGAGGGATTAATTACGTTAGGAGTGAAGCTTAACTACTTTCCAATATATAAGGAACAAAAAGTTAGCAAATATAATGGGGCAATAACTTTATTTACATGAATAATATATCTAGGAATATTTTATATGAATATATCAGCAATAATATATCTAGGAATAAACATAAGCAATGGTCAGAATTTCCTTGGCATTAATCGTTTTAGGTCAGTTTTCTCAGGTACTTAATTGACCCTTAAATATATAGACTCAGGTCCTTATTAATTTCCCAACTACACTTGAATTGTTCAGAATTTCTTGAAGAAAACTATCAAACTTTAAGGAATGCCATAAGAGAAGCTATCAATGCATCCAAAGATAAAGCACATTCCCACTTATGAAGATGCAATGTTCTTTAAAAAGTATCAAATTTCCCATCTTTAATCTCTCAAATGAAGGCAGTCTCAACCAAAATACACATGCAAGTATGGGAAGATTAATCACATGTCACTAACAGTATGGAAGATACACAAACAAGAATAACCAGGGCAGTTATATAAAGCAGATCTGTAGAGAATTACTTGAATTTTTGTGATATTAAAATGTATATGGTTTATAATTAAAAGAATAAAAATGGATAGCTGGAACAGAAATAGTTTCAAGTATAAATGTGTCATTTCGAATCAGTGGGAAATTAATTTGAGCCTTCAAAAAAAGTGTTAGCTAACCATTTGGGAATAAAAACAGGAAATTACAGTTTCCAGTTTCAGTATTCTAGTGTCAGTAATATCTAGTTGAGGCGGCCTCATAATCTAAATTTTTTCACACATCCCTCCAAAAAAATTGCATCAATAAGGAGAGCAAATGAAAGCATCCAAAAGTCATTCATAATTCATCCATAATGAGGAGAGAGAAATTAGCAAGCACCTATGTAATTTTTATGTTGAGAAATAAACTTTCACGTACAAGCTACCAGCAGAGCCGGATATGGAAACCATGCCCAGGTGGAATTAGGAAGAAATTGCACCGAAAAAAAAAAGTTGCCTGAACTAAACAATGTTCTTAGTGAAATAATGTATTTAATTTGGCACAAGTTTCTTATATTTATTTAACCAGTTACCAGTCGGTAGACAACACTTTCAGTAGCACCAGACTGAAGGACCAGAATTATCTAAGAAGAAATGACTGAAAAACATAGACAAAAGGACTTAGGGTGTCCATTGAATAAGTGAATATACTGAGTTCTGCAGTGTATTCATTGAAACTGGAAGCATGGGTGAACATTTACAGTGTTTTCTAGGACACCTTCATTTTGTAAAACAAAAACAACAATAATAGTAAAAACAATATTATCTCTTTTCAAACTTTATGGATACTCTGTAGATCCGAGAGTAAAATGAAAGTAGAGACAAGTGTGGGAGAACAGTATATGTAAATGTTATAATTTCTGAAAATATAGAGATAATCAAACTTATAAATGGGAGTAGTATTGACAAGGATATAGAGTAAGTAAAACTCTTTTTCTTTTTTCGTTTTTTTTTTTTTTTTTTTTTTTTTTTAAGACAGAGTCTCGCTCTATCGCCCAGGCTGGGGTGCAGTGGCACAATCTTGGCTCACTGCAAACTCCACCTCCCAGGTTCACGCCATTCTCCTGCCTCAGCCTCCCAAGTAGCTGGGACTACAGGCGCCCCCCACCGCACCTGGCTAATTTTTTGTATTTTTAGTAGAGACGGGGTTTCACCGTGTTAACCAGGATGGTCTCGATCTCCTGACCTCGTGATCCGCCTGCTTCAGCCTCCCAAAGTGCTGGGATTACAGGCGTGAGCCACCGTGCCCGGCCAAGTAAAACTCTTATACAATGCTTTTGATAATGTAAATTGGTTCAACTACTTGAAAAA
Organism: Homo sapiens; assembly: GCF_000001405.40. Lineage (NCBI taxonomy): Eukaryota > Metazoa > Chordata > Mammalia > Primates > Hominidae > Homo > Homo sapiens. Next base: position 7,498,606 of record NC_000005.10, read on the forward strand.
CTGTAAATTAGTATCTACTATAGTTCAACATGTGCACAGCCTACTGCACAGCAATTTCATTCCTCAGTTTATATTCAACATAAATGTTAAAATATATTCATCAAAGATATGTACAAGAATGTTCACAGCAGCACTGTGGTAGTAGTTTAAATTAGAAAACTACCTACATGTCCACTAGCAGAAGAACAATGAAATAAAGTGTGCTATATTTACACAATGGGATGCTAGACAGTGATGACAATGAAGCAACCATAATGATTACATTCAGAGACATGGCCAAATGTCACAAGTATAATGTTGGCCAGAAAAAGCCAAGCATAAAAGGATATATGTTGTATGAGTCCATTCATATAAATCTTAAAAATAGCCAAAATTATCCATGGGGTTTGAAATCAGAGAGTGTTTTGTTGTTGTTGTTGTTGAGATGGAGTCCCGCTTTGTCTCCAGGCTGGAGTGCAGTGGTGCCATCTCAGCTCACTGTAACCTCTGCCTCCCGGGTTCAAGCAATTCTCCTGCCTGAGCTTCCCCAGTAGATGGGACTACAGGCATGCGCCACCACAGCCAGCTAATTTTTGCATTTTCAGTAGAGATGGGGTTTCACCATGTTCGCCAGGATGGTCTCGATCTCTTGACCTCATGATCCACCCATCTCGGCCTCCCAAAGTGCTGGGATTACAGGCATGAGCCACTGTGCCTGGCCGAGTGGTTTTTTTGTAGGGTAGTTGCTGGAGGGAGAGGGGCACAAAGACAGGTTTCTGGAATGCTTGAGATATTTTGTTTCTAGGTCTTGACTATACAACTGTGTTCACTTTGTAAAATCCATCATCCTGTGCAGTTAGAAATTTTGTACTTTTGTATTTTGATGCCACACTTTAATAAAAGGTTCACAATTGAGAGGAAAAGAGAGAAGAAAAATAAAGTGAGTTCTTTCATCATTGCTTAAGTAATAAATGAGGTCAAAGGATATAATTTAAAGCTAACAAAGCAAATAATACATACCTATTTAGGAACAGAGCACTAAAGAAGTACATATATGTGGGTGGATATATATATATATATATATATATATATATATATGTATATATATGTGTATATATATGTATATATATGTATATATATAAAATGTTACCACTAAAAAATACAAAATATATATTCTAGCTACAAATAAGTATAATGAAAAAGCAAAGAAAACTGCCCATATAGAGAAAAAACACAGTAAATGCAGTATTATATACACAGTAAAATTAAGATAAACTACTTGGCCAAGTTGGAAACTTTCAATCATATCATTAAATGTAAATGGGCTTAACTCACTTATAAAAGAAAATTTAAAAAACTACAAAATAAAACTTAACTCTATGCTTTTTACAAGAGACTCAAAGTGATTCCGGAAGGCTAACAAAGAAGAACTCTCAGTTGTCTCCTATGTTTTGTTCCTTTCACATGCCTCATTATTGTGGGATTATTTGTGTTTGTTTTTATGCACTTACTTGCACTATAAGAGGCTCACAGCTGATCTTGGATGTTTCTTGCCCCAGTCCTAGAATCAGCCATTTCTCCAAGGAGAGTCAAAGCTAGAAGTATTTGAACACCATTGGGTTATAATCATGAGTCCACACTGAAATAAACAAGTGATTAAATAGATAAATGAGGAGAATAGTCAACTCTTTCCTGCAGAAGAATTCCAAATAATTCATGTAGATACTCTGTTTTTAAGGAAAGAGAGCAGAACCGCTCACTCCTTAAGTATGGGCTTCACAGGGTAACTTACTACCAAAGAGTACAGTGGAAAGTGAGGGGAAAAAGGATAATTTACAGTGGAGAACTCTGACAAGCATTACATCAGCCCATTAACCAAGGTCAACACCAACAGCAAAAACTCATGTTGACAGTGTGTCCCCGTGCTATGATGTGATGAGAATGGCACTTTACCCAGGTAGTCTTTCTCCGTCAAGCACAAAATCCCAGTAAAATCAGGAGAAAAAACACCAGGCAACTTTCAGTAGAGGAATATTCTACAAAATACCTTATTAGTGTTCTTCCCAACTGTAAAGGTCATCAAAAATGAGGAAAGCCTGGGAAATTGTCAGGACCAGGAGGATGATCCGGAAACATGAGGACTAAATGGAATGCAGTTATTTCTAATAAATATTTACATATGTGTTTCTTAGCTGTGGCCCTAGAAAGTGAATGGAAAAACATGGCACCCTGGGGAAAGGTCACTCCACACACCTAGCTCCTGCTTAAATATTTTTCCCCTTAAAGAAACTGGGATCCTTGCAGAAGTTCTTGATTTAGGTCTGAGATGAAAAAGCATTCTTTGAAAATGATCAACACAAGCTTCATCAACAGGGAGAGCTGTGTCTCTGAAGTGGGTAAGTATTCTAAGTTCGTCAAGTGATTTCACAGTTGGAATGATGGTGCAGGGTTTCTGAAAACGTCTTTATGTGTGTTTTAAAAGATGATTTTCAGCATCTTTTTTTTGTTCGCAAGTAACAGCTACAATTTAAATAAAAGCTTTTTTTTAAAAAAAAAAAAAAAGGTCTACATTTTCTTCCTTCATTGGACTTCCTGCTGAGGCTGTTGACAAGATGTTTTGTTTAGTGCTTGTTCTATTCTATTTTTCCATATGAAGCAAGAGGAATACAGAAGCCAAAGTCAAACCTGGCTGCTTTCCCTAGAGGTCCTAAGCACACATGCACAGCATGAACTCGATGGAAACACTTAAGCATGCAGAAGGATTTCTAAAGATTAACAACCTTGAGGCATAAGATGGTGTCATTCAACAAAAGAAATTATTAAGATATTGATGCTTTTCAATCAGAATCATGGATCTTTTTCAATGTCAACTTTTTTGACATTTTTTAGTTACATTTTTAAATGGTGTAATCTGGCTTGGGAAGAAGTTTAGTTTTGATATAGAATAAAAAATCAGAAATAATTTTTAGGAAACTCAGTGGATGAGAGACCATGAGGAATGATAATGACATAGGATTAGATGTTTCCTCATATCCCATCAAAAAAGAATGAGATTCCCCCCTCCCCCCCCCCCCGCCAGTAACTTCAAGTTATGTTACAAAGGAAAAAGAATGTTGCAGGGGGAAGTGAGTGGGGACTTTTGAAGAGAGAGGGCTCACTTGGCCTTGAGTCCACCTTCAGCCTTGGTTGGCCTGGAAGTCCAAGGGGCGTCCACCAGGCAGGGAGCCTGCAGGATCAGTGGATTATTTGCTTCCTCCTCCTGCCCTCAGGCTAGGTCCACTAACAGGAGGACCCACACTCTCGTCATTTCAACACCCGGGCATCACACTAAATGGTTCCTTCATCCAGACGCAGAGAGTCTCTTTCCTAAGCTGGGGAAATACTATTCACGATCAATGGGAGACTTTCAACATGGCTGATCTACCTGGGAAGGAAACCAGACACAACCACGCTGTACCCTGGAGAAGGAACTAGGCTGGTGGATGAATTAAAAGCCACTCTCTGGTCCTGATGTGTGCCTTGTGATTACAGAGCAGTGTTTACAACCACACTTCTTCAAAGACAGCAACAATGGTGAGAAAAAAGGATGTGATCCCTGATGAAAACCACACACACCAAATGCAAGTGGGACTCTGCCCTCCCTCTGCCTAAGCACACTATGCTATTTACTTGGTGGCAGTCCCCAGATTAAGGCAGGGCAGCATTAGAGGCTGTTCCCCACCGAGCCCCACATATGAGGCCAGGGAGCAGCCCCTGCTATGGACACTTTCGTCAGCCAGTGATGACCAAACCCCTCCAGTCCAGAGAGTGGAGAAGGCATCCATCATCTCACACTGCCTTCCTCACCTTGAAGCCACCTCTTACTCCCACCGTGGACCAGGACAGAGAGGCAGGCTTCAGGCTGCCACTTTCCTCAGCATCACAAGGCCCTCTTCTGTGCTTCCGGGCTGATCTCTTGGCCCTGATGGCCGATGATACCAAGAGAAAGAGATGGGCTTAAGGAAAAAGGAAATTAAGTTTTGGGGTCATTCAAATATGTGTTCATTAGAGACTAGTTAGTGGAATGCTCGTGTTCTGTGAATTCATGGTTTTACATTTCTCTTCCAGGATAATTTGCCCACACATTTTTCTAGCAGCTCCTTTGAAGCTTTTCAGGAGAAGTGTGAATGACCCTGATACTCATCTAGCTTTTCCCAATACTGTGCTTGACACTAGTAAAATCACCCAGTGTCCTTGGATGTCAGTAGAGCAAAATCGTTTCATGTGAAGAATCTCTAGCACGATGCTTTGCAGGCATCGTGCCTCTCCCTAGAAAGTTCTTCCTGAGGCAGTTGTATTGATATGGTATTGATATGATAAAACTGTTGTCCTTCTGAGTTCCTGTGGCACTCCCTGCGGATAATCTGCAACTCCTGTGCCTTTGTCGGAGCTGTTTGTCTGGTGCCTACTGCAGCCCCAGCTCCATGAGATTGAGATTCGCTTTCCTTTGCTCCCCTTGTATCCAGTGTGGAATGCAGAGCTGGGCACACAGAAGGTGCTTGATAAATGTGGTTTAATGAATGAAGAAATGAAATGACGTCTGATCTCACTGGACTTCATCTTTACCCAGAGTATTTGTTCCTTGATTTCCATGAATTCATGTCAGTCTCATATAAGTGCTTTTAATTGTTCTTAACACTCTCCTCTCAAGATTTTAGAAGTGCCTGAGAAGTATGCAGTGAATTAGGTATTAAAATACTTGGCCATTCAAGTGCATCACCACAGATGCAGAGGTGAATGTTTATAAGTAGAGGTGACAATGAGAAACCAATCGCTCGCACCCCTACCTCTGCATACTCTTTCAGATGATTATTAATATATTTGAACTTTTTAAGTAAGACAGGCTTCATCTTAAAGTCATGTCAGTTTAATAACTGCATGTGAGTTTTAGGCTGAGCATAGGGACAAGAAAGCTGCCAGACTCCCAGGTTTTGACCCACATGCTGCCGCCTGCCGTTGGGGGGATCTGGACAAGGTGCTTCACCTCTGGATTCTGTTTCCTTATCCATTAAATAGCTCATAGGACTGTTGCACAGTTATGTCAGCTGTGTCGATGACTATTAACATAGAGAGGAAGAAAGCATGGCCCACGCAGCTGTGGTGAAATGGAAAAGTGTTTCGATAGTAGAGATCAGCGCCAATGTGCATGTGGGCACTCACGCAACAAGAGCACATTGCATGGACACCTGGTTCAACCCACAGTCAAAGACAAGTCTTTAACATCATTTAACCACTTTTTAAAAAGAAGGCAGGGGTGGCATTTCAAGGAGAGAGAACAGAATGCAGGAAAGCACAGGCTTTTTCGAGAGCAGCAGACACACCCGCTCACTGTCCTGGGTTTGTCCTTTGCGGGAGTTTACCACCGCAGAAAGCAATCAGTGAAAGGCATGTTTCACTGAGGTTTTGGCTGTGCTCCTGATGTAGGTGCATTCTTATGTGAAGAGGTATTTCAGCTGCCCTGGCTTCTGGGATTGAGAAAAACATCTGGTGGGCTTCCATAAATAATATCAGCCGAAGGCATTCTGACTCCCAGAGCTTCATGTTGTTCCGGGTATGGGTTAAATGTGTGCTCACGGCTACCTCTTAAATGAAGAACCTGTTTGTGAAACGACAGAGCCAAAATCCCTTATGAACCAGAAAAAGATAAATAAATAAAAATAAAATGGATCCAAACACAAACCCAAATATCAAATGTTACAGAATCTAGAACACAATATTCCTTTTGATAAAACCAACTGAGTCTATTTCAACATCTGCCTTTTAAAAGGGATAGAATTGTGAAAATACGCAGTGTGAAATTTTCCCATTTCTCTAGTTAATGTTGGACTCTGGAACACAACGCCTATGAAGGCAGGAATTTATATACACCTATTAATATTTAGGTAATAGTAAAGTCATTATCACCTTAAAATTAACACTGTTCAGCAAGAAGTACCATTTTTTCTTATCTTTGAAGTGATTTCTTTCTTTCTCTCTCTCTTTCTTTTTTCTTTCTTTTTTTTTTTTTTTGACAGGGTCTTGCTCTGTTGCCTGGGCTGGAGTGCAGTGGTGCGATCTTGGGTGGTTGCAGAGACAGGGTTTAACTGTGTTTCCTAGGCTGGGCTTGAACTCCTGGGCTCAAAAGATCCACCTGTCTGTACCTCTCAAAGTGCTGGGACTACATGTGTGAGCCACCATGCCTGACCAAAAATTGCAGCCTTATTATTATTATTATTTTTTAAAGTATACTACTGCATTCAGAGGAAGAGAGGGTTTATTTATTTTTTTAAGACAGGCTCTCATTTAGTCACCCAGGCTGGAATGGAGTACAGTGGCACCATCACAGCTTACTGCAGCCTCAGCCTCCCAGGCACAAGTGATCCTCCCACCCCAGCCTCCCGAGTAACTGGGACCACAGGCGCACACCACCATGCCTTTCTGTGGCTAATTTTTGTGGTTTTTGTAGAGATGAGGTTCCATCATATTACCCAGGCTGGTCTCGAACTCCTGGGCTCAAGCAATTCTTCTACCTTGGCCTCCCAAAGTGCTAGGATTACAGGTGTGAGCCACCGTGCCTGGCCTGAAGTGATTTTAAAGTAATGCAAAGCCTGTTAAGTGTGTAGTTTTTATTGGTTTTCATGATAGCAGTGATTGAATCTCATTGTTTTAAATAGCATGGTACATGTCATGTCGTAAGGGTGTTATAAACCTGAAACTTAATCCTGGGTGTAAATAAGGCTTAGAAAGACCACGTCCCGTGCAAATCATGGAGTCCCATATAAATGCGAGGGAGCTGCTGGTGCAGTAGGCAGTGGTGCTTTAATTATTGTCAGGCAGTGGACTTGCTCATTAGAGGCCCAGTTTGCACGAACATACAGGGGAGAGCACAAGGTTTCAGGCGACCATCCCCCTGATGGGTTGGAGCCGAGGACTGTGCAGGAAGATGTTATGTAATTCAAGAAAGCCCCACTGAGCCAACGCAGATGCTAAAATAATTCATGTTCGTAGCTCACGGATATGCATCTTTCCTATTGAGATTGTCCTCTTTCAGTAAGGAGAAAAGCAAACAAAGGCATTTAGAACTTGGAGGGTCTTATTGTGGTAAGAGCCCATTCTACAATACACTGCTCCACTAGATGCTGATTTATGTCTTTGTTGAATACACAAGTATAAAACGGAGTCCCAAAACAATATTTGTTTTTAAATGAATAATTCACTCATTTTCCCTGCATGAGCTTTTCTCATCTGAAGCGCTGGCCTTTCAGATTAAATAAATTTAATGTTTCAAAAGAATATGGACATGAATATTCATAAGGACCAAAACAGTGAATATAAATAAAAGCCCTTTTATATAACATTTTATTTTTTTTTTTATGAAGACCTTACCTTTTTTTTTTCCCCACTTCTGAGATGGTACAATTCAAAGCAATTTTCCAGGACATCATTTCTTCTACAAAGCCAACCTGTTATTGAGGGCGTGATCACTTATTTTCCAAATTGTTTCATGCATCACTATTTTCCTTTACATACATAGAAATAAGGTAGTATTTGCCAATGGCATAGTCTATTAGCCATAGATTCAGCCTAGTATGGTGCCAAACACTCAACAAAGTGTGTAAACAGTTGGAAGAATGCCAAATATGAAGTTAAAAAATCATGTACCTTCAAAAATGTATAACTAGTTTTTACATATAAAATATGCAGACTATTTTTAGATGTTTTTATATATAGGCCAGTGATTTAAAAGTTAAAAGCCGTCATACATACAACACTTATGTTATTATATACTGGATAAACAAGCAGCAAAGATTCCCTTATCTCCCCAGTCCTTAACAGTAGGATGAAACAGCTGGCATTTGAACAGAAAAAGAAAGATAAATAAAAATGAAGGCCATGGTTACCATTGCCCGAGAAAAAAATGGTTTAAGAAAAGCCAGGGCACTGTGATATTTGATTATTTGTTTTGATGGAATCGTCAGTGTATTCCTATTTAAGTAATTCCTAAGTCCGAGTGTATTGTTTTATAATACTAGCTACCTAAGTGCTGTAACTTTCTCTTTGAACACGTGGGCTTAGAATAAATCCTTGATTTAATGGCAGTGTATTGTATAATTTGAATCTGAATACTAATGAAAGTGAAGTTGGAATATTTGCGATAGAAAGGGGTAAATGTGTGATGCGTTGCTCTTTTTTTTTTTTTTTTTTTTTTTTTTTTTGCTCTGTCACCCAGGCTGGAGTGCAGTGGCACAATCTCGGCTCACTGCAAGCCCCGCCTCCCGGGTTCACGCCATTCTCCTGCCTCAGCCTCCTGAGTAGCTGGGACTACGGGCACCCGCCACCATGCCCGGCTAATTTTTTGTATTTTTAGTACAGACGGGGTTTCACCGTGTTAGCCAGGATGGTCTCGATCTCCTGACCTCGTGATCCACCCGCCTTGTTCTTGACTGATGTCTACACGCCAAGTTACAGAGGTGGGGATTTCTTCACACGCGGGAGGGCTTGTGTTCTTCCAGTGCACATCGAAAGGGAGCCAGGGAGAGGTAAAAATGGTAACAAAGGCCGGGCGCGGTGGCTCACGCCTGTAATCCCAGCACTTTGGGAGGCCGAGGCGGGCGGATCACGAGGTCAGGAGATCGAGACCATCCCGGCTAAAACGGTGAAACCCCGTCTCTACTAAAAATACAAAAAATTAGCCGGGCGTAGTGGCGGGCGCCTGTAGTCCCAGCTACTTGGGAGGCTGAGGCAGGAGAATGGCGTGAACCCGGGAGGCGGAGCTTGCAGTGAGCCGAGATCATACCACTGCACTCCAGCCTGGGCGACAGAGCGAGACTCCGTCTCAAAAAAAAAAAAAAAAAAAAAGGTAACAAAGCCACTTTTGTAAAAACCTAGGGTAGAAAGTTATTTACTACCTTCTGAAATAAATGATTAAAAAATCATTACAAGGTACATTATTTTCTCCTAATTATGTAACTAGAAAAATAAGAAGGAGGCACTTTCTGATAAACATTGCTTTACCTCGTTGCTTCCAAATAAACTTTCTTTCTTTGCATTTGATGAGAAAGGTAATTTTTAAGGAAAAGGACCTCCTGGTGTTGGAACGAGGTGTTTTTGTTAGGACAGATGGATTCTCAAGGTTCTGTGTATTTTGAACAACATGAATACCCCGTGTACTGAGTGAGCTTACCTCATGGTGTTCCATTAACCTTCAGGGATTATGTATGAATAATGTTCGACTTCAGCAGATCATGGCCTCTTTTTATGTTGCCTTATGACTTTAGGCGACTACTTAACCCCTCAGTACCTTGTTTTTCCCAATTGTAAAATTAAAAAAAAACTTGCCAATAAAGCCTGCTTATAAAATATTTTCAGGTAGACAAAAGATAATTTTAAGCTGACAATTTTTTTTTTCTATATACTGAGAGATATTTGTGTAATATTTCACTTTTTTCAGTTCTTCTTCTGATGTTTCTAAAGACTTTATCATACAATTCAAAGAGCTTGGGAAGCCTGGACATTATGGGTAAATGGCTACCTTAGAAGCTGTGTTTACCAATTATTTTTCCAATGGGTAAACATTTTGCCTAAGTCCTTCTTTGCCAGTCACGAGCATAATTACCAATTTTTAGGTTTGTGTTACCGTAACATCTTACTTCTGACCAAAGTTTTATTAGTTAGGTTTCTGCTCTGATAAATAATACTGAATAACAAGCCCCAAATCTCAGTGGCTATTGCAATATAATTTATTTCATATTTCACACCCCCTCGTCTTCAGGTCGGCTGAGTTTGTCTGATCTGTGTTAGCCTTCTCCACAAGCTCAGCAGGAAGGATGAACTCCAGAATTTGGTTTGGGTCCAGATCTGCTCCATGTGTATTTAACCCAGGACTCAGTTGAAGAGATGTGACTTTCTGGACCACAACTGTCTCATTGTGGAAATCCAGAGCTCCAAGAGGGCTGGCAAAAATATGGACTGAGGCTTCTAAAAGCCCCAGTTCTGAACTGGCAAGGTGTTGTTGCCACCCATATTCTATTACTCAATGTGAGTCACACAGCCAGGTCCATGCCCAGGTGGGTGGGGAGCACACTTCACCTGCCGGCTTCCATGGCCGGGTGAGGAAGGAGAAGGAACTGTGGTCTGATCAGGCATTCCACCACATCTTCTACATTAGGAAACCGAGGAAAATGCAAGGAAGGGGCATTGTGTTTTCGTCCTCATGTTGGCCAAGAAAACCCCCTCCAAAAGAAGTCTTTCACAATCTGAATAGGTACTGGGGGACACAGGAGTACTATGTGGGAATGGTGCACTATGATTCCAGGCCCAAGGAACAGAGTTTGCTTTAACTACGAAGATGGAGATGATAGCCCACATTCAGTCATAAGACAGTCATTTGTTAATTATTGGTAGAAAGTTTGCAGACTTTAACTAAACAAATTAGGCTTTCAGAGAGATCCTGAAGTTAATAATGTTTGTGTTAGGGAAAAAAAGAAGGTTTGGGAAATCAGTGGACAAGTTTGGAAATAGGGCTTCACTCTGGAAGACTTCAGAGCTCTTAAGAGCAGGGAGCTTGTGCTATCTCTAATAGCTAAGAAAATGCATGTATATTGTAGAGTTAAAACCAGTACTGGTGAATAAATGAATGCATGCATGGTGAATGGAGAGGGAAGATGACACATATGGTATATGGATATTCACAGCAAAAGAAGGAATCAGGATTAGGAGAAGAGGAGGAGAAATGGGGTCAGAATCCACAGCCACCGTCCTTTCGCACAGCGTAGAGGCTGAGGGTTCAGAACAGATGAAGAGCTGGAGAAGACAGTCAGCCGTCTGTATTCCCTCAGGACACCCATTTTTTTTAATGTTATATCCTACTATTCTTTTTCTCAAGCTTTTTAAAATGCATGACATACCTCCTACCTATTTTAAATTTTAAAAAGCACAGTGAAAGTTATTGTTTTACCTCTGATTCCATCATCAATCTCTCTAACTCTGAATAACATTTTCAGAAGAAGAATGAAAGCTACCCAGTGATTCATGATTTGATCGTTACTCTTTTGAAGCCCTGGCTTTCCATCAAAGAACATAATATGTATTCTTTTGCTTAATAATATAACATTTAAAGAAATATTTTCACATTCTATAGAGTTGATATTCTAAGCCTAAGGTAACTGTATGGGAAAGATAAAATCTTTTATACAATCTAGTCATCAACATGTTCCTGAGCTTTTATTTTTAATTATGATCATAAAAGGTTTTATTAAGTAGTGTAAAGTGAATTTCCAAGAATTTCCAATTATGCTTTTCACTGTAAGAAAGATGGCATTCTACTTAAGATGGTCAGGTATTGAATAAGAGGTATTATTTGGTGATGCAAACGGACAGTTTGGTTACCTTTTCTGAA